>NC_000003.12:177455574-178705574 GCF_000001405.40 Homo sapiens | reverse complement strand
CTGTGTGATTAAGCTCTAATTTGAACAACATTTCTGTAATCTTTAATTTTATGAAAATAAAACCTACTCTCTCATTTATATTACTTGAAGATAGACAATGAAACAACTTTTCATAATTTCACAGTACCTGATACAAGTTCTTGGCTAGGCCAGCTTTAGCCTATGGAACGACCTAAGAGACAAGTGAGGATATTATCTCTTACCCCCAAGAAGCTGCTGCACAGTGGCAGCATGGTTTTCACAGGCCTGAGATTCATTCCCTTCTTTGCTGCTTGGGATAGGAAGTGACTACCTAGAAAATTGTCCAGGGAATCACCCCTCCATCAATACTGTTCAGGGACTCAGAATAGGCCTCTGCTCAAAAGTCTGAGGTGAAGCTACCAGAAGGGCTGTATAGGGATGTAGTGGGTGGGCAGGTTCCCAGGATATGACTGGTTTAGGCTACCAGCTTGAGGATTGGGGTTGGGAGCATGAGATCTGGAACCATGGATTTATGGGAGAGAGTCTGGGTTTTGGCTTAGAAAACCCTAGAAAGGAGCTTACAGGAGAGTTTATGCTAACTTGGATTTGAGTTTGAAGAGGAGGAAAGGATGATAGTGGTGATGGTGGTATATACCTAGAGAAGTAGAAATAGAAATGAAAGAGCCTGGAGACTTGTGAAAATTTCATCTTATAGGAGTCAGGAACTGAAGATGGTTGGAAAATATCTTGGCCATTCAAATATACCATTTATTCATAGCATTTAATGAAACGACCCTGTGAATAGCCTGGGAATGAGCATGATGCAAGAAAGGTGGACTTTAGTCTTGGTTCTCTCATTAACTGGTGTTGAGTTTAACAAAGCCAGTTAACCTCTTGAGTCTCATGTTCTTAAATTGTAGGAGAGGAAGTAAGGTGATTGCTTTCTTGTTCTCCCTTCCAACAAGGTATCTTTAAAAACAGATTTCCATCTTTGTGAAGGGAAGATACTTGTCTAGAGAAGCACTGATGAAGAAAATTTTTTTTTGCAATGATAGAAATATTCTATAACCATGTGCCAATAAATACAATAGCCACTAGCCCCATATGACAATGGAACACTTGAAATATGGCTAGTGAGACAGGAATATGGAATTCTTAATTTTGTTGGATTTAATTAATTTAGCCTTGTTTGGCTAATGACTACCATATCTAGACAGATATCTAAGTCTAGATAAATTTGAAACACATAGTATGCTTCTAGGTTTGGAATGTATGCAGGGGTGATACCCAGAATATTTTACAGCTAGCATAAAAAAGGGAAGAGACTATCTCTTATTAGTTGACCTCTCTGCTTGGGAGCTGCCACGATGAGTTTGAACTGTCAGAAAATGTTTGTTTGGGAGTGTGATTTACATAGCAAATCAAACATAGGGCATGTCAATTTTTACAATGACACTTGAAACCTGGTTGTTTTCCCTGGAAGATGGAGATTTTAAATAAAATTAAACATAAAAAGACTTTGTCAATTTCTAATGCCATATCTTTCAAATTCCAGCATTATAAAGTGAAATGATTCTTTTCTCCAAGTTCTGATGTCAATTGGTCTATAAACGAAAGCATTTTCTTTATTGCTTGAGAGATTCACCACAGACCTGACTCTTGAATTTTTTCTGGACTTAAAACTCTGGGAATTGTGTTACTTTATGCTATCATTTAAACCACCTTGTTCCTCACTCTAACATCTTATAATAAATGTGTGAAGTTACTCACAGATGAATTCCTTTTGATTACTCACTGTTTAGAAAGAGATTGGGTCTACAGCAAGCTGGGTTCCACATGGAAAAGCTAAGATAAACACACCCATGTAAGTAGATACATGATTACATAAACAAGGCCTGTGGAGAATGTTCATACATTCATGTGACTCTCAAAGTTTTTATGACTCATTTATGCTATATATATTTTCCTATAATTTTGGTCCAGCATTAGCTGAGTACTGTTAGCTAAAGAATAACAGTTTCTCTTTGCTGTGATTAAAACCCTTGGTTTCTTTATCAATTTCAACATGAATAATGAACACGAACAGCTACTTTTTTTGGGGGGGTGGGTGCCTGAATGGGACTTACCAGGGTCTCCATATCATCCCCTGACTGAAATGACCAGCAGGAGGCCAGAGGAGTACAAATGGAGAACTAAATACCTTCCTTTTCCTTTTTTCTCCCCTTTATCTAGCCACTTCTGTTTTTCTAAAAAGCCTTGGGAATAATGGAATGGTGGAAAGCATGTAGGCAAATCCCAACTCCAAAAACATTCCAGTTCTGTGGCCCTCCACTCAACCCCTTTTCTCACTTGCAAAATGAGTCTATGAGTACCTGATAGAGATAAGAATGTATTCGGCACTTAGCAAATAGGAGCCCTGAATAGATGGTTATTAATATTATTGGTCAAGAACTCGTGGTCATTGTCATCATCTCTCTCCTTTTTGTTTATTTACTGATTCTCTTTCCCTTTTTTCCTGTTAATATTAATCATCCTTCAAATATTTTTCTTGACTATCTTAAAACTTAAAGGGAATAAGGCTATCTGTACAATTAACTACATAACTAATCTTCATCCTTCTCCTCTTGTCTCCCAACCTTTCCTTGGCCTGAAAATACATCCCTACCAACAAGCCCATTACTATATACATGATGATAAAGTTGCAGGAAGCAGGTAGGATAAAGCTACTTAAGCAGAAGTAAAGGAAAAGTTGTTAAGAACTCACTTTGTATCAGGCAGTGGGACTAGATGCTTTTAGTAAGGAAGAATGTCTGGCGTATCTGCCCTAACTCCACCTGCTTCCATGAACAAAGATTTGACAGTGATGGTCTCAGACTCGGTTCATATCCCTTGATTAACTGTTTTTTAGCACTGATATTTGTGTAGATGTGAAGGCTATTGGAGCTTTAAAAAATCATTAGATGAAATTTATTTTTGCTTGAAAAGTCTACATAGAATGTAAGTGGCATTAATTAAGTGAGTTTTGATAGGCAGTCACAGTAAAATCCTGTAGGGGAGGACCTTTGGCTCTTGTAATACAGCTCAGTGGGGCTCAGTTTCACACTCAACCAGGCAAATTCTCTCATTAGCTTTATTTATTTATTTTTATGTATTTCTTTATTTTTAAATATATATATATTTATTATACTTTTTAAGTTCTAGGGTACATGTGCACAAAATGCAGGTTTGTTACATATGTATACATGTGCCATGTTGGTGTGCTGCACCCATTAACTTGTCATTTACATTAGGTATATCTCCTAACGCTATCCCTCCCCCCTCCCCCCACCCCACAACAGGCCCTAGTGTGTGATGTTCCCCTTCCTGTGTCCAAGTGTTCTCATTGTTCAGTTCCCACCTATGAGTGAGAACATGCGGTGTTTGGTTTTTTGTCCTTGTGATAGTTTGCTGAGAATGATGGTTTCCAGCTTCATCCATGCCCCTACAAAGGACATGAACTCATCATTTTTTATGGCTGCATAGTATTCCATGGTGTATATGTGCCACATTTTCTTAATCCAGTCTATCATTGATGGACATTTTCGTTGGTTCCAAGTCTTTGCTATTGTGAGTAGTGCCGCAATAAATGTACGTGTGCATGTGTCTTTATAGCAGCATGATTTATATTCCATTGGGTATATACCCAGTATACCCAAAATGGTAATGGTATGGCTGGGTCAAATGGTATTTCTAATTCTAGATCCCTGAGGAATCACCACACTGTCTTCCACAATGGTTGAACTAGTTTACAGTCCCACCAACAGTGTAAAAGTGTTCCTATTTCTCCACATCCTCTCCAGCACCTGTTGTTTCCTGACTTTTTGATGATTGCCATTCTAACTGGTGTGAGATGATATGTCATTGTGGTTTTGATTTGCATTTCTCTGATGGCCAGTGATGATGAGCATTTTTTCATGTGTCTGTTGGCTGCATAAATGTCTTCTTTTGAGAAGTGTCTGTTCGTATCCTTCACCCACTTTTTGATGGGGTTGTTTGTTTTTTTCTTGTAAATTTGTTTGAGTTCTTTGTAGATTCTGGATATTAGCCCAATGCCATCCCCATCAAGCTACCAATGACTTTCTTCACAGAATTGGAAAAAAACTACTTTAAAGTTCATATGAAACCAAAAAAGAGCCCTCATTGCCAAGTCAATCCTAAGCCAAAGGAACAAAGCTGGAGGCATCAGGCTACCTGACTTCAAACTATACTACAAGGCTACAGTAACCAAAACAGCATGGTACTGGTACCAAAACAGAGATATAGACTAATGGAACAGAACAGAGCCCTCAGAAATAATACCACACATCTACAGCTGTCTCATCTTTGACAAACCTGACAAAAACAAGAAATGGGGAAAGGATTCCCTATTTAACAAATGGTGCTGGGGAAAGTGGCTAGCCGTATGTAGAAAGCTGAAACTGGATCCCTTTCTTACACCTTATACAACAATTAATTCAAGATGGATTAAAGGCTTAAATGTTAGACCTAAAACCATAAAAACCTTAGAAGAAAACCTAGGCAATACCATTCAGGACATAGGCATGGGCAAGGACTTCATGTCTAAAACACCAAAAGCAATGGCAACAAAAGCCAAAATTGACAAACGGGATCTAATTAAACTAAAGAGCTTCTGCACAGCAAAAGAAACCACCATCAGAGTGAACAGGCAACCTACAGAATGGGAGAAAATTTTTGCAATCTACTCATCTGACAAAGGGCTAATATCCATTCTCTCTATAGCTTTAAAACTTTGTTTGAAGAGTAGTTTAAAGCATCAACAATTTCTTGTTGTTGGTTTTTTTTTTTACACTACTCATCAAAAAGATATTGGTGATTGGGGATGAGTTAGCTGGAAAAAGTAATGAGCTCTTGTTTCTATGTCACGAGTAATATATGTTGCAAATATCTTCTCAAATCTCTTCCTAAATCTCAGTCATATTAGGCATGGGAGGATATTTAGAATTCTTATTTTCTGTAAGGAAATGGCCATGTGAGGATCCAGAGCATATCTTTTCACCTTCTTGGGCTTGTTTTCCTTTTGAGAAAGAAGGGCATTGGGCTAGCCCAATATCACTGTATGGCCTGAAAAGTCCTTTCACTGAATCTAAGTTCCAGTGGTCCAGGGATTTAATTTACCTCCCTGGTAAGGATAGGAGGCTATAAGAGAGCTTGTGTATATACTTTCCAAAATATATGTGTACTTTATTAAGCCTTTAGGCTTAAAATGGAATTTTAAAGAAATCCTATAAATGTTTTAGACAGTGAAGTGGAATTATTTAGTTGATAGGAGATAAGTACTGAATTGGTTGTGAGAAGATCTGGTATTTTTTTAAGCTAGTTTAGTATCCATAAGCAACTAACATGGGCATTAATATTTGCATTGTAAAATTAATGTAATTATATCTGCACAGAATTATTTTGAAAATTAAAAGAGGCAAAGTGAGTGTCTTCTGTAGGCTTGAGTCAAGAACTCTCAGTCATCTTGGTAATACTGGCTTGGATAGATGCCTAGAGCTGCTGGAAAAAGGCCAGAACTTTCAGATCTTCAGAGGAAAGGCACCGACCTTGCATGGGCCATTGCACACTGGGACTCATTTTTGAACCACAACAGCTCCAGGGGAACTGGTGAGTTCAATTGGCAAGGAGAAACTCTTTCTTGCCACAGGCCTCTAGAACCCCGGCAGGAGGGGAACCCTCGACCACCACATGACACTTGAGGTAGCAGCAAGAGCTGCCTAGAGAAGTGGTGGGATGGCAAGCCAGCTGATGTGAAGCCCAGAGGGTTTGGTGCAGGAGTGTCTGTAGTGGAGCACGGTCAGGGACAGCCATCCCCCTAAGCTCAAATTGCTCTCATAGGAGACTTTAGCCCTAGGGGAATTGTCAGTTCTGATCTCCGCAGGGTGGTCTTGGACATCAGACGGGGTTGGACTGACCTGAGCACCCCTTGGTCTCCTGGCCTCTCCCAGGGCCCCAGCCTGGTCATGCCAGCTTACAGAGCAGTTTTGGGTGCCCGGGGGGCCCACACCATAGCTTCTGTACTGGCAGACCTTACCTGACTGGCACAGAGCTCCAGTGAGCCAGCCCCTATGGCCTCACACCAGCCTGTATGCCCCCTCCCCATACTGCAGCTTTCCCCAAGCCCACATCAATTCCTCATATCACTTTGCTGGTGTGTGTCTTCACAGGTGGGTTTTGCATTACTTTGCCCATCAGGATGCAAGAGTGCAGTCCACTCCCCTTCACTCACTAACCACCATTGCAGGGAGCCTTGGCTGGCACAGAGCCAGCAAGCCCCACCCTCACCAGAGCCCTGCTTTTGCACTAACACTGTGCAGACAACAATGGATCCTTCTATGCCCTGAGTGATCCTGCTTGCAGGGCATGGAGAAGGCACCCAGGCCTGAGCTAGTCAGCATCCTGCCCCAAGCCAACACCACTTCTAGTGCAACAGCACACATAGGCTCCAGCAGGGGCCCTCTGTACCCCCTGGTTGCATTGCCCCCACCACTGTGGTGGATGCCCACAGGATGGCAGGCAGCCCTGCGTCTGCTAGCACTCTGCTGCAGCTGCTGCACCTTGGCCCTCCCAGCACAGTGGACTCCAAACCTTGAAGAGCCAGATAATAAAGTTGGGGCCGAATATGAGTCCCCCAGAGTTGGAGCATGCAGTCTAGCAGTTGGGAGCTGAGGGTTGGCCCCCTAAAATCTCCCAGAGACAAAGTCAGTCAGCTGAATCCACCTTATACCACAATTAAATCTCCAAGGTTGTCCAATAGAATAAAAGAAAAAAATCCAAAAATCAGCAACCTCAAAGATTGAAGGTAGATAAACCCACAAAGATGAGAACAAATCAGCACAAGAAGTCTGAAAACTAAAAAATGCAGAGTGCTTTCTTTCATCCAAACAACTGCATCACTGCTTTGGCAAGGGTTCTGAACTGAGCTAAGATGGCTGAAATGACAGAAAATAGAATTCGGTATATAGATAGGAAAGAAATTCACTGAGCTACAGGAGTATGTTGAAACCCAATGCAATGAAGCTAAAAATTATGGTAAAACAATGCAGGAGTTGGCAGACAAATAACCAGTAAAAATAAGAATGTAACTGACCAGATAGGGCTAAAAAACACAAGAATTTAATAATGCAATCACAAGTATTCATAGCAGAATAGACCAAGTGGAGGAAACACTCTCATAGCGTGAAGATTGGCTTTCTGAAATAAGACAGGCAGACAAGAATAGAGAAAAGAGAATGAAAAAGAATGAAGAAAACCTCCAAAAAATATGGGATTATGTAAAGATATGAATCTGTGACTCTTGGTGTTATGAATCTATGACTTATTGGTGTCCCTGAAAGAGATGGGGAGAATGGAACCAACTTGGAAGACTTATTTCAGGATGTTTTCCATGAGAACTTCCCCAAACTAGCTAGACAAGCCAACATTCAAATTCAGGAAACACAGAGAACCCCAGTAAGCTACTTCACAAGATCATCCCCAACACACATAATCATGATTCTCCAACATCTAAATGAAAGAAAAGATGTTAAAGGCAGCTAGAGAGAAAGTTCTGGTCACCTACGAAGGGAAGCCCATCAGACTAACAGCAGACCTCTTAGCTGAAACCCTGTAAGATAGAAGAGATTGGGGACCAATATTCAACATTCTTAAAAAAAAAACTTTTAACCCAGAATTTCATATCCAGCTAAACTAAGCTTCATAAGAGAAGGAGAAATAAGATTCTTTTCTGACAAGCAAATGCTGACGGAATTTGTTACCACAAGACCTGCCTTATAAGAGCTTCTGAAGGAAGCACTAAACATGGAAAGGAAAGACCATTACCAGCCACTACGAAAACACACTGAAGGACACATACCAGTGACACTGTAAAGCAACCACATAAACAAGTCTGCAAAATAACCAGCTAACATGATGACAGGATCAAATCCACAGATGTCAATAATAACCTTAAGTGTAAATGGGCTAAATACTCCAAATAAAAGGCATAGAGAGGTAAGCTGGATAAAGAACTAAGACCCATTGGGCTGCTGTCTTCAAGAAATCCATCTCACATGCAATGACACACATAGGTTTAAAAGAAATGTGTGGAGAAAAAATATACCAAGCAAATGGAAAACAGGAAAAAGCAGGGGTTGCAATTCTAGTTTCTAACAAAATAGGCTTTAGACCAACAAAGATCAAAAAAGACCAAAAAGGGCATTACATAATGGTAAAGGGTTCAATTCAACAAGAAGATCTAACTATCCTAAATATATATGTACCCAACACAGGAGCACTCAGATTCATAAGGCAAATTCTTAGAGACCTTCAAAGAGACTTAGACTTCCACACAATAATAATGGGATACTTTAACATCCCATTGAAAATATTAGACAGATCACTGAGACAGAAAATCAACAAAGGTATTCAGGACCTGAACTCAGCCCTGGATCAAATGGACCTGATAGATATCTACAGAACTCTTCACCCCAAAACAACAGAATATACATTCTTCTTATTACCACATGGCACATACTCTAAAATTGGTCACATTCAGAAGTGAAATACTCCTCAGCAAATGTAGAATAATTGAAATGATAACTAACAATCTCTTGGACCACAGCACAATCAAATTCAAATCAAGACTAAGAAATTCACTCAAAACCATGCAATTACAAGTAAATTGAATGACTTCCTTCTGAATTTCATTGTTTACTATTTGGTAAAAGTAATTTACTTTTTGGTAAATAATATCATTATTTACTTTTGAGAACAAAGATACCACATATCAGAATCTACAGGACACAGCTAAGGTGATGTTAAAAGGGAAATTTATAGAAGAAAATGCACACATCAAAAAGTTAGAAAGATCTCAAGTTAACAACCTAATATCACAACTGAAAGAGCTAGAGAATCAAGTGCAAAGAAATCCAAAAGGTAGCAGAAAATAAGAAATAACAAAAATCAGAACTGAACTGAATAAGATTGAGAAATGAAAATACATTCAAAGTATCAAAGAATCCAGGAGCTGATATTTTGAAAAAAATTTGATAAAATAGACAGACTTCTAGCTAGAATAATAAAGAACAAAAGAGAAAAGATTCAAATAAACACAATCAGAAATGACAAGGCGGATATTACCAGTCACCTCACAGAAATACAAACAACCATCAGAGAATATTATGAACACCTCTATGCACACAATCTAGAAAATCTGGAAGAAATGGGTAAATTCCTGTACACATTCACCTGATATGGTTTGGCTGTGTCCCCACTCAAATCTCATCTTGAATTGTAGTTCCCATGATCCCCACAGGTCATGGGAGGGGCCAGGTGGAGATAATTAAATCATAAGGATGGTTTCCCCCATCCTGTTCTCATGATAGTAAGTTAGTTCTCATGAGCTTTTATGGTTTTATAAGAGGCTTTCCCTTTCACTGGGGACTCATTCTTCTCCTTCCTGCTGCCATATGAAGAAGGACATGTTTACTTCCCCTTCCACCACAATTGTAAGTTTCCTGAGGCCTCCCAGCCAAGCTGAACTGTGAGTCAATTAAACCTCTTATCTTATAAATGACCCAGTCTCAGGTGAGTCTTTGTTAGCAGTGTGAGCATGGACTAATACAGTAAATTGGTGCTGGGAGAATGGGGTGCTGCTATAATGATACCAAAAAATGTGGAAGCAACTTTGGAACTGGGTAACAGGCAGAGGTTGGAACCATTTGGAAGGCTCAGAAGAAGATAGGGAAATGTGGGAAAGTTTGGAACTCCCTAGAGACTTGGAGGGCTCAGAAGACAGGAAGATGTGGGAAAGTTTGGACCTTCCTAGAGACTTATTGAATGGCTTTGACCAAAATGCTGACAACAATATAGACAATGAAATCCAGGCTGAGGTGGTCTCGGATGGAGATGAGGAACTTGTTGGGAACTGGAATAAAGGTGAATCTTGGTATGCTTTAGCAAAGAGACTGGTGGATTTTTTACCCCTGACCTAGAGATCTGTGGAACATTGAATTTATGAGAGATGATTTAGGGTAACTGGAGGAAGAAATTTACAAGCAGCAAGACATTCAAGAGTTGATAGAGCATAAAAGTTTGGAAAATTTGCAGCCTGATGAGGCAGTAGAAAAGAAAACCCACTTCGTGGGGGAGAAAGTCAAGCCTAATGCAGAAATTTGCATAAGTAGCGAGGAGCCAGACACTAATCACCAAGACAATGGGGAAAATGTCTCCAGGATATGTCAGAGACCTTAATGGCAGACCCTTCCATCACAGGCCTGGAGGCCAAGGAGGGAAAAAAGGTTTCCTGAGCTGAGTCCAGGGCCCCCCTGCTCTGTGCCATGGGGACTTGGTTCCCTGTATCCCAGCTGCTCCAGCCATGGCTAAAAGGGGCCAAGGTACAGCTAGGGCTGTAGCTTCAGAGGGTGCAAACCCCAAGCCCTGGCAACTTCCATGTGGTGTTTGTCCTGCAGTGTGTAGCATACAAGAATTGAGGTTTGGGAACCTCTGCCTAGATTTCAGAGGACGTATAGAAATGCCTGGATGCCCAGGCAGAAACCTGCTGCAGGGGTGGAGCCCTCATGGAGAACCTCTGCCAGGTCAGTGCAGAAGGGAAATCTGGGGTTGGAGCCACCACACAGAGTTCCCACTGGGGCACTGCCTGGTGGAGCTGTGAGAATAAGCCCACCATCCTCCAGACCCCAGAATGGTAGATCTACTGACAGCTTGCACCGTACACCTGGAAAAGCCACAGACACTCAACACTAGCCTGTGAAAGCAGCTGGGAGGGGAATTGTACCTTTCAAAGCCACATGGGCAGAACTGTTCAAAACCCTGGGAGCCCACCTCTTGAATCAGCATTACATGGATTTGAGAGATGGAGTTAAAAGAGATCATTTTGGAACTTTAAGGTTAAAAATTACCTTATTGGATTTCAGAATTGCATGGGGCCTGTAGGCCCTTTGTTTTGGCCAATTTCTCCTATTTGGAATGGGTGTACTTACCCAGTGCCTGTACCCCATTTTATCTAGGAAGTAACTAACTTGCTTTTGATTTTACAGGCTCATATACAGAAGGGACTTGCCTGGTCTCAGATGAGACTTTGGACTTGGACTTTTGAGTTAATGCTGGAATGAGTTAAGACTTTGGAGGACTGTTGGAAGGGCATACTTGTGTTTTGAATTATAAGGACAGGAGAATTGGGAGAGGACAGGAGGGGAATAATATGGTTTGACTGTGTCTCCACCCAAATCTCATCTTTAATTGTGGTTCCCATGATCCCCACATGTTATAGGAGGGACTAGGTGGAAATAACTGAATCAGGGGTGCGGTTTCCCCCATTCTGTTCTTGTGATAGTGAGTTAGTTCTCATGAGGTTTTATAAGTGGATTCCAGTCCACTGTCCACTCATTCTTCCTGCTGCCACATGAAGGAGGATATGCTTGCTTCCGCTTCTGCCATGCTTATAAGTTTCGTGAGGCCTCCCCAGCTATGCTGAACTGGGAGTCAAACTTCTTTCCTTTATAAATTACCCAGTGTCGGGTATGTCTTTATTGGCAACATGAGAAGAGACTAATACACACCCTCCCAAGACTGAAACAGGAATGCGTTTAATCCCTGAAAAGACCAATAATGAGCTCTGAAATTGAGGCAGTAATAAATAGTCTACTAACTAAAAAAAAAAAAGAAAAAGAAAAAAAGCCCAGGACCAGATGGATTCACAGCTGAATTTCACCAGATGTACAAAGAAGAGCTGGTACAATTCCTACTGAAACTATTCCAAAATATTGAGGACTAGGGGCTCCTCCCTAACTCATTGTAGGAGGCCAGCATCATCCTTATACCAAATCCTCCCAGAGATACAGAAAAAAAAGCTTCAGGCCAATATTCTTGATGAATATCAATGTAAAAATCCTCAGCAAAATACTGGCAAACAGAATCCATCAGCATATCAACAACTTGTTCACCATGATCAAGTAGGCATTATTTCTGGGATGCAAGGTTGGTTCAACATATACAAATAAATAAATGTGATTCATCACATTAACAGAGCTAAAGACAAAAACCACATAATTATCTCAATATATGTAGAAAATGCTTTCAATAAAATTCAACTTTCATTCATGTTAAAAAGTCCCAATAAACTCGTTATTGAAGGAACATACCTCAAAATTATAAGAGTCATATAAACAAATCCACAGCCAACATCATACTGAATGGGCAAAAGCTGGAAGCATTCCCTTTGACAACTGGCACAAAACAAAGATACCCTTTCTCACTGCTCCTATTCAAAATAGTATTGGACATCCTGGCCAGGACAATCAGGCAAAAGAAAGAAATAAAAGACATCCAAACAGGAAGAGTGGAAGTCAAAATATCCTAATTTGCAGATGACATGATCCTATATCTAGAAAACCCCATAGTCTCAGCCTAAATGCTTCTTAAGCTGATAAACAAGTTCAGCAAAGTCTCAGGATACAAAATCAATGTGCAATAATCATGAGCATTTCTATACACCAGCAACAGTCAAGTCAAGAGCCAAAACAGGAATGTAGCCCCATTCACAATTGCCACAAAAAGAATAAAATGTCTAGGAATACACCTAACTAGGGAGGTGAAAGATCTCTATTAGGAGAACTGCAAAACATGGCTCAAATAAATCAGAGATGACACAAACAAATGGGAAAACATTCCATGCTCGTGGATATGAATAATCAATATCATTAAAATGGCCATAGTGCCCAAAGCAATTTATAAATTCAATGCTATTCTTATTAAACTACTGTTGAGATTCTTCATATAACTAGAAAAATCTATTTTAAACTTTATATAAAACAAAACACAACAAAAGCCCAAACAGCTGACACAATCCTAAGCAAAAGGTATAAAGCCAGAGGCATCACACTACCCAACTTCAAACTATACTACAGAGTTGAAGTAACCAAAACAGCATGGTACTGACACAAAAACAGCCACATAGACCAATGGAGCAGAATAGGGAGCCCAGAAATAAGGCTGCACACCTACAACTATCTTATCTTTGACAAACCTGACAAAAACAAGAAATGGGGAAAGGATTCCCTGTTCAATAAATGGTGCTGGGTTAACTGGCTAGCCAAATGCAGAAGATTGAAATTGGACCCCTTCCTTATACCATATGCAAAAATTAACTCAAGATGGATTAATGACTTAAATATAAAACCCAAAACTATAAAATTCCTTGAAGACAGCCTAGGCAATACCATTCAAAACATAGGCATGGGCAAAGATTTCATGATGAAGATGCTAAAAGCAATTGCAACAAAAGCAAAAATTGACAAATGAGATCTAATTAAATTAAAGAGCTTCTGTACAGCAAAAGAAACTATCATCAGAGTAAACAGACAACCTACAGAATGGGAGAAAAATTTTTGTAAACTATGCATCTGACAAAGGTCTAATATCCAGCATCTCTAAGGAACTTAAACAAATTTACAAGAAAAAAACAACCCCATTAAAAATTGGGCAGACATAGACAGTTTTCAAAAGAAGACATACATGTGGCCAATGAGAATATGAAGAAAAGCTCAACATCATTGACCATTAGAGAAATGAAATCAAAACCACAATGAGATACCATCTCACCCCAGTCAGAATTGCTATTATTAAAAAGTCAAAAAATAACAGGTGCTGGTGAGGTTGTGAAAAAAAATGGAATATTTATAGACTGTTGGTGGGAATGTAAATTAGTTCAACAATTATGGAAGATAGTGTGGCAATTCCTCAAATACCTAAAGACAGAAATACCATTCCACCCAACAATTACTAGGTATATCCCCAAAGGAGTATAAATTGTTCTATTATAAAGACACATGCATGCGTATGTTCATTGCAGCACTATTCACAATAGCAGAGACATGGAATCAACATAAATGCCCACCAATGATAGACTGGATAAATAACATGTGGTACATACACACTATGGAATACTATGCAGCCATAAAAAGAATGAGGTTGTATCCTTTTCAGGGACATGGATGGAGCTGGAGGCCTTTATCCTTAGCAAATGAACACAGGAACAGGAAACCAAATACCACATGTTTTCACTTATTAAGTGGGAGCTAAATAATGAGAACATATGGGCACAGAGATGGGAAAAACACACACTGGGACCCTATTAGAGGTTGGAGGGTGGGAAGAAGCAGATAATTGGGAAAAATAACTAATGGGTACTAAGCTTAATAACTCAGTGATGAAATAAGAAATGCCCATGACACAAGTTTATCTATGTTAAAAAAAAAAAAAACCTGCACATGTACTCCTGAACTTAAAACAAAAGTTAAAAAAAATTAAAAAGCCAGGTGTGGCTCACACCTGTAATCCCAGGACTTTGAGAGGCTGAGGCAGGTGGATCATTTGAGGTCAGGAGTTCAAGACCAGCCTGGGAAACATGGTGAAACCCCGTCTCTATCAAAAAAAAAAAAAAAAAAAAGACTTAATGGGGAATTATGCTGTACACCTGTAGTCCCAGCTACTCGGGAGACTAAGGTGCGAGAATTGCTTGAACTCTGGATGTGGAGGTTGCAGTGAGTTGAGATTACACCACTGCACTCCAGCCTGGGAGGCAGAGTGAGACTCCATCTTAAAAAAATAAAAGATTATAAACATAAAAATACTTTGCAAACTCAAAGGCCTTAATTGACCTATAGATCGCTAGATCACTTGAGTCACTTTTAAAGATGATTCCATAGATTCCCTGCCAAAACGTTTGAAGCAGAAGAACTCTGAGTTTCATTCCAACCTTTAGTACACCATGTCATGATTCAATCTTCCATGAGTGAACTATCCATAGTGCTGAATCTGACTGCATTGATTTAGAAAGGGAAATCTTATTTTATGTGAGTGGTTTGTTATTAATGACTTTGCATAAAACATAATTTAAATAATCCAAGGCTAATTTTCCCAAAGTAGTAAGTGTAAAGAAGAAGAGTGCATGTCAGAGGACAAAAATCTACATCCCCATTGTCTCAGTTCTTCCCTCACTCCCTCCCTCTTTCTCTTCCTTCTTCCTTCTCATTCTCCTCCTCTTCCTCTTATCCCTCTCCTCTTCCTTCAATGATGCTTTTATATATTTTGGTGCAAAATTATTTATTATTTATCACACTTCTCTCCTAAATCAGCAGTTCATTGTTTCATGGCAGTCATCTAGTTCTCTTTAAAGTGTTTTAGCATATCTAACCTTTGTCCCAAAGTTGTTATTTTTGGAGGCTTTTTTTTTTGCCCTAGCACTATGATTTGATGAATAATTAGAAACTTTATTATAGTATATTAAAAGGCTACATACATTCATAATAGTAAGCATCACACTAAAAGTCAAATAGTCACCAGAATTATCTGCCAAAGTTCTGATACATACAATGATAAGATTCACATGATTTTGGCAAAGGATAAGTTATTTTGCCATTTGGTGATGGCATAATACAGTTTATAATTCACTTGGCTTTCTACTTCAGAAATAACACATTTCCTGATTTCTAAAAACACAGATTTTTATTATATAAAATTTTGTGTATACAGTGATTTTAATATATCACACTATTTCAAATTTGCACAATCTAAATTTGCATAAAATGTCAATTACACTACACTTTAAGGTCTCTCTCCTTTCCTTTGTCTGGAGAAGAAAACATAGGTGATGTATTCTCTTTTCCTTTGGTAAGTTTCCACAGTAATATTGTATTGTTTCAGTGGAGATATTGCAGAGTAGTGTATGAACATGTCACTAGAGTGAGAAGACCCAAGTTCAAGCTACAATTTTACTACTCACTCACTTTAAGTCCTATCCATGCAAGGTCTATGTTTTCTTTTCTAGAGAAAGGAAGGGAGAAAGAGGTATTTTCCAGAGTATTTGGGTGTTAAATCAGATCATCTGGATGTCTTTCTTCCATAACTTCTCTTTATTTTGAGACAGAGTCTCGCTCTCTCTCCCAGGCTGGAGTGCAGTGGTGCAATTTCAGCTCACTACAAGCTCCTCCTCCTGGGTTCACGCCATTCTCTTGCCTCAGCCTCCTGAGTAGCTGGGTCTACAGGCGCCCACCACCACGCCCAGCTAACTTTTTTGTATTTTTAGTAGAGACGGGATTTCACCTTGTTAGCCAGGATGGTCTCGATCTCCTGACTTCGTGATCCCCCCATCTCAGCCTCCCAAAGTGCTGGGATTACAGGCATGAACCACTGTGCCCGGCTTATAACTTCTAAGATGCTATACAAATGCAAGGCGGTTCTAGCTGGTAACACCCTTTTTAACAGTACACAAAGTTCCATAAAATGAGATAAAAAATATGGTATTAAAAGTCCAGGATTATAAAGATGCTCATCATTATCAAGTCAATGTACATTTTTTTAACTAACATTTTTTTGAGGAGAGAATGACACAAATCCACTATAACAATAGAAATTTGCATTATAATAAACAACAATATTTTCTTTAGACTCAAGATTTTCTGAATGCTAACTTTGTTTAAAATTTTGTAATACACAGCAATTTTCTCTAAAGACTGATTTGACTTAAGCCAAAACTGATGATAAGTTTAGTTTCTTTTCTCTTTTCTCTATTTCTTATAGTTTTAATTCCCAAAGAGTATTTTTTATGTATAAATACTTACTGAAACACTTGCTGTTCAAATAAAAATAAATACTGATAACAAAGCTGGTACATATAGATATTCAAATTATTTGATAGAAATATGAGAACGTTTACCACCTTTAGTTAAGTCTGTCTTTCTTTGCCTCATGTTCAATAACTTTCTTTTGGCCCTTCCACAAAAATTAAAGCCTATGCAAATATAAATAAATACGAAGTTCACAAAAACTTTAAATTTGAGCTAGAAACTCAATGGTTAAAAAAAAAGCAAACACTAGATAGTCTATCTTTAGGGTTTTCTTTTTGTTTGCTTGTCCTTTCATTTTTCCTGAAATTGCAGATTGGACAAAACCATTTCAGGCCTCTGGGATATGTATCTTCCATCTATAATAGAACAAATTACAAGTGAAAAAGCATTGTTATGGAGTCTTCAGCTTAAAGTTGGCATATTTATTTGTTATGTGCTGCACAATTTCTATTCCTTGGTCTCTTCCCATTATAAATTCATCATTATACTTGTTTTTTAATTAAAAAGGTAGTTATTTATTGTGTCCCCATTTAATTTAGAACCTGAGGTATCATATCATTAAATCAATAAGATTTGATGACAAATTTTATAAAGTTGCCAGAAAAATATGACCATAAACTTGATTTTAAAATTCAGGCTACAACTGCTATCACTAGCTTTATTTTTTCTAGTGATGAAGTAGCAAAATTTGCCATAACATTAAACCTCAATTATTATCCTATAAAATATTTTTCACCTGAGCACTCAGAATCTCATTAGTTTCTTTATCTTTTCAAATCAGCAAGTTCTGAAAATTCTTATTTGAAATGCAAAAGCAAAAGGGAGGGTTGTCAGCAGCCCACTTAATCCTTGATTCTCAATTTTTCTCACCCCAAACCTAACCTCTTTCCTCCTCCTGTATTCCATTAATAATTTCAGGAATATTTCCCAAACTTTCATTGATTGAGTTACCTTAGTAACAGTGGACCCAAAGTTTCTGGTAAGAAGGTTTCAATTTTGTCAGGCAAAGATATTTTTCCTTTCAGTTACATTCATTTGTAGTTTCACCTTTTGGAAGAAAGCCTATTTAAAAATAAGTAGTTTGCAGAAATATTCTATTTCCAAAGAGTTTTGAATTTTTTTCTTTCTTTTCCTTTACTCAAATTTTTGAAGGTATTTTCCAAGAAAAAAAATAATGAAAGTACTAAAAGTGTCAAAATTAGAGTATTTTCCTAGTACTTTCTCTTGGCTGCTCATGAACAAAAGCAGCAGTCATAAAAATAAATAATAAAAATTGAGGTTCTGCATTCAAACTTTATTTTACAAAGCCCTGGTTACCTCCACAATTTTGAAACTCTGTCTCTGCCCTACCGTGCTGTTTGCGTATCATTCTCCAGTTGTTTTATTCACTTGATTCCTGAGCATTATGTTAATTCCCATAAGCAGCACAGTTCAGCATTCAACTGGATATGTTTTTCTCATGCTATCTTTGCAAAAGTCTTTGTTTAAAAGCTACTTCATTCCCATCAGGCAGCAAGGTAGAAACTCCAGACCCATAAGTACACTGAAGCATATTACAAAAATATGATGAGACTCAATGAGGAAACTTGGATATAAATATTAATCTTCCTTTTATCAGGATAGGAACCAAAAAGTCTGATCTGACTTTTTGAATTGTTCATGCAGTTCATTCCAGTCATGTGAAAGTAAATCAGGGTCAGCTTTTTTTTAAATGGCACTGCCTTTATTTTGGAAAATGTCATGGCTGCAGCCAGAGATATAGTTTTCTTAGTTCCTATTTCTAAGAGCATCCTCATATGGATTCCCGGATGGAAATGCAAAATGGCTTTGTTATCCTTAGCCACCCCTACTGGGCCACTTTGTCCTTGGATGGTATTTGTTTTTCTAAATCAAGCATGCTCAAGAGAAATTTCCAGTCCATCTAAACCTATTCATAGATTCAATATAGAGATACTTGCTAATTTGCTTTCATGGTTAAAAAGATAAATAAAAGCTGTCTGCACTTCTTGCCAGTAGAAATTCATAATCTACAGTTGGTTGGAACATGATTTGTTCTTTTTTTAAATGTAAGGTTTCCTGAATTAAGTAGAGACAGTTTGTCCAGATACCACTCTCTGATTCATCAGGGAGTCTCTGTGGTAACTACATTTTCCTCTTTGATTATTTGGGTGTCGCGAAAGTTTTTTAAATTGTAAATGAAGTAACTAAAAGTTGTACACCATATACAGACATGGACTTAGGTGCATACATACACAAAGAGGTGTTACTTGATGGGATTTAGGACATGGTATCCCCAAATAGGACACCTTGGAATTTGAGAGAACAGCAAAAGCAGGAAGGTCACTCTCACCTTCCCTCCTCCCTTGAAGCAGGTAATAAAACTTAGGAAGAATTTTTCTGGCCCGAAGCAGGTTATAAGGCCCTCATTTGAGAGGTGCCCTTCCCATACTCAGAAGAAAAGAACGTCTTTACCTCTAAAGACACAGGGCACAGAGAGGAATTGGAATAAACAGGTCTTACTAAATTCCTTCCAGTTTATTACCAATAGATCACTTTTAAAGAAAATTAAATCATATTTCTTCATGACTACCAACTTTATCACCAAACCTAGTATGGAAAATGCACAGGTTTATCCATTTCTTTGGGTCTTTATTTCTTTATGAAGTCTCCCATGCCACGTAGAACTTTATTAAATAAATGTGTATGCTTTTCTCTTGTTAATCTGTCTTTTGTTATAGGGGCTCAGCCTATAGAGGCCTCAGCCATCAATGTAGAATGGGTGAGAAAAACATATTTCTCATCCTATCTATACTAAAAAGTGAGTTTACTATTTGCAAAAGTATGGGACCATCAAGGTTTATTATCTCTCTCTCTCTCTCTCTCACACACACACAATAAAATCAGTTATGAAAGAATACTAGAGTTTCTAAAAAGTATTTCATAATGATGTTATTAAGACCATGATTTGTGGTAGTCAGTGCTTTTTCCTGAAGCCTGGAGGACTTTTTACTTTGACTAACCAGAATTTGCAACTTGAGTGCCTCTTACCTCTATTTTTAAAAAGCAAAAAATAACTTACTTAGAAGGTATTAACTGAACTATTAAATATTTTATTGGGTTTTCTTCTGGTTTCTATCTATCAATGCTTATTCCTTCAGAATGATACTGTTTAAAAAGAAAGCACTGCTAGGCTGTGGGAACGTTATTGATTAACTTCGTGGTGAGGAAATAACAACTGCTCAGGTTTGGACTTAATAATTTCCTAACAAAAAGCTTCCCACGTGCATAGCCCTTCAAGGCAATAGGATGATGTTATATAAAAACAAGGTGACTAAAGTATTAAGTATCAATTCCTAAATATAAAAACAGAACCACTGTTGATGTGGCTGATGGATTTGGCAAGAATAAGCAATAGCCACCTTGGTCTCTGGCTGCCTTTGGATGGCACTAACACCCACAGGCCAACATGTAGTTGTAACCACATGCCTTAATGTTATAAGACAACAGAAACCTCAAGGTATCTATGAAAGATCTTATCAAAAAGCAAAGATGCTATCAAAAGGCATTCTCAAGTGTGGATTCCTTGGACTAAACTAGATTATTATTATTGATGGTTATGGCCTATTCCAGGAGCTTTTAAAATACTGATAGCTACTGGTCCCAGCCCCACCTTCACCCCTATTTATCAAGGAAACCTAATGGCAGAGCCTAGGCATGAACATAAAGCCAGGCCTGCCTCACTTCAGAGCCCTTGCTTGTCACCAGATCAGTTTTTACCTTGTAATCAATAGATCTCTCTTCTCAGTTTGTGGCCTCTCACCCAGGTGGAGTTGGGTAGGCATGGTCCCCAGAGGAGCTGTCCAACACTCAAGGTTCTGAAGTAGCAGAGTAGAAGAGGAAGGAGGGAGGGCTTTCCAAACAGATAAAAGATGTATGCATTTCTTTAGGTAAGAAAGGGAAAACTTCACAGATGCGTGCTTTTAAAATAAATTTTACTGTGTATGTTTAAGGTATACAAAATGATGTTATGGAATATATGGAGATAGTAAAAAGGTTGCTATAATGAAGCAAAATAACACACTATTTATTTATTTTTTGAGACGGAGTTTCGCTCTTGTTGCACAGGCTGGAGTGCAATGGCGCGATCTCGGCTCACCGCAACCTCCACCTCCCAGGTTCAAGCCATTCTCCTTCCTCAGCCTCCCGAGTAGTTGGGATTACAGGCATGCACCACCACACCCAGCTAACTTTTTTTGTATTTTTAGTAGAGACGGGGTTTCTCCATGTTGGTCAGGCTGGTCACGAACTCCCGACCTCAGGTGATCTGCCCGCCTCGGACTCCCAAAGTGCTTGGATTACAGGTGTGAGCCACCACGCCTGGCCACATACCCATTATCTCAAATAATTACCCATTTTTTTTGTTTTTGTTTTTGTGGCAAATGCAGCTAAAATCTACTTATTTGGCACAAATCCCATACCTATATTACCTATAGTGCTCATGTTTTACATTAGATCTCTAGACTTGTTCATCCTGCATATGTGCTATTTTGTATACTCCAATCTACATCTCCCCATTTCCTCTCCCACCCCCCACCCTGGCAACCACTGTTTTGTTCTCTATCTCTCTATATTTGAGATTTTAAAGATTCCACATATAACTGAGATTATGCAATTTTTTTCTGTGTTTGGCTTATTTCACTTAGCATAACGTCCTCCAGACTTATCCATGTGGTGGCAAATGGCAATATCTCATTTTTTAGGAATAAATAAGTTTTCATTGTATATATATAGAACAGTTTCTTTATCCATTCATCTGGTGATGGACACTCAGGTTGTGTCCATATCCTGGCTACTGTGAATAATGCTGCAGTGAATATGTGAGTGCAGATACAAAGTGGTGATCCTTTCCTCTGGGCTTTCACTGTAAGTATAGCAGTGAGTATCTCCACTTCTCATTTACTCTGAGTATTTGACCAGAAGAGGGGTTGTTGGATCATGGGGTAGTTCTATTTTTTGTTTCTTTAGAAACCTCCATACTGTTCTTCATAATGGCTGCACCTATCTACATTCCTACCAACAAGATACAAGCATTCCCTTTTCTCCACACCTTTGCCAATATTTACCTTTTGACTTTTTGATAATAACCAGGCAGATGAGTGTTTTGATAAGCATTTGACAAGCCTGGAAAATCAGAACCATTAGCAAACAGGAGCAGTTGATGAGTGAAGGTTAAACTGAGGGTTGGGCTGCATTGTCTGATGCAATAACGACTAGGTACATATGGCCACTGAGCACTTGAGATGTAGCTAGTGTGAACTGAGATGTGCTATAAGTATAAAACACACATCTGAATGTGAAGACTTAGCATAAAAAGAATGTAAAATATCTAATTAGTAATTTCTATGTGATTACATGTTAAAATGATAATTTTCATGTATTTATTCAACTTTTATCCTAGATTCAGTGGGTACATGTGCAGATTAGTTATCTGGATATATTGCATGATGCTGAGGTTTGGAATATGAATGATCCTGTCACATAGGTACTGAGCATAGTGCCCAACAGTTAGTTTTTTTGAGACTTGTCTCCCTCCCCTCTCTGTGCCATCTAGTAGTCCCCAGTCTTTATTGCTGCCATTTTTATGTCCTCAAGTATCTAATGTTTAGTTTCCACTTACAACTGAGAACATGCGGTATTTGGTTTTCTGTTTCTGCATTAATTTTCTAAGGATAATGGTCTCTAGCTGCATTCATGTTGCTGCAAAGAACACGATTTCATTCTTTTTTATGGTTGCGTAGTATTCCATGGTGTATATGTACCATCTACTGTTGATGGGTACCATGGTTGATTCCATGTCTTTGCCATGGTGAATAGTGTTGCAATGAATGCGCAAGTGGATGTGTCTTTTTGGTAGATTTATTTTCTTTTGAATACATACCTGATAATGAGATCACTGTGTTGATAATGAGATCACTTTCTACAGTGGCTGAACAAATTTACATTCCCACCAACAGTGTATAGGCATTTCCTTTTCTCCATAGCCTTGCCAACATCTGTTTTTTTTTCTTTTTTGACTTTTTAGTAATAGCCATTTTGACTGATGTGAGATGGTATCTCATTGTGGTTTTGATTTGCATTTCCCTGATGATTAGTGATGTGGAACATTTTTTCATATGTTTGTTGGCTACTTGTATGCTTTCTTTTAAGAAGTGTCTGTTCTTATCTTTTGCCCATTTTTAATAGGGTTTTTTTTGCTTGTTCAATTGTTTAAGTTTCTTATAGAAAATTATAATATTTTAGATATATTGAATTAAATCATCAAAATTAATTAGCCATTTATTTTCACTTTGCTTTAATGTAGATATTAGGTGATTTTAAAATTACATATACAAGTCACATTTGTGGCATGCATCAAATTTCTATTGGACAGTGTTGACTTAGAACTTGAAAGGAATATTGCTTAGGAGATGCTGAATAGAAGATTTGAGTAAATAGGTGACAAAATCAACATTATACTTGAGGATTATGTTCTTGTGATTGTGGCAGCTTAGAAAAATTTGCAAGGAGAAGACAGCAGTTGGAGGGAAGAGATGACCAACAGCAATTATTGTGTAGTGACTATGTGCCTGGCACACTGGTCCACTATCTCTCTTTATCTCCACAACAACCTTGGTATGTAAGTATTCCTTGTATTTCACAGATGAAAAACTGACATTTAGCAATAGTAAGTAACATTTCCCAAATTACTTAACCTACTGAAATAAGATTGCAGGTTCAAACTCATGTATACTCCATGTCCTTCCACTTGACCAGGGAAGTGGAGAAGAATGGCAGGGGTACTGGGGACTTACCTATGGGGATGGGGAACATTTAGAAAACTGTAACACAAAAATTAGCAGGCTTTGAGAAAAAATGAGTGCAAACAGTTAAGAAAGAAGATATTTAAACAAACCTTAGGACCAAAAGCCTTGGGGATACTGAGAGTGGTGAGAAAAGTTTTAAGTCTCAAGTTGAGGGTTATGCTGATGAAATAGCACTGCTCTCCCCGCAGACCATTCCATAAGTCCACTATAATAATGTACATTTAGTGGACTCCCACTGTATGCAAGATAGTGCCAGGCAGGATGGTAGGGGGAAAAAAGAAACACAAAATACATTTTCTAGTTCTTTGTCTACTTGAGAAGACAAGAAGTATGCCTCTGAATCCATTGAGTGGCAACAAAGCTTCAGGTAGTCGATATGACAGTATCCGGCTACGTATTTGTCTAAGGACCTTTGGATAACTAGCAGTAGGACCTTGGACAAATTACTTAACCCTTCTAATGTTCAGTTTTCTTATCTGTAAACTTGACATAACATTATCTTGCCCACCTTTCATGGTTGTTGTAAGAACCAAAGTCTAAATGAAACAATGTGTATTAATATGCCTTGTGAATTATGAAGTGCCATACCTGACTTGAAAACTCATTTATTAGATGTTATTAACCTAGGCAGATATAGGCCCATTGTTTTTTGGGGGGCCATTAATAAATCCACAGATGTTGTCAGGCTTCTAACTCATTCCCAAAAGCACCTGAATGTGAATTAGCTATTACAAATTATTGAGCACATAACTAATTCTCACTGCTTACAACAATCCTGTAAAGTTGGTATTGTTATACTATTTGGCTAACAAGAAAACTGCAGCTCCAGGTTTCAGTGACTCTAATTAGTAAGTGTGAGATGATGATCTGAAATCTATGCTCTCTGACACAGGTTCTGTGTTCTGGCCTCTGACTCCCAGAGTCTGATTCTCTGAGTCTGGAGTATCTGTATATCTGTTAAAATTTTTCAGTGATTTTAATAGGCAGCTAAGCTAAGGAATCACTGCTCTAGCAAGCTCTTGGTGACAGGAGTTGTCTTGTGAGGCAACTCAGAGCTCTGACTGTGAGAAAAGTCACAATCTGCCTCCTGGAGCTTCTACTGATTGGCCCCAATCCTATCCTGCAGGGACACAGAGGTAGCCTGAAAAGCTTTCAATGACAGTCCTTCAGGCACTTATCTTCAGGGGCATCTGTTTAGGGAATCTGGGGGCCCCGTTCCTAAGAGTCATATTCTACTAGTCTTTAGACTCCAAGTCTAAAATTTCTTTACTGGGATACATTTTGCTGAGAGAAGATAGGAAGACAAAATTTAGAAAATGAGTCACACTGAGCAAGGTTGTTGAATGAGGAGTGAGCAAAACCAGGAGAGCGTGGTGTCCCTTGTGTACACCTAGACTAGATCTGTACAGTTGCCAGCAGAGAGCTCTGATGGAGGATATCAGAGACATGACCTCAGTAGCTTCAAAAGCCAAGAAGGAAAATGAGAAATTCCTCACATTGGAGTTGGGTTATAATATTTCTTTTTTCAGTAAAATGTAATATAAAGAGTTTTAGCTGTGTCTTGATTTTCCTGCATTTTCATTTCCCAAAATAATGAAACAAAAATCTTTGGAAATAAAGAAAAAAAAGGTTTGGATAAAGAATAGCCCAGGTGAGTGACAACCAGCCTCCAGATAGCACAGGTAGGTGTTGTAGAAGCTGTAAGTGTAGCTGGAGCACATGGAAAAAGTGTGCTTCTAGCCGGACAGGCCCTGAAGAGACCTCTGGGCCTCCCTAGGCAGGTGCTGGTAGAGTCAGATTAAAGGAAAAGGCACAGTCCTTCTGCATTCCCCAGCTCTTCCTCACCTTATCTCTCTCCCACAGGCTTTGCAGTAACTTTACTGGGATTAGGGAAGACGTGTGCAGTCTCATTCAAGAAGAAAAGAAAGTGGGGAGCAGAAACAATCAGCTGCTAATTTATGCGCAGAGGGGTGCTCCAGAGCTCCTTGGGGTCTCCAGAAAGTTGTCCACTAACAACCCTGGAGTCTGGGGCCGATTCTTCCCCACTGTCACCTGCCAAGGTCAGACTCTATGCTGTCCTCCAACTGCTTGGGGGAAAAGCTCTGAAATGTATCTTTAGGAGACATTTCTGAGGACAGAGCACTTTGTGAATGGGGGCATTTTCACTCACCCTCTTTCAAATCCTTGTTGGAAAAAATAAGGGAAATATATACAAAAATCAAATGATAGGCACTCTGGAATGGTGAGGCTTTATTGCACTAGGGAGTTTTTAAATTTAATGTCTCTGTTAATTCTTTCCAGGCCTTTGGGCATCTTTATTTTAACCAACACCACCAGAGGTCAAAGGGGACAGGGCAAGTGGACATGAACTTGGGTGTAACTTCTCTTTGTTTCCAAAGATCCTTGAAATGTGCATGTGGCCCCTACTGCCATACCTAAGACCTTCCTTGAACCTAATCTTCACTACCAGCTCTTCTTTTGCAGATCTAAATCAGCATGTCACTCTGAGCTTTGTGTAGAATCATGTATGTACATGTGCAAGCCCCAACAGACAGTTGGAAAGCTCTGAGAGGAAAACTTGGATGTATGAAATACCTACTAAAAATCAGGCTTTGTGCTAAAGATTTTAATACGCATTCATTCATTCCACTGATACAAATAGAGCCCATAGGCTGGGTATGGTGGCATGCACCTGTAGTCCCAGCTACTCAGAAGGCTGAGGCAGGATGATCACTTGAGCCCAGGAGTTCCAGGCTGCAGTGAACCATGAGTGCACCACTGTACTCCAGCCTGGGTGACAGACCAAGAGCCTATCTCTAAAAAGAAAAAATAAAGGAGAAATTGAGAATTGAGCCCTTAGTTAATATCACATTAGTGATTAATGTTAATGTAGTGTATATCTTTTGGGAGACCCAGTCAACAAATAAAAAAACTGATAAATATACATATGTAACTAACCTGCACAATGTGCACATGTACCCTAAAACTTAAAGTATAATAAAAAAAACAAAAACAAAACAAAAAACAAACAAACAAAAAAAAACTGATAAATGAACAACAATGACAACAACAACAACAAACCAATTATAGCAATAATTAAATGTTAAGAAGGGTACGAATAGAGTGCTGTGAAAGAGAATAACAGAAGGATTTATTTTAGAAAGAAGATCAGGAAAGGTCTATGGATCTCTTTTACATTGAGCCCGGTAATGTGATGAGAAAGCCATAACCATGCTAGTGACTGGGGGAAGCCTGCAGCCCACAGAATACTACATGCTCCCCACGTTATTCTAGGACATGTTGGTCTCCCCTTCACCACTCACTGGCATGCTTTGCCCATTGAATACAGAAAATGTTTCCATATCTTTCTGTTCTTTCTCTTTTGGATACAGCAGCATCCCCAATAGGTGAAGTCATCTGAGTTTTCATGTGCTGGTGGTTCTCAGTGTTCTGGGTACTGGACTATGTCGGAAATGAGGTTATCAGTCTACAAAAATGTGTTCCAAGGCAACTCCAGTTTGATCAGCCATTCACATAAGGCTGAAGATAAACAAATCAAGTTCTGCTATGCTTGAATTTTACTGCCAGTTTTCCTGTCTTCTATCTTCCTCTTATTTTTATGTCTCTTTGGCTAATTTCTTATATACCTGTGTAAAATAAAAATAAAGTCCCTTAGGCCCACAGGCAAGAGGGAATGGGCTCTTTGTGGCAATAAGATTCCAAATTATAAATGGGATCTGAGGCCATGTCAGGCAAGGGTTAATTCATGCACCACCCCCTTCCCCCTCACTTAAAGAATAAACTATGTTCTAACTGCCACAGTTTCCATTTTTGTTTTTTCCTCTAACAGCTAAGGAAGCACTGGTCTCAAGATAAAAAATGTTAAAACAATTGCAGCTCACTGACCCCTGACACTGACTAGCTCACCCTCCTGTTCCATAAGCCATAACTCCCATTTTGATTGGACAAGAGACTGATTTCAGCAACCTTCTCCTAATTAGAGACCACTGGTGATGAACTAGTTCTGGCCCGTTTATAGAGGTTGTGAACTGGGAGCCTTCGTGTCCTTCTTTTATCTTTTGACCTATACAGGCTAATTATAATGCATTTAAATGCGAAGTCTCTACCCCAAAGTGAGCATGGGTCATATGTAACATACATGATCATTTAGTATGTGTGCATTAGGACCCCCTTCCTGAATATTCATAGCTCCTCCAATAACCTGTTGAATATGCATACTTGACCAACCTGTTCAGTATAAATTCCTGTCCCATCCTTCTCCCCCTTGAAGGGCTTGCTTGCTTTCTCTGTTAGAGGCTATGCTTCCCAGCCTATCAAAATGATCACCTCTCAGGGTGTAATCCTCATTAAGAAATAAAGCTTGCTCTCTGAATTTGTGAAAACCTCGTGATTTTTGAGTTGACATCTGGTTCTCTTTACATGGTGCACAGACGACAGGCCAGGGGTTTTAGGAGGAGGCTGGGAAGTGAAACACATGTTCCTGGTGGGAAGACAAAACAAATGAGCTGAGGGCAGCAGGGGAAGGTGGCTGGATACTGAGCTTCATCTGGGCCAGCACAGAGGGCTGACGATGAAGAGAGCTGTCTGCGTCAGGTGGGGACTTCCCACGTGCCCAGGCTTATCTGTGTGAGTCCCTCCTCATGTCTTCTTGTCTCTTGTCCTTTACATGACCCATATTCATCATTTCTTTGGTTGTTCACAGTCTAAAATTGTCCTCCATGTACATACCCTCCTTATGGTGTCTGGTGTTTTCGTTAGGAAAAGAGATATAAATATGTAGAGGTTAGGAGGAAATCTCTGAGTCAGGAAGCCCTCTGTCAACTGAGGTCAGCGTGGGGAGTTTGATGTTCCACTCCCAGAGTTGTGGCAAGTGCTTTTGTTTTAGCTGGTTTTACTTATATTAACTGAGGCAAAGTTTACACCATGAGGAAATGAAAGTTGGGCTGAAGAAGACTTTGCTTCAATTGCAGGTGGAGTCATTCTCTCTTTCGCTGTGGTGAGGCGAGCAGGGCCCAGAATAGGGACCACTGGCTCTGGGCTCTGACTGCTGTTTGAGGTTGGCCACTCCTATGGCCTAGGGTGGTCTGTTCACCTTCTCCCAGGCTCCATTTCCTCATCTGACACGGGGATTAGGCCTTCCACACTCTAGTGAGGGCTCAGTGAGGTAATGCAGCAGAAAGCGTTTCGTAACGTTAAAATGCTAAACAAATGGAAGGGTTTGTCTCTCCCTAGTATGGAAAGGTCAGGAATAAGTGAGTGTCAGGCAAAACATGAGAAAGTTGTGTAGCATGCAAGTATATTGACTCTGCTACCTAAAGTCCGTGTGCCAGGCTATAAAGACTACTGTAAGGACATTTGCTGTGAGAGGTTACTTTACCTCCAAGTGGCTTATTTTCTGCCTCTTTATGGATTATCGTTACCTGGGTGACAATAAAAAAACTCAAGCTTAGGGCTCAGTGGCCTTCTTGGGAGGCAGGAGGTGGTAAAATTCAAACCCAGGATGCTCCCTTGTAGAGCCACTAAGGTGTGCTTGGAGAGAATGGTGGAGCTGGAGGAGAAAAATGGCTGAGGAGGATGTGAAGACGGACTTTGGATGTTAGGGGAGAGGAGAGTGGTGAAGGTCCCTCCTGACAGTCCCAGCCCTGCACTGTCCCTCTCCATCTGTGTCAGTATCTCCACATGTCTGTCAGTCAGTTCACCTCTCTGTCTGCCAAGGATTAGACTGTAGCTCTAACCATGGAGTGAAGCCTTTATCATTCGTGCCCACTGAGTTAGTCTTGTCACTCATGCTCTGGTGTGCGTCCAGGCTCTGAGACTGGACTTATGCCCTGGGTGGCCTCCAGTTCTTTACTGGGGCCTTAGCACTGCTATGATGCCAGCCTACTCCCTTTTCCAGGCCTGGGTGCTTTCTCTAAACCCTAGCTTCAGCTTCAGCCTAGTATTAGAGGCGTAACATGGGCTTGGGGTCATAGATACTTGAGTTTGAATACTGACCCTATCTCATACTAGCTGGGAGATTTTAGGCAAGCTGATTAACCTTTCTGAGCCTCAGTATTCTCATCTTCAGAGTGCGGGTAATAAGTATTTTGAACAATTATGAGATAATGTTGATAAAGTATCTAACAGACCCAACACAGAATATGTTGTTTAGAACTGGTTGATATTATTAAGGTTATTGCACAGGGGGAGAAACTTTGGGAAGAAGCATGTTTCTCTCTGTCTGACAGGAGGCCAGAGACTCCTCTAGCCACCGGCTCTAGCATTTTAGATACCAATCCTCATTTTGTAATGATGCTGTCAGCCCTCTAATTTATACTCTGATCTCTATTATGGCTATTCTGTTCTCTTGCCCCTAGAAGTTTCTAGAGAAGAGCAGATAGTTCCACTTTTAGATGTGCATTTCCAAGAAAACATGTGAACATTGATCAAAGATTTTTCATATTTATTGAAGAAAACTTTTTTTTTAATGTCTAAGGAAAAAGTGGTCAGATGCTAACTTGCACTCTTTACTTACCCAGGCTTGCCCTTGATCAGGTTTTGCCCTGAGTCCACCCCGAGCAGGTGTGTCAGCAGTTCTGACACTAACAGAAATCCAGCCCTGCGGGAAAGCTGGCAGTTCATCCCTCTAAACTGAACATCACCTCACTCTCTTGAAATGCCCTCAGAAACACGGTAACTGGTACTTAGCTTGATGCAAGTTAGAGGAATAAGATCCTTTGTTTCAAACCTCATCAAGTTCTGCAAGTCTTGGCTGATGTTTACTATTCAGTAATTTAAATACACCAGGCTTTTCACAAATGCTTATTAAGAGGCTTGTTAGGCTTTTAAATACTGAATAGCTTGTATAATAGGACATGACAAAGGTTGAATTAAAAATGAATCAAAATTATATTTTAAAACTATATTATCTTTCATTCAACATTTACAGACATTTACTGAATCCCTACCATGTGCTGGATATGGTGCTGAGGATTAAAAGCAATAAGACTATTTCTGTCCTTGTGAAGCTTGCCGTCTATTTTAACAATTAGCAGAGGACATAATAGGAAGTGCAGGAGCTGCAATTATAATTTTATGGTCAGAGAAAGTCTTGCTGAGAATTTGAGAGGGAACCACATGGCATTCTGGGAGAAGAACATTCTAGGCAAAGAGAATAAAGCCCTCTTTCTGGAACAATGTCCAGTTTGTTCCAGCAATGGCAAGGGGGCCATTGTGGCTGAACTGGGCCAAGCAAGGGGAGAGCAGTGGAAGAGCTCAGATTGTGGTGGCCAGATGGTGATGGGACTGGGAGGCCATTGCAAACATTGGCTTCTATTATGAGAGAGGTGGGTTTCAAGAAGGGGGAAACCATGATCTGGCTTGCCTGTTAGGCTCACCGAGACTGCTTTGTTGGAAATAGACCATGATGGGGTTGCTAGGGAAGGTAGAAGCAGGGAGACCTGAGATAATTGATGTGAGAGATAAAGGTAGCTTGGATTAATGTGGCAGAAGTAGTGGTGTCAGATTCTGGATCTATTTTGAAGGTAAAGTCTATCAAATGTACTGATGGATTAGATGTAGGGAATGAGAGAGAGAGGAGCCAAGGATGTCTTCTAGACTTTCATCTTGAGCAACTAAGTTACCATTAATGGTGAAGACATGAGTGTAGGTGAAATAGGCTTGGAGGAACCAGATATTTAACTTAACATGCTAAGCTAAAGATATATATATATATGACATCTAAGTGGAGATGCTGAGTAGAAAGCTAGAGTGGAGTCCAGAGTAGAAATATAAAAAGTTGTGAGTTTACAAAAGGTATTTAGAGCCATGGCACTAGATAAGGTCATCCAAGGAGTGAGTGTAGAAAGAGAAGAGAAGAGGTAGAAGAGATGAGGAGTAAAACAGAGGAGAGTGAAAGAGAGTGGCCAGTGGGGTAAAAAAAAAATCAGAAGATCATGGCATTCTGGAAGCAAGGCAAGAAAGTAATTGATGGATGAAGAGGGGACAGAGTCAATGGTGTCAAATGTTTCTGAGATATAAAGAAAAGGAGGCCTAGGAATTGATATTTCGTTTAACAAGTAGAGGTTTAGTAAACATGATTAAAACGATTGGTAGAGTGGTTAGTAAACTTTATTAAAACATGTGGGCAAAAGTCTAATTGAAATGAATTTAAGAAAGAAGGGGAAAGAAAGAATTGGTGAGAGTGTAGGCAGAGGCTTGTTAGGCTTTTACAGATGAGGACCTTACTTTAATGAGAAGCAGACCTTAAAGGGCCTTACTGAAATGAAAAGCAGAAAAATGAGGCAGTTCCTCTAGGGAAGTGAAATCAAGAAAAGATTCTTGAAAGACTGGAGAATTAGCCTGAGGCTGCCTTTAGGCTGATGGTAAAGTTTCCATAGAGAAGAAAAATTTAATCATACAGTGTTGGAGCACTGTCTTGGGTGGGCATGGGCTCCAGTGCAAAGTGAAGGGGTTGCTCTCCCACACGTGTCCTGACAGTTCATCTATAGTAAGAGGAGGGAAGGTGAAATTTATAGGCACAGATGCTGGTAAATGGGTAAGTGTGACGGTGGGAGCTTGAAGGAGTTCTCTTAAGGTTGCTTCTATTTTTTTTCAGTAAAATAAGAATTAAGGTCATTAGCTGAGAGTGAAGATATGGGAATAGAAACCAGAGACGTAAGAAATAATGAGATATGAATAGAAGAATATTGCATTTGGTAATAGACTAGGAAAGTATATTAATAATATATTTTCCCTTAGGCCCACTTGAGGTTTATGGACATGAATAAAAAGTGAGACTCCTTCCATTGTCGTATGCTTGTGTCCAGCCATAATAAACTGAAGGGTACAAGCACAGATTAAGTGGAGAGTTGAATTTAACTAGGGTTGAGGTTTTTCTGAATGATTGTAATGAAGTATAAGAGGGGCAAGAGAATTGAGAGTGCATGCAAGGGAGGGATACAAATAATTGGGTATGCACTTTAAGCTGGGTAAGAGAGAAGGAAAAATAAGGAGGCAAGGGACAATAAAAGAATAGTATGATCAATGAGTTGTGGCTCTTTGGGCCATCAATGGTTTTTGGTAATGTGTAAGAGCAAATGAACTGGAGATACAGAAAGTGGTGGTCAGAAAATGGGATGCTTCAAATTTAGATTACAGGTGTTTTGCAGGTTTGGAGGACAAGCCTGGAGGTATGACCCTGGAAGTGAGTGGCTGAGATAGGAAGATGGACAATATCACTAGAGGAGAGCGGTTTTGGAAATGAAAAGGCCAGAGTTTTGGAAGTCTCATCTTGCAGACACTGAAGTCACTACGAATTTAAAGAACTTCCCTAGTAAAAATATTGAAGACATTAGCTTAGGATGTACCATCAGCTTCCTCAAATCAAATGTTCATGGGCACATTTCTCTGTGGGTGTATGAAGTCACGAAGTCAGTGTTAGCATAGACCCTTGTGAATGTTCGGTGCCTCTCCGCTGCATTTCCATAAGCAAACTTTATCTCCTCTAGGCTATCAGTTACACAGCAGTCATCTTTTTAATCTGCTTTCTTTATCCAACTACAAGCTCTTTAAGGACATGGATGTACTATTAGTCATAGGAACCTTAAAGGCTGGCACAGTGCTCAATAGATATTTGTTACTTACAGTGGTTGAGAACACTGATTCTGAAGTCTGAAAGACCTAGGTTGTAATTCCAGCTGCCTCTTATTAGCTAAATACTTCTGGAAAAGACACTTATGGCCATTTCCTTGTCTGTAAGATGGGGACATTACCCCCTACTACCTCCTGCACCCCTCACAGGGGTGTGGTAAGGAATCCATGTGACAAGGCTTTACATAGAAGGTGATCAGTAGAGTCCTGGAACGTAGAAAATGCTTTATAAATTTTAAATACTGAATCATGAAGGCAATAAAACTTCATGCTTGTGTTATTTCCAGGGTGCCAGACTTCCACATCAGCCAGTCCTGTGCTACAGTCCTTCAGAGAAAAAGGGTGTTAGGAGGAAGCTGACTCTCCAAGAGTCTCCAGTAGTTTGGTAACATGCCCAGTGAGAGATGATGAAAGAATGTTATTACTAGAAAAGATTTCATGAGTTCTCTTAGCCAAAGGTGTGCACCTCTCTGTGTGCACAGCCCAGGAAATGCAGTGTCCCTGTTTCCATAGTTACCCAACGAACTGAAAAGTGTTGCTAGTTCCAGCCTCTATGTTGTCAATGATTACATTATTGTATTACATGTTGATTAAGCTAGAGCACATAGATATGATAAATACTCATTTATAAGCACAAAAACTACTGTTTCAGAAAAGTGCACTTAAGGAACTGTTCTTAGGCTCTTTGTTTTCAGGGAAGCAAGGACAGACAGCAGAGCAGGGTGACGTGGCCTGAAATGCACGCTGTCTAATGCAATGCAGCCTTTCTCTGCTCTCTGTTAAGCCCCTCAACCTTTTGACTGACCAGAAAACTGTGCTGTGGATCATCAATTTCACCTTCTCTCTGTATTCTGTATTTTCTCTCTAAGCTCAGAGCTTGCCGCTCTGAGACACTGGGGGCTGAGATAATGAGTCTAGACTGCTCATTTGCTCTGCCAGGCAGATGGGAGCACCTGTCATGTGTGGGCAGACTGCCTCTCTAGAGGTTGGGCAGTAGTGGTGTGTTTGGACCCTCTTTCTAGTTCCAAATGCCACAAGGTTACACAATTAAGGGAGAGTTTGAATCAAAACATCTTATGTCAACCTCAAAGCAACTGAAAAGTGGTTTTTCTTGTAGTTTAGTGGAATTATCCCTGAATTGGAAACTTTAATCAGAGCAATTTTCTTTCAGTGGGCCTAGAAGTTTTTGGAAACAATACAGGCATTTTGATTCTCTCGATTTCTTTAGATCTCTGCAGGTTCAAACCAATATCAACCAAATTCTCTATTTCCTTGAGGCCTGTGTGTTTGTACGTGTGTTTTGGGGTGGGGGGTGGTGGTGAGGGGGGCAGTGGTGGTGTTTGACTTTCAAGAGTTAATCTTTTAATGAAGGAATCAGATTGAATCTGAAACTTCTTTCTATTCTAGAACCAGTTGTATTGTCACCTGTTACTTGCTCCAACCTCTGCTGTACCCACGTCTTCCAGCGGGAAGAATCAATCTCCCTTTTGTACATTCCCAGAGGCCTCTAGGTATCAGAAAAACATCTGAAGTGTGAGTTAGAAGACCTAGATTTTATACCCAGAGTAGTCACCAACAAATGAGTAGCCTTGGACAAATCACATCACCTCTCCCGGCTTCAGCTTCCTCTGTAGCAGAATAAAGAACACTGAGCTGCCTCACAGGAGAGGCAATGCAGCAGAGTGGTTAAGACTTTTGACCAGCAGTCAGATGACCTGGTTCAAAGCCCGGATTCAAAACTTAAGAACTGAATGACTTGAGCCTCAGTTTTATTACCTGTAAAATGGGGATAATAATGGTACATAGTTTGTAAGGATTGAGGCCTTCTGTTGTGCAGCCCTCTTAGGAGTTGAACAATGAGCCATCATCTTTAGGTAGGTTTATTCTGCTAATTTTTAACTTGCTTAACATCAATACAATAAAGACCTCAGAACACTGGCACGTAACACTAGAAGTGTTAATTACTGTTGTTATTACTAACAGACATTCTAGAGTCTCCCAGTTTTAAAATTTTCTTTTGTTTTAATATCATTTGCTTCTATAATCCCCACCCCTTTGCAGAAGTTCTTTGATTGTCGTGACTGGTGTTAATGATATCTAGTGGGTAGAGCCCAGAGGTGCTGCTAGATGTCCTACAGTGCACAGGCCAGCCCTGCTTCCCACCAACAAAAAATTGTCCTGTCCTTGAGGATTGCTATGAAGGAGGGATTTGAAACCTGCTTTGAGTGTCTTTTGGTGATATGTTTTCTTTTCCTTTGCCAAATTAGTATTTATTGGCAGTGATGATGCTTCTGGCTCAATAAGTGGTAATAGAAGAGGATGGTAAGTCCTGTTTTATATCCTTCACTTTCCACTGAGAAAGCTCAACTTCGAATCCTTTCTCGCAAATCAATCAATATGTATATGTATTTTCTAGTCAAGAAGAATCAATGAAAACCAGCTCCAGACACCTAAAAGTGAAACTTTTCTTGGCTGTATATCCACTTCCTGCTTGCTTTCTCTTATCTCTGTGGTTTGCTGCTGCTTCACATTCTACCCACTGTTGGGACAGGGGATCCCTCTGCTTCTGTACCTACTAAAATTCTGCTCTTCCTTTAAAATCCATGTCACACATGGTTCCTTCCATGATGTTTTTCCAAAACATCCAAAAGTTTCCTTTTTACTGCTGGCTCCCAGAGCCTATGATTTTATGTTTCATGGTGTATCTCATATCCTGCCCTGTATCACAGGTATTGACATATTTGTATAATCCTTTCTCCTAAATGATAAGTTCCTGGAAGACAGGGATTGCCTCTTATTCACCTTTGAATTATCTTTAGAATTTAGCCAATGTGTTGCATACACATTGGTGAGGTTGATTAGGTGAGGCTTCAAGCAACACTTGGTGAATTACAGTATTGTTCCCATGACTAAACTCCACCCCTACATGTTCACTGCAGTTGCCCAGGACGTCCCTAGGCCTGCATTAGAATTCCTGTTTTAATGTTCCTAGGTATTACCTTTGCAATGTCTACACTCTGTCCTCTCCTTCTCTCCTCTCTCCTCTTTTTTTTGAAGGTTAATTATTTTCACTGATGAAATCTGCCATGATATACTTCATTTGTCTGTCCTCTTCTGTTAACATGCAAGCTATTTTAGGAATGCAGTAAAAGGTCGCAGCTGCTATTAATAAATTAAGAAGCAGCCTGAATTCCCCTGTGGGTCACATGCCCATCCATCTTCACTTATGTTTGAGAGGTGTTTCCTATGAGCCCATGTGATTTACTTTTTTCCTATCATACTACCCACCCTACACACTACACCAGTCATTGAGGATTTTCATGTTATTTTTGTCCTGGCTTTAATTTTACATTTGATTTATATTCTTTCCTTACTTCTCTCTTCTCATAAGAAGCAGAAGACAGGGAAAACCCTCTGAGCTATGTAAATATCTTTTTATGAATTGGATGAATTGGACCTCTAGAGATGAGAGCTTCATTACTGAAGGAAAGATGAACTGTCTGTCCCTGTGATTTGATCATAGAAATGTGCCATTTTATAAAGTCTTAAGTATTTTTTTAAAAGTAGTAATAGATAAACCATTTAATGTTATAATCACTTGCTATTAAAGAACAGAAGATATGGACAATTGCAGTAAGTCATTATAAGTAATCATAGCTTTATTTTTGGTGCTGATGAATGGAATTACATTTGGACCTGCCCACAAGTACACAATGCCCACACATACATAAGTAGCAGTTGTGATTCAGTTTTACACACTGTAGCAATACTATTAGATCGATGCACAGATCCGTAACTTTAGGACCTCGTAGGGAAGAGATTCATTACTTCATGACTTTAAAGAGCTTCCAAGCTCAGCCCCCTGACATTTCTTTTTTCCTACCTCTATCTAACCTCACTTCCTGCTAGGGTTATAATTTTAAAGATGATCCTACGTTTCATGTCCTGAAAAATTTCACAGTCTCCATTGTGTACAGCTTGGGGTCCACAACTCCTCAATATCGCAGAAAAAGCTCTTACACTCCACCCAAATTTATCTCTTGGCTCCTGTATTCAATACACACTTAAGCCACAGCAAACTTCTTTATCTTCTCTGAAAATATTGTGGACCCTTCTGTGCCTTGGACCCTCTGAGCAAAAGCTTCCTATTTCCTGGAAGGCTCTGCTCACCCCCGTCTCCTTACCTCCTCTTGACATAACCCCACTTCCTCCTATGAAGTGATAAATGTGAAAAGGACTAGCAGAGGGCTTGCCGCAGAGCAGTGGCTCAGCAAATACATGTTCCGTGGGTGAATAGACAACTGAGCTTGCAAATTCAAAGAAGGATCTTTGTCTTATTAATGAGTTCTCTTCTGGATGTTTATAAGTAAGTTTAACCCAGCATGACTGATCCATGTATAATATTGTTTTTATGTAAAAAGAGATACGTACTCCCTCTGCTTAAAAACTCATGGGGGCAAGAGAGGACCATCCTCACAGTAATTATTCGCCCCCAGCCAACCACCCACTGTGGACTGTTTGTCTGTCAGCCTTGGCCAACCAGAAACCCTGAGGTAGGGGAAGAAATAGAAGTTTGGACAGGAAAGCCGATACTCAAGAGTGGGGCTTTAGGGGGCAGAGTCCTGGATGGTAGAGGTTTGATGGGAGAGGTGGGTTGTATTAGTTTACTAGGTCTGCCAGGCTAAACAGCAGAAATTAATTGTTTTGAACATTCCAGAGGCTGGAAATCCAAGATCAAGGTGTCAGCAGGATTGGTTTCTTCTAAAGCCTCTTTTTTTTGGCTGTAAATTGAGGCCACCTTCTCACTGTGTCCTCATATGGTGTCTTAGTCTGTTTTGTGCTGCTACAACAAAATGCCTGAGTAGTTTATAAGAAATGAAAATGTGATTTCTCACGGTTGTAGAGGCTGGGAAGTCTAAGATCAAGGCATCAGCATTTGGCGTCTTGGGAGGGCCTTCTTGGTGTGTCCTCACAAGGTGGAAGGTAGAAGGGAAAGTGAGCTAAATGATGTGTGAAGCCTTTTTTATGAGGGTCATAACCCCTTTCATGAGGAAGGAATCCTTATAGCCTACTTACTTCTTAAAGGCCTTGACTTCCTAGGCCTTGACTATCACATTGGCCCCATCTAAACTTTGGAGGGGACACATTCAAACAATAGCACATGGTCTTCTCTGTGTGTCTGTGTCTTAATTTCCTCTTTTTATAAGGATACCAATCAGATTGGAATAGGCCTATCCTAATAACCTCATTTTAACTTAGTTACTTCTTTCGTGACTCTAAGTACACTTGACCCCCCATGTCCATGGATTAAAAATGTTTGAAAAAAATAAAATAAATATAACAATAAAAACAATACAAATCAAAAAGAATACAATGAAAAACCATTTATGTAGCATTTACATTGTATTAAGTATTATAAGTAATCTAGTGGTGATTTAAAATATCTGGGAAAACTTGTGTAGGTTATGTGCAAATACTACATCATTTTATGTAAGGAACTTGAACATCTGAAGAGTTTCGTATCTGTAGGGGGTCCTGGGACAAATCCCTGCTCAATCACATTCTAAGGTACTGCAAGTTAGGACTTTGTTGTATGAACTTTGGATGGGGGGATACAATTAAGTTGTTAACAGGGTGGTAATTGGGACAGCAATGGCTGCTCACAGGAAACGCTGGAGAGCAGGAGCTATTCCTTGCCTTGGCATTTTTCACAGTGCCTTGTTCATGGTGGGCATTTAACAGATCTTTTTGGAATTAAATGACAGACTCTACTTAGAAGTGAAATAAGATTTTCAACATGCAAGCTTTCCCTCTTGGCCTTTATTTCATATGCGAGTTTTATCAGCATTTTGTTGACATACTGATTTAAATAATTTTAGAAAACACCACGCAGAATCAAGGATCGAGGCCTTTCATTGTACACCCTTCCTCTGGATTGGCAATAGCTACAATTTTTGGTAGGTTTATTTCATTAATTTTAAATTCAACTAACTATATTACCATGCAGGTCACATGCCTCTACAAAGATGTTTTGTTATGTGTTTATTTTACCAAGTGTATTCATGGATTTTTTACATGCTTATCACTAAACTGATCCCTAAAAAATGATTTGAGGTGGCCCTTAAAATTTAGACACAGTATTTCTATTGCATTGTCTTCATCTATCTCTTTCATGACCCTCTTGCAAATGTAAGTAGTGTTGATCTGCTGATCTTACTTGTTCTCAGTGAACCATGCTGGTGTCTAGTAAATGTCATGCTCTTAAGTGTTCACAAACCATGTTTTAAGTAACCTTTTCAGAACATTTACACCTACTTCCCTGGTCTGCTGCTCTCCAATGACACACACACATCTACATTGAATAGACAAGTAGAGCTAAAGTGTAGAGGCCTCCAAAGTTGCCTCATGTGACCAGTAAAGCCACATCATACATACTTATCAGCATTAGCTGGAGGCGTAATAGAAAGGCTTAACGGGGATGCTATTCTTGGACAACCCCACTTGGCAGGATTTGTGCTGATGAAAAGTTGCTAGGAATAGTTCTGAGATTTGAGACTGGTCACTTGTATGGTCTTAGTATCACCATTTATTATTCTCCTGGCATTATATTACATATTTATTTGTTCACACATTCGTGAGTATCTCATTCTGGAAGATAAACTGTACGAGGATAGAAACTTTGCCTGTCTTGTGTGCTGCTCTATTGCCAACCATCAGAGCAGTTCCTGATATTAAGCAGGTGACAGATTCTCTGAGGATAAACTTGCTCATATGTCAGATTATAATACCAATATTTGTTATGCCTAATCTCAAAGTCATTGAAAACAACTAAAGAGGCATAAAGGCAATTTGTATAGTGCAAAGTAGCTTGTAAAGATAAATTAAGCAGTTATAAATATATGTGGTTTTGAAACACTATAAAGAAACACTATGTAATAAAATGTTACGTAAGGACTTCAGACTTGATGGAGTAAAAACCTTTAAAAAAAACAGTTTATTTGCTGGGTTGCCAGCTCAGTATTTTTAAAAAGTTTATCATTTTTTAAACAATGTTGAATTTGTTTAGAGAAATCTAAAAGAAAACAAAATTATATTTGAAAGCAAAAATTGTTGAAATTACAGATAGCACATGAACCTCTCTTCTCTTGTTAATAAACTCTTTTAAAAGTGTGACTTCTCTCTCAAATGAATCCTGTCTATGAGAAATGTCCTCTGGTGGAACCTTAAAGGTTGATCAGAATTCCTAGAAGCTCTTTGTTTAAATAATCACATGAAAAGATTCCTCTTAAACTTGTCTGTCAGCAAACAAATGCCACAAAGCAGAATGAATTTTACACCTTTTGGGAGTCCATTAATTTACTTTCAGTGGCATCAAGTAATAAAAACTCTTATAGCAAGGTCACAGTTCCATTTTATATCAAACAACTATCCTTTCTCATGTATGATACATGAAGCACATTTCTTGCTCAGGGCAAAATGTTTTATTAAAATTATTTCCTTTGTTCTTTTGTATAGATCGTCCTTTGTGACAAGAAAAATTATCTTCACAATATATCTCTTTAGGACTTCACTGTATGATTATAATTATGTCAATAGAACTTCATCTAATGCTACTTTTTTATTTTCTTTAAGAAGGATGCCATTATTTACGTGAAAATGAAATTTTTCCCTTCCTCCCTCCTTCTCTCCCTTCCTTTCTTCCTTCTTCCCATTCTTCCTTCCTTCGTCTCTCCTTTCTTTTAACTGTGGGAGATTTATAAAAAGAGATGTAGAAAAAAATGAATCTTTCAGATACAGGGATGCCTTTCTTAATCCTCTGGGTACAAAGAATGACTGATAATTATAGATTTTACAGAGCAAACAAGCCAATCTTCATAATCTCCTCCTTACACCATCACAAGTATATTCTCTAGCCAAAATTGATGAAAAGAAAAAAAAGTATATAATAGTGTAGCAAAGAGGAGTGCATGCCCAGGTTGTTTGACTTTAGAATCATCCCCTCTGTCATTCAGACTTAGATTTTTATAGCCTTTCACCCAGATTACTGTAAAAGCCTCTCAATTGTTCTCCCTCTTATCTCTGCTTTCTCCAACCTATCTTTCCCTCTGTTGACTGAGAAATGTTTCTAAAATTCCAATCTAATCATGTCATTTGTTCTCTACTTTTATTAAAATTTTAATCTTGACCCTCCTCCTCCATTGTGGACATTTACAATTTACAGGGCTAGCTGCAGTGAGTTCCTGCAGGTCCCAGTGTACCACATGAAACTTCTCTGAATGAGGATGAGCATTCCTGTTCTCCCTAACCATCAGGAGGTAAAAGTGCTATGTAAACGGAAAAATGCCAAGTCTAAAGACATTAAAAAGAACAGTAACCCTTGAACACCCCGACTCTTTCTTTTCCCTCCCCTCTAGATGGTTAGAAGGACTAGTTTTTCTTCTTTTGTGAGGTCTTGTATGTTTCATTGCCATAACTCTTTCAAACTTGTGCCACAGTCTCTAGATTAGTCTTCTTGCCACCAGTGTTTCAGCTACAGTACTTCTTTCACATCAGTTTAACACCCTTAAAACACTCCTTTGCACCATGCTAAGATAGCTTCAGAAGCTTCCAGATGCCTATAGGGAAAGCCCAGATGAATGAGTTTTATATTCATTTTGAAAGTTCTGTGCTAATAGTAAAGTGTTATACAAAATGAGGTAATACTGTTGTCTTTTAATGCATTGGTATCATTTTGGTATCAGCTAGGTCCCTAGAGAGCAGCTATGTAAAGTTCAATCTTTCTAGTAGTACAAATGACTTAAGGAATGAAAACATAATCTGTCTTCAATTTGTACTTTGCTAAGCCTACCCTGAGACTCAAGGGATTTTGTAAGTCAGAAAGAAATCATTTGGAGATGAGATTAGGAATATCTTTGCTGTTTCATAAGGTGGCAGTTTAAGAGTTAAAAGAGAAACCGACATCATGTAGAAAACATTATGGGAATTTTTCTTGGAGGCAAGTGTGATGTCATGGTTAAGAGCATGGGATATGAATTTACAGTTCTTCAGTTCAAACTTGGAACACTTTTATATTCTGGGTAACATATCTTATTACTACAGTGACTCTCAAAGAATCATGCCTATTGTATGTATACCCTTGTTGAGCTCTCTCCACATTAACCCTAGGTTTGGGACATTGGTAATGTGACTCAAGCAGAGGCTTAAAGAGTGCTTATTCACTGAGGCTTGCCCTTTCTTACTCCTTCCTGGGAACCCATTTGGCAACAAGTGAAGAAACCTAGGCCAGCCTCCTTGAAGATGAGGGACCAACGGAGAGAGAGGCTCTGCTGTCCTAGCCCTCCCACAGAATAAGTAAGCCTAGCCAACACCACGTGGAGCAGAGATGAACCATCTCAGTTGAGCCCAGCCCAAATTGCTGACCAAAAGAATTGGGAACAAATAAATAATTATTGTTTTAAGCTACTGTGTTTCTGGGTGGTTTTGTATATAATAGTAGCTACCTGATACATTGGATGACCCAATTACTGAACTTCTCTTAGGCCTGTTTTATCACGTGCAAATGGGGATAATTTTAGTAATTTGGGGTTGCTGTGAAGACAGTGAGATAATCCATTTAGAGATCTTAGCATAAGTAATGAATAAATATTAGTTATAATTATATTTTATATCAGGAATTATTATAATTAAAAATCATTAAATTAGTAGTGAAATAGTGTAATTTTTTCATATTTGTTATTTCATACTCACACTTCCTCTGTGAGATATTATTATCCACAATTTATATTTGAACAAGTGGAAATTAAATGATATCCTTGACAAGCAAATGTTTTCTAAGCCTGGGCTCTTTGCACCATGTAATAGATGATACAAGCTCTTGTCCTTTTTATACCACAGAAAAGGTATAAGACCATAATGGTGTGAATTTTGTATATAGTCTTCATCCTTGGTCATATTTTATAACCCAAAATGATCTGTATCATTGTTTACATCATATTTATCTTGCATTTTATGTGTCTCTAAGCTACCTCAAATCGTTTTTCAAAACTTTTTTGAGGCATTAGAAAAAGACTATAAAATTTATATAAATATTGCCCAAGTAATGACATGGCTCCTTGAATAGTTTTTGATGTTGGATAAAGCTGAGTAAATGAGAACTTGTGAAGAGAAATTGCAAAGAAAACAGTTTAGCAAAGGGTATTCTACTTTTAGGATTATCTTTGAGAATAAAAATTTATTTCTGTGGCTATGCGATAATTTCAATACTTTAGCATATAAACACCTGTGCTTATAATTGTGAAAACAATATTTATTCACATCTAGAGTTAGTACCTATGGAATATTCTGTGTGGCCTTAGTCATACCATTTCTGAGATGAATATCATAGCAGATTGTTTAATTTCTAGTTAAATTTCAATGCCATCTATTGTCTCCTTGATTCATCTAATTTCTCTGAGCTTTTGTTTCCTCATCTGTAAAATGGGATAATAACAGCCACCTTATCCTGTTGTGAGGACTATAGATCTAGTAGTGTGTATTGTCCCTGTAAGAATGCTTGGACTATAAGAGGCATTCAATGAATTAAAGACATGTAGAGCAGAGCTTCTCACACTTCAATGTGTGTATGACTCTTCTGGAGAATCTTGTTAAAAGTCTGATTCTGATTCAGTAGATTTGGGGCGGGATCCAAGATTCTGCATTTCCGGCAAGCTTCCAAGTAATTCTAATGCTGCTGGTGCATGGACCACACTTTGAGTAGCAAGCATAATGATCAGGGGTTGGTAAACTGTAGCCCATGGGTCAAATTCAGCCAACTGCCTGGCTTTGCAAAAAAGTTTTACTGGAACACAGCCAGGATCATTTGTTTATCTACTGTCTATATCTGTGCACTACAGTGGCAGAGTAGAGTGACCGCAAGAGAGACTGTATAGCTCACAAAGCTGTTTAGTGTCTGTCTCTTTATTAAAAAAAATGTTTATTGCAGCACTATTCACAATAGCAAAGACTTAGAACCAACCAAGATGCCCATCAATGTAGACTAGATAAAGAAAATGTGGCACATGTACACCATGAAATACTATGCAGCCATAAAAAAGGAAGAGTTCATGTCCTTTGCAGGAACATGGATAAAGCTGGAAACCATCATGCTCAACAAACTAACACAGGAACAGAAAACCAGACACTGCATGTTCTCACTCATAAGTGGGTGCTGAACAATGAGAACACATGGACACAGGGAGGGGAACATCACACACTGGGGCCTGTCGGAGGGTGGGGGGCTAGGGGAGGGACAGCATTAGGAGAAATACCTAATGTAGATGACGGGTTGATGGGTGCAGCAAACCACCATGACACGTGTATACCTATGTAACAAATCTGCACGTTCTGCGCATGTATCCCAGAACTTAAAATATAATAATAATATATATATATGTATGTGTATATATAAAAAACACTGAAGGTTTGTAACATCATGAAGGGGCAATATAATGCTGCTAGAGGGACATAGAAGGATCTGTCTGAAGAATCAGGTTATTTTATTGGATCCCACTAGATCACCATGTAGGAAGAAAATGCTGGGAATAACTGTCAGTGTCAGGCCCTGTGTATATGAAGCAATAGGACCTGGTGACAAGTGTGCAGGATTTGAAGTCTTGACCCTGCCCTTTACCAGCTCTGTGACCCTGAGCAAGTCATTTTAACCTCTCCGAGTCTTAGTTTGCTCAACTGTAAAATAACATTCACCAAACCAACTCTTGGATTCCCTTGGAAGATTAGTGATTATGTATGAAAGATATTTAACATATAACCTGCCACAGAGTAGATAATAAAATAACTGTTACCAGGGCATGGGCTAAGCAAAGAGGGTCTTGTCAGCTCTGAGAGACATGGCTGGAATTTCTAAGTTATTGTGATGCTCAGGGTCAAGTGGGTAGTTGTTTCCTGGTTCCAGGTGGTCCTTCTTGGGAAGGGGCCCCAGTGAGAACTCAGTCCCAGCCAAGTGGGTTGGGCTTCATGGCAGAGTTCTAGTCCTGATGGTAATATCTCAGAATCTGAGACAAAAGCCTTATCACACAGATAGGGAATATTCGTAATAATAAAAATAATGACTATTTTCAGTTGAATGCCTACCATTGTCTGGTGCTGTAATTGGTATTTTGCATACGTTTTCTTATTTAATATCCTCTGCAAACTCTGCAATGTAAATACTAAGAGATGAGACAACTGTTGCTCAATAAAATTAAGTAATTAATCAAAGGGCAATCAAGTAATAAGTAGCAGAAATGGATTCAGATACAGGACTGTGTGATTCAAAATTTATGCTCCTTTTGCTTGGCTATGAGGCTCTCATGCTGCAGGATAGAAGGAATGGCTGACGCTTGATATAGAGACTAGCACTCAGGGCTCATCTTAGGCCTATTGGGAAGTCAGCCTATTGTGAAAACTCCAACTTCAACACCATTTTCCATTTGCTGATGGAAAGTGGTCTCTTAAAAACAAAGCCAGGATGTCTGTGATTAGGTGGGAAACTGTGTGGGGCTTAGACTGCAGATTGGATAATAATAATAATAATAGTAATGATAATGATCATAGCAAAAGCTACCATTTATAAGGAACTATAATGGGCCATGTGCTACACACACTATCTCATTTAATTAACATAACTTTCATATGAAATAGGAGTTATTCATTTTATTTTAAGAGATGTTAAGTAGCTTGCTCATGAAGCCCATGTGGCTTGCATTATATATCAGAGGCTGCACAGAAGCCAAGCTGTACAGTGCAGAAATTGACCAAATCTGGGGCCATGTCTTGGCTTTGATGTTAGCTGAGTGAACTTGAGATAATCATGTACCCTTCTAAGTTTTTATTTCTTTATCTGTAAACAGAGGTAATTGTACCAGAAAATATATCATGGATATTCTAACACCAACATTTTAAGATTCTATGAAATTGACATCAAAGTTGACTAATATCACTATCTGGAGAAAATTGAACTTTTAAAATTATGGTTTTAAAGAACTTGTTGAAGGCTTTAACTCTCCAGCTTCACAATATTAATACAAAAGTTTAAATATGAGGGGCTTCTATGTCTAAGTGTGGATTTGTTCTTCACAAATGTTTTGTCTGGCTGGAAACCTGAGGATGCAGAACATTCTGGCTTGAAATCAAATTGCATAATATAATGCTTCTGTGATTTTCACCTGGCAGTTGTCATATCGGATCTGGCCTCCATTCTGGAGACATGCATAGAATTCCATAGTGACTGCTTCATGCATGAGCTGACTTTGCTATTTGAAATGTTGAAAATATCCTTAGCCGATTGCTTTGCGAAAGCTCCTTTAGCCAGAGTAGAGGCCAGAAGGAAATGTGCATCTTCTGAGAGCCCGTTCACTTTACTATTGGCTTTCTGTTGAGGCCCAAGCTCAGGCATTTGCCTGAAGAGATAACCTGGTATTCTTAATAATCTGATGGGGTGGGAGCTGTCTCTCAAGTATGTCATTCATGTTCACTCAGCACTGTGCATGCCAGACTTAATGAGATTATCCTAATTCAGGAAGATAACATTCTGAGCATTCTGTAGGCTTTTGATGTAATAATCTGAGCAGTCCTTCATGTGTATTATTATTTTGAGCATCATTTACTGAGTAATATATTATAGTCATGATATGGTACTAGCTAGAGGAGTCTGGATGAAGTAAAGAAAGCAGAAGGCATGGCCCTCTGGGCTTTCTGTTCATTGGCTGGCATGCATTCTGTCTAGATTGGAAGGCAACCATCCCCACATTAATTAATCAGAAAAAATTCATCTTTTATAGTGACACAGGAGAGTGTGACACAGATATCTTAGTTCAGAGGAAAGAAAAAGTAAAGGAAGAGAGGGATCAGTGCAGGGGTAAGAAAAAGCTTCTTGGAGTAATTAGTACCATGAGCTTTCCTGACAGCGTAAAATGTGGGTGCTAGAGAAAAGGGAGGAAGTACTACTAAGAAGAGATAACCTTATCTTGATTAAATAATGAAGATTCATTTAACTTTCATGAACAGATGGTTTTGACTTCAATTTCTCAATGATGAAAACACTAGCAGCTTACTGGACTTGTTATTATGAGGGATACCTGTTTCTTAAAGTGCATACTTTGGAAGTTTGACAACTGGTATGAAAAAAATGGCATTATTTTGACAAGATCTTAAGTTTCAGAGCCAATGATGGCTGTCTCTTCCCTCTCATCATCTATGTCTTTGTCATCACTTCCTTTCCTTATTTCTCTTCCCTGGACTCATTCCATGCATTTAAGCTGGATGGGATTCTAAAGTGCCAATACCAAGACAGAAGTAATGGCAAAATAGGACTGGATCAAAGTCAGATACTTGAGGGAGTAAGTGCCATGGTTAAAAGATGGTTTGTCCCCATGAAAACTTGTGTTGACACTTGATTCCCAATGTGGCAGTGTTGGGAGGTGGTTCATTTAAGAAGCAATTAGGTCATTAGGATGCATTGCTTTCTTTGTGTGGGATTGAGTTAGTTTTTGTGGCACTGGATTAGTTACCATGAAAGTGGGTTATTATAAAGTGAGGCTGCCTCTTGTGTTTGTTCTCTTTTGAACATGCTCCTTCCATGTGATGCCATCTGCCATGTTATGACACAGCATGAGGCCCTCACCAGATGTAGCCTCCAGGTCTTGAACTTCCCAGCCTCTAGAACCATCAGCCAAATAAACTTCTTTTCATTATAAGTTATCCAGTTTCAGGTATTCTGTTATAGCAATAGAAAACAGGCTAAGACAGTGTGGTACAAAACACTCATTATAGAGCAAAACCATAACTGATTACAGACCACAGACATGAGGATAGCTTTTATCCATTGATGGTAAGCTTGCTATGTAACATCACCTCATTTTGAAAGGGTCTCGTTTGAGGTAGGTGTAACTATCCTTATTTTACAGGTGAAAACCCAAGATTTAGAGAGATGGCATAGCTTGAACAAGGTCACATAGGTTTAGAGGTGGAGTTTGTTCCCAGGTCAGTCCAGCTTCAAAGGCTGAGCCTTATGCTGAGAGCAAGAGCTCTCAACTCCAGGCTGGAGTGACTAAGAATCAGCAATGAAAGAGAACCTTGAGATATCTTTCAAAGAATTCAAAACAATTAGGAGAGAACACCAGCAGCCTGAAGAAATGAACTCAGAGCTATCCTGTGTGGTGCAGGACCTCTTTTGTGGGGATCGTAGCAGCAGGGAAAACATATGGGTTCTGGAGTCAGATTGAGGTTTAATATTGCCTCTGCTACTTACTAGCTGTGTAGATTTAGACAACCTGGGAACCCTATTTCCCTCATTTTGCAGGAATGTAATAACAACTGAGGTACTGAGAGACAGAGAGCATCTAGCAGGCAAGTGGCGGAGGGCCAGCATAGTAGGTGCTCAATCAATAAAAACCCTGAAGGTCACACCCTGCATTTGGGTTTGACTGAGTGAATTTTTTCTTTTTTTAACTTCAGCTGCTCCTACTTGTCTCCTTTACCACCCCCCTACCCCGCCCCAACAAACACATGTTTTAATCGTGGTAATATGTGCTGTTTAAACTTCACAGGTGAGACTTAGGATATAGGTCAAAATGAGTACAGCATTCCTTTATTTATTTATTTTTTTGAGACAGAGTCTCGTTTTGTTGATAAGACTGTAGGGCAGTGGCGCGATCTCGGCTCACTGCAACCTCCATCTCCCGGTTCAAGCGATTCTCCTGCCTCAGCCTCCTGAGTAGCTGGGATTACAGGCACCCACCGCCACACCCGGCTAATTTTTGTATTTTCAGTAGAGACGGGGTTTCACCTTGTTGTCCAGACTGGTCTCAAACTCCTGACCTCGGGTGATCTGCCTGCCTCAGCCTCCCAAAGTTCTGGGATTATGAACGTGAGCCACCGCACCCAGCCTGAGCACAGCATTTCTTTAGCTGGTTGCAAGAACACCCTGTTACCTTTGCTATTACACTGATTAACACATTTCTGACATATGCTATAATATCATTATTCAAGAAGAATTCTCAGGTGATAATTTCTACTTTATAGGAATATCATTTGAATTCAGTGTTTGTTAGCATGAATGCCTGCTAGCTAGTGAAAGAAAGCTTGCCTGTTCCTGGAGAATCGTTTTGGGACTTATTTGGGAATTATTTCAGTTGTCAGAAATAATTCTATTTGCATTTACTAGACTGTGAAGATATCTCAGAAGAAATTAAATATACATTTTCATTTACATTAATGTAATATAATTGAGGTCCCACTCAGTACTTCCTAGGTCATATTGATAGGTAAGCCTGTTTTCTATCATGTTTACGTCTTAATTACATGTCTGGTTATGAGACAATTGTTGCCACTTTCAAAAAGGAAATAATATTTCCTTTTACTAAAGGAGAAAAGGCCTTTTGTGGGCCTCCTTTATGGAGAATACATGAGTCCCACTTGGTTTCATTGCTGTTCCATCCCCGGTAAAAGAAGGCTGATAGTTACTGTGATACAGATCTCTTGTTTTCCCTGTGATAAAAGTAAATTCTGATGAGAGGTTGTGAATTCAGGAAGTCTGGGAAGCTCCTACTTTTATATGAATAACTTTCATGCATCAGGCTTTGGGGAAATCCTCAGAAGACCAATTTGTCTGCTTAGAAGTGTGGCAGGTAGGGCCTTCTCTGCTGGTGCTGCCCAGAGCCCAGGACCTGGGCGTTCCTGGCCTCTGAAAACCTCACTCTTCAGACCAGTAAACCACAGCACTGTCGCCCTTTCTACAGGGCTAACTCTTTCCTTGCATTTTCTCTCCGTTTTGTTTTGTCGTTTTTGGAGAATATTCTTTAGAAAAGATTGGGAAAGCTCAAAGGCAAATCAACCAAGGGGGGATCTTTACTGTCCTTGTGGGTGTTTAATTCTTACCAGTTACCCTAAAAGCTTTCTCTTTTCATTTCTCAGCACTCCATCTGGGCTACAGCTGTGATGTTTTATTTCCAATTCCTTTATCTACTTCTTATAGGTAGAACCCAGAGATCATTCTACATCAGCTTTTTGTCACTAAATTTTTCACCTGTGATTTGAAACTGCCTTATACTACTTTAAATCTGAATTTGGGTAAACTCTTACTAACACATAATACAATAATTATCTTACATTTTTGAGAGAATTAAAATTAATACTGAAGTACCATTCCTAGTTTGTGCAAGATTTTCTTTTCTTGGACATGGAAAGGTGTATTTAAATGTAATTCATTTCACTAAGTCCCAGAGAAATAGAGATAGAGAGAGAGAGAGAGAGAGAGAGAGAGAGAGAGAGAGAGAGAGAGAGGGAGAGCTAATATTTACTGAACTTTACACTAAGCATGTTATATACCTTATTTGATCTCATTTAATTCTCATGACTGCTCTCTGAGGTAGAAACCACTAACCTTATTTGATCTCATTTAATTCTCATGACTGCTCTCTGAGGTAGAAACCACTATAATCTCCATGTTACAAATGAGAAAACTGAGGCTTAGACAGCCTGAGATAACACAGCAAATAAGCAGAGGAGCCAAAACTTGAACCTATTCAGGCTGACCGTAGAGCTTACTCCCTTAAACAAGTATGTGATACCATTTTTCAATAAGAACAATACAGCTCCACCTTACGTTTTGCTAGTCAAAATGTCTTCACCTCAAAATGTCCTCGCCTCTTGTGTTTTCCTTACCAAAAACTCTCTACACTTAAAAAACAAAAACCAAAAGCAAACACATAAAAATCCCATCTTTTTTAAAAAAAGTCTAAGTATTGGAATATAATTCAAGGCTATGCCTCAAGAGATAACATGTATGTAAAAGTTCTTTGAAAAGTATAAATTGTCAGTTTTGACCAATTTTTGTTGTGGTTTTCGATCTCATTCATTTTTGCCATTAATTTTATTATTTTCTTCCTCATTTCTTTGGGTTTGCTCTATTTATCCTTTGAGTTGAATGTTCAGCTCAAATTTTTGGTCATCTTTGTTTTGTGATAAATGTATTCAAAGCTGTAAATTTTCCTGTAAATATTATTTTATCTATGTCCCTCATATGTTGACATGAGATGCTTTTACTACCCTTCAGTTTAAAGTATTTATAAATATGCATAAATGAAACCAAAATCTCCTTCGTTGAAAAGACAAACAAGAAGAATCAACGTATGGCAAGGCTAATTTTTAAAAATAAATGAAAATACATAAAACCCAGAATGAAATAAGGGAAATAGTCACAGATATAAAATAAGTTTATAATATAATAAGAATAATCATGTAAAACACTGCATGCCAATAAGTTTGAATAAAATGGACAAATTTCTGGAACTGTGAAAAGTGCTAAAATTGGTGCAAGAAGAGACTTAGCTAGATCTATAACCTAAAGCTTCTAGGTTCAGCCCATTACACAGATGATCTGACTCAAACTTGCAAGAAATGGTAGTTTTCATCTTATGAAAGAGTTTTCAGAAAGTAGTAAAAAAAGGGAAGATTTTCTAACTCATTTCATGAGGCCAGTGTAATACTGAGATGAGGGACACATAAACTCAGCACACATATGAAAATTATAGGCCAATTTCAATGATGGTTATTGGTGCAGATGTTGCAAGTAAAATCTCAGCTAGCCAAATTTTACAGTATATTTTATGAAAATTATAATTAAGCATGATTCAATCTTAAAAACATAAAGACAATTTGATATTAATAATATATTAATGTAATTCAATTCATTAATAGAGAAAAAATTATTTAATTATATCAATTGTTACTTTAGTTAAAGAATATCAAAAACACTTGATGAAGATTTATGGTTTCTAAAAATTTCCTGGAGGGCCAGGCCTTGTTTAACTCTATAGAAGCTACATATCAAAAGGCTAGAGCAAACATCGTACTTAATGGAGATACTTTAAGGTCAGACACAAAACAAGGATGGCCACAATCTTTACTACTATTTGGTACAGTACATAGTATCCTTTCTATGCTATAAGAAAATAAATAAAGAATAAGAATTAGAAGGGAAGAGACAGAATTGTTATTATTTGAAAATGACATAATTATTTACATCAAACATAAAAAAGAATTCATGAATAAACTATAAAAACTAATATGAATGTTTAGCAAGTTTAAATTAACTTAGTATTTTTATATTAGCAAAAATCAGATAGAAAATATGATATTATCCAAAGGCTATGAATATAAACTATCTACATAGAAATTACCTTAACAAAGAATCCATAGGACCATTATGGAGAAAGTATAAGATCCTACTAAAGAATATAAAAGATACCTGAATAAATGAAGTGATAGCATTAGTATATGGATAAGATGATGTTGTAAAGGTGTTAATAATTCTTAAATTAATATATCAATTAATTTATGGATATAAATTTAATTAAAATACCAGCAAAAATTTTAGGGTAATCTTAATAAGTTGACTTAAAACAGTATATAGAGGACTGGGAGCAGTGGCTCACGCCTGTAATCTCAGCACTTTGGGAGGCCGAGGCAGGTGGATCACCTGGGGTCAGGAGTTTGAGACCAGCCTGACCAACATGGTGAAACCTCGTCACTATTAAATACAAAAAAAATGGCCAGGCGTGGTGGCACATGCTTGTAATCCCAGCAACACGGGAGGCTGTGGCAGGAGAATCACTTGAACCCAGGAGGAAGAGGTTGCAGTCAGCTGAGATTGCACCATTGCACTCCAGCCTGGGCGACAAGAGCAAAACTCTTGTCTCAAAAAAAAAAAAAAGTATATAGAGAACTAGAGGTCCAGAAATAGCTAAGAAAGAAAAAAAAAGGAGCAAAGAGGGGAAATTACCTTACAATATTAAATACGTAACATTATTAAATTAATTAAATTTAAACATTAAAACATATTACAGTATCATAGATGTGTGTTAAAAATAGCTTCACAAATCACTGGAGAAAAAAATACATGATTTTTTTTTTAATACTTCAAGTTCTGGGGTACATGTGCAGAACGTGCAGGTTTTTTACATAGGTATACACATGCCATGATGGTTTGCTGCACCCATCAACCTGTCACCTACATTAGGTATTTCTCCTAATGCTATCCCTCCCCTAGCCACCCAACCTCGACAGGTCCCAGTGTGCAATGATCCCCTCCCTGTGTCCATGTGTTCTCATTGTTCAACTCCCACTTTTTGATGGGGTTGTTTGTTTTTTTCATGTAAATTCGTTTAAGTTCCTTGTAGATTCTGGATAATAGCTCTTTGTCAGATAGATAGATAGATAAAAATTTTCTCCCATTCTGCAGGTTACCTGTTCACTCTGACGACAGTTTCTTTTGCTGTGCAGAAGTTCTTTAGTTTATTTAGATCCCATTTGTCAATTTTGGATTTTGTTGCCATTGCTTTTGGTGTTTTAGTCATGAAGTCTTTGCCCATGCCTATGTCCTGAATGGTATTGTCTAGGTTTTCTTCTAGGGTTTTTATGGTTTAAGGTCTGATGTTTAAGTCTTTAATCCATCTTGAGTTAACTTTTGTATAAGGTGTAAGGAAGGGATCCAGTTTCAGCTTTCTGCATATGGCTAGCCAGTTTTCCCAACACTGTTTATTAAATAGGGAATTCTTTCCCCATTGCTTGTTTTTCTCAGGTTTGTCAAAGATCAGATGGTTGTAGATGTGTGGCATTATTTCTGAGGCCTCTGTTCTTTTCCATTGTTCTATTTATCTGTTTTGGTACCAGTACCATGCTGTTTTGGTTACTGTAGCCTTGTAGTATAGTTTGAAGTCAGGTAGCTTGATGCCTCCAGCTTTGTTCTTTTTGCTTAGGATTGTCTTGGCTATATGGGCTATTTTTTGGTTCCATATGAACTTTAAAGCAGTTTTTTTCTAATTCTGTGAAGAAAGTCAATGGTAGCTCGATGGGGATAGCATTGAATCTATAAATTCCTTTGGGCAGTATGGCCATTTTAACTATATTGATTCTTCCTATCCATGAACATGGAATGTTTTTCCATTTGTTTGTGTCCTCTCTTATTTCCTTGAGCAGTGCTTTGTAGTTGTCCTTGAAGAGGTCCTTCACATCCCTTGTAAGTTGTATTTCTAGGTATTTTATTCTCTTTGTGGCAATTGTGAATGGGAGTTCACTCATGATTTGGCTCTCTGTTTGGTGAATAGGAATGCTTGTGATTTTTGCACATTGATTTTGTATCCTGAGACGTTGATTTTTATCCTGAGATGTTGCTGAAGTTGCTTATCAGCTTAAGGAGATTTTGGGATGAGACGATGGGGTTTTCCAAATATACAATCATGTCATCTTCAAACAGAGACCATTTGACTTCCTCTCTTCCTATTTGAATGCCCTTTGTTTCTTTCTCTTGCCTGATTGCCCTGCCAGAACTTCCAATACTATGTTGAATAGGAGTGGTGAGAGAGGGCATCGTTGTCTTGATCTGTTTTTCAAAGGGAATGCTTCCAGCTCTTGCCCATTCAATATGATATTGGCTGTGGGTTTTTCATAAATAGCTCTTATAATTTTGAGATACGTTCCATCAATACCTAGTTTATTGAGAGTTTTTAGCATGAAGCGGTGTTAAATTTTATCAAAGGCCTTTTCTGCATCTATTGAGATAATCGTGTGGTTTTTGCCATTGGTTCTGTTTATGTGATGGATTACGTATATTGATATGCCTATGTTGAATCAGCCTTGCATCCTATGGATGAAAGCAACGTGATCACGGTGGATATTCTTTTTGATGTGCTGCTGGATTCGGTTTGCCAGTATTTTATTGAGGATTTTCGCATCAATGTTCATCAGGGATATTGGCCTGAAATTTTTTTTTGTTGTTGTGTCTCTGCCAGGTTTTGGTATCAGGATGATGCTGGCCTCATGAAATGAGTGAGGGAGAAGTCCCTGTAGTTCAGAAGGAGTACCCAGATTCATAAAGCAAGATCTTAGACACCTACAAAAAGACGTAGACTCCCACATAATAATAGTAGGAGACTTTAACACCCCACTGTCAATATTAGACAGATCATCGAGACAGAAAATTAACAAGGATATTGAAGACTTAAACTCAGGATCAAGCGGACCTAATAGACATCTACAGAACTCTCCACCCCAAAGTAACAGAATATACATTTTTCTCAGCACCACATCACACTTATTCTAAAATTGACCACATAATTGGGAGCAAAACACTCCTCAGCAAATGCAAAAGAATGGAAATCATAACAAACAGTCTCTCAGACCACAGTGCAATCAAATTAGAACTCAGGATTAAGAAACTCACTCAAAACCATACAACTACATGGAAACTGAACAAGCTACTCCTGAATGACTACTGGGTAAATAATGAAATTAAGGCAGAAATAAATAAGTTCTTTGAAACCAATGAGAACAAAGACACAATGTACAAGAATCCCTGGTACACAGCTAAAGCAGCATTTAGAGGGAAATTTATAGCGCTAAATGCCCACAGGAGAAAGCGGGAAAGATCTAAGATCAATACCCTAACATCACAATTAAAATAACTAGAGAAACAAGAGCAAAGAAATTTAAAAGCTAGCAGAAGACAAGAAATAACTAAGCTCAGAGCAGAACTGAAGGAGAAAAAAGTCAATGAATCCAGGAGCTGTTTTTTTTAAATGATTAACAAAATAGACTGCTAGCCAGACTAATGAAGAAAAGAGAGAAGAGTCAGATAGATACAAATAAAAAATGATAAAGGGGATATCATCACTGATCCCACAGAAATACAAACTACCATCAGAGAATACTATAAACACCTCTACTCAAATAAACTAGAAAATCTAGAAGAAATGGATACATTCTTGGACACATACACCCTCCCAAGACTAAACCAGGAACAGTCAAATCCCTGAATAGACTAATAACAAATTCTAAAATTGAGGCAGTAATTAATAGCCTACCAACCAAAAAAAAAAGCCCAGGACTAGACAGGTTCACAGCCGAATTCTACCAAAGAGGAAAAAAAATTCTATAGATGATGTTGGGAGAACTGTTGCAGTATATGGAAAAAAATAAAGCTGGATCCCTACCTCACATAATATGCAAAAAGCTTCTAATTGAAATAACTTCTAAACAAGAATAGTAAAAATATGAAAAGAATAGAAGGTGATGTTTATGAGTATCTCTAGTTTTTATGTGGAGAAGAATTTATTGAACAAGACTAAAAGAGCTTAAAACATAAAGAGCAAAGATGATGAACTGATTTACATCCAAACAAAAATTATATTCAATGAAAGAGAACACAGGAAAAATTATCAGAAGATGAAAAACTAAGACAAGTTACTTACAAAATGTAAAGCAGATAAAGGAAACTAACATCTAAATCATATAGGGAATTACAAATCTGTAAGAAATGGCAGGAAACCTAGGAAAAATGGGCAATACCATGATTAGGCAATTTAGAGAATGAGCTACCTATGTCTATGATGAATAATGACATTAAGATATAAGCAACATCACACTTATTAGAGAAGTGCAAATTCAAAAAACAATGAAATACCACTCCACATCCATCAAATAACATATATTAGCACACCAAATAATGCCATGCTTTGCCAAGGACATGGGGAATTGGAAAATGAGGCAGCAAACTATAAGTGACATTAAATATGCAAATCCTGGTGCCTAGATATGTCTATAAACCAAAAAATCTTTAACAGACTTATATGGAGTTGATGTTTATTTGTTACGGCAGCAAGGAAAGAAAGCAAATTGAATGTCCAGCTAGGCTAACAGATAAGTAAAATGCAATCTATGCATTCCATGGAATACAAGTTAGGTTTACATAAAAACAGAATGGTTCACTCAAGAAGTGTTAAGAGAACAAAGAAATGACTTATTTTTTATGTTTTTGTTTTGTTTTGTTTTGTTTTTAAGAGACAGACTCTGACTCTGTAGTTCAGACTGGGGTAAAGTGGCATGATCATAGCTCACAGCGTGCTGCCTTGAACTCCTGGGCTCAAGTAATCTTCCCCCTCAGGCTCACAAGTAGTTGGCACTACAGGTGCATGCTGCCACATTTGGCTAATGTTTTAATTTTTTTGTAGAGATAGGGTCTTGCTATGTTGCCCAGGATGGTCTTGAACTACTGGCCTCAGGTGATCCTCTTGCCTCAGTTTCCCAAAGTGTTGGGATTACATGCGTGAGCCATTGTGCCTGGTAAAACAACTTATTTATGACATAATATTTTTGTGTATATCATATATGGGAACATATATTTCAAGAATACATAGAGCTCTGAATGAATGTGTGAAAGTAGAATATTAAATTCTTTAGTGTAGATACCTATGGTGCAAAGAATAAGAGTGTTGGTAAGGAACAAAGGGAAAAATAGGGCTCTGCATGCACTTGATGAGAGTGTGTCATGAGCTAAGAAATGTGATTAATTCAGTGTTGTGCACTTGAAGTCAGAAGAAAAAAGAAAAGACAATATGTACTGTATAAATGAAATTAATTATTTATATATAATTATATCAAAACATTACTGATATTCTCATGTTTGAAAGTAATAACCATCTGTAATCATTTGACTTAAAATGAGACCTTTATTTTTCATGAATTGTTAGCAAATATTTGTTCTACGATTATATGTCCTACTATATTTTAGTATGTCCAGAATCGTGTCCACGTTGCTCTTTTCTATATCCCAGCAACCTAAAACATTACTGCTGGACCATGATGGATTTTCAGTAAAGGTTTGATGAATAAATAAATAAAACTGCCTTGGTTATCCAAAAATCATGAAGGGAAGCCTACTTAACTATTATTAAGTACTTAATGTGCTATAGGTAAATAACATGTATTCTCATTTAATCAACAAAACACTATGGGGTAGCCTTTCTCATTTGCATTTTATAGATGATAAAACTTGGGTTCAGATAATTTAAATAACTTTTTTAAGCTTATAAGTGGTGGACTTAGGATTTTAACTCAGGTTATTATGATTCTAGTGCACTCTGTTAAGGCTCTGGAAACAGGCGAGTAATCACAAGACATTGCTAAATTCTAGTAGAAAGCAACTAAACTCTTTTTCTCATTTATTTTCGTCTGCAAATTTTGTCCATAGTGTATGTCTAGAATTAAAAAGAGAAATATGGAAAAAAGCACACAGGTAATGAACTTCATCTGTCTAATAGGAATTTTCTCCCTTTATTTTATTATTTATTTGTTTGTTTTTTTAATTTGGAAGGAGAACTTTGTGTCTTATAAAGGGTTGCAGCCTGTGCAGTGGTCTTTCTGACAGGCTAGGAAGCATATTTATCCTTACAACTGGCATTAGCAGACGTGCAAACCAGAGAGGTCCAGCAGCAGGCAAGCTGAGACTTAAGTTAGAACTGGATAGATTATAAATTGATGTAGCAGAATCAACATATAAACATACTTCATAGCTGTCTTTTTTATTGCATCTATTTTCAATTACAGTATAGCTATAAGATCATACTTATTTTTCTTAAAGCTTCTTAGCATTTATCCAACAATACTATATATGGAGAAGTTGATTCAAGAGATCAATTATGTGGCTGTATAATGAAGTTTACTATTGAAAATGCTTTTTTAATAAAGACGATTTATCTGTAGAGCTGGCATAGATTTTATTGAAGTCATTTTTCTCCTTATTGAGTGGAGGATAAATGTTCTTTAATGAATTCTGTCACCAGGAACAGACCAAGTTCATTAACAGCACGACACACTATTAACTTACTATCCAGAGCTGTGGCTTGGGAGATTGATGCCAGAGAATGCTTCCATCACCCTGTCTTCTGTAGTCCTAACTAATTCTCAGACCTGCTGGTCGGAAAGGATTGTTTCAGCCTCGCTTACAATAGCAGGTTCTTACTTCTTTACAGTGAGTGTCATGCTTTCCCTGGACTACAACATCAACATCTCTGGCCCCACAGCTGTTTCCCTTTTATCTTCCTATAAGTCAGAGAAACAGATGCCCTTTGTCCCTGAGAGGTTCAGTCTGTTCTTTTCTGGCTGGCATAGCTAAATTATACTAAGTTTGGGCCAAAATGAAGCTGGCAGTTAAACCAAGCTTATAATGTAGAGGAAACAAATTAATGTGCTGATGATTCATCAAAACCTTTGTCATGGAGGTTGAGCCATTGTCAGATATTTGCCTGTTTCCAGAGTCCTTAAGAGTCCACTGCCCAGCACAGATTGAAATGAACCTTGGGCTCTCCCCTACAGCTGTTTGATTTCTCTGTGATCTTCAAACTATCTCTCCAGGACTATCATCTAGGCAGGGACACAGATAGCCTCAGGAAATAAATGTTCTCAGGCCCACTTCTCTGGACACTGTCACCTTTTTTGTTCCAAGCTACATTTTCTTGTGTTCAGATGAGACGTTTCTCTTGATAACCATGGATGCAGGTAACTGTATGCAGATGGATGTGAGACGCGAGGGTCTGCCTTACTTCTAAGCGGAAAAAAATATGTGCCCTCATTATGTGATTCCAGGAGGACCACAAAAAACTCCTGTCCCCCTTCAAGCAGCACTAGACATTCTATCAGATTTGTTAAATGCCTAATACTTTTTATTCCATTAAAAGGTAATAGGCACATGAGGCTTTTTGGACACATATGTTTCGCAGACCCTTTCATGCTGTGCCTCACCCATATGCTCTCCCTCCCCACCTCAGTCAGAGTACAGCCTCCAACTGCCTGCTGTGAGCACTGGTCTGTCTTGCCTGAGGGCTTTCTCAGGCCCCCAGAACCGGCTCTGTGGCTGGGTTGGCAGAACGGAAGTGCCACTAACACTGATCCAGGAGCACCCTAACCAGTGAATGAATAGATACCTCCACTCTCTTTGAGCCATTCTCCTACACTGGCTCCCAGGGCTGCCCTGGTGGGATTGCACATCAGTGGCCCATAGAGGTAGCTAGCTTGATATTTTCCCCTTCATTGACTGCCTTTCCTTCCTGGACTGAATTTGCATCCCCCTTACAGATGTTTATTTCCCCTGCCAAAGAAATGAATGGCACTGGAATCATTGTCTCAGGAGTTTGCTTTCAGAGGATTCTAAGTACAAAAGGCAAGGAGAGAAAACATAAGAATCTTGGATCTTAGGCTGGGTGCGGTGGCTCATACTTGTAATCCTAGCACTTTGGGAGGCCGAGGCGGGCAGATTGCCTGAGGTTGGGAGTTCGAGACCAACCTGACCAACATGGAGAAACCCCGTCTCTACTAAAAATACAAACTTAGCTGGGCATAGTGATGCATGCCTGTAATCCCAGCTACTCAGGAGGCTGAGGCAGGAGAATCGCTTGAACCCGGGTGGCAGAGGTTGTTGTGAGCCGAGATTGCGCCATTGCACTCCAGTCTGGGCAACAAGAGCAAAACTCATCTCAAAAAAAAAAAAAAAAAAAAAAATCTTGGATCTTAAACAAGGGAGGGGAACTACCATTAGAAAAAGAAGGCAACGTTTTAAAAAACAAGTACCTATGTCTTAGGTGCTAAGGACCTTGAAAGGCATTTTCATATACATGTCTTCATTTAACTCAATTTAATCTAATCTAGTTCGGTTTGGTACATTCTTATCCCTATTTTATAGGTGGGTAAACTAAAGCTCTACAAAATGAACTTGTCTAAATTCATGTAGCTTGTAAGGGATGTAGAGCTTTGGTTCATACTGAGATTGTGTGACTCCAAGTTCGCTATTTCTTCTGTAACACCATGTTTGCCTGCTACTCTGCCTCACAATTTTGGGTAGTGCGAAAATAAAAGCATGGGTCTATGGCAGAAACTGATGCAAAGCTAAGAGGAGAAGCTGACGATGCACACATACACATGTCTTTAGCTTAAGGACAATCTGTGAACACATTGGAGCTTAAGTGGCCCCATCTTAGCCTTCCTCAATCATCTCACAGATGCAGCACTGCTGCAGAGGGCCTGCTAAGCCAGGCAGGTGGAGTTCCAGGTGTCTCAGGATGAGTGTAAGCCCTTAGTGTGACAGAGTGCAGTGGTTCTTATATAGTTGTGTCTGGCTATGATACTTATCACATGGCGCCATGGAGGACATGGACTTTGAAAATCAGCAGCCCTGTGGTCCAATTCACATCTTCCCCACCTGGCCCTCTCCAACAACACTCCAATAATGACCCACCTCTCTTCCTTGGCTAAATGTGCTCTCTCAGTGCCTTTGCACACTGGTGCCCTTTGCCTGGAGTTCCTTCTTGCTTCCTTTCTATCTAGAGAGTTTCTCCTGTATCTTGAAGTCCCAGTCAAGCACCACCTTCTTGGGAACCTTCCCTGATTTAGGCATTCTGGTGGAGTACTTTGTTTTTGCCTTGCTCGGAGGGTATTATCATTTCTTTCAGATCTCAAAAGGACTTCTGGAAACCAGGTACAGTTAGTGACATGGTGGAACTGGGGGAGTATTTAATGTGCTGGTTTGCCTCAGAGGACATGGTCTGTGAGAAGGCTGTTGATTGGATATCTAAAGGTGTGAAGTGTGAAAAGGGATGGAAAAGACTGGCATATGCCTCTATATCCTTCTGGTAGTTCCATGGGCAAGGTCTAAGCTCTTGAGGGATGATGATATTGAAGACAGAGTTGGCGTTCTCAGACAGCTCTGAGAACTGGGAAGTGGTATCACAACAGGCAATGTAGATTGAGGAAGAAGAAGGCAACGTGTGTGAGGAATCCTTGAAAGTACCTAGAAACAACAGGGCGAGTCCCTAAGAAAGTCAGGCTAGAGGGTTTGAAATTTGGGGCATTTCTATGACTGGAACCTACTGTTTCCTGTGGGCTGGGGAGATCAGGGATGCCTGACTTTTAGCTCCTGGAGAGCAGTGAACTTATCTTTTTTGACAAGATTATCAATATCTTGAAATAATTATAGATTCACAGTATGTTGCAAAGAAATGCACAGGAAAGTCTCATGCACCCTTCCTCCACTCTTTACCAACATTAGTGTCATGCACAACTGTAATACAATATAAAAACCAAGAAATGGACACTGCTACAATCTGTAGAGCTTATTCAGGTTTCAGCAGTTATACATGCATGTATGTGTGTGTATATATAGGGCTATACAACTTTATCACATGTTTAGCCTCATGTAAACACTACTACAATCAAGACACTTAATTGTACCATCATCACATGACTCTGTCATGTGACTGACATCTTTATAGTCACCACTTCTATCCCTTCCACTATGATCCCTAACCCCTGGCAACTACAAACCCATTCTCCAGCTCCATAATTATGTTATTTCATGAATGTTCCATAAATAAAATCACTAAGAATCAATCCTTTGAGATTGGCTATTTTCATTTGGCATAATTTCCTTGAGGTTCATCCAGGTTATTCCATGCAGTGGTTCATTCCTTTTTATTGCTGAGTTGTATTCTATGCTATTGTGTACCAAAGGGACCTTGTCCCACCCAGCACATAGCTGGAGCTCAGTGTCAGCTATGTAAAAGAATAACTGACTCTACAAACAACTTGCTGTGTCAAACGTCTTCTGCAGGTGGGGAAAGTTGAAGCTGGTTATTTCCATAACATTTAAAACAGGTAATTGTTTTGACCTTCTGATTGAAATCCACTGCCATGAATCCCCTTAAATGACCAGTCACCTCATTTGAATGATGAAGAAGTAGATCAAATAAGACCAAATGATACAACAACTGCATTTGCATGCTGCCATGATCAGGCCAAATTTTAAATTGGTGATATAGTTGAAAACTTCAGTTTTTAATGTCTTGATTACACTGCAAGATTTTCACCCCAGCAATGGAGTTTAACAAAAAATTTGAAATCCCAGGAAATGAAATTGCATTAATGATGGACTTTATGTATAAAAACCTGATGAGAGGATCTCAGAACATCTTCTCCCTAACTTGCACTTCTAATAATATTAGTATCTTCCATTTCTATTGCACTTGAAAATTATAAAAGGTAGCTTCATACATACTGTTGTGCTTAGTATTGAATTAATACTGTGAGGAAGGTGGGGAGCACAGGGTGGTGCTGGTGGTGGGTGTTATTGTCATTTCCCTGGACACATAAGAGAACAGAACCACAGAGGTGTCATCTTATTTGTCCAGGACTGCACAACTACTTAATTCATAAGCCTGGTTAGAACTCTGATCTTCATTCTACTTTCACCCCATTTCTTATGGATAAATAAACACTTTTTAGAAAAGGAGAAATCTGTGCTTTTTTATTTGGAGACTATTTCCATCATTTGACCTTTACAATCCCAATGTCAAAATATCCCATATGTGTATTTCTGTAGTAATCACTTGCTGAAAGTCATGTTTGTATAAAACAAAATCTCTATCTGAATTGTTTTTCCCCAAACAAATCTTAGAGATACTTAGAATAAACTGCTGTATATTATTACACATGATTGCAGTAATTTATTTTACCTGGGGGCAAAATCCTAGCTATTTAGTAAGTCTTATAAAAATCTCCAGATGGCTTAATTATACCAGTTTAGAAACTAAGGGTATAAAAATAAAATGGATAAATAAGCATAATTTAGAAACATATTGAGATGAAATATAAAAGTTAAAAAGAAAGTTTTTAAAAATAAGATTTACCCATTCATGATAAAAACTCTCAACAAACTAGGAATAGAGAGGAACTTTCTCAACTTGAAAAGAACATGTACAGAAATCCTAGAATTGGCATGATGTTAAAGAGAAAGAGAACATTTCCTCTAGGGAACAAGGAAAAAAATTTAGCTCTTACTACTTCTGTTCAACATTGTACCAAAAGTCCTAACTACTGCAGTAAGGTAAAAACAAGAAATAAAATGCATACAAAGTGGGGAAAAAGAAAAAAAAGCTTTATTCATACATATGATTATGTGTGCAGAATATCTCAAAGAATCAACAAGAAACCCTCCTGGAATAAATCAGTGATTATAGCAAGGTCCCCGAACAAAAGGTTAATATATAAAAGCCAATTGCTTTCCTTTTACTAGCAATAAACAAATGGATTTGAAATTTAAAAAAAATAGTATCACATAAAATTGCACCAGTGAAACTTAAGTATAAATCTGACAAAATATGTGTGGGTTCTATATGTGAAAAACTACAAAACTCTTTGAAAAAATCAAAATAAATGTAGAGATATCCCCATTTATTGATTTAGAAGACTTAATATTAAGATGTTAATTCTTTCAAACTTAATCTATAAAGTTAACACAATATCAGTCAAAATTCCAGGAAGCTGTTTTGTAGATATTGACAAACTGATTCTAGAGCTCTTATAAAAAAGCAAAAATCTACAATCAGTTACACAATACTGAAGAAGAACAAAGTTAGAGAACTGAAACTATCTGATTTCAAAAATTAATGTAAAGTTAAAGAAATCATGACAGTGTAGTATTGGTAAATTAATAGACACATAAATCATTAAAACTAAATTCAGAGTCCAGAAGCAGACCCAAAGAAACATGTTCAACTGATCTTTGACAAAGGAACACAGACAATTCAATGGAGGAAAGGTAGTCTTTTCACCAAATGATAATAGACCAATTGGATCTCCATATGCAAAAAAGAAGAACCTAGACACAGACCCAGAGACCTTATTACTTAAAAAAAAATTTAACTGAAAATGGATCATTGACCTTAATGCAAAACTACAAAACTTCTAGAATAAGCATAGGAGGCAATCCAGGTGACCTTGGATTTGGTTCTCAGTTTTTAGTACAACCCCCAAAGCACAATCTATGAGAGAAAAACCAATAAGTTGAACTTTATTAAAAAATGAGAATTTTGGCTTCATGAGTTGGGAATTAATTTTTGGTTGTCAAATAATTAACTTTTAGTCCAGATGAGTTTTCAAATATATATAAACAAAAAAAGAGGAAAATTTTCAAGGCATAGAGACTTAGTGATATGGTTTGGCTCTGGGTCCCCACCCAAATCTCATGTCAAATTGTAATACCCAGTGTTGGGGAGGGACGTGGTGGGAAGTGTTTGGATCATGGGGGCGGATTTCCCCCTTGCTGTTCTTGTGATAGTGAGTGAGTTCTTACAAGATCTGGTTGTTTAAAAGTGTGTAGCACTTCACCCTTTGCTCTCTCTCTCTTGCTCCTCCATGGTAACACATGCTTGCTTCCCCTTTGCCTTCTGCTGTGATTGTAAGTTTCCTGAGGCCTCCCAGCCATGCTTCCTGTACAGCCTGTGGAACTGTAAGTCAATTAAACCTCTTTTCTTCACAAATTACCCAATGTCAGGTAGTTCTTTACAGCAGTGTGAAAACGGACGAATACAGTTACCAATAGAGATAGTAGCGTCTTGTGCCCATTTCATTGTGTTGTAGTAAGTCATGATATATAAAGTCCACAAGAATGTGAGGTTGAAAATAAATTTTAATATTTCATGGCATTTTTTTTTTCTAGGACAAGGGAAAACATTGATATTTATTGGCATGTGTTCTGTGTCAGACATTGTACTAGACACATACATAACAGTATGAGGAAATCTTTTTCTTTCCTACTTTTAGCCATGAGGTTAATACATGCTCACACTGATTCCATCCCTCACTCCATACAGAAATAATAGAAGGATGTTATGCAAGACATGCAAACTAAGAACTTGATTTAAAAATTGAAAAAACCATTTAATTTTAAATGTCCTTCTGATGTTGTATAGAACCACATGGCACACGTAGGTGTGTGGATGTGCTATAGTGAATCCCATTTTTAAAAAAATTTCCAAGAGGCCTGAGAAGTGAGTGATAACTCACAGAGAGTGGAAGAATAGAAAGGAACATGCAACAGGGGAATGGACCATTTAGGATCAGTTTGAGAAGAGCCCTTTTTCCCAAAGGGGAAAGTTACTCCTGAGGATGAAGAACCCTGGGATTTGGGTTATATAGATATTATTTTATTTATTTTTATTAATAACTTTGTCATATAAGTATTATTTAACCATCTTGTAGATAATGAAATGAGTCTCAGAGAGGTTAAATACTTTGCTCACGATAACACAACTAGTAGTAAATAACAGAGGAAGGATTTAATCCTTGTCTAACTCCACAGCCAATGGACAGTACAGTATAGTGATCAAGTAGGTAGATTCCAGTGTCAAATTACTTTGATTCTCTTTCTGTGATTTTCACTTATTAGCTGTTTAACCTTGGATAATTTATTCAACATATCTGTGCCTCAATGCTCACATCTGGAAAATAGTGATATGATCTCATCAGATTGCTGTGAGACTTAAATGAGATAATTAATGTCAAGATTTTAATACATTACAAGGTGTATAAAACAGATCATATATATCAACTGGAATTATTTTAACATGGCTTTGCTTCTGTCATAAGCAGCAAACAATATTTGAAGATGTTACTTGGATTTATAGAAATTAAAAAAAATCTATTCAAGGGTAACTCTAGTACAGCTAAAACCGATAAAACAAACAAGAGTAGAAAGACATCTAACACATGAAATCTGTAGCTACCACTGCATAATGTAGAAACCTACCTTAAGTCAATGGTCTATATTTCTAGAGTAAATATAAATTACATGGATGTTTAAAAAATCTATTTAACAATTTAAGTCTTTGGATATCCATAAGGAAATGATTGACTAATGCTATTTTAAAAGGCTTGTATGAAAGAAGTCTACAAGCATTTGGTAGTCTGTACCAGAACAGCCCATCTAAACAACCCCTCTAATTGATATGTTCTTTCTACTATCTAAGAAAATACTTCCTGGTCAAAATGTAATTTCTTTCATATCTGTCTCCTCTGATGAGACTTCAACCTCAATACATATGAATTGGGGCCAAAATATATACAAGACACTACATTAGTTATTTAAGCTTACATTCTTGTCAAGAGTGTCTTTTAGTGAGTATTTTATCATAAAAAGTGAGAAGTGCCATAAGAGAATTGCAGGTAAAACACTGTAGGTGTTTGGAGGCAGAAAATATTGCTTCCAGCAGGAGGATGGGGAAAAGCTTTAGAGAAGAGGTGGCATTTTATTGGTGCCTTGATACGAGAGTAGATTCAGACATGCAGAGATAATGGGGAAAGCAATCTAGAGGGGAATAAAAACAGGAAAATATAAAGAAAGGACCATGCAGTTCAGTAAGTTAGGAGTGTATCTGAAAGAGATTAGAAGGAAATGAACCAAAAAATGTTTGGTTGAAATGAGGTTGTGGGGATCTCAAAAAACAGTCTGGGGAGTTTGAATTTTACACACAGGCTAAAGGGTACAATTAAATGTGTTTAAGAATAGTAGACTTTTCCCTGTCCTTTGAAAAATAACTCTGGTAGCTATTTCCAGAATGGGCTGGAAGACAGAGAAAATAAGTGAGGCCGCAAATTAGGTATTGTGGAAATCCACAGAGAGGTCTGAATCGAGGTGCTGATGGTGAAGAGGACGTAACTGCTATGAGTTGTGGCAGTTGAATCAGCAGGATTGAGCCCTGTTTAGATGAGTGTCCAGGAACAGAAAGGAGTTTAGTAAATCTGAAAGCTGTATCACTAAGAGGGTGCTGGGACTCCTCAATAAAAACAGAAGTATTAGAAGATTCAGGATTGACAGAAATACTGAAATCATTGTGGGACTTAATAAGTTTGAATTTATCTTATAGAACACCCAAGTAGGAACATGTCCAGTAAGATGTTGTAAAGGGAGAATGGTCTATCAGAGACAGAAAATAACTACCATATGCAGGGTTTGTTATGAGCCTTGGGTTTCTTCTACCATGCTTGTGACTACCTAGTATCTCCAGGTTTGCCCCATGAGTTTGTTAGTGGTTTCTTCATAAACCATCTATCCCTGTATGACCTTCATTTCACTTGTGTTAGACCATTTACATTCATTTACTGAATTAGAACAATAGGTATGGGACCTCACAAATTTTCTTTTTCTATAATTTCACCTTATAGATTGGGGAAACTAAAGACCAATGTAATTAACTATCTTCTAAATGTTATTAGATACTAATGAAGAACCTTCTCACCACTCCCTTCCAGTGTCCAAGTTCTGCTGTGTCATAAGACAGTTCTTCCCATCCCTGTGTCACAGGAACTCCTAACCTCAAGAAAAGAAAATAGGAAACAAAGATAGTTTGATCATGCTGGTGAAGCCACATAGAAAAAGGAATGTTTTTACAATGTTAGTGGGAGTGTAAATTAATTCAACCGTTGTGTAAGACAGTGTGGCTATTCCTCAAAGACCTAGAAGCAGAAATACAATTTGACCCAACAATCCCATTACTAGGTACATACTCAAAGGAACAGAAATCATTCTGTTATAAAGATACATGCTTGCATATGTTCATTGCAGCACTATACACAATAGAAAAGGCATGGAAGCAGCCTAAATGCCCATCAATGATAGATTGGATAAACAAAATATGGTACGTATACACCATGGAATACTATGCAGCCACAAAAAAAAGAATGAGAGCATGTCCTTTGCAGGAATATGGATGGAGTTGGAAGTCATTTTCCTTAACAAACTAATGCAAGAACTGAAAACCAAACACCACATGTTCTCACTTATGAGTGGGTGCTGAATGATGAGAACACGTGGACACATGGGGGAACAACACACACTGTGGTCTGTTGGGGGGCATGGGCTTAATACTTGGGTGGTGGAATGATCTGTGCAGCAAACCACCACGGCACATGTTTACCTCTGTAACAAACCTGCACATCTGGCACATGTACCAGTGTACTTAAAAGTTGAAGAAAATAAAAGCAATGCTTAGAAGAGACTCCAATGATAGAGAAGGACGATTCTTGGAAAGAGGTCCCAGATGGCTTGCTCAAGCAGTTTTGTGTATTTGTCCCACATGAAGGTGAAAAGAGTGCTGGAAGCTTCAAGATACTCAAGAAGCTAAGAGAGTGAGTGCAGTTTTTCTTTCTGATTATATATTAAGTCCCCAATGCACAGTGATATCACAAGGCAATTAATTCAGACATGGGTCCCTCTATTTGTGTTTTGTTTTTAAATGACATGCGTGAAAAACATAATTCATCTAAGTTGAAGAGATTTTTTTAATGTTACTTGTGCCTCTTACTTTATTTTATTTTTTTCGTAAGTTATTGGGGTACAGGTGGTATTTAGTTACATGAGTAAGTTCTTTAGTGGTGATTTGTAAGATTTTGGTGCACCCATCACCCGAGCAGTATACACTGCATTATATTTGTATTCTTTTATCCCTCACTCCCCTCCCATTCTTCCACCCAAGTTCCTACAATCCATTATATCATTTTTATGCTGAAGGGATCTTTTTTGAGAAGCAATTTTCTGTAAGTCCCTGGGCTGGGTTTGGAAAATTTGGAAGAAACCAAACACTGACTTATGGTTGTATCTGAGACACAGATTTCAAGGACATAAAGTACTCAAACAATAAATTATGTTATATCTAATTTAAAATCAAAGTTCAAAATTACTTTAGCTTGGGAAAAATGCTCAAACCATACATAACATGAAGTGCACAGGTGAAATATGTCTTCTGCATCTCTAATGACAGTGATGTCAATGAAACTATGAAACTCTGGCTTTTGGTTAATAACCATTTTGTTTGTGGTACTAATGACTATGAATTAGTAGGTAATGAACAAGAACTGAAGTATTGAATTTGTATAATTATTATAGTTTACCAGGCAATGATCTTTAAAATAATAAGCTAAAAGATAATTTCATGCCCAAATATAAATTCTTAAATGTCACCATATAGACACAGTGGTGAATGATTAGTATGTGAAGAAAACACAGAATGTATACCTGAATATAAATTTAGGTCTTGATGGCACCACACAGCCTGAATGAAGAAGGACTATGACACAGAAAACCGGGCAGAGTTGCAGAGCAAGTGATGAGACTGGTGAGGAGAATGTGGCAAGATGCCAAATGACACTTCTATTCATTCATAGAAAACTGTGACACAGAATTTCAGAGCTATTCCACTACAGCTACATCTAAAGTTGTCTGTTGTTTTTCCCTCTGCCCGGTGTCAAAGCTGAGCTTATTGTGAGGAAGGGAGTGTGTGTGTGTGTGTGTGTGTGTGTGTGTGTGTGTATGCATAAGCACCTGTGTAAGGGATATTATAATTATTGCAAACAAGAATCCTGTAACTGCTGGATACTTGTCTTAGTAACATGTATGTCCCCAGGCCTCACTAGCCTACTGGCAAGGAAGAAAATAAATCAGCAATTTGTATCCAAATGGTGCTGGTTCTTAGCTCTTCTTAGTTCAAGCAGGTTGGTAAAGTGTCCTCCTCTGGCTGGTATTTTGGCTCATCTCCAAGGCTGTTGAGTGCAATAAAATCTTTGTGCACTGGGCATTGCTGTTTCCTCTCCAGCCCTTCCACTACAGAGAAGCACTACCTTGTCTGCGGTGCTGCCCCCTGCTATGCCTTAAGGCTGAAAAGTCATACATGAAAACAGAATTCAATTCCCTTCCATCACCACAGTCCAGGAGCCTCAATATGGGACAGGGAAAGGGGAAAATTTTCCTCCCCACTGAACTCAGACTTGTACCCTTGCACCCCATGTTGCCTCTATCTCTCCCATTTTACCCTAGGCCTGGCATGACCAAGACCTTCTGATCAAAGGCCCTTTTCCTCAGAGCTCAAACAATTCAAACAAATATACAGTTATAGAGGCCTTCAGGGTCATAGGCACTCATAAACTTAATCGTGGTTACTCCCCTCTGCCTTCTTAAATATTTCTCCCTGAGATCTCACATCAGAAAGATGGCAGCTGTTCACTTAGGCTTTTGAGGGAGTCTAGCATTGGGTTTTGCTCTGTTAGACCAAACCGTGTGATATGGTTTTGTTGTATCCCCACCCACATCTCATCTTGAATTGTAGTCCCCATAATCCCATGTATCATGGGAAGGACCTGGTGGGAGGTAATTGAATCATGGAGGTGGTTACCTCCATGCTGTTCTCATGATAGTGAGTCAGATATCTCATGATATCTGATGGTTTTATAAGGGATTTTTCCCATTTTGCTTGGCTCTTCTCCTTGCTGCCACCATGTGAAGAAGGGCATGTTTGCTTCCCCTTCTGCCATGATTTTAAGTTTCCTGAGGCCTCCCTGGTCATGCTGAACTGTGAGTCAATTAAACCTCTTTCCTTCATAAATTACCCAGTCTCAGGTATTTCCTTATTAGCAGTGTGAGAACGGACTAATACAGTAAATTGGGACTGCAGAGAGTGGAGTGCTGCTGTAAAGATACCCAAAAATGTGAAAGTGACTTTGGAACTGGGTAACAGACAGAGGTGGGAACCATTTGAAGGGCTCAGAATATAGGAAATGTGGGAAAGTTTGGAACTTTCTAGAGACTTGGAGGGCTCAGAAGACAGGAAGACATGGGAAAGTTTGAAATTTTGTAGAGACATGTTGAATGGCTTTGACCAGAATTGTGATAGTGATATGGACAATAAAGTCCAGGCCAAGGTAGTCTCAGATGGAGATGAGGAACTTGTTAGGAACTGGAGTAAAGGTCACTCTTGTATGCAAAGAGACTAGCGGCATTTTGCCCCTGCCCTAGAGATCTGTGTAACTTTGAACTTGAGAGATATGATTTAAGGTATCTGGCAGAAGAAATTTCTAAGCAGCAAAGTGTTCAACAGGAAGAAGAGCATAAAAATTTGAAAAATTTGCAGTCTAATGATGTGATAGAAAAGAAAAACTTATATTCTGGGAAGAAATTCAAGCCAGTAGTAGAAGTTTGCATGAGTAACAAGGAGCCAAATGCTAATTGCCAAGGCAATGGGGAAAATGTCTCCAGGGCATGTCAGAGACCTTCATGGCAGCCCCTCCCATCACAGGCCCAGAGGCCTAGGAGGGAAAAATGGTTTCCTGGGGCAGGTACAGGTGCCCACCCACCCTGTGACCACTGTGTGCAGCCTCAGGCCTTGGTGCCCCACATCCCAGCCCCTCCAGCCTTGGCTACAAGGGGCCAAGGTACAGTTTGGGTCATGGCTTCAGAGGGTGTGAGCCCCAAGCCTTGGCAGGTGCCATGTGGTGTTCAGCCTGCAGGTGCACAGAAGTCAAGAACTGAGGTTTGGGAACTTCTGCCTAGATTTCAGAGGGTTTATAGGAATGCCTGTATGTCCAGTCAGAAGTTTGCTGGAGGGGCTGGGGCCCTCATGGAGAACCTCCGTGAGGGCAGTGCAGAAGGGAAATGTGGGTTGAATCCCCCACACAGAGTCCCCATTGAGGCACTGCCTAGTGGATCTGTGAGAAGAGGGCCACCATTCTTCAGACCCCAGAATGGTAGAGCCACCAACAGCTTACACTGTGCACCTGGAAAAGTTGCAGACACTCAATGCCAGCCTGTGAAAGGAGCTGGCGGGGGGGCTGTACCCTGCAAAGCTACAGGGGCGGAGCTGCCCAAGACCATGGGAGGCTACCTCTTGCATCAGTGTGACCTGGATGTGTGTGAGACATGGAGTCAAAGGGGATCATTTTGTAACTTTAAGGTTTAATGATTGCCCTATTGGATTTTGGACTTGCATGGGGCCTGTAGCCCCTTTGTTTTGAACAATTTCTTCTATTTGGAATGGGTGTATTGACCCAATACCTGTACTCCCATGGTATCTAGGAAGTAACTAACTTGCTTTTGATTTTACAGGCTCATAGGCAGAAGGGACTTGCCTTGTCTCAGATGAGACTTTGGACCTGGACTTTTGAGTTAATGCTGGAATGAGCTAAGACTTTGGGGAACTGTTGGGAAGGCATGATTGTGTTTTGAAATGTGAGGACATGAGATTTGGGAGGGGCCAAGGGTGAAATGATATTGTTTGGCTGTGTCCTCACCCAAATCTCATCTTGAATTGTAGTTCCCGTAATCCCCATGTGTCATGGGAGGGACTCAGTGGGAGGTAATTGAATCATAGGGGGAGTTACCACCATGCTGTTCTCATGATAGTAAGCTCTCAAAAGATCTGATGGCTTTATAAGTGGCATTTCCCCTTTTTCTCAGCACTTCTCCTTGCTGCTGCCATGTGAAGAAGGACATATTTGGTTCCCCTCTGCCACGATTGTAAGTTTCTTGAGTCCTCGCCAGTCATGCTGAGACATGAGTCAATTAAATCTCTTTCCTTTACAAATTATCCAGTGTCAGGTATATCTTTATTAGCAGTGTGAGAATGGACTAATACACCATGGGTCTTAGTTTGATCCCAGGGATAGAGAGCATACTGTGTGTACTATCATTTTTCCTTAATCAAGCCACTCTTTTCTGTAATGTTATTGTTTGTTGTGGAGATAAAGGCAGAGGGACATACCCAACAGTCAGACAAAGCCCTGTGTTTTCAGCCTCTGTGTTGAGATATGTACATTTCCTGAGGCATTGTACTAATCCTGTTTCCAAAGGAAACAAAAGCATCAGGATAACATGGTCTTGCCTCCCAGATGACGCAGAATAATTTATAGTTTCAATTAAATTGCTTCCAAACCTGTTGTACTGTCAACCTGTTGCAGTGAATGCAAATTAAATAACCCATATTTCTATTTTAACTGAAAATATTTTCTAGTAAGGCTGGAAACCATGCATGATGTGAAGCTGTGGCTAGAATAGCTGTTTTCTCCATGTGAGAATTAACATCTGGTTAATTATTATACCTAGTTATTATGCTAGGTATGCTTCTGTGGCTTGAGAATTGTTAGTGCAGTTAACTTTGAGTAAAATTTAAATTAATTAGCCAAAGGAGTGGCAAAACAAGCTGAAATCCATAATTTGAATTTTAGTTAGTAGTCCCATTTTCTCCCAACACCTTTTAATTTGAATTGTGACAAATAGCACACCTGAGATTTGAATTTCCCTCTCTCATTCTTTGTCTACCTGGCTATAGTCAAGGAACAATTATTCATCTGTTCATCCATTAATCCATTCATCCATCTGCCCATCCATCGACCCCCCGATCCAGTGTTCACCATGTGTTATTTGGGCCTAACCATGGGCAGCAAAAGGGAATTAAGGAATGCCAGCCGCATAGGCGGAAGCTGAGTAGTTTTGTCAGTTCTTGGATTGTGGGGTAAAATGCATTCATGTCCTTTTATTAATAGCTATGTGGCTTGGGTCCCCTAGCCTTTTCAGTCTCAATGTAGCTGTTACTGACAGCACTAATAAGCTGTCAGTCTGTTTTTGCCATGTGTTAGGAAGCAAGCACCACTGAGAATGCCATCTTTACCAGGAATTTCAGAAAGTACTGAGAGGTTTATCAGTCACGGAGAAGAAGGAATATGAAGTGGGAAGATGACCTAGAGGTTTGGTTAGTGAGTAAGGAGTAACTTTTACCCCGATGAACCATATTAAGGAGGTAGGAAGGGTCTCTGCCTTTCTTAAAGTTTAGATATCTGAATCCTTTTAATAGATAAGCTTCCATCAGGGAGAGTAGAAACACTTTCTCCGTATTAAAAATGCTATATAGTTTTATTAAGTTGTCTGACTTCTTTCTTTGCTTGTAAATAATGCCTAACATATTCGAAACTACTGAAAAATAAGGTGCTTCACATAAATCACTTTTCCAGATAATTGAAAGTTGCTTTCTAAAACACTAAAGCTGATTAGGCTTGGATAACATTTTCTTAAAAACAATTCCAGCATTTCTGTTCATAAGAGCTCTTAAGAGTTCTTAAGAGTCCACTAGTGAATGAAACATTTTGCTTAGAAGACAGAAGTTCAGGTCTCCATTCCTCACATCAATTTGCATATACTATTGCATATAATAGCATCTATGTATCTTGGAAAAAAGAGATGGGGAAGACAAGAAAAGGAGAAGGGAGGAGGGAATGGCATGGTATCTGTTGCCCTCTCACCTCCTTGAATTAATTTACTATAAACTAGAAGCTGGACTGTGGTGCCCACAGTATACTTATAAAAACCAGAAACTGGCACAACCATTTTCAAGAAAGAATTTGTAATATTCCAGACCCAATGTAACTCTAGTTAGGAACCAGGTGGCAAAATATAGCAAAGAGTTTAGAAGAGATCGTTCTCTCTGTGACTGGCAGAAACAGAACTTGACAGTCCATGACCTTGGCATTAGTGATGGTTCCAAAATTCTTATGTGGAACAGCTTACTGGTGGCAGTCCCGTTGGGAGGAGATGCTGGAACACTTATTTTATTTCGAAGATGATTTTGTGTTCACACACATTTTAATTTAGATTGTATGCTTATTTGTCAGTAGGTTCTAGGAGAGTATTGCTGGAAATTGTGGGAGAAGGAGGGGTCTAAAGCCCAAGCAAGCCATCCTTTGATACCATCTTTCTTGTCATGGTCTTGGTGTAAACAGAAATGGCTCAACTGTAGCAGAGAGTCTCTTAAAAGAAGCGCCAGGGAAATGGACTTTGTGGTCATTTATACATGGAAGTAAAAGCAGGAAAAAAGCAATATGGTGGACACTGGGGCAGGGTGAGTTCTTCCTTTAGCACTGGAGATTCATAACTGTCATTGGGCATGACTGTAACTGTGAGTCTGTTGGTGGTGTCAGGTAACATTGGCAGTACATTAAACATGATCTCATCTTACCAGATCTAAGAACCATCACTAGCCTATACTGTTTACTGTAGTTTGTACTGCAGAAATGCCCTTTGAAAGTATGGAGGTATGTAGGGCATTTTGCCTTACTCTAAATGGGCCCAAACTTAATGAGGAAGTTCCATTTGGAAACTTCTGGTTGACTATTCATTTCCATGAGCACAAACTTACTACTTCTCCTTCTTGACATTTTATTTATTGAATTATTTGTGTTTATTGTGTATTTATTTGAGGTCAAGGAGTTTGTCTTATTGATCTTTGTGTATCTGTGTGTCTGGCACAAAGCTTTTACTATAAGAGGTACTCTGTAACTATTACATAACAAAATACAATGATGATTGTGATCTTGGAATATTGGTGACCTCATTTTCCAGACCAGGATTCTGTTTATGTTGTTTTCAATCTCTCTGATTATAACACCTCTTATGCCTTGCAACCACCCCATTCTCACCCCAACCAAGTAACATCCTACTGCTTTGATTCCTCTTGAACTTTACCCAGCGCCTCAGACTTCTAATAAGAAATTTGCCCTTCACTTCACCACTCTGCCTTTCAGGAGGAATCACCTCCTTTTTCCCTGTTAATTTTTCCTACAGGATTGCATTTAGTTTATCCTTGCTTGCTCTAGAATTAGAATATGCTATTTATAATAAACAAATCAAACAAATCCAGATGAGTAGAATGAACAGATATATAAATGCAGAAAAATGTAAGACTATGTATAGAAGACAATGAGTCGCTTAATATGGCTGGAACTAAAAATGCAGGAAGGAGTGAAAGAATAGAAGTTTGGAAAGCTAACCGGGAACTGAAATAGGGAGTTGGGGGTTATAATGTAGATAATTAGGAGCCATTTTAAATATTATAGAAAAGGAGAGGTCTGAATGAAAATATTAATTCCGTACATTAAATTGAGTAGTTAAATTTGCTTCAGTTAAATGAGTATTTTTATATTGTTGAGATGATATCAGGAGAAGATATTTAAGTAGACAGAGGTCTTATGGTAAAAGTAGTTCGTGCTCTTGGGACATGAGCAATTTAAAACCAAGTATGTGTTTTCTTAGATATAAATATAATGGCTATAATATACACAGTTGGAAGTATTCTCTCCAGAGCAGCCCAGCCAGAATTCTTTAAAAGACTTAGGCATTTGAACATCTCTACCATTTTTAAGAATGATTTTCCCTTTCCTAAATCCCAGGAAACTACACAGTGGTCCTTAATATAAACACCAGAAAGTGCCCTTCTATGGTAAAGTTTATCACGTGTACTCCTAGAGGGTCTTTTGCAGTGGCATCTTCCCATAATGATTCTTCAGTTCATTTAACTCACACCCGGAGCTGGATACTTAACAAAAGCCCCATCATTTTCTGTATAGTTTTAGACTGCAATTCCTTGAAAATATTGCTAGATCACAATAATCAAACCTCATTCTCTAATCTCAGAAATGATGGCTAGCCTACCCTCTCCAGCATTTTGATTACATTTATTCTCTAATTCATGTTCTGTGTTATAGGAAGTAAAATGATAAGTTAAATGCACTTTAATTGGCAGAAACCAGGATCATTAATTTTCCTTTCATAGGATTTCTTTCCAAGAACTATTTGCTTACAAAATCAAATGGGACTAGAGTCTGGTATTCACAGAGGAAAACCAAGTGCTCTTGTCTTCTTTTGTTCAGTCCTCCTTTTAGCATTGAAGCAGAATCCTAGAGAGGAGTGTTAAGGAAGATGGATGTTGACAAGAAGGGAGAGGGGCTTAGGGAGAGTTACTGTATGAGACAAAATAATCTAGCTCTAAGATAATTCTAATAATAATTAGAAGTTTGTTTATGAGTATATTTTGAAACTGTTAAAAATATGAAGCAAAATCTTATACAATTAATTTAGAGTGAAGTCATTTTCTTAATTAAAACTGGGCTAAGTGGTTAGTTTGCGCTCATTGTCATTAGCCAGGAAATTCACACTAGTCAGTTCCGCACAATTACAGCTGCCTCTTTAGCATTTTCTGGGTGTTCAAGTCTCACTTTTTCCTTCCATCAAAATTTAAATTCTTTGCTCTTCTTTGGAAAATCAGTGACTGAAATACAAGAACAGAATATTTGATTGCACTGGTTGCTGTCCCCATAATACAATTCAAGTCTTTGAGAAGCGACAACTTATTTCAATACAATTTTATCAGATTAGCATAATCAAGGCTGAAATGGCGCATAAAATACAGGTGAAGATAGAGCAGCATGATTAGCAGCTGCAGGTCAGTTCTTTTTTCCTGTGACCTTAAATCAAATGGTCACCATGATGAAAGAAAATTAAGAGAAGTTTTCCAGGGACAAAGTTGAGAAGGTGTCTGAACATTTGTTGAGGAAAGTTGTTTCATATAGAATGTTATTATGAAAGTGAAATGAGTCAAAATGAGATATCATTTCTCACACGCTTTTATAAGAACAAATGTAAAAGTTTTCTTTCAAAAAAGAACTGGGTGTTAGGTTTCAGCATCAGTCTTATAATGAGGCTCTGGACTGTACATAAAACTGTTCTCCTAGGACATTCTACTATAATCCAAAATGGATGTTCAAAGCCACAACATCAGGCTTCAAATTCTTGTTTCAAAGGCAAAATTATGGAATAACAGTATAAATTAGTCTTAGTATTTTCTTTGTAGTTGTACATTTAAGGAAAAATATTACCAGATAACCAAAATGTAAGGCCAATCATGAATGAAATTAAAGAATTTCAACTTTTCTTTCTGGTTACTTCAGAAGTTTAGACTTTTAACACGGAGAGAATAAAATAAATCTCAATGTTTATAAATAATCTAGCCAACTCAAATCCTTAAACCTCTATGAGGCAATTAATAAGATGACATTAATTGCACTTAATAATTTTACACAGGAGACAGGCGTTTATCCTTATAAATTAATTTTATAACCTTGGATTTTGCCATTGGCCAGTGTAAGTTAACATTGTTATAGTTAACAAGTTAAGTTTACTTGTTATAGTATAGTTAAGTTATATATATACTTATATATATACTTACTATATATATATAAGTTACATATATACTTATTCTCTCTATATAAGTTATATATATACTTACTATACTATAGTATAGTATAGTTAAGTTAACAAGTTTTAGTATGATATGGTTAGGCTTTGTGTCCCCACCCAAATCTCATCTTGAATTCTAATCCTCATAATCTCCATGTGTCTAGGGAGAGACGTGGTGAGGAGTGATTGGATCCTGGGGGCAGTTTACCCCATGCTGTTCCCGTGATAGTGAGTGACTTCTCATGAGATCTGATGGTTTTATAAGAGGCTCTTCCCACTTCACTGCATACCCTTTCTCTCCTGCTGCCTTGTGAAGAAGGACATATTTGCTTCCCCTTCTGCCATTATTGTAAGTTTCCTGAGGCCTTCCCAGCCATGTGGAACTTGAGTCAATTAAATCTTCTTTCTTTATAAATTATGCAGCCTTGGGCAGTTCTTTATAGCAGTGTGAAAATGGACTAATACTTTGTAATAAAGATCACTTGTTGAATACTTACCATGTGTCAGGCACTTTGCAAGCCATTTTACTTAAATTATTTAATTTTTCCCACAAGCCTGTGAGGTAGACTTTATTATAATTTTCACTTCATAAATGAGAAATCAATGCTCAGAAATGTTAAATAACTTGCATGGGTCTGACAGTTAATGACAGTACTGGTGTTCAGATTCAAGTCTCTCTGACTCCAGGTCCCCTTTGCCTTTTTGCAAGATCTCTTATACTACACAAGGGAGCAATGCCAACGATAGAAATTTACAGGAGCATTTTGTCCCATCATTTTCCATTTTCCTCAGTGGTATGAGAGAATGAACTCAGGTACCAGAGCATTCTGAAATTAACCTTCAGCTGGGTGCTCATTAAAATAGTTTCCCTGATCAGTTTCTTCTTAAAAAATACTCTGTGTCCTTTAGGCCTATTTCACTGTATAATAAATGAGACAGGGGAATGTCTCTCACTAATACTTATGGCAAGATCAAGTCTTACTCTATAGGGTGAGTCATGTCAAAGTTTTACTTTTTGCCATTGATGCATTTGGAAGAACACGAACACGTGACCCCTGATTTATGTAAGAAGGGTAGGAAAAGTGAACAAGTGGATATTGAGCATATACTACACTGATGATAGTCCATTTTGAGGAGTTGAAAACAGGTTCAGAAAAGTTTAATGACTTCACCAAGGCTGCCTACCAAGTAGGTGAAGGGTTAGTATTTGAACTTAGGGCTGTCTAACTCCTTGACTCATCTTTTCTTCCCTATTTTCCACTGTTCTACACTATGTAATAATTCACTGCTTGATTTGTGGCAATCTCTGTTCTCTATCTTCCTGATAGACTTTGCTATGAGTTAGATAATAGTCAAGCACCTTAGTTGCCCCTCTTCTCCCCTCACCTGGCCCACCTCCCCACCCCGGCATTGACCCCAAAGTGCAATGCCCTGGTCACTTGGCAAGCGGCTGGGCCTGGTGAAGGCCTAGGGGCGGGCCGGAGCTCCAGCCAGGTCCCTGAAAAGAAGCGGCTGCTCCCCGACTTCCAGGCCTTAGTTGGGGTGGGGGGGTCCAGCTCCTGGGCCTGGGGTCTTCTCCCCGCCCCCACCCCCTTGTCCTGGGTGGGCCCCTGCCTGCCTCTCTCTGCCTTTTCCTTGGGTGTCCCTCCTCAAGCCCTGTGGCACTGGCTTGGGTGGCAGGGCCCACTTGTTTCAGGGACCCCAAGAGGTGCCCCCTGGCTCCTGGGACTGTGTGTGTGGGTCTGGTGGGTGATGGGGGGAAGAAGGGCCAGGCAGAGGGTGCAAGGGAGGAAACCCCTCACCAGGAGAGCCAAAGACAAGGTTGTGCCTTACCCCAGGAGCCACCCCTGTGCCCTCCTTGCCCTGCTGTTCACCCCCTACCCCTTCCCCTGGGCAGCCTGCTGCTTTTTCCTTATCTTCCTCCCCTGCCCTGCGCTAAGCTGCATGGTTTCCCTCACTCTGGGCAGCCAGGAAGGAATCTGAATGGAGAATCACCAACCACCAGAGAAAAAAGACCATGGGGCCCTCCCCTGCCAACTCCCCTTCCCTGGCTGCCCACTCACCCACACCTCTGTCACTCGGGACAGGTTGCCCGCCCTGTCCACGTGAAGTGCCAACACCCTTCCCACCCAGGACCGAGCCCCCACCCCTCCCTGAGCCCCCAAGTGAGTTTGCACATTTAACTACTGTAATGAGAAGAGCGGCGTTGGCAAGTGTGAACCATGAAAATATAAGTGAAACTGATGAGGAGAATAAACTAAATGCCTTTTTTAAAAAAAAAAAAAAAGAAAGAAAAAAAGAAAAAATAGAAAGCTACTGAATCTTTCTAAAAGCCCCCAATTCAAGATATTATGAAATTACTAACATAGAGGTCAAATGGATCACACTTGATAAATAATGTGTTGTCTCAACAAGTATGTTGGAAGGAGAAAAATTTGACTTTATGCAACATTACACATTTTCCACAGTGGAATTCAACCATTTAGTATAGACATCTTAGTACAGATATTTTGCAGCTACAAAAAACAAATTTGTGTATTTTCAAAAATCCCAGGCAACAATGAGAAACTTTTATTATTAAGTTGAGCTGTTCATGGGTTGGGTATCAATCCAGAAAAAGGCAAAAAAAAAAAAAAAAAAATTACCCAGTAACAAATTTTTTGTTTGTTTTGTTATTTATTTATTTATTTAATTCTCTGAGGTTTGATTAAAAGAAAGCTGAAATCTGCCCTTACTTGAATGCTGGTGGCAATTTGCTCAGCTCAGCTCTCCTTTGGATCAGGGGCCTTGGGTTAGCTAACCGCCTGGGAATTGGGCCCAGATGCACACAGCACGTAGGTGCTAATCCACATGAAACTTGAGGCACTGAAAGGGGCAGCTGTGTCTGATGTAATTTATCATACCTGTGATGCTATTGTCCTTAAGGTATCCTATGACCTGGGACCTTCTCTCAGGAGAGCTCCTGGGCAAATATTCTTCCAATGAGATTATACCTGAGGCTTGCCCAGCACTCAAGTAGAAGGCTAGCTGAGGCTTACCCCTGACATCATGAATAGCTGTGACTCATCATTTTAAATTGAGGCCTTGAATACGGTCCACCAGTATGGATTTGTAGATATCTACAGGGCATGTTTCCAAAACAGGAGGAGTTGATGCAGAGGGAAACAATAAACAAAAACCTAGAATGAATTATAAAAGTTTGCTGAACCTCAACTCAAATACCAAACATTATTATTTTATTTTCTATGGAACTGAGAAATAAAACAAAGCTTATTTTATTTTATTTTATTATTTAAACTGCAGTGAACCACTTTGAACCTGTCACTGATTCACTGAACTGGAACCAGACTAGAATATCAAAATATTTTCTAAATCACACATGAGTCAACTGAATATTATTTAGTTAAGAGTTCCTGGCTTGTTCACTGTCAGAACTAAAATTCAAGTTGATGATTTCTCCCTGCCGTATATCTGGGTGTGGGTAGAGACACTATAACAGAGGCTTTGGTAGTAGAATAGGGAGAGAGAATACCTACTAAATTAATGCTTCAAACATTTCTTTTAGCTAATTTTGTTAATCAAACAAACTCTGACACTGAGATTCAATATAAATCACGTAAGTGTGGCCCTATGGTGATTGAAGCGGTATCTGAGGTCCCAAGTCCAGGCAGTTGGATACTGCTGCCCCTCTAGGGAATGTCAGCACACCATCAGACACAGAATAGCCCCACACTAAATAACACTGTGCAGGATTTGAGTTCTGTGGCTTTAATCATTTTTTTGTGTGTAGGTGATTCCTTGGGCTTTATTTCTCTCCTGAATGTTAATCCATATCTATTTGCTATTCACTTAGACTACTTACTGGTGTCCCAAACTTGACGTGTCTAATGTTGAATAGTTCTATGTTCCTTCAAACAAACTACTCTTGTATTGACTATTTGTGTTAATGTCATTCTCCTGGTTAACTGGGCTTGAAACTTAGTTAACTCCTTTAATCTCTTCTCATATTCAATCCCTCCCAAAAAAAATCAGTGTCCCACTTTGTTATGGTCCAATTAAAGGATCCTACGTTTGTGTCAGACTTGGTTTGTGATGCTGTACTCAGATTTCAGGTGGGCAGTGAAGTCAGCAGGGGCGCCTGGATAAGCAGACACCACCAGATGCTATGGGGGAGGCTACTTAACAAAGCTGAAGCAGCAGGTAGAGAGGTTTTCAGGAATCACAGCAAGATCAAGGTTCAGAACTGGGGCAACTCAAGAGGGCACTGTGAATGGTGATTGGTTCAACCTTGCCTGTGGTGACTCTCATCTGGGTTGTCTTTAAGATAACTCTGGCCTTGGGTAGTTTGAGAGTCAGGATCTTCCTTTGGCTTTACCATTTATCAACTATATGACCTTGAGCAAACAACTTTCTGAGACTCAACATTATCAAAGGTAAAATATGGATAATAGTTCCTTCCCTTCTTTGACTTTGTGGTTAAAATTAAACAAAATGGTCATGAAACAGGCACCATACATTTTAATGTGCTCTATGCATGTGGTGGTGTTAGGCAGTAAGATCTGTGTACTCAGCTTTTCATTTGTCCATTCATTAATTCAAATATTTATCAAACACCCACTGTGTCCAGGCACTCTGCTAGGCCTGTGATATAGTGTTAAACACATTCTCAACCTCTTACAGATAGATTCTGCCCTCACAGAATACATGAGAAGGCATGTTTTAAACAACTTATTACATGACTAGTAATAGTTTTCAGATATACTCCACTTCCTATATGCCAATCTTGTTCTCAGCATTCATCTCATTTAGTATTCCTGACAATCCTATAAGAGAAGCAACAATATCTTATTTTATAAATGAAGAAATTTAGCCCCAGAGAGCTTAAACAACTTGCTTGAGGGATTTCACAGCTAGTAAGTGGCAAAGGCAAGATCATAACCCAATTAGTCTGTCTCTAGATTCTATGCTTAACCTAATAATCACTACATCAAATTACCTCCCTTACTTGAGCCAGAGCATCCCTCTAGGTAGGTAAGAGCAGTCACTTCCAAATTCCATAGTTAACTAACCTTTCTGATCTTGAGTTCCCTTCTCTGGAAAATAGGGGATAATACTAATGTCTACTTATGTGTTTTTTTATTTTTTATTTTTTATTTTGGATAAAAGGAGATAATCCTTGTAAAGAAAACTTAACAGAGTAATTTATCTCACAAATGCATAGTAAATATTATTTTTTAGCTATTGATTATAATAAGTGCAATGGAAAAAAACTGCAAGGTGCTGCGAGGGAGTAAAACAGGAAAACCTAGTCTAGACTGGCTTAGAGGGGCATGAAAACTGTCCTGGAAAAATATTTAAGCAGAGACCCAAAGAAATAATGAACAAAGATATCAGAAAGAGAAGGGTGGAGGAAGCAGATATTTAAGCAGAAACCCAAAGAAATAATGAACAAAGATGTCAGAGAGATAAAATATTTAAGCAGAGACCCAAAGAAATAATGAACAAAGATGTCAGAGAGAGAAGGGTGGAGGAATCCCTAGTTGGGCAACTAGATTAGTTCCTTCTAGAAACAGAGAAAAGGCCAGAATAGCTAAAATGGAGAGAATAAGAGGAGCAGGAATTAGGGGGTTGGTTGGAGAGGCAGAAGAGGAACTTTCCCATCTGTTCCTCCCTTGTTATCTGTTCCACTGCTATCATGTGAATTCAGGCTCTATTGTTTTGGGCCTAAATTATTTCAATGACTTTGTAATTATTCTTCCTGTTTGTACTCTCTTGCGTCTTCTATTCATTGTGCATATTCCCGGCAAATTAAGGTCCTAAAGCACCCCTTTGACCATGGCATTGCCTTACTAAAAAACTTTCAAAAGTTTGCCATTGCCTATGAAAATAAATTCCAAACTCTTTAGCCAAGCATACAGTGATAATTTCAATTTGGCTTCAAACTGCTTTGGGTCTTATATCTCAAAACTTCCTTTACATACCCAAAACTCTTAACTAATTTTGCTCTGTCCTTCTCTGCCTAGAATGCATCCTTCTTTCCCCTTTCTATCCAGTCTTAGCATTGGCAAGTCCTGTTTATCTTTCACATTTGTATCAAATGTTATCTTATTGCCAGGAGTTAGATCTGCATCCTTAAAATCTTACACCTTTTTGGTTGTCATTTGCTATGGTCTGAATGTTAGTGTTTCCCCAAAATACATTATGTTGAAATCCTAACGTGTAAAATGATGGTATGAAGAGGTGGGAACCTGGTAAGTGGTTAGGTCATGAGTGCTTAGTGTTCTTATTAAGGAGACCTCATAGAATTAGCTCATTCTTTTCATCATGCAAGAGCACAGTGAGAAGGTACCGTCTATGAACCAGGGAGCAAGTCCTCACCAGACACTGAATCTGCTAGCACCTTGGTCTTGGACTTCTCAGCCTCAAGAATTGTAATAGATAAATTTTTGCTGTGTATATCCCTCTCATTCTATGGCATTTTGTTACAGAAGCTTAATGGACAAAAATATCTTTCCTGTATATAACTTTTTCTCTAAAAAATAATTTAAAATTTTTTCCATTTAAAATCTGCATATAAAAATTATTCATAGTTTTATTAGCTTATCCAGCTATTAGCATTTTGGCATTTTTTTCTAGTTGTATGTATGAATATTGAGAACTTAATTTTTATATACTTTTCATTATAATCGTATGTTCATAACAAGTCCTTAAAAATATTACTTTGAGGGCTGCCTAATATTCAAGCATAGGAACATATCATAATATATATAAACATTCCCCTGTGGGAGCCTCAGTTTCTTTTTCCATAGAATAAGTCAATAAGAATGCCTATCTTCCACCATTATTGTGAAGATTAATGAGAAACATATTAAAGAACTTACAAAAGGAACTAAGACATAGTAGATGCTCAGTAAGTAATAATCATTGTTCCTTTTTGTCTTGCTGAAAAATTTCCCTATGATTTATGTGCTCTCAGATGAAAGATGGAGTGTATAGGGGTAAGAATGAGGAAGCTCTTATATGAGGGACTTCTCTTTGCCTACTAAAAACAAAGATTATTCTGCCCACAAGAAACAAAAGGCTTCCATTTCTCTCACAAGACTCAGTAAAAATTATCCAAAACATGTAAATTTTTATTTTTGGCAATTTCGTGGGTCAAGGAAAAGGTTGGAAGCAAAATGTGGTTTAAAGATGATGGAAATGAAATTCATTTTACTTTCTGTGGTCCTTATTTCCATATATAATCATGGATTGACTTTAGACTTTTTTGGTTTAATTGTCGCAAGCAGAAATATCTTTGGGCCTCGGTTTTTTATACTCTAATAAATCTTTATAATAAAATGAGTTAGAGGTAGTCTTATTTTATCCAATTACTCCAAATTTGATTGCAAGTCCAAGAGCATTTTAATCCTCTTGGTATTTATAGTCTGTAAATCTTTGATAATTTCATGTTGCAGCCATCTTTTACTCAAAGTTACGTGTTTAGTAACTTTGCTCTGAGTATTTCTTTAGGTTTTTATTTCCTTGATCAAAACTGAGCAGGCTGCTTGAGACACTTCTAGTCTCTAAAGTTCAATTTCCATGTGACTTCTGACATTTATTCTTAGAGGAGATGAACAGTTGCTTATTTTAAATATATCTGCCATACCTGCAGCTAAGGAAAGATAGTATATAAGGCCCTCCAGTCTCACTCTCCTTCCCCTACTAGACTGTAAATTCTTCAAAGCCAGAGGTCATATAATGCTCTACTCTGTATCCTCAGAACCTAAACTGTGTCTGATACATGGCAGCTGCTCAGTAAATGTTGGCTGAAAGAATTAACGATGACTGCTGTTTCCTCACTGTATTAGAGAAAACTTTTTAGGACACGGGCTTTGGGATCAAACAGAGCTGGGTTTTAAACCATCACTGGCTGTGTGTTCCTGGACAGGTGATTTGTATTCCCTAGTCCCAATTTTTTTATCTTACAGTGAAAAAATAATTCTTACCTAAGGACTAAAGGAAATAATATGTGTAAGTGGGCTTGGCACATAGAACATACACCATAAAATGTATCTTTCCTTCCTTTTTGAGATATCCCAATTCACATTACTTTTTAAATTCTCTTAGCCTCTCCTCTATCTGAGGCTAAATTCACAAGAGAATAAACTATGTAAGTAAAAGGCTATAAAAAGCAGTAGAAAGATGGAAAAATGGGAAGGGCATTGAGAATTTTTTAAACTTCTTTATGGCTTTCGGTAACTTTCATTTTCCAAAAATAGGTTTCTGTTTGCCAATCAGATAGATTACCTTCCCTTTACCTCCTCTCTTCTCACTTTTGAGTTGTAAGTGAAAAGGAGGCATAAAGAGAGTGAAAGAAAGTGTCAGAACTCCCTATGCTTGACCCCTGAATGCAAGAACGAAGCTCTTGCTATGTATCTGGTCTTTCTTTCTGTTGAAATAGGGTGAAGACAGAGAAGGATTAGGGCAGGATGATTCAGCACGCAGGCTCTGTGGGCAGATGGCTTATGAGGATAAAATAAAAAATTCATGTAAATGAAACATTGGCAAGGTATCTGGCACACTGTGAGCCGTAAATAATGCCAATATTTAGGACAATAATAGATGATGATGATAATGAAAATGTTAATGGTAATAACTAGAAGGAAATCCACACAGAAACAAATAAAAAGTTGTATTATTTTTGCTGTTATTTATTTTTGTAATAATGTGGAAAAGTAAGAATTTGAGCTTGTGGAACCATAATTTGATATTGGTTGAAGTTCTTTTCCCCTCATTTTTGCTTATATACTGCCTATAGGAAATAAGATAAAATGTATTATTTTTACTTAAAGATACTATCTATAAAAATGATTCTAAGTTTATTAAAAATCTATCTATCTGCATATGATTTTTGTCTATAGGCATATCTACAATGAAATATGCCAGAAATGTGTTTTCTTAATGTGAAGGACGATTACTTTTGAGTGTTGGGTTTTTTTTTTTTTTTTTTTTTTAGACAGAGTCTTGCTCTGTCACCCAGGCTGGAGTGCAGTGGCGTGATCTTGGCTCGCTGCAATCTCTGCCTCCTGGGTTTAAGCGATTCTCCTGCCTCAGGCTCCAGAGTAGCTGGGACTACAGGTACCCACCACCACACTCAGCTAATTTTTTTTGTGTTTTTAGTAGAGACGGGGTTTCATCGTGTTGGCCAGGATGATCTTGATCTCCTGACCTTGTGATCCGCCTGCCTTGGCCTCCCAAAGTGCTGGGATTACAGGCATGAGCCACCGCGCCTCGCTGGGTGTTGGGTTTTCTTTTGTGTTATTTTGATACTTTCACCTTTGTGTTTTTATTTTTTTATTTTTATTTTTATTTTTTTGAGATGGAGTCTTCTCTGCCGCCCAATCTGCAACCTCCACCTCCCGGGTTCAAGCGATTCTCCTGCCTCAGCCTCCTGAGTAGCTGGGACTACAGGTGCCTGCCACCACGCCCGGCTAATGTTTTGTATTTTTAGTAGAGATTCGGTTTCACCATGTTAGCCAGGATGGTCTCGATCTCCTGACCTCACGATCTGCCTGCCTCGGCCTCCCAAAGTGCTGGGATTACAGGCGTGAGCCACCACGCCTGGACTGTGTTTTTAAAAACATTTAATTTTTTTAGATGGTAACATTTCTTTTGAATAATAATAATATTTTAAAACAAGCTAACAATCATAATTAGAAGCAAATATTTCAACATTCTAGTAATAATTAATTCTGAGTGGTAGGAATTTGAGCAATTGTTACTTGTTTCTATGTTCTTTTAAAAATAAAAAACACACGCAACAAAAATCATCTTAAAGAGCACTAAAATCTAGGAAAAAAACAAAAATAAAACCTCTGTATCTCCTCCGCCCATACCACATTTCCCCAGTGAGATAGATGGATGTCTATGTAGTCCTAAAATGTCTACAGGGAAGAAAATGGAGTTATCCCTCTGGTCATTGATTCCAGCCTGGTCAAGTAGGAAAGGAATGGGTTGGAGATAATATACCTAGATTCCACTTTCCATTTTTACAAATGATTTGGTATGAATCTGTAGGCATATCATGGAAGTTTACTCCCTTTTTGTTTTTCCATCTACGAAATGGGATTATAAAACCAACCCCACAGGAGGCAGGGCAAGATGGTGAGATAGAAGCTTCCACTGATTGTTCCTCCGACAAGGACACCAAGTTAACAACTATCCACACAGAAAAAAACACCTTCATAAGAACCAAAAGTCAGGTGAGCACTCATAGTACCTGGTTTTAACTTTGTGTCACTGAAAGAGGCATTGCAGAAAAGAAAAAAACAGTTCTGAATTGTAGATGTCGCCCCTCCTCCACCCCAGGCAGCAGCAGCTTGGTGCAGAGAGTGTCTCTGGATGCTGGGGGAGGGAGAACACAGCAATTTCGAGGCATTGAATACAGTACTATCCTGTTAGACCAGAAGAGAACCAGACAAAACTCTTCCAACACCCACCCAAGGAGGGAGTGTTTAAACCAGCCCTAGCCAGAGCACCATTTCTGATCCCAGTGGCATGAACTTCAGTGCCTGAAAACCTTGCCACTGAGGGCTACAGCACTCTATATCTCCAAGTAAACTTGAAAGGAAGTCTAGGACGTAAGGACTGCAACTCTTACGTGAGTCCTAATGACAAACTAGGCTCAGAGATGGTGGACTCTGGGGGCACCCGACTTACTAAGACATCAGCTGGGGCTGCCAAGGGATTGCTGGCATCATCCCTCCCCTCACTTCAGGCTGCATAGCTCACAAATCCAAAAGAGAGCCCTTCTTTCTGCTTGTGGAGAGGAAAGGGAAGAGTGGGGAAGACTTAGTTTTGCATCTTGGATACCAACTCAGCCACAGCAAGATAAGGCACCAGTCAGAGTCGTGAAGTTCCCATTCCAGGCCCTAGCCCCCAGATGACATTTCTAGACACCTGGGTCAGAAGAGAACCCACTGCCTTGAAGGAAAGGAACCAGTCCTGGCAGCATTCATCACCTGCCAACTGAAGAAGCCTTGGGCCCTGAATAACAAGCAATGATACTCAGGTACTGTATCAAGGCCCTTGGGTAAGCCTCTGAGACTTGTCTTCAGGCTCCAGCACAACCACAGTGAGGCAGAGCATCAAGTGGGCTTTTGGGTTCCCCAGTTCCAGGATTTTACTCTTGTATGGCATTTCTGGACCTGCCCTAGGCCAGCGGGGAGCCCATTGCCCTGACAGGTGAGTCCCAGGCCAGGCAGCACTCATCGCAAGCTGACTTAAGAGCCCTTGAGCCTAAAGGGAACATTGGCTGGTAGTCTGGCAGTTCTCCTTGTGGCCTGGGATGGTGATGGCTACAGGGTGAGGCTCCTTTGCCTTTGGAAAGGGGAGGGAAGAGTAGGAACAAGTGCGTCTGTGATTTGACTGCCAGCTCAGCCTCAATACAATAGTACAGCAGGTAGACTTCTAATATTTTTGACTCTGGTCCCTGACTCCTGGATAGCATCTCTGGACCCACTTGGGGCCTGGGGGAATTCACCATCCTGAAGGGAAGGACAGAGGACTGGCTGGCTTTGCCACCTGCTGACTGTAGAGCCCCAGAGACTTGAGTGAACATAGGCAGTAGCCAGGGAATGGTTACAGCAGGCCATGGGCGAGATGCAGTATTGTGCTGTTTCAGATCTGATCCAGTGCAGTCATTGTAGTGCTGGCCCACAGGGGTGTGTGTGTCACTCCACTTTCAGCTAAGGTGACTCAGAACAGAGAGAGAAAGAGACTCTGTTTGCTTTGGAGAAAGTAAGGGGAGAAACAGGAGTTTCTGTCAGGTAATCCAGATAATTCTCCTAAATCTTGTCCAAGACCATCAAGGCAGCACTTCTATGAGTCTGCAAGAACCACAGCATTACTCGTCTTGTGGTGCCCCCTAAAGTAGACATGGCTTACATCACAACACCCAAGTCCTTTCAAATATCTGAAAAGCCTTTTCAAGAAGGACAACTACAAATAAGCCCAGATGGTGAAGACTACAATAAATACCTAACACTTTATGCACAGACACCAAAAAACATCTACTATCATCAATACCATCCATGAAAACATGAACTCACCAAATGAACTAAATAAGTCACCAGGGACCAATGGTGGAGAAACAGTTATGTGACCTCTCAGACACAGAATTCAAAATAGCTGTGTTGAGGAAACTCAAAGAAATTCCAGATAACACAGAGAAGGAATTCAGAATTTTGTAAGTGATATGGTTTGGCTGTGTCCCCACCCAAATCTCACCTTGACTTGTAGCTCCCACAATTCCCATATCTTGTGGGAAGGACCTGGTGAGAGATAATTGAATCATGGGGGCAGGTCTTTTCCATGCTGTTCTCATGATAGTGAATAAGTCTCATGAGATATGATGGTTTTATAAAGGGGAGTTTCCCTGCACAAGTCCTATTCTCTTGTCTGCCACCATGAAGACATGACTTTCACCTTCTGCCATGATTATGAGGCCTCCCCAGCCATGTGGAACTGTGAGTCCATTAAATCTCATATATATATACATATATATATATACATACATATATATATACACATACATATATATACATACATATATATATATATATATATATATATATATATATATATATATATATATAAAATTAGCCCAGTCTTAGGTATGTCTTTATCAGCAGTGTGAAAACAGGCTAATACTATAAGATAAATTTAACAAAGAGACAGAAATAATTAAAAGGAATCAAGCAGAAATTCTAGAGTTGAAAAATGCTATCGGCATACTAATGAATGCACTAGATTCTTTTAATAGCAGGACAGATCAAGCAGAAGAAAGAATTCGTGAGCCTGAAGAAAGACTATTTGAAAATACAACAGTCAGAGGAGAAAAAAGAAAAACATAGAAATGAAGCACACCTACAGGATCAAGAAAATAGCCTCAAAAGGGCAAATCTAAGAGTTATTGTCCTCAAAGAGGGGGTGGAAAGCTTATTCAAACGGATAATAACAGAGAACATCCCAAACCTAGAGAAAGATATCAGTATCCACGTACAAGATGGTTATAGAACCAAGCAGATTTAACCCAAAGAAGACTACCTCAAGGCATTTAATAATCAAACTTTAAAGGTCAAGGATAAAGAAAGGATTATAAAAGCATCAAGAAGACAGAAACAAATAACATATAATGGAGCTCCAATACCTCTGACAGCAGACTTTTCCATGGAAACTTTACAGTGCAGGAGAGAGTGGCATGACATATTTAAACTGCTGAACTTTACCCTTGAGTAGCGTATCTGGTGAAAATATCCTTCATCATGAAGGAGAAATAAAGACTTTCCCAGACAAACAAAAGGGGAGGAATTTCATCAATACCAAACCTGTCCCACAGGAAATGCTAAAGGGAATACTTCAATCAGAAATAAAAGGATATTAATGAGCAATAAATACTCACCTGAAGGTACAAACCTTACTGGTAATAGTAAGTGCAGAGAAAAACACAGAATATTAATACACTGTAACCGTGTGTAAAGGACAGTGGCACAATCTTGGCTCACGGCAACCTCTGCCTCCTGGGTCAAGAGATTCTCCTGCCTCAGCCTCCCAAGTAGTGGGGATTAAAGGCGCCCACCACCATGCCCCACTAATTTTTGTATTTTTAGTAGAGATGGGGTTTTGCCATGTTGGCCATGTGGGTCGTGAACTCTTGACCTCATGTAATACTCTTACCTTGGCCACCCAAAGTGCCGGGATTACAGGCATGAGCCACTGCTCTCAGCCTAACAACTCTTTGTCATTACAGTGAGATATAATTAGAAATAATAAAATGTTAAAAAGTGGAAGGACAAAGTCATGGTGAGTTTTTATTAGTGTTCTTTTTGTTTGTTTTTTGTTTATGCAAACAGTATTAAGTTATTATCAGGTTAAAATAATGGGTTATAATATAATATTTGCAAGCCTCATGGTAACCTCAAACCAAAAAAACACACAATAGATACACAAAAAATATAAAGTAAGAAGCAAAATCATACTATCAGAGAAAATCACCTTCACTAGAGGAAAACAAGAAGAAAAGAAAGAAGGAAAAGGAGATCATAAAACAACCAGAAAACAAATAACAAAATGACAGGATTAAGTCCTTACTTATCAATAATAATATTAAATGTAAAATGGACTAAACTCTCTAATCAAAAGACATAGACTGGCTGAACAGATGAAAAAACAAGACCCATTGATTCACTGCCTACAGGAAATACTACATCTATGAAGACAAACATAGACTGAAAATAAAAGGTTGGAAAAAAGATATTTTATACCAATAAAAACAAAAAAGAGCAGGAGTCACTATGCTTCTTTCAGCCAAAATAGATTTCAGAACAAAAATTATAAGAGACAAGGAAGGTCACTATATAATGATAAAGGGGTTAATTCAGCAAGAAGATATAACAATTTTTAATATATATGCACCCAACACTGCAGCACCCAGATATAGAAAGGAAATGTAATTAAAGAGAAATAGGCCCCAATATAATAATAGCTGGGGACTTCAACACCCCACTTGCAGCATTGGATCTTCCTGACAGAAGAATCAACAAAAAAAATCAGACTAAATTTGCACTGTAGACCAAATGGATCTAATAGATATTTACAGAACATTTCTTCCAACATCTGCAGAACTCACAATCTTTTCCTCAGAACATAGATCATTCTGAAGGATAGACTATGAATTAGGTCACCAAACAAGTCTTACAACATTACAAAAATTAAAATAATGTCAATAATCTTCTCTGACCACAATGAAACTAAACTAGAAATTAATAACAAGAAAAATTTTGGAAACTATACAAATACGTGAAAATGAAACAATATATTCTTGAGTGATTAGTGGGTTGATGAATAAATTAAGAAGGAAGTTGAAAAATTTCTTAAACAAATAATAACGGAAACACAGCATGCCAAAACCTATGGGATACAGCAAAGACAATACTAAGAGGGAAGTTTATAGCTATCAGTGTCTACATCAAAAAAGAGAAGAAACTTCAAATCTACAATCTAACAATGCATCTTAAAGAACTAGTAAAGCAAGAGCAAGTCAATCCCATAATTAGTATAAAAATAAATAAAATGAAGAAAATATAAAAGATCAATGCAATAAAAAGGGTTTTTGTTTGTTTGTTTGTTTGTTTTTTGTGAGACAGAGTCTCGCTCTGTCTCCCAGGCTGGAGTGCAGTGGTGCGATCTGAGCTCACTGCAAGCTCCACCTCCTGGGTTCACACCATTCTCCTGCCTCAGCCTCCCGAATAGCTGGGACTACAGGCACCTGCCACCACGTCCAGCTAATATTTTTGTATTTTTAGTAGAGACGGGGTTTCATCATGTTGGCCAGGATGGTCTTGATCTCCTGACCTTGTGACCTGCCCGCTTCGGCCTCCTAAAGTGCTGGGATTACAGGCGTGAGCCACTGCACCTGGCCTGGGGTTTTTTTTGAAAAGTTAAACAAAGTTGACCAACCTTTAGCCGGACAAACTAAGAAAAAAAGAGAGAGGTTCCAAATAAATACAATGAGAAATACAAAAGAAGGTATTACAACTGATACTGCAAAAATTCAAAGGATTACTAGTGGCTACTATGAGCAACTATATGCCCGTAAACTGAAAAATCTGGAATAAATGGACAAATCTCTAGATACATACAACCTACCAATATTGAACCAAAACATGAACAGACCAATAATAAGTAACAAGATCAAAGCTGTAATAAAAAGTCTCCCAGTAAAGAAAAGCCTGGGACCTGATGGCTTCACTGCTGAATTCTACCAAATATTGAATGAAGAATAAATACCAATTCTACTCAAACTATTCACAAAAATAGAGGAGGAGCGAATACTTCCAAATTTATTCTATGAGGCTAGTATTACCCTGATACCAAAACCAGAAAAAAACACCTCAACATCACTTCATGATAAAAACCGTCAGGAAGACTAGGTATAGAAGGAACGTATCTCAACATAATAAAAGCCATATACAACAAACCCACAGCTAGTATCATATTAAGTGGGGAAAAACTGAAAGCCTTTCCTCTAAGATCTGGAACACGACAAGGATTCTATTCAAAATAGTACTGGAGATCCTAGCTAGAGCAGTCAGACAAGAGAAAGATATAATGGGCATCCTGACTGGAAAAATAAGTCAAATTATTCTTGTTTGCTGATGAGATGATCTAAGATTTGGAAAAACTTTGAGACTCCACAAGAAAACTATTAGAACTGATAAATTCAGTAAAGTTGCAGGATACAGAGTCAACATACAGAAATCAGTAGTATTTCTATATGCCAACAGTGAACAATGTGAAAAAGAAATTAAAAAGTAATCCCATTTAAAATAGCCACACATAAAATTATATATCTAGGAATTAACATAACCAAAGAAGTGAATGATCTCTATAATGAAAACTGTAAAACGCTGATTAAGGAAATTGAAGAGGACATCAAAAAATGGAAAAATATTTCATGTTCATGTATTGAAAGAATCAATATTGTTAAAATGTCCATGCTACCCAAAACAATCTACAGATTCAAAATACCAATATTTTTCACAGAAATTAGAAAAAACTATGCTAAAATTTATATGGAGTCACAAAAGATCCAGAATAGCCAAAGCTATCCTAAGCAAAAAACTGGAGGAATCACATTACCTGACCTCAAAGTATACTACAGAGCTACAGTAAACAAAACAGCATGGTACTGGCATAAAAACAGACACATAGACCAATGGAACAACATAGAGAACCCAGAAACAAATCCACACACCTACAGTGAACTCATTTTTGACAAAGGTGTAAAGAATATACACTGGAAAAAAGATAGTCTCTTCAATAAATGGTGCTAGAAAACTGGATATTCACATGCAGAAGATTGAAACTAGAACTTTGTCTCTTACCATACAGAAAAATCAAACCAGGCTGGGCATGGTGACTCACACCTGTAATCCCAGCACTTTGGGAGGCCAAGGTATGTGGATTGCTTGATCCCAGGAGCTTGAAACCAGCCTGAGCAACGTGGCAAAACTCAGTCTCTACCAAAAAATATGAAAATTAGCTGGGCATGGTGGTGCATGCCTGTAGTCCCAGATACTCATGGGGGTGAGGTGGGAGGACTGCTTGAGCCTGGGAGGCAGAGGTTGCAGTGAGCCAAGATGGCACCACTGCACTCCAAGCTGGATGACAGAGGGACAATCTGCCAAAAAAAAAAAAATCGAAATAGACTAAAGACTTATATCTAAGATCTCACACTATGAAATGACTACAAGTAAACATTGGAGAAAATTTCCAGGACATTTATCTGGGCAAAGGTTTCTTGAACAATACCCTACAAGCACAGGCAACCAAAGTAAAAAATGGACAAATCGGATCACATCAAATTAAAAAGCTTCTGCACAGCAAGGGTTGTAATCAACAAAGTGAAGAGACAACTGACAGAATGGGAAAAAAAAACACCTCAGACAAGGGATTAATAATCAGAATACATAAGGAGCTCAAACGACTCTATAGGAAAAAATCTAATAAACTTATCAAAAAATGGGCACAAGATTTGAATAGACATTTCTCAAAAGAAGTCATAAAAAAGGGCAAACAGGAATATGTAAAGGTGCTCAACATCACTGATCATCAGAGAAATGCAAAACTATAATGACATATCATGTCACCACAGTTAAAATGGTTTGTAGCCAAAAAACAGGCAATAACAAATGCTGGCGAGGATGTGGAGAAAAGGGAACTGTTGTACATTGTTTGTGGGAATGTAAATTAGTAAAAACAGTATGGGGAACAATTTGGAGGTTCCTCAAAAAAACTGAAAATTGAGCTGCCATACGATCCAGCAATCCCACTGCTGGGCATGTACCCAAAAGAAAGGAAATCAGTATATTGAAGAGATAGTTGCACTCCTGTGTTTGTCGCAGCATGGTTTACAATAGCTAAGATTTGGAAGCAACCTAAGTGTCCATCAACAGATAAACAGGTAAAGAAAAATGTGGTATACGTACACAATGGAGTACTATTTAACCATAAAAAAGGATGCGATACAGTCATTTGTAGCAACATAGAACTGGAGGCACAGAAAGACAAACTGCATATTCTCACTTATTTGTGGGATCTAAAAATCAGAACAATTGAACTCATGGACCCAGAGAGTAGAAGAGTGGTTCCCAGGAGCTGGGAAGGGTAGTTGGGGGCTGAGGGGGCAGTGGAAATAGGTACAAAAAATAGAAAGAATAAATAAGACCTACTATTCAATAGCACAATAGGGTGATTATTGTCAATGATAACTTAATTGTACATTTTAAAATAGAGTGTAATTGGATTGTTTGTAACTCAATGGATAAATACTTTGATGGATGGATAGCCCATTCTCTATTATTGTGCTTATTTCATGCTGCATGCCTCTATCAAAACATCTCATGTACTCAATAAATATATGCACCTACTATGTACCCACAAAAATTAAAAAAAGGATAAATTAAAAATACAATCAACCCTATGTATATTTTAGGACAGTTTTAATGAGAGAATTCAGAGCCAATTTGAGCACTTCAATTTTAACTCCATGTCCTGCAGGAATAAATGATTATTGCCAGCCTATGGGTAAAATTATAAAATGCTCTTGCATCCTTGTTTACTTTCCTTCATGGGTTAAAAATCCCACAAAGTCCAGTTTTTCTCCAAAGCATTCATAGTGTCTGTTGCTTTACTTTAGAAGTTTGAATTTAATTTTCTGATTTTGTCTATTTTGCTCTTACCTCTTTCAAAGTCTCTCTATCCTGTGACTATAATTTTACTTCCTCTCATGTATATTTCTGTGCTTGTTTAGGATGATTCAAAATATAAACTCACATTTTTAAGCTCTTTTACTCCCTTTGTGTGCTCTGTGTCTCCTAAACATTAAAATTTTACTTAAGGAAGAATCTTAGAACTACTAGAGAAATGGTGTTCATTCTTGCTAGCTGAGTAGGAACATGGATCCCATAAAAATTGATCTGTTCTTTTCATTAAAACCTATAAAGAAAATCTCATTTTAAATGACTGTATTAACAAGATAACAGAGCATAGAAGGAAATTACTTATGTTAGATACTCAGTAGCTGACCCAAGAAATTATGAATGCTTTCTTAAAGCTTTGTCTTTAGTATTTGCTAATAAGCCAGTTAGCAAACCTGAAACACAAACTTGTATGTGTTTATGCACACATACACACACACACACACACACACACGCATGCACAATGAATTTGGAGGGACTAATGCTAATTAAATTGACAATTGCATTTACTTTGATCACTACCTTGGCAATCCTGTATATAAACTCTCAGATAAGATACAATGCCTACATTACAGAGACTGAGAAACACAACTCTGTAGTCCTGAAATCTGGGCAGTCTAGAACAAGAAGTTAACAGGTTGTTGTAATCAGAGGTTTGAAGAGGTTTGCAGGCATTTTAAAAACAAAAACATGGATTTTAAATGACCACTGACATACTCCATCCACAATCCTGCCTGTCTTTTGATTTCTTAATTTATTATCAACTTAGCCTTTCCACATGTTTCAGAATCTTTAGGGCTCCGTCAAAATATCTTTCTTCTAGGAGATCTAACCCTTTGCCACTGCACTGTATACCTGCCCCGATGTTTTTTACACCCGAATCACCATTAAGTTTCTATATTCAGTTCTTTGTGTTGTCTTAACCTCTCTTTAAGAGGAATATGCTCCAGTGGAAATAACACTCGTCCTAAATCTGACCTTGGACCTGGTCCTGTTTTAGTCTATTCAGGCTGCTATAATAAACTACCATAAGCTGGGTTGCTTATAAACAGCAGAAATTTATTTCTCACAGTTCTGAAGGCTGGGAAGTCCTAGATCAAAGTGCTGGCAGATTCAATGTCTAGTGAGGGACTACTTATTGGTTCATAGATGGCTGTCTTTTTGCTGTGTCTTCACATGATGGAAGGGGAGAGAGAGCTTTCTGGTATCTCATCTTGTATTTCCCGAGATTGAAGCTTTCTCTATAGCTCAAATCCCATTTGTAAGGGCTCTGCCCTTGTGACTTACTCTCCTACCAAAGCCCCTTACCTCTTAATACCATCATATTAGGGATGAGGATTTTAACTTATGAATTTGGTGGGGGGGATGCAAACATTCAATCTATATTATTCAGCTTCTGCCCCCACCCCCAAATCATGTCCTTCTTACATGCAAAATACATTAAAGGGATCATCATAGCCCCAGAGATGGGTGAGACTCAAGGTATGATTCATCCAGAGACAAATTGCTCTCCAGCTGTGAGCTTGTGAAACCAAACAAATTATGTACTTCCAAAATTCAAAGATGGCTCAGACAAAGGAAAGAAATTTCCACAAAAAAAAAAAAAAAAGAAATAGGAAAGAAGAAAGGCATAACACATTCAAAATAAGTCCAGGCTACAAGGGAAACTTCATGAGGTCTTACAGCTGCAGAATAATCCTCTTTGGCTTGTGGCTCTGCCCTCTAGGTCCACTAGTTGGGGAGGTACCTCTCTATGGACCCACAGCTTTGGGCAGAACCTGTCTAACCAGTTGAAACTCAGGCAATGGCTCCACTTTTTGTAACTGAAGAGGCATCTCTGATGATATTTGAATTGCTTTTGGGGTTCTTCTTCCCTTGTCTTCAATAGTGCACATTTGCAGCTGAATAGGTCCTATACTATAAAACGTATCTATAAGATTGGTCCTGTCCTATAAGACGTAAGAAGTCTGACAGCCTCCCTTCATTCCTTCCTATCTCCTTCCCCTTCAGTTCAAACTGGTGGTATTCCTTCTGGGGTGGCTGATTAAATCTACAGTTTATGCCCACACAAATCTTATCAAATGGTCACTAGGCCACACCCTTAGTGTTCCAAACATTTTTTCTCAATTTTTGCAATATGGATGGCTGCAAATTTTCCAAATCTTTAAGTTTAGATCCTTTTTGCCTAACAATTCTATTGTTATGTCATTTTCCCTCTTAGATTTTACTGTAAGAAGCCAGGGGGCACCAAGCTGTACTTTTAACACTTTGCTTGGGAATTATTTCAGCTAAATATCAAAGCTTGCAAGTTCTATCTTCCACAAAGCACTAGAACATAAACACTATTCAGCCAAATTATTTGCCACTTTATAAAAAAGATCACCTTTCCTCCAGTTTCCAATAAAATATTCCTCATTTCTGTCTGACTTTTGCTGTTTATATGTCTACCAATATTCTGTTCATGATACTTAGCTATTCCATAGGAAGACTGAGGCTTTCTATGCTGCTTTTCTTTCTGAGCCTGTACCAGAATCACCTTTAAAGGTCTATTCATGGAAATGCAAACTTTTCCTAGCATGTACATACAAACTCTTTCAGCCTCCACCCTTTATCCTGTTTTAAGATACGTTTTAAGGTATTTGTTACAGCAGCACGTTCACTTCTTGGGACCAATTTTCTGTCTTAGTCAGTTTGGGCTGCTATAAGAGAATTCCACAGACTAAGTAGCTTTTATAAACAACAGAAATTTATTTCTCCACAGCTTTAGAGGCTGGGAAGTCCTAGATCAAAGCACTGATAGATTTAGTGTCTGGTCATCTTCTGGTTGTGTCCTCATGTGATGAAAGAGGGTGAGAGAGCTCTTCAGAGCTCTTTTATAAGGGCTTTAATCCCATTCATGAGGTCTTGGTCCTCACAACCTAATCACCAACCAAAGGTCTTGCTTCCTAATACCATAATATTTCAAAATATGAATTTTAGGGGAACACAAACATTCAGTCTGTAGCAGGTCCTAAAAAAACTACTTGACCTTAGGCCAGACATAAATCTTTGGGGACTTCTTTTTATAGATCAGTAAAACAAATGGGGCAAATTGAATATTGTCTAAGCTTTCATCAGTTTTATGATTCTGTTGGTCATAAGCTATTATATCACAGTTATGAGTATAATGTGTCATGTTTTCAGAATTCTTAGGCTAGCCAGGAACTTACAGATTGCCTAATCAAATTGAATAATTTTACTTACTGGGAAACTGATTGATTTAAATGATTTACTTTGTGTCAAATAAGTTAGCCAGCAGCAGGACCAGATTCTATGCTTTCTCATACAAGGCAAGTAACTTCAGAATGAGTATCATTAGTCACTAATAAATCAGATGAATGATTTGGCAAGGGAAGTGCTAGCAGGTATTGGTGAAAATGAGATTTTTCTGGATTTTCATAATTTTAAAAACCAAATCTTGTAATTCCAAACTTGTAAATTCCATTTATATTTCTTTAGTTCATTTAAAAATATTCATAAACCATTTAAAATCAGACTTGAATGTTTGCACTAAAACCATAGGGTAATTTTAGGTTATGAGGAGAAAATGATGTGGATTTCAGACATTTTGAAATGCTGTTGGCTGCATGCTATAAAATATTCATGGTTCTGGGTTACACTGTGTGCTTTTTTTTTTTTTTAAACCACTTCAATTGCTTCTTTCAGCATGTTTTTTGTATTGAATTTTACTCTGTGAAACTTTGTTTGTAGCATTATTTTCCATATTTTGGAATTAATTTTGTAATTTCTCTTGATCATATCTGACTTTGTCCATCAGGACTTCATATAACTCACTCCACTCCAGTTGCATGTCAGTTCTGTGGTTTAATTTCCTTTCTCACCTGCAAACAGTGCTTATTTAGCAAGGAACAGCATTCCCATCTGCTTTGTTCCAAAGGGGTGAGAGTACTGGGGGGAGGTGGGCAGGGAATGAGGACACACTGAGTATGAGGTGATGAAAGACTAAGATCAGAAACAGGATGCCCTTTAGAGAAAGAGGTGAGCAGAGCCATGTTGGGGTAGCCTGCTGTGTCTCTGGGAAACGGCTGCCACAGTTGCCTTGGGGTGGTTCTGTGTCTCCTCAGTGTGAGAACTCTTGCTCCAGGGCTTTGAACTGTGTCACTGATACTCTTCCTTTTAGACCAGTATATGTGCAATGTCAGTTTCACTTACCAGCCTTCATGGTTGCTTTCCCCTAGACATGAAATTTTCAAATGTCCCTGAACACAGAATGAAGGTGCTTAAACTTGAGAATAAGCAGTAGAATTTCCAATTCCCAACAGACCCTCCACTGCCTAGAATACAGTATCATCACGTCAGTACTGCATCTGGTTACCCTGCTTATCATTCAACTAACATGCTCTCCCTATGGTCTCAACTCTCCCATGTTCCTGAAGACAATGGATGTCTGTGACCCTCTCTTGTTGGTCCTCTCTGCAGTTGTAGAGCATCATCTCCTCCTGGAAATGTTCTCTTCTATTCTGTTCATTTCTTGAGCACTTCTGATTGCCTCTCCTGACCTTTTGGGTCTTCCTTTTTTCCTTCCTTTGCCCATTTCTTCCTTCCTTCCTTTGCCCATTTCTCAAATGACCCATTTCTTTTTTCAAAAATTTGTTCTAGGGCTTCTCTTTTTATCTACATGTTCTCTCTGGGCTATTTCTACAGCTTTAATCTCTATCTCCATACCTTCCCAGATCCCTGACCTGTGTCTCTGTCCATTTTTCTATTTCTTTTAGCTCCTTAATAACATATATTTAACTACCTGCTTTGTGTAAATCTGATATATACATTTGAAATAACTTACACTTGATTATTACATTCTACTTATGAGACTTATAAGCACCACCCTCAGGACCCAAATGCCATTTTTCTGTCCCATCTCTTCCTCATTTTTTCCCTGCCCCAGGGAGTAACATAATCCTTCTGACTACACACTTCAAAGACCTCATCACCTGCCATATCCAATTAGTCACTGAGAACTCTCAGTTCTACACCTTGATCACAGTCCATCACCTCTCCCACGTTACTCATCCAGGCTGTCACTATCTCTTACTATAATGGCCACCTGTTTTGGAAGATGTGCTTCCCACCCCGTCCAATCTCTAACTCCAATATATTCTCTACATTAGTGGTTCTCAGTATGTGGTCCCCAGACCAGCTGCATCTGTGTCATCTGGGAACTTGTTCAAATTGCAAATTCACCAGCACTATAACATCAGAAACGCTGGGGGTAGGCTCAGCTGTCTGTCCTACCCTCCCGATGGCTTTGGTGTTTGTAAAATATGAGAACCTCACCAACGTCAACCCACTCACTTCATACTTGTCCTACTAAGCTACAGTCCTTTACTCACCCTGCCTCCTCTCTCCAGCTGCAGGACCCTCGTACCTGCTGCTGCTCCCATTCTTCCTTTCCACCTGGCTGGCTCCTCCTTGTCCCTCTGGCTTTGCTTACATATCACTCCTCCCCCCCACCCCCGAACCTCCCAGTACCCAGAGCTGTAGTAGGGCTTGTCCTAAGTGTCCCACAGGACTCTGCAGTAATGGCTATTTTTTTATTGACCCCCTTTATTGTAATTGCTGATTCCTTGTCTGTCACATTTTCTAGGAACTCTCTGAGGATTTGGACCGTGTTTATTCTATTTCCTAAAGCTTTATTTCACTGAAGCTATTAACTAAATCAGAATTATTCAGGCATATAGTAGGTAAATCACCAAAAAAAATCGATATATATATTTTTTTGTGGGGAGGGGGATGAATGATTCTGGTTTCTGCCCTATATCCCTCTGGGTTCATGCTGCTCTATAGGCATAGGAGATAGTTAGTTACCCTAGATTGGCGAGATAGTTACCCTAGATTGGCAATCTCTTCTAATTCTCCAAAGTCATACTTTCCCCTATATTCCAGGTCTCTGCCATACCAGCTAAGTCATCTGAGTGGTGATATTAGGGTATTATCCTGGATCTATCCTTCTTATACCTCTCTCCTCTATCATGTCAAGGCAGTCAATAAACCTGTTGAGGAAAAATCATGCAGAAGCCTGTTATTAATTATAGAGAGATCTAATAATTCAGTCTGGCAGAAAACCCTTTAATTTACCTGCTCTCTTCCAATTCTTTGCCAAGGCTCCTCAAAATGGTCAGACAATTCCTGGCCAGGTATTTGCATAATGGCTTTTCTTCTGTTGCCTTTGTTCCTTTGTGGCCCCAGCTAATTGCCTGAGAGTGCCACTGTTAGTTTTCAACTCTTTCTGATAGAAACCCTGTGTACTAACATGGAAATCTTAGGTAATCTGCTTTTTCAAAGCACAATGCAGAATTTATTGGCGGTGGTGTAACTTTAAGAATATCCGAGAAGCCACCAAGGCCTCTAGGTAAAATAGAATGAGGAACTTTTCTGTACACTTCCTTTACCCTGTGACTCAAAAGGAGGGCCCCTCCTGAGGAAAGGCCAGGAAAGTAATGCAATGTTTAATTTTTCTATACTTCTTGTAGAAGTGTTCTTTCTGAGTCAGCTGTGGACAGGGATATTCACTGACCTCAAGATTATGCTATCCAAAGAGGTTTGTGTTATTTTCGTACAACTGAAAAACCCCTCACGGGGCCACATTCATTAAAAAGACCAGTGGTAGTTGTGGGGAGGTTCTAAAGACCTTAACAAAATCACCTTCATTTTTAAAATTTTTATTTATTTATTTATTTTTATTATACTTAAGTTCTGGGGTACATGTGCAGAGCGTGCAGGTTTATTGCATAGGTATACATGTGCCATGGTGGTTTGCTGCACCCATCAACCTGTCATCTGCATTAGGTATTTGTCCTAATGCTATCCCTCCCCTTCCCCCCCAACCCCCTGACAGGCCCCCATATGTAATGTTTCCCTCACTGTGCCCATATGTTCTCATTGTTCAACTCCCACATTTGAGTGAGAACATGCGGTGTCTGGTTTTCTGTTTCTGTGTTAGTTTGCTGAAAATGATGGTTTCTAGCTTCATCCATGTCCCTGCAAAGGACATGAACTCATCCTTTTATATGGCTGCATAGTATTCCGTGGTGTATATGTTCCACATTTTCTTTATCTAGTCTATCATTGATGCTGGACAGGATATGGAGAAATAGGAATGCTTTTACACTGTTGGAGTGTAAATTAGTTCAACCATTGTGGAAGGCAGTGTGGTGATTCCTCAAGGATCTAGAACTAGAAATACCATTTGACCCAGCAATCTCATTACTGGGTATATACCCAAAGGGTTATAAATCATTCTACTATAAAGACACATGCACGCATGTTTATTGCAGCACTATTCACACTAGCAAAGACTTGGAACCAACAAAATCACCTCATTAACCTCTCTGAGAGATGTCTGCCCTTGCCCTTCATTCCTACCATCTCTGTCCTGAAGTCCCCATCCTCCCTTTCCTGTCTCTCCAAAGCAGCAGATCCCTCCCTACCCTTTATGAATCAAGTGCTTATGTAGAATTCTGTTTTATAAAATAGATAAAGCTGCTTTTTATGTGGATACATTTATTTTCCAATGTATAGCTTTTACTTATTAAAAGTCAATGTATTCCTTAAAAAATTAAAAACAGAGTTATTGTATGATCCAGCAATTCTACTTCTGGTTATCTATTCAAGGTAATTGAAGGGTCTTAAAGAGATATTTGCACACGCATGTTCGTAGCAGCATTATTCAAAATAGCCAAGACATGAAAGCAACCCAAATGCTTGTTGATGGACAAATGAATAAACAAAATGTGGCATATATATACACAATGGAATATTCAGCCTTAAAAAGGAAGAAAATTCTGACATTTGATACAACATGAATAAATCTTGAGGACATTATGCTAAATAAAATAAGCTAGTCACAACTGGGCCCAGTGGCTCATACCTGTAATCCTAGCACTTTGGGAGGCCGAGGTGGGTGGATCACTTGAGGTCAGGAGTTCAAGACCAACCTGGCCAACATGATGAAACCCCTTCTCTACTAAAAATACAAAAATTAGCTGGGCATGGTGGCACACACCTGTAATCCCAGCTACTTGGGAGGCTGAGGCAGGAGAATCGTTTAAACCCAGGAAGTGGAGATTGTAGTGAGCCAAGATCATGCCACTTGACTCCAGCCTGGGCTGGGTGAAAGAGTGAGACTCCATCTCAATAAAAAGGCTAGTCACCAAAAGAGAAATACTGCAGAATATGTCTTGTATGAGGTATCTAGATTAGTCAAATTCATAGAAAGAGAAAAGTAGAATGGTGGTTCCCAGGGGCTGGCAGAGGAGAGGGAAACGAGTTGTGTGTTTCATGGGTATGAAGTTTCAGTTTTGTAAGAGGAAAAGGTTTTGGAAATTAGTTGCACGACAATGTGAATGTGCTTAATACTATTGAACTGTATGCATAAAATGAATAATGAATACACATAAAAATAACATTTTATGTGTATATTACCACTTTTTTAAAGAAAGTAAATGCACAAGGTAAAAAAAAGTCATGTGTAAGGATGAGTGTGCAGAACACAAAACACCTGAAATCTGGAATTGTGTGTTGCGATTTGTCATCAACATTTAATGTGTATTGTTTTGATAGCACATACTTTTAAAAAATTCTGTAGCCTGATGACTTTTTCTTTTTCCTGCTTTTTTAGTAGCTTGCCATATAATTCCAAGCTATTCATCAGTTAAGATTTCAGGAGCATCTTTATTGAATTAAATTGGAAACATAAATTCAGCCATCCCTGATGTATTAAAATTTGATCTATATCACATTGAATTTTTGTCAATTATTCTTTTTAATAGTAATTAAGCAAATATTTTAAAAAGCAAATTGAAAGCAAGTGTTTTACAACCTTTGCAGAAACTCCATAAAACCTTAGAGCTTTGGTGAACCACAGTTTGAAAATCACTGCTATAATACACTATGTTAATCTTCTACTTGGTTTTCACCTTTCTCGATCCACTCTCCACACATCTGCTGGACTTGTCTTTGTAAAACACGAAACTGACCTTGACATATCTTTGCTTAAACATCCTCTGCATAACTCCATCTCTGTAGCATGGTGGTGATCCCTAGCTATCTGTGAGTAGCACTGAAAATTCCAACCTCGAGTCTATCCCCAAACCAAATAAATCAAATATTTTGGGTTGGGTTCTGAGTATATTTCAAAAACTCCCGAAGTGTAGTGTGCAGCAAGAATGAAGAACGACTGACTTAGAGGAGAGTGCATACACCTCTTAATATGACACATAAGAGCTTCAAGATTTGATCTTTCCCCAGTCATGCTTAACTTCAACATGGCCCCACACATGGACCAAATGAGGTCCCTGGTCACGTGAGCACTCTAACCCTTTCCTGCTTGCTCAGGTTGCTCCCCCTGCATCTGGCCTTTTTTGTTATAACCCCTGAGAGTCCATCTTGACAACACAGCTCAAACATCACCAGTTCCATGCTGGTTCCTTCTTTCCTTTGTCCCTCCTTCCCCCTTTCTTCTAACCAATGAATAAACTCTACTGTAATCATAGCTTTCTTTCTAAAAAACAAATATCTCTCTGTTTGGTTCATTATTGATGTGAATTACTGGGAAAAGTTTCCTTACCAGAATGAGTACATAAATGAATGAGTGAATGAGTGAACAAATAAATAAATAAGCAGAATACCTATTAGCTTGCTAAGAAATCTGGTCACTCTATCTCTATATAACAATTCGTATTCTCTAGTGCTTTACAGACCTTTATTGTCTATAATTTGCATCGCAGAAAAGTGGCGCTATGTCGCTATCTCTTGACTGGATTCAAACCTGGAGTTCTCTACAAATCCCAAGCTCATCCCACCAAACACTTTTATATACGGAACTACTCCCCAGTTTAGAGAGTTTAGAGGTTAAGATGGAGGGGTTATAGCAAAATGGTCAGGTACCTGACTGAGCTTATGTCGCAAGTTTTGAGGCTGGTTTTAAACTCTAATTAGAAACTTGAAGTCTGTATTTCTTGTTTTTTTTTTTGTTTTGTTTTTTTGTCCTGCATTTTCCTGAATTCTTTATCATCAAACTGTTTTCTAACAGTTTAAAAATCTGAGTTCTTATTAAGGCTCCATGTTTCACTTTTCCAGCCATTTCTTCCTCCCACCCCAATTTTTTAACTTTTGAGATATTTAAGAGCCAACACAAAAGAAGAAGTTGTAGCCAAGGAGATTATCAACAGGGCTTTTTACTATCATAACTCGGTCAGAGAGGAAAAGATGAAAATAACCATCTAAATATCTTGCCTATAAGCTTGCCAAACACAACCCACGGTAGTTTGGAAAATGAATGGTGAGGAGCACATCATTTGAGTATATTTGTGTGAAATTACTGACATTGTGATACTTGAGCACCTCCAGTATTTCTGCTTCAGGAGTCTTAATGCAGTTCATGGTGAATGATGTGTTTGTTGTATCACTGCGTCAGTAAATTGAAATGACAGTGTGACTTTGTTCCCATTCATGCTTTGCATGCCAATTTTATCCCAAGTGAAACCTTCTCTTTGATTATTCAATGGGCCTAGCTGTGCAAACTCAGTGTTGTGCACATTTCATGAGGAATGAAGCTAGGGAGAAGCAAGTGGCTTTTACATGCCTGCACACTTATAAGTGAGCTTTACTTTTCCCAGTGGCTGTGTCCTATGGGTCACTTTCTCCTTCATAATGATGATATCCGAAATAAACTTTAAACTAGACATTAATGTAATGGTTATTGAGCTGTACATTGTGTATCTTTGTACCTATTAACATCACAATCAACATAGCATTCCAGAGTGCCCCACAATCATAATTCATTAACAAGGCAATGATTTTCAACTGGCTGAGGAGCTCCTTTATGTGATAAAAACCCATTATAGAAAAGAGGCATAAGAATGTCAGGGTGTGAATTAAATTTCTCCCCATGATGCCTGTTTAAGTCAGGTAGCTCGAGACTGTGCATTACTAACCCTGTTCTTTTATGAGTCTCCTCAGCATGCATGGCATCTGCGTGGAGAAGAGCAGCAGGCACACCTGTGAAGGCTGAACCTCAGGATGGAAACTCCACCCACCCTGTTCTCTCTTCTCCAGCCATATGCCACATAGAAACCTTAAATATGAAGCAGACAATGGATTGGATGTATTAACTGAAAGAGGTTCTCCAATAAAGTATATCTTTTAGTTTTGGTGGAGATTTATGGGTCCTGTTTGAGAGACAGATTTAGTGTCTGGTACAAAATTGAATCTCTTGCCTTTTAGAAACATAGAAGTTTCTTTCAATCAGGCTGTTGTAAAGATATCTCATTCATTCCTGAACTTCACTAATTGTATCAGGGTTTGGCAATTCCTGGGTTGGGGGCGGGGGTTGGTGGGAATGTGGGGCTAGAAGATGGGAGAGGACCATGGAAAAACTTGTTGACTCTTTTAAGGCAGAAAGAAGAAGCAAATTAATCTCATCCAGAGGATGAAGTAGACTACAGTTTGGCTCATGTTTGATATTGTCTTATGGAAAGTAGCAAAGGGTCATGATGAGGGGAGGTGGTAGTGTAATTAGGGAAAGCTTAGACTTTGGATTTATATGTTCATTGAGTTCATATCCCAACTCTTCCAATTATTAGTAGCTTTGTGATCATAGGAAAGAATGTTTTAGTTTTTCTGAGTTCTCTCATTTTTAAAATAGAAAAATAATGCCTTTCTAATATGATTGTTGTCCAGCTTAGATAACATGAGCAAAGGCCAAGTGTATATAAAAGTATAAAATCAATGATATATGTTCTTATTCTGAACTATCATTATTGAGGATAGGTTATTGAAATTGAAAATAGATCATCTGCAACTGGATGCATGGGAATGTGTGAGTAGGACTCAGAAACTTAGTTAACAAAAGGAAGGCGTCTAAGGGATTAAGATTGAAGAGCAAGATAAAATGTTAATGTGTTGGCATCTATGGGAACACATCTCAAATCAAAGGTGGCAAGAGCTAAGTGGGTGATGGGGTTGAGTGGAAGGTGCCTCTCAAGCTGAGTCCAGACACATTCTTGGGGTCATCATTCTCCTCCCCTTCAGTGCCTCTTCGGAAAGCTCAAGATCCCCTGCCTGAGGGTGTCTAGTGATTAAACCCAGATCCACACACAGAGCATCTGACCTACTGAATGGTGCCCAGTAAAGACCATTTATTTCCTTAGTCTTCAATCTGAAATGTAAAAAAGACCTATACTACTTGTCATCCTGCGCCATTCATTGGTTTGGCACCTCTATTAGTCCGTTCTCATGCTGCTAATAAAGACATACCCGAGACTGGGTAATTTATAAAGGAAAGAGGTTTAATTGACTCACAGCTCAGCATGGCTGGGGAGGCCTCAGGAAACTTACAATTATGGTGGAAGGGAAAAGCAAACACATCCTTTTTCACATGGCAGCAGGAAGGAGAATGAATGCCCAGCTAATGGGGAAGCCCCTTATAAAAACAACCAGATCTCGTTAGCACTAACTCACTACCATGAGAACAAGATGGGGGAACTGCCCCCCATGATTCAATTATCACCACCTGGTCCCTCCCACAACACATGGGGATTATGGGAACTGCAATTCAAGATAAGATTTGGGTGGAGACACAGCCAAACCATATCAGCAGCTAAGGATGAGCAGGACCTCGGGCTTTTCAGAAAGGTGGCAAGTTGAAGAGGAGCAGTCACTTGGACTACCAGGATTCAAACCATGATGACCCATTCATCAGCTCAAGTAAATCACTTCACCTCCTGAGCCTTAGTTTCTCAAAATTTAAATCACGGATAATAACACTGACCTGCCTAGTATTTGGATGTCATGAGGTTCAAAGTCAAACAGAGATAATGGATGATAAAGCACACTGGAAACTGTTAGCCATCATGTGAGGATGTGACAAATTTTTAATATGCTGAAATACCTCTTTTAGCAGTGATAGCCATCTAACAGTTGACAGCCTCATCGTATTGATGTATTGATTTTTTTTTTTTTTTTGCAAATACTGTATATGCCACTAAGGCACGGAATAATAAGACGTTAGTAATTCAATATTCAAACAGATAATTGTATGCCCATGTCTATATTAGCCTCATAAATAATTTCATTAGTAGTGTGTCATTGGAAAGAAGAATTGCAAACAGATTTTTCATAAGAGAATATGGTGAAGAATGAAATCTCTCTAATGATACTCATATGAAACTTTAGTATTGTTGTGTAAGTTGGGATCTCAGTATTATTCATTCATTTATTCATTTCACATTTTTAGTGCTTTTTATGTGTTAACATTCCTCTTTTTTATCTATACTCACTTATAAATAATGCTTATGTGTTGACAACTTCTGAGTTAATTTATGTAGTTGCAGCCTCCCCCTTGAATTCCAGACTAAAACATCCAGTTGTCTACAAGGCATCCTGACTTGAGTGTCTAATAAGCATCTCAATTCAACATTTCCAGGATTGAACTTCTAATTTGCTCCTATTCTCTGCAAACATGCTCTTTCTATTCTATCTCAGTAAATGGCTACTCCAATTTTCCAATTCCTTTGACCCCAAACATGGGGGTCATCTTTGATTTCTTCATTCTGTCACACCTACATCAATTCACCAGCAAATCCTATTGCTTCTAGTTTCAAAACACATCCAGAATCTGGCAACTTCCCACCATCTTCACTGCTTCCACACTAATTTCTTGCTCAGGTTAATGTAATTTCTTCGTAATTGGTCTCTCTGCTTTTGCTCTTCTCACGCTTCTCACTCTCACAGACATTCTCACCATGGAAGCCAGAGTGAGCCTTTAAAATACAAAACAGATCATACCAATTATTTGCTAGAATCCTTCCAGTGACATTCCATATTACTCAAAGCATAAGGTCCTACATGATCTGCCTCATTTTCTGTCTACCACCTAATCTCCTAATAGTCTTCCCTTCACTCACTTTACTCTTGCCTCAGTGCTGTCTTCCTGATATTCCTCAAATATGCCAGGCACACTTGGGTAGGTAAGGAGGGAGGGAGGGAAGAGGGCATACCAGAAGAACAAAATAGCATTTTCAAAGTGATGGCTCTCAAAGAACTTGCCTGCTTGGAATTTCAGTCCCTCTGGGGTCATGCAGACATGATTAGAGATAAAAGCTTAGTCAGGTAATGAATGATCTGGTATGCCGTGGCCAAGAGGTTGGACTTTATACAATAGGTAAAGAGTAGCCAATAAAGAGTTTCAAGTAGAAGGCTGACATAATCAGACTTGCATTTTAAGAATCTAAGGTGGAGATGTATTGAAAGGAGAAGGATGACCTGTTGGAAGGACATTGCAACACGGGAAAGAGACACAAAAGCCCAATCTAAGGCCGGGGAATTGGTAGTAGATAGAGACGGGAGGTGATTAGGTCATTCCAGGAAGTGGAACATGCCATATTATGGACATTAAATAACTATTGGTCAACAAAATAAGCATCGGTCAAAATCAATAGAATAAAACTTTGTCACCAGTTAGTTTTCAGAGTAGATTGTAGTGGGGAGAATTCAGCTCAAGGACTCCAAAACCACTTTGAAATCAGTTTACAAAATTTAACTTATCCAATGAAAAAGTGGACTCATAAAAGTCAAATCATGTCTTTTGATGCAGTATTCTCTGGCTAGACTCTTTGGCATGTTTAATTGTGGATTTCAAGATGCATTTCATTTGATTAGTCCCTGTAGAAGGAACTGAGTCAGGTGATATATGACTTCTTACTGGTTTGCTTATTTTATTAGACACTTATTTCATTTCTGGTACTTCATTTCTGGTATCATTTTCCATTTTACACGTCATAAATATATACATAAATATTTTAAAAGTTTCTGTTAATCCAGGTTGAATATGTGCCATATAATTGATAATAGCTCTAAAAGTACCTAGGTAATAAACTGCTCTGGCCTCCAAGCTTAAGTTAACTTAAAACTCGAGAATGGCATGTTAGTTGGCAGGACCCATAGAGATTATCTACAACACCCCACTCCCCAACACCAGAGCCCCCTTCCCTCTGCTCGTACTTTATTTTTTAAAAAAAGAAATTGAGGGGTAAAAGAACTTGTCAAACTTTATACCTTTAGTGGCCAAAACATTTGGAATATTAAATGGTGTTTTCTGGGACCACGTTAAAGCAAAAGAGTCACACGAAAAAAGAAAACGACTTCAGTGTGCATTAGAAGCTCCAGAGAGTATGCTAACAAACTGGGCCCTTCTCACAGAAATTCTGATTCCATAGAAACCTTCACTTTAAAAAAATACCTCACTGCAGTGATGCTAACGTAGATGGTCTATGTGCCATACTTTAAGAATGACTCTCGTAAAACAAAATAAGCAGGCGCAAACCAGGAGTTTACCAAAACGTATAGACCTACCAGAACTTTAAAAAGACAATAGTATAACCCAGATTACAGGTTAACAGATACTACTTCTCTATCAACATCTCTTTTTATGGAAAACACACATAGCACACATAGGCTGTCATAGAGCCTTTGTGGCTGTCCAACATAGCATAATAATTGCAAATACAATTATCCCTTTTCAGCCATTTGTGTATCAAGCCCTCCTGATTTTTATGCATTACACATACGCATCATTCCTTAAGAGAGTGTGAGATAACCATAAGTATTAAATGATGTCTTTGTCCTCAATGGACCTCTGGCTTAGGAAAACAGATGTGGTTGCTCTCTTGTGGGAGGCAGAAGCTCATCTGTATTACCTTCGCGTTCCACCTGCACTCTTACATTCCCATAGTCTGAAATAACGCAGTCAAACTATGCCTTTCAGGAATGCTTTGTTTGAGGGCTAAGGGTGAGAGATCACACATTATGTAGCCTGAACATGATTTACAACTGCTAGTGTGATTAAGATAATCAGATCAGACCATCCATAAATATTGCCAGTAATAGCAAAGAAGAAAATCCTATGGAAAGCAATATATGCTACAGACATGAAGGGAAAGTACTCTTTTGCCCTCCCATAGAAAGATACAAACTTGAACTGGGTTATTATAAAAATTCACATTGGGCTAAAACCGACACTAGGAATCATCTTATTCAGTAATTTTCACCAAAAAGAAAAAACATTGGTGGCAGAATACTGTTTTCAAACAAAGTTTTATATAGAACCCTAAAAAAAAATAAAGGCAGAGCTGCTCTCAATGAAGCCAGGGGAGTAGGGAAAAGCTGGGCCTGATCTTTTCAACCTGTGGACTGACCGACCTGATATTCTACATCAGAATCCCAGGGGTTCACAGGAAAGCACTATGACCAAAGACGTTAAGGGATTTGACTATAGCAAGAAGGGCTGGAGTCTTCAAGTTAAACTTAGGAGCCTAGGGACCAGCGCTTATTCTCTGAAGGCCAAGCTGCCTCTCACTCCTTGATACAGATGCCAGATTATAAAAACACACCATCAGCAATGGAGGTCCCAATGGCATCTATAGCCTCTTTATAGTCATGTGACAGTCTGGCTGAGTACCCCCTTCTTCAATGTGGGTTTCTTTGGGGAAGATTGATTTAAAGCAATGAGAGACGGGGAGTGCTCCCTCCTCCTGAGAAGGCTTGGGGACAAGCAGGAGAGAAGTTTTTAAGAAAATGGAAACCATGAGTTCCTCGTTTATGCATGTTTTGAATCTTACTGTGTAGAGCACTTGGTTCTAGAAAAAGACAGAATGAGCCCCGAAGAAGGGAAAAGCGATGAAAACCTAGTGATCTGTGCAAAGAAAGACAAGGAATGTGAAACAGTCAGCTCTTTCTTTTGGCAGACTCACGTATATGCTGATTCCTCTAATGAGTATTTATTAATCTTAACCATTGAGTATTGATTATGTACAGGGATGTTTGAGGTTTTTTTTCCATTGGAGTCCTCAGATCTATGGACTAACTATGAGAGGGTGAGAATTACTTTAAATAAAGACCTACCAAAATGTGGCTTATGAAATATTAGCTTCCTCTCCGTTGCAGATTACACCATTTTGTTTTACAAGTTTCCTGGGCCAAATTCTGAAGTAACTTGCTTTCAGTCACTAATCTGGGCTTTGTTTTTTAGTGGATCATGGATCATGCAACATAATAAAAAACATTGAAATGAAATTAGTAGACTTGCTTTCTCTTTCATTCAAATAGGAGGAAATGTTTGGGGGAAAAAGAATTTACCAGTCCTGCACCAAAATCGTAATTGCAGTGGGATCCTAACTCTACCTTAAAAAGTGATTAAAGTATTATATAAAAGTAGAGTTGTGGAGGGCCTGGGCACTGGCATGATACACTCAGTCATGACCAGTCATGATGTACTCTTAGTTTGAATAGTGTTTTCTCCAACTACAAGCTGTATGGCTCAAGGCAAGTTACTTAACTGTTCTGTGCATTAATTTCAACCACAGATAAGAGATACTAGTAGTGCCTACTTTGTAGCATTGATGAGGATTAAACAAGATAATGCATACAGCTCTTGGAGAAGTATCTGGAATATACAAAGTGCCCAATAAATGTCAGCTATTATTATTTCCAAGTGGTAGGACAATGAGTGATTTTTTCCCTTAATTTTTTAAAAAAGTTAATGCAATTATGTTATATGTTACATTATGACAGAAACTAAAGTCATAAATACAAAACAAAAAGTAAAAATTTTTGAAATTTGAAAATGTTGAAAGGCTCTCTTTTTTTTCCTCTAAATCCAATGTCAACTAAGATGAGGTTCAATTTTTGAGAGGAATAGTGTGTATATGAAGGGGAGAAAAATGGATAAAAAATGTACAGATAAAATTGTTCTACCCAATCTTTTTGCAAAAACCCGTTCTCCCTCCTTTTTTCTCAATGAATATTTGTCACTATGACCTTCCAGCACTAAATAAGAGAGAGAAGGAAGGAGGATAAGAGGAAGAAGATGAATAAAAATGGTTAGATGCAATTTTTCTGGTTAAACCTTCCCAAATCTCAATGGAATAACATTTTAGTCTCATACCAAACCTTACCTCTCACTGTCATACTTCTGGGCCAGTAATTTTAAGTGTATTGTTATGGATATAGATCTGACTTGATTTCGTCTTACACAGTAGGATGTTAAAAGAAAATTCCCAGCTCAGGGTGAACAATTTAAAATGTTACGACTTTCTTTAGGGGATTGCAAAAGAGAGTTTTGAGATCTCACTTTTACCTGGTCTTGCCACTTCAGTGAATTAACCCACAAGTATTTATTGAATGGTTAATTACTCTGCGTCCAAAGTTTTAAAACTTTGTCTAGGACAGGTCACTACCCTTCCAAATGGCCTCACACAATCTCTTTTCAAATGTGAGGGAACCCTGGATGGGATCAGGCTGAAATAAATCTATTGTCAAGGAGTTTGAGACCAGCGTAGGCAACACAGCAAGGGCCTGGTTTCTACAAAAATATTTTAAAATTTGTCAGGTGTGGTGGCACACACTTGTAGTCCTAGCTACTTGGGAGGCTGAGGCTGGAGGATTGCTTCAGCCCAGGAGTTCGAGGGTACAGTGGGCTATGATTGCACTACTGCATTATAGCTTGGGTGAAAGATCAAGACCTTATCTCAAAAACAAACAAACAACAACAAAAAAAACACAACCTCCCCCTCCCCCCAAGGAAAAAACCAAAACCATGGTGTGAGTCCCTGTGATCTGCTGGTTATTTCTGAGACACCATAATTGGGAATTAGGAAGTGGGGTGTGGAGACAGATCTCATTGAATTAGCACAGGCTGTGGTATTTGCACGTGAGCTCAGGCAGAACCAAACGTGCTAACAAAATTCAGTGATTTTACAATGCACCTAGTGTTTCTGCCAGAAATTTGGGCTCTGCAAGCCTTGTGTTTTCTAATTGGAGGGCTTGGAAGGGGGAAGCTGAGCTGTTAGAACGCTGGGGTAAAAACCCATTACATTTATTTGATAAGGATTGTATGTTTTAGGTAATTTTCTATTTAGATAAACCTGCCCTTCTATTTAGTGAAGAGTCTTTTTTAAGGCCATAGAAGATGGTTTAAAAAAGCAACCCTACTAAGTATTTAGTGTTTGAGTTAAGCCTGAAGGGTATCAGTTCATTCACATAGGCTCTGTTAAACCACTTAATAGCTGTGTGACCTGAACAGTCATTAGCTGTTGAGCACTTTCTCTGCGACAGGTCCTTGCTCCTTGTTTCATATCCATTATCTCATAAATTACTTACAATAGTCCTTTGAATGGCCCCTCTTATTTTCTTCATGAGGAGCCTGAGGCTTAGAGTACTGTGGTAATTGCCCAAGGTTTTGTAAGTGGTGTAATGATGCTGGGTAGCTGGGTTCAGTGTCTTCAAACGGAAGTCGTAATAGCTACCTCCCAGAGTGGCTGTCAGGAATACACGTATATGTATACATGTTTATATACAATATGTGATATCCACTCATATATACATATGATATTATGAATATAGATAAAAATTAAATTAAAAATTATATATATACCCACACACATATATGCATGTATGTGTGTGTCTGGTACATGAGAAACATTTGATAAGTAGCATTATATCAACAGAGATCACCTTTCTACAATGAGAAACTTGCTTCTGTAGAGGAATATATAGACACGACACAGGTGAGAAGTAAATGAAGAAGATTTCATTTGAGGCTTGCTAACACTCTCTTAAGGCAGAGTTTTAATTACTTTCTACCATCTCCCTGCTTAAAGTTCCCTGAAAATTGTTAATCTCCCACTAGTTGAATGAATTATACACTAATAGGACTCTTTTGCTTCCACCTCAGGTAATGGTGACAGAGCTTTTAACCTCTGATTGGAATGAGGCCTTTTTTTTGCATGGGACCTCTCTCTGATAGACTATGAGCTTCTTAAAGGCAGGGTCCATCTGGTTAATGAAGTCCTTGACAAGGTGCCTGATGTTGTACAGGTGCTCTGTTACCTGCCATCTCTTAGTAGGTCAGAAAGAGCCTCTGATAAAAAGATTACTATGCAGCCATAAAAAATGATGAGTTCATGTCCTTTGTAGGGACATGGATGAAGCCGGAAACCATCATTCTTAGCAGACTGTCGCAAGGACAGAAAACCAAACACCGCATGTTCTCACTCATAGGTGGGAATTGAACAGTGAGAACACATGGACACAGGAAGGGGAACATCACACACCGGGGCCTGTTGTGGGGTGGGGGGAGGGGGGGAGGGATAGCATTAGGAGATATACCTAATGTTAAATGATGAGTTAATGGGTGCAGCACACCAACATGGTACATGTATACATATGTAACAAACCTGCACGTTGTGCACATGTGCCCTAAAACTTAACGTATAAAAAAAAAAAAAAGATTACTGGCTCACGCCTGTAATCCCAGCACTTTGGGAGGCCGAGGTGGGCGGATCACCTGAGATCATGAGTTTGAGACCAGCCTGACCAACATGGTGAAACCCCATCTCTACTAAAAATACAAAAAAAAAAAAAAACCACCCAAAAAATTAGCCGGGTGTGGCGGCACATGCCTGTAATGCCAACTACCCTGGAGGCTGAGGCAGGAGAATCACTTGAACCCGGGAGGCGGAGGTTGCAGTGAGCCAAGATGGCACCATTGCACTCCAGCCTGGGCAACAAGAGGGAAACCCTGTCTCAAAAAAAAGAAAAAATTACTGGAAAAGATAATCTCCTGAGTTCTGTTTATTGGGGGACAAAGGTCCTTGGACTCTAGGGGTCCTTCTTCCACCCTCTGTTTCCCAACACTTCCCAGGCCTTAGGTCAGCCTGGGATAATCCATTTCTGCTGGAAAATTTATTAGGGATTATCTAGTAAAAATGAATAAATGAAGATATCTTAAAAAGATTTTTCCTAGTAGATTGGAAAATGTAGTATAAAAGCTGAAGAAGTTAGGAGCCATTTAATAACAAAAGAGGAATAGATAAATAGACCACCCAGAGAGCAGAATAGAGTTCAAACCATGTCCTCTTCACCAATTACTATGTTCACACCATAAATGTGCCATTTTGAATCAGTAAAGGAAGAAGAGACTATTTTATTACATATATTTGGAGAAAAATAAAAGTATATTCCTTTTTGGTATCCAAAAGGTGGTTTTAATCCACATTTTAGTCCAGGTGGATTAAAAAATCTAAACATAAAAAACAATATTGTACTACAAAAAGTATAAGAGAATAGTTTTATAATCTTGACATCAAACCGAGAAACCACAAGAGAAAAGATTGGCATTTTGGGCCGGGCATAGTGGTTCACGCCTGTAATCCCAGCACTTTGGGAGGCCCAGGCGGGCAGATCACCCGAGGTCAGGAGTTCGAGACGAGCCTGACCAACACGGTGAAACCCTGTCTCTACTAAAAATACAAAAATTAGCCAGGCGTGGTGGCACATGCCTGTAATCCCAACTACTCAGGAGGCTGAGGCAGGAGAATCACTTGAACCCGGGAGGCGGAGGTTGCAGTGAGCCGAGATCATGCCACTGCACTCCAGCCTGGTGACAGAGCGAGACGCTGTCTCAAAAAAAAAAAAAAAAAAAAAAAAAGAAAGAAAAAAAAAAGAAAAGAAAATTGCTTTCTCCCCACCTCCTTCTATTCTTCTGAAAAAAAATTATGACAGGCTGTTTTCAAAAAGTAAATTTTAAAGGCACAAGATTTATTTTATGCTAAAATATAATGCTGACTAAAAGAGCTCATCTTTAGACTTCCTGACGTGCTTGATTTGTTACCACAATTACTTGTTTCTTTTTTTTTCCTGTCCAGTGGCATATCACAAAACTTCTTTTTAATTTGGCTCTCTGCTGGTGTTTGCAGCTGGAAATTATTTCCACCTCCTGCTTAGGTCAAGGGAAAGTCAAAGATGGAAGGAATCTTAGAATTCATCTAGTCAAATCCTCCATCCTAAACTTGAATTCCCTCCACAAAATCCCCTCTTGACACATCCATGGGCTTATCCCAGTTGCCCCAGCCTATGTAAACGAGGCAAAGAGCAAGAGACAGGGTAGAGAAACAGCAAGAGGGGAGCAGTGGCTGTTTCTGCACCTTACAATCTTACTAAGTTTTCTATACCACTTTACCATACAGAAAAAATACTCAATTAAAGATTGTTTTATCAAAGGCCTTACCTTCTGTTGTACCACACACACTAACTAATAAACTTACATGGCAGTGTGCGAACATTAATGAGAATGAATCACTCCTAAATTATCAGCTCACATTATCATATAAATGATCACTTTTATTTTCTCTCCCAATAGTGCTATAATCTCTAATAAAACAGTTTATACATGTTGTAAGTGAGACTACTGTGCCCTAGAAAACTAGCATTATATTGCTTTGTTAATAAAAATGCAAAACTACTCAGGCAGCTTTTATCAGATGCCTAAGTCTCTGGATCAAGCCCAAGTCAGCCCACCGTACATCTGGAAGAAAAGCAAGTCAGACTGAACCCTGAACACAGTGTTACAGGAAGTATCCCAGGCTTGGTATATTCAAATACCCAGATAAGATTGCTGATCATGGAATCTGTTTCCAGCCCTGTCTCTCTCCCCTTCCCAACCCTAAAAATTTCTTTTATTAGAATTTGGGGGTCTAGTAGCAAAAGTAAGTGGAAAACAATGATCCTACCTTTGATGCATTGTGGCCACGATATGGACCATGAAAAAGAAGTTCTCTAGTCTAGTGAAAGGGATGGTTAATATAATAACTTGGACTTAAATGAAGCCTATTGGCTCTGTAGGAACACAAAAGAAATGACCCTGTGGGGGTAAAACAGACCTTTATAAATTTCATCATGCATCATGTGGGACAAAAGAGCCACTGAAATTCGAGTTTGTACAAATGTATTATGATGATGCTGTTCTTAACAAGTTCTGCCAAAGTCTGAAAAACATAAGCGTTTCTAGAGTCGCTATTTGCCAGGAGAATAATCTGCTTTCTGTTTGCAGAAATCCAAGTGAAGGAAAGAGGATTCTGTCCAGAGAGTTTTAATTTGACCCAAAACCTTAATCAGATGACTTTTCTGTAGATCCTTCTCTTAGTCTGTCAAGAAGAGCGCTGCTGCTGAAGCCAAAAATATTGGCAGATAAACTCCTTACAAGAAAGAACATTGTAGATAGGTGCACACAAACACAATATGTAAACAATGGCTATGCCTCAGATGGTTTCTGTTTGTTTTTTGAGGGTGATGGAGGGAGGTTATTGCAATCTTTTGGCAGTGAAAAAATAGCAGGTGTGATAATCAACTCACCTTTCTATCAAGAGAGTGAATTTAAATGGGTGTCGCTTACATAATATTAATATAGTAGAAATTTGACTACTTAGTCCAAAATAAAGAAATAGGGATGAATTTTCATACAAACTTTTTCTTTTTTTTTTGGTTTCTTTATTCCATTTTATTATTTATTAAGACTGTTAACAAAAAATAGGCTTTATTTTTCCTCTGAACTTAAAAACTATAAATTTACTTGGGTCACTAACAGTGCTCTCAGTCTGAGAGAAAATAACATAATAACAACAATAATGAACAAAGCACTTAGCATGTGCCAGGCACTGTTCTAGGTGCTTTTACCTATTCAGTCATTACTTTTCACAACAGCTCTGTGAGGTAAGTACTATTTCATACAAACTTTTTCTTTTGGAGAGGGAGGGAGGGAGGGAGGGAGACAGCACCTGCGGGAGACTGGGCAGGATCTCTCCTATGAAGTCAGAACAACTATTGCCTGTGGCAAAGTACCCAGCACTGTCTCCCACTAAGCCTCACTAATTTATCTTAGTCTGTACATGTAAGAATCCTCTAATACACCAACCTTGGACCAGTTTCTCATTCTCGTTCAGGGTTTTGTAAGGTGAGCAGCAAGCTGCTTTGGAGGCACTAAACTTGTGTGTTGGCTGGGATATAAAAGCCATACCCAGATGCATGAGCTATCCGTTTCATCATCTTTTTAAAGCAGACGTGTTAGCCCTGCCAGCTAGGACAACCCCTTGGCTAGCTGCCTTTTGTCTTCTGTACATCTCCTTTGCCAGTGCCCTTGGAGAAGTTAGACATTACAAAACATGACAAAAATAACACCATTTCTGGTTAAATAAATGATTTCAACCTAAGTTTTCCTAACCAGGGAAGATAGCTTAGTGTGGAGTTTCACAGACCTCCGGTTAATTCTTCCACCTGCTACTGCATCACTTTCAGGCCATGAGAACAGGTAATTATAACACTATGGAGTGCAGTGAACAGCTTGCTATTGGAAGTCAAAGAAAGGAACCATTAACTCTGGCCGTTTCCTTCTTTTCTGACCTTAGCATTTCTGAGTACATTTATGTGCATTATCTCCTTTCTTCTTCAAAACATCTCTGTGAAGAGCGTAAGGTATTATTCCCACTTTTAGAAATAAAAATTTCGGAGCCTCAGAAAAGTTAAGTAACTTGCCAGGATTACACAGCTAGTAGATTTTAGCTGTGAAAAGGAAATTTTTATTCTGCTTTTAAATTCTATCTTCTTGAGGACATCATTGTAAAAGATCCAGTCAATGAGAAACAGTTATTGTTTTTATATTTTGTAACTCAGTCAAATTTGAAATAAATAGCTCAAAGTTCTTAACTATTTACAATTACAGAATATCACCTCCAACTACTGAATTAAAGGTTTTTGATGAATCCCAGCCAAAAAGAGACGGAAACTTGCCATTATTAGGTTCCCTTTTTATATTTGTATAACTTAATTTTGATTTAAATAAGAAAATAAGATTTAACCAATGATTAGTATAATCTGATGTAATTGCTCATCTTACTTTGTGGAATGCAAATAACAAATAGATCATACTTTAAACAGCCAAATATCCTATAAGTATATTAGCAATTTTTATAGTAACTTTTTTATTTCTGAAACATGCATCTTAATACGTATTAACAAATCTAGGTAGCCATTTCATCCATCAAGTAAATAATGTATACTTTAAGACTGTTCACTTGAAGTCCTAAGACATAGATTATATTGAACTCAAAGCACATTATTTCTGTTTCCTCTTATAACCAAATGAACATATAGAAAATTATTCCATTTTTAAAGAGAACCAATATCATTGGATTCTTATTTTATGCCAGAAGTTTTACATATAATATTGTCTTTCCTTCTTCAGTTTTACCATTGAGAAGTTGATTCTCAGAAAAGTTAAATAATTTGCTCGTGGTCATGCAATAGTTCAGTGGTAAAAATAGTATTTAATCCAAGGCCTTTTCTCTGCATTGTGCAGATTCACAGTGACATTATTATTTTTTCATATAAATGGGCATATAAACAAAATCATATGCAAAGTCTTCCTATTTCTAGAAGGCCTAAGAAAGATATAGACAATAGATACAGAAAAATAATTATTCTGGAGGGAAAGCTCAATGTAAATTAACTTTTAAAAAAAATTAGTGATAGATGTGAGAAGAGGTCAATCAAAAAAGTGACCTTTTGAATGACTTGCCCTGTATTTGTAAAACTAGACAACCCATTATCTTGTAATTACATGACATGTCTTAAGGAAATAAATTAAAATATTTGTTATGCTCCTTATCTGATTTTTTTCTATTTTTCTATACTCTAAGTTCTGGGATACATTTGCAGAATGTGCATGTTTGTTACATAGGTATATGTGTGCCATGGTGGTTTGCTGTACCCATCAACCTGTCACCTACATTAGGTATTTCTCCTAAGGCTATCCCTCCCCTAACTCCCACCCCGCCACAGGCCCTGGTGTGTGATGTTCTCTCCCTGTGTCAACGTGTTCTCATTATTCAGCTCCCACATATGAGTGAGAACATGCGGTGTTTGGTTTTCTGTTCCTGTGTTAGTTTGCTGAGAGTGATAGTTTCCAGCTTCATCCATGTCCCAGCAAAGGACATGAACTCATCCTTTTTTTATGGTTGCATAGTATTCAATGGTGTATATGTGCCACATTTTCTTTATCCAGTCTATCATTGATGGGCATTTGGGTTGCTAGCAAGTCTTTGCTATTGTGGACAGTGCTGCAATAAACATACATGTGCATGTGTCTTAATATTGGAATGATTTATAATCCTTTGGATATATACCCAGTAATGGGGTTGCTGGGTCAAATGGTATTTCTGGTTCTAGATCCTTGACTAACTGCCACACTGTCTTCCACAATGGTTGAACTAATATACACTCCTACCAACAGTGTATTCCTATTTCTCCACATCCTCTCCAGCATCTGTTGTTTCCTGCCTTTTTAATGATTGCCATTCTAACTGGCATGAGATGGTATCTCATTGTGGTTTTGATTTGCATTTCTCTAATGATCACTGATGATGAGCTTTTTTTCATATGTTTGTTGGCTGCATAAGTGTCTTATTTTGAGAAGTGTCTGTTTATATTCTTTGCCCACTTTTTTGATGGCGTTGTTCTTTTTTCTTGCAAATTTGTTTAAGCTCCTTGTAGATTCTAGATATTAGGGCTTTGTCAGATGTATAGATTGTAAAAATTTTCTCCCATTCTGTAGGTTGCCTGACCACTCTGATGATAGTTTCTTTTGCTGTGCAGAAGCTCTTTAGTTTAATTAGATCCCATTTGTCTATTTTGGCTTTTGTTGCCATTGCTTTTGGTGTTTTAGTCACGAAGACTTTGCCTAAGCCTATGTCCTGAATGGTATTGCCTAGGTTTTCTTCTAGGGTTTTTATGGTTTTAGGTCTTATGTTTAAGACTTTAATCCATCTTGAGTTAATTTTTGTATAACGTGTAAGGAAGGGATCCAGTTTCAGTTTTCTGCATATGGCTAGCCAGTTTTCCCAACATCATTTATTAAATAGGGAATCTTTTCCCCATAGCTTGTTTTTGTCACGTCTGTCAAAGACCAGATGGTTGTAGATGTGTGATGTTATTTCTGAGGCCTCTGTTTTGTTCCATTGGTCTATCTCTCTGTTTTGGTACCAGTACCATGCTGTTTTGTTTACTGTAGCCTTGTAGTATAGTTTGAAGTCAGATAGTGTGATGCCTCCAGCTTTGTTCTTTTGCTAAGGGTTGTCTTGGCTATACGGGCTCTTTTTTGATTCCATATGAACTTTAAGGTAGTTTTTTCTAATTCTGTGAAGAAAGTCAGTGGTAGTTTGATGGGGATAGCATTGAATCTATAAATTATTTTGGGCATTATGGCCATTTTAACTATATTGATTCTTCCTATCCATGAGCATGGAATGTTTTTCTATTTGTTTGTGTCCTCTCTTATTTCCTTGAGCAGTGCTTTGTAGTTGTCCTTGAAGAGGTCCTTCACATCCCTTGTAATTTGGATTCCTAGGTATTTTATTCTCTTTGTAGCAATTGTGAATGGGAGTTCACTCATGATTTGGCTCCCTGTTTGTCTATTATTGGCGTATAGAAATGCTTGTGATTTTTGCATACTGATTTTGTCTCCTGAGACTTTGCTGAAGTTGCTTATCAGCTTAAGCAGATTTTGGGCTGAGATGATGGCGTTTTCTAAATACACAATCATGTCACCTTCAAACAGAGACAATTTGACTTCCTCTCTTCCTATTTGAATACCTTTTATTTCTTTCTCTTGCCTGATTGCCCTGGCCAGAACTTCCAATACTATGTTGAATAGGAGTGGAGAGAGGGCATCCTTGTCTTGTGCTGGTTTTCAAAGGGAATGCTTCCAGCTTTTGCCCATTCAGTATGATATTGGCTGTGGGTTTGTCATAAATAGCTCTTATTATTTTGATACATTGTATCAATACCTAGTTTATTGAGTTTTTAGCATGAAGGGCTGTTGAATTTTATTGAAGGCCTTTTCTGCATCTATTGAGATAATCATGTGGTTTCTGTCATTGGTTCTGGTTATGTGTTGGATTAAGTTTATTGATTTGCATATGTTGAACCAACCTTGCATCCCAGGGATGAAGCCAACTGGATTGTGGTGGATAAGCTTTTTGATGTGCTGATGGATTCGGTTTGCCAGTATTTTACTGAGGATTTTCACATCAATGTTCATCAGGCCTGATATTGGCCTGAAATTTTCTTTTTTTGTTTTGTGTCTGCCAGGTTTTTGTATCAGGATGATGCTGGTCTCATAAAATGAGTTAGGGAGGAGTCCCTCTTTTTCTATTGTTTGGAATAGTTTCAGAACGAATGGTACCAAATTCTCTTTTACCTCTGATAGAATTCGGCTGTGAATTCATCTGGTCCTGGGCTTTTTTGGTTGGTAGGCGATTAATTACTGCCTCAATTTCAGAACTTGTTATTGGTATATTCAGAGATTTGACTTCTTCCTGGTTTAGCCTTGGGAGGGTATATGTGTCCAGGAGTTTATCTATTTGTTCTAGATTTTCTAGTTTATTTGCATAGAGGTGTTTATAGTGTTCTCTGATGGTAGTTTGTATTTCTATGGTATAAGAGGTGATATCCCCTTTATCATTTTTTATTGTGTCTATTTGATTCTTCTCTCATTTCTTCTTTATTAGCCTGGAGAGTGGTCTATCTATTTTGTTAATCTTTTCAAATAAACCAGCTCATGGATTCTTTGATTTTTTGAAGGGTTTTTCATGTCTCTATCTCCTTCAGTTCTGCTCTGATCTTAGTTATTTCTTGTCTTCTGCTAGCTTTTGAATTTGTTTGCTCTTGCTTCTCTAGTTCTTTTAATTGTCATTTTAGGGTCTTGATTTTAGATCTTTCCTGCTTTCTCCTGTGGGCATTTAGTGCTATAAATTTCCCTCTAAACACTGCTTTAGCTGTGTCCCAGAGATTCTTGTATGTTGTGTCTTTGTTCTCATTAGTTTCAAAGAACTTACTTATTTTTGCCATAATTTCATTTTTACCTAATAGTCATTTAGGAGCAGGTTGTTCAGTTTCCATGTAGTTGTGTGGTTTTGAGTGAGTTTCTTAATCCTGAGTTCTAATTTGATTGCATTGTAGTCTGAGAGACTGTTATGATTTCTGTTCTTTTGCATTTGCTGAGGAGTGTTTTACTTCCAATTATGTGGTCAATTTTAGAATAAGCATGTTGCGGTTCTTAGAAGAATGTATATTCTGTTGATTTGGGGTGGAGAGTTCTGTTGATGTCTATTAGGTCTGCTTGGTCCATAGCTGAGGTCAAGTCCTGAATATCCTTGTTAATTTCCCATCTCATTGATCTGTCTAATATTGACGGTGGGGTGTTAAAGTCTCCCATTATTATTGTGTGGAAGTCTTAGTCTCTTTGTAGGTCTCTAAGAACTTGCTTTATGAATCTGTTTGCTCCTGTATTGGGTGCATATATATTTAGGATAGTTAGCTCTTCTCATTACATTGATCTCTTTACCTTTATGTAATGCTCTTGTCTTTTTTGATCTTTGTTAGTTTAAAGTCTGTTTTATCAGAGACTAGGATTGCAAACTCTGCTTCTTTTTGCTTTCCATTTGGTTAGTAAATATTCCTCCATCTCTTTATTTTGAGCCTTTGTGTGTCTTTGCACATTGATTGGTCTCCTGAATACAGCAGACTGATGGGTCTTGATTTTTTATCCAATTTGCCAGTCTGTGTCTTTTAACTGGGGCATTTAGCCTGTTTACATTTGAGGTTAACATTGTTATGTGTGAATTTGATCCTGTCATTATGATGCTAGCTGGTTATTTTGACTGTCAGTTGATGCAGTTTCTTTATAGTGTCAATGGTCTTTACAATTTGGTATGTTTTTGCAGTGGCTGGTACTAGTTTTTCCTCTCCATATTTAGTGCATCCTTCGGGAATTCTTGTAAGGCAGGCCTGATGGTGACAAAATCTTTCAGCATTTGCTTGTCTGTAAACTAATTGATTTCTCCTTTGCTTATGAAGCTTAGTTTGGCAGGATATGAAATTCTGGGTTGAAAATTCTTTTCTGTAAGAGTGTTGAATATTGGCCCCCACTCTATTCTGGCTTGCAGGGTTTCTGCAGAGAGATCTGCTGTTAGTTTGATGGGCTTCTCTTTGTCGGTAACCCAACCTTTCTCTCTGGCTGCCCTTAACATTTTCTCCTTCATTTTAACCTTGGTGAATCTGACAATTACGTGTCTTGGGGTTGCTCTTCTCAAGGAGTATCTTTGTGGTGTTCTCTGTATTTCCTGAGTTTGAATGTTGGCCTGCCTTGCTAGGTTGGGGAAGTTCTCCTGGATAATATCCTGAAGAATGTTTTCCAACTTGGTTCCATTCTCCCTGTCACTTTCAGGTACACCAATCAAATGTAGGATTGGTCTTTTCACATAATCCCATATTTCTTGGAGGCTTTGTTCTTTCCTTTTCATTCTTTTTTCTCTAGTCTTGTCTTCATACTTTATTTCATCAAGTTGATCTTCAATCTCTGATATCCTTTCTTCTGCTTAATCGATTCGGCTATTGATATTTGTGTATGCTTCATGAAGTTCTTGTGCTGTTTTTCAGCTCCATCTTCTCTAAACTTGTGTTTGTGTTCTTCTCTAAACTGGTTATTCTAGTTAGCAATTCCTCTAACCTTTTTTCAAGGTTCTTAGCTTCCTTGTATTGGGTTAGAACGTGCTCCTTTAGCTCGGAGGAGTTTGTTATTACCCACCTTCTGAAGCCTACTTCTGTCAATTCATCAAACTCATTCTCTGTCCACTTTTGTTCCCTTGCTGGTGAGGAGTTGTGATCCTTTGGAGGAGAAGAGACGTTCTGGTTTTTGGAATTTTCAGAATTGTTGAGCTGGTTTTTCCTCATCTTTATGGATTTATCTACCTTTGGTTTTGATATTGGTGACCTTCGGATGGGGTTTTGGTGTGGATGTCCTTTTTGTTGATGTTGATGCTATTCCTTTCTGTTTGTTAGTTTTCCTTCTAACAGTCAGGCCCCTCTTCTGCAGGTCTACTGTAATCTGCTGAAGGTCCACTCCAGACCCTGTTTGCCTGGAGTGGACGCAAGCGGAGGCTGCAGAAGAGCAAATATTGCTCCTTGTTCCTTCCTTTGGAAGCTTTGTCCCAGAGAGGCACCCACCAGATGCCAGCTGGAGCTCTCCAGTGTGAGGTGCCTGTTGACACCTCATTTGTGGGAGGTGTCAACCTGCTGGGAGGTGTCTCCCAGTCAGGAGGCACCGGGGTCAGGGACCCACTTGAGGAGGCAGTCTGTCCCTTAGCAGAGCTCGAGCACTGAGCTGGGAGATCCTCCGCTCTCTTCAGAGCTGGCAGTCAGGAATATTTAAGTCTGCTGAGGCTGCACCCACAGCTGCCCCTTCCCCCAGGTGCTCTGTCCCAGGGAAACGGGAGTTTTAGGTATAAGCCCCTGTCTGGGGCTGCTGCCTTTCTTTCAGAGATGCCCTGCCCAGGGAGGATGAATCTAGACAGGCAGTCTGGCTACAGCGGCTTTGCCAAGGTGTGGTGGGCTCTGCCCTGTTTGAACTTCCGGGTGGCTTTGTTTACACTGTGAGGGGAAAATTGCCTACTCAAGCCTTGGTAATGGTGGATGCCCCTCCCCCTACCAAGCTTGAGCCTCCCAGGTCGACTTCAGACTGCTGTGCTGGCAGCAAGAATTTCAAGCCAGGGGATCTTAGCTTGCTGGGCTCCATGGGGGTGGGATCTGCTGAGCTAGACCACTTGGCTCCCTGGCTTCAGCCCCCTTTCCAGGAGAGTGAACAGTTTTGTCTTGCTGGTTTTCCAGGCACCACTGGGGTATGAAAAAAAATTCCTGCAGCTTGCTCGGTGTCTGCCCAAACGTCTGCCCAGCTTTCTGCTTGAAACCCCGGTCCCTGGTGGTATAGGCACCCAAGGGAATGTCCTGGTCTGCAGGTTGCAAAGACCATGGGAAAAGAGCAGTATCTGGGCCGAGTGCCTAGTTCTTGGCACAGTCCCTCACAGCTTCCCTTGGCTAGGGGAGGGAGTTCCCCAGCCTCTTGTGCTTCCTGGGTGAGGCAACGCCCCACCCTGCTTCTGCTTGCCCTCCGTGGGCTGCACCCACTATCTAACCAGTCCCAATGAGATGAGCCGGGTACCTCAGTTGCAAATGCAGAAATCACCCGCCTTCTGCATTGATCTTGCTGGAAGCTGCAGACCAGAGCTGTTCCTATTCAGCCATCTTACCAGCCACCCCCTTATCTGATTTTGTATAAGCTTAGAGTGATATAGGAAAGGTGGCAGGACTGAAAATATAACCTCTAAAACTGGGACAAACTTCTGACTTAAAAATCATATTTCTGTGAGATCCAGCTGTAGAAATTGCAATGTACTTAGGCTAAATAAATGGTGAAATGAAGAGATTTTGATTTTAAACAGTGTTCACAGTGTTACCAACAGGGATGACATAAATATATGGACATAAAAATTTTTTCCCTATAAAGTTCAAGCTTGGTAATTTTCTCTCCCTCACACATCATAAGTATGTATTGCAAGCATTTTTTTATTACTCACAATTTCTAAAAAGTGAGATTGGTGGATGCCTACCTGGCATGGGACTCACTGTTCTTCCCTTTACTGTAGTTTATACTGGTAATGATTATGATCCTGTGTATCTATATAAAGTCCTTTGGTTCACAAATGCTTTTATATCTTTTATTTCATATTAGTTGTATCCTGTCAATAATCCTGTGGAGTAGAAATCACAGCAAAATTACCGTCAGTTCTGACTATCACTAGATGGTATCTTTATTTTCTTTGATTTGTGCTTCTACATGTTTGGAAGTTGATTCGTCACAGCTCACAATTGTTAGTATACATATTTTAAACTTGGTATGTTAATATTGACCCTGGTTGGGAGGAGGATTGGAATGATGCTAATAAACTTAGCAGTCTTGGTATATTTTACTTGTGGTGATGTGACATAACCCCCTACCCCAGAACCCAACTCACCCTGCTCTCTATTCACTGAGTCCCCTTCCTTCTGTAACTACCCAGCCCAAACCAGTATCTCATCTCTTTCCTCACTCCCATTCTCGTTAGATATTTTATTATTTCCATAGTATTTATCACAGTTGAATTTATCTTGTTTATTTTCTCACTTTTATTATGGCCTCTTACAACTAGAATGGAAGCATCACAAAGATACAGATTTTATTTGTTTATTTATTTATAGACAGAGTCTTGTTCTGTTGCCCAGGCTTGAGTGCAGTGGCGTGATCTTGGCTCACTGCAACCTCTGTCTCCTGGGTTCAAGTGATTCTCCTGCCTTAGCCTCCCGAGTAGCTGGGATTACAGGTATGCACCACCATGCCTGGCTAGTTTTTGCATTTTTAGTAGAGACGGGGTTTCAGCATGTTGGCCAGGCTGGTCTTGAACTCCTGACCTCAGGTGATCCACCTGCCTCAGCATCCCAAAGTGCTGGAATTACAGGCATAAGCCACCACGCCTGGCCCAGATTTATTAATTTATTTAAATTGTGTACATTGTATCATCCAGCACATAGAGCAACAGGTGTGTGAATGAAGGATAAAATCTAGATGGTCAGGCCTTGAACCACACAACACTTCCACCCTGATTAAAGCTGACTGGGCAACAGCTGGGCACTCGACTCAAGGGCAGCCGATCCTTAAGTTAGACAGGGATGTCTGACACGGACTGGATGAGAAAAGATAAGCCAAACAGGCAGATTCCCTCCCTTAGGAATTTGCAGCAAAAGCCATAAAGAGAATCAACATTACATGGTGGCTGTGGAAGTAAAAACATGAATAGAAAGCAGTTGTAAGCTGCAATGAGTCCAACAGGGATAGAGACAAGTTGAACATGAAGAAATACTTAAAAGGCAAAGAGATAAGATATGTCCGGAAGGAATAAGGCTCACTTAGTTCTGAAGCCCCAGGAGGAGCCAGGTTAAAATGGTAGAGTCAGAGCGTGAAGAGTCACAGCCTGCTGCCTGTGTGTTCAGTGCAGCCTGATCTCCAAACAAGCTTCTGCTTCCCTCATTTCCTCCATGGGAACCTGCACTACCTAACATCTCCTTGTTTGGGGCAAGAGGTGTGTTTCCTTGGTTTCCGTGTTCTTAGAGGACCTCTGTTCTTATATCTAAAAGAGACTAATTCAACTGTCCTTCTTGGTGTCGAATTTAGAGTGCCACATGTTTGGCTCTATTCTTGGAAAAAATAATCTAACATTAGAACATAATTTTATAATTTACAGAGTGCTTTAATGTATATTATGCCATTTGCTTCTCACAGCAACCTCGCTCTGTGAAGTTTCTTTATTTCCTCTACGTGGGAAATTTCTCTCTTACACACTTCTTGATCATTTTCATCTCTCCTTTCACAGGCATCACAGCTTTATTTGAGTGAATGCCTTACATTTTTCTATTAAACACTAAACGTGTAGAAAGCAGTTTATCTCTCATATTGCTTAGTGCCATGTCTCATACAACATTGCTGCTAAATAAAAGCCTTTTTTTTTTTTTTTTTTTTTTTGAGACAGGGTCTCACTCTGTTACCCAGGCTGGAATGCAGTGGCACAATCATGGTTCACTTCAGCTTTGACCTTCTGGGCTCAAACAATCCTCCCACCTCAGCCTCCCAAGTTGCTGAGTTGAGGCATGCACCACCACACCTGGCTAGTTTTTTTTTTTTTTTTATGTTTTGTAGAGATGAGGTCTCCCCACATTGTCCAGGCTGGACTTGAACTCCTGAGCTCAAGCAATCCTCCTGCCTTGGTTTCTCAAATTGCTGGGATTATAGGCATGAGCCCCCACTGTACACAGCCAAATCAAATCTTTGGTCAAATACGGAACTGGCTTTAAGACTGAACGTAAAACAATTCCAGAAACTCTGGTTGCACTTATTAATATCTATACTACTGATTTAGACCTTAATTCATAAACTTTTGGAGTTGTTACTTAGAATATTTCTGGCCAGGTGTGGTGGCTCATGCCTGTAATCCCAGCACTTTGGGATGCTGAAGCAGGTGGATCACCTGAGGTCAGGAATTCGAGACTAGCCTGGTCAACATGGTGAAACACCATGTCTACTAAAAATACAAAAATTTGCTGGGTGTGGTGGTGGGCGCCTGTAATCCCAGCTACTCGGGAGGCTGAGGCAAGAGAATCTTGGAACCCGGGAGGCGAAAGTTGCAGTAAGCTGAGATTGTGCCACTGTCCTCTAACCTGGGTGACAGATTCTGTCTAAAAAAAAAAAAATTCTTCCTCAAATGTATTTACATTTTCACATTTTGTTCATAATAGTTTCTGGAGAACCTACTACAATATTTACTGTATGAATTCGTAAATAAATGAAAAAACCTACTTAAAACGTGTCCAGTTATAACATTAGTAAACAGTTTTAGATTCATTTATTTTAGTTATTCCAAGCATTTGCTTAGGTTTTTATTCTTTAAAGTCATAACTTCCTAGACTATGACTTGATTAGGTTATTTATATTTGCTGATTGCTTTTCTTCCTATGTAAGTGGTGTTCTGAGGACTGAGTCTGGATGAATAATGTCATTATCCATGGAATCCACATTTCCCTCAAAGATGCTAGGATTTCCCTTTGTTTTATCTTGCTGTTTTATTTTTAAAGATGCAGAAGTAAAGTGGGGAGAAGTAAATCAACAACCAAAATGCACAAAATTGCAAGTCTTTTTCAAAGGTAGTAGAGATAGCACTGGAATTTTGCAGAAGATTAATACATTTCCTTTGTTATTACTACTAGATATCATGTTCTAAACAACTATATTTTTATATACTAAGGTCATATGTTGGAGATTCTTGATAATCTTTCATCATCAGTATTAGCTGAGAGTAGCATATAGATAAAAACAGACAAGATAGCACTTGTTCTTTGGATGATTCTTCCCTTGAGAAAAATCAGTGATTTTCTGTTTCCTTAGCTACTCTGTTAAATAGGTAGTCATGCATTCTATGTATGGATATAATTGTATAGCTTTGTTGAGCCAGTTAAGTAAGCAAGTGGCATGATTCTGCCAGAAAGTCTCTTCTCTCTATACTAAACTGTCATACTCACTCACACAAAAAATGCGCATTGACCAACCACCCTTCTTTTGTATATGCTGTGCAGCTACCCCTGGAAATGTTTCCATTTGCTTGGAGAAATGATTGTGTAACATTCATTTGAAATATTCAGAATGGCAGAATTTTAAATTCAAAAAATAAATCTTACACTTGTACAGTAATTTACAGAGTGGGAAACAAAGACACATGCACACGTGTGTTTATTGCAGCACTATTTACAATAGCAAACACTTGGAACCAACCCAAAAGCCCATCAGTGATAAGCTGGATAAAGAAAATTTGGCACATGTATATCATAGAATACTATGCAGCCGTAAAAAGGAATGACTTCATGTCCTTTGCAGGGACATGGATGGGCTGGAAACCATCATTCTCAGCAAACTAACACAGGAACAGAAAGCCAAACACCGCATGTTCTCATTCGTAATTGGGAGTTGAACAATGAAAACACGTGGACACAGGGAGGGCAACATCACACACCGGGGCCTGTCAGGGGTTTGGGGGCAAGGGGAGGGAGAGCATTAGGACAAATACCTAATGCATGTGGGGCTTAAAACCTAGATGACAGGTTGATAGGTGCAGCAAACCACCATGGCACGTGTATACCTATGTAGCAAACCTGCATGTTCTGCACATGTATCCCAGAACTTAAAGTAAAATAAATACATAAACAAATACATAAATAAGTGAAACAGAAAAAAGTATATATATATATATATATATATATATATATATATATATCCATAAGGAAAAGGCAGATCCACAGATTTTGCCTTACCTACAAATATTCCTTCTATTTTATTTATTTATTCACCATATATTTATGTAACACATTATTAGATCTTGATCAAAAGGGGAAATGTGAAAGTTGTCAGTTTCAAAACAGAGTCACTTGTGGTAAAAGAACAACAACAACAACAAAACACTTTTGTCAAATAGAGCCAGGGAAAGCCGTGAAGCTTGATTAAAAAAAAAATCACAAAAGACTCTGCTACACATCCACATAGGTATATAGAGCAACTAAAAAGTAGAAAGAATAAAATTGTAATAAATTAGAGATTATATTTAAAGTACACATAGTAATTCAGTGTTTTAAAAGTTTATAGTTAATTTGTGGAAGAAAATATTAGCCTCTGTGACATCGTGGAAACAGTACAAAATGTTTACATCAGAATGTGGCTAGCCTTGCTTTCTTGGGAAAACCACTTTAAGTCTGAAACACAGTTTCCCAATCCCAAAGTGATGAACATATAATAGCTATTTCAAAGCATTGTTGAATGGTTGCATCCTATGAGGCAAAACAGATAAAACTTTGGTGTAAATTGTTAAGTAAGATAGCATATCTTTGTGGTCAAAGCTCCTTTTCTTCTTACCAGAGTTCATTAATTATATTACCTATTACCCCCATTTTTGTGAGAATAAAAATTGCTGCATATCATATTTTCTTGACAGTCATTTCTTTGTAAGGTTTTGCTCTTTTAGCTGGTGCCTTCTGCTCCTTTTTTCACTTGTTCTTTGCTCCAGAATCAAGTGTTCAGGGTTTTTTCTCTCCACAATAGCTAGTGACAATTATGTGAAAAGAACTGAGGACTAAAAGTCTTTGTTATACTGAGTTATTAACAAAGGAAACATTTACTTTACCAAGAGCAAAAAAAAAAAAAAAAAAAAAAAAAGGTATCATTACCTTTGGTCAATGTTCAGAAGGGACTGGAAATATTTTAATTATAATGACCTTCTATTGCAGTTGGGTTCATTTTAATGAGGTAAGTTTCTAGTCTTCTTGAAATATTTTCACGTTTTGTCTAATGACCTCCTAATTTCTCAGACTAAATTAAAAAAATTGTGGGGGACTTTTTTGATTGCAGGGTGTTGTGAATGATTTAAAAAAATGTATAAAACATAGTCCTCCTTGAGAGGGTTATGATTTGTCTCCCAGCATAATTAAAAATACATGAAAACTAGGAAACCACTTTCAATGGGTGAGAGACTGGTTTCAAGATAGTGATGACTTGTAAGGCACTACAAAGATATTGGGGAATATTGAAAACAAACTACTTCATTCTGAAGATTAAAAGAAATAACATGCATAGGAGAAAGAGCCAATGCTACCAGATTAGATGTCATTACTAACAAAAGAAAAGAAAAACAGACATGGCTACATTCCAAATAATCTTGCTCCGTGCCAGGAGTAGAGAAATAATATTGCAATGAATACTATAGGAGTTGCGTTTCAAGATAATAACACAGTTTTAAAATTTCATCTTCAGCCCCTTTCCTTTATAAATCAGGGAAAAAAAGGCATGCAATAAACAGATATAAGTTGAAGGAGGCATAGATGCAGAAGCTATTGCTGGAAGCAGTTCTACATTACCCCTTGAAAATCACTGAATTTTGAGACAGAAGGGCTGACTTTTAACTCTTTCAGAAGGTTGAAGGCAATTAAATTCATTATCCTAAATATTTACATTTATATAATTCTTTACAGTTTACAAAGTGGTTTTGCAGAAGTTATCCCTTTAAATTAAAGAGGCAGATGATGTTCAATACACCAGGCTGTGAGGAAAACATGTTTTTCTACTCAGAATGTTTAAATCCTGAGGCAGTCCGGCGGTTGTAAACAACTGACTACAGTACTATGGAGGCTCAAGGAGGGAAGCAACCAAGGATGTAAAAGTAATTTATGGAAGAAGCTGTAGGTGGCATCTATTATTTTGTTTCTTCTACATCCTTTTCATTTGGAAATTGCCTCTTTCTCTTACTGTGATTTGGATGAGGCTATGAATCAAAGGGTAGTGCGCCCCTCTACACCGCAGATGTGGTTACATGAACCGAGGTGGTAAATTAGAATGTGCTATGTTTCTAACCATTGTGATTAGCCACCATGATCGTGTGGGGCCAATCAGATTTAAGCAGGGTCTCTTCACTTGAAGTCCTCTTTTAAGGTAATTATTTGGATGTTTGAAGAGATTGCCTCTCTGTCCTACTGAGGGCAAAGTCTATGTAGTTCTGAAGCTTCTGGTGGCTATTTATTCCTAATACATGGGGAAAAACTTCTGGAAAATGTAGCCAACCCAAAAGAAAAAGAGCCAAGAAATAAAGAGAGAACATTTTTGAGCAGCTATGCTAAGCCAGTCAACTCCTGATATTTTTACTTATATAAGCCAATATGATTCATATTTGGTTGGATGTATTTGAAATGTGTTTCTGTCATTTATATCCAAAACAGTTCTGAATAATACAGAGACTGAACTCTTTTAAACCAAGGTCCTAGTTCAGTCTATCTATCCATCTATCTATCTATCTATCTATCTATCTATCTATCTATCTATCTATCATCTATCTATCTATCTATCTATCATCTATCTATCTATTATCTATCTATCTATCTATCTATCTATCTATCTATCTATCTATCATCTATCTATCTATCATCTATCTATCTATCATCTTAAAGATTTCTCTACACATTCCAGGTAGGATAAATGCATTTATTAGTTCAATAAGTATTCCTTGAGTGTCTTCTAAGCACTGGAAAAGTGCTGGTTATGATGTATTTCTCTCCCTTTCCTTTTACCATTCCTCTTAAGAGCTTTGAAGTACTGTGACTATTAAGCTGATTGACTATCCCCATGATTATAGCATGAATGTCATCAGAAGGTTTTGTGCTCTTTCCAAGCGGAATTCCTTCCTCTGACATTATGAGTGTTCAAGATATCACTGGCATTTATGAATGTGTAATCTGGAGGGATCCAGATTTTGTCTGTGGTTTCAAAAAGGGAAACAGGAAAGTATCATGAAAGAAACATAGCAGGAACATACATCCAAGCTGGTGTAGTTACACTCACAGTGGTGTAGTGGCTGGCCCAGCTTCAACAATTAGTCAACAGGCTTTAAAGTCTGAGACGTTTATGAACTTGCTTTGACTCAGATAAAAAGGAGAAAGGGAAACTACTTTTTCTTTCTGTCTGTGATTACATATCTTCTTATCTGTGTCTGAGTATATATTAAATTATAAACCAAGTCTAACTGCAGTGTCATATGGAAATTAGGCTTTCCATATGTTAATTTTCTAGATAACTAAAAATTACCTCTTTACATGACAGCATTGTTTTATAACATTAAAATATTTGAAAGGGACCTTTAATCACACATTTCTATGTTTTCTTAAGCAAAATATGTTAATAATAATGTAGTTACCTAAGTGGATTCCATGTGGTGGACCCTGTGTTAGCCACATACATTCAACATTTCATTTAGACCTAGTGTACTGTGAGGAAGAGATGGAATCTTTATTTAAGGGAGCAGTAAACTGAGAATCATGGTTAAGCAACTTAACCAAGATCACAAAACCACAGGGTGGTAGAGCTGGGATTTGAACTCAGATATGTCTGACTCCACAGCTGCTATTTTTAACAGTGTCATCATTAAGAACATAAAGTGTGTGTTTCGCAAAGATTAAGTGATGCTCTCTCTGGCTACAAATAGTCTAAACTATTTGTCCTGGCGCAAATGTCCTGGCGCATGCTGCTCTTTAAGTTATGTTTGTCTTTTATAATTTTCTTTATATTTTTTCTTTATTGTTAGAATGCTAGCTGTAACTCTTTGCTATTGTAAGCAGGCCTGACTATAGCAAAATGTGTCCTCCATTTCAGCTGATTGCTTCTTATCTGCTTTAAGGCTAAATAAGTTTGTTAGTGATTTCAGGTTCTCTGTGTAGCCATACAGAGGCAATAATGATGATAATAATATAGTGATCATTTATTGAATACCTTCTCTAAGCCACTAGTTGTATTACATATGTGTCTACTTAATCTCCACATTTAGACATTTCTATTTGTTGCTCAGGACTTCCTCCCCAACTGTTTTCTATGTCTCAGGTAATTTTCAAACAGATGATATTGGCTGATAAATGATACCATGCTTAAGTGAGCTATTTAGACACACACACACACTCTCACACGCTCTCACACATGTGTACTCTCATCTACATGTACATTCAGAAACTCAGATTACTTCCATTGATCTTTCTGCTTCTGGTCAGATATTGGCAAGTATAAAGATCAGAATGAGAAAACCTAGAATGGTGATATGCAAAGTATACCTTCAATAGAGTCACGATACGCTCATTTGAAAATAATCGAACTACTTCCATTAAGTACCAGAAGGTTTGAAGACATCTTATTAATCTGTGTAATTATTCATCATAATGCATCCTCAGTACCTACAGCTACAAAAGATAGGACATTTATCTTTAAATGAATGCTTCTCAATTATGCCAACATCAATGTGTTTTGCTGTAATATTTCCTGGGTAGCCATTAGGTGGTTAATTCATACAATATGAACGTACATTGTTAAGCACAGCGCTACTTGGTAACTTTTGCAAAGTGTGCACTGTAAATGTATCCTTAGTAAAATCAATTTTTGCTGAAATGTCCCCACTTGAGCAACATTCATATGGAGTTTCCTGGATTTGTACACATTTATCTAAATTTAAAGTAAGGGATAGTTTTTTTTTATGTTTGCTTGATTTAAAAAATTAAATTAATATGTTATTCCTCTCTGACATTGGGTTCAAAACAAAAAACAGAGAAACTGGTTTTCTTGAAGGAGACAGGATGTAATGGCTAGGTAGACTAACATTTCTTTTGACTTGGTTTTGGAGAAAGTTTTTGAATGGCTTGTGTGTTATAGTCCATATGAGTTTTCTCTGAGCTAACATTGCCAAGTAGGAGTGTGTGTGTATGTGTGTGTGCACATGTGCAAGTGTGCGTGTGTGTTTGAGTGACACGGCCAGATACTGCCACTCAAGTGCTGAGACCAATGAACTTTACAGATGTGATTCAATTTATATTTAGACCTACCTCTAAAAGTATCTAATAGAAAATTAATACCTTTAGTAAACTGCACATTCTAAACATGGTTTTACCTTATTTATTAATAGGCCGGAAAAAGTTGGACTAATATTATACCTGAGAAAGTTATAGACTACCATAGACCTTAGCAGATCAGCCTTGAGCATTTTCATCTGAAACATCTAAGTGTTATTACTTAGACGTTTTAGGAGAAATGCATGTAAGAGAAGAAAAGACCTTAAAGGACATCTGGTTCAACCATCTTTGGGTGCTTCAGTTTATTCTCATGATATTCCCCTTGCCAGTAAGAATCTGCCCTGATTCAAAGAGATAAGTTACTATCATTTAGTTTGTCTACCTTCAATATTCTTGGAACTTTGGACATATTTCTGAATTTTTTATATTCGTGTTTTACTCTCTGTTACCTTGTTTCCAGGTTCTAGATTTCATTAATAATTATAATCAGTGTTATTAAATATTGTAGTGTTTCTAAAAATCCAGCTCTTCTTCCTTGTATGAGATTTATATTGTGAGGATGTGATTGATCAGAATCTTGATTTTCAGCAGGATACTATATGAGAAAAGCCAGAGGGGATGCTGAAGATTTAAATTTGGAGATATAAATGCATTGGTAGAGAATCTGAAAGTCAATGATAGCTATGTGTACCTAGCCATGTCTTCTGGGGGTAATTCAATCGAATAGTTAGACCTGCTCTAAAGAACGACACTCTTAGAAAAACAAACTCATGTGACACAACACTTTCTTTGTATCCATCTTCATATCTAGAGATACATATTAATTCTTGGCAAAAGAATGAGTTTGTGGCTGCTGCCATGGCCTTCATCCATGCTTTAATTGATTTTCCTTGGACAATTTTTCCTATTCTCTCACATAATTCTGCTGTGTATCATTTTCCACTCTAGACAGTGTAACGTCATTTCAGAAGAAGAGGAATCCCAAAATGTAAACTTAGAAGTCAATACTGAAGCAGGAACTATGATGAGTCTCGACTGCTGGTGGCTGCTTGTATGACTTTGGGTTCATTATTCCTTTCCATCTTTTTTAATGGAATGGTACTTTTCTGTTTGAGATAGTTTAAATAATACAGAACAGCAGAAGGTAGGATGTGGTCTCTTCTGCTCTAGCCCTTCGTCTCATTCTCTAGATGTAACTACTGTTAATCACGTGGCATGTAGTGTTCCAGATCGTTCACTATATCCATACAGATGTATATATACTTTATTAATAAAAAGTTAATTTTTCTACTTATGATATTTTTGTATTTTTGATTTTTATACTAAGAAATATTACTAAAATATTCTTCCGAATGAATTTAATTTCATATACTTTAATATTTTTATTACCTTCAAAGTATTCTAGAATATAGATGTATCATAAGTTTGTTTCACCAAATAACTGTTAGGTTGCCTCCAAAATTTTAATATTACAAATAATGCTGCAATGAGGAAAATTGCACATAATATCTTTGCACACATGAAAAAGTATTTCTGAGGAATAAATGGCTAAAAATTTTGTTGCTGAGGTAATAATTTTGCTTCTTAAAGTTTTTGATAGATTTGGATGAATTACCCTCCAAAACATTTGTATTGATTTGTAATCCATCAAGTTAATGAGAGATGGGCAAGTTTTTTAAACTGAGCTCTAGTTTTCTTGTGCAGAAATGGGAATAAATTACCTTTTTTTCTCAAGATTAATATGGGGATTCGATAAGGCAATGCATGTAAATCACCTAGCACTGTGCCTGCTAGAAGTGGGGTGTTTGATAAATCTTTATTCCCATCTGTTTACTTTCCAACTACTCTACTTTATACAAAGCAACAACATGCAATTGTTAGATAGGTCTGATTTTTCCTCTCAATTTTTCCAGTTGGATTAAGTGCCCTGTTCTCAGACCTATGATATTCAGACCTACATAAGCACTGAATTTCTTGTCTCAGTCAGAGTTTGTTCTAGTCACTATTGTTATATATTAATCATTGTCCTTCTGTGACATATGGTACCCACCATAATCAGAATCTCAATTTTTTTTTTTTTTGAGATGGAGTCTCGCTCTGTCGCCCAGGCTGGAGTGCACTGGCACGACCTCGACTCACTGCAACCTCCGCCTCCCGGGTTGAAGCGATTCTCCTGCCTCAGCCTCTTGAGTAGCTGGGATGATAGGTGCATGCCACCACACCTGGCTAATTTTTTTATTTTTAGTAGAGATGGGCTTTCACCATGTTGGTCAAGCTGGTCTCGAACTCCTGACCTCGTGATCCACCTGCCTTGCCTCCCAAAGTGCTGGGATTACAAGCATGAGCCACCACACCTGGCCAGAATCTCAATGTTTTAAAAATACTTTGCAGATGTCTTCTCAGTCTTCTTGTTGTGACTCTTCATTTCCATGTTTTGGGGATTTTAAGACATGGATTTCTATTTTGAATGATTCAACATTAAAGTGTCCACTTTGACTCAGTCTCACAAAACGTCATAAAGGTGGCTCTGAGAGATTGCAGATCCTAAATTCTGAAGCTCCTCATCACTACGCCTATGCTCTCTGCTCCTTTGTTGAAGGACTCTGGGGGACGCTCTGGTATTTCCTTTCCAAAGTACCCACACTTCCTGGACACCACCCTTACTTTCTAGGATTGCATATGCCTTCCCCATACTTCATTTTTCCTGGGTACTTAATTTATGACTTCAATTGATTCTCATCTCAAAGCAGGGATGAGTCCTGTCTGAGAAGTGAAATGTGATGCAAGACCATTCAGTAAAGGAGACACGTCTTTGACTTCAAGTATCTGTTGCACATGAAATTGAGTCCAGGTTTATAAGCTACCTTCGAGAACCATCTAGGCCTGGACCCTGGTAGTCTCCAAGTCTGGGTGGGCTTTTCATTTATCAGAATACTGTCTCATAACCATCTCATGAATGTTTGCGCTCCAGCTACCCACCACAGAAACAACTCGTTTAAGCTTTGGACAACTCTGACTGTGAAGACAACTTCATTTTATTTAATAGATAATGCTTACTCTGTGCAGATACTACTTTAGGTGCTTTACAAATATTTACTCATTTAATCCTTAACGGCTGCCCAGTTTTTTTCTGGTTTAGCCCCTAAAGAGAAGCTAAAATATCTGTAATACCTCATCTGTATAGCAACCTTCAAATACTTGGAAGGCAACCACCAGGCTCACAAGGGTCTACACTTTTTCAAATTAAAGGATCCCAGTTCACTCAGTTGTTCCACATGCTGCACAGTTGTGAGTTATTTCGTATCCTGACCACTCTCCTTTGAATGTCCTTTTATTTTGTAATGACTCAGAGATTCTGGCTCACAGATGTGTTTTGCTTGACACAATATCTATTTTATTTGTTTTGTTTTTACATCCAAAAGTAAAAACAAAAGGAATTTGACTATCTTTCTGCTGGGCACACCCTCTCCAGCTTCAAGGTTTCATCAGTGCTTACTGTCTTTGTCCCGCTTTCACTCAACTTGGTCCCCAAAGGTGTCTATGTTTAAGACCCCTGCTAAAGTGTCATATTCAGAACTGAACCTAGATGCAATCTAGCCAGTCACATTCTGATCGAGGAGGGCCTTCATGCTATGATGATAGCAATACTGCAAATTCAGATTTGTGTATTTCAGCACATTTCCTTACAATGCATTTTTAACCCATGAGTCAGCCTCTGAAACTGGATTTAATCACTTTACCTTCAAAATAAAGAATCCACTTGCACCAAGGCATTACTGAAGAGTGTATAGTTTATTGACAGTTTAGAATTGGAGGAAAAAGAGAGGGTTTGTAGAACACAGCATTTCCCTCCAAGTTTCTTTTCTTAGCCTTATAGCTCTTGGGTCTTCTTCTCTACTTTCTTATCTGCTTTTTCACCGCTACCACTTAGCTGTAATGGTTCCTGCTTCCCTTCCCAGAATCCTGTCTCTGGGGCTTCTCAATCTCTTTCCCTTAATTACGCAGTCTTGGCCCAGCTGTGCCAAACCTAGTGGTCACACTTGTCATTCCCTTGGCTAACAACAGACCCTCCACTTACTAAGACCTATTTCATAGAAGTCAGTGAGTGATTGCATAACCAAAACATATTGTTTTTGTATCACAATAAAATCAATTGTGTTAGAGCTAAGCAACATATCTGACAGGAAGGTCACATTCATTAATGAAGATAACACAGCTAATTATAGAAAGGTAGGCAAAGAACCCAGCACTGGGGGTTCCAGATCTGTATATATAGCATTGCTTTATATACAATATTACTAGAAACTGTATTTGTTCACGAGCTGTCACTAATTGTAAGTACAGTAAGTCTTGGTGATATTTTAGATTTTATTTCATGTACACCAAAGTGGATAACTGAATTTTAAATAAGCCCAATTAAAATTGAGAAAGTTCTAGAAAATGGCTCAGATTGCTCTAATTCCCTGTATGAATCTTGCCATGTCTTTCATCATGTCTTGGCTGGTTTGGTGTCCTGTAATGGTGACAGTTTTGTTTTTCCTTTTCTTAGTCTTATTTTGTCACTCTTCCTTCACCTTGCACATACACTATAGTTGCTGCATATCAGATTATAGCTAAAAGGCTGCTGTATTTCTTTCCCTTCTGAGTTTTGGCATAAAGTATGTTTTGAATCTCCTGATACAGGGAATTTTGCAAAAGGTAAAAAATTGTGAAGTGAGCATTTCCAACTACGCTAACATTGGAATCTAATGCAGCACTATTACAGAATGATGGGATTTTAGAGTTGGAAGGACCTTATCACTCATCTCATCTGATCCTCCCCTACATTTAACCATGAGGAGATTTAGGCGTGAAAAGGTCAGTCTTTTACTGAGAGTCGTAGAGCCATTTAGTTTCAGAACCAAGAATAGAACTCAGCTGTCCTAACCCTAGTCTAGTTGCGCAACTCCACACAGCTTTCATGTAAAAGCAAATAAACAAAATGGCCTATTTCTCAGCATTGTTTTGTTTTTATTGATAGCAAAGGGGATCATGTGCTACTTACAGTAATCTCTAAAAATTTTATAATAATCCTTGCATTATCCTGTTAAACTGTTGCTGTAGCTCTGTGCTTAATAGATTGAAATCTATTATTCATAATGCCATCTTGTTCCTGTTCAAATAACATTATCCTTATGACTAAAATTTTATGGAGCCATACTTGATTTCTTAGTGGAGTGAGATGATACATCATTAGAGAAAAGAGTTTTCATTTGTGAATACGATTCAATAGATATTTTTCAAGCACCACTCTGAGTGTGGCATTATTGTTGGCACTTTTTTGGATGCAGAGGCAACATATGGCATGCCTTTTAGCCTCAGATAACTGATACTCTGCTGTGTGCTTCTGAGTGTCCAGAAGCATCTGAAGCAAAACAGTGCTGCGCCTAAGGAGATGGTATAGGGTGGTGGCTCAGGTCACGCTGGGTTTGCATCCTGGTTCTGTTGTTTAGCAGCTGTGTTATCTTGGGCAAGCAACTGTAGTCAAGCCTTAGTGTCCACATCTGGGGACAAAAATGCACTAACTTCATATAGTTATTTCAAAAATTCTGATAAAAGACAAGACAGAAATCATTTGGCACATCCCCAACACGTAGTGCTCAAAAATGTTAGCTAATGTTTAAAATCTTTATCACCTTAAGTCAGTGAACTCTCTATCAAAGAACAGTGTAGAGCAAAGCCAATTATCTCGCTACATTTAGGAAAAGAAAACTTTGGCTTTGGATAGATTTCATTGATTGGCTGACTACTGGTTGATTGATCTAGGTGTGCTTGTGCTTGTGCGGCTCAGTGGAGTGCATTTGCCCATGCAGTAATCTCAAGCTTGGAAAAAGAATTCTAAGGATAAAGTTGGGAATAGCAATCGCTTCAGTGGGGTGATATCTTTAATTTAATTTTGCATTATTTGTTTTCATGAGAAATACCCTCCAGATAGAAGTCTCCCTCCCTTTGATTGTCAGTTTTTATTAGTCACCTCAGATTCTTAGACAAAGGCCTCCTGATTGGATGTCAATTACTTGGGTTCTCATCCTTTCTTATCTCTAACTCACTCTGTTGTTGCTAATAAATTAGCCCCTCAGAGGAAACATTTGAGCCAAATGGTACAAACTATCTTGGAAAACTTGAAGTATTTTGTTTGGTGATCTAAAATAATCAAATGAACTGACTAATTACTTGCCAATTATTTTCTTTCTTGTGGTTCTTAATTTATATATATATAAAAAGTAATTTATATATATTAGTAATTTATATATTCATTTTCCCTGTTTAATAAAAAAGATATGTATAATATATAATAAATATGCTGTGTATTCATAAAAGAGTATATAAATATACATATATTGTTTTAATATATATTTTATACATATTTGTATTATATATTTTATATATATATAATTTTTATTAAACAGGGAAAACTAAATATGGGCAAGGAAAATGACCTTAATACATCTGTATAGTCTGAAAAAATAAATTATGGCTAATTTAAAATGAAAGGTTTCTTAAACAATTTTGCAGTCAGGCTATTAATAATCATTTTCGCAAAGTGGACAACATATACCAGGAATATTAGAGATTCATGAATTGCTGTCAGTTTGAATTTGTATATATTTCCTCATCACTAAAAATACTGTGATCTAGTATGCAGAGGAAAAAAGGGTCCTGGAAAATAATAGTGTTGTTAAATGTTTTTGTAAGACAATTTCTAGGTGTGAAAAGTTAATTAGTGATATAAAATACATATTTGGATAATTAATACCAGTGAAGACTAGACACTTGTTGCCTAAAACAATGAAGATACTTTTTTTATAGAGTCATCTAGATGCTTATATCCATTTTCCAACTCAGTTTGCGTGTCTAGACAGAGCTTCTTTTAAAAAATTGTTCAAATACAAGAAAATTCTCATAGTAAAATACTTGAGAATTTGAAAGGCTGAGAAAAAATCATGATTCCAATGTATTATATTAAAGTTGAAATCTGAGACTTGTGAATTAACATCACGCAATGTTTTAAAATATGAGAAAATATGCACTAGAATCAAGAATAACCCTAAATCCAACTAAGAAAAGAAAAATCACTTCCCTGTGAAAAAAACCATTCTCACAAGTCCTCATGTCCCTCCACTCCTGACTTTATAGTCATACAGATAGTTCCAAAGCCAGCAAATATTGCATTTTCTACACTTTTCCATCATGTAATCATTTTACAAAACATCCAAACCAGTACAGCTCTTTTAAATTGTAGCCTCTCCTCTCTTTGTGTATCACCAATTCTTTTTATTAATTCATGGGGATGAATGCAAAATAAATACAGTTCTTTGGGTGAGTCCAGCTTACCCACAGCGCGTGCTGCCCTCTCACACCACTCGCCGCTTTGTTGCTCTTTCTCTCAGTTCTTTCCAACATGCCCCTGGGTCTCATGAGACGACCCAAGAGCGTACTGCATACTTGGATAGGATTAAGAAAAGAAAGAAAACAGAACGGTGCCCAGCAGCATTTATACCAAGGTGCAGTGCCCTTCCTGGCACACAATGTGAGAAGAGAGCAGTCAACCATGCAAGGTAAACAGCAACCAGCCTAGTGCAACTAACTAAAGGTAGTGAAAAGCCCACTGAAGCACAGAGCTGAGTTTAGAATATTTACACCAACGCTCCTCTATTTTACTGATAAGGAACCTGAAATTGAGCCATAAATTTATTTATGATTTTAAAAAAACCTGGAACTATGATCCGTGAAATATTCTTTATAGTTTGTTTTGAACTATTTTAGAAATGTTGGTGGAGGGATGACAAAAATTAAAATACAGACAGAAATGAGAGAGGCTTAATTCTGAAAGAAGTGTTCTAGCTTATTCATCTTGTTTTACAGATTTAAAAAACCCCAGGCCCAGAGAATTGCAGCTCCTATCCTTGTATTGTAGCCATGCAGAGGAGACCCACTGATCTTGTTACTACACACACAGCTCCTTTTTAATTACTTAAAATAAGTCCTGTGACAGCTTGCAGGATCTATCCTGCTGATTCTGTAGGATTGCAAGTTTTCCTTTTGCCTTTCATTGGATTTCAAACAATGTATTGAGTGTGGCAACTGAATTATTACAGTCAGTTATCTGTGTATTGTATGGGCAATTTAAAATTGACTTGGGTTAAAATGGGAAACTTCACACTAGTCATAAGAAACTCTTCAGAGATGCAGCAATTCAATCTGGTTCACATAATAACAGCAATAAAGAAGAAATTGCACATAGTTTTTTTTTCTCTCTTGCAAAGAGCTAAAACCAATTTACAGATTTTCTTATTAATCCTCCCAAAAGAACGACAGCCATTTTGCTAACCAGGAACCTCACAGCAGAGGTCAGGAGGCCAAGTGTGTGCAGGAGCTGAAGGCACTGGTGTGGGGCTCCAAGGTTTCGTTTCAATGTCTCTTGGTGTTGCTAACTTGCTGTTTGATGGTGGTCAAATCACAGAATGTCTCTGAACCCTAGTTTACTCATAATTTAAATGGTGGGTGAGATAATCTCCAAGATACCATCAAGGATGAATTCTCACTGATTTCACAGAGATCTCAATGCACTGCTTAGATTTCCTTATTCTTGATACCTTTACTTAAAGCCTTCACTAAAGCTCTATTAACGTTACTATTCTTCTATCTGTTCCCCAATTATAATATTTCTTTTTCTCTTTTTCATAAGAGTAACAAGAAACACAGTAATGCCCTTTCTTTGTAAAGGCATGGCCAACGAATAAGGGTAGAGAGAATAAAGCAGTAATTGGACAGTTACCTTGTTTATCTCTGTGGAAATCTTAATAGTTATTCGGAATGCTTTAAATTTCTTTAATGGCCCAGTCTTACTTTTGCACCCTCAATGTAAGCATCTCACCTTCTACTTTCTCAGTTCGAAGCCATTCATCAGGAGTCCTTTCAAAGTCTTTCTAAATGTTTCCGCTCTTAATTCATCCTTTTCTTACTCCGCCACCCCGGTACTATACTACCCTCATCTCAGAGGAAAAAGAGAGCCTTTGTCATCCCAAAATAACCATCTATAGTGGTCTTAATCCAATGTCCAGTTCTTCTAAGTAAGTGACTCTCATACCTAGATACAGATTTGAATCACCTGGGAAAACTAGTAAATAATCCTGATCAGAATCAGGACCAGGTGTTAGTATTATAATAAGGGTCCTAAGTGAGTTTTATGTTAAGAAAGGGTTGATAACCAGTGCTGTGGAGGTCTTGATTGATTAATTAATCCTTGTTTATTCTTCAGCTTTAATCCATTTTACTGGCTCCTTCCCTCAAACCTGCAAATGTGTTTAGGCTATTATTATCCTAATAAAACACCTTCCCTTGTCCCTCAAGCTACGATTCTATGCATCCTCCTCTCTCCCACTTTATCTTCTCAATGGTTCTGCTCCTTGTTAGCCCTGAAACAGCTTTCTATGCAGTCACCTCATGGCATACACAGTCCCTTATGCTTCATGCTACTCAGGCTCTCTTTAGGGCCTGACATTCCCAATCACCCTTGCCACTGTAAAATTCGCTCTTCCTTTGGCCTCTGTGATTCTGCATTCTCCTGGTTTCCTTCCCAGTTGCACAAAGTTTCCTTTAAAAGTATGTGTCGGCAGGGCGAGGTGGCTTACACCTGTAATCCCAGCACTTTGGGAGGCCGAGGTGGGTGGATCACGAGGTCAGCAGTTCAAGACCACTCTGACCAACATGGTGAAACCCCATCTCTACTAAAAATACAAAAAAATTAGCTGGGCGTGGTGGCAGGCGCCTGTAATCCCAGCTACTTGGGAGGCTGAGGCAGGAGAATTGCTTGAAACCGGAAGGCGGAGGTTGCAGCAAGCCAAGATTGTGCCATTGCACTCTAGCCTGGTCAATAAGAGCAAAACTCCATCTCAGAAAAACAACAACAAAAAAACCCAACTATGTGTTCTATGAGTCTCCAAAGCATAGCTGCTTCTTACTGTTCTACACTAGTTGCCATTAAATTATTGATTTATTCTCTACCCTAAAATGATTGCTTAAGTTTAAATGACCACATCCATGAAAATGACTCTGGAATCTGCATCTCTTCCCTGAGTTGTAAATTATACTTCACCAGGATATATCCTCATCTGGATGTTCTTCCTCCACCTCAAACTCAACCTGAGTTTATCATCTTCTACTGATTTCACCCCTTCTCTGTGACGTCCTGCTGAACTTCAGTCAGCACTGTCCTTCCAGTTTTCTGGGCTTCTAAATTCTGGTTATCTTTCACTCTTCTTTTTCCTATTTACTCTCCATATCCTATGCATCCCAAGTTGTGTCTGTTTTGCTTTTGAAATTTTGAGGTGTCTATTTCCTTCTTATTTCTAATTCTTATTCGAGCCTTTGTTTAAGACACAGATCAAATATGCAGCCTTCCATGATGGCATCCCCAACTCCTGATCAAAATTAGCTTTCCCCTCTTTGGTGATCCCAAAGTGCTTTGTGAGTCTAGTATAACAGTGAGCACATTCTACTTTCTAATATAGCACCATATGTATAGTCTCCACCACTTAGGTTAGACCCTCAATGTCAGAGATGATATGCTTTCTTGGATGTAGTTAGTATCAAGGATGAGGGACTTACAATCTATCTGAGTAAACAAAAATACCTCCCCATTCTTTCTCACCCTGGGCCTCCTCCCCACAAACTGCAATACAGTGGAAATGGCTATTCACCATAAAGTGAATAATGACAATAGGGCTTTGTAAACATAGCCCATGCTTTTATAACAACGGCTAGTTTTGATTGCTCACCCATCATATGAGCACATGTGTTATATATGTCATTTCATTCAAACTTCCCAAAAGACCTGCAAGATAAATATTATGAGCACCCATTTTATAGATGTAGAAACTGATGCTCAAAACATTAAGTAACTTGCCCAAGATGACACAGCTAGTAATGAGAGGACAAGGTCCAAATCCCAGGTGTGAAAGCCCACGCTCTTAACTTCATGTGATTCCATTAGACTAAATTGGGTGTTGTGTCATACAACAGGAGCTGGCGGCACAGGGAAGAAAATTTTTTGCTTGGGGAAGGTTTGTGGACAATGAAGAGTTATTTTATTGAGAAAGAGTAAGATGTTCTGTTCAGTCTTTCTTTTGACTCTCATTGTTCTTGGAACTTCCCAGTTGCAGAGTCCACCTGAGCAGCAGGTAGCATGGGGGCTTACCATGTGTGAGAGGACACTCTTCTAACATACCAGCTCCTCTGATCTGTCAGACCACCATTTCTATCACCTCTCTTTTCATCCTGAAGGCATCAACTTTAAGTAATTCTAATTTAAATGACAAGAACATTGGTCTTGGTCATATGTTCTTATCAGCTACCTGCTAAGGAAGGATTAGTTTGACAGCCTTGTGAAGTCCTCTCTAGACAACCTCTATCCATAATAAAGTCACTTGCAGAGAGCAGAGACCCATGTCCTTACAAAAGACCCATATGCTTTTGAAAACCAAGACATTGCTTTCTTTTGAATAGTAATCAGTACTAATTTGCAAGCAACTTGAGAGTAAGGGAACATGTCTTCCAGTCTGTTTATCAACCCTAGTTTCTTACTAGCCTACTGACTTCTGAGTGTAAATTATACTTATTTCATAGAAATAATGCAAACTTGAGTTCTTTATTTTTGAGAGGAAGGAAAAGCATAAGTGCTTTTTTTTCTGAAAGGGGCCTGAGAATTGATTGTTAAAAAGAATTGAATTAAATTAATTTGCAAGTTGGGTCACTTGTTCTACATCAGAAAGAAAGAAAGGAATTGACATTTCTAATAAGGTTCTAGGTGACACTGGTAAGAGAAACAAATATTTTTTTCTTTAAACAATACATGTTTATGAACTCTCTAAATATCACTGTGATTTGAAGTTCAATTCTGTAACACCAGATGACAATAGGCATGGTTCTTTGGTACCAATTGTAGTTTCGAGATTTGACTCCAATAAATATTTCAGGCTTGAATTCTTATTAAAAGTTGATTCAAATTTATCTACAACCATATCCTCTGAAGGTTATTATTTTACCTGCATAGTGGTTTGAAATTTTATTGCGATGGGGATAAAGTATATAACTCTGGAATCAGGATTGGATCAACTGAATTTGAATTAGGCCTTAACACTTGTTAACTGTAACTTTGAAGAAGTTGAAGGTCTTTTCTGTGCCTCATTTTCCTCATCTGAGAAACAGATATTAAAAAAAAAACCTACCTCATAGCTTTATCATCAGCATGAGATGAGATAATCATGTAAGCATAACACCTGACACATAATAGGTAATCAATAAATGTTAGCTATTAATAATTTTAATAGTTTTTGTTAAAACAATCTGGCTGTGGTATATTTCTTTTCAATGGTTTTGTCTAATTATTTGCATTTTTCTTTTCTCTGCTTACCTTCATTCCTTCTTTTATTTTTAGGAAAACCGATATGAACAATCCTCCAGTACTATAGAATCTCTGGCTGGGTGCGGTGGCTCAAACCTGTAATCCCAGCACTTTGGGAGACCAAGACAGGCAGATCCCTTGAGGTTGGGAGTTTGAGAACAGCCTGGCCAACATGGTGAAACCCCATCTCTACTAAAAATACAAAAATTATCTGGGTGTGATAGCATGCGCGCCCATAATCTCTGCTCCCTGGGAGTGATGAGGCAAGAGAATCACTTGAAACCAGGAGACGAAATGAAGGTTGCCGTGAGCTGAGGTGGTGCCACTGCACTCCAGCCTGGGCCACAGAGGGAGACTGTCAAAAAAAAAAAAAAAAGGAATCTCTCTGAAGCTGATCAGAGAATGCTCAGTGCTGAGTGACATTCCTCAGCCAAAAACTCTCTTTCTGTGTCTGGGTCACAATTCCCATCATTTCTTGCATTTGAGTGGTTTGTCCATGCCTTTTAATTTTGTTTTCAGTGGGCATTGTTAAAAGTCTGTGTTGGCCAATTTTCAGTTCATTTTTCAAAAGTTGGAATCAAATCTTATAAACATATCCAGATTAAGACTAGCCACAAACCAGGATTTCAGGTTCTTTTCTAGCATGGTGCCAGATTGTACTTAGGTAGGATAATAAGGGAAATCTGTTTCCTTCCTCACATTTTATGTATCTGTCATAAATCTTAACTGACTTTAGATGAACTGCAATTTAGAAGTTCAAGTTTCAGGTGAAGGTTCGGGTGAAATTTCATTTTAATGTTTTATTAAAATTGATTTTCTTTTGTGATTATGAATGAATGCAATATCACTGCAGAGGAAGCATGTTGACAAGCAGTGACAAAAATCCAGCTAAGATAACAACATAGGGCAGTTGTTTTCTGCTTATCTTTATTGTAGAACTACCAGTAAGAAACGCTTAGGTGTTATTAGGCCTTCGAAACACGAGTAACATCAAACTCTGCACTAGTTAGCAAAGAAGAGAGAAATCTAAGCATCATTATGGGGGCTGTCAGAAGTGACTATGGTATTTATTCACAAATCTAGTGGACTACTGAGGCTTAAAATATGTGACTTATTAGGACATTGCTTTTGAATACTAATTATAATAATTTTAGAATAATAGATTGTTTGAATTCCTATAATTTAGAGAAAAGCAAAAGCAAGGATACTTATTATATTTGCTTGAGTTAAAACAGTTACAAATATATATTTAACAAACTAATAGAGATGGAAAGAACTATGGTCTAAATTCTACCTAGTTTGGGAAAAGGTGATTTTATAGAAAAGCAGCCCCATGCATCATATTAATGAGCTCAAGGCTGATTTTGGGGAAATGAGACAGAAAGGAAATAAAGCTTATAGTACCATTGATATACAGTTATGGAAATTATTAGGTAAATAAAATAGAGGCATAATAGTATTTTGTCTGAAATGGGTTGTCAAACTGAATTGTCTTAGGATGGTGGCAAAAGAATAGAATATTTTGGGGGGGGGTTTAATTCAAAAAATAAAACTGCAGAAAAATAGAGAAACAATTTGATATGTTAAGAAAAGAATAGGAAATCTGTTATGAAACATTTTCCTTCTTTGCTGGACTCTTCTTTCTCTTTCGCAACTCCTCAGTGTGGGAGTTTGTGGTGGGAGTGCTGTTACATCATTCTTCCACAGTCGACATTTAGAATCGTATCTGTAAACCTTGGTCAGCGTCTGGATGGGGACCAGCCATGCATTACCTTGTGCATATACAAAGGGAATTCTAAGATAGATTTTGATCCACAGGAAAGCAGATTGCCTGGGTTAGCTGCCCCAGACGTTTGTGTGTGAGTCATATGCTTTCTTCTGGGTTCCGGAGCTCTGGGTGTGGCAGCTCTGGGTTCCGGAGCTCTGGGTCCTCTTAGGACCTCACAGTCCAGACCTGCACACCTGGGGCTTGTGCACACTGGTACCTAGGGAGAAAGTGTGTCAAATGGCCAGCAGGTGTCAAATGGGATATCTGAAGGTCTGTCAGTCTGGCAGGCTTCAGCTTGAATATTGGCTTTGCCATCTACAAGTTGTGTACCTTGGGCAAGCTGATCATGCTTTCTGAGCGAGAGATTTCTCAAGTGCACGATAGGGATTTTAGGACTCTTCTGAACTTTAAATGACAGAATGCAGGTAAAATGCCTAGTACAATCCTTGCACTTAATAAGGGCTCACAAGCTATAACTGATATTATTGTGTAAACTGTCTGCCATCTACAAAATGCTCAATAAATGTTGTGCAACATTGTGGATATTTTTAAGGACTTGTTAGCAGTGGCCCCCTTAGAATAAACAACTATTTCTCCAAGGATTTTCCCTCCAAATCCTCTCTGAAAATGCACATGTCTTAGTGAAGAAGGTTCGAAAGGCCGAAGTGATGGGTTCATAGTTAGGTCAGGCAGTGTGGCCTGCAGTTTACATTAGAAGAGCTGGTGGAAAGCCTGGCTCTGCCATTACTTGTCATGGGACTTGGGATAGGACTTTCAATGCTTTTTAACTTCAGTTTTTCTGTCCTAAATGGGGATGGTGATGCTCACCACACAGAGTTGTGAGAATAATAGGAGATAAGTTTAGAGTGAATTCAATGTGTAATCTACAAAATAGGATAAGATACTAGTTCATCAACTACTAAAAAGCCCTCACAGCCAGCCTCTGGGAAGAAAAAGCATCTGTACTGTTCCTTCATCCTCACCGGCCCTTTGTCAACTGCCCTCACTCTTACTTTCCTTTTGGGGAAAATTTTTTCTTGGAAAGAAAAATCTGCATCCTCACCACTTGCTCAGTCCTTTAATGTCATTGCAACCTGATTTTGGTGCTTATCCTCTTTGTGGAAAATGGTCTCCCGCTTTTTCATTGAATTCAGAGCCAAAATCCAAAATCCAAAATCCAAAGCTCTTCCTTTGAATTCTCTGTAATATTTGACATGATTACCCACTCTCATCTTAATAATAAAAACAGGAGTCATTTATTGAAATGCTACTATGTGCTGCACTGTGCTAGCCACGTGGCATACATGATTTCATTTAACTTATACAAAAGCCCTTGTGTGGCCGGTATTCAGATCCCATTTTACAGAGGAGGAAACTGAGGCACCGAGATGCTAACTTCTCAATATCACATAATTGCCACACTAGTGGCAAAAAAGAGATTGGAACCCTGCTAATACTGATGTTCCTTCTTAGAGCTTTGTTCTTTTCTTAGCTTCTGTTCGTAATATTTTTTCTGTCTATTAAAATATCCAAAGCACTGTGTAACTTTGTATGGCATTTCTCTCACTATCTCACTCCTAACTCCTGGGAACTTGACCTACCTCTTGAATAATGTATAATCCTCAAGGACCTCTTTTATTATAATGCCTTCGTGGGGCAAATCTTTTTTTTTTTTTTTTTTTTTTTTTGAGACGGAGTCTCGCTCTGTCGCCCAGGCTGGAGTGCAGTGGCGCTATCTTGGCTCACTGCAAGTTCTGCCTCCCGGGTTCATGCCATTCTCCTGCCTCAGCCTCCCGAGTAGCTGGGACTACAGGTGCCCGCCACCATGCCCGTCTAATTTTTTTTTTTTTTGTATTTTTAGTAGAAATGGGGTTTCACCATGTTAGCCAGGACAGTCTCGATCTCCTGACCTCATGATCCGCCCGCCTCGGCCTCCCAAAGTGCTGGGATTACAGGCGTGAGCCACTGTGCCTGGCCGGGCAAATCATTTTTTAACAAAGGAAATATTAGACAAAGAATCTCTCCTTGGGGTTGCAAAGTCTGAAGATTAAAGTAAGAATCTGAGAATGACATCAATTCCTTAGTTAATTTACTTATATAGCCAACATAACACTGACCTTATCAAGGTAAGAGTTTCCTTTAAGTTAACTGGTCAAGAGGTATTTTTCTTTTCATAAATAATGCAAGGGGATAGAAAGATAGCTGAAGAGAAAAAAAAATATGCATACTTTTTTATAAGTTACATTTGGAAACTATTGTTATTCTGATTAACGACAAAGAATTCCAGCCAGGGTAGAGTGTAATGTGATTTAGATAAACTCTAGGTAAAGTAACAATGCACAGGAGAGAAATTTGAGCAAGTTTGCATGATGCTCAGATGGACCGTAAACAAGAGACAATGAGTGTTGTTACTTTTCTTGTTGACCTTTATTTAACAGAACTCTCTCATTAGAAAAGAGCTTGCTTTAGCTTATTGTTAAAACTGCTGTGTGCTCACCTGCTTTGAAAAAGGAACAGGCAGCCTGACATGGTGGTTCACGCCTATAATCCCAGCACTCTGGGAGGCTGAGGCAGGCGGATCACCTGAGGTCAGGCATTCAAGACCAGCCTGGCTAACATAGTGAAACCTCATCTCTACTAAAAATACAAAAAAAAAAAAAAAAAAAAAAAAGCTGGGCATTGTGGTGTGTGCCTGTAATCCCAGCTACTTGGGAGGCTGAGGCAGGAGAATCGCTTGAACCCAGGAGGCAGAGACTGCAGTGAGCCAAGATTGTGCCATTGCACTCCAGCCTGGATGACAGAGTGAGACTGCATCTCAAGAAAAAAAAAAAAAAAAGAAAATAAAAGAAAAAGGAAGAGGCAAGGTAAGCCCCGAGGCAGATTGTTTCCCTTCTTTTCTCTCTTCTCTCTATTTCAGAGTCTCTCTAATTCTTCTCTCTCTTCATGCTAATAGGGTTAGCATTACTATATTCATTTATATATTCAGTGGGCAATATTTGTAAAGTGGATGTAAAGCATAGTATACAACATTATTTTAAAGAAAAGCGTACTAAAATATAGAGAACCACCAGGTATAATGAAATTTCCATTTTGTTAGTGAAAATAAAATATTAGCCATTTCATATTGCTTATCTTTTTATAAGATACCTCTACTTATACTGACCAAAATTCTATAAAGTAAGTGACATAATCTCACTTAATAAGGGAACTCAATTATTTGCCCAAGGACATGCACTAGATGGATTTTGAACTCTGGTCAACTTTCTTTCTATTCATCAATTCATCTTTTCATAAAATATAGTTCCTGTCTTCAATTTTGTAAGTAGAAGTAAAAAAGGAAAACTTATTTATACATATAATTATGTTACAAGCAAGTACCAAAAGGTAGAATCTGCTGAAGGAGTTCAAAGATTGGAGAGGCTCCTTCTAGCTTGGAGTGAAAGGAATAGAAAAGGAAGAGGAAAAATGTGAAAGGATTAAGGGGAGGCTCTATTTAAGAGGAACCATTGAGAATTGGTAGATTTTGGGAGGTGGAAATGAGAGGGGAAAGAGACCTTTTCTGGAGGTTTGAAATGCATGGGGCTCAGGGACAGAGATATAAAGACATGATAGGCATGCTTGAGATATGGCAAGTAGTATAGTTTAGTTGTAACAGGATGAGAGAAGGGAGGTAAGGATTAGGCTAGAAATTCACCTGGCCATCAAAAATTGGAGGGTCTTGACATCCAGTCCTAGAAGACTTGATTTGCTTGGTTAAGTGAGAGCCAATGGCTGTGATGAGGGAAGTTCCATGATCAAGGTCATGCTTGGAAACTATTCATTTGCATGATCTAGGCAGAAGAAACCCAGGGCAGAAAGAGATTGCAAGATCTATCTATAGTATTTGGTAAATTTCCAGGCCTTACCCAAAAAGATTCTGATTAAATATGGGCCACATGAAGTGATGTTTTTACAAAGCTCCCCAGATAATTCTTGTGCAGGTGATTCAATAACTACCACTTTGAAAAATATGAGGGTAGAGTTGAGGAGGTTATTTAGCAAACTATCTTAATAACCAAAGTGTTCCAATAAAGGGACTTTATTTGTCTGTGAAGAGAAAAGTGACAGAAACAAAAGATATTTTGAAAGAAGAATCAGTAGGCCAATTAGATCTATCGTTGGAAGAGGATTCAAAGACAATTATTGGCTTTAATAGCTGGAAGATTTGTGGTACAATGAACAGAAACATGAGACAGTATAGATTTATTAGGTCTGATAAGAGTTTAATTTTGCCAAGTGAATTTTGAAGTCTAAAGATGACAGCCACAGGGAAATGTCAACATAGGTAGTAGACAACACAGGACTTGGGTTGGAAGAGCAAGGTTGCAGCTGGAGAGATGGCTTCGGTTTTAAGTGTGGATAGATGATATTTCCAATTACTGAAAAAAGCTCTAAAGTGTAAGAGAAGATAAAGAACCCAGGAAAGGAGAAAAGATAAAAAGAACTATAAAGTAGGAGAGAACCTGGGAAGTTAAATAGTTAAACATAATTCAAGTCAAGTAAAGAGAGGATTTCAAGAATATACATGTACACATACACACATACATACATACACATACACACACATATATGAAATAGAGGCAGTGAGCATACACTATAATTTTAAAATGTTTTATGATGAAAGGGAACTGTAGTCCTTTTCCAGTGTTCCATAATCTCACCATCTATCCAGTTGTTTAACCAGAAATATAGCGTTATCTTTGACATCGTCTCTTTCTCTATCCACATCTCAAATATAGTCCATGAACAACTCTATGAAGTGATTTTCTGTCTTAGTTCATTTTATGCTGCTATAACAGAATACCTGAGACTGAGTAATTTATACAGAACAGAGATTTATTTCTTACACACCTGGAGGCTGGGAAGTTCAAGGTCAAGGGGCCAATGGTGGAAAGCGGAAGAGCAAGAGAGCACACACACATAAGAGAGAAGTGAAGGAGGAAAAGGGGGCCCAACTCGTCCATTTATTAGGGACCCACTTCCACAATAACTAACCCACTCCAGCGAAAATGGCATTAATCCATTCTGGAGGGCAGAGCACTCATGACCTGCTCACCTAAAGGTCCCACCTTTTAACACTGTTGCATTGGGGATTAAGTTTCTGTCACGTGAACATTGGGAATGTATTCAAACATAGCACTTTCCAGACACATATTCTTCTGGCCATCTTTCCGCCATCTCACAGCTGCCTGGGCTAGGCTAGCATCATTTGGATTACTACAGTAGACTTTCATCTGGCTTCTTGGCATCCACTCTTGTTCTTCTCCATTTTGATCACAACACTGCAGTCATAGATACCTTTGGAAAGTGCAATTACCTTGTCAGCCCCCTGCTTAATACCTTGGATGGCTTTCCATTCCTCTTAGAATGATGAGCAAACTCATTCGTGTGACCTGTAAGGTCTTACTTAGCATGGCTCTTTTCTACCTTTTAGCCTTATTTCCAAATACATGCTGCTGACTCTTGCTCTCCAGACACATTGACACTCTGTCAGGGCACAGTCCCCACTTACTCCCTGTAACAGGCTATAATTTAAAGGGTAGTAGGATGGAGAATGAATTTTTAAAACGTGTAGACACCTTAGGACGTTCATAGGTTGTGGTGAAGTAAGTAGCTTCCTTTTTATCTTGTTTATTAATTTTCTTATTACTTCTCACTAGAATACAAGCTGCAATAAATGTACTTAAACACCATCATGTGCCTGAAATCAAAATTACAACTTTATATGCTTATATGAAAAAAGATAGCTTTCTTCATTTAGGCATGTAAATCAGAGCACATTTGTTTTCTTTATACCAGTTTTTTTCACTTTCAGTTCAGCAAACACTAAATCCACGTGTCAATGGGGAAATAGACCTAGAAGACTGAGAAGCAGATTGTTATAGACATTCTCTAGCCAGTTTTCTTTGTACCAGTTCTATTGTTATATTTTCTATATCTACAAAAATTTTCTCATATTTGGGTATATGTTATCTAAACCTTCCTTCTCCTTTGTACATAAACTTTATTTCTCTGTCAACTTTTCTTTTGATTCATTCCAACAGAGAAATGAGTCCTGTGCTGTTCTATTTTTATGTTTTCAAAGCAAACAGTTACCTTGAGTTATCTACACAGAGAGCCTCACATGGCTGTTCCCAAGCACCACACAGATAAAACCACCATGAAGCAAAGTTAAACCAGTGAATGATCATCTTCACAGAGAGGGAGAAATGGGACCAATCCTGTCAAAATGCGATGAAAATGTGGCCTCTAAAATTAGGTATTATTTTCTTCTGGATGTCAGGTTTCTTTTCCCCCTTCTAATTTCCTCATTTGAAATATAGTAGGAAACAAACAAACAATCCAGAGACAACCAATAGTTCCAGAATTTCTACAGAAATAGAATCCCTCTGTAGGAGTTTTAGTTCAATTTGATGGGACTATACATTCTTCATATAGTCTAAAATTTTCAGATGTTTATGCAAAACCAAACTCAAGACATTCAAGAATTATCTCACGAGCAAGATTTACCAACTGCTTCTCTATCCTTCTCATAAAGTGCCTTATGCAGCATGTCCGGAATGATTCTCTGCATCTGATGCAAAGCAAGAAAGATTCTAGATTTGCATTTGAATTGCTGGCTATTTTTAACTTTCTCAGAGTTTTACTTTGAGAGATATTTTACCTTTGTGGATGAGTTATGGAGTCAGGTGCTTGACCTTTACCAGCTTTCCAGTGAAAAATCCAATGAGGAAAAGACTTCAAACGTCTTACAAAACCAAACTCATTATTTATGAAGTCCTGAACTATGTCAGTGACATTCCCAGACACACATAGTGTAGTAAGGGCTTTATTTCGAGAAATTCCCAAATTGAATCCTCTTTAGTAAGAATCCTATGTGGACTAATTTTGTAAATGATTTCCAATCATAGAAATGCCTGTGAGTGATAGGATTCTACAAACAAACGGGCAGCATCAGAACTCACAAGCTGCTCTTTCCTTCCCCTTCTATAAGAGCCCTCTCTACACCATGGTGTGCAAAGGGGATTCTGTGGAATTAAAACTTGTGTGGTTTCTGGAACCCTAAATCCCCAGTCAAGCAGTCTGGTAAATAAAGATAAGGCATTTACTTGATTTCCCTAATATGGCTTTACCTCAGGGGACAGGGTAAGGAGGAGGGCATATATTAATCAAGAGGTTGTTTTTAAAAAACCTATTGTATATACTTAATATAGTTCTAGTCACCTGAGATTTATAAAAAACATCGTTGCTGCTTTCAATGAGTTTGCAACCTAATTATCTGGCTAAAAATTAGACTTTAAAATTTTAGTTGCATATTTTACTACTTGCCTATTTTTTTTCTCATCAGATAGATTTGTTGAAAACTGAAAATGAGCTCTGATGTCCAGAATCTTTTGGAGTTTTAATTTTACACTCAGGAAAACACCAAGATGACAAGGAATCTACATGTGGGACTCAGCTGACATTTTCCCTATTTAGTATAATGCTGGCAAATGTAAGCCAAAGCCCTCCTGTCCAGTATTATAAGTATCTTCTCTTTCTTTCCTAAGAAGTCAGCAGACTTGACATTTGACTGCTTATTCATTTCCTCCCCTCTCCAGAGCTGAAATTCTCACCCAGGATCATCTGTCACCCGGGCTTTGATGAGGAGGGGGTTTAGGCATTTGCTGTCTGAACTGTCAAACTCAAAGTCAGCTTTGAATGGAAGGTCCCACCATGTGCTTTAGAAAAATAGGGTAGTGGCTGTGGGCAGACAGCAGAGAGGAAGGGAGAGAGAAACATTCTGAAAGAGCATCTGATGTGGGCCTGGGAATATAAAGAGAAGAGGTGAGAGGACAGGTGAATGAGAGTTTAGTGAGCCCATGGCAGATCCAGGGCTTAATTATTATAAAATAATTCCCTGCAGCACTGTATTTCTGAGGTGTATGATTTTTTTGACCATGTGGGCATTTACCCTTTTTAGGTCAAACTGGACACTAAGAAATATACTATAGATATGATTGATTTGTTCTTTCAAGAAACACTTATTGAGCATTAACTACTGCCATGAACTGTGCTAGGCATTGAAAGTACTGTGATGACGATGACCTAGTCCTTAACCTTTCAGAGACTTACAGTTTAAGGAGGGGTGGAAGGAGGCAGATAAGTGAACCAAATATCACAGCATAATGTATTAAGGACCGTGGTAGAATTATGCACAGAGTATTCTTGCAACAAAAAGGAGAAACATATTGTGAAGATTAAGAAAAAAATCCAATCTTAAAAATCTGTGACATTTTTATGACAGTGACACATACACACTTTTGGAGAGATATACTAGTGTCGGGACCAGTTGCACTTACAGAGGAAGATATGAGAAATTACAAAATATTAAAGAACACATCCCCCAAAATTCAACCATTAGTTACCAAGCTTCAGGAATCGGAAATTTGAGAAGTTATTTGGTACAGAATGAAGCTCAGAATTGACCAAAGAAAAGGAAAGTTTAACCTATGTAGTAGATCAGGATTTGAGAGTTTCCCAATAGTTTAATTGGAGGTAGTGACATTTTTATTGAGCAATTAAATGAAACACCCTTTGGATTCAAAAATTAATGCTAAATCTAGAGTAACTGATGAGGTTAATTCCCAATTTCATGCACGTTGTGCACTGAAGTCATTTGTATGATCATGCATTCACCTGGTCAGTTTCTCAGGGTTTCAGTCAGCGCAGCCACAGACAGAGTGAAGACACTGGACATGTTGAAGCTGAAGTCTGACAAGGTACTGGGTTGAAGTTCTGTCCCAGGTATGTGAATTATAAAATTAGGTTTGGTATCTCAGAGAGGCAGACATTTTCTTTGATTTTTCCAGAATTGCTTCTTTCATTTTGGGCCTAATAAGCAGTGAGCAAATGTCATACATTTCAGGAAAATTGGTTTCTGGTTCTGGTCAAATGACTCTTAAATGACATCTATTGAATGAATTTGGAGACATGACATGCCAAGAAGTAAAAACTAAAGGGGACCTTTAAACCAAATCTTGCAGTATTATAATACATGCAATTAAAGTTTATAGTTTCATCTTAGATGATAATAGTTTAATACAAATAGGTCATAGGCAGTATGCACTAATTTGTGCCAAGCATGGTGCTAACACCTGGGCACAGGTTATTTCATTTAATCCTTGTGACCCCATGAATAATATACCATTACTACCTACATTCCTTCTGAGGAAAGGGAGACTCAGGCAAGACGCAGAACTGGGATTCAAACCAAGATATTCAGGGCTGTGAAACTGGTTTTCTAATACTCCATTATACAGCGTGTCTAGAAAGGGCTTTCTTAATTTGTAAATTTGCATTAATTCAGATTGTTTCCTGGGAGTTTGAGTGTACTTTTGTTTAGGGAAGGAGTACATGAGACATCTGTATTGTTCAAATATGAAAGAAAATTCTATTCTTTAGATTCTTCCTTTAAAAAAATTCTCCTAACCACCAGTAGCCTTCAGTCATCAAATACATTAAAGACAGTTAATCTAACATTCTATTTATCAGGAGTCTTTACAGCTGAATAGAGAGTAAATTTTGATAGCATAGTAGCTCTTTGACCTTGAGCAATTTGATTAACTTTCCTACTTTTGAGTTTTCTTATCTGTTCAATGGAAGGTATAATATCTACTGCTGAGGTATGCTGTGAAGATTAAATAACAATAGTAATGAGATAACTATTACTTTTTGAGCTTCTCCTCTGATCCAGTTACTCTAATGGGAAAGTGGTATATATTATGACATTTAAACTTCAACCCAACCAGGTAGTTATTACTGTCATCAATTACCACTGAAGAAACTGAGGCTCAGTAAGGTTTAAGAAACTTGCCCAACATCATGTAGCTATTTTTATATATAAAGTTTCGGTGCTGCAAAAGGAATAGCACTAGAATGTAAAATTTTCTTTTTAATTCTTAGCAAGACAAGTTACTTCTATAGAAGGATGCGCCCTTACAGATGGATCAATGGTGAGCGCACACTTGGACAAGGGAGGGGAAGGGGTCCTCATCCCTGACACACGTGGCCCCTGCTGCTGTGTTGTTCCCCTATTGGGTGGGGTTAGACTGCACAGGATAAACTAATTCCAATTGGCTAATTTAAAGAGAATGACAGGGTGGGTGCTTTGGCTGGAGTCGGAGCAGAGCAGGTAGCAGGTAATCAGAATGAGTCAGGGTGGAGAATGAGCAGGTGATCGGACTGAGTCAGGGTGTAGTAGGTAATCGAAAAAGGTTGCTTTATGAGGAAGTTAAGTTTAAAAGTAGAAGGCAAAGAATTGAACATACTGATATTAATTCTTTGAAAAGAAATTTAGAACTCATATCTAACAACATGAAGTAGAAAAGGTGAGATTCAAACCAAGTTTATCTTGTCTTAATGCTTGTGTTTGTCTCAGATGCTGCATCCTTTTCACATCACACTACCTCTTGACACTATAAAACATTCTAGAAATATTGGACATTATTATTTAAATCCAATTTGTACAATAAGATTATTCTATTATATTTTAATTAATTGAAAAAATGTATAAATGGTAGAGAGGTCACTGTTTAACAGACCATGAGATTGTACCATGCTGATTTTGAAAGTGTAAATGAATAGTACGATTATTGATTGTATTAACTGATTACTACTGCTGCACAGGCTACTGGGGCTTGTACACTTAGAAAGCCATACTGACCCCAATCATCCCTTCCAACTTGGTTTTACCATCCCTTTCCTCATTGCCAGGGGAGAGCAAAGAAAATATAGGACGTGTCAACATTTATAGTCATTTGTATAGGAGATCTGTGAAAATGTCCTTTTTGAAATAGAAGTCATCGTTTGGATAAGATCAAATTCAGACAAATTGAATTTTTATTTGCTTTGACATGGATTGGAATCAGTGATGTGATTTTTTTTCCCCCTCCTGTGCAGGCAGGGGAAAGAAAACCATCTTGATAAATTTCCTTAACTTTCTTGAAGGTGCTCTTTGGAAAAAGCAACAGAGTGTTATGACACAGAGCTCTGACTCTGAGGTTGAAAATCTTATACTTGGAATCTAATGCTACTAATGGATTTTGATGAAGGAAAACATTTAATTACCACATTGAATAATTTGTTCATTCGTTTGACAATTGCTCATTAAGTGCCTACTACATAAGAGACCCTATTCTACGTGCTATGAATACTTCAGAAAGTAAATAAAAATTCCTGCTTTCATAGAGTTTACAACTGAGGAGAAGGGAGATAGACAATAAAATCTTAGCATGTAATGTCCTGGGGATAATATGGTATGCTATGGAGAAAAAGAAAGCATTGTCTGGGAATAAGAAGTGTACAAAGGGGTGTGATTTGAAAGGTGTTTTCAGGGAAGTTTTCTGACATTCAGCAGAAACCTGAAAAAAAGTAAAGAACTGAGTCAAGTGACTATGCAGGGGAAGAATTCTTTAGGCAGCAGGCAGAGCAAGTCAAAGCCTCTGAGGTTTGAGAGTGCTTGGTGGATTTGAGCACTAGCCCAGGAGGCCAGCGTGGTGGCAGTGGAATGGAAAAGAATGGTAGCAGAAGGGTACAGGGAGGAACCAGATTATTCCAGGGCACATGGGCCACTGTAAGGCCTTGGCTTCTGTCTGCAGTCATACAGAAAGACATTGGAGGCTTTTGAGCAGAAGGTAGGACTTAACGTCAATATTGAAATGACCACCAGTGTTGGGTAGAGAATAGAACGTGTGGGTGGGAGAAGGGAGGCAGAAGTAAGAGACCAACTGTGAAAAATGTGTAATAATGTGAGAGTTGGTAGTGACTTGCCCAGAGTGGTAGCAGTGGAAATGACAAGAAATAATTAAAGCTAGGCACAGTTTGAAGGTAGAGGCCTTAGGATTTCCTGTGATGTGCAAAAGAAAGAGAGGATCACAGAGGACTCCAAGGTTTTTCTTCTGAGCAAGTGCAACAGTGAAGTTCCCATTTACACAGATGGAGAAAAATATAGAAGGAGGACATTTTGTGGAATTCCGAACTTTGATTTTGAACATATCCTGTGTGAGATGCCTGTAGACATTTAAGTGGAAATGTTATGTAGGTAGTTGGATATGTAAGTATGGAGGTTAGAGGAAAAGTCAAGGTTAGGGATTAGAATTTGAGAGCTCTGTATACGGGAAGTTTCTGAGGGCTTGACACTTGATTGAACTCATTTAGGGCTTAAGTATAGATAAAGAAGAAATTTATAGTTGATCCATGGAACACTCCAATATTTAAAGGTTTAGGAAATAATAAGGAACCAGCAGGAGATTGAAAAAGTCTCTGTTTATAAAATAAGGAGAAATCACACACACACGCACACATGCACACTCAACACACACACACGCACACACACACTCTCTCTCTCTCTTTCCCCTTTTTTCAGAAACCTGAGTTAAGAGGTAGGAGTCAGTCCCTGAAAAAGGATAATGCTGTTTTTCTTGAAGTACCAAGAAACCTAAGGATGAAGAGGATTTGACAATGGAATGGCATCTTTAATCAGTTGTGCTTAGACAAGCAAATGACTTTGGAATTTGAGGTGAAGACATACTACATGATATGCAGCAGGATCACAGACAAAGATGGCAACAGGGGCTGGAGATAAACTTTTATGATATGTCTTATTCTTACTATTGATATAATAGATGCTCTTTGAAAAAAAATGCAACCGTGCAAATGTATGAAGAGAATAAAATGCACCAATTCCGCCTCACTGAGATAACTGCTGTTAAAATTTTGATGCATTTTTTTCTAGTTTTTTTCATACACACATATGCATTAACAAAATTATATACACATTCTTGCAGTCTGCTTTTTTATTTGATATCATAGCAGAAATATTTTTGGAAGCTTTATTTTTAATTATATTTTGATGAGAGGGAGAGATGATCAAAGGGAAGATTGTGTTAGTTTGAGAAATATCTGGTCCAATATCTTCCAATAAAGTAGGATGATGACTGTCTGTGTATATAAGAGAGACAGAGAACAAGGACAACTCTGGATTCTAAGTGTCTTGGTGACTGATACGATGGCTGTGTTACCCATGGGGACTGAGGAAACAAGACTGACTAAAGCTGTGCTTATTTTTTATATCAAGGGGGACTGCAGACTTGCTTTTTGCATAGCTGGAGAATTGTTTGTTTTTTATTACTAGATGTAGAAGAAGCTGAAAGAAAAAGATATCTCAAAATGTTTTGGCTGGTATCTACCAATGTAAACAGGCAATAAAATTAATTTGTGATATAAAGTAGATTGTTTTGACTAAATTACTTGGTTTGGCTTTCCTCACAGCTTATAAAGAAAAAAAAACAAGCACCATATCTCCTCTATATTTTTCAGGTTGTGGGCATACAGTTCAGACACATATATCATCAAGAATACGGAAACTTTTTCCTCATCAATCTGTGAAAATTGTGAAAATTCATTTTAGTTTATCAGTAAAGTGTTATGAGCATAACCATAGCAAAATAATTTCTCCTGTTGACAACTTTCAAGGCACGAATTGCCTCTAAAGTAAATACTTGATGCAATTAGATTCAGAAGATATCGGTAAGACCAGAGGCAGTGAAAGTCCTTTTACCCTTAATGAAATTAATGAAAATAATAGAAATAATATCGATTTGTAAACCTCTAACAACAGTAAGTAAAATGTATGTGTGTATTTTTGTTTGTGTATTTTGAGCTCTCTCTTTCTATACATGCATTCTTGACTGGTCAGTTGGCTGGAGAAGGGACTTCACAAGGTCAAGGGCACACATTTCACTGGTAACATAGAAGCAGAAAACGATGTCATAGCTATCAAATGCACCAAGAATTCCATACAGTCATTTCGTGGACATGTGGTCTGGTCACGTAAAGACCAGCCAAGAGAGTTCGGCTGGTTCAGTAAAATCCACCACACTGTTAGGAAAAACAAACAGGAAACTGTAACATAGATGCCATCTACTATGGGGCAATGATTTCAACTTTGTATGTGGATTACAGTATATATATAGAAGCTCACAAATACACAAACTCAACTGCATCAGAGAAGAGCAAAAGCCCTATTTATCCTTAATTGCAGTATTTAGCTGAAAACAAACATACTCTAATCATCTTCCAATTTTATTTCTAGTTAATTCTGCATTAGTATGGAAGTTTTAGATGCATTTGAAGAATATTGCATTCTTTTATAAATTTATAATTATTTCACATATCTGCCATTCGTTATAACCAATCTATGCCTCAGAATACAGAGTTTTTCAGAATATAAAGCAACATCTTTACAGCTCGGAGTTTGTGAAGTCCACTGGGGAAACAACACAACAGCACTGAGAAATTCACTTACTATGTTTCTGCCACTTCACATTGAGGGTCATATGCAATGACAAAGACTGAAATTTGCACCATAGATCAAGTTGAGAAAACACTGGTTTCTGATCATTGTACTTTTGCCTTAGAAATCTCAGCCTGTGATTTCCTGACATTTCCTTTTCTGATTGTGCTATACCGATCCCATATAAAGTACAAAGCAGTATAATAAGTTCCTCTGCAAATCTATTCATTATCGACTGGACTTTGGAACCCAACTGCCCCTCCCATCTTTGAAGGAGAATTGTGTTTTTATGCTGTTCATTTAAAAAACAAAACAAAACAGAAAGGTAAAATGTCAAGTCCATAACCTCTAACTAATCACCATTTCCATCTGCAGCCCCAGCAGTTGTTGAAAAGCAAGAGCAGGAACCGAGAGAAAGCCCCTTCTTTTAGTCGAAAACTCTTACTCTGCTTAGGAAAACCATGAACCCAAACAGTGTGGGTCAGCCTTTCAATATGCAAAACGGACGAAGGTACCCAATTTTCTTTTATAATGGATTACATAGGAAATAGTTCTTTGTCAGGGAAATTTGTCGTAATCTTCCAATTTCCCCTTTGAAAAATCAGACTCTGACCATCAAAACACATTGACTGTAGAAATAAAATAACAGGTTTCAAATCTTAAGGACAGCTTCCTCTTTATTTTTCTTGGACCTTTATGCCTTCCACCCACCAAAGTCTTCACTCGACCCTACCAGTACAGTAGCCCAGCCGGCACCACAGGTAAGAGGCAAAGTGTTTCCTTCGTGACCTCTAAGCATTCTACTCCACAGGAAAAGCAACGTGGAATGCACACTCAGCAAGCTGTAAGCCTGGAGCCAGTTTGTCCTGGAGGCATTTCTGCCATAAAACATAATACTGTCCACTGTGTTTTGCTCTAAGCAGAGCGTCTCCCACTCCCCTCTCCCTCCTCTTGCTGCTTCTCACTCCGCACCTGGCTGCAATTCACGATCCTCACGCCACAGAACAAACAAAAAGCATGAAACAGCAACAGATTCCTTTGTTTTACATGCAAATCCTACCTCCGGTAGTTGTCACATCTTCCTCAAAAGCCACGCTTAATTTTTAATGACAGCGATCCGGTGCAGTCCTCCAAATAGCCACCGGTAATCATCATTACCTCTTGTGCCTAAAGCCTTTGTGGACCATTAATGTCACAACCCTTTCTAACTCATAGCTTTAATACTCCCTGCTCAAAATGTCTGAAAGAGTTTGGAAGGACAATAGGAGTGACAGGCACGCTAGACAGCCATGCTTGAAATTAGTTATCTGGAGCTCCGTTAAAGCTGCTTCATACTGTTTTAAAGCGTGCAGGAGGTAGGATTTATTAGCCTATGATAGGCATGCTGTTTCTGTTTTTATTAAATACTGTAATAGGCTGTCTGTTAGCAATGCTGTGATAGGTCCAACATCACTTCCCCACTGCTTTCGAATTCTCATATTAAAAAGGGAGAGAGGGCTCACAGTCTTCCTTCCCAGACCGACATCGCCCTGCACTGGATCAGATTTCCAAATCCTCCTTAACTATAGGAGAGAGAGCCAAATAGATATTTTCTATATGGAAAGCGAACTTGGTAGTAAACACTCTAGGATTCTCCAAACAATTTTCTCACTCCCAGTAAGGGATTCCTGCTCTTCCCAGTTACAAAAATAAGTGTTCTCTGGAGTTAGGTATGAAAATCAATCCAAATAGGAAAAGTTCTCATTATTACTGAGATATGACTTAAGGTACACATGTACACAAAATCTCAAATTATAGATCAACTAGACTGAATGGATCATTCAGTGCATAAAGTGTTTATTTTATGCTGACTTACAAAGCTTTGTGTTTCAGGCTGAAGCAATCACATGCCATGCACAACTGTCAAACGGCAAGAATGAATGATGGATGGAAAGAATGGGAATGTGTACGTTATCTTGCTCCACTTTGGACAGTCATGATCATGGAAGATAGAAGAGGGATTTCTTAACATTGGTCAGAGAAGAGGGTATCAGTTAGCTGGAAGTGCTACTCTGAAAAGTTAAGTACCTTTGCAAGTAAGGAAGCGGAGAAAGTTCTTAATAGAACTACACAATTTATTCATTCTCTTCCGCATTTCCTTTCTTCCTGCTACTCCAGGAGCAATAGTATTGTAGTAGTTACTACGGAAACTAGATGGTGTGCTCCAGGGAAGGGCTTAAAGAGAGCAGCAGATGTAATATGGATGGACATGTATTATACTGGCCTATAGAACTAAAAATGAGTAGCAATTAACAAACAAAAACTGCTACAAACTACTACAACAAAATATTAGAGAGAATGATTATAAATCACCACTACTTAATTATTGGTAGTTTTGTAATCTAGAAATGCTCTAATGATCGGGTCATAGCATCCATTATTTTATTATATGTAATAACTGAATATCTGAATTGCTCAGATGTCTGATAAAGCAAAGACGCTGTTTCCTCTGCTCCTTTGTCCCTCCCTCCCTCCCTCCCTCTCTGTCTTCCTTCCTTCCTTCTTTCCTCCCTCCCTCTCTCCCTCCCTCCTTCCCTCTCTCCCTCTCTCTCTTTCTTTTCTTTTCCTCTCTCTCTCTCTCACTCTCTCTCTCTCTCACTCTCTCTCTCTCTTTCGAGACAGGGGTCCACTATGTTACCCAGGGTGTTCTCAAACCTTTCTTTTTCTAAACTCCTAGTTGTCAGTTTGAATATGCCCTAATGGTGTGTGAGTTTTAGTTGTTACTTGACTGGTTACAGTTTCTTCTCAGGAATAAAACGTGATTTAGAGGAAAACTGTCCTAGTATCACAAACCATAATTTTGTTCTCTTTGAGTATCCTTATAGTGGTTTTCCTGGGACAACCAAAGTCAGAAAATACTTATTGCAACTCAAATTAAAAAAAAAAAAAAATCTTTGCCCATTAAATTGGTAGGAAAAAGAGAAAAAGACTTTTTCAAATTTTCAGTTTTCCAAGTAGTAAAAGAAAAAAAATTCTTTTATGTTAAGAGTCCAAGACATTTCACTAGCCTCATGGTCATCCAAGAGGAACTATTTCTCACCAGCGTAATTAAATTTTCACAGTTGTGAGGAGTCCAGCGAATACAAAATTATTTTCTTTAGTACCTCAACTTCACAGTTTGTAATTGGAGTAACTGATACCACTGAAGTGTGAGTATAAAAACTCCGAAAAGAAATTGTTGAAAAACAATGCTTAAAGATTTTATGAAAATCCTGTCTTTTATAGGCAAGCAAATAATCCAAACATTTGTAATAGAAGAATTATTTCAGGGGAAAAGTATTTGTGATATTCTCTTTTAATAATAATGGGGCTGAGCACGGTGGCTCACGCCTGTAATCTCAGCACTTTGGGAGGCCGAGGCAGGCGGATCACCTGAGGTCGGGAGTTCGAGATCAGCCTGACCAACATGGAGAAACCCCGTCTCTACCAAAAATACAAAAAGTTAGTCGGGCATGGTGGTGTATGCATGTAATTCCAGCTACTCGGGAGGCTGAGGCAGGAGAATCACTTGAACTCGGGAGGTGGAGGTTGCAGTGAGCCGAGATCGTGCCATTGCACTCCAGCCTGGGCAACAAGAGCGAAACTCTGTCTCAAAAAAACAAAACAAAACAAAACAAAAAAAAAAAAAAAGGAAAAGTAATATTACAAATTATATCTCACAGTTATTTTTTCAAATGTAAGGAAGTGTTTAAATTATAACCTAAACACCACCACTATATGATTTAGAGAGAGAAAAGAAGAGAAAAGAAGAGAAGAGAAGAGAAGAAGAGAAGAGAATAGGAGAGGAGAAGAGAAGGGAGAAGAGGGGAGGGGAAGAAAGCAGAGAGGAGGGATCAGAAAAAATACCCCAGTCGTATACTTCCCTCCAATTTTTATCTGTGGCTAATTCAGAAAACAGTGGCTAAAAATACAAGAGATAAATGAATAAGATTTTGATAATGGGATAAAGCGAGAAGGTGGGCCTGGGGCAGGGATTGTTAGTGACGCTTTCTGGAGGCTCTGTTCCTGGAGGAGCAAAGAAAGCCCCTAACTCAGACCCATCTGAGAATAAAGGAGGTTTCTGGAAGGAGCAGTGTTCAGATGGGAATGGGGATGGAGCATAAGATGGTTTGTTGTGGTAGTGAAAGAGGAGCAGGAAATGAGGAAGGGACGCTGAAGGAGGAGAAAGAAGAGAAAAAGGAGAAAAGAGATTTATGAGGAAGGAAGGAAAGAATTTCTTGAGATAGCATGGTATTGGAAGAGGGCACAGGCTTTGAAATAAGGCAGCCTGACTTGGAAACAGTTCTGCTAGCCTGTTTCCAGTTCACTGTGTTCAAATGAAATGATAGCAATGGCTGTTCTAAGACTGCAGTGATGTGAATGAAAGGACATAATGTATGAGTGAAGCTCTTTACAAAGAGATGTACTGAAATAAATGTTAGTTATCACAGAGCAGGAAGAAAGAGGGAGATGCATGATTGAAGATGAGGAGAGGGCCACAATAGGAAAGAGAGGAGAAAAGGGATAGGAAGAAAAGGAAGCATGAAAAGAACCTCTCTAGGGGAGGTAGAAGAGAGAAAAATTTCTCCTGTTGAATCATATAAGATACAATCTCTTTCTTGCATTTGTTTTGTTTTCTGGATCACATTTCAATAGCTGTTCCTTTAGTTTTACCTCTATCATGAAGTTTCAGATAATAAAGTGTCTTTGAAGCTCATACCTTCTTCAACAAGAGAGAAACCTATGCTGAATTTGTTGAAAGCTTGTTCTACCATTTTGAAAACAGCTGATCGGAGGAGTGAATTTAGTAACTCTTAGCATTACTTTTCTGGATGGTTCCCCAGAGAGTGAAGTTTGGGCCGGCAGAAGGCAGGGACTGAAGTGATATTTCAGAGCTATATTACCAAACACATTCAGCAAGAATATTTTGTGCATCTGTAACTTGATAACATTTCAACAGCATCTGCTCCCTGAATGTACATCAGAGAACTTGTTCTGGAAAGAATTTGTGTGTGTTAACAAATATTAGGTTAAGAACTGGAGACTGGGGGAGAGTGGTGTGATCACACATACACAGAATTTGCAGTTTACGTGCACAGCCCGCCAGTGAAATGGTTTAATGAATGGAACAATGAATGCATAATTTCATTATGAGTCATCACTATTAAAATGAAAATTTGATAGATACATAACCAGAAAATGTAGCTATCTGTTACAGACACAAGTGCTAATTATATTTTGGAGTATATAATTTATGCTCTGAATAATACAGCAAGTAACTGCTTTTGCCCTATTATGACTATTTTTCCAGGAACAACAGGAAAGTTAGTTTAGACACTGCTTCCTTACTATTATATTTCTGTGAATGTTGAAGCTGACTCACTTTGAAGTGATCTACAGTTCCACATTAGGTGCATACAAAAGGCATTTTCTAGTATAAACTCAAATGCATAAACTTAGAAAGCAATTAAAGACAACAGTTGAAGAAAATCTAACATCAAACCAGCATCTTATTTCTAAAATAGAAATGAAATGCTTTAATTGGTCCATATCACTTTTCACAAAAATTGTCCTTCAAATTTAAATTTCTCTAAAAAAGTTTTCATGAAATCATAATTTCTAAAAGTTTACATTTCTGGAGTATATTTGCCCACATCACATTTGATACTTTTAGAATAAAGTTATTGGGTGGCAAGGCAAATATTAATAGTTACATTTCCATCTAGGCAAATTGAGGATAAGGGAGGTTTAATGATTTTTTTTGCAATCACGTAGCCTGTGCGTATGTCCTCATAATCCAGTGTTCTTTTTATTTCATAAAACTTTTCACCTAGGTCCTGTATTTTTTAGTTAAAACTTCTACTAATATATGCAGCAGAAGATTTTTTAAAAAAAATTTTAAAATAAGAGAGACAACAAAGAGAAGCTACGCACTGGTAGAAAATATTCACAAGACATATTTTATAAAGGACTGCTATCCAAGCTATACAAGGAACACTTAAGACCTAGCAATAAGAAAAACACACAACCTGATTAAAAAATGTTCCAAAGACCTTAACAGACACTTCACTAAGGAAGATATATGGATGGCGAATAAGCATATGAAAAGATGCTCCACATCATATGTCATCAGGAAAATGCAAATTAAAACAACAACACACTACCACTATGCACCTATTAGAAGAGCCAAAATCTAGAACAGTGACAACACCAAATTCTGGAGAGCAACAGGATGCAAGAGCAACAGGAACTATCATTCATTGCTGGTGGAAATGCAAAATGGTGCAGCCACTTTGGAAGACAATAAGCAAAGCATACTCTTACCATATGATCCAGCAAACAGGCTCTTTGGTATTTATCCAAAAGAGCTGAAAACTTATGTCTACACAAAAACCTGCACACAAATGTTTATAGCAGCTTTATTCATAATTGCCAAACTTTGGAAGAAACCAAGATGTCCTTCAGTAGCTGAAAAAAATAAACTGTGGTACACCCAGACAATGGAATATTATTCAGCACTGAAAAAGAAGAGCTCTCAAGCCATGAAAAGACATGGAGGATAGTCAAATGAGCATTACTAAGTGAAAGAAGCCAATCTGAGAAGTCTACCTACTGATTCCAGCAACCTGATGTTCTGGAAAAGTGAAAACAATGGAGACAGTAAAAAGATCATTGGTTCCCAGGAGATGGGAGGTCAGGGGAGGGATAAGTGGGTGAAGCACAGAAAATTTTTAGGGCAGTGGAAATAGTCTGTATAATACTGTAGTGACGGATCATGTCATAATACATTTGTCCAAACCCATAGAATGTACATCACCAAGAGTGAACCTTAATGTAGACTATGGACTTTGGGTAATTATGATGAATCTAAATATAGTTTCATCAATTTAAAAATTAAATATAGGTTCACCAATTTTAATCAATGTACCACTCTGGTGGGAGATGTGGATAACGGGGAAATCTCTTCATATGTGGGGCAAGGAATACAGTGAGGGGGTATATGAGAAACCTCTGTGTCTTCCTCTCAACTTTGCTGTGAACCTAAAACTGCTCTAAAAAATAAAGTTTTTAAAATAAACTACAGAAAAAAGCATAAAATAAGAGATTGCTGGAATATATATATATATATATATATATATATATTTTCTCCTTCTATGTGACAAATACTCATGGCTTTTTAAGAAACATTTTGTTTTATTGCAACTTATGTTTTTAAGATAGAGTTGCTAAATATTTTTAAAAGGTGAACTATAGAAATTCATAATAATTCTAATTACAGACTCAATATTGAATAATTCTGTAATAATTGCAGCTGCCCAGGACTTCCTGACCGGTGGGTTACAAGCAAAAACCCACCCAGTACGACCACGATTTGGGTCATGTTCTTGGATTATTTGATTGCTTTCCCGTCTCTCTTTATCACAATTAGGAGAGCAAGTCCTATAGGTCCTAACCCCCACCACCAACCTTGTGGCAGTTAGCCTTACCTGCAGGTTTTATATAGAGTTATTACCATTCTGTGTGCATGTGGTCAAATGGGAGAAGGAGGTACATAATAATATAATATACATATTAATTAATTTTATCTAAATTTTCAGAATAGTAACATCCTCTCCAACACCTCCCTGATTCCCCACCAAACACAGATAGAGATGCTGCAGAGCCCACTCTTGGATCCCATGAGAAAGCACTGGAATAAGCTAGTTTAACCACTTTCAGAAGCAATAGTTCTTTGGCTGAGGCATTGCATTTGGCAGAAGCTTATTGGGGCTTCATTACCATCCTTCTGAAGCCTGTCAGAGTACTGAACATAAATCAGTTTTAAAATAAAACATAAAATAGAGCATTGACAGTTGCTGAGGTTTTATTTCATTTGGAATCTCCTACTTCCCAGGACCTAGCTGCAGTCTTCCTGCTTATTGGAAATATGGACTATATGAATGTGGCACTCCAGGCTCTGTGTATCTATGTGCAATCAATGGGAAGATGATACTGGTTGCTATACAACATAGCATTAGACATGATACCTGCTGCTTTCAATATTATGTTAATTAAAAGACATCTGTCTTCCAAACAAAATGGAACAAAAACAAAAATCTTTGGTATGCAGAGAGCTCTAAGGTTAGCTATAAAAGGCAAAGATTTATGTGTATGTTGGTATTTACATTTATGTGTATATTTTATTAGCTCATTTTATGTTGCTAGATTCTTAGAGTAAAAGAAGAACCACTTAATAAACAAAATGCTATTTAGCAAAATGTGAATATTTTTTGTGAAACGTTCACTTTACAAAATGACAGCATAATCCTGATAAATGTATTGTGTCTTTGCTAGGTGGAGAATTTTTAAGGGCTTATTAAATTCTAGGCATCTAGAAAAGTCTTAATAAATATTTCCTTGTTTCATAATTTACTTAGAAAAGGAATTGGCAAAATGGATATAAACACATACATTTGCATATTGAAGTATATTTGTAAAGTTGCTTTCATAAAGGGTGTAAGTTAGATAGGATGGTAGTGTCATTGTATGTCCTGTTTTATTCCTTAAAAATGAAACAAAAAATCCCTAAACCTTGTTTAATTCAGATTATGAAAGGGATACACACTCAGTATTGAAAAATTGGAGTATCGAAAAAACATAAAAATTAAAAGTATACAAAGAGTATTTTAAAAGTTTCCTATCATCCCACAATCCAGAGATAACTTCTATTATAATATTAAAGAGCATTTTATTGCATCTAGTTTTATATATTTATTTTCTCCTTATCCTTATGTTTTCCATGTTATTTTGAAATCTTTAAATCTTTTTAATAAACATATAGTATTTTGTCATATGCATCTTCTGTAATTTTTTTCAACAACCCTCATTGGTTAACACACAGGTTATCTTCCTTTTTCATTAGCAAAATGGCTTTGCTGAAGGCTTAGTACCAAAATCTTCGTCTACATCTCTGATTACATTACTTTAGGATAGATTTCCATGCGTGGATTGTTGGGCTGAAATGTACGAGGATTCTAAAGGGTCTTGGTATGTTCTTGCTGAGTTGCTCTGTTGAAGGGTTGTACCATTTTCATAGCCCCATGAGTGGAGTATGACTCTACTTTTGGCAGAAGAGTCATCATGGTGAGAAAAGAATGCTTTATTCCAGTCTTCCACACAGGTTTATTTCATTTTCTTTTTGCTTTTGGGACTAAAGTGGAAATCACTTGTCATGTAACAAGAGGGGAGAGAAAGGGGGCAAAGGAAAAGAATAACTAGTGTTGGCATTTTTATTTCAGTTTCTTGAAGTAGAAATGTTTTCATTCTTATTGTGGGAAGAGGGAAAGTGAAGAACTACTGCAAAGTCTGGTCCCTAGATTCATGTTGTTCCTATTGTTCAAAGCAAAATCTCTTCCTCACTGTGTCCTTTAAAACCTTGGGTATTTCTACTTCCAGGGGATTCTGATGTAAGCAAATCCACATGGTAAATCTGGTGTGTCTTCCTGGAAAATCAATTTGCTCCAAGACTGTAGGGACAGGAGTTTTGAATTTTTGTGTTCTGTAAAGTTTTTAACAGATGCATAAGATCAGGTTATTCAACATCATTAATAACGTAAACTCAGAAAAAAAGATCAATTTTATGAACTGGGAGTCATTGGGAATCTGGAACTATTTTGTCTTCAGGGAGCTTTTGTGATAGAAGTCAAAATGAACAGAAAACAAGTCCTCAGTGAGAACTGGTGATGCTAATACAAAAGGATGGGAGCGTACAATTTCTTGGCAAGTTAGAAGAAACCTATGTTGCTTGCTATATGGAGAAAGAGTTTATTTCCTAAGATTCAGTATTTTTTTGGTTGTTACACATAAGAAAACTGCCCACATACAAATCAGATCAACATCTTGCTAAAATTGCATTCAATTAAATGTTAATTTAAATGAGTCCCTGTTTTATTTTAATTTCTACCAGTGAAGTAACTTAAATTGTGTGTGTGTGTGCATGATTCTAGGGCCATACCTAATTTATGTCTTAAGTATGCTAATTCTAAAGTTATATTTTCAACTGTGATAGCTCTCTGGCTAGTTAAAAACAGTAACTCTTAAAATGAGCTTGAAATATCAGGAAATATGCAAGATAATGAAGGAAATTAAGAATAACCTGAAATTATAGACACGTGTCAAAACTGACATCCTTAAAGCTCTCTACAAAGTGCTTGATAGCAACAAGGTTGATAGCATGACCCAACTATGTCTGGAAAACACATAATGAGAAGCATCCAGACTTGTCAAAAAGTGTAGAATGTACCCAAATGTTTATTTAAAATTTGAGTATATTATCATGGAAATAGAGAATGACATTTTTTCTTATACAAGAATACAATGGATAAACATTCCATGAATCTATCATTTCTGAAGGGAAATTTAAAAAACAATCACAGAATTTTTGAAGAAAAAAATCACTAGAGTTTTGCCAACTAAAAGAAAAAGTCTTGGGTAGAAGTACTAGAATGCATTACAAAATCAAACAAGCCATTCAAAACAACTTGACATTATCTTTAAGTTTAAAGCGTTACCTTTTCCATTTCTCTTAGAAAATGAAGTTTATGAAATAGAGACACTTTGGTGAAATCTTAACCATGCGTGTGGCCAGATGGTGACTTTGTAAAAATTAGAAAAAGCCACCCCTTCATCAGAATTTATGAACCTTCTGTTAGAAAATAATCTCAATAAGTAGAAAAACACTATGATGTCTACATATATGAATGGCGGCTCTGGAATCACAGCATAAAAAACCTGCATGACTACAGGTGATAGTCTTGTATTTCTCAACTGAGAAGTGGTAGCACAGGCCAAAATAATTGTGGCAAATTTGTGTTTTAAAAAGGATTAGGACTAACCTTCCTCTTTCCCTTATATTTTCATGATAACTTGGATAATTGTCTATTTTTATTTAATACTGTATTTATTAATGGTCATGTTTGTGATATTAATTTGCAAATTACTCAATTGTATTAAATGATGAAGAATTGTTTAGTAAGTGAGTTATTTAACAAAAACAATAGTAAGTGCAAAAATGTATTAACAAAGAAGAGATTTTACGATACAGTTCGTTGAGTGTGGCTCACTTCCACTCTTTTCCTTTCTCCAATAGACTGATGGCCCTTTGCAGGTGTGACCCTGAGCTCTGCTGGATTTCTTGTGAAGAAAACTCCAAGGAATGGATGAATGCCTGGAAACTTACTGCTGGAAGTCATAAGGCAATGACAAGAAAATAGCATATCATTGGAAGACTTGACCCATGGGATCTATAAATTCCTAGGGAAGCTCCTTACTATAATTTGTTTGGTTTCTATGGAATCCAACAAGAAAAGAAATAGCGAAACATGTGGGTTGTCTCCTCTTTGGCACTAAGCCTGGGAGAATATGAAGATATCTGAAAACAAAGAGGCTTCCTTCAGGTGTTCAGGAGGGGGCTAACACTGCCTACTTGTATGTCAAGGGCCCATGGGAGTAGACACTCCCAGAATGCTACCACTTGGATTCTCCAGGGATCATATGTGATACCAATCAGCTGACAAAGAAAATAACAACCCATCTAAGGGGATTCAGCAGCTAGAAAGAAAATGAGTATGCCAAGCAAACTGAATACACGACCAGCAAAATAGAACTTCAAAAGGAGACAAAATACAACATTCTCTCTCTCTCTGTGTGTGTGTGTGTGTGTGTGTGTGTGTGTGTTTGCATGTAAATAACAAAATTCAAGTTCTGGACACAATTTTTAGAGCTAAACACATGACCTTCCAACTAAACTTTTTATTAGATATCAAAGAAGCTGGTCACTGTTGAGGTGAAGATCAAGTGCAAGATACATTTTGAGGCACAGAGCAAAAATGTAAAGAATCAGAAAAAGACAAGAGACTTGAGGATTTAATCCAAACAACTGAACAGCTAAAAACAAGAGCTACAGGGGCAGAAGAAGAAAAAGTTTAAGAAAGAGACAGTATATTATTTTCTCTGAGAAGAGGTAAAGCTGGAAACCTGTTGTAAGCAAGATTTATTGAATTTTCTCATCATAGTCTTAAAAGAGCAGTACTCCAATAGGTCTTGTTTACTAAAGGAAGATTTGTTGAAAGAATCAAACAACTGATGGAGGCTGATGAAAAGAATACATGACGATCAATGACACTTGGTACACACGTTCACACTCACAGACACATACACAAACGTTGGATAGGAAAAGGCTGGCTGGCAACATGTGGCAACAGTGCTCTGTAAGGACTCTTGAAGTAGAATAAATAGTCTTACTGAAAGAGGAATTCAGATTATTATTTTTAAAAACTTGGAACAAGAGTTCTAGGCTGACTCAGCAAAAACTAGGAGCCAGGCTAGGGGAGGGGATAAGTAAAAATCCTTCCAAAGGATTCCTATCTGGGGAAAGGAGGAGAAGGCCAAGCATTTAAGATCTCATATTACAGAGGACAGGAGAGGGAGCACATTGAGAAGAAATATAGCATCTTGGTTGTATAGTGTGTTCTGGTGTGAAAATGTGCATTTAATGTTCAAAAATAGTGTGAGAAAAGATAATCATTGATGGAATAGTACCATAAAAGTCCCAAATTAACAAGAAAAAAAAAAAAAGAAAAACCACAATAGATAATAGCATGATCAGCAAAGATAAGGGAAAGAAAAAAAAAAGAAGTAATATAAAATAAATAATTAAAATAAAGTGTAAAGGAAGACATAAAATCAAGTACAATGGTTACTATATCATTTGTAGGCAGAATTTTCCCTTTGAAAGACTGAGACGTCAGATTGGGTTAAAGCAAATTTAACCCATGTATATGCTATTTAAAAGAAAATAAGATAAAGGTGAACAAAGATTGAAGATAAAGAGGTGAAAAAAGAGGTATCATACAAATGCAAGCTAATAGAAAGTTATAATATTAGTGGCAGCTGATATATTTAAACTTAAAAGCACTATAGAGGATAAAAAATATTATATAATGATAAAACTGATACTACTTGAAGCAATGATAATCATAAACCTATATTTACCCACCAATTAAAAAACATCAACTAGCTAAATACATAAAGCAAAAACAATTAAAAATTTGAGAACTTTTAAAAAGTTATAATAGGTAACACTAATTTAAGGAAGTGATAGCTCTCTCTAAGAATTGGACAGATTAAATATGCAAAAAATTAGTAAAATCATAAAGCAATTGAAGAGTATCATACATCGGTAAGAATTTGTAAAAAGCTTCCATCTTTCAAATAGAGAATCACAATTACAAAATAATCATAGTAATAATAATAATGGTGATAATTATGTACTTGACTAACAAAGGAAAACCTTACAAATTTTTAAAAGTTGGGTGTGAGCCATGAGCCATGGTCTTCTATCAAGTATAATTTGTGACAGAGGAAAATGAGAGGTGACTAAAGAAAGGTTATTTCTTAGAAATAAAATTTTAAAAAGCACTCTTGAATTACCATTGTAGAAAGGGAAAGTCAAATGGAAATTATTATTTATCTAAGAACTACAAAGGGAGACTCTTTATTCTGTAACTTACTACTCCTAAAATATACAACTCCAAATGCCTGTACTATTAAAAAAGAAAGATGAGAAAGTAAAGCTAGTACTATACATCTGAAAAGATTAGAAAAGCAATTTTTAAAAAGAAGTAGAAATTAATAGAATAGGAAAAAATGAAATGAAAGAAAAGACAAATTAATCTAAAACCTTAAAAAAACTAATGAAATAGATATACTCTGAGCATGATTAAAGAAAACACAATGAGCAAAAATACATGACATCAATTAGAAGGAAGATATAAATATAGAAGGAAGATATAACTGTAAACATATACATTACAGTTGTAATAAAATAAAACATTTGAAAACTTAGATAACAAACATGCTAATAAACCAGTCATCACATAAAAGATCAGATGTGTTCACAGCTGAAATTTTACCTAAACTTTAAAGAATAGTTAATTGTAAAGCTATTTCTAATCCAGATCATAAAAAATGAGTAAATCATTTAATTTGATTTTTATAAAGTCAGAATAACTTTAGTACCAAACCAGAATAAAGTTACTTCGGAAAAAGTAATAATATATTGTGTCAAACTAGGATTTATTCAAGAAATGCAACATCTATTAATCTATCAATATAAGCTTTCAACAAATTCAAGGGGAAAAGTCATATTATCTTGTTAAAAGACATTAAAAGGCATTTGATAAAAGTCAACATCCAGTCCTAATAACATATTAAGTAAAATAAAAGAAAGAACAAAGAAAGACAATTTAAATATAATAAAGACTGTTTTCCAAAATCCAACAGCAAATATTCTAAATGTAAAACTCTAAGGAAATTTCAATTAAAATAATAAATTAGTTAGGGATGCTTAGCTCAAAACTCTTGATTGGTTCTGCACTGGTCTATTAAGAAGTTCAAGCTTCCTGACATGTGAAGGCATTCTTGCATGGCCCTGCCTCCTTTTGGAGCTTCATTTTCTTCACTGTATTACTCATAGGTCACTGTCCATTGAGATCTTTGTCTAGCGCCCATGTTTGATGTTTTCTTCCCTCTCTGCTTGTGCTCATGCTGCCCTCTTTCCCTTCCATGACTGCTCATGCTTCTCCTCTCTTTTTCATCTGGGGTATGTCTCATTTTTAAGACCTACTCCTGCCCTCCCATAGATGCCCATGTATTGCTCATAAGAAATGCTGCTTCAGCACAGAAATAAGGTTCATTTCCCTTTGCATACCCAGTATCTAGCTCTGTGCCTGACACATAGAACATGTGTAATAAAAGTTAACTGAATCAATGTACAAAGAGATGAACAATCCACAAACACTAAAGCCTCTGTTGCCTTGCTTTTACTACCCCTAGTAACAGCAATGGTGGTTACTTCCTGCTGAGATGCCCACTCATGATGATGACAAAACTTGTCTCTTTGTGGATGGATGAATTATGTTCTTTTGTTTTATGACCCATATGCACACCTGACAAATGGTGCTAGTAATGGATTTTACTCGTGTTCTGCGTCATGAACTGCCACTTGTGTCTGTATCTGCTAGATTACTTGCCCATTCCTTTGTTCTTGCCATTGTGTCCTGAAAGAATGGGATGAGCATGGGGGCAGAGGAGATGTTCCAGAAGCCCTGTTCAGTGATCCAGAAGAAGTCTTCACCTTTTACGTGGTGTTTTATACAAATTCTCTAGTGTTTTGCTATGGTGTTTTGCTGGCTGATGATTCAGTGAACACTTGACAATCATTGCTTGTGCAGTATGCATGTTTTTAACTACTGATTTCGAGGCTGTCAAGGGGAAAATTTCTTTTGAATGAACTCAAAAGAGTTCAGTAGGTGAGCTTGATTCTGCAGCTGCTAGAACTTGCCACTTCCTGTAGGTATTTTTTTTTTTGTCTCTCACTCTAGCCTTTGCCATCTGCCATTGTTACATGTCCCAGATGTGAAAGATTTTCTCATTATCCTGTAAACATGACTCTGTCATCCCCTTCATTTGTCTGGCCATTAGTTATCAAATTGTTGAGGGTCTGGCTGACCGTTCCTTAACACGTCTGTTCCAGATGCTACTTCTACAAGGGGAATGAAGAATAGCTAATATGCTTCACAATTAGTAGCTTATATTTAATTGCTTTCTCCTAATTCCAGTCAACTTGCAAAAATTTTAATAATTGGTATAACTTATACTCAGTTGTCCTATATATTTGGGCATGTAAAATGTACCGTATGGAAATTAAGGCCACACTCCTCCAACTTCAAAACTCATTTCAAGTACCATATTCTCAGGGAAGCCTTACCTGACCCCACCCAGAATAAGCTGTGATTTTTTCCTTTATTCATGTCAGTATTTTATAATATACCACATTTAATTACAATTGTTTGTATGTCTAGAGGTGAGGTTAGGTTGTATATGTCCTTTACTTCCATAGTCTCATTTATTAACACTATTAGCAGTTGCTTAGAAATTAACAGGTGCTCAGTAGAGACATGTAGCCCGACTGACCAACTACCACCTTCATTTGAACTCTTTATATCCATGCTGGTGAGTTCTTAAAGAATGCAGAAGACCAGTGCTAGGGAAAATTCTAATAAGCAATCTTTGGTGATATTTCTTTTTTTTTTTTTTTTAAGACGGAGTTTCACTCTTGTTGCCCAGGCCGGAGTGCAATGGCATGATCTTGGCTCACTGCAACCTCCTCCTCCCGGGTTCAAGTGATTCTCCTGCCTCAGCCTCCGGAGTAGCTAGGATTATAGGTGTGTGTCACCACGCCCAGGTAATTTTTGTATTTTTAGTAGAGACGGGGTTTCACCATCTTGGCCCGGCTGGTCTCAAACTCCTGACCTCGTGATCCACCCGCCTCGGCCTCCCAAAGTGCTTGGATTACAGGTGTAAGCCACTGCGCTCAGCCACTTTGGTGATATTTCTCTGGAAGCCTGGCTTGGAAGCAAGAGCACTGTATTTATAGTTGGGAAATGTGGATTTCAGTATCATGGCTGCTGTTTTTGAATTTTGCATGGAGTAATTTTGAATGTCACCTTGGAAAGTCATGTACATTCACCTTTCCCACTTCTAATACAAGGATACTAATATGTATCCCCACCTCAGAAGGTTATAGTGAGAACCAAATAAGAGAGCATTTGATAAAATGTAAAACGATATGCAGAACGAAGCTGCTAAAGTTGCTTCTGCTCATTTTGACATATTCAATGTATACATATAGGTCACATGATATATTTAATTTAGTACATTTAAATACTGTTTTAAAAAATTATTTGTCACATAAAGAATATAGAGCACTCTAAAAAGGATAATAAAAGTGATTTTTCTTCTGGGCATAACCAAGGCTTTAGTAATCCTTCAAAGACGGAAATATGGCAGGTTACAACGAAATGGAAAGCATGTAGAATAATCGCAGCATCCTTTTTCAAAACTGGATGCTGACTGCCTCTTTAGTTCTCTCCCAAAACTATATAGGATTCATTATATTTATATATGCAGGTGGCATTTGACCAAATTAGGCTGTCTGTATAAGAGCTTTATTGAGTAATTCCAAAGGAATTTCCCACTCTTGCTTCCCTTGATAGAAGGTCACAGAATTCACTTGGCTTCAGATAGACCCATGTGAGTGCTGGGAATTTGGTTCAACTTCCCCTCCCTCTACATATTCTGCTGAGAGTCAATTGATGTCTGCTGGTGTTCCATTTGTTAAGTAGTGGATTACTGATCAAATGTTATCTCTCTGGCAGAGCATACGATGACTTAGAAACCCTCACCTTTTACTATCATTTAGGGGTCCCACAGTCACTACTCTCTTAGTTTTGTTAATTTCTCCAAAGCCTTCCAGTAGTTATTACCACCGTTCCTTCTTTAGGGTAATCAAAAGCAGTTTAGAGAATAAATCACGCATCTCTACTCTGGAAATTTGACAACAGAGCCCTTAGCTCCCTAAGATGCTGTCTTCATCACATAAAACAGGCTTTTTTGGGGTCTATGACCTTAAATTAAGTTTATGCCATTAGCTTCACCTATCATAGTACTGGGGGCTAATTCATTTCTTTTATCTTAAGAAAAAAAATTAAAGATCTGGTATAATGCTTTTAAAATTTTTCACATACTTTGACTTCATCTTCTTATCACCATTTTTCAATTTCAATTACTTAGTGTTTTAGAACCAATATGCTAAAACTCAGCATGATAGAAAATACAGACCAGATCTTTAGAAAAGGGCAGACAGCAAACTAAAAGGCAGAAAAAGAAATGGAGCAAAGAATGGTCACACAAGATCTGTATTCTGAGCTCTTCGAGATGCCATCCGTTCAAACGTTACTTACCTTGGCCTCAAGACTTTATTCTACTGAACATCACTTGTTAGGTCCCTAAGCTAACATGTATTTTCAGACATGGTTCTCTGATTTTCTTATGTGAAAACCTGGGCTGATTTACATTCCATGACCTGAAAATAGATGCCTGCTTTTGTTGATGGAATATTAGCTCAATTAAAAAGAATAGGAATCCTGGAAGGTGCCTAGAGATGACATGGAAAATTAGAGGATTATAACTCTAACTTTTTCACAGAGGAAACTATAATAAAATTCATTTTTCCAGAACCCTAGAGTTGATACAGGATTTGACCTAGGAGTACTTGCCTTCAAATCTGTGTTTAGCCATTTACTTGTGTGCGAATCAGGGCAAATCCTTTAACTTTTGTGTTTTTCAGGTTTCTCATCTATTAAATAGGACTTCAAATACCTACCTCACAGAATTATCATTAGGTTCAGCTGTATACAATTCCTTTGAATACTCTAAAGACTACAGCTGCCAGTTGGTCTTGAGGTTATTTCTTGTCAAGATCAAGCCCTATCAGAAAAACCTAGTCTCATGTAGGGCAGAAGGGTAGTTTTGGTTTCTGACATTCTATAGATGTCATTTCTCTTGACCTTGGTAATGTTTCTAAATTGAGTTTGCAGCACAGTATCGGTCCTTGTGGAAATATGACTAAGAACACGTACACTTCTAACTACATAACATCTGGCTAGAAACATAATCTGAGAATAGTCTTTGAGAATAAATGGTTAGAGACACAACAAGTGATGTTCAGTAGCAAGAAGTCTTAGAAGCAGGGTGAGTCACATTTAAATCAATGACACAGCAGAGACCAATGAAGATTATTAAGTATATCAGTGACAAGGCTGTGTAAACTGGGTTCTATTACTTTGATAAAAGATAGATTCAGAATTCAAAGTGACTTTGGTGATTTAGAAAATAAATACAGAAAACTCGTTTCTAACTAGGAGCAGAGGAAGACACAGGATGGGGAGAAGGCTCAAATGTGCCCATATTTATGAGGGGAAAGAGCCAGCTATGTGTGGAGGGGGAGAAAAAGAAAGTGAGGTTCTGGGTAGTTATCAGATTGCCTGTGAGTCAGCAATGCGGCACTGCAGTTAGAAGAGCCAGATGAGTGCTGCAGGGCACGACAGGAAGGTGGCATGGAGCAATATCTGAAGGTCCACCTCCTCTTAGACGGATAACTGGACAGACTACATATGGATTATCAGTTTGTCTCTGGTTAAATACCTGTATATATTTCTTTAGGATACCTACTATGATCACTTTTGCAGAGTGAAGATGGCTTTTCTCTTTCTAATGTGAGCCATAAGGGATGCATTATGGGAGAGGAGTTATCTAAAAATGGAGAAACCTAATCCTATTTAGGGCAGGAGGGACCCCAACCCTCCTTAGCCTCCTCTATTAAACTATTATTTGTCAGTTGTTTTGAAAGTTTCAAAATACTTTAAAGATTTTCTAATTTTCAGCCTATATTATCTCTTGAATCAGTGAATCCTTAAGTTTACTACTCAGAAGGGTACCACTGTGCACGAAGACCATTGCACCCTGTGTCTTGTGTAAATTCACTTTTTTCTTGGACAGCCCCTTTTCCTTATGTCTACTTGGTGAACTTCTCTTTATCCATCAGGTCTCAGCTGAAGCCTCACTCTGTGTGAAGCCCTTTTTGACCTTCCTGGGTAGAGTTGTATCCCTTACGCTCACCTCTGCTGCATTGTGTACATTCCCCTGTTAAAGGCTCATTAATCACACTAGATAGAATTAGAATGTGAGCTTCTTGAAAGTACAGATCACATCTTACTCATCTATTCATCTTTGTATTCTCAGACCTAGAAGTGCCCCTGGCACATGGTGTGTGCTCTATAATTACCTATGAAATGATTTAATGAAGGGTTGAATGAAGATGAGTACATAACTACAAGATCTATGTGAATAGGTAAAAAAAAAAAAAAAAAAGTCCGCTATTTAACTAGAAAAAAGGCAACTCCAACTTTCTGTATTCCATAGTGTACCACACGGGTGAGGAATTATATTTTAAAAAGAATTTTAAGAGTTTCCCGTGAGCTGTAAGAAAGAAGTCGTTGCCAGTAACAACTAAGCATAGTCTTTTCTCCGTTCACATGCAGACGATGAGCTAGAGTAAGTTTCTTCTAACTTTAAGTTCTTTATTACCTCATGCTAAGTTCCAGCATTTTCTATTCTTTGGCTTCTACCAGTTGCTTGAGGATCCATGATGGAGACAGACTCATCCTGAAAAGCCCAATTCCACCTTCAGCAAAACCTACAAGAGGTCTCATCTGTTGAAGTGAACTAAAAGTTTAGCAAGTGATAAAATTTTCACATTGTCACACATTCATTTAATAGTAAGGGGAAACGTGAAGCCAAGAAATATTTTTTAAGGCAGCAATGTACAAACATATCTTTTTCATTCTGTAAATCTCTTTTCTCAGGGTAGGTTTGATCAGAGGGAAAGAAACATCTTTACCATAGTATTGTCTCCAAGTGTTCTGTTTCTGTTTTTTTGAGTGAAGCGTTTGATGCCTGTTGAGGGTTTTAGTGGTCTGATTCTGACTGTAAAGTTGCTGATTTCTTCTACCCACTACCATTTTTGTTTCAGAAACAAAGCAACAGAAAATGGCATTGTTTGTTTGCCTAATGACATGTGCTAAACACACACACACACACACACACACACACACACACACACACAGAAGAAAAACAAAAAGCCTCCCTCCTGTCCTCCAGCTCATTTTTAATATTTATCTTTTCATGAGTACATCCAGCCTATCTTTAATGTTGTCAACATGTTCCTAAGCAGGCTGAGTAGGGTGTTAGCAAACAACAGCAGCAGGAAATCTCTAGTCCCTGACAGTTAGAGAGGGCTCCCCTCCAAGAAGTGAGCCTAAAAAGTACATATTAGCTTTTTTAAAAAAATCTCAGACTCAACAAATTTATTAGTGTCATGATTTCATTTTCTATTTTAGAATATCATGGTTTTCACAGTGTCCCATGATTCTATTAATTCCTTTTATTAACAAATGAGTTATAGATATTTTAATTTATATCTCAATTCTTAAGATTCTAGAAGACATAATTCATCAGTCACAGACATCAAGACCTCAGTGAGAAATTGGTTGGTAGTGGTGACAGCATGAGTTTGAGAACCAGGATTACCTGAATCTGAATTATGGTTCTGTATGTTCTACCTGCATGACTGAGGAAATAAGCTTCTCTGTGCCTCAGTTTCCCACTTATAAAATAAGATTGACATTACCCCATTTTCAGAGTTAGTGTCAAAATTAAGTGAATTGCAACATGTAAGGCTCTTAGTACAATTTCAGATATATAGTAAACTCCTGATAAATGGTGACAATGAAGATGATGATGGAGTTGAAGATGCATTTTTTTCAGCAGAGTTCATTCAGACAGGTACATTCCCTGATGCTGGAGATCACAAATCCTTATACGTAAAAATCAACTCTACCTTTTAGGATGGAAAATGTCTAAAGGTTTTCAAGGTGTTGATTTTCAAATGTGTTAAAAAGCTCAAAAGAGACAAAGGCTTCAATATTCAGACTGTCTTCTGGCAGCGTTAGAGAAGGCTCAGTCTATGTAAATCTAGAAGTTGCAATTTGTCATTTATTTTCTGAACCTCCAAATGCATATTTTGGACCTTTATTTTGTTTAAATTCTTGGGTGATAATTAAATCACAGGAGTATCTATGACATATGTGGTTGGGTGATCACCTCTTAATCTCAAATACCCTGTGACTGTTTCTGACAAACATATTTTGAAGACATTTATAAAAGAGAATAAATAGTTCGCAAATATTTTCTCCCATTCTGTAGCATGTCTGTTTACTCTGTTGATAGTTTCTTTTGCCATGTAGAAGCTATTTAGTTTAATTAGGTCTATTTATCAATTTTTGTGTTTGTTGCAATTGCTTTTGAGGACTTAGCCATAAATTATTTGCCAAGGCTGATGTCCAGAATGGTGTTTCCTAGGTTTTCTTCTAGTATTTTATAGTTTGAGGACTTACATTTAAATATTTAATCCATCTTGAGTTAATTTTTGTATATGGTGAAAGGTAGGGGTCCACTAGCATCCAGAATCTCTTAGGAACTTAAACAGTTCAACAAGCAAGAAGTAATCCTTTCAAACAGTGTGCAAAGGACATGAACAGACACTTCTCAAAAGAAGACATACAAGCAGCCAACAAACATATGAAAAAATGTTCAGCATCACTAAACAGTAGAGAAATGCAAATCAAAACCACAATGAGGTATCATCTCACATGAGTTAGAATGGCTATTACTATTATTATTATTATCATTATTTGAGATGGGGCCTCACTCTGTCACCCAGACTGGAGTGCAGTGGTGCGATCATGGCTCACTGCAGCCTCGACCTCAAGTTATCCTCCCACCTCAGGCTCCTGAGTAGCTGGGTCTACAGGAATGTGACACCACGCCCAGCTAATTTCTATTTTTTTGTATTTTTTGTAGAGACAGGGTTTTGCCATGTTGCCCAGGCTGGTCTTGAACTCCTGAACTCAAGTAATCCATCCGTCTCGGCCTCCCAAAATGCTGAGATTATTGGCATGAGCCACTGCACCCAGCTGGCTATTACTTAAACGTCAAAAAATAACAAATGCTGGTGAGGCTGAAGAAGAAAAAAAGGAATGCTTATACACTGTTGGTGGGAATGTAAATTAGTCCAGCCACTGTGGAAAGCAGTTTGGAGATTTTTCAAAGAATGTAAAACAGAACTACCATTTGTCTCAGTGATCCCATTACTGGGTATATATCCAAAGGAAAATAAGTCATTCTACCAAAAAGACATGTGCTTATATGTTCATGGCAGCACTATTCACAATGATGAAGACATGTAATCAACCTAGATGCCCATCAATGGAGGATTGGATAAGAAAATGTGGTACAATATACACCGTGGAATACCACGCAGCTATAAGAGAGAAGAAAATTACATCCTTTGGGCTGGGTGCAGTGGCTCATGCCTGCAATCCTAGCACTTTGGGAGGCCGAGGCAGGCAGATCACTTGAGGTCAGGAGTTTGAGACCAACCTGGCCAACAGGGTGAAACCCTGTCTCAAAAAAAAAATGTCCTCAGCAAATTAATGCGGGAACAGAAAACCAAGTATTGCATGTTCTCACTTATAAGTAGAAGCTAAACATTGGGTACACATGGACATAAAGATGGGAGCAATGGACACTGGAGACTACTAGCAGGGGAAGAGAGACAGGAAGGCAAGAGCTGAAAACTACCTGTTGGGTACTGTGCTCACTATCTGGGTGACAGAGACTGTCATACCCCAAACCTCAGCATCACACTATATAGCCATGTAAGAAATCTGCACATGTACCCTATGAATCTAAAATAAAGATAAACATTTTTTAAAAAGTAAAAAGGGTCAAATTAAAAGATAATTATAATAATATAACTGTGTCGTATTTTAAAAATAAGTAAATGTATAAATGTTAAAGACTAAAAAAAAGAGGATCAGTAGAAAAAAAAAGGTGTTACTATTTTAAGGTAATTAATATTTTGGCTTCCTTGGCAGTAAAAATAGGACTTCACCAGATGGCAGATGTCTTTTTGGTTAGTAATGTCACGCTATATTTTCAAAGAAGAAATGGGGGAGGGAGGGGAGATGCTGTTGAGAACAGCTTTTTCAAATCACACCAAGGCATATAATATGGGGTTTGGGAATGGAGGAGGAAATGAATAAACAAACAAGGTATTTTTATTGCCTAAGAGCATGAACTTAGCTTTCTTGAGAAAATGTGACTTTTTCAGATGAAATTGAACATGTGAGAGCTGTGGAATTCTGTGAGGGTGTGTGTATTAGAAATAGAGCAATGCAGACAATGAAATGCCCAGACGCCTCAGAGCAGGAGTGTTCAGGGTAGTTAGGAGAATGCTTCCCTGAGACAGAAGGGAAAGACAGGACAGGTGGGTCTCCCTTACTCTGAATTCCTCTGCAGTGTTCTTCTCCTTTCATACACATGGATTGATTTAAGACTCTTATAAGCCTCTGGGAAAAGCACTGGGGAAACAAAAGTATCCTCAAAAGTTCACCAGCTGGTAAAGAAAGCAGGATGTAGCCCCCACTTATGGACCAAAGCCAAGGCCCAAGCAAGGCAAGAGGAAGGCCAAGGTCCCATATCTATTGCAGCTGGGGGCAGTTAGACCTCAAGCCTTTTCTCAGTGTGATATTCTCAGTCCTCTCCAAACGGCCTTATGGTGGTGATGGTGAACCAAATGGCTGAGCCATGAGTGAGCCTCAGAGGTAATAATAAGTGGCATTTATTGAATGCCTACTATGTGCCAGAATCTTTACATGTGCACTCTCCGCTTCCTTGTTGATCCCTCAAGACAGGTGTCGTCTCCACTTTGTTGGAATGACAGGGAATTGAGGCTCATATTGGTGGAGTAATAAACTCAAAGTTACACTGAAATGTCATTTAAGCCCCTATCATTCTGGAGTCAAAGCCTGCATTCTTCCTATAATACCACAGGGTTCCATAGGGCACATGTATTAGTCCATTCTCACATTGCTACAAAGAAATACCTGAAACTGGGAAATTTATGGAGAAAAGAAGTTTAATTGGCTCAGGGTTCTGCAGGCTATACAAGAAGCATAGTGGTTTCTGCTTCTGGGGAGGCCTCAGGAAACTTACAATCACAGTGGAAGGTGAAGGTGAAGCAGACACATCTTACATGGCAGGAGCAGGAGGAGGAGCGGAGGGGGGGAGGTTCTACACACTTTTAAATAACCAGATCTCATGATAATTCACTCACTCACTATCACAAGAACACAACTGAGGGGAAGGTGCTAAACCATTCATGAGAACTGCCCCCATGATGCAATTACCTCCCACCAGGCCTCACCTCCAACACTGGGGGTTACAATTCGTTGTTAGATTTAGGCGGGGACACAGGCCCAAACCATATTAGCACACTTGTGTCTTCTGGCATGTTCTCATTTTCTTTAGCTTCTGGGCTGGCAGCAGGAGAGGAAATATATGTTTACATGATAAGATTAAACATCCGGATTTTAATGCGCCCAGTGACATGAAGTGTGTGTCAGTGTTATTTTAGTATTACCACTATGGAGAACGGTTTGGAGGTTCCTCAAACTAAAAAGAGAGCTACTATATGATCCAGCAATCCCACTGCTAGGTAATCTACCCAAAAGAAAGGAAATCAGTATATTGAAGAGATAGCTGCACTCCCATGTCTATTGCGTTTCCTATCTTTTTTTTTGCCATGGTGAAGCAGGGTAGTATGTGGAAAGGATATTTATGTGGAAGTTAAGCCATGAAGATTTTAGTCTGAGTTGCACCGCCACAAAGTTGTGGTTTTGGGTAAGTTATTTAAAATTCTATGCCCCAGTAACTTCAAATGAAAATGAGGAGTAAATTAAATTACTGTTTCTCTAATTTTTCCTCTAGGTCTAATACTAAATGATTTTTAAAGGCTCTCAAAGCCTTTTTTGATGAAACCATCACTCCTACCTTTACCCGATCATAACTGCCCCATTTTCATGTGAAAAGACTATGGTACACATATAGCAGATAACTTACTTCACATCTGCTTTGAGTGCGAATAGACTCCTGATTGAGTCTTCAATGATGGTTTGAGTAGATTTAGGAGCACACTTTCCAAATAATTACCAATATTCATGAAGATAATTAACTTACACAGACGTTGGAGGCATAATACAATCCTTAGAAATATCATCTGATGCCAGGAATGTTTACCGAAGATTCATTTATTTCCCCAATCAGCTGAGGCATGAGGGGAAAAGGAAAGATAATTTCATGGTTTTACATGCTCTGTGGGTACATTCTTATAAACCTCCCTGGTTTTATTATTTGCTTTTTAGATTCATTAATTCTGCCGAGGAAATTAAAGAAGCAAATGCTAGTAAAAGAGAATTGAAAACTCTAAAATGCTCATTTTAACATATGTTATTGCGAGTATCAGTAGCTGCTGACTTGAGTAATTCCTAAATTCAGATTCTCTGGACATATCATGACCACTCTTTACAGTGACCTTTTAAGGCAGCTACTGTCATCTTTTTTTTAATAGCTTTATTGATACATAATTCACACTGTTGTCTTCCTTTCACCAGCAATGTAAAGAACCTCATAGGACTTACGTTGTATATTCAAAGGAACTTACTGTTTATGCTAAAAGTATGACTTGAGCCCAGATAAACCTATTAAAAGGTCTGTGTATTTTCCTCTCTGCTGGAGGGGAGAACACGATCACAGCGGTAAGGAAGGGATGCCCTGCAAAATGAGTGATCTTTACTCTGAGTGCGTGCTGAGGGTATCGCTTCTCATGCCAGAATACATGGGTGTTTGGGATGGGCTACAGAAGGGCATGGCTTACAACTGAAAACTGGTGCTCTTACAAACATTTCTCCTGAAGCTTATATGCATGACTATCCCCCACTCTTTTGCTCATTGTACGTCCACTCTTTCAAAATGTTAAAAAGACAAAGTTCAAAACTTAAAGGTCATCTGGTTTAACCCTCATTTTTACAGAAGAGAAAATGGACAATTAAAGAGAGCAAGTACTGTTGAAGAGTAGAGAGAGTCTGGAAACATAGATTTGAGTCCAATGGCAGAGTATCTTGAGAGCCAGATTAGGGAATTTAGACCTGAACCTATAGGCAATGGAGCTACTTTAGGCACTAAGTAGGGAAGAGACCTTTACTCAAGGTCACACCCTCATCTGAGGTTGATTTGAGAGTAAAGTCCAGATGGTAATGTTTAATTGTTTCTGTCTGTACCCTGCTTCTCTCATTCACTTTAACCTTTGATCTGTTTGGGTACCATTATGATAAACTAAGATCTTTGGAGCCATGGTAATCCCAAACTTTGTCACTGATGTGTAATATACGTGTAAATAAGGGTTACAAATAAAAAATCTGTAGAAAATGTCTTGTTATAAGAAAGGAATGTTTGCTGCACTGGATTTAATCTAGATACCTTTTAGAACAAAGAAAGCATATTTCACAATTGCAACAAGTAGATTAAGCTTAATAGGAAGTTCATGATTTAATTACAGTAAACAATTTGGAACACAGTGTTTTCTATCTAAAGATAGACCACAGCAGAACTTTTACCTGGAACATTTATTTTCCCTGCATTATGGATATTCCACATAATCAGCAATTTTATGTTACCTAATTAAACCATACTTTCAATATTTCATAAAATTATTGTTATACTTATGATTATCTTCCCATATTCTTGCCTCTGCTTCTTTACTTTTGCCCTGGTGTCTGTTTTTATTTTACTTTTCTTAGAAAAACAAATACACACACACACAATTCTTTCCCTTTGTAAATGAAAATAATTTGAAGGTTTTATACTTGATGTAAAAGTCTATGTAAAACATCCTTTATGAATTTTGTTTTACTCTTTACTTCAGGGCATGCTACATTATTGTTTAATATTTTCAGGTTATCTTTGTATTAAAGTAATACTGCCCTAGCTTGGCTTCTCTGACACTGAGACAGAGTTTGGGGTATGAATTAATTTCCTAGGGCTGCTATAACAATGTACCACAAATTGAGTGACTTAAAAAACAGAGACTTTGGCCACGTGCGGTGGCTCACGCCTGTAATCCCAGCAATTTGGGAGGCTGAGGTGGGTGGATCACCTGAGGATGGGCGTTTGAGAACAGCCTGACCAACATGGAGAAACCCTGTCTCTACTAAACTTACAAAATTAGCCAGGCATGGTAGCACATACTTGTAATCCCAGCTAGTCGGGAGGCTGAGGCAGGAGAATCTCTTGATCCTGGGAGGTGGAGGTTGCAGTGAGCCTAGATGGCACCATTGCACTCCAGCAATGCACTTGTTGGGCAACAGGAATAAAACTCCATCTCAAAAACAAACAACAAACAAACAAAACAGAATTCTGTTGTCTCACAGTTTTGGAGACTGAGTCTGGAGTCAAAGTGTGGCAGGGTTGGTTCCTTCTGAGGGCTGTAAGGGAAGGCTCTGTTCTACGCCTTCCACACACCTTTTGCTGATTTGTTGGCATTCTTTGGTCTTCCTTGGCTTGTGGCAGCATCACCCCAATTTCTGCCTTCATCTTCATATAGTGTTCTTCGTATGTGTGTGTGTGTGTGTGTGTGTGTGTCTATGTCAAAATTTCCCCTTTTCGTAAGGCCACCATTCATATTGCATTAAAGCCTACCTTATTCCAACATGATCTCATCTCAACAAGTTACATCTACAATGACTCTGTTTTCCAATAAGGTCATATTCTGAGATACTAGGGGTTGGGACGTCAACATACAAATTTTGGGGGCCCACAATTCAACCCATACAGGGTACAAAATGTATATCTGTGAAGGAAATGGGGAAGAAGCAACATTGGGCAGAGGAAGAAGTTAAGCTGTGATGCAGAGCCTCCAAAGCCTTGGACCTTCTGGCGGTGGGCTTTGGAAGAAATATTGCCCATCAGAGTGTCCTTTGACAGGCAGTGGTGAGCCTTCACACCCCTGTCTCACTCAGTCATTGGGTGTGGGCTGCTAGGAAGGACTTGACCTTGGATGGCGCATCTTTGTGAAGTACTGGGAGACCCTGAAGGAGCAGATAGTCAAAGGTCGGCTACAGACTGCATTCCTCATGGGGACAGCAAGTTCTTCCATGAAGAGAGATCTGGGTGGGAGAAATCCATGTCTACCACAAATACAGTGAATGTTACTGACCTCTACGAAGGTCAGAAAAACCTTGATCTGAAAAAATATTGACCTTATAAAAATGTCTCTCTTCCTCACTTAAATGCCTCAAGTATCTCCATTGCCTATAGGTTCAGGTCTAAATCCCCTAACCTGACTCTCAAGTGTCAAATACTCTGCCATTAGAGTCAAATCTGTGTTTCCAGACTCTCCCTACTCTTCAACAGAATCCTCTTCCCTAGCCATGCTGATATTTCTTTACCTAGGACATGACTTTTGCATTCTTGCTTCCAACACTTTGTACAAATGGAACTCCTGCCTTAATGGTCTACCTGATGAGAAGTACAGAGGTATTGAAAAGGTAGATTTTAGTCCAATTGGAAAGGTCTTGAAGTCCAAACTAAGAGGTTTATAACTAAATCTATAGTCTAACCCAGGGGCTGACAAAATAGCCTGCAGGTCAAATCCAGTCTGCCATCTGTTATTGTAAATAAAGTTTTATTGGAACACAGCCATGCCCTTTTGTTTACATATCGTCTGTGGCTATCACATTATGATTTTGCTCAATAGCAGAGTTCAGTAGTTACAACAGTTACTGTATTGCCCACAAATCCTAAAATATTTACTGTCTGGCCCTTTACAGATAAAGTTTGCGGATCCTCTAATTCCTCTAAATCAACCCTTTGTAATAGTAGCAGGAAACATACCAGCTTCCCCCTTCAGCACTCTGAATGATTCCTACTCTCACTGAGCTTTCCAATCTCTAAAGCTATAAGGCACATAGCAATTTTGCTATATTGGGATTTGTGCTTCCAATGTCTATGTCCTACGGATCCAGCCAGATTGTGAGCTTCCTGTGAGCAGAGACTGTGCCTTCATTTTACTTTGGACTTTGCACAGTGCTTAACAGGGAGCATTTGTTAATAACATGGAGATTAATAGCACTTGTTTGTGAGACAGTTTCTTGGACTGCAGAAATGGGCTTTGGAGTCCAATAGATCCAGTTCCTCAGTGTTATGTGTGTGACCTTGGGAAAGACACATAATTTCTCTCAGCCTCAGACTTCTCCTTGGCCTCCTTATGATTTTCACAATTTGAGGCTACAAGAGAGGTATTTGGCCTAGAAGATAGTCTTTCATTCTATGCTATAGCTACTGAGGTAAACGACACCTCTCACACTCAAGCAGAGTGGAGCAGAAGGCTTTGTGTAGAAGGCATTGCCAGAGTGACTCATTTATGTTACACACACAGGCTTGTGCAAATAAAAGAAGAGATAGAGCTCTGGACTTTTTCAGTGGGGACACTAATGGCATTTGGTGGGGCAGGTGATAGTTTTCTGAGGTGAGGGGGTCCTTCTCTTTGTAGATTGTTTAGCTTTTCTGTTTCTCTCCCGCTAAATGCCAGTAGTGACTCCAGATATCACTGTGACAGCTGTAATGGCTCACACATATTTCCGAATGCATGCCAGGGGTCACCAGCACCTTGGCTGAGAACCACTGGTCACACTCTAAAAAGTGCTAGGTGTTCTGCACTTAGAAATCTCTAAGGGGTTGAGGAGACTTCCAGTAGAACACTTCTACTTTCTTCCGTTTTGTGTCATTAAGATTTTTTTGAAAGATGCTTATGGCTAAAATTTTTGAAATTAGATATAATAGTAGCTGTACAGTTGAAATCAAACGTTGCTTCACTGTAAAGCCTGAACCAAAAAAATGTCAGATTGAAACTGAAAAAAGATCATTCAACCAAAGAAGGCATGGAGCAGGATAGAAAAAATGGTGGTGGGATTGGGGGGTCCTGTCCTATTGAGACCAATACAGACTGCCCCCCTCCCACCATCATCTAGATATGGACACAAACACCAGGATCATACTGCAATCATGATAACAATAATGTCCAAATAAGTGATTTAATACCTAGTAGGAGCTAAACATTACATACTTACTATCTCTACACTTAAACTTAGCGTGGTAGATATTATAGAGGCCAAGAAGTCTCAAGGAGGTGGAGCAACGTCCCCACACTTATGCATTTATGCAGCTGATTAGTGACTGAACCTACATTAAAACTTACATTTTGCTATAAAAACCATAGACTTTCTGCTCCACCAAGCTATATAATATTATTTGTAATTTGTTCTTCATCTGACATATCAAATAAACAATTGTTTGCATGGGGCATGTTACTATGGTTGCTGTTTATGTTTTTTTCTTTCTTTCTTTTTGTTTTTAATCTGGAGGCAAGGTCTTGTTCTGTCACCTAGGCTGGAGTGCAGTGGTGCAATCATGGCTCACTGCAGCCTCGACCTCCTAGGCTCAAGCAATCCTTCTGCCTCAGCCTCCTGAGTAGCTGGGATTATAGGTGTGCACCACCATGCCTGGCTAATTATTTTATTTTTGTAGAGATAGAGTCCTACTATGTGGCCCAGGCTGGCCTCTAACTCTTGGGCTCAAATGATCCTCCCACTTGGGCCTCCCAAAATGCTGGGATTGCAGGCTGAGCCACCATACCTGGCCAATGTTTCTGTTTAAAAGTGAAAAAATTGTTTGTGGCATATTGCATATGATAATATAAGTTTTATTTTTTTCTGCTCATCAATCCATTTTTTGTCCTTGTTAAGACTCCTTTCAGGTAGTTAAGTGAGATGCCTGCAGTAGGGTGAAGCATCAATATTTGCACTGTCTTAGAGCCCTCTCAAGCATGCCAAGCAAGGAGTGTCTCCTCTAGAAAGAGATTGAAAGCAGCCTCTTCCTGTGTCACTTATTACTCCACGTTGGTACAGATTAGGAACAGAAGGAATGCTACAGAAATCAAACATCTCCACAGGAGGCAGTTTTTCTTTCTAACAAATCATAGGAATGGTTCTGTGAGGCAAATAAGGCACTGTTTGAAACTGTGGACTTTTGATTTTTTTAGCTAGGATAAATATGTGTCACTTGTGAAAGCTCTGAGTCAGGACTTTAGATTATTAAGTATGCTGCTATTGTTAAATAAATAAGACAAGTCAATTGATTATCATCTTTGGAACTTGGGAGTCCATTTTGCAAAATCAGCTAATGTGCCTAATCATGCATGGAAGTTAGATATGAGACCGTTATGTGTACATCGATAATAAGCCATTGTTACGAAACACAGATACAGGATTTCCCATTCTGTTTCTCATAATGCTTGATTCCCATATGTTTCATTGTTGACAGCTCAGCAGAGGCATGCAATATTTCTCCCTTATTTTCTGGCTTATCACATAGATAAATTGTCTAGAAAATGCCATTAGTAATTTTCTCTGTATTTACTTAAATTGCTTATACAAATTGCTCTATCAGTTCAGGATATGAAGTTCTTTAGAAATTAGTAGCTTATATCTCTGGCTTTGGGTTTTTAGTGTTTTTGGGTTTCATTGTCTTCTTTCTTAAAGCATGTTATAAAGACTTGGGCCAACAAATTCTACAATTATCGCCAAACTTCAGAGGTTTTACATTTTTTCCTTCAGCCCACTTCACTATTTAGTGTCCCTTTTCATAGTAAAAAGTGGTCTTATACAATTAAATCAAATTGTGTTATAAATGAATATATTTTTAAAAGAAGAACACTGTACTTGCAGATGAAAGAGCTGGATAATCTTTGCTTTTAATTTCTTTGTCCAACCTCTAGACTGGCTATGTGGCATAGAGCAGACCATCGTTAGTCTGGGCTAAGGTTTTCTCTTCTGCCAGATGAGCACGTTGGAACAGGGATGGAAGAACTTGACAAGTGACATGCTGGATGGTGTGGGTCAGGCATTTCTCTCACGCCCATAGAATCTGTCTGGCTTCATTGTCCTTTTCAACATGAATCTCTAGGCAGTATTTCCAAATGATCGAATTAATGTGAAGTAAAAGCAAGTTGTCATCTTTTGTCCAATGACTAGTTGGCTCCTTCAAGCCCACATTAATGAGTTGTAATGTCAGTCCCTCTTAGATATTTTTACATACGCGAGAGATGATGGGTGGAGCACAACACTTAATGGAAAGCAAAGACTCCCTGACAATAAAAAGTTAGCAGAGTAGATGAGAACATTGGGGAAGGACAGATGAGTATCTGAGGCTTTCTTGGTATCATTCAAATCCCATGCTCTTAATATCATCCTATATTATCTCCCTTTCAAAACTCATTCTATTGAGACTTTTAAAAACTAAGAAATTTTAGCTGTTAATTTATAAGAATAGTTTTTCTACTACTTAAGACTGAATAAAAATTAAAACTTTGGGTTAATTACTTAGAATTTTATATATGAATAAGAATCAATGAATTTTATTTGTGAGAAAATTGAAGAAATCATGAAAAGCTGCAAAATTGTGGACAAATAAAAAGAATTTTTATTAACGTAATCGAGTTTCTTTGTTTCAGAGTAGCTGCTAACTGGCCTCAAATCCTCAAAGGATATTATTTTCATAGGTGACATGCTCTTTGCATTTACTGTTAACCATGTGAACATGTTGGGAGCACACACACAGAATACTCCTCTCCATCCCCCCTCCCCAACACCACTCCACTCTTTTTCCTCCATCACAATTTCTATTCTCTATCTGTTAAGGTAAATGTATCAGAGCTGATCATAAGAGACACATATTCTCAGGTTGCCATTTATCTTGTATGTACTGGCAGATTTGCTTATTTTTTCTTTTGATGAGATTGTCGCCTTTTGTAAATTATAGGCAAGACCAAAGAAAGCACCTGTTATTTTCCCATATGCCTCTTTGTTTCTCCCCAAATCTATTTCCCCTTTAAACTCAATTTAGCCAAATGACTCATGTAACATCATAATAATATCACTCCAAACAAGCTCATTCCTCATGGTCATGCCAAGAAACTTGCTGTCAGGGGTTTGTGAATTTTCCTGCATCCACATTGGGATTTGACTCATGCTGAAATTTGTTGACCTGAACATAACATTTGTTATAAAGTATATAAACGGATGCATAAAAGGAAGTGCCATAATGAAAAGAGTTGAAACTTGGAACTGGATAGATCAAAGGATTTACTTCTGGTTTAATTATTTACTAGCTTTTCTCATGCAAATGCTTTGACTTTTTTTGACACTCGGCTTTCCTATCTGGAAAATAGGAGTAATATTCTTACTCAAACAGCACCTAGAAAAGTTTCTGAATCATAACAGATGACCAAAAGTGGTTGTTATTGTTCATATGTTATTGCTATTTCTATTATTATTTGTTATTCAATGGCAAAAATCTCAAATATAAAAAAGTCCTAGAACCTGTCTACAGTTGGCCTTCGTATCTAGGGGCTCTACATCCATGGATTCAACTAACCTTGGAATAAAATACTTTAGCTGGGCGCAGTGGCTCACGCCTGTAATCCCAGCATTTTGGGAGGCAGAGGTAAGTGGATCACTTGAGCTCAGGAGCTTGAGACCAGCTTGGACAACATGGTTAAACCCCATCTTTACCAAAAAAAAAAAAAAAAAAAAAAAAAGAAAAAAAATTAGTCAGGTGTGGTGGCTCACACATGTAGTCCCAGCTACTTAGGAGGCTGAGGTGGGAGGATCTCTTGAGCCTAGGAGGAGGAGATTGCAGTGAGATCATGCCACTGCACTCCAGTCTGGGCAACAGAGCCAAACCCTGTCTCAAAAAAATAATAATAATAATTAAAAATACTAAAAAATGATGTATGGTTGTGTTTGTACCAAACATGTACAGAATTTTTTTTCTTGGCATTATTCCCCAAACAATATAGGAAAACAACTATTATAGAGCATTTGCATTGATTGTATTAGGTATTAGAAGAAATCTAGAGACAATTTAAAGTATATGGGAGGATTGTGTGGGTCACATGCAAATACTGGACCATTTATATAAGAGACTTCTGTGGATTTTGATATTGTGGGGAAGATTCCTAGAATCAATACTGCATGGATACTGAGGTATGACTATTTCTATATTGGCTGAGTTGTGAATTAAACATTTTCTGTAAGAGAGAGAGTCTATAAGATCTGTTTTTATTTTATAAGATAGAAGAAAGTTTTATAGTATGTGTAGTATATGGAGTGATAGTCTTGGAATACTATATGGGTTAAATTTATACTGATTCATAGAATTAATCTGCCTAATTGGAACCCCCTCAGGAGCTGATGAGCACAAGCAACACAGCAGAGCCCATTAACTCCCATTTTAATCTAATTTTAATGTAAAAGCCAATGAGCAAATAATGTTTACTGTATTAAATTTTGCTCTCTGCATCCTGTATGACTGAAGTGAACTGCCTCAGGTGACAGAGATAGCTTGGGGTCAGTGAAGTTTCCCTTCGTGGTTTACTCTTATAGAGTGACATACAACACAATGAGAAGCAATGAAACACAATCACATATCCAGATTCTTCATTCATTCACTCTTGCTTTTACTTTAAAAAATCATTGTTTTTCACACCTGTAATCCCAGCACTTTGGGAGGGCGAGGTGGGCAGATCACGAGATCAGGACTTCGAGACCAGCCTGACCAACATGGTGAAATGCTGTCTCTACTATAAATACAAAAATTAGCTGGGCATGGTGGCAAGCACCTGTAATCCCAGCTACTCAGGAGGCTGAGGCAGGAGAATTGCTTGAACCTGGGAGGCGGAGGTTGTAGTGAGCCAACATTGCACCAGTGCACTCCAGCCTGGGCGACAGAGCGAGGATCCATCAAAAAAAAAAAAAAAATCATTGTTTTGATTCTTTACAACAAACATGTTGACGTCAGTTAGTATTTGTTGGAATGGTCCCCTTACTCATGATGCTAAGCACTGAAGAAAGAGACTGCTTGGATATAGGCTCTGCCTTCATGTTGTTTACTGTCTAGTAGGAAAGGTAAACATAAATAAATCAGAGGAATGAATGTTATAGATACACTGATGACACTGATTAGGAAACAGGGAGAGTATAAAGGCAAGAGTAGTTAATCCCAAACTCTGCAGTATGAGAGTTAAGGATTTTTGTGATCTTGCACCAGCCTAATTTTTCAGCCTCATCCTTTACCACTTTTCCTAATCTTATATCCACTCCCCACAAATACACGTATGTATTCTATATTGTATTAAATTGTATTAATTGCCACTCTGTATTAAATTATATTTTTCTGTATGTCCATGCACAGTCGTATTACTTTAATATTCGGATGGCTTGGTAGGAAGCCTAAACCTTGGCTGAGATTTAAATTTAATCATCAGAGGGGTGAAAAATAAACATCTCCTAGGCAATAGATTACTTCCTCACTGAGAATTTTGGAAGTCACATTTCTAAAGTGACTGCCTGATCAATACATGGTTTCTTGAGCATGGCACCTGAGGGAGGAACCTAATGAACACCATTTTATTTCCCAATCCAAAGAGCTGGCAAATGTTTTCCCAGAGAGCTTTCTAAAAGTGAGGATCGAAAGTCTCCGTCGTGATGAGCATGAGCACGCTCATTCTTTTCTTTTTCTTTTCTTTTGAGACGGAATCTTGCTCTGTTCCATACTCATTCCTAAGATAACATTTTCTCATACAGGACAATGGTGTGGATTGGCCTAAAAACAATATAGAAGTAGTTATTACCACACTTTTGACTCTTGCATCTGATGTGAACATGGCTGAGAAGTTAATGGCAACAATTTTACATCCTGGTCTCAAGAGACATGTTTTGCGAAATATAGTCCCAGAGTAACGCATTTATAACACTAGGCTTAAACGTACCATCTGTGACAGAAGAATTCAAGCCTGTCAAGTCTCCTTTCTACTCTTATTTCATTCATTTCTACAAGCGATTTGTGATCACTTGTGTTAGGTAGCATGGAGAAATAACCCAAGCAATCTTCCATCACCTATGTTTTAGGTAATGTGTAAAGAAGTAACCCAAGCTGCTTGCATTGACATGGATAGCTATTAAGCCGGTTTCAGCCTTTACTTACTGGGATAAGGTGGTGAAAGCCATGGTCAGGTTCTTTTTTTTTGAGACGGAGTCTGGCTCTGTCGCCCAGGCTGGAGTGCAGGGGCACGATCACGGCTCACTGCAAGCTCCGCCTCCCGGGCTCACGGCATTCTCCTGCCTCAGCCTCCCGAGTAGCTGGGACTACAGGCGCTCACCACTGCACCCGGCTAATTTTTTTTTTTATTTTTTTTTATTTTTAGTAGAGACGGGGTTTCACCAAGTTAGGCAGGATGATCTGGATCTCCTGACCTCGTGATCCGCTCGCCTCGGCCTCCCAAAGTGCTGGGATTACAGGCCCGTGAGCCACTGTGCCCAGCCAAGCCGTGGTCAGGTTTTGGCAGTCAAGACCACAGCTGCTGTATTAGGAGTGATGCATACACTACAGTTCTGGCCATTTTTCTTGAGCGAGACAAACACTTTCGCATCATTCCAGGAGGGTTTCTTTTAGACTATTATTGAATATGGTTCTGATATGAGATTTGTCAAAGGAAGCCAGCCTGGCTAAAATTTTCCATTATCTGAATCACTTCCTCTGAACATAGTTTACAAGAAACCAAAAAGTATTTTGACTCACTTTTAATGATGACCATGATAGAGTACCAAACTTTACAAGGGTTGGTAAAGATATCTCTTAAGTTGTGAAATAAAGAAAAATAGGTCAATAAATATTTGCATTTTAGTTTGACTACATCCCGAGTTTGGAAGAAGTGGGGGACAAAGAGAAGGGTAAGATTGATGGCTGATGCCAGAAATGGCTAGGAGGTTTTCTGAGGCCTGTTAGTCCCATATTTATAGGGAATATTTAAGTCAGGGACAATTACTTAAATATTAATTTTTTTAAATAAAAGCAAAATGATTTAACGAGAACTAAAGCAATATAGCCATACCACCCCCAACAGCTTGGAAGACTGCATCTTTGAGCCACACCTGGGCAGGCTAGAATATATTTCTATGTTCTTCACATACAAAAGGGGTCTGATGAGGTGGATATAGAGGAGGAAGAAGAAGTTTCATGGCCTTCAAAGTGGGCACAACCCTAGAATGTGGGGAAGAGGCCAGGAAAGAGCAGTATCTAGATGAAAGCTTGTACATTGAGACAATGGAAAAGGTTAGTTTTCTGAAAAGTGAAGTATGTTAAGGTTGGACTGGTTCGTAAATTTCTCTGATATATTCAAAGGATTTAAAAAGCAAGAAAAGTGGGCTCTAGGCTCTTTGTTATTCACATGACCTTCAGCAAGTCATTTAACCTTTGTAGAGCTCAATTTCCTCATCTATAAAATAACAGGATTGAATTAAATAATCTTTAAGGTCCCTTGAAGTGCTGACATCTATGAGATTAGAAGCATTAATACTTAAAAGGATTAAAAATATTATCTATCCATTCCCCTTCTCTCCACCAAAAACAAAGCAAATGAACAAAAGTGGACTATATCTCAATAGAAACTCCTCATTTGGGTAGTGAGATTGATAAATACTTTATTCTCCTTGTCATTAGAACAAAAAGAAATCTCAATAGGGTTAAATCCCTTAAGGTATGTCTTGGATTGGATTATCGAACCAGCTCAGCACTGCCTCTTTCCTGCCTCATGCCTCTGATCCCCTACCCTAATGAAAGACCTGAGGTTCTCCCACAGCATGACCTTCTCCCTTACCTGCATGCCTCGGTGAACCAACCTTCTGCCTGCCCACTCCTTGTACACACTTCAGGACTCAGCATAACAAAAGATTCACCAGAAAGTCTGACCTTCCAGACATCTTATCCCTCCCACAGAAAAAGCAAAGTCTTATTCAGCTGGCCATTTCTGACTACATCATTGTAATTTTAACTGTTTATCACCCTTCTCCCCTACTAGTCTGGAAAGCAAGGATCTTCTTATCTATCTTGGAATTTCAGAGATGAGCACTTTGCCTAGTACTAGGAGGTGCTCAATCAATGATGTTAATTAAATTAATGAACACACAATTAAACACTTTTCAGGGAAAAAAATGCAGAGACAAAACAATGTCTTTAAAAGACAAGCCAGAGTCATGTCTGCTTTTTCTAATAGTCTATCTCAAAACTGCTCTGTCACCTTCCCATTGGGAAGAGTCTAATGGCAGAGATAATACTAATCACTTCCCATTTGCATGCAATTGCCAATTTTCCCGGGCTGCATTTGGCTGGTAGCAACGGAGTCTAATCTGGTCCCATCCATTGGAGAGCATTCCATTGTAATAGCTGTCTTAACAAGTTGGGAATGTGTCACACACAAGCTACTTATTTCTGCATCATAAACTTCTAATGTTTCTTTGGGCTGATAGAGTTTTGTGTTTCCTGAATTTGGGAGATTAGCCAAATATTCTTTTCTTCTTGTCAATGTTTTAGATTGCCCCCTCACCTTGTGTCACCCTCCTGTCCCAGTGCTCACTGGAAGTCTGGGATTGTTGGAGTTAGCAGACTTTTTTCCAAGATACTGTTCCCTCCTTAAAACCAACTATAAGTTACTAGATGTTGACTGAAGATAAGAGGTCAGCCATCCATGGAGTTTATGCCACAGGTCTCAATTTTGGGGCATGCTTAGATCGATCCATACTATCACTCCCCACTTCAAAACCTGCCAATACTTCTCCCTCTAATTCTCTAGGGGCAGAGGGTGTAAGCACATGATGTGGCAGGAGGTGGAGAGTAGCCCTCAGCACTGAGCTGCAGATGGCTATGTATTGAAATGGGCCTGGGAACACAGAAATGAATAGGACATGATGCTGAACCCCATGGAATCCAGCATCTAATAAGGATACAGATAATTAAATTACAATACAGTGTGATAACTGCTAACATAGGGGCAAGCATATACTCTTTCATGCCATTTCTTATTCCGCTGGCACCTAAGTAGAGTGGACTGCAGTGTGTAAAATGTATTCCCCTGCTCCCTTCGAATATCTACTAATTATTTGTTCCTTCAGAAGGCTGGGACCACACTGTTCTTTCATATTCATTGGTTATAGTTATCAATAAAGGTCAGACAGAGAGGAGAAAAGAGCTATGACCCGGCTCTGGATTCATCACTAAGGAATTCACTCTCTACCTATGTAAAGGAAGACACTCTCATGTCCTTGCCCTCAAAGGGCTCTTGGTCTGCTGGGGGAGAGAGAAATGTGACATGTTTGCCCTCAAAGCTTTCTAGATCCAGTAGGGCATAGTGAGGACAAGGTAAGGTCTGCATTAAAGTGCAATGTGTGTGTGTGCATGCACATGCGTGCATGTGTGCATGTATGTGTTGGAGGGGTAGGAGGAGGGCAGAGGTTTCTTGAGCTATGAGTTGGGCAGTGTATTAGTCCATTCTCACACTGCTATAATGAACTACCTGAGACTGGGTAGTTTATGAAGAAAAGAGATTTGACTCACAGTTCTGAAGGCTTTACAGGAAGCATGGCTGGGGAGGCCTCAGGAAACTTACAATCATTGTGGAAGGTGAAAAAGAAGTAGGCATGTCTTCACGTGGCAGAGCAGGAGAGACAAAGAGTGAAGTGGGAGTTGCAACACACTTTTAGGCAACCAGATCTCATGAGAACTCATTCACCATCATGAAAACAGCAAGGGAGATGTCTGCCCCCATGATCCAATCACCTGCCATCAGATCCCGCCTCCAACACTGAGGATTACAATTCAACTTGAGATTTGGGTAGGGATACAGAGCCAAACCATATCATTTGTCCCTGCCAAAAACTTATGTCCTTCTCACATTTCAAAACACAATCATGTATTTCCAACAGTCCTCCAAAGTCTTAACTTATTCCAGCATTAACTCAGAAGTCCAAGTTCAAAGTCTCATCTGAGACAAGACAATTTCCTTTTGCCTATGAGCCTGTACAATCAAAAACAAATTAGTTACTTCCAAGATACAATAGGGGAATAGGCATTGGATAAATGCTCTCATTTCAAAAGGGAGAAATTGGCCAAAACAAAGGGGCTACAGCATCCATGCAAGTCCAAAACCCAGCAGGGAAGTCATTAAATCTTAAGGCTCCAAAATAATCTGCTTTGACTCCATGTCTCACATCTAGACCACACTGATGCAAGGAGTATGCTACCAAGGCCTTGGGCAGATTCATCTCTGTGGTGCTGCAGGGTACAGCCCTTGTGGCTATTTTCACAGGCTGGCATTGAATGCCTGTGGCTTTTCCATGCACACAGTGAAAGCTTCAAGCTGTCGGTGGATCTACCATTCTGGAATCTGGAGGATGATGGCCCTCTTCTCACAGCTCCACTAGGCAGTGCCCCAGTGAGGACTCTGTGTTGGGGTTCCAACCCCACATTTCCCTTCTGTACTCCCTTAGTAGAGGTTCTACATGAGGGCTCTGCCCCTGCAGCAGACCTCTGCCTGGACACTCAGGCATTTCCATACATCCTCTGAAATCTAGGCAGAGGCTCCCAAGTCTCAACTCTTACCCTCTGTGTATGCACAGGCTTAACACCATGTGGAAGCTGCCAAGATTTATGGCTCGCACCCTCTGGAGCAGTGGCCTGAGATGTATCTGGGGCCATGGCTGGAGCTGGAGTGGCTGGGGCACATGTAGCAGTGTCCCAAGGTTGTGCACGGCAGTGGGGCCCTGGGCCCAGCCCACAAAACCATTTTTCCCTCCTAGGCCTCTGGGCCTGTGATGGGAATGGCTACTGTGAAGGTCTCTGAAATGCCTTCCTTGCATTTTCCCCATCATTTTGTCTATTAACCTTTGGCTCCTCTTTACTTTTGTAAATTTCTGCAGCCGGCTTTAATTTCTCCCCTGAAAATTGATTTTTCTTTTCTACTGCATGGTCAGGTTGCAATTTTTCCAAACTTTTATATTCTGCTTCACTTTTAAATATAAGTTCCAGTTTCAGATAATCTCTTTGTTCATGAATATAAGCATATGCTGTTAGAAGAAGCAAGGCTACATCTTGAATGCTTTGTTGGTTATAGATCTCTTCAACCTAAATCAACTGAGACTGGGTAGTTTATGAAGAAAAGAGATTTGACTCACAGTTAAAAATTCCACAGATCTTTAGGGCAGGGGCACAGTGCCTCCATCCTTTTTGCTAATGCACAACAAAAGTGACTGCTGCTCCAGTTCCCAAAGTTCTTCATCCTTATCTGAGACTACCTCAGCCTGGATTTCATTGTCCATATCACTATCATCATTTTGATCACAACAATTTAACAATACTCTAGGAAGTTCCAAGCTTTCCCTCAACTTGCCTTCTTCTTCTGAGCCCTCCAAACTGTTGCAACCTCTGCCTGCTACCCTGTTCCAAAGCTGCTTCCACATTTTCACATATCTTTATATCAATGCCCCACTTCCTGGTACCAATTTTCTGTATTAATCTGTTCTTGCATTGCTCTAAAGAACTACCTGGATGGGGTAATTTATAAAGAAAAGAGGTTTAGTTGACTCAGAGTTCTGCAGACTGTAAGGAAGCATGGCTGAGGAGGCCTCAGGAAACTTACAATTATGGCAGAAGGTGAAGTGGAAGCAAGCACGTCTTCACGTGGTGGATCAGGAGAGAGAGTAAAGAAGGAGGTGCCACAAACTTTTAAACAACCAAATCTCATGAGAACTCACTCGCTATCATGAGAACAGCAAGGGGGAAGTCTGCCCCCATGATCCAATCACTTCTCATCAAGCCCCTCCTCTAACATTGAGGATTACATTTCGACAAGATTTGGGTAGGGACAAAGAGCCAAACCATATTAGGAGGTGAATAAATGTTTACCAGGTTAACCGATAGACAAAAAAAAAAAAAAAAAAAAAAAGATATTCTAGGAAGGATGGATCTGGAGGTCTAGGCCTGATGGCTCTAGCTGTTTATAGTAGTGGAGATGAAGCCAAGTGGGCTAGTACTTCTTCAGAAAACACAAAATACGTAATCATAGCAAATATATATGACAGGCATTAACACTCCAAAGGTCAGGGTCCCAAGGTGGTCAAAGCACAGAGGTGGTGAATCCAGGCAGTCTTCACCTAAGAGATGGCTTCACCTAAGAGAAGCGCAAGGCCTTAGACACCAAAAAAGCCTGTAGAGTAAACATCTTACCTCTTCAGGGGTGGATGGTGACAAGGCAATGTAGAGGCTTTAGGAAGCATAGCTCCTGGGCACCTGGAGGATGGAGGGCCACACAGGAGCCTAGGGGTTATCAGCAGATATTCACACCTTTTGGCAGGTTAGGGAAAGATTTGAAGAGTCAGTGTTGGAATACTGAGAATGTGAAGGAAAATATTGCTGAGATCCACCAATATGGCTAAAGGGACAGTTGCTCAAAATGCTGAAGCTCCCTGTGGCCTGCTTTGGCCAGGACTGGCTCAGGAACTGCAGGAAAGCACTGGGGGACACACATGTGGAGACATGGGGTGGCTGAGGGAGAATGGACCTCTCTTCTTGAGTCACCACCTCCATTGTGTTATTCTTTTTCAAAGACTTAGAATGAGTTCCTGATGCCTCGCCCTTTAAGCTCAAACTCCCCTGAGCGGCCAGCTGGGACCTTCAAATTAGACCCATGTTTCCTTTACAGTCTTATTTCTCACTTTTAAAATAACATTTGAGAAATGTTCCCAGACCACAGCAGGCTCATTTCTATCTAGGATTTTGGTTTTCCCTTCGTTTTCACTTTAAATGGCTGGAATGACTCGCTCACTACTTATGTAAATGATATTCATCATTAAACAGCCAGTCAAGCCCTACGTGTTTTCCACTCTTACCTTCAGTTATTTTCTCTCAATGATTTCCAAACCAATTTAGCCCATGTGTACACATACTTCTCTTGTACGATGACACACTATTTAACATCTAATTATTCCCAGATTGTTTAGAAGATGTTAGCTTTATCTCCTTAGATAGATAATAAGCTACTATAATAACAAGGAAACAAAATAATAGTAAGGAAACAAAAGTTTCCTTTTCTCCCCATATTCTCAGTCATTACCTAGTACTTAGCACAACACTGCAGAACCATATGGGGCTAGATACAGGCATAAAAATTGGCCAGATAACTGAAGTAATTTAGAGACATAGATCTGAGTTCCACTGGACACTTAATAACTTATATTTGGCTGAAAAATGTGTAGATCCTTCTTTTCATTCTAACCACTCATATGAGTTCTCATGGTTTATCATGAAGTGGTTTTTTTTTTAAATCCACCATGATCATTTTTCACATTTCCTATTATATTTCATGTGAGTTTTGGGCTGTCTACCACTACCATCCACAAATTTGGAGTAGAGTAAGGTCAGAAACAGTGATGGGTAATAAACATAAAGTTTTTTTCGTCTTTGTAGTTCAAAGCATTTTCTCTATTGTGTTATGCAACTTGGACCTCAAAAGCCATTTGGGAGGCTGAACATTCTGAAATCATTCTCGGCTGTTTTGCAGACACCAGCAACACTGGTAGCCCCATACTATCAGCCATGATCTACCCCACCGTGTTCTTCCACATCACCATCAATGGCAAGCACGTGGACCGTGTCTCCTTAGAACTGTTTGCAGACAAGTTTCTGAAACAGCAGAACACTTTTATGCTTTGAGCACTGGAGAGAAAGGATTTGGTTACAAGGGTTCCTGCTTTCACATAATTATTCCAGGGTTTATGTGTCAGGGTGGTGACTTCAAACACCATGATGGCACTGGTGGCAAGTCCATCTATGGGGAGAAATTTGATGATGAGAAATTCATCCTGAAGAATACAGGTCCTGGCATCTTGTCCATGGCAATGCTAGACCCAACACAAATGGTTCTCAGTTTTTCATCTGCACTGCCAAGACTGAGTGGTTGGATGGCAAGCATGTGGTCTTGGCAAGGTGAAAGAAGGCATGAATATTGTGGACGCCATGGAGTGCTTTGGGTCCAGGAATGTCAAGACCAGCAAGAATATCACCATTGCTGACTGTGGACAATTCCAGTAAGTTGGACTTGTGTTTTACCTTAACCACCAGACCATTCCTTCTGTAGTTCAGGAGAGCACCCCTCCACCCCATTTGCTTGCAGTATTCTATAATCTTTGTGCTCTCATTCCCTTTGGGTTCCATGTTTTCCTTATTTCCTTCCAGTTCCATGTTTTCCTTATTCCCTTCCATGCCAAACTGTATTGAAGAATTAAGTTTATGATTATGAAAAAAACCTAAATAATAACAACAACAACAACAAAAATCATTCTCATTTTTGGTCTGAGTGCTGAGGCTGTCTGTAAATGAGTGAGAGAAAAAATTTGCTTTATGCTAATTCCAAGTAGAAATGAAAAGTCTATCAATAACCATGATGGTTTTTGGAAGGCTTAGGTCACGATGTTCGGGTGATCATAGTCACTCTGCTCAGCTCTTTAATTTCACCAAAGCCTTGATACATATGTTACTACTACTTCTGTTTTATAGAAGAAGTCTAAAGTGCCTCAGAATTGCCTGTGACAAGGGGAACAAAAAACAAAAGGTGGCACTTTGGCAGAGGTTACAGCTGCGGCATATCAGTCACATTCACCAAATGTCATCATGGGTTGGAGCTGTCGGTTCACAGTCCTTTTGAGGTAGTGTGAGAAGTAGAGGTCTGGGATGGGCAGGCCTCCTGTAGATTCCACCCACAGTTTCCTGGGCTTTGTAACTGAGAGCAAATCACTTAATCTTTCTGTCAGTTTATTCATCAGTACAATGCAAGGTGCTAATAACACCCACTTTGCAAGATAATTTATATTTGTATATGGCCTAACACAACATCAGGCGCTGGTAGACACCCACTGGCTGTGGCTATAATTATTAATTCAAATAATGTAGTTCATAGAGCTAAGATGAAAGAAACATCATATTGAGGAAAGAACAAAGACTTTGGAGCAAAATCTGGTTTTCAATTCTAGTTCTTCTGCTTATTATCAGCAAAGGTTGGTAAATTACACATCAACTCTAGGCTTCAGTTTCCTCATATGTGGAATGAGGGTAGTAAGAGTACCTACCTTAAAGGATTATCATGCAGATTTAAAGAGCAAAACATGTAAAATCCCATGAATAGTTCCTGGCATATTGGTAAAGCATATAATGAATAGTAACTGCTGTTAATTCACATTCAGATCTTAAAGAAAAAATAGTATTTCTAAGCCCATCTCTCTATGATGGATCCAGGGAATCAAAGGTGAATGTTGTTCTTACAGAGGAGGGTGAGAATTTTATCAGCGATATACTAACAAATGTTTAAAAATTAGCTAACTATACCCACCTCCTCACTAGTTAACTCCTAATCTGTAGTGTTTGCTGATTTCCATGGTATAAACACTACCAGTGTGATGTCAGTGAACACAGAGCTGGCAGGAGATGCTAACAAGCTGCCACTGGATTTTTTTCATCTTCCTGAACCCACATAATACACAAGAGCTACAAAATCACATTATCTAGGTTGCCCCATGTGATATACTGATAATATATATTTATATAAACTCTTATGACTGAGAATTCCGACTGTGGTGAAGTAGTCACAGGACCGGGAATCAACGACTTGGGTTCTAGTCCTAAATTTTTAGGGATGCTGTGACCTTGGAAAAGTCACTTAACCCCTTTAAGACTCAACGAAGTCTGAAGCCCAGAGAGTTTCTAAGACCCTTTCCAACTCTAAAAGCCAATAATCAATAATTCTAGAGATACAGCTTTCCATTGCTTATTCCTAGGTCACATGTCTTTTTTATCTAGAGACAAAATGGACAGAATGGATTTTAACAAGCTCTGTAGGAAAAAATAAAAGTCTTTTATCTGTATAGATCCTGGTGAATATTTGTTCTCTGTGAAAGGGATTTTATTGACCATTACAAAAGTACATTCTGAAAAGAGCCTCACCAGTGATTAGAAATTTGAATTAAGTGGGTCTTACCTTCTTTTCATGCTTGTCATGTGATTTAATGAAATAATACAACTCAGGGAAGGAGTTTAAAGAGCATAAAGTGCTACCCACTGTTAAGGTGTTAACTTAAACAGGTCTTTTCTACATTGCAAAAATGTCATTATGCTAAAATAAAAGTAAGTTTAATTATCTTTTAAACGTGTACTTCAAGCTGCACTGTGAGCTGTTCTCAATATCTGGCCACAAAATAAATAAATTCATGCAATATCTGGCCACAAAATAAATGATTTCAAAAGAAATGATGTCATATTTTAAATAATTAATGATCGACACTTTGAGTAATATACAAATCTGATGCTTTGCAAGAAATGTTTGTTAAAAAAAACTTACTATAAGTCAATTTTATTTTGTTTTGCATAAGAATCATGCTATCAGACATTTCAGTGCTCTTGGCACTGAGGTATTTAGAATACAACAGAACAGAGAGAAAATGTTAATTGAAACATATAAAAAATTGTCTTTGATGTAAACATTATTATTAAGTAGTTTATCTAGCTTAGACATTTAATTATACCAGAAATCCATCGATGATTTTTCTTTCCTTTTTGCAACAGAAATGCTCAAAAGCATTATTTTGGAAACACCAAAACAATCCACTGATTTTGTTATTTCAGAGTAACAGTTTGTTCATTCAGTGAACCATCTATCAACTGTTAGGATTGAACTAACTAGATTATTTTACTTGCTATCCATCCATTCCACAAATATCTGTTGAGCACCCACCTATGTAAGACACTTTTAGACACTGGGGATATAGAAATGGATCAGATTGCATCCTGTAATGAGTTCAATGGTGGCCTCTGCAAAAGATATGTGGAGGTCCTAATTCCCAAAGCCTTATTTGGAAAAAGTTCCTTACACATATAATTAAGAATCTTAAGATGAATAAATACTTCTGGATTATCAAGATAAGACTAATTCCAAGAACAAATGAGGCAACATAGCTACAGAGGCAGAGATTGGAGTGATGTGGCCATAAATCAAGAAATACCTGCAGCTACCAGAAACTAGAAGAGAAAGGGAATTAATTTTACCCTAGAATTTTCACAGGGAATGCAGCTCTACCAACATCTTGATTTTGGACTTCTGTCCTCCAGAACTATGACAATAAATTTCTGTTGCTTAAGCCACCAAATGTGTGGTAATATGTTATGGCAGCCTCAGGAAACTAATGAAGATCCAGTCTCCAAGGAAGATAACATATTTCTTTCTATATTATATTGTTTTTAAATGCAATAAGATTGGTTACAGTAGGAATTTGGAGAAAGAAGAGATTTCTTTCTACTGGGGGGTATCAGGACATAGTTACTAAAGGAGGAAGGATTTGAGAATCCTCTTAAAATGAACAGAATTGTGATTTAGAAAGACTGAGCTTATGATGATGGTGCTGGAGGTTGGTGAGCCTGGGATTGTTGAGTAGATGTGTTTTGGGTATGGGTGGAGGTGGGCAGTGAATTCCAGGCAGAAGGAAACTTACAATTAAAGGTCCATAGGCTGTCAGGTGGGAGACCTATCCAGAGAGGAAGGCAGAGTTCAATTAATTTGCAAACGGAAGAGCCACAAATAAGACACATAAGAAATGGCCTTATGTGTCCAGTTAGAGTGTGGATTTCATTTTATAATCTATAGAAAATAGGGTGGTTTTTAGGCAGGAGGATGACAAGGTAAGATCTATGTTCAGGAAGAATCTCTGGCTATGGTATAATTTAGAGAAGAAAAGTACTGAAGGTAGGGAGAGACTGGTTAGGAGGAGATAACACTATATTGCAAGAAACTAGGGTGTTATGGGCTAAACTGTGTCTCCTCAAAATTCATATGTTGAAGTCCTAACCCCAGTATGTATGTGAGAATGTGACTGTCGAGAGACAGCATCTTTTAAGAGATAATCAAGGTAAAATGACATCATATGAATGGGCTCTAATTCAATATGACTGGTATCTTTTATAAAAAAGAAGAGATTAGGAAACAGACAACACACAGACCAAGGGGTGACCATGTGAGGACATGGAGAGTAGGCTGGCATCTGCAAGCCAAGAAGAGAGGCCTCAAAGAAACCAAATCCACTTACAACTTGATCTTGAACTTCTAGCCTCCAGAGCTGTGGGAAAATAAAGTTATGTTGTTTAAACCACCCAGACTGTGATATTTTATTATGGCATCCCTGGCAAACTAATACAAAAGATTTCCCATGGGTGTTTTGCAACAAAGCACACCACTCAACATGGAGATTTTTGATGTGTGTTATTATTTGCTCTCTTAGATAGAGTTGTGTCTGACCTTAATATAAGGACACTCAGTTTAGTTTCATTACCTCCCAAAAGGAGGTATACAATTGCCACGTTCCAACTCCAAAAGCGTGGTGCATCAAAAGGCACAACAATAATACCAATTTTATAGTTGCTATAATATCGCTTCTTTTCAGAATATGTAACAGAATCTCTTTTGCTTCACAAACTCCATGCATTTTGTTCCTACCTTTCTCATAAATAATGATACTGAACAGATGCTACCTTCAGATATTTGTTGACTGAGTTATGAAATATTCCCATTGCCTGAGCTTCTGGGCATCCAGATACAATAATCTATCTTAATTTTCCCTTTCCTAATCTGTCCAAAATGTACTCATTAGTGAGGTCTGATTAAGTGTGTGGGCTTTGCCCTGAAGATGTACAGCAGATGGGAAGTGAATGAGAAAGATATGGACTACCCCTGTAGTTCATATTGCAGGTTTCTAACTGAGAAGACAATATTGTTCATGCATCAGGATGAGCAGTATAAAATGATTCAGTCAAAAAAGTGGCTTATCTGTTAGAGTTGAGGGCAAGAGCCCTAATGGATGCCCATTCAGATTTCCCAACAGAAGTTAGTGTGATGTTCTTTAGCGTTCTGCAATGGGGAAGCTACAACTTGTGGAAAGCAAAGGAGATCAGAAAACTCAGGCCAGTCTTGACTTTTTTCCCATTTACACATTTTTTTTTTTAAAGTCTCATGGAAAACATAGCTTCTGACTGTTTAACCCTGTTCTTTTTGTTATGGTCAGCCATAAGGCTGACTGTGAATCCATTGAGCGTCCAGCACCATGCTAGGTGTTCTAGAAAAGAAGGAAGAATCCGGGCTCTTAGGAAGCTGGTGATCAATCTGGAAGGCAGGCCAAATACTTAACACCTTATCAATTATTTTAAATTAGTATGGAACAGAATGAGCTAAATATGACTGGCTGGCTGTGGGGTACTCAACAGCAGATTTGGGTTGATTTGGTTACATTCAACACGTGAATCTCATTATTTCCTAATGCACACTCAACTATAAGCCAAGTGATATGGGAGTTACACAAAGGTTGTAAGACCTTTCTCTGTCCCAAAGGACGCTTAGGTCACCTGAGTGACTAAGACTTAGGTGACGCAAGCAGGGAAAAAGTAACATTGTTCAAATGAATGATGTCACTGTGTGCTAGAGAATTTAGAATTCAGAAAATTAAGAGGACAGTATAAGCCAGTTTAGCTGTAGGAGGCATAGAAAATAAGGCTTGGTATACACATTAATTTATTTATTATATGTTACATTAATTATAGATAATTTTTATATATTTATTATAATTTATTATGCATTTATTATTCATATATTTTTCATTCACACAGCAAACATTATATGTCATGTACAATATTCCATGTTCTGATAAAATGGTGAAGAAAACTGAAATGGTCTCTATCCTTATGGTGTTTATAGTTTAAGAGGAGAGACAAACATTAGTCAACTAAATGAACAGATATTAAATTATACACTGTGTTAAGTGCCTTGAAAGAAAATTATTACGGGAAATGGTCTGGAGCAGAGTGGTCAGACCAATGTTTAATCAAACATCCAAAGGATGAGTAAGAGATAGTTAGGCAGTGGAGGTGGGGAGTATTCTAGGTATACGACATGGCACGTACAGAGAGAGACATAAGGTGGAGAAGGAAGGCAACTGCCCAGCTGCAGGAAGGCAATAAGCCAGTGCAATTAGAGGACTGAGATGGGGAGAATTTTCATTCCTGATGTTTCTGGACTCACAGGTATATTTAAGATCTGTTGAAAGCTATGCATCCTCTCTCCAAAATGTGCTCTACATTCAAAATTCAGGAGCTTCACAGATTTGCAGAAGCTTGTCCTCAAACTCCAGAATAAGAGTTCCTGCTTTAAGGACAGGATGCAACTGGGCCTGGCTCTCAGGAGAAGAAAGTGTTTTCTCAGCAAGAGGAGTGTTTGGAATGAGCAGTGTTTGCATGATTGTCAGGGACAAGGGTTCCTGCTAGGCAGGATTTTTATCAGTCTTACTCCAGTTCCACTGGATGCTCTCAATTCACAAAAAAACAAGGTGAATAATAAGGGAAGAGCTATCTCTATGCTTGTATGCATCTTTGAATTTGCTAGCAATGCTAATGGTGGCATTTGGCCTTTAAATAATGATTTCCCTCCTCCCCCTGGCTTGGCTCTTTCCTCCCAGTGCATTACCCATCAGCACCAGGGAGCTGGTACAGTGTGCAGGATATGGCAGAGAAATAGACTCTATGGCATTGATTTTCTGCCTCAGTGGGCTTCAAAAACATCAGCAAGAATATTAGCAAAGCTGTTGAATACAAACCATTTCCTAATGCATTTTTAATTAGTATTTGGTCAGTTAAGTTAATCAATTTGTAAAATATGTGGAAGGAAAGGCCTATTAAAATAGAATTCATGTTTGTTGTGGTAAATCTTTCCATAAACTTACAACTACAAACTAGATATTTCTTCTGAATGGGAAATGTGGGCAGGCAGATACACAGATCCCCTGCGGAGACTATTTTCAGTATTAATTACCTTGCTGTGGCTTAAAAAGTTATCGTTTAGGTGTTAAGAGGTTTTTGGAGATTAGATTATTTAAATGGCAAAAATCAATTTTCCTGAACTTGGACAGTCTTTTGCAGTGTAAAAAGCCAAAGGGAGTAGAGAAAGAGGGGAATTTTGTGCATCTCATTTTTTCTTTTCCAAATGTGAAAACAAACTGAATTGTTAAAACGAAGAAAAGGAGGGTCTACATTGGAGAAAAAGAAGTGGATTTCAAATGCTTTTGTCTTTCTTAGACTGCGTGGTAAGAGGAAGCCAGCACCCATGGCCATGGTTAGAAATCAATTCATGGACTGTGCTCCGTTAGCTTAGAAGTTTCTTAGTTCAGGAGCCAGGAGGGCTCAGGCAGAAAAAATGAGGTAAACATGTGCAGTGGGATGCTCAGAGGAGGAGCTGAAATGTGCCCTGAGGAAAGGCAGTATTGTCTATCATACTGCAAATGTCTTCCTCTTCTCCAGGGCCAACACGTAGTTTAAGCAAAATTTGGTTTTAATTCAGCAGATGAGTAAGCCTGTAGTCTGCAGAAGGCATGTGCTTGGCTCTGAGCCTTACCGCTCCACAAAGAGCTTCCCGTTGGGCAGTTACACTGATGCACAGCTGGCAATGTTACACAGGGGGCATGATCAAGAGGTCTAATATATATTAGTTTCCTGACACAAGTTTGCTAAATGTGTTAGCCTGCTCCGGCTGCCCTAACAAAATATCAAACATTGAGTGGCTTAAACAACAGGAATTTATTTTCTCACAGTTCCGGGGGCTGGAAGTCTAAGATCAAGGTGCCAGCAGGTTTGGTTTCTCTGAAAGCCTCTCTCCTTGGCTTGCAAACAGCCACTTTCTTCCTGTATCCTTACATGGTTCTTTCTCTGTGTGCTTGGAGTTGGGGGCAGGAAAGAGAGAGAGAGGTCTCTAGTATCTTTTCTCCTTATTATAAGGACATCAGTTCTATTGTATTAGGGCCACATCCTTATGATCTAGTTTAGCCTTAATCACCTCCTGAAATATAGTCATGTTGGGAGTAAGCACTTTAATGTAGGAATTGTGGGGGGAATGGAATTCAGTATGCATCAGTGAGTGAATGAAAGAGGAAATACAAATATAGTCCATAGTGCTATAAACATAAATGGAATAAAAGATTAATTTTGATTTGAAGTGGGGACATTTCTTAGAGGATTTTTGATTTGAGCTAGATCACAAATAATAGCAAGAATATTGTTAGAACTGTATGTGAGGGAAAGGAAGCTCAATTGTGCAGACAACAGTTTGAGGAATGCTCGGAGGCCTGAAAGATCAGGGGAACCATGTGGGGAACAGTGACTGGATCATGGGTCTTTTGGAGGGGGTAGACTATGCAAGTAAAGCTAGAGAAGGTTGTGGGGCAATTCATGGGGACGCTTTATTATACTGAGGGCATTGAAGAGACAGTGGGCTCTAAGTGAGAAGGTGCCATGATTCATGGAGATTTGTGGAAGATGGGTGGGATGGCTTGACATGGGGAAAGAATAAAAGGCAGGGGGCTCAGGCAATCAGTATGGGTATCCCTACTACCTTTCTTCACAAGGCAAGTTAACATCATTTTCCTGTTGCCCTCTGGCTATCCAGATAAACTTCTATCGTTCCATGCCTCCTCTGGGCTGAACATCAGACTTTAGTTTAAGACTGGGGATCTTGATTTATACTGAAATTCTACAACAATAATTCACAACCAGGTGTAGTAAGCAGTAGGGGTTATTTTGGAGCACTGGGATTTCCTAGCAAGCAGATTCAAACTCCAACAGCCACATGACCGTGCCCCTGCTCTCCTGTCACACCCCTCAGCCTCCATCCCAGGAATCCCGAAGCCTCCATCTTGAGGAGTCTGTACCCCCACCGTACTTTCTCAAGGGGGATGCCTGCCATAACCAGCTGCATGAATGATGGGAGTGTGACATTCTTATGTGATTGGATGAGGGAGAAAGTTGAGAATCAGTCTGCTAGAAAGTGGGGTGATGTTCTGCTCCCTGTTTTTGAGGCCAAGAGAATAATTTATTCCAGATGGGCTGCTGTTCCTCTATAATTCAGAACAGAGCCTTTTAAGATCTAGGGAAGACAATTGAAGAATTGTTATCACAGGTTAACCAACAATACTATTAAGAGAGGTATTAATCCTCATTGCCTTGCCATTCAATAGCTCATGCAAACAATACAGGAGCTACAAGAATAATTCACAAAACTAATTTCCTGCTTTGATGAACACTCCATTTGTAATCTATTCAATTCTTCTTCTGCTTCTTCTCCGTCACCCTCTGTTTCTTCATTTTAGTCTTTGGGTATTGATCTCTTCATCACATCTTCTTTTCCCCATCATTACTTTTCACACTTACTTCTCTATGCCTCTTCATCCAATTTACTAATAATTGTTTTAAGATTAAAATGATATATGAAATTTTTCTTTATATGAAACTGTCATGTAAAAATATAACTCAAACTAAAAGACTCTGGGACACTGTTTGTCTGGATAGAGACAAATTGGATGTGTTTTCATACTCTCAAAAGGAATGAAAGGAATGAATGGTTGAGTAAGAAATGAGCTTAATGTTTGCCTCCCTTCATGATTCCACAGCTGGCGGAATGCGAGAGAATAGAAGGATCTAATCTCTTTTCTTCCTAAATACATTTCCTCCTTCTTTCCTCACTGTGTGCCTGTCTGTATATTTCACTATCTTTTAAAATTTCCCATTTTTTTCAATTTCCATGATATGGGACTAAAAATGTTATTTCAGCAATTCTGATACATGATGGAGTTTTATGTTTAATTTGCCATCTTTCTCCTAAATAAATGGAGAACATTATACTAAGAGTTATAGGTGATAATTTTAAAAAGTTTAGAAATAATCCTGGACTTCAAGGAGCCTAACATCTAGTGAAATGTATCATGTAAGAACTCTTTGAACAGAGAAAGTGGTCAAAGTGGAGGTCCTCTTATAATTTCTATGGCTAGGGGCAAAACCTGAAGTTGGTCCCTTTACCATTTTTCTCTTAAAATGAGGTAAAAACTGGACCAAAGCAAAAACAGAACAAAAAACTGAAAGGCAATGGGAAACCTATCTCTTCCAATTGGCTGTACAGGAATAGGGAGGGTCTCTGACTGATTTGGTTTTGGCTATGGTCGCAGGCTCAGGGGCTGGCTGTATACTTACAAGCCTCAGGAAATATTCAGCTCCAACTAGTGCCATCTCTTTTCCTGGCAGCCTCCTTGTACATTGCTTAACCACAGATCTCTCATATCATGGGGATGTTGATCACTGTTGCCATATCCAGGAATGCACTTCCGAATGGCACTGACACAGCTGGCTGGTTCGCTCACTGGAGGGAAACCTAGAAGATTGGAGTCTGGGTAGAGGAAGCATTAGAAGCAGGCACTTGCAAGAGAAATTTCCCAAGTGATTTTTAAAAGCATTATTCTTTGAAACAATAGATATTTAGGTGGATTAAAAAGTTTTCTCTCTTTCTCTCCATTTTCTTAAGATACAGATGCTGGCTTTTTCCTAGTGGGGCTATTTCCATTAGGGCTGCATTTTAGTGAGGTCACCGCTTTCACCAGTGGGTTAGAGCCATTAGTGCCCTGAGTTTTAGCTATCGTGACCTCTCATTACCCATGCTGTTTGGCCTCACAGTCACATAAAACACACAATAATAGGACCACTGGCATTTTAGATTTCATTACAATTCATATTTTGTTTAGCGCTTTCCCCATGTACACTTTAATTTCTGTGCATAGCTGAACTGCCTCATTTCCACAGAAACGAAGTTAGACCCAAAGCCTACACTCATGGTTCTAGAGGTGGTGATTCACTTCTGAGCTTTTGTGTCTTTTACCCCATGTGGGAGAAGCATACACACATACGCACACAGAGTAATTTTTCTTTTCCCGACTTTGCTGTTTTCATGATCTCTTCTAAGAGTAGATATGGAAACAGATCTTTGCTCTGCTTAATTGTTTTTAATACCAAGGGCCATTAGAAGTCACAAAACAACATATCTGAGTGCTTTCTGAATGGCTGTAATAACCGAAAGATTATTTTATCAATATTTCCTACTTTTGTCTGAGTACATATGCACATACACAATCTCAACCATTTTAGACTGAATTGGCTGTTTCTTAACAGACCACTTAATTGATTGGTATATGCTTGCTGAATGAAGTGACCAGTTCCCCCCACACCCCTTGACTCCAATTGATCTATCAATACAATCCATCACAAAGGTTTGGCAGTATGGACAAAACTTTAGCTGCATGTTGAAGCTATCTTTGCCTTTCTCATTATCTGTATGATTGAGTCAAAAGCCCTGCAAAATCCGAACATAATCTTTCTGAGTGAAGTCAAGTAATAACATCATATGCTGCTTCTATGAGAAATAGTTTTTTCATTTGAGTAGCTTGAGGATTACAGAACTTCTTGCTGCTACCACATTTGGAGTCACATCACAGGTAAAGGCTCTAACTTTTTTTCTTTTTTGAGACAGCGTCTTGCTCTCTTGCCCAGGCTAGAGTGCAGTGCATGATCTCGGCTCACTGCAACCTCCCCCTCCGGATTCAAGCAATTCGCCTGCCTCAGCCTCCTGAGTAGCTGGGATTACAGGAGCACACCACCACACCCGGCTGATTTTTGTATTTTTTAGTAGAGACAGGGTTTCACCATGTTGACCAGGCTGGTCTCGAATTCTTAACCTTGCGATCCGCCCACCTTGGCCTCCCAAAGGGCAAGGCTCTAACTTTTAACATCAATTAGTAAGGATCACTCATCCTTAGAAGAACCATAAAAAGGACTGAAGCTGAGCTGCCTCTATTTTAGCACTAAGCTCAGATTTCTGTTTTTCCTACTTCATGCTACTGTCTCAGCTAGCTCCTGGATTTGAGGCCTTTTGCCTATTTTGTCTTCAATTTTGTCTACTTCTTCAGATTTGATCTATTTCCTCTTAGATTTTCATTTGATTTCCTTCCCAACTCTGTTTATCTTGCAAATTTCCTTAGCTCTTGGTCTATTTGGACCTCAAATATCTTCCCTAACCCCAAATAATGCCTAAGTTCTACTAAAAATACAAATTCCACTAAAATACAAACTGAGTAAACTGTGAGGACATTTTAAAATCTGCTGGAGCAGACTGCAAAATACTTGACGAGGAGGAGGTTGAAAGGATGGGTTAAGGCGTCTATTCAGTGGCCCATCTAAGAAGCTTGCATTTTATTCTGGAGACGATGGAAAAACTTGGACACTTAAACACCAACATCTGGAAATAAATGCTTCACATATGTATACATATTTGAGGAAGGTTGAGCTTTCAGTGCGATGTGGGATGCGTTGGAATAGAGATGCTGGAGGTGAGCAGTTCAGGCTGAGGTCCAGCAAGGTTCCAAGCAAGAGCACCCAGCCAAGATGATAGAAGTCAGAAAGTGAAATGCAGGGTGGTGTGAGAGGTAGAACTCATGGAACTCGAGGGAGTGTGGTGGGTGGAGGTCAGAATAGAAGCAGAAGTGAAAGCTGCCCCCAAGGTTCTGAATCAGTGACTGGTGGTATAGATGATGCTATTAGCACGGACAGGAAAGGCAACCCAAAAGGAGAAGAACAGCTTTGAGAAAGGGGATGCTTTGCTTAGGGAATTTAAGGTGCTGATTCCTGAGTTCAAATTAGTTAGGGATTATAAGGGCAGCTAAAAAGACATTGATGGACTGAGAGATTTGTTTGAAAGAGGATGCTAACCCAGAAAAAAAGGAAGAAAGCAGACATACACTTTTACTTGCCTTAAAGAAAGAGTGCTATGCTATTTAATAAGGTGATCTAGTAGGGAAAAGCCTCCTCTATAAACTTATTCACAATCCCAATTCCAACCCGCATGGCTTTCTCCAGGTGCTAGCCCTTCCCAAGAAGCACCCCTGCATGACCCTCCCTTTCAGCCCAGCAAATGCTACTGTGCTGGTTGTGTGGGTGATAAAGAGCACTGCCCCCAGGCACCCAGGCTGGGCTTGTTGCATAGTGGGGTGGGGAAGAGGGTGTGAAGTGGATGTGAGGGAACTGATGCCTCTCTCTGTATCGAAAGGCCGAGTATAATAGATGGGGGCGTACCCCTTCCCTGACACCTCACAGACCCTGCCTCTCAGAAACGGTTCTTTAAATGGTATGACCTGCCACCTTTCTGAAAACTGTCTTAAAACATTTGAGATTGAAAGTTAAAATTCACAAACAAAAGCTTTCTTGTTCCCATAGCAAGTGATCATCATTAGTCAAGCTATTCAGAGGAAATTGAAATACCCTCTCTTGCTTGCAGGTGCCTTGGCTGGACTCCCACCCATCTTCCAGGTCCCTCTTCCTCGCCTGGTTTCCCTGGTGACCAGGACTCCTACAGCAGGGAGCAAATGCTTTTATGGATGCCGATCAGGCCAGGCTGTCTCACTGCAGGCCACCTCCCATGCCACCCTCGTGGCTGTTGAGGGCCCAGTACTCACAGGTCCAAGGCCACTCCAGGGCACAGTAGGCAGGGAGTGCTGGGGAGGCAAGCCTGGCAACCCTGCTCCTGACAAAGGAGGCAGTCGGGGTGGGGGTGGGTGGCACACCTGGGCCTTTTGTTTTTGGCTGTAACTGACATGGACTGTGCTTTATTTTCTTGGCTTCATTTGCAAAGGGCTTTGGGATTAAAGATCCTATATAAATGGAAATTATTTTATCATTGAAAGGAAAAAGTACAAGTATGCATGAGATGATGAGAAACTAAGCTTCATATTATTGCATATGACCTTTTTCACTGGATGTGTATGACACCTGACAAATACCAGCATTGGCAGGAGCTGGCTTCCAAATACTGACACTGTCCTGGATCCATGCCTTCACTCTTGGATTATTGCCATAGTTCCCTAACTGGCCGTTCAACCTCTAATCTCTCTTCACTATCACTGTCTTCAAAATAAACTGCAGGATACTACCATATGCCCTGATAAAGGCAAAAATGGAAAAGATAATAGTACCAAGGTTGGTGAGGATGTGGAGGAACTGGTACTTCATAGACTGCTGGGGGGAGTGTGAATTGCATGTTTTAGAGAAATGTTTAGCAGTATCTACTAAAGTTGAATATCAGCATACCCTTTGATCCAGCAAATCTACTCCTACTACATATACTCAGCAGGAGTAAGCACACATATTTATCAAAAGTCTTGTATGAAGTGTTCATGGTAACAGTGTTTGTTAATCGTCCAAATCTGAAAATAAGCCAGATGCCTACCCCAACATTAGAACTGATAAATTATGGTATATTCGTATAATGGGATACCATACATCAATGGGAATGAATGAATTCAATCTACATCACAATGTAGATAAAATCTTACAAACATTAATATTGAGCCAAAAAAGCCAAACACTAAAGTACATATACCATATTGTTCCATTCATATGAAGTTCAAAATCAGCAAATCTAAGCAACAGTATTAGAAATCAGGGTAATTGTTCCCTTGTTGGGGTGGGAGGTTATGACAGGAGAGGAGCATGCGGTGGGGAGTGGTCTTTTGGGAAGTTGGCAATGTTATGTTTCTTGACCCAATTACTGGTTACCTGGCTGACCAGAGGCCTGAGATGGACATATGTTCACTTTGTAAAATTCAGTAAGTTGAACACTTATTTTGTGTCCCTATTATACTTTGACAAAATTTATTAAACAAACAAAATAGAACTACCACAGCTTTCATGTTGCTTTCCTGCATAGAAACCTGAAATGGTTCTCTGCAGCTTTCAGGCTAAAGCCTAAACTCCTTAGCTTCAGATATGAGCTTTTACAATCTGTCCCCATCTATTTCTCCAGCCCCATCACCTACCCATTCCTACTAAGTACACTATGCTCTAGCTCTGTGGGATTTTTCAAATCATTACTTCAGTCTTCCATGCATTTGTATGTCTTCAGCACTTTGCTCATGTTGTTTTTTCTGCCTGGAATACTCTTCCACATGTGTTAACTTGATGACCCAACTCAAATGAAAGGTCGTCTCCTTTACAAAACCTTCCCTGACTTACCTGGCCAGATGTATTTGTGTCTCATGTGCTCATATTGCTATTAAAACACAACTTACCTAGTTCAGAATAAACTCTCATATGTATTTGTTAAATTAATGATTTCTTTGAGAGCCGAGCTACCTGAGATAATAGGATTCATATTTCAAAGAACCTTCTGATGCAGATAGATGCAGAGACTGTCACCAGGAATTATTGGCTTGACTGTTTCTCATTCTGTTTACTTAGCATTGCTGCCCCTACCTTGAGAAAGAAGAACTTGTTTGTTGGCTTCAAAGCTTTTTCTGTAGCTACATTATTTACTGGTGTTATCTCTTGATGGTTTTGGTAGTAGCTGGAGACTAAAGATAATTTTATTTTGCTCTTATCTTTTGTGGGGAAAGGGGAAAATAAAAAAGATGTGTGTATTTGTTTATTTCAAGTTAAAATAAAATTTTAATCTACAGAGTGAAGCAAAAAATAAAATAGGGTCAAATTCTGCCATATGCTTCGGACTCTCTATGCTTCTTGGGCCATGTTTTATTCTTCTAGCTGCATCTAGAGAGAAGTTTCTAGATAACATGATTTCCTTTTTGCAGGATTTAGGTCTCTGCATATTAAATTGATCACAGTGTGTGACTAAGAACTAATCTCCTAATGTTCTAGCTAGTTATTGGGTTAGCAGTATATACATATTAGGAGATGAATGTTGTTTGTGAGACTTCACCCTTATATCAAAATGCATTAACACGTGTATGGAGAAAAAGAGAAAAGCAGTAGACTAAAAGAAAACTTGTTTATAAGCCTGTATGATTGTAATAGTGAATCAGAAGCAAGTGAATAAAAACTCACACTAAATTAACTGGGTGCATTTTGGGTTGTTTTTTCCCCTTTTCATTTTATATACGCCAATTTAAAGCCTCACGTTTCTCTAGCCTCTGCAATTATAGCCGCCTTATTCTGTGTCTACCCTGGAGATACAAATGAGCTAAAAAGAGACTTTCTAGTCAACTCTTATAATTATGCAGTCAGATGGAAAATACTGATAACCAAGTCTTATTCCTAGTTAAGAGCTTCGCATATTTCAAAGAAGATGGGTGGGCTGCAACACAGAGCATAGCCTGTGCCTAGATTACACAAGTGACCCTTTGGAACAGTACTTTAACAAGCCTTGGTTTTCACAGTCTTAAAATATGAAAAGAAAAAAAAATAATACATTAGGGTTTATATAGTGCATTTTGTATTGTTCATATTTATTTTAAGGTGTCATCAGATCATTCCCATGTGGCTAAGACCGGTGTGTAACCTGAGGCATAATGTAGAGAAACTGCTTCTTAAGTGGCAACACAGGGATAAAGAGCCAGCTCAGAGCTGGTTGGCATCAGAGCAGAGTCTGACTTAAACCCAGGTCATTGACTGCTGGATTAGGCTGCTCTCATTGACTCACTCTTACTCTTTTCACTAAATCCTACTGTCTCATGAAACTCAAAAACATTAAATAAAATGCCCTCCCTGTGAACCTAGACTACTGGTGAAGCTGTTGGAAGCCTCAGTCTCCCAGGTACCAATACGAAGTAAACACCCTTCCACTCTCCTTCTCCTCTAGCCCTTGGTAAAATCTGGCTGCTATGATGATGGCACAGATGCTCCCTCCCTAGAGTGACTCCAAGTCTCTAAGCACACTCTCTATGGGGCTCCAGAATTAACCCACTAATTGCTACAATCAAATCATGAGAGGTTCCTCTCCCTCCCCAAACTACCAATTGTCGTTCACCTATTTCAAGGGGAGTAGCTTGGAGAAGTGAAGAAAGCGTGGACTCTGAAGCCTCAGAGCTCTGTGTACCAGTTTTCCTTCTGCTATTTTGTAGTTTTGAACCTATGCAAGCAACTGAATTATCTGAAGCTCAGGCATCCCTTGATGCCTTTTAATTGGGTTATTTGGAAATTTAATGATAGTGCATACAATTACCTGGTACATAGTAAAAATTCAAAACTACTTTGAACTGAAAAGTGGCTGCTAAACCTGAAGATTTCAGATCCCACATAGTTTAAAGACCTTCACATTGTTAGAAATATAAAATTTTCAGTGAAACTAAACTCATCTTCTATCTTCATCTCACTTGGCATCATCACAATGCCTGGCAGTTCCAGTTAGACATTTTGTCAGATGTATCTAGTTATGTGTCAGATTTTTCCCTACCTAGAAAAACTTTTTTTTAACTTACTTTCAAATCTATGATCGTATTCATTTAAAAATGTATTGGGAAAGGTTTGTGGGCTCCAGGAAGGTTGGGCCAAGCCTGTTTTTGCCCTTTGTATTTTTATTATGTAATACTGAGCTAGTGGCTAAATGAATGAATAAACGGCTGGGTTGGAGTGCTGATGATTCTATAGAGCTTCCGTAGCTCAAGAAAATGTACCATGTCCTGTGTCAGCAGGCCCACAGCATCATGCTTACATTTAAAGGGCAAGGGCAACACAGAGATAAAGAGCCGTTTTGGACTGTCAGAGTTCTGAGTTCATGTTTTGCGTCTGCTGCTGACTCACAGTATGACTCTGGTCAATTAAACTTATTTGCTTTGAAATTGAGGGGAGGGTTACTTGATATTTCTCATGGAGGCATCAAGTAATGCCTAGGACATACTGTTTCATAGAAGCAAGGGGGTAATGCATAGTCATTAAAGCACACTGTGTTGACCAGCTGGCTCCAACCCTTGGCATAGCTCCTATCCCACTGCTGTGGCTCCAGGAGCCCACCTGAGGACCCAACCCTATAGGGGCCTTGAAACAGTTCTGATCTTGGTTAACAGAATATTAGGAGCCTTTATTTGATAACTCTTGTGAATCAGTATCAAGTTATCTTGGCTGCCACGCCTATTCTGAGCTTTTGTGGCCCAAATATGGTAAGTGGGTTTCCATCAAATTCATGTAATTAAGTTCATTTGTTGCATCTATTCATCCTCTATACAATTTACAATCCATGTTAGGGTCTGGGTATTTAAAGATGGGTCTGCCTTTAGAGTTCCCAGTCTAGTGGGAGAGATGTATAGACACATCATTGTATAAGAACAGAGCTTGGTAAAGTGTTTTAAGAGTGCCTTACGATCAGCATGAAACTCATTTAGCCCTTGTTGGGTGTTGTTCTGCTCCTCTAGGCCCAAGTTCTTCTTATCTTGGGATCCTGTCAGCTCATAGCAGGCCCTCTGGCACTGACTGCTGGCCGGGTATTTACCTACCAGCTGCACTGACCAGGCAGGATTCCCTCCATTAGCTTGACTTTGTAATGCTGTCATCTCACCACATATTGGGGTCCTCCTGTTCCTGGGAATCTGCATCCTGTTCCTCTTTGTGGTTCTATCTGACGCCCAGGTATTGACCTACATTAGTTTTTATGGGTGTTTTTGATGTATGTTTTCATCTGGTTTTAGCTGTATAGATGTGGAGCGGCCCACATAATGTGTATTACTCCACGCTGCCTCCCAACAATGTTAATGATAAATTGTAAACAAAGTGTGTGTCTTCAACCCTTTGATCGAATCTACTCGCATATCATGCCAAAGAAACACGTAAAAATCAACTATGAGCTGCAGTTACTGATCCCACTGTTTATCCAGGCTGTCCTCCCTCTTTTCTGTTCAAGTGTCCTTTCCTGCTCTTGTATTTGTTACTCCCTCTGCACTCTCCTGGTTTTGTTCCCCAGCTTACAACAAGACATATCAGAATTCCACTTCCTCGTGGTGTACAGATCAAATCTGAGATAAGAACTCCTTAGATAGAAGGCAGTGCTGTGTACCGGAAAGAACACAGTCTTGGAATCTGATAAACGACTTTAAACCAGGCTATGTCTCTAGCTGTGTGAGCTTTGTTAATTTAAAATAACTCAGCTAATCTGATCTAGAGATGTCTTCTGTTAAGTGTAGATAATAACATCTCATAGAGTTATGAGGTCAGTATGAGATAACATATGCAGAGCTCTTAGGACTTAGCAAAACCTCAATAAATGCTTGTCCCTTCTCTTTTCTGCATATTGACACAAAAACCCCTTCTATAACTTAAATTCGTGATTGCTCATCTGACCCTAAACCTGGGAACAAAAACAGTGTATTCGTTAGTAGTTCTGACTTGACCAATAACTGCTGTTATGAGCCCTGGAAAGTCTTTTGTTATGTAGTCTTAAAAATATTATTGAAAATATATTTACCATTGGTCTAGGACAGGCTGTGGAATACTAAGAGTGGATAGTCACTTGGAAGAGGTTAAGGTCAAGAGGAAATCAATGAAGAACATTTTCCCCTTCTTTATCAGTCCTCAGCTCACAATGTGCAATGTTTTCTCTGAATCAGCAGAGAATGAATGCATCCATATACTTGCATCAATAACATAATGATTGGAAGTCACAGTTGCGGAACTAGACAGCTTGGGTTCAAATATCAGATCCACCTCCAACTAGGTGTATAATTTTGGACCATAGTTTCTTTATTAGTAAAATATTTGAATGGCTCTAAAAATAGTAATACTAATTTAAGGGATTTTTCTGATAATTTCATGAGTTAATTCATATAAAGCACTTAGAAAAGACTATGGCTCCTAGTAAACATTGCATCAGGCTTTGCTATGATTATTCTACCCTTATCAACATTATTATCATTGAGGAAAATTCTGTGCTATTTTACAAGTAAATATATCTTACGTCAGTTGAATCAATATAATCATAAAAAGAGATTTTTTCATTTGTTTATCATTTGCATTATTTCTTGATTTGATTACCACTTGTGTTTTTTCTTAAAGTTATTATTTATATTCCCTATCCATTTTTAATTCTTTACCGTTAATAATTTCAAAGAACTCTTTTTGTGTTGGTGATTATATTCCACCATCCACCTTTGCTTTGTTTTTTTCTTAAGCATATATATTTTCAATCCAGATTAAATTTGCTTCAAGGTAAAAGTAGACAAAGTTTGCTTAAAAGCCTGTAAGCAAAATTTTGAAATTAAATATTTTTAGCCGTTTAACCACTTGTCTTATATTTTATAATATATAAGGTAATACAATGAGCTGATACAATTGGTAATAAGTATTTAAATTGAAGCTGGTGTTTCAGCCTCACGATCAATATCTAATTGTGTATTATATGAGGGACATAATTTCAGGGGCCTTAATCCTATCTTTAAGCTATATGGCCAATGTGCCAATCCAATTGTTTTTACTTAAATATATTTTCAGTCTTGAATTAATAGGCTTCAAAATTATACTAAGATTTTTGATTGAGAACATTGCAGGGTGATGGAGTGAATAATACATATTCACTATTTTTTCCCTATGCCTTTTTTTTGCTGACCTTACATAACACAACATATTTATATTGATTTTGTATTTTCAATTATTTTCTCACTAAAGACTTTTTCTTACTGTTTTCCACACTAGCATAACCATTTAACTTTTAATAAGATGAAATATAATAATAATGACACTTATTGAATGTTTACTGCACACCAGGGACTGTTTTGTGCTTGTTATACAAATTTATTTAGTTCTCCCCAATAACATGCATTTGGTAGTATAACCCTCAGATGAGAAAACTGAGGCAGAGGAAGGCTAAGTTGCCCAAGAATACCCAGCTAATAAGTGAATTACAGAAGGATTTGAATTTAAGTAGAATAATTTTAGGGCATTGTCTGGCAAACTTTTTTTATGGTCAAGGGTCAGATATTAAGTATTTTTGGCTTTGAGGGCCATCTGATCTCTATTGCAACTACTCAGCTCTGTGGTTATAGCACAAAAACAGCCATAGATAATATGTAAACGAATGGGTGTGGCTGTGTTCCAATAATACTTTATGGTCACTGAAATTTGAATTTTATAGAATTGTCACCTGTCACAAAATATTTTATTTTGATTTTTAAAAAATGGTTTACAAACTATGATAAACATTTTGGCTCATTGGCTGTAGATTGCCAACTTCTGTTCTAGAGGGTAAGATCTTAGCCACTGTGTTCCTACTTGACTTGCACATATCAAAAAGTGAAAAATCCAAAGTGTGTCTAATACTAATGGTGTTACCTAGTAAGGATAACTCCTTCTTCAAAGATACTACTTACTAGAACTATATTATTTTGGTTTGGAAGTTAAAAGTTTATCAGCTGAATTCTTAAAGTTCTCCTGAGTGTTTGCATTTTTTTCACCCTTAATTGTGAGTATAACCCTCTTCAGGCTGAGCCCATATAGTAAAAATAAGGCCAATTTGTAATTACTGGATTGGCTTCACTAAAGTGCAAACAATGGAGTGAATCAGAGTGAGAAAACATAATATCACGTTCTGAGTTATGCTGTTTTACTGTCTACATTTATAAATTAACCCGGTTCATCTTCAGAACAGCATTTTGCTCTGTTTTGTGTGGATAGATTCTAATTCACAGCACCAGCATCCAGCATGGTTTCTTTATTATGGAAAATAAATTCCCAATAAGCCACCCAGCAGCATGATTAAATTTTGAAATAACATTGGCTTTGTGGCCACATCATTTTAATTGTCCTCCCTGCCAGCCTAGTTTATCTTCATGACAACCACCTCATTCATTATCACCTATTACCAATCCAGAAGGCTCTCAGTACACCATCTCCAAAGCAGTTCCAAACAATAAAGCCAGTTATACATCTAGACATGTCATATTGACACATAATTTGACCAGGGCTCCCAAGCTGTTGCATAGGCACCAACAACTTTGATTCGTCAGTGACTGACTCCAAGATTCTGCTTGAGAAGGGGAAGGCTAGGGCCTGGAGAGCTTGTGGAGCAAGAAAGGAAGTAGTCAACATTGCTGTGGAGACAAGTTTCTCAACCTCATAAAACTCTACACTATCTCCACACCAGATGATGTTAGAATGGCATTGACTAACCTTACCAAGAAGGATAGAGGGATCATGCCGAGAAAATGAAGAAATATAAGAGATTTCAAGTAAAAACGTTTTAGATTATTGCATGGTGATAGGTTAGCCAGACAACTTAACAGATCTTTGCCATAATAAGCATTGTGGTTGTAAATTCTAGATTCACTTGTATTACAGCCTTTAATCACTGTCATAATCATGCATGTTTTTTCACATATGATCATTTTTGGACTTTAATGTGTAACTCACTCATGCAGAATAGATATTACTCTCCTCCTTCATAGCTGGGGGAAGCAAGGCATAGACGGGATTCACTGATCACCTCAAGTGATTAAGAGAGCAGGTTAGCGCTGTGACTGGAGTGTTGCTCCAAACTCCTGGCCATTACTCTTTCTGCCATGGTATACTACATGTAATTCCTAGGAATGGTGAAATACTGCTGAAGCAACCAGCCATTTATACAGGGGAAGGAAACAAAATACAAATTTTTTAATGCATTAATAAAACCAAATTTTTAAAAGTCTGCAGAGGGCCTTGATTTAGGGGACATGGATTCAAATCACCAAGTTCATAGATTACTAGGAACATAAACCTGAGCTTGTCAGTTATAATCTTGAAGTCTTACTCTCCTCTTCTGTAAAATGTGAATAATAATATGCTACACAAGTTCTCGTGAGAATAGAATGAGACAAAGCCATCAGGAAGCATCTAGCAACTGGCTTAGCACTTGATTAACACCAGCTCTTTTCCTCCTTGAAATTGTGCATTATCTGAAGCCAGATGCACATGGGTAAAAACATTAGAGATATTTTCAATTATCTGTGCAATCTCTAAAGAACTTTAACTTGAAAAAACTTTTGCAGATGCCACTGTAATTTAAACTTTCTCTTTTATTTACTTATTTAGTGAGACCTGTTGTCCAGGCTGAAGTGCAGTGCTCTGATCATAGCTCACTACAACTCTTTTTTATTTTTAATATTTCCTCTTACCCCTAGTGAATTGAAATTAGCAAATGAACAATAACAACAACAGCAAACCCCCCCCCAACCCCAGGATTAATTAGAAGTGGGAGATCATTAAAAGCTGATTTGTCCATGCCTATGTCCTGAATGGTATTGCCTAGGTTTTCTCTCGGGTTTTTATGGTTTTAGGTTTTACATGTAAGTCTTTAATCCATCTTGAGTTAATTTTTGTATAAGGTGTAAGGAAGGGAGCCAGTTTCCATTTTCTGCATATGGCTAGACAGTTTTCCCAGCATGGGCAAAGTCTTCATGACTAAAACCCTAAAAGCAATTGCAACAAAAGCCAAAATTGACAAATGGTATCTAATTAAACTAAGGAGCTTCTGCACAGCAAAACAAACTATCATCAGAGTGAACAGGCAACCTAGAGGATGAGAGAAAATTTTTGCAATCTATCCATCTGACCAAGGTCTAATATACAGAATCTACAAGAAATTAAACAAATTTACAAGAGAAGAAAAAAAAATCAAAAATTGGGCAAGGGATATGAACAGACATTTCTCAAAGGAAGACATTTATGTGGCCAAACAAACACCTGCAAAAAAGCTTATCATCACTGATCATTAAATAAATGTAAATAAATACCACAGTGAGATACCATCTCATGTCAGTTAGAATGGCAAGCATTAAAAAGTCAGGAAACAACAGATGCTGGTGAGGATGTCGAGAAATAGGAGCACTTTTACACTTTTGGGAGTGTAAATTAGTTCAACCACTGTGGAAGAGTGTGGCAATTCCTCAAGGATCTAGAACCAGAAATACCATTTGACCCAGAAATCCTATTATTGAGTATATACCCAAAAGATGATAAGTCATTCTACTATAAAATGGATGCACATGTATGTTTATTGCAGCACTATTTAAAATAGCAAAGATGGAACAAACCCAAATGCCCATCAGTAATAGGCTGGATAAAGAAAATGTGGCACATGTACACCATGGGATACTATGCACTCATAAAAAAGAATGAGTTCATGTCCTTTGCAGGGACATGGATGAAGCTGGAAACCATCATTCTCAGCAAAGTAACACAGGAACAGGAGACCAAACACCGCATGTTCTCACTGATAAGTGGGAGTTGAACAATGAGAACACATGGACACAGGGAGGGGGACATTACACACCGGGGCCTGTCAGGGAGTTGGGGGAAAGGGGAGGGAGAGCATTAGGACAAATACCTAATGCATATGGGGTTTAAAATCTGCATGAAGGGTTGATAGGTGCAGCAAACCACCATGGCATATGTACACTTATGTAACAAACCTGCATGTTCTGCACATGTATCCCAGGACTTAAGGTAAAAAATTAATAATAATAATATAATAAAAGAAATCTAGGTGGGGGGATCGTGAGGTCAAGAGATCGAGACCATCCTGGTCAACATGGTGAAACCCTGTTTCTACTAAAAATACAAAAATTAGGTGATGGTGGCACGTGCCTGTAGTTCCAGCTGCTCAGGAGGCTGAGGCAGAAGAATTGCTTGAACCCGGGAGGCGGAGGTTGCAGTGAGCCAAGGTCATGCCACTGCACTCTAGCCTGGTGACAGAGCGAGACTCTGTCTCAAGAAAAAAAAAAGGTTGATTTGCAAATTTTTAAGTTACAGTTTTTAACTATGGTACTATATGCATAACATAAAATTTACCATCTTGTTTCTAAGTTTACAGTTCCATGACATTAAGTACATTCATATTGATGTGCCACAATCACCACTATTTGTCTCCATTTCATCATTCAAACTGAAATTATGTGCCCATTAAACAATTATTCCTCATTCCCCCTCCCCCAACCCCTGACAATCACCATTCTAGTTTTTGTCTCTAAGAATTTGACTGTTCTAGGTACTTCATATGAATTGCTTTGCATATTTAACTCTCCATTCTCAAAGGGATCTGGAAACTTCTATTTTTGTTGCAGTATTTTATAAATTCAGTCTAATGTTATTCGATTAACTTTAATCTCAGTGGAGACTGCAACACTTAAAGTTACATGTTTATTTAATCAAAAACTAATCTTTCAATATAAAGTGACATTTGAACTGAAAAGATTTACAAAGTTGTTAAAAATTATCCATGAGCAAACACCTCATCAATAATAATTATTCCCAGGATGGAATATGTACATACATGAGCACATTAGGTGGGGGTGTAAAAGAAAGAAGTTAATGCTGCATTAATCATCCAAATGAAGTAATACTATTACTTTTATGTCATCCAATATCTTGTATTTGAATATATTAAAACCAGACCATAAAGTATAAATTATTAAACAGAATTACATTGCCATTTTACACTTAAATCTCTTTCTTTACATTTTACTGTAAACAAACACATTTTAAATGTTTGTTTATTTAGCATGCATCAATATTTCTAGAGGCCTTTTAAAACTGCTTTCAAAATTAAACCAGTAATAATTACTAAATGATGCTTTAAATGGCCAATAAATTCCACCTTGGAAACTCATCTCCCTGCACTTCAAGTAATACTGGGTTGACATACATTATCTAAATTTTCAGCAACCCTGTGAAGAGCAATTACTTCCACTTTACAGAGGAGGACAGGAAGATCTAGACATGTTGAGTGACTTGCCCATGTCATGCATGTCCAGTTTGGGACTCAAACTCAAGTCTTCTAGCTCAAAGTCTTGGACCTGCTACTCTCAAGGCCCCTGCACTGCACAATTCCAGGGACATCACATTCTCTACACACCTGCCCCCTTTCTCTTTTCCATGTCATCATTTCTTTATGGGACCACTTCCTTCCAGTTATAGTATAGTGGCTTACCAATGTGTCTACTGTATTCTACCAGACTTTCATCTCTCTGGAGTCTGAAGTATTCTCAGTTATCTCAGTGTTTTCTGCGGGACCTCACACGTCACTCACAAAATGCTTTTGGAATTGAGGCAGGGATGTTGCAGTTGCAGAGTGTGTCATGTGAGGCTATCTTCCTGGTGCCAAAATGTTAGAGCAAAAAATGTGAAAATTTTAGTCAATTATCTGGATGCTTTTCTCATAAACTTCTATTTGGCAGCAGACACATGGATGCACCTTTCATCTTTGAACAGTAAGATTAATGATGTGCGGTAGCATCTTTACTGTTATCAAAGTTGTCTTCATTGCTATGTAGACTAGGATGTCTTCATGATGTCCAATTAATTATTTAAGAATGCCTATTGAACAATTTCAGGGAGATGACTTGAAGTTGACTTGGGATAAATTTCATTTTCTCCTTAGCAATGGAGTTGATCCCCCTTCATGGACCCATCCTGATATAATTGTTGATTTCTGTAATTTAGCAATAAAAGATAGTCTATGAAACAGGTTATCAATAGTGTGCCCAAATGGCAAAGTCATTATGAATTTAATTTATAAATTAAATCCTGGACATTTCAAGGTACTTAGGTCTAAAAATTGTTTTATATTTAGGACTCTCTTGAATATATATATTGATATATATATCTCATATATATATATGAAACTCTGAGAGTCTACATATTCTTAGAAGCCAAGAGCAAACTAAACCTACTCAAGAGTTCCTCCTCATATATATATATATATATATATATTCAAGAGAGTCCTAAATATAAATATATAAATATATATTTATTTATATATCTCAGATATATGTATCTCATACATATGAGACATATATATCATATGTAATATGATAAAACTGAATACTATATATACATATCATATATAACTGAATACTATATATATACTATATATATATACTAACTGAATATTATATATATAGTATTCAGTTATATCATACAACTGAAGTTTCAGATTCATCTTTCCTGCAGAAGGCAAAGCAATGTGAGGGCATCAGCATAATGTGTTGCATAGATGGCCCATCTGCCAGGTATTTCTCTTTTTGGCACCTCAAGAACAGAAAATTCACTGGAGATTAATTGAAAATCTGTATGTCTTGTGTCTGCTATATATTATTTGAGCCTATATGTTCATTTAATTAAAATTTCGTAAAGCCTAAGATTATTCTGTCTCCCTAGACTATGAAAAACATACTATCTGCTGAATTCAATGTCACTATAATTGTATCTCCTCTGCCAATAATAATGCTTTATATTCTTTGGGTTTTAGACAAGCATTACTGTGAACTTTCTCCCCAGATATTTTTACAGTACCATATAACACAATTAACAAGCTAAATTTTACAGCAGTCTTAAAAGAATGTAGGAACTGCTAGACACAAGGCAAAGTGATGTTTCTGGATGAGATCAGATGGAAGACCAGGAGTCAATGCAATGTCTGTGACTCCAATATCTGCAGATCTCAGTACCAGCTCCAACTGGTATTGACCTGGTAAAGGTACAACCTCCTAAAATTCTAAATGGCCTTTGGAGAAGAGAAAGTTGTTAGCAACTCTCTAATCTGCAGAAATGGAATTCTAATTGCTTGAAACTAAATGGGACTGAGGAACTGAGCATTTCTCTGGAGTTCTTTGGTTGAAACTGGATAGCTGAGAAGCTACATTTGTTTGGGTTCTTTGTATATAACCCTACAAGATGGATGCCTCAGATGAGCATTGCCCATTAAACAGTCCTGGTTATGGTGTGCTGAACATGAGGGCTGCAGGTGAGGAGGAGCTCTTGAGTAGGTTCAGTTCACTCTTGGCTTCTAAGAATAGGTAGACTCTCAGAGTTTCATCATACATTTTATTCCCGGTTTCATTCACTTTTCTTCTCTTCTCCTCTTCCTACCTTTGTCAAACTTTCATTCTATATGGTCCCTTGAGGTACAGAGTAACATATAGGAGGGAAATATGCTCAGCATGACAAAGGTCAGGTTGAGTATAGATGGGTAAAAGGGAACTATTTTGTTTTTGTTTTGTACTCCACCCTGAGTCATGCAAATGTCTAACAGAGCCTTCTGAACATAGGCTTCTGAACACACTTCCTTCAGGCAGAAAACTCTCCCAGATAATAGAGGCAGAGCATGGGAATCTGAAAGGAATAAGCCATATGAAGAAATGTACACTTGACAATCTTGGGTCTATCTCAAGAAGGAGAACATATATCAATGCTTACTAAGTGTTAGGTGCTACACTAAGCCCCTCACGGGCATTACATCATGCATCTCTCACAGCAATGTTCTCAAAGGAAGTGTTATTTTTATCCTCATTATACAGATGAGGAAACATAATTAGAAAGGTTAAGCTATGCAGCCATGTTGCTCTGAACTTGCTGCCTAAGTTCTTAACCTCTCTGCTATACTGGCTGGTTGTAGGTCCCTTTGACTTTGTTTTTAGTGACCTGGCACTCATCCCCAGGTTCTCCCATTTAGTGGTCTCCCAACACTACTGAAATTCTGGCACAGTGTTTTATTTACCATGCTATCTCTACTGCTCAGATCTAGCTTCATGGCAACCAGCTCCTTCAGGGCTGCAGTGGATATCTGGGGGCTTGCAGACCAAGCAGCTCTTCCTCTTCACTTTCCAATGCAAGTGAAGGGAATCACTTCTTCTCCAACGAGTATAGGCTAGTGGGATGATTAATAAAGCAGCTCTTTTTTTCCTTTAGCTGAAACGTGGGAAAAAGACCCAACTAGGCACACAAGCCCTCTCTCCTTGGAATTAGCACACAAAGCAGAAAACATAACACCCAAAAATGATGGAGTCCCAATGACAGCGATTTATCCCTACCATGTAGATTTCAAGAGATATTTGAGTTTTGCCTGTTTCAAAGACTGGTTCTTCAGTTTTCCACTCTGTACTGTGGGTTACCCCATATCATACCTTTATACTTTTTTTAAGGTAGTTGACTCAATATTCACTGTTTAAAGGAAAAGAACCTCAAGTGAAACAGGTTCAGCAGTAAAAGCCCTGGAAACTTCAGTCATACTATATGAGTACTTTTTAAATTTCAACAAGGTAAGCCAAGCCATTCATGTGTGTCTTCTTCTCCTGCAGTGTTCATATTGAGGCTGAGCAAGGTAAGCTAGGAAAAAAGCTTTTTCACTAATCAATTCTCTCTGGGGAATGGGCAAACTGAAGGTAAAACACACAGGAAAGGCATTCAAGATGCCAAGATAGAAGATATGAGAAAAATCACAACTGAGAGAAAATGAAGTTCTAGACAAAGAATCAAAGGTGAGAAATCCATATTTAGGTGCATATGTCTTCCATTAAACAGCTTCTCTGGTACAGTCATCACTGATATGTATGCCCTGTTCAGTGACATTACTAATGCTGTGCTGTGTGACACTTATAATCTTCTGCAAGTTGACTGGCCTAAGCCATCAGAAATGACACATCAAAAATGGACCCATCAGCTTGAGTAATTGAAACAGAGGCAGTTCTTTGAAATTTCATTTTCAAATGAGCTTTGAGAATGTTAATAAACTTGATTACCAACATTTAAATAAAATTTCTTTTTAAAATATTGCTCTTTTCTGTCTCTATTGAAAGCCTGGTACTCAGCAAACCAAACATTCAGAGTCAGTGATAAAGTCCCAGACAGACTGGTTGCTTCTTTGTTCAGTCTCATGGAATTCACATGCCTTAGATCACACTCTTCCAAGAAATTATCTTAATTTCATATTTTGAAATTTTGATATTTAACACATTCATCTAGCTCTTTTCTTCTCCCAGCCACTCCCCTTTTGGAGAAGAGAATTACCAGGATAGGCATGAAGCTGTTCTCCCTGAACAATTTTTCCTTCTTTTAAGTCCATTGTGCAACACCTGTAACAGTTACACTCCTTTCAGTGTCCTCCCTGACTTTTTGCTAAAATGCAGTTAACTGTTGTCTGTGCTCTGTTTGAGCTGCAAAGTCAACGTGGGTATAATGGTTATGCCTGCATTTTGTCTCCTCAAGCCTAGCTCAACTGAGATCGTTGCAGGTATAGCTTTGTACAACTCTGGGACCATTCTAGGGTAAGGCAGACTGTACATGGAAGTAGAAGGAAGCTGGGTTTAATTTTGGCTGCATGGCCACTGATGGGAGCTCTGGACATGTGCAAGCATATCGTGCCATGGTGTTTTCTTGACCCAGCCATGTGAGCGCATCCTGACTAGCTGCTCCTCTGCCTCAGTACTGTATATATTTTTAAGTTGGATATCTAAGTTCCTGCTGTAACCACAAAGCTGTCCTCACAGCCTCAGCCCACTTGGCTGAGACTTGGCCTTCTGTCTTGTCTCTCTTTTCAGAGATGACTTTTTTAAATCCCTAGTCACCAGATTTGGAGCAGGACTGGTTCTGCTCTGAATAGCTCAGTCTACTCACAGTCTTTGCACCCTCTGCTGCCTGATTTCAAGGCTCATGCATTGTCTGCACCTCTGCGGTTGTGCCCTGCCAACTGAATTGGACCTTTTAATGCTGATAGCAGACCCCTCAGATTGACCAAAACTGGATGCCGACCCTCAGAGGGTAGCTCCACGTTCCAATGCAATATATTAGCTCCAGACTCATCAATATGCAGTCTCTCTCCACATTTTCCCACAACACAAACATTTTAAACAATTTTAGCATACCTGTATTAGTCCGTTTGCATGTTGCTGATAAAGACATTCCCAAGACTGGGAAGAAAAGAGGTTTAATTGAACTTACAGTTCCACATGGTTGGGGAGGCCTCAGAATCATGGTTGGAGGCAAAAGACACTGCTTACATGGCAGTGGCAAGAGAAAATGTGAGAGAAACAAAAACAGAAGCTCCTTATGAACCCATCAGATCTTGTGAGACTTATTCACTATCGCAAGAATAGCACGGGAAAGACTGGCCCCCATGATTCAGTTACCTCCCCCTGGGTCCCTCCCACAACATGTGGGAATTCTGGGGATACAATTCAAGTTGAGATTTGGGTGGGGACACAGCCAAACCATATCATTCCACCCCCGGCCCCTCCAAATCTCATGTCGTCACATTTCAAAACCAAGCATGCCTTCCCAACAGTCCCCCAAGTCTTAACTCATTTCAACATTAATCCCAAAAGTTCATAGTCCAAAGTCTCATCTGAGAAAAGGCAAGTCCCTTTCACCTATGAGCCTGTAAAATCAAAAACAAGCTCGTTATTTCCTAGACATAATGGGGGTGCAGGTATTGGGTAAATACAGCTGTTTCAAATGGGAGAAATTGGCCGAAACAAAGGAGTTACAGGGCCCATGCAAGTCCAAAATCCATTGGGCAGTCAAATTTAAAAGCTTCAAAATGATATCTTTTGACTCCAGGTCTCACATCCAGGTCACACTGACGCATGAGGTGGGGTCCCATGGTTTTGGGCAGCTCCACCCCTGTGGCTTTGCAAGGTACAGCCTCCCTCCTGGCTGCTTTCACAGGCTGGCACTGAGTGTCTGTGGCTTTTCCAGGTACATGGTGTAAGCTGTCAGTGGATCTACCATTCTGGGGTCTGAAGGATGGTGGCCCTCTTCTCACAGCTCCACAAGGCAGTGCCCCAGTAGGTGTTCTGTGTGGGGGCTCTGACCCCACATTTCCCTTCTGCATTGCCCTAGCAGATGTTCTCCATGAGGGCCCCACTCTTGCAGCAAAGTTTTGCCTGGGCATCCAGGCATTTCCATACATCTTCTGAAATCTAGGTGGAGGTTCCCAAACCTCAATTCTTGACTTCTGTGCACTCTCAGGCTCAACACCACGTGGAAGCTGCCAAGGTTTGGGGCTTCCACCCTCTAAAGCCACAGCCTGAGCTGTACATTGGCCCCTTTCAGCCATGGTTAGAGCTGTTGGGACACAGGGCACCAAGTCCCTAGGCTGCACACAGCACGGGGACCCAGGACCCAGCCCATGAAACCACTTTTTCCTCCTGTTTCCTCTGGGCCTGTGATGGGAGGGGCTGCTGTGAAGGTCTCTGACATGACCTGGAGACAATCCCCATGGTCTTGGAGATTAACATTAGGCTCCTTGCTACTTATGCAAATTTCTGCAGCTGGCTTGAATTTCTCCCCAGAAAATGGGTTTTCCTTTTCTATCGCATAGTCAGGCTGCAAATTTTCCAAACATTTATCCTTTGCTTCCCTTATAAAACTGAATGTCTTTAACAGCACCCAAGTCACCTCTTGAACGCTTTGCTGCTTAGAAATTTTTTTCCACCAGATACCCTAAATCATCTCTTTCAAGTTCAAAGTTCCACAAATCTCTAGGGCAGGGGCAAAATGCTGCCAGTCTCTTTGCTAAACATAACAAGAGTCACCTTTGTTCCAGTTCCCAACAAGTTCCTCATCTGTGACCACCTCAGCATGGACCTTATTGTTCCTATCACTATCAGCATTTTTGTCAAAGCCATTCAACAAGTCTCTAGGAAGTTCCAAACTTTCCCACATTTTCCTGTCTTCTTCTGAGACCTCCAAACTGTTCCAACCACTGCCTGTTACCCAAAGTCACTTCCATATTTTCGGGTATTTTTTCAGCAATGCCCCACTCTACTGGTACCAATTTACTGTATTAGTCCTTTTTCATGCTACTGATAGAGACATACCAGAGACTGGTAAGAAAAAGAGGTTTGGTTGGATTTACAGTTCCACATGGTTGGGGAGGCCTCAGAATCAAGGTTAGGAGGTGAAAGGCACTTCTTATATGTCAGTGGCAAGAGAAAATGAGAGAGAAACAAAAGCAGGAACCCCTTATAAACCCATCAGATCTCGTGAGACTTATTCACTAACACAAGAATAGCACGGGAAAGACCAGCCCCTATGATTCAATTACATCCTGCTGGGTCCGTCCCACAACACGTGGAAATTTTGGGAGATACATTTCAAGTTGAGATTTGGGTGGGGACACAGTCAAACCATATCAATACCTTATAGCCAAGTCCCACCCTGAGTTATGTTGGGTTCTTGTGCATCAGATCATGCATCAGAGAGAATCATGCATTTCATGAGTGTTCCAGAAAAGTTGTTCAGAGTGTCTGTACAGAAAATTCCAGATTACAATGATCAAAAGCACCCTAAAAACAGAAAAGCACAAATCCTGTAAAATAAGTGTTTTAAATTACATTTTACAGGTGAGAAAAATGAGGCTCTCTGGAGTTACACAGCTGTTACTCAAATATATTTATGTGTTGTGGATTTGAACACAGGGTCTCTGATTCCAAATCTCCAAATTCTTCTGCACTATGTTGCCTCTTCATGAAGTGGCATTGGTATAGGAGTTAAGAAGCAATCACTTAGGCAGATAGTAAGAGTATGGGAGTCCTCAGTAAGGCTTTTCTTTTTAATGAAAAGCAGCCCCAGATAATTTTCTCACAAAGAACAGCCTGTAAAGTCGACCTGCAGACATATACAAGCAAGCCAGGAGCTTGCACGAATGAATGCCACCAGCAACTAGGGACTAGACATCCTCAAGATGGCGGCTCCATCTTCCCTTCTCTGTCAGCCACTTGCACAGTAAGGAGCAGATAAGATGGTGCAGGCCAAACAGAGAGTTCATTTGCATAATAAGATTAGGGTGGGTTGACCAACCTTCCCCACACACTATGTAAATGTCACACCTGATCAAACCAATCTGTGGACTCTATGTAAATCAGACACCATCATCTCAAGCTGGACTATAAAATCCGGCACATCTACTACCAGCCAGTCTTTGCACTCGGGAGACCCCTCTATAGAGAGAGAGCTGTTTTTCTTTCTCTTTTCTTCTGCCTATTAAACCTCTGCTCCTAAATTCCTTGTGTGCGTCCGTGTCCTAAATTTTCCTGGTGCCAGACTACCAACCCCTGGTATACACCCCAGACAGCATAGCCACTTCAGCATCTTAGGCTGCAGCATTCTGTGAGTTACTTCCATCTTTCAGACATGCCCCATGATCCAGAATTATCCTGCTACAAGTCTCAACATCTTCATTCAAAGAACCATCACTTTATAAATTAAGGAACAAACATTAGTGCTCCTGCAGTTAAACCCTCTCATTTTACTGATGAAAACACCACCACCACCAACAACAAGCTGAACCTCTAAGAGGTGCAGTGATTTCTCCATGAAAATGAGCTAATTCATAGCAGGATCAGGACTGAAGCCTATTTCCTGATTTCTAGTTCAGGGCTTTTTCTATTGATCCCAACATTTTTCTGTCCAATTATAAGGATCACTTAGGAAAATTTGTCACATAAGTTAATGTGATATATAAACCAAAAGAGAACTGCTGATGATTTCTGCTTGACAGACACTCACAGGAATCTCTGCAGTTGAGACAAGTCTTAGGAAAGACTGACAGGAGCCACTGGACTCAGAACTTTATCTTTTTCCCATCCTTCATTCCACTAAAGCAATAGTAAAAAAACATTTGAAAGCATAAACCCATGAGGACAAATAAAACAAAAGAGGAAACAATAGTGGACATGAGATTTTAATAAGTTTAGAAGATGGAAAGCAGACAGCTGGAAGAATTGCAAAAATGGAGTACTTTCGGAATTGGATATCCATGACAAGCACAGTCATTCATCAAAAAGCATCATAATGATTCAGGAATAGAGGCACTAGGGACCATAGAGCACTAGAGTAAGGGATGAGACATTTGATTAAAAGGCTCTAGGGGTAGTTAGACCCCCCACTCCCCACCTCTACTCTATGAAACCAGGTGAATGCCATCTTCCCAGCAGGGGACGATGGGCTTACTTATACTCTGGGGAAATTTGACCAGAGATCTTTTTAACTTAGAGAACAGGCGGGCATAATGAAACAGAGGAATTAGTTAAAAGTCTGAATGTTGAAAAGTGAAATCCCAAGCTCACTTCCCTTGACAGCCTTCCAGAATATCTGTGAAAAGCTTCCACCTCACCAATTCTCTCAGGCAGAAGCAGATTGTTTTCTGCAAAAACTGGGGACTTTCAGGGAAAAGACTTATAGATAATAATATGTTGGGGTCCCTCAAGGAAGAATCAGTTTTCCATCAGACCTCTCAATGAAGTCCGCTGTTTGGCAAGTCCCATCTCTGCACCCAGAGTTTTAAATCTGTATTTAAATGCTTCACTTTTAAATAAGAACAGTCAAGTGAGAACAGGTCTTACTGGAAATATGCAACATGGAAGACAGAAGAAAACAAATAGGAAAAAAAAACCTGACTTGCAAAAGATATACGGAAGACTAAGTACAGATATCTCTATGAAAAGCTTCTACAAACAAATATGAAAAGATAAAGCATTGTGTTTTGGAGCTCAGCCTCGTGGAGGAGCCAAGAACATGATATGGATTGGCAATTTGTAGAACACACATGTGAAAATGGCCAGCAAATGAAAGAATGTTCAATTTTCATAGTGATTGGGAAATGTTATTGAAGACACTAAAAATGCTTCTTACGGCTGAGATGGGAGGATTGTTTGAGTCCAGGAGTTCAAGATTGCAGTGAACACTTGCACACCTGCCACTGCACTCCATCCAGAGCAACAGAATGAGACCCCATCTCTTACATCAAAAACAAAATAAACTTCTTAACTGATGCATTTAAAAAAGATTTAGACTGGCAAAAATTTAATAGGATTGGTAATCTCCAATACTGACAGGGGTATGAGGAATTGCGATCCCAAATACACAAGGATATAAATACAAGGGTGCTCATGGATAACTAACTTGTTGTAATGGGGAAAAGTTGGAAAAAAACTTAATATTCATTGATAGGGGAAATAAGGTAGGTTAATTTTGTATGACATTATATAGCTGTTAAAAGAATAAAAAAGATATGTATGATTCATGGAGGAATGTCCACAATACATTACTGAATTAAAAAGTTATGTCAAAGAACTGTATTTATCGCATTATGACATTTTTTCAAAAGCAAAAACACTATTAAACAGTTTATATTTAAATACACACACACACACACACATTGTACACAGAGAGAAAAATGACTGGAGAATTAACAAATTATTAATAGTAGGATGGGAATGGTGGTCATGGGAAAGGCATTTGCTTTTCATTTTGTCCTCGAGTATTTTTTAACTTATTTTTTACAAGCATGTATTAATCATTTACTTTTAAACAATTCTTTTAAGTTTAATCCATGTGCACAACTATCAAATAGTGTTAGTGTATAGGTTAGAACAGTGCCTAGCTCAAAGTAGCAATCAATAGTTACTATCTGAACAAATGATTTCTGAAAATCATTACTGTCTGTAAATAATTCAAACTTCTGCTCAAAAAGCCATTGTAAAAACCTTTTACTAAGACATTTTCTTATAAAAATTGCTAGCTTAATCTGGTTTTCTTGTGGCTTGTAAAAGCACTTTAATTCAGAGTTTGGTAATACACACTTAACTGTGTTAGCAGCATCTTTAAAACCAAGAGACTAATAGGAGTGCGATAGCAAAAAAGCTTTAATTACTGCAGAACCAGTGGCAGGAGAAGGAAACTGTCAGTTTTCACACCTCAGTGAAGGCTGTGCGAGGGTCTTGCAGGTTCAGATGTACGTGGTCAAGTGATAAATGGCAGGCTCTGGATTCGGTTGTGGTCTGAGCTCAGCATTGGGGCAGGAAACAAACAGTGCCTTCAGCACTTGTCTGACACCATCCCTGGCAGGAGACAAGTCCAGAAAGAGCTATGCACAGTCAATGATTTTCCTTTTCAGCCCTGTCTATCCTACAGCAGCTGGAGTAGCTGCTCTAGGAGGCTGTAATTGATAGCTTTGATTTACCGAAGAAAAATAACTGGGCAGTTATGTAGTCCAGGGACAAGCCCTTCTGAATGTGAAAACGGTGCCCTCTCAGTAACAAGGGACTGTTATTGATCTTTACACTGTCATTTCTGCTGTGAACCAACCTCGACCAAGTATGGGCTTCCCTCTGTGTATTCCTGTCCCTGATTTAGTCCCAGAACATTTTGGAAACTTACCAGGTCTGCATATCAGCTTAATATGTCCACCACATGCACTCTCTCTTTCATGGCCTCCCTTATGGACTGTGATTCCATTTGTGTTGTATGATTTTGCAATTGTGATTTGTTGTTTTGTATTGTTTTCAAGTTGTGTCAAGCACGCACATGTAGTTTCCCACCTTAGAAACAATTTGACAGAGGAAAGAAAGAAACTGTATTAAAGACAAGCAAAATGTTTCCTTTCTAAAACTCTTTTCACTGAATAACTGCCACTTCTCAGGAGTGTGAGTTTTGTTTTCATTTGTGTTTGTGAAGTAGAGAAAATATATTTGAAGGCACAGGCAAAGGAACTTGCCACGACCTTCAATTTTTTGAAAATCGTGTAATTTACATTAAATTTCTTAAAATTTTGCATTCTTTTCTATTATCTGTGTTTTTATTTGAATACAAAATTAATAATTAAAATTATTTAATGCAGAACTAAATAGGTCCTCCAGGAAGAGGGAGATTTCTCTTCTGTGGCTTCTGATTTTATGACCAGGCAGTACTGAGACAGCCAGGTGGGAGGGGGTCCTCAGAGAAACTCCAGCCAGCTTGCCCACTGAGGTGGAGCCTTATGAAGTTTACGATGTTTGTAGTAGGGAGGAGTCTGGCTCCTCCTCTTCCTGTGTGGAGCCTGGGATTTGAACAGTGGGTGTGAAGTGCTCTAGAAGGGACTCTGACCTAGCAAGAGTCCCTGTTTCCCCCTTTTCTTCCTCTTCACCCAATAAAACCCTGTCTCACTCATCATTCAAATTGTCTGTGAGCCTGAATTTTCATGGCTGTGGGACAAAGCACCCCATCTTTAACTGAATTAAGGAAAAGTCCTGCAACAGTGTGACCTAGAATGTGCACAATCCTGGAGATCTGGAGAAGCCAACAACATCCCTAATAGGAAAGCATTAACATGTTCATTTTAGTAACAAACAGAACCCCAGGAGTATTTCCCGAGTTCATGGACTAACACCTAACTCCAGATACAGCCATTCCCACAAGACCATGCTATGGAAATTCTCTTCTATTAATTTTGTTTCTTCTCTTTCATCCCTCTTAGCTTTACATTAAATAGAGTGTTTTTTTATATTAAGTATAACATGTGTTTAAAAATTATTAAATGGTAAGTTCTCTGGTAACTTATTTATTTTTTAAGAGCAGAGAAAGGGGTAGGATAAAGCAAAGGCTTTATCAAAAACCCTATACAAAATTTTGGAAGTGTGTAGTTACAGACCCCATACTGGGGCTGCATTCTTTCTCGCTGACATTTTTGGCAGAGTGACTGAGTGGCAAATCACCAGATCCAAGTTCTAACTTGTAATGCTACCAAATAATTTCCTGTGCATGGGGGAGTCATAAACTCTCTTATACCCTTCTATCACACATATTATTGAGGAAGTGAGGGCTGAAATCAGTGATCTTTGAGGTCTCCACACTGTTGTTTTACTCCAGTGGAAGATTCAATAGAGGATGGAGAAAATTCACACCCCCTAGCCTGGCCTTTTCATAATATTGCTTGGGCTGATTCAAGGGACAGTGCACTTTTTTTCAGCTAATGTTTTTACTTCACAGTAACACTATGATATGTATTCCATATTTTATTTTCTTCTTTCAATTTGTCTTGATGTCTACTGTTCTACTATAACTGTTTAAATGGAGAACAAGATTAGTTCATCTTTCATGAAGCTTCCAAATATGCTGGCGGGCCCATGTCTACTCTTTGGCTCCAGCTTCCCTCGACTGTCAGCTGCTCTGGCCATGCAGCAATCGTCATTCCCAGCTGCAGCAAGAGACCCAGTGGAGTGCTGGCCTGGCTCAGATGCAACCTACAGTGTTATTTTTATAATCTGGAAGTCCTAGGCAAAGAAAGCAACTCTTCTTCCGTCAGCTATTAGCTATTCCCTACTGTCCAAGATCCTGTGGTTCTTCAATGACTCAGAAGGCAGCAAAGTCTAATCTCTTGACCTTGCTATTCAGCTTCCTTCACTGTAGAGAAGGTGATTACAAAGGACCAACCATTTAATTAGCTTCTGGGGCCTACAGCTTGCAGTTTTACATTTCTCTTTCTCGTGATTGAATATTTTATTTAGTACTCTTTGGTAGAGCAAACACTGAGCCACTGCTAGCATTTCCTGGTGAATGATATGGGATTGGCTATCAAGACTTATTTATTTTAGAAGAAGGAGGTAAAAACTAATTGAAGTTTATCTGTTTTTACAAATGCAGAAAATTTCTAGGAAGCATTAGTAAGCTATCCAGTTCTATGCATTTTAGGTTTGGGTGCAAACTATTGAATTGTAATAATTAATTAGGCTCAGGAACAGCCATCTTTGGTTATGCTTTCTAAATCCTTTGGCTAAACTCTCTTAATCAATATTCACTTAAAAGTGTGGTGTGCTCCTCGACTCCATCCTTTCCCTTTCCCTAGCAATGTCCAATTATTTCAGGTGGAGGTAACTTTATTTTTCTAAATATCTTTAGTGTAAGTTTGCTTATAAATTCATCAAATATTTATTTAACAGTTACGGCAAGATATTTGAACATCTTATCAAAAAAGATCAATCAAATATAAATAAGAATATGAAAAGATGTTTAACATGACTAGTCTTCAGGGAAATGCAGACTAAAACCATAATGAGGTACTGCTGGATACCTATTATGCAAACTAAAACCATAATGAGGTACTGCTGGATACCTATTATGCAAACTAAAACCATAATGAGGTACTACTGGATACCTATTGGAATAACTTTAAAAAATGACAATCTCAAGTACATGAAAGGATGCAGAGTAACTTAAACTCTAATACATTGCTTTTGGAAAACAGTTTCCAGTAACTTATTAACTTATTAAGTTAATCATATGCTGATAATTGACTTATTAAGTTAATCATATGCTGATAATATGACCCAGTGCTTCTATTCTTAGGTATTTGCCCAAATGAAATAAAAATTATTTTGGAACAAACATATGGATGATTTATTTTCCATCAAACTAGAAACAACTCTAATATCTTTCCACTGGGGCCTGGATAAATGCTGGTATATTTGTACCACGGAATATTACTAAGGAAAAAACAGAAATGTACCACAGTACTGATACAACCACAATAAGGATGAACTTCAAACACACTATGATAAATGAAAGAAGCCAGACTCGAAAGGTTACATACTGTGTGTATGTGGTTGCCAGGGGCTGGAGTTGTGAGATTGACTATGAAAGGGCAACATGAAGAAATTTAGGGGGTGATGGAACTGTTCTATATCTTGATGGTGGTAGTGGTTACATTATGATATACAATTTTCAAAATTCACAAACAAGGTGAATTTTATTGTATGTAAATTACTCTTTAACAATAAAAGCAAAAATTATTGAACACCTGCTATGTGCTGTTGTTCCAGAAGTGAAAAGACAGACCAGGTTCTTGCTTCCTAGATCTTATATCCTTGTTCTGTGTTCACTCTTCTGTGTCCACAGTCAGCACTAAAGTCTATGTTCTTTTCGTCTTTTGCCTGCTCTAACCTTCTAAATTGATCCCCTTGTCTCCCAACTCTCCTCTTCTCCAATCCATTTTCAATAATGCTACCAAATGAATCTTTTTATGATGTCAACTTGATTATGCATCTTCCATGTGGCAGTGGATAGTTTCTATGATTTGTAGCCTTTTAGCTTCTTTGAAATACCTTTTCTGTGCTTGGAATTTCTCACATCAGGGTTTCCTAGATAGAAGCTAGAAATTCACTTTCCAGTCTCCCTTGCAGCTATGGTGCTGGCATACGACCTGGGCCAATCAGAAGAATATAAGCATGACTATGATTAGACAAAAAGCAATGGGAGGAAGGAGGTGCTGTGTGGAATTCATTTCTGTTGAGGGTGACAGGAATGGCTTTCTTAGAGTACTGGGGGAGGTTTTGCTGCCTAGTGCCCAGGGTCTTGATGTGACCGCTAGAGTATGTGCTCAGTGGTCTTTGCTGGAGTCTCTAAGTCTGGACTCACAGTCTCTGCCAGAGTGTCTCTGAACTACTTAATATTCTTTAATAAATTCTTCTTTTTCTCCTTAAGCTAGAGTGGTTACTGTTTTTCACTTACTTTGCCTCTGAATCTCAATAGATACACCTATGTATAAGCCTTCAAAGACTTCCCATCACCTTAGGAAAAAAATCAGTACTTTTAACTATGGCATCTAAGGCCTTCAACATAGAGTTCATACATACTTTCCAGTTTAAACTGTTCTCAATGTGCTCTATGTTTTAGTCACCCTAAACTTGCTGTTTGTCCAACACTTCATTCTCATTTATACCTTCATGCCTTTGCAGATGATGTTCCCTTTGTTTAGTATAAGTTTTCCTTTTTTCTCACCACTTTGTAACCCTCTCTTCATGTTGCCCTTATTTACCCTTCAATTCCATTCAAAATCTATCTCAAATACCACGAGCTCAAATGCCCTTTGTGAAGCCTTCCTTGATATCCTTAACATGGTCCCAGCGCCCAAGAGCTGTTTGCTTCCTCCTGTATCTGAGAACTTCTTGTATTGTATTATGATGTTTTGTTCATTTAGTCATTCATTCAATAATAATTATTGAGCAAATACCATGTGCCAGGCACAGAGCTAAAATCTGAATGATAAGTAGGAGTTAATTAGGTAAAAATGGAGTAGAGTGTGTTCCCACAGAGATCAGCATGGAAAGTGGGCAGGCAGCTCATGAAGAGTGTGAGCCTCCAAGTGAGGGCAAGTGTAGTGGCCAGGGCTGAGGAGCAGGTGTGCCCCCTTCAGTCTTCTGCAAGTCCTTTGAGGCAGGAGCCCAGTTTTACTCACCTTTGTGCCTCTAGTGAAGCCAATCAGGCATGGAGTTGACATTCAATGAAGGGTTATTGAATTAATAAATAAATCACCAGATCATGTCTCTCCCTAAAACATTTATTTGATGCTTGAACCAGAGGAGATAATTTAGGCTTAATTTCCTGTGCATCAAATCATTGTCAGGACATAAGTATTACCTTTAATTAGCAAGCAAAGTCTCCCACTTCCTCACACTAATAATCCAGTGTTGCATTGATGTAATAGTGGCAGACCAACTTCAAAAGTGTTTTCTTGGATAATTGTTTGGGTGTCATCGGTTTACTTATCTTTAAAAGCCTATTAACACAGCAGATATCTCCAATCTGCTTTTTCATGTGATTCTGTCATCATAGCAACCTCACAAATCAACTCTCTGATGTGTCTTAACATTATAGCTTGGGCAAAATGAGGGAAAATAATTTTCTGATCATTACACAGAAAACCAGTGTCACAATAAGAGCCATTTCTTCCCAGACCTTTCTTTCATGGCCAAGGGTCATCTTTTAATAAAAGAGGTATTAAGTGAGGCAAGAGCTGCATGTTTAAATCAATCTGTGTGCAGTAAGTGTCGATACCTCCTTTAGCCCTATATCCATGGGATACAGAACAGCCACTTCCTGGCGAGGGTGAAACTGGAGGCACCAAGCTTCAATGTCATCCACAGGGCTTGGAATGTAAATACATGTCATTGCTGCTTTGGATAGTTTTGAAACCCTCTCCTACCATCAGATAGCAATGTCTTTCCTTTGATTTGGTACCAAAATTAAGCTGAATTTTAATCACCTCCTTAATGCTTAACTTCACAGAGAAACAGACTGAGTATTAGGGATATCTTTCTGATGTTTTCAATGAACCAGAGGCACAGACTTTGCTGTCATCTTCAGCCAAGGACAAATTGTAATTGGCAAGGCTGGCAAATTGCTTCTTCTTATTGGAAACTGCCATTGGCACATTAGATTGAAAATAAGATCCTTCCTGTATGGAGGTGATGTGGTTCTTTACCATGCAGCTGTAAGTGAAAAGTTGTTTTTCTAAACTAATGTTTATAGAGGTAATTCAGTTTGTGATACTAAGGGATATAAATTTGGGATATTACTGAGAATGATTCAGCTTTCATTTTTTACTTGAACTCCTGCAGTTGCCCTTTTTTCTTCCTCCTTAAACGTGTGATGGTACATCCGTCTTGTTAGGAACATGCTCAGAGGATAAAAATGAGCAGTCTTCCTTAAGAGGAAAGTGAGAATTGAAAGGCGGAATATGCCATCATCACAAACATTGCACCCAGATGACAGACATGGGACTTCATACTGACACCATTAATCATGATGGGGCCCTGTGGCTGTCTGCTACACAGCTCTCAGCTAGACTTACTTTGATATGTCTAAGAGGCTCATTTTTGGATGTTAAAGGTGGTTGGCTCTGTGCTCTGTTTTAGTGGAGACTCGGGGCAATGGGAGTCTCTTTCCTAGCCCGAATACAAGGCACCCACACTATTTTCTAATTAATAAGCAAGGTATTAACAAGTTTCTGAAACAGAATATAAAATGTTCTTCAGGTGCAATCAGCATTGTACTCACTCATAGCTAAATAAATAAATAAATAAAGGGCTAACTTCATAAGACAGAGATGGTAAAACTTGAGAATCTATTTTTTATAGTCCTATTGATCCTTTCAGAACTCCTTACTGTCTTTTACATCTGTACCAGAGAAAAGCTTTATAAACAGCCATTGTGATACAGCAGAAACAGTAAAATTTGGAAGCAGTTGGCTGTGCAAATCAGGCTCTACTAAGATGAGACAAAATTGTGTGGTTAATGGACTTTTGCCATGGCACTTGGTGTTCATCAAAATCTAAGGAAAATTTTGTCCTCAAAGGAAATATGAAAAGTTAAAGTCAGCATTCAGATGTCCTAATAGTGCCACCCTAAGATCTTGGGTTCCAGTTTCTTTAACTATGTCCTCCTAATCAGTGGGCTTTGAAGTCAGCATGCTGGGCTTTCCATCAGGGCCTCACCACTTACTGTTATGTAGCTTTCAGCAAGTTATTTGACCTCAATTGCTTTATCTCTAAAATGGGGATAATAGCAGTATGGTATGGTTTGGCTCTGTGTCCCCACCCAAATGTCATCTTGTAGCTCCCATAATTCCCATGTGTTGTGGGAGGGACGCAGTGAGGGATGACTGAATTATGTGGGTGGGTCTTTCCTATACTGTTCTTGTGCTAGTCAATGGGTCTCATGAGATCTGATAGTTTTAAAAAACGGGAGTTGCTCTGCACAAACTCTCTCTTTGCCTGCAGCTATCCATATAAGATGTGACTTGCTCCTCCTTGCCCTCCAACGTGCTTGTGAGGCCTCTCCAGCCATGTGAAACTGTAAGTCCGATTAAACCTCTTTCTTTTGTAAATTGCCCAGTTTCGAGTATGTCTTTATTGGTAGCATGAAAATGGGCTAATACACAGTATCTACCTCATTTTTGTGAGGATGAAATAATACCTGCTAAATACTTAACACACAGTGCCTGGCTTATGATGAGGACTCAATAATAGTGACTATTTTCTTGATCTTGTAATATCTGTACAAGTAGAAAATTCATGCCTCTAAACTCCAGTCCTATAGCTAGGATTTGGTTTAATGGTCAGTCTTCCTGATGTCAAGAGTTACCTACCTGATGTTCCTGAAGTGTTTTGGGGTATCAGGTGGTAAGTGGACTCACTGCCTGTCACTCTAATTGAATGGTATCTATAGGCCAAGGGAGCCTGAAAAAGCACTCAGGAATTAACTCACTGTGAGACAAATGCTTTGTGTGTATATGTGTATGAGGAGGAAGCAAGTGTGGGATTAAATTCCTGAAAGATGTGAAATTGCATGGTTAATAACTTTGGGCATCTTTGTGGTCAGGTATTGATTATTTTAGTCAAAGGCAAAGCATTATTGAAAGAATCATCCAAAGTATGAAATTGTGAGTCTTTGAGGGGATATGCGGAGATACTAATACCAATTCAATAAATACAGAAAGCGTTGAAGGTTGATCTGTGTGATCTGCTCATGAATTACATAAGCATTTACTGTAGATATCAGCCTGAATGGAGCACTGTAATTATTTGCTAACATGGCTGATTAATGATGAGCTCCTTGAGAGAAGGAACATAGCTTATTTGCTTTTGAATTCCTGATGTTGGCCTAGTACCTGGCACATAGTAGGTGCTCGATAAATGTTGGCCAAATGAATGAAAGAGTGAATAAATGAGGCCTGAGAGAAAAATTTCTTTACAAGTCAGATGGGGGCTGCATGGTGTAAAGTTTTGTTTTATTCTTGGGTGAACTCATCCTCCCTTCCCTACCCTTGAGGAATCCAGATCAAAGTAAGGCTTTCTGTCTTTGATGTTTCTATTCTCTTGGGAAGCTATCAACTTTTATATTCTGAGCAGAGATAATCTTCTGATTTGGAAGTAAGTCATATAAGAAACCTGGAAATGGAATAAATTTATACAAAAGTCTGGAATACCATTATATCATTGCTAGTTATACCTTATCCAGTATTGTGGGTGAGATCGTGTTTCATTCTGGTAGTGATTAATCCACTGAGTCAAAGATTGGAATACTTACTACAAACGGTATGGCTGGATCCCTCTGTCATTCTTTAGAGCCATCAACTCATTTTTAAGTAAATAATCATTATTAGCATGGATGTGTAAGATTAAGTGAGTATATGGAAGTGCCTGAATTTCAGAATTAATGGAACAGAATTTCTTCAAGAAAGAAATTATAGGCAGGATGCCAATACTTGTGAGCAACAGTTAAAGAAGTGGAAGCACTTTTTGCTATTGATGAGGTGATTCTGGACAGTGAATCAGTGGTTCTTCCATGTTACGTTGTCGAGGAGACAGTTATAGACATATTTTTCTACATAAACATCTTAAATTGCCTGAATCTTTCTTTTTAATGTTGAAACAATTATGCTAATGAACCAATCTGAAATTGCACAGAACTTTCTGACTCTCAGAAAGTTTCCATGTCTTCTAGAAATGTAGGTACTTCAGGAACTCTGTGCTAGGTCTGAGATCATAATGAGAGCCACTTCCAATAGAGTGTGCTGATACAGATCGCAGAGGTACAATTAGGATTTACAAACGCATAATTGTATAAAAAGTCAGGGGCAATGAGCTGGAAAATTTTCCATGTATTTCTCCTTGTGAGATCATGTAGCTTTCTTAGTTCTTTTCGAGATTAAGTTAAAACTTAATGACAACCTTAACTTATTGGAACTGGTATAATAATTCAGAGATCAAGAGCAAGGGGTATTTTTAAAGGATTATGATTACATTCAAAACCTGTAATTTTCTACCTCTCTTTTTGTGGTAATGAAAAATTATAATCCTGAAACACTGTTGGAGAGGTAAGGCCTGTCTGGATACACCTGTGCTTCACAATTTGAACTGTTCTCTCACCTGCAAAAGGAGATTAGCTAGATGATTAGCTAATATCCTTAGGTCTAACATCCTAAGGATGCAGGATTTTATGTCCCGTGAAGTTTCATTTCTGGGAATATCCAAAGAACAGATGCTCACAACAAGAAAAACATGCATTGGCGTGATGGTGATATATTCACCTGCATAGGACCAAGAAGTCTTTAATTAAAGGATTGATTGATTTAGAATAAGACAATATTCTTTCATTAGGTGAGTTCTTTTTGTTGTCTCTGGTGTTCCTAATAGTATATTGGCAATTGTGCTGGGCAAGTAATGCTGACACAGTCAATGTTTCCTTCAAACATGTCAAAGGAAAGTGCCTTGAAGCTCTTCTCTCTTTTTCCACACTCAAGCTCCTGCCATCTCTATCCCTACTATGTCGTTTCCTGATTGACTTTTCCAGAAACCAGAGCCTCCCATTCCAGCATTATAGACCTATTCTTCACCATGAGTATATTGTAACTTTTATAGCTCAAGTCCATTCATTTTAAATCACAAAGTTGTAAAACCCAAAGGTTGGAGGTTAATAGAGAGATCATCTGTAGTAATACCTTAATTCTTTGAGGGTTCCTGTTTAATCATGGCATGTGGATCAGGGATCCAGATGCAGATGCCTCCCCAGCTGAACTAGCAAATACTCCAACCCCAGCTCTCTCTTCAGACTGGGCCTATGCAGCCAACCAGAGAATTGGCCTAGATATTGTGTAGATAGGTGAATCTCTCCCACAGAGTCAGAGGGGACTGCAGCTCTTGGGGACCCATCTTGTATCCCCTTCTCAGAGAAGAATACAAAATTAGGCTGGAACAGGAAGAAGGAAGTCTACTGAGTTATCACCTGAGAACTTCAGTCAAGCCTTGGGAAGAAGGTAGACTTGAGCTACACAGAAATCTGCATTAAAAATTATCCAAAATGGCTCTCCTGTGCAAATAAGCCATTCAGTTGTTTAATAAGACATTTTAGACAAGAAGATAATGGATAAAATATAGATATTACTGCCCCAAGGTATTGATTGTACTTAAAATGACAAAGCCTAAAAATTTAGTGACAGTATCCTATGAAGAGGAAATATAAACCCTGAGTATCTTTTTAGAAGATAGAAATAAAGCATGCTATTTTCAGTTGTAGACTCTTGGTTATGATTTCCTGAATAGTAGATAACATATAGCCAGAATGTGTTGGCAAGCTTTCCTAAGTGAGGCAATATGTACATATAGTTTTAATGTGTTTGAACATAAACACAAGTATACAGAAGATGGAAAAAGAAAATAGAGCAGGCACCACTTCTAGCCATGTTTTCCTTTTCTTGCTGCAAAGAAAAATAACGTTATTTTATAAAATAAAACAGAATCTAATTATGCATATAATTTTTTTATAAAGTAGTAAAATGCAATATTTATAATGATGATGAAGATATACATGTCAAAGTGTAGTCAAACATGACAGCCATTAAACGCCTGGCTGGAGAAAGATCATTAATTACACAGGACATTAGATGCAGTTGAATTGAGAAGGATTATTGGCCAAGTCAACAAAATTATTTTCGAGGCTAGATTCATGTTATTATACCCATGAATAGAATCAGGGTGTACATTTTCAGCCACATTCAGATTTTAGGCACCACCAGGCTCAGACCTTCCCTCCTGGGCCCATGATCACTGGCTTTGCCTTTTTAGAGGGACATTCTCATGGTCACTGAGGCTTTTGGGAGTGTGAACTGTCAAAATGGTTACTGATGCTTAAAAACAAAGAGCTCCCAGAGGCTTGTTAAGTAGGAGAGCTGATAGCGTAGGAACAAGAAAAATGAAAAAGCAAGGGTAGATAGAGGGCAGGAAGGGCCCCAATTTTTTATCTTGGGCTCTAGGGCAGGACTTCCCTTTCTTGGAAATGATTGGCAAGAACAAAGCAATCTTCCAGTCCTAGGAGCTCTAGAAGAATGATAGGCTGAGTGAGTACTAGCGGGCCAAGAGTAATAATATTATTAACTAAAATGTATTGCATGCTTATTCTATGCTAAGCACTGTATACATAACTCATCTAATCTTCAAAATGATGTGATAAAGTAAATATTAGTATTTTACCTATTTTACATATCAGGCCCTGAGAGGTTAGGTGACTTGCTCAAGGTTGCACAGTTAGGAAGTAAACTTCGGGTGACTCACCATCTCCGTTTGCCTGTGACTGAGGAATTTCATGGGATCCTGGACTTTTTGGTGCTGAAACCGGGACAATCCTAGGCAAACCAGGATGGTTGGTCACCCTAAAAGTGATGGTACTGGGACTCAAACTCAGAGCCAGAGATATTAATCCTCATGCTAGTTGTTGCCTTCCCAAGGCATGGATTCAAGTTCAGCACAACAAAGCAATGGGTCCAAATGACAAGAGCCTGGGACGGACAGGGGCTTGTCTAAGGTTCAACTACAATGTTGCACAGAACAACCAGCCGTAAGCTTAATATTGAATCACCTTCTAAATAAGGGAAGAATGGCCCCAGAGCTTCAGAAGGCAAAGGGCTGAGTTTGTAGGTCTGGGTCAAGAAACTACAGCTATAGAGGAGGCTCCTGAGAGCAGAAATTCCTGCTGGTGTGATTGGGAAATCAGGAACATCTGGAAGCAACAGTAATATTAATGCTTATGATTTACACCAAACATTACTTTGAAACTTATACAATACTAGATAACAATAATAATAGATGATGATAAAAACCAGTGGATATTGAAATGCCCTTTTGCAGGGTTCTATAGCCTGGGAGTTGCCCTGGTGGGCGGCCCTATTGTGCTCAAAAACCCAGGAGACAGGAGCTGCTGGGTTGATGTTTATTAGGTCCAGTGTGACGGTCCAGCACCCTTAGCTGCTGTAGAATAGAGCCTGGACAGGAGACAGTCCCAGAGTTTGTTTTATATCCATTCTTGAACTCTTTTTACTGCTTTGTTTGTTTGAGGCCTTGAGGCAGTATGGCAGAAATTGCACAGGATTTGGGTTCAGATAGTTTTGTCTTTGAATATTGATTCTGGCTGTATGCCTTGAGAAATTGACTTAACACTCATTAACCATATTTTTTCATTTGTAAAATGGGGATTAAAATCAATAGAGATATCTCAGTCCATTCGGGCACCTGTAACAGAATATTATAGACTGGGTGGTTTATAAACAAGAAAAATTTATTTCTCACAGTTCTGGAGTCTGGGAAGTCCAAGATCAAGGTGCATGAAGATTCGGTGTCTGGCGAGGGCCTGCTCCCTCATAGATGGTGCCTTCTAGCTGCATCCCCACAAGGTGGAAGGGGCAAATAAGCTCCCCTGTGCCTTTTTTGTTAGGGATGCTAATTCCATTCATAAGGGCTCTGCCCCATGACTTAATCTCTTCCCAAAGGCCCCACCTCCTGAAAACATCACAATGGGCTTAGGATTTCAATATATGAATTTGGGGGGGAACATAAACATTCACACCATAGCACAGGGTTATTTTAAAGATTAGAAATAATGTATGTTAAGTGCCTAGCATGTACGAGGCACCCAACAAATAGGGGCTGCTACATTACTACAGGCCCCAGACACAGAATTCAAAATGGAGACTTCAAATCTTCATTTCTTAAAATTAAAACTATTTCCCAGCGTTGGATTTATCATTTTAGCTTGAGGCTGACACCTTGTGGAATTCTCTGATAATTATGAACTTATTTCATGGTCTGTGTACAATAATAAATCCTTTCTGGAAGCTGAAGCAACAATGTAGATTTAAGTAAATATACTAGCTATTTAAGTCAGAGAAAACAGGCAAAGCCTAAACAGAGTAACTTATTTTTTGAAACCATTTTGGGAGATTAATTTTAGGCTTTAATTTTAATTTATTATTATTACTTTTTTTGCTGTTTTCCCAGGAAGAGTATTAATTCAGAATTTTAAGTCTCCCCCCTCCCCTTGCCTAAATTATTTACCTCCTAAATTTTATTTAAAGCCTGGATTAAGTCTTTCTTTTCCATTTGCTTTCCTTGACCAGTTGTGCATGCAATGCCTGCCCATCTGAGGACTCCCATATCACAGGCAAGAGTAGAGACATACTTTGTGGAGCCCAATACAAGGAAACATGGGACCCTTTGTTTAAAAATCATTAAGAATTTCAAGATGGCAGCAGCAGAGCATTAAACCAAAGGGTCTTGTCTAACTGTCTCTTATTAATTGCTTTTTAAAATAATTATCTACTTAGTTAAAATATAAATTGTTTGCTAGCAGAAACATAGTATCTTTTTATTCATTCCTACCTTTTTTTCCTCTTTTTTAAAATTATACTTTAAGTCCTAGTTTCTGAGATAACTTTTCTCTTTCTCAAAACTCCTCCCTTAAAAATATTATGCAGAAATTCTACTTAGGTCACATTTCTATATAGAGAAGTCTAGAGAAGACACTGGATTTTGGGGAGGTGCTAAGTGATGGGCAACCTGCCTGGAAGTTGTATCAAAGTAACAAGCATTCTATTTTTACTTATATTTGTATGGCTACTTAGGTGAGGCTTTAGGAGTTACTGATGTAGATTGCGGAAACGGTAATTATCCACTGACAGCTCCTTGTGCAAACTCACATTCATCCATGTAGAGCCCAGCCTTTATCTTGAACTGCATTGATCTAGATGCTTTTTGGATTTAGACTTCATGGGAGAGAATAAAAAAACAACTCTTTGGAGAGACACTCGTGATGGAAACTGCTCAATAGATGCATTGACCTTGGTTCATAACGACCACATAATTTGAATCAAAATTACTTAGGATTTTGATAGAATCACTTGTTGTGGTGCTTAGACGCGCAGCAAGTGCTAAAGAACTATTAATGGAAATAGGGCTCTCAAATAGTTAATCATGATTGTTTGGTCAATTGAGAACCTGAGTGTTTTTGATCTTGGTTATTCTCCAGCCCAGTGCTGGCAGGCATTTATAGTGAGAAAACCTGGCTGTGTGGCTAGAAACAGATAATTTTAAATGGTAGCATTCACCTTTCTCTCCTCTGTTTTCCCTCAATTCTAGCTTATGCTTCTATAACTCTGACCTGCTTTTAGCTCCCTGGATACATCAATTTCTTTCTCCCTTCCAGGCCTTTGCCTAGGCTGCCTGCTCTGTTAGAGCTGCCATTGCACAGTCTCATCCTCCTGGTCCACACCTGCTCATCCTTTGAGACCTAGCATGAGCATCATAGCCTCATCGTCGTAATTACTGTCAACAAAAGGAAACAAACCACTTAGTAATTTTCTCTTCGTATGTACTACTGGGATAATATACTTTTCTATTAGTTTGGAATTTTAGAACTCTTCTTGTAATTTATTCTGCTGCATTGTAGAAATAATATTTAAAAAAGGGAAAATGTGATGATTATGACAGGGACTAAAATGAATTCATGCAATTTTCATTTTCCAAGAATCAAATGAACTGTACAATGAGAGAGTTTTATTAAACATCTTTGGAGATCTCTTCCAACTACAAACTGTGGTTCTGAGTTCACTTGAAGTTTCCTCAAATGATCTAAGTTTATGTAGAAAGTTTTTATGCTGTGGTCCTTTTTAAATTTTCTTTACATTTATTTAACTATACCAAGACTTAAAGTGTATTATTTGCACACTGGGAACCATAACTATCTGCGAGAAGAGGTGCAGTGAGATGCATGCTGACAAAGAGGGCATCTTTAACATGGCCACTAACATGGCCACCCACGGGACTTCTATAGGCATCAAAACAAATGGCCAGGAGCAGGTGAAAATGCATTTGTAACACAGTCCAGTCAAAGCCTTCCTGAGAGTACCATAAATTAAGGCAAGTATCTTTGCCTTATGGAGGTCCAAGGTGGCTGCAAAGACTCAGTACGATGAGGACAAGAGGTAATTTACAGTTTTAAAAGCAGTATTTTATGTATATGTGTATAACCTGTTTCATACATGTAAGAGACTGCCTTAACTTATTTTTAAAAACAAGGTGGCACATCCAAAATAGTTTACTGCAGATAGCTTTGTGAAAGCTGTTTATAGAGATTTTGGCAGGGTGAAAGGTTTTTTTTTTTTTTTTTTATTTTTTTGAGATGGAGTCTTGCTCTGTCGCCCAGGCTGGAGTGCAGTGGCATGATCTTGGCTGACTGCAAGCTCTGCCTCCCGGGTTCATGCCGTTCTTCTGCCTCAGCCTCCCGAGTAGCTGGGACTACAGGCACCCGCCACCGCGCCGAGCTAATTTTTTTATTTTTAGTAGAGACGGGGTTTCACCATGTTAGCCAGGATGGTCTCGATCTCCTGACCTCCTGATGCGCCCACCTCAGCCTCCCAAAGTGCTGGGATTACAGGCGTGAGCCACTGTGCCCAGCTGGTGAAAGCTTTTAATAGTGATACACCCAAGGTCTAGCAAGAGTGACATAATATTTTTCCAAGAGCACTGTTTTTACCAGAGTCTGGCTATGAAAGAGAGACTACAAGCAGGAGCTGTAGCCACAGAGGCAGAGAAGGAGCAAGAAGAATAAATACCCTGACCTCTCACTCTTCCCATTTTCCCATCTCCCCTAGCACATCCCATTATGCCAATCCTAACCAGGAAGCCAGAGGCAAGGAAGCCCAGGCTCAGAACAAGACAAAGAAGTGTGGAGAAGGGATGGGGATGCAGGAGCTGATTATGCTGTCAAGCAGTCCCTAAGCAGCATCAGGAAGGTTTTAGGTCAGCTCTGCAGAATTCTATAGGTTTGACTGGTAAGGAGACAATGAACACACATCGCTTTACTCAGTTGATTGCTCCTGGGACAATAGGCAGCATGAGCTTCTTGTTGGCTTCAGCTCCCCTTACCCTCCAGTTTCCCTGGGGCCCATGCGAAGCCAGGTCCTGGTGGATACTGTACACACTGTGAGTTGTGTCACAGCTGGGGAACACTGAACTTAGGAAGCCACTCAAGAGGGATGCTAGAAAACATGCCAAATCTTTGTCCCTTGGGGAAGAAGTTATCTATATTGTCCTGGTCAGGAAACAAATCTTCCCTCTCTCTATCCTAGAGAGGTACACTAGACACAATATCTACTTTCCAAGGCTGTTTGCTATAAAGATCATTCTAAACAAAAGCTGTCACAAGACTCACAGAAATGCCATGGAGAATTACCTCCCGTCAGGTGCAAATGGAGATTAATGAACACTGGTATAAACACATTTAATATTTACATAATCAGTAGGCCTGGCTGGCTGACTTTGCTCTGAGCTCCACCCCGCTCCACACTCGAACCTAATATTGCCCATTTGCCACAGTCATCGCCTTTTCCTTCCAAGTCTGCTTTTTTTTCATTTGTTTTTTATTACATTTTATATGGAGTAAGGAAATAGTACATCTTAGTGAACACAAAACTGACTTTGGCTTTTGACAGATCTGTTAGATTCCCCTTGCCATTGGCTAGCTGATTGACCTTGTGTTTTCTTTTCCTCTGTCAAATTGAGATAATCACACATATTTTTATGTAAATTTGTAAGGATGAAAACCCAAAATGTTAAGTATCAGCCCAGAACGGGGTACATGCTACTGTGGTTAATAGCCTGTGTTGGAAGGATAGGCAGATGGGTGTTTGTTCTCAGGTTTCTTAGGACAGTCGTGGATTTTTCCATACAGTGGGTGAAACACAAAAGGTTCCACTGATGTTGAAAAACCTGGACAGTGAAGCACAAAATGACTGCAAAATTCCCCTATGGCTTAGCATAAACCAGGGCTACTGCCTATTCCTGCTAGCTGGACACACGTGCTGACTCATCCCTGCCTTGCAGTTGCTGTCCACAAAGCAAATGAAAGAGGAAAGCCTTGAGGTATTCTTATTCAAGTGCTTGAGCTTGGATTATTTGGGGAATAAGTATACATTTTAATAACCCTGTGGATTCAGTGAGAAAATGCAACATACATTTACTTGTTCAGTGTCCAAAATGTAGACTGTTTATAGGGATTTAAGAAAAACAGAACCTTGTGGTTCAAGACCAAATAAATCACTAAAACTCTTTTCATAACGTGAACCTCTGTGGGCCAAATGTGAAGAGAGGTGGATTTATATATTTTTAATATGATTAATGATTTGAAAGTCCCCAACTTCTTAAGTACCATGGTTAATAGTTAATGAAGTACCTTTTTCTAAGCCCTGTGCAAATTAATGTCAGAGAGAAAAAAATATGGAAAATGCATACGAATTAAAGCAGAAAGACTTTCCAGTTACTTAAAACCAGGCAGATGGAAATGAATTACTTTTCTTTAATTGTGGCTAGAGGCAAGGCAATGATAGTAAGTCCAAGACTGGAGACTGCAGAAGTTTTCTAATCAGATCCCCCAGCCTGGCTTCCTGATGTTGTATCCAACCTCTCTTCACCAACCCCATACACACACACGCACACACACACGCGCCCACACGCGCACACACGCACACACGTCTCTCTCCATTTCAAGGTTCTGTCCTGGATAGTACCATCATTCCTAGTCCACTGGATCATGGCACATGATGATATTTCCTTGCCCCTTTTTTCTCACATATAAGCCCATTCTTTAAAGCCTGGCACATAGTAGGAAATTAATACATGTCTGCTAAATGAGCTGACCCATATGTTTATTTGAGCTGTAATGATTTTTGTAGGCATGGCAGGAGGAACTGTTGGATGTCATTCTTTTTTTTTTGCGGGCGGAGGGGGGGAGTCTCACTCTGTCACCCAGGCTGGAGTGCGGTGCCGCGATCTCAGCTCAGTGCAACCTCCGCCTCCCGGGTTTAAGTGATTCTTCTGCCTCAACCTCCTGAGTAGCTGGGACGACAAGCGTGCGCCACCATGCCCGGCTAATTTCTGTATTTTTAGTAGAGACGGGGTTTCGCCATATTGGCCAGACTGGTCTCAAACTCCTGACATCATAGTCTGCCTGCCTCAGCCTCTCAAAGTGCTGGGATTACAGGCATGAGCCACCGCGCCCAGCCTGGCTGTCATTCTTGTCTCAGCAACTTGAAGCAGGTTCCTGGAACAGACCATTTATTTAAAGTTTTGCATAAAGGGGTGCCATAACATCCCACATGAATTGCAGATGTTTATCGTAACACACCTTCACCTTTCACCTCCCCCAGGTGTTCAATAAACATGGAATGAATAAGTACTTGTATCATTTGGGAAACTATTTTACTCTCTCTGCATCTCATACTTGATGTTATGGATTTCAACAAAAGTATTCTTACTTATAAAATGAGTAGCATTATTTCTGCTGTAAATATTCTGTTTGTGACTTGATTTGAAGACAGTTCAAATCCAATATTAAAGATATTTCTTGTAATGCTTTGCAAAAGAATCATAAAATTCTACTTAATTTTATTCCTATCCTCAAAAACCTAATCAAGTATTGTAATTCTATAAAGAAAATATTTATTGATTTTTAAATATTTTTGTTGCCTCATATAAAGTTGTATCAGAATTTTAAGTAAGTGCAAAAAATAGTAAACTGCTATTCTATCTCACATTCACTTTCCTCATAGATTCATAGACTCTCAGGTCTGGAGGGGTCTTTAAATTTGGTCCCCAGCTCTAGACCACAGTCATTTTGGATTGTAAGCATTCTAAGGCCACTGCTCCTTGAACAGTAATGTGCATACAAATCACCTGGGACGGACGTTAAACTGCAGCTTCTGGAGTGAGGCCCATGCTCAGATTTATTCCTAATAACCCTTAAGAAAGATTATTTTCTAGTTCCTTTTTCTGCAACTGATTGGAATGCACACAGATAGAGACAACAGGATAGGGTGTCCAGATAAAATTATTCTTAATCAAATCACATTTCAGATAAATAACAAATAACATTTTCAGTGTAAGTATGTCTCAAATACTGCATGGGATGTATACTAAAAAAATTGTTGTTTATCTGAAATTAAAATTTAACTGCATGTTCTGTAGTTTTATTTGCTAAATCTGACAACCCTACATGGGCATAAAGAAGAAAAGCAAGGGCTTTGGTGTCAAGACCTCGCCGATATTGAGTACTGTCTTCTCATTTACTTGCTGCGTAATAAGAGGCAGTCTTGTGACATCGAAGCCTCTACTTCCTCATCTATAAAAAGAGAGAGAAGAGCACTGGCCGTGCTGGGTTGTTATAAAGAGTAAATGAGTTGATACTGGTGAAATACTAGGCCCATAGTAAGTAATTAATAAGGCCAACAGAAATGATATTGGTGATTGAGGTTTGTCCATGCTGTTGACTCTGAAAAGAGAATATTGCATTCATTAGGAAATAACATTTGTAATGTATATTATCATGTTGCCTCAATGTGAAAAACTATTATCTGATTTTCATGCAAACTTGATTTTCTATCTCAGTGATTCTCATCTTTTAGCATGCAACATTATCACTTATTAAAACACGATTGTTGGGGCCCACCCCTAGAGATTATGATTCAATAGGCCTGCGGTAGGGCCCAAGAATCTGCCTTTTGAGCAAGTTCCAAGGTGATGGTGACACTGCTAGTCTGAAGCCAACATTTGAGAGCTTCTGATCTGTATCAGAATTATTCTGGCTTTTTCATGGTTTTCTTGCTTTGTGTGGTTAAAGTAATGCCACCTACTGGACATAATTGAGAAGAACTCTCAGTAGAAACTTAAAACATTTTTTTTTAAATGATTAAATTCTAAGGGTCCTGTCGAGAGCTTGAAAATTCTTGTCCTTTTGACAAATTGGGAACAGACAGAGTATTTTTATTGTGACACAAGAATATCAACTTGTTTGTAGGATTTCTTTTTTAAGTAAAGAAAACATTAAAAATATTCTCCCTTCTGTTTATAGTTAAATGCATAAGAGCAATACTGACACTAAGTGCTGCCAATTACTTGTTGTACTCTCAATTTCATGAAAGAAAGGAACATATCTTGGTACAATAAGTGCAAAAATTCTTTCTCTTTGGTCCTATGTATTCATCTAGACAATGAGAAAAGGTGAGATAATCTCAACAAGTAGTCTCTAATGTTCTGTGATTCTGCCCAAAAGACATTTCACTTAGCTTAACCTCAGAAGGAGAAAGAATCTCATTTAGAATGAAAGCCTGTTCTCTGACATTATACAACTCTTTCATTTTATAAAAACTAACCTAAATGTGACTCTTACCCCAAATGCAGTCATATTCTGAGGTACTAGGTAATAGAGGTTCAATATATGAATTTTGGAGAGGCATAATTCAGCCCATAACAGTACTGTACAAATATTGTTTTAAAATAGAATCTTATCCCCTTGGGGTTTATTTTCTGCATTTGTAAAACAAGGAAGTTTTCCTGAGGGAGTTCTGAGTAACTTGAAACTCAATATTCTGTTGTGCTCTCATTTCTTTAGCCCCTAAGAGTCTATAGTCAAGGAGAAGCTTATCCAGGAGCCAGTGCATGCCAGGTTTCAGGAGAGGGGACCGTTTGCATTTAAGTAGTGTTGTGAAAAGAGCATGGCATCAGATAACTGAGTTTCATTTCAACTCAGTAATTTTCTTATTAAGAAAGCTTGTATATAATAATCAATCTCTCTGGGTCTCAGTTTCCTCCTGGGCAAAGTGGGGCTTGTAAAACCTGTCTAGAGTTGCTCTGAAGGTAAGGCATATAACATGCGTAAAGCACCTGACACAAAGATTGCTTAACAATGGAGGCTCAGCGAATGGTAGTTACACATTGTACATTCAGCCTTGTCTTGCCTCCCCTAAGGCAGAATCAATCTTGCAGCGGCGATGCCTCAGTGGTGTTGGAGACTGTGCCTCATACTTCCCTGGGGTGACTGCGGCTATGGTGCTTCCTTCTGAGCCATAGTGCTGACATGAGAAGCAAACAGCAACCTGTCTTTCTCCCCATTGCAGAGCCACAGATCCCTTTCTAGGGACCAGTGAGAACAATGGTTATTCCAACAACTATCCATCATTACAACCTCATGTACTTTTTGGATGCAAGCTCTGGAGTTGAAACACCAGAGCTTCACTTTCGAGTAGCCAGTTCTTTCTTAACAGCATCCTCGAGGAAGGTAAGAAATGCTGCATCAGGTCCAACAGCAAGTCTAGAGAAAGCTAGCTCTAGACACTGTGCTAGGTCAATTTTCCCAGTGCCTGACCACCTGGTGGAGCTTTGGTGAGTCTTTGACTACTTTAACTTTCTTTCCCTATTTCAAAATTACCTAAAGCACAGATTACCCTGGGGCTTCCTGGGTAAGTCTCTCTTAGGAGGGGAAGCTATGCTGTCATATTTAGGCAATTACTTAGATACTACTTGAAATGTGAAAAACAAGGGCATTAATAATCCCAGCGCCCTTAAACAACTATGTTCATTTCTGTATCAAAAATTTCAGTCTAATATTCATGTGTGTATATATATGTACATGTATAATACATACACTTTTTGTGTATTTACAGATCAAAGATTGTTTTATATAAATACCATTTTTACTGTATCTAGCCAAGAAGCATTTTTCAACTGCTGTCATTTTTATGGTTTAATTATATTATATTATATTGTATTGTATTATATTAACTACATGGACAAAAATTTCCCCATATCCTATCTATGAGTATTTATATTGCTTTTAATTTTATAAATGGTGCTGCAATGCCCATTATTATGCATATGTTTTCCATGCCCTCCTTCTCTCAAATCATTTCCTTAGAATAAATAAATTTCTAGAACTTGGCATGAACATTTCTATGTAGATCAGACTTCAGAACCAAGCATCCCTCACTTTCCCGAAAAGTGCTGCAGTCTTTTAAATTTTTGATTCTCTATAGAAGACAGAGCTTCTTTCATTGAAACTTTTAGTACTGAAGCATAGAAAAGAGTGCCATCTGCTGCCTTGAAAACATCACTTCCTTCAATTTTCTGCTTGTTCCTGGAGAGCATGACCCGTTATCTGCCAAGATAAGATCTATTCCCAAGTTGGGTATTAAATGATAGGAAGAGTGTTCATTAAGTAAAGTCACATTACCGTTACAAGGCCCAGTGTAACCTGCAGTTACAGTGTCTAGAGTGCAGCCAGGCACTATTTCCTGCTTCCGTTGGGAAATACAAAGTCCTAATAATTGGATGATGAGAACTTGTGATGCAAGCCACTGTAAAATGATATGTGCTATGCTCTGGGCTGTGATCACTCCGTCCAACTAATCTTCCTCTTCTCATTATGCAGATCTACCCACCTAAGTGGTGATTACCTTTGGAGTCTTGCCTCAATCCTCTCCTTTTTGCCTTCCTAGGAGTTTTGCAAGATTTTCCTACCCCTGCAATGTCCCTATCACACTACCTCCCATGACTGCTCTTTGATTATTATATGAGATTTTTCTGGAGAGCAAGTTGAGACTATCTTTCACGTCACATAAAGCTCTTCATAATAGGCCCCTGCCTGTTAATCCACCTTTATCTCTCATAATTAGTTCTTCATTTTCTATACTCTATGATAGCATTGTCCAATAAAAATATAATTCAAGTTACATATGAAATTTAAAATTTTCTAGTAGCCATATTAAGAGAGGAAAAACCAACTAACCAAATAAAAGAAATACCTCCAAACAACAATAGGTTACCCAGAATATTATCATGTTAATTAACTTTTGATACTACACACATTTCAAGTGTTCAATAGACACGTGTATTCCCAGCTCTAGGAAACCCAAGCTAAATGTAAGTTCCCCAAATACACTAGTTTTTTTTCAAACCATGGGCCTTTGCACACAGTCTTCTTTCTGCCTGGAATGAGTTTTCCGTCGTCTGGTAAACTCCTACTCATCTTTACATGCTTAGAAGAAATATTATCTTTTCTAATGATTCTTTCTTGAGTCTCTGCAAATGTTATTAATCTCTTTCTTCTCTGTTCTGTGACTCTACATTTGTACAGGCTTCTACTTTATCACTTTCTTTGTTGATATATTGATTCCAATTTATAAATAATTGATTCATAGCTTTATACCTGATTTTGAGCTTCTTTAGGGCAGAGATGTCTCTGTATCTCAAGCATTAAGAACAGACCACATTCTCACTATCAATGTGCAATAAATAGGTGAATGAATGAATGTCTATTAATTGAGCTACCACCCACTGTCACTGTTGATGCTTACTCTGTAGTCCTGTGTAATATTACAGGGCTTCAATACAAGCCTGATGGAAAGATGTATCCAGACAAGCCATGATATCCGTTGTTGCTCCATTTCTTGGTCAGAGTCAGAAACAAAAAAGAAATAACTGGCAAGACTAGGGAAATATTGGTAGCTTAATTTTGATGCCTGTCTTCACACTGATTTCCTGGGTGTTTTCTGGGATAATTGGCTTTTCAGGTTAAACTTAGAACACTATTTTAAAGTATTCAAACAGGAATGTCTTCATACTTTGAATAAGATGTTTCCCCCACAAAAACTCTTTTTTCACAAAATCTGCTTAGATGTGTGCATGAGCTGGGACTTAATCTCATTTATAGTTAAATCACATTCCCTTCTTGTTAAAATCTCCTACCATATGCTTCTGATAGAAAGCTTTTGGGGAAGGCCGGATGGCAAGATTATTGACATAGTGTATTAGGTTGTTCTTGAGTTGCTATGAAGAAATACCTGAGACTGGGTAATTTATAAATAAAACAGGTTAAATTGGCTCAAGACTCTGCAAGCTATACAAGCATGGCTCCAGCATCTTGCTTCTGGTGAGGGCCTCAGGAAGCTTACAATCATGGCAAAAGGCAAAAGGGGAGCAGGTAAGTCACATGGCAGGAGAGGGAGCAAGAAAAAGAGAGAAGGGGGAAGTCCCAGGCTCTTTTTTTTTTCTTTTTCTTTTTGAGATGGAGTCTCACTCTGTCACCCAGGCTGGAGTGCAGTGGCACCGTCTCTGCTCACTGCAACATCCGCCTCCCGGGTTCAAGTGATTCTCCTGCCTCAGCCTCCTGAGTAGCTGGGATTACAGGTGCCTGCCACCACACCCGGCTAATTTTTGTATTTTTAATAGAGGTGGGGTTTCACCATGTTGGCCAGGCTGGTCTTGAACTCCTGACTTTAGGTCATCTGTCTGCTTTGGCCTCCCAAGTTGCTGGGATTACAGGCATGAGCCACTGCACCTGGCCCCAGACTCTTAAATAACTACATCCCCTGTGAACTGAGTCAGAACTCACTTGTCACCAAGGGGATGGTGTTAAACCACTCATGAAGGAACCACCCCCCGTGCCCCACCCCATGATCCAAACCTCCAACCACGCCCACCTCCAACACTGGGAATCACATTTCAACATGGCTTTTGGAGGGGCAGACATCCAAACCACATCACACAATTTTTGGGAAAAAAAAAAAATGGTTGCCTTTCTTGTTTTGTTTTATTTCACTTAGTTTCAACTCACTGAGTATTTTTAAAGTGTGCACTTTTAACACTGTTTAATTCCCGACAGCTTGTGCAGGAAAGCAACTCTATGGCAGGTCTCATTGTATGAATCCTACTATCTCTAAGTGGAGTTGTATGTAAATGACAAAAGGTCAGCTCTGCATTGGAAAATGTTGGAAGCCATAGGGAAAGAAACTGCAATAGTATACCTGGATGCTATGCTTCTTAACATTAGAAATCTGTTACTAAAATCAGGTAAAATATTAAAATAAAATATAAATATTTTGAAAATAGAAGAGTACACCTGACCCTGTAACTTAGATTCATTACTTTAAATCTGCACACATCATATGTACATATATAAATTTTTAAGTAGGTCCCTTATTATATACTGGCCAATGTGGACATACAGATATAATGCCAGGGATTTATGGCATTTTTAGCAGATGTGAAAGATACAATTTACTGGCCCCTAAATATGAAAAATCCTGGTGATATTAATTCAAAAATACCTAGTAGCTTTAAAATGTAATATTATATAAGCTTGATTAATAGTTAATATTTACAAACATTTTATAATATTTGAAAACAATTTTTAGGTTAAGTTTCCTCACTTACAAGAATTCTGAAGCATGTACCATGATTGCTGGATACTTGATGATCATAAATTAAATAAACTAGTCAGATCCAAATAACTTAAAAAGGAAAATTATAAAAATATTTTCACATTTTTATAGCAAAAACAATGTCTACTGTGGGATGTGAGGACATTTTAATAGGTTTTATATAATGATTTTTAAAAATAGTTATTAACTTAGTGTGGTTTTTAAAAAATAAAATATTTTCTTATTAGTGGAATCCTACTTGGTCTGTTTTCATGATGACTTATTTAATCTTCTCCTGGGGTGTATTCCAAAGTTGGATACTTACAGTGACTTATTTTCTGGATTACTATTGTTATTATGTTTATTCAGGGCATCTATTAGGTGTTTGATTTCCTTCAGTTGGGTTGCCTCTGATGTTGGGTCCTTATTTCCTGTTGTCACCTAGATTTATTTTCACAGATTATTACCTATCTTTGAATTTTCTTCTTTATGGATTTTACTGTAGTGCCCCAACAAGTTATTTCTGAGGAAGCCTGTAGCTGTTTTTCAGTTCCTATCTTTCAGGTGTACCAACTGATTGGCTAATACTAAATGAACTAGAAGTATAATAAAATGTAGTGAAATAATGCAGGACTTAAAAATCAGAAGTAGATTCAAGTCCTACCTATCACTCACTAACTGGGCGTTAAGCCTTCAATAAATGGGAATAATGATGCCTGATCTGCCTTTGAACATGCTCGTCCTTCTGTCTGGAATGTCTATCCTGCTCAGGCCTACCTAAAAGCAATCTATTTTGCCTTCAAAACTCAATTTGTAGGTCAACACTTGCAGGATGCCTTCCCAGATAGAGTCCATCATTCCTTCCTCTGCGTCTTATACATACTACCACTCACTACGATGTAATGTGTTTACTTTCATGTCAGTCACAAGGCTATCATAAGAATGAAATGAAATGCTGTTCATAAAAATACATTGTGAATCATAAAGGTTCCTATAGAAATTTTTCTGTACACATTGCACTGCTTTACGAAGTTGTTGCTCTTGTCTTCAGAGAGGCTAGCGTTTAAGAAGTTTTTGACAGCACAAGTATAATTACTCATTTATTCCTTCATTCAAAAATGTTCATGGAAGCACCAACTATATCCCAAGAAATATGTATGAAAGCATCGCCAAGAGCATAAAATGTTTTGAAAATGTGATAAAATATAATACTTCAAACATAAAAAGCAAGCAAACAAGACCAATAATTAGTAAGGAGGGCTCTGAAATCAGGCATGAGCATCTCAGTTGCTGACAACTGAAACAAACAATAGCATGGGAGCTATCAGAGGATAATAGCTACTCCCCTGCTCCACTCGTATGGGTTATTATATGTGCAAAAGAATCTGGAGTTTGATAGCATAACCCACTGAATATCCTTAAGTTATCTCTTAGAGTTTATCATAGATATGTAAATGTGATATATTCTCATTTAAAAAGTGTGGCTTTGATTATTCTTAATAAATTCATTTGTCATAAAACCCCTGGTCAAAAATTCTTTTAAGTTATATTTGGTTAGTTATGCAAAACTGAGTTGGATCGTTCCTACATGACTATTAGGATCAGGATTCTGGGACTACAGGTGTGTGCCACAATGCCTGGTACACTTTTAATTTTTTTGTAGAGATGTAGTCTTTTTTTACTGCCCAGGATGGTCTCAAAATCATCCCACCTCAGTCTTCAAAAATGCTGAGATTACAGGTGTGAGCCATCATGCCTGACCCCATCCAGTTTTTACTGAGTGTCACCCCTATGCTAAACTCTGGGAATACAGATGAGTGGGTCCCAGCACTGCCCTTTTGGAGTTCACAGTCTTGTATAAATCAGGTAAACACCTGTGATTCTATCTGGAGATTTTTAACTTAGTGTAAATAACTGGGATGAATGTGTTCCCCTTCCCTTTCCCTTTCATTGTTGGTTTGTCTCATGGCCTTTTGTGGTCCCTTGCCTAACATGTCTAAGGGATCTGAAGTATATACTAGGCTGAGTGGTGATATCTGAGGTGACACCAGCTCCTTCTGATTGTATTCATGTGTGTAGTCTTAGAGAGGACTGGAGGTTGGGGACAGCATTAGAGAGACTGAGCGTAGTTGATGCTTTGTGAAAATATTTCGTTGGCAACTTATAGTGTAATTTCTCATTTGTGGTATACGGTTCACAAGTGGCTTCAGTATTACCTTTATTGATTGTTTTGTAGACATAATCTCAAAGTGTCTCTGGCCCTACCACCCTGAGCATGCCCAATCTCATCTGATCTCAGAAGCTGAGCAGGGTCTGCCATGGTTAGTACTTGGAGGGGAGATATAATTTCAAAGTGACAATATGTGAGTTAAATAATAGAAATAATTTTCAATACACTTTGTAAAGCCAAACAAATATACTTTGTGTTGTGTGGGTTCTCAGTGTTTACTTTTTGGGATCGTGATGAAAAAAGAAAACCCTCATTTAGTAATGCAACAAAATATATCTTGAATCCTCATTGATTATAAGACTTTTAATGAAGCCAACTAGACATCTGTATGACAACTTATTTGGGTATAATGGTCTCTCTTCTTTGTGAGAGAGTTTTCAGTCATTTCTAAATCTCTCTTGGACACTTGATTCTTTCTTATCACAGAAGAGCCATTCTGGCTATATTTCAAAAAAATTCAGTAATATCGGTAGTGGTCTAATGTTTAGAATAGCTTTTGAGTCTCAGATCCTGCCATGATTCTTCTTAACGGGAAATACCATGAAATAAAATGGGGTATAGCTGGTGAAACAATATATGCCTCCTTGCTTGTTTGGCTTAAAGCTCATTGGACCATAATCCAAATCTAGCTGATTGTGGTACCAAGTATTAGAGAAACAATGACAACCCTGAAACAGGGATTTATAAATCATTTTTCTTTTGGGGAGTGGTATTGTGTATTGATTGAAAACAAAAAAGGATTTCATAGCTATCAATTACAATATTTCATCAATTAACAAGATACCTTTTTTCCTGTACATGTAATATTTATGAAATTGAGGCACAATGTTGTAATTGATGGCATGTTGTAGTCTAATTCGCCATATTTTTGCCCCCATGAGTGGTAAATAAAACAATAATGTTACTGTCATCCTAGATTAGATGATGATATGGCATTAATTATGTGAACCATAGAAAAGTTACCTAAATGCTTACATATCACATTGACATAACAGGATAATTTCTACTTTATAGAGTTGCTATGAAGATTAAATTAAATAATGCATATAACTGTCATTGCACAATACTTAGCACTTACTAAACTACAGAAACAAGATTGCTTTTCTATGTTTTATCTCATGTTATTTTAGATTTCTTCATCTCTGTGATACACAGTAGAACATAAATTAGATTTATTTGCATATTAACAAGTATGTGTTTTTGTGATTACTTGTTAATGTTATTACTCTAATTATCATATGATGATTTATTTATTTTTATTATGAAATATGATCGTGGGTGGGGCAGGGAAATAAGTATGGAGAAGAATAACAATATATATTTGCAAAATGTCTTACGTTTCCTACCCTGACTGCCGCTGCCAGCGCCTGTGTGCACCATCCAGAAGCCTAAAGATAGGCCTGGCCCATATGCTGCTGGCTTTGCTGGCACCTGGACACATCTTCTGGAGACTTGGAGATTCATCTGTGACACCTGCCACCACCAGTGCCTGCATGCACCATCCAGGAGCCTGAGGACAGGTCTGCCCTGCCTCCCAGTGCCTCTGTACATCTTCCAAGGAGCTGCCATGCCCGCCATTGCAGGCACTCATGCACACTGTCTGGGGCCAGAGGGTGGTCTATCCCACCTACTGCCACTGCCCATGCATACTGTGCAGGGGTCCTACAAACTGACCAGCTCTGCCTGCCACTGCTGGTATACATGCAAGCCATCCGGGGCCTAAAGATGGGCCTACCCCAACTGTCACTCATGCTTGCACATACCCCTTGAGAGACCAAAGAGCAGCCTGCTAAGCTTACTGCCAACACCACTGGCACCCACTCATGCATGCCACCCAGGGACCTGGGGACTGACTTACCCAGCTGGCCACTACCACTGCTGGCCCCCATGTATGCCACTCAGAACCCAAAGGTTAGCCTGCCTCCCCACTATTGCCACTCCAATGTCATGCACACCACCTGAAGATCTGAGGACCTACCCACCTGACCCACTGCTGCCACTGCTGGCACCTGAGCATGCTTCTTGGAGGCTTGAGGACCCACTCACCTGGATCCTCCACTGCTGGTGCTTACATATGTCACCTAGTGGCCCAAATTCTCAATTCTTGCAAGAGACATAGGCAGTCTGAGACAGGAAGCTCAAAATCCCCAAATAGATTCAACTCAAAAAGGTCTTCTTCAAAGCGCGTTATAGGCAAACTGTCAAAATTCAAAGACAGAGACAACTCTAAAAACAACAAGAGAAAAGAGTCCAGTCACATATATGGAGATTCCCATCAGACTAACAGCTGGTTTCTCAATAGAAAACTTACAGGTCAGGAGAGAATAGGATGGTATATTCAAATTGCTGACAAAAAAAATGCTGCCAGCCAAGAAAACTTTTACCCAGGAAAGTTATCCTTAAAAACTGCAATGAAATCTTTTCCACATAAACAAAGACTGAGAGAATTCATCATCACTAGACTGGCCCTGCATGAAATGCTTACAGAGGTATTATATCTGGAAATGAAAGGATGATATTTGCCATAATGAAAACACAGAAAGTATGAAACTCACTGATACAGGAGTCAAACATTATCAAGTGGGGTTTATCCCAGGGATGCCAGGATGGTTTAAAACACACAAACCAATAAAAGTAATACATCACATCAACAAAATGAAGGACAAAAATATGATTATTTTAACAAATACAGTAAAAGAATTTGATAAAATTCAACATCCTTTCATGATAAAAGTTCTCAACAAATTATGCATAGAAGGAACACATTTCAATGTAATAAAGGCCGTTTTTGATAAACCCACACCTAACATCATACTGAATGGGGAAAAGCTGAAAGCCTTTCATCTAAGAATTGGAACAAGACAAAGATGCCCACTTTCATCACTCTAAAAACTTAATACTGGAAGCCCTCACCAGAGCAATCAGGCAACAGAAAAAAAAAATGAAAGACATACACATTGAAAAAGAGGAAGCCAAATTGTCTTTCTTTGTAGAGAACACAATTTTATATGTAGAAAAAACTAAAAACCCCAGCAAAAACTCTTAGAACTGACAAATTTGGTAAAGTTGCAGGATGCAAAACCAACATACACAATTCAGTATCAGTTCTATACACCAATAACAAATTAGCTGGAAGAAAAATCAAGAAAGTTGAACCTGGGAGGCGGAGCTTGCAGTGAGCTGAGACGGCACCACTGCACTCCAGCCTGGCCACAGAGTGAGACTCCGTCTGAAAAAAAAAAAAAATCAAGAAAGTAATTTCACCTAAAATAGCTACAAAAAAAGCCTAGGAACAAATTGAACCAAGGAGGTGAAAGAATTCTACTATGAAAACTACAAAAAACTGATGAAAGAAATTGAAGAGGCCACACACAAAGAATATAAAGACATCCCATGCTCATGAACTGGAAGAATTAATTTAATGAAAATGGCTAAACTACCCAAATCAATCTACAGATTCAATGCAATCCCTATCAAAATACCAATGCCACTGTTTACAGAAATAGAAAATACAATACTAAAACTTGTATGAAACCACAGAAAACCACTAATAGTCAAAGCAATCCTGAGCAAAAAGAATAAACGTGGAAGTGTCACATTATCTGGCTTCAACATGTAATACAAAGCTATCGTAATCAAAAGTATGGTATTGATATAAAACAGACACATTGACCAATGAAAAAGAATAGAAAATCCAGAAATAAATTTACACATTTATAGCCAACTGATTTTTAACAAAGGTACCAAGAACATACATTGTGGAAAGGACGCTCTTCAATAAATGGTGCTGGGAAAAGTGGATATCCATATGCAGAAGAATAAAACTAGATCTCTGTCTCTCATCATATACAAAAATCAATTCAAAATGAATTAGAGACTAAAATGTAATACCAAAACCTGTAAAACTACTAGAAGAAATCATAAAACACTTCAGGACATTGGTCTAGGCAAAGATTTTATGGCTAAGACTTCAAAAGCACAAGCAACAAAAACAAAGCTGGACACATGAAATTACATTACAGTAAAAAGCTTCTCCATAGCAGAGGAAACAATCAAGAGTGAAGAGACAACCTGTAGAATGGAAGATAATATTTGCTAACTATGTATCCAACAAGCTACTAATATTCAGAATATACAAGGAAGTCCAACAACTCAACAGTAAAAAAACAAACAAAGGATCTGAATAGACTTTTCTCTAAGGAAGGCATACAAATGACTAACAAGTATATATAAACATGCTCCATATCACATTATCAGGGAAATGCAAATAGAAACTACAATGAGATATCACCTTACCTCAGTTAGAATGCCTATTATCAAAAAAATGACAAATGCCAGTGAGGATACAGAGAAAAAAGAATGCTTGTCAGCTTTATCAAAGATGACAAGATGTCAGATGGTTGTAGATATGCAGCCTTATTTCTGAGCTCACTATCAGAATAGAGTGTCTTCTCCTTAATTTTTTAGAATACTTTCTATAGGAACAGCATCAGCTCTTCTTTGTACACCTGCTACCTGTTTTTGTACCAATACCATGCTGTTTGGTTACTGCAGCCCTGTAGTATAGCTTGAAGTTGAGTAACATGGGGCCTCCAACTTTGTTCTTTTTGCTTATGATTGGCCAAAACTGGCCATAAACAAAATCTCTGCAGCACTGTGACATGTTCATGATGGCCATAATGCCCACACTGGAAAGTTGTGGGTTTACCAGAATGAAGGCAAGGAACACCTGGCCCACCCAGGGCGGAAAACCGCTTAAAGGCATTCTGAAGCCACAGATAATAGCATGAGCGATTGGTGCCTTAAGGACATGCTCCTGCTGCAGTTAACTAGCCCAACCTATTCCTTTAATCAGGCCCATCCCTTCGTTTCCCATAAGGGATAGTTTTAGTTAATTTAATATCCATAGAAACAATGCTAATGACTGGCTTGCTGTTAATAAATACATGGGTAAATCTCTGTTCAGGGCTCTCAGCTCTGAAGGCTGTGAGACCCCTGATTTCCCACTTCACACCTCTGTATTTCTGTGTGTGTGTCTTTAATTCCTCTAGCACCGCTGGGTTAGGGTCTCCCCGACTGAGCTGGTCTCAGCAGTTGGGGATGAAGAAGAGTTGGTTAATGAATACAAACAGAATCAGATAGAAGAAATAAGTTCTAGTGTTCAATAGCACAGTTGGGTTACTATAGTTAATAATGATATTTAATAATAAGTCATAATAGCTAAAGAAGAGATTTAAAGTATTTCTAATACAAAGAAAAGATAAATGTTTGAGGTACTGGATATCCTAGTAACCCTGATTTAATCGTTACACCTTGTATGCATTTATCAAAATATCACATATACCCCCCATTAAATGTATAATTATTATGTATCAATAAAAAGGTTTTTAAAAATCAGCTTAGAGTTTCTACTACATAACATTAAAATGTATCATCTAAAAAGAGTTCATATTTCTACTAATTTTATGTGTATTAAAAATTTATGCATTGTTAATATTTAGCTACTTACTCAAATATTTAAATTTTTTGAAGAAATGCAAAAATTGCCTAAGTGTTAAGATCCCTGAGAAATTGTAGGAAAAATGCTAATGAGACATCAGAGATGAGCTCACAAAGGTTGGGAGATTGAAATGGAGCTCCAGGACAAAAGAAGTCAGGGAAGGAAGAAGAAAGGGAACTTCTGAAAATGAGAAGAGTAAAATGTCAAAGGGCTCATCAAAGAGAAGTTCCAGATATAAATACTTAACTAGCTGTAAACAATGAGGGTATGTGTAACGTATAAGATGAGAGCACTATTCTGTGGACTACATTTCATGACACTGGGAACAAAAGTTCAGTGCATTGGAGAAATATATTAAATGTGGCCATGGTAGGATATTTCACTAAAACATCTACTTAGTTATGAGCACTGTTTTCACTGCATACATGAGAAGCAAAAATGAATCTAGACAATTTATATACAAGAGAGCAAATGAATTACTGTCTACACTTACTAAGAAACCACGTGACTTTCTTGAGTTTAGCAATTGTTCCAATTAAGTTTTGTTGCTATGATTATTGTGTTTCCCACAAAATATTAAATAAACATAAAATAATACAAAATGCTTTATGTTATTAAATAGTCTTATCCCCATTTCATTTTTAAATCTTCCCCATGAGGTAAAGAGAAGAGGTATTATCCTCAATCTACAGAGAAGAGATTGAGCGACTTAAAAACACTCATATCATTCAGATACTTTTAAAATTCCTGGTCCAGAGCTCTCTTCCGTGTTTAAAATCTTACCCATAGTCGCAGTGTCAACTTTCACTATATTTAGATTGTCATTTCTACTTCCACGTGTACCTCCTCATATTTCTAAGATATTTCCACTGTGTGTCAATGCATCATCCCCAGCTCCACATGCCTTACACAGACTTGCCATCTTTTCCTTGTAGCATACCCATTAGAGTTTTCTTCCTACATTTACATCTGTCAGCAGCACAGTTACTCTCTCATAGAAATTTGGAGTTTATTTAACTGCTCCCCTTTCTTTTATATCCTATATTACAGTTTATCAATACCAATTTTTTAAATTATTCCTCTATAGTGGCTTTCCTTAAAACTTTCTCCAGAATTGTCTTCTAGACAGGTCTTTTGCAATAGCTCTTATTTCTCTAACTCATTCTGTACTTGGCCAGATTAATCTTTATAAAATTCACCTTGTGTATGTCACAGATAGGGGGCAGAATGAAGTCTAAGGATTGATACCAAAGGAGGATCTCAGATCTCATTAGTGTTACCTTTTGGTCACAGAAGGTTGGGAGATAATGGGACTGGGTTGACCAAGAGAAATTAGAGTCATGAATCCAGCAAAGAGAAGATAATGCTCATCTAGACAAGCAAGGTCCTCAAAGATCTGACTTCTCCTGAACTATTTTGACGTATCTTCTATTATCTGCAACATAAAATGCTTTCTTCTGCACAGCTAGTACTTTCAATGAAATCGGAACATGCTGTGTTTATTTCTGCCCTGTGCTTTTGCTTGTATTGCTTTGTAATCACTCAAAAATGCACTCAACACATGTTTATTGAGCACCTTCAGACTCTGGAAATACAAAAATGAAGATCTTGCTCTGCCTTTTAGTAGTTCATAAGGATGTAAGCAGAGTGTGTTGGGAGGGGGAGGGAAGGGGAGAGGGAGTAAGCAATTAACTACAATATATTGCAACAAGTGCCATTGCTTGGAAAGCATTAGATGGAAACCTGAAGAAGCTAGTAGCTCTGGAGGTGACATTTGAACTGATCCTCTTTTTCCCCTCAATTTGTTCAGATCCTATTTGGGTGTCCACATAATGCTACAATTCCTCTCAAATACCCACGGCCTTCATTGAGGTGTTAACCTACATTTTTCACCTTCTGAAACTCCTTTGGAAATTATTGTTATTATCTCTGGTTTTGCCATTAATCATTTATTTCCCATGTACTTTCCTGGGTTCCTCCAACCAGATCATCAACTACTAAGTGCCAGGGATCATGTTTTACACTTTTTAGTATCCACCTCCAGACATAGAAACCAAATTCATGTTTTAAAAGATTTCTTTCAATCCTTTGTGTACATACAAATTTTCATGTTTGACAACTCTTATATTTGCAGTCACATATTAGTGTCTACAAGCTCTAGTGATCAAAATAAATTTTTCAGAGAGAAGAATGGACTTTAGTACAGTTACAATTTCTAAAGAAATGTGTCATTAAATAATTTTAGTTACATATCTACTGATCCTAAGCTGATTATTATGTTGTTAATGATTCTGTTATTTAGTGCTCAGGGAAAAATGCGCAAATGTTTGAATGAAGCACTGGAGGCAAGAGAAAGTGATGATGTATGGTCAGCAATATATGCCGTGTTATTACAACAAACATGTTGGGTGGAATGTTTATTGATTTTTTTAATCCTTAAGTAGGACTTCTGGCCTATAAAATATTTAATATTGTTTCCCAGGATCAGCTTTCCTTGAACAAACATAGATGACTGCTCTTCCCTGACAGTTTTTCATCAATGATTACCAGACTGGCACCACAGTGTACCCTCTTTCCATCTTCCCTGTGTAGGTAAGGAAAGCTTGAACTGTGATTATTTTTATTTCAGTCACTTAAAACAAACAAGAAAGACAGATGGAACTGGACCAAATTGAGGGATTTTATAGCAGAGGAAGTGTGTATGCCTGAAAATAAATTAACCATTCAAAATAGACTCCATTTGCTGCTTAGGGACAATTCAATCCATGTATCTAGATTTGAATTTTCCAGATTAAATGCCCAATTTAATAATCATCCTTTAAATAAAAAAAAAGTAAAGCCAATGCTATTTTAAATTTTTAGCATTGAGGAATTCCCTGTTTCTTCAGGTTAAAAAAAATCATACAATAAAATTTAAGCAGAACACTATTGTTGCATTCTACATAATACTTTTAAGGCATTGGAGAATACAGAATACATGAATTTTCTCTCTACAAACAGTTATATCTCAAGATCATTATGTGTGAACACTAGTCAAACTTGAAAACATAAAAGTAGGATGAGTTTATACTTTACTGGTTACCAATTTAGGGATTTAAATTTATAAATGATTTTCTTAATAAGACTTTCTATTTAACTTAAGGAACAGATTAAAAAACAATGAAATAGTTCATGTAGCACTTTTAAATTATTAGAGAAAATAACATCATGATTTATAGGAAACATTTATAAGCTATAAAAAAGCTCATAGAGGAAAAATAAAAATATTTGTAAAAACTCAATAGATGATATTCCAGTTTTATTGTGTATCATATTATTTTAAGATTACTCAAATAATTTGTAGGTCAGAGAAGTTGCTTTGCATATGGGTTATAAAAGGTGTAATTTCAAACACTTTCTTCTGGTAATATGCATTAAACAAAGAAGGACTCAAAATGTAACATTACAAATATTGAAGTCTAGTGTTATGACTCACTTGGCATTGCTCATTTCATAAGAAAACTCATAAAAATATAATCAGTGGTATATTAGATATGACTTAGGAGATTGGAGACTACTTCTAAATATACATTTTCATTTTCAATATGTATATACGTTTCATAAATATACATATTCATCTAGCATTTGCTCTTCCACAACAATCATTGTATTTGTTCACCTGCTGCCTTTTCATGGTGAGGTGAATAACAACTGCTCCTCTCTGTTTCCTTGGATTACTTGAATAAAAGCCTTTCATACAATCAGGGCCAGGCCCTCAGTTTAAGCTAATATTGTTGTATGATTTGAGAGAGATAATTTTGGTTTGGGGGCTTATTTAACTGAATTTTTATGGTGATTTTTAACAAAATACATTCATTTCTTTAACTTTTTAATATGAATTCGAATATTAGCTAAATATTCAAGATAAATCAGAGGGCAATAATTTTAAAGAATGGGAAAACAAGATTGCTCAAATAAACCTATTCTGAAATGTATTTGTCATGCGTTGACATTTCTGCTAGAATAGGTGACCAATTCCTTAATAACATGGGTTTATTATTGGTTCCAGCCCCTGATTGTTCCAGATAGTAAACAACGGGACGCTCAAGCAACATCTTGGAATAAAAATGTAACTTTCATTGTCAAATGCATTTTTACCTGATACAACAGCAAGTAAAAGATTAAAGGACTAACACAAGTTTGAGGGTCTCAGTAATTAACAAATTTGATTGCCATTAGCTTTTCTTTTGCTTTTTATTATATATATGTATATATGGCAAAACACTTCTGGATACTTTATCAATTGCTCATATGACATTTCTTGTTTTGATACTACAGCTAAGTCATATTTCCCTATTGAGAAGTGGGAAAAGTTAGGCCAATATGCCAATAGAAATATCTATGATAACACTACTCCTTTAAAAATCATTCTACTGATTTTTTTTAAATGACTTACCTCAGTATGTCTGTGTGATATTCAAAGTGAAAGCTCATTTCTTTTTCCAGGTTGTAGGGAGGCTTCTGTGCTGACTATCTTCTGGCTTATTCATGAAAATGTCGTAAGCAGAGGAACGAGAGGCAGTGAGTAAAACAAACATAGAAACCCAGGAGAAAAGACGTGCCCTGGAGACCTGTGCTAATGGCAACGAAGGGAAGGAAGGGCTCCTCCTCTGAAACCTTCCCCATGTTAGCATGGATAGCTCACAGATCCCCTTTTCAGATGCTGAAATTGTACTTTAACCCAGAAATGTTTAGTCCAGAAATGTACTGAAACTAGTTTTTCCCCTGCTTAAACAAGGCATGTCATAAGCTTGCATATCAATATAGCATATAGTGTGCAAAGATAATGTAGCTTCTTGACATCTCTGATATATAGAGTTATACCAGGGCATAGAAATTGAATCTCCTGTTTATTTTAGTAACTGTTTAAAATGGTTTAGTTTGTTTTCAAATCAAGTAATAGAACAGAGTTGTTTTAAAAGCCCATTTTTATAGCAATTTCTGGCTAAAAGTCCTGAAAAAATAATCATGCTAGCAATGTATAGCTGGTTCTGAGGGGAGATTAACCAGTCAGGAGAACATGAGCAGTTTTGCTGCTTTGAAATGATTGGCATTTTTTATGTCTCTATCCATGTGCAATAAGATGAAAAAGTAATATTTTCAGAATAGAGTGCCCAGAAATAAACTCACATAAATATACTCAACTGATCTTTGGCAAAGGAGCAAAGGCAATACAATGGAGAAGACAGTCTTTTCAACAAATAGTGCTGGAACAACTGCATATCCAAGTGCAAAAAAAAAAAAAAAGGATCTAGATACAGACCTTACATCTTCTAAAAAAATTAACTCAAAATCAATCACAGACCTAAATATATAACATATAACTCCAAAACTTCTAGAAGATAACATAGAAAACAATCTAGTGACCTAAGGTTTAGCAACGACTCTTTAGAGACAACACCAAAGACACAATCCATGAAAGAAAGAATTGATAATCTGGACTTCATTAAAATTAAGTATTTCTGCCCTATGAAAGACACTGACAAGAGAATGGAAAGAGAAGCCACCTATTGGGAAAAATATTTGTAAAAGAAATATCTGTTATAGAATTGTTATCCAAAATGTACAAAGAATTATTTAAATGAACAATAAAAATAATACTATTAACAAGAGACCAAAGACCTTAACGGACACCTCACCAAAGAAGATATACATATGACAAGCATATGAAAAGATGCTCCACATCATATATCATCGGGGAAACACAATTAAAACATCAGTGAGCTACCACTACAAACCTATTAGAATGGCCAAAATCCAGAACGCTGACAACAACAAATGTGGGTGGGAATGTGGAGCAACAGGAACTCTCACTTATTGCTGATGGTAATGCAAAATAGTACAGCCATGTGGGAAAATAGTTGGGCAGTTTCTCACAAAACGAAACATACTCTTACCGTGTGATTCAGCAATTGTGCTTCTTGATATTTACCTCAAGGAGTTGAACCTTATGTCTACACAAAAACCTGCACATGGATGATTATAGCAGCTTCATTTATAATTGCCAAAACTTTAAGCAACCAAGATGTCCTTTACTAGGCGAATGGATAAATTGTGGTACATCCAAACAATAGAGTATTATTCAGCATTAAAACGAAATCATCTGTCAAGCCATGAAAATATGTGGAGGAACCTGAAATGCATATTACCAAGTTAAAAAACCCAATCGACAAAGACCACATACTGTTTGATTCCAACTATATGACATTCTGGAAAAGGCAAAACTATGCAGGCAGCCAAAAGATCAGTGGTTGCCAGAGGTAACTGGGGAGAGTGGGATGAATAGGCAGATCCCAGAGGAATTTAAGGCAGTGAAACTACTCTGCATGATACTTTGATTGTGAATGTATGTCATTATTAATGTGCCCAAGCCCATAGAATATAAACACCAAGAGTGAACCTTAATGTAAACTATGGATTTGGGATAATAATGACTTCTCATTTAGGCCTTTTTTTTTTTTCTTTGTGACTCACTAAAATGTCTTGGGTTCACCTTGTGTCTTACCTGTTCAAGATTTGGAGTCAGTCATTATTTTTAGACACTGTTCCTTCTAGAGAGGAGTGGCAGTTTGAAATAAAGTTCTGAGTGCTAGGTATTTTCACTCCTATGAGGATGTTATCGCTTCTAGGCCACTTCAGTAGACAGAGCCAGGAAATAAATTGTTAAAAATTATAAATTTGGGTTGATATTTTGGGGTTAAATTTAATATATGGAACTTTTTATAACTTTTTATTCTATATTTGTAACTCTTTTTAACACGGAAAAATCATTTTATAGTAACACTATATTTATTTTAAATTACTTATTCTACAATATTCATAAGTGGTTTCAAATTATAATACCAGTATATTACTATTATAAATTTAAGTATAGATTTTGAAGTTTTCTCTGTAGTTTAAAATTTTTTAAATTTTTTGGTCTGTAGAAAGTATTCTATAAAGGATGGATATTTAGAACACTGTACTCAAAATTTATTTGAAATAATACTTCTCTCTGTGTAGCTATATTATAAATTTGATGTATTGACTTATCTATATCTCTATGATTAATTGTTACTGTTTTTTTCTGCTTTAGTTTTACATTAGAATATATAATCTTGATTAAAATCAAAAATAAGTAAAAATTATACTCAAAGTAATATGGTTTTTATTCCTATTGCTCCACCTCATTTCTACATCCATACATAGGTAACGAATTTCATTACTTTCTGGCTTATGTTTCCTTTGTTTATTTTAGAAGCAGTAGGCAAATATGTGTGTAGGTAGATTAATTCATATTTTATTTTCATGCAACATATTGTATAAAATCCAGAGTCACTAAATTTTGTGTAAGAATAAATCAATGTCTTGATTTTTTCTACATAGTATTTCCTATAAATCATTTTATCTTAATACATAGAAATTTTCCTCATTCTTTTTCATGACTCTATATCATAGACCTTTTATTGCACCACTGTTTATTCAATATATCCCTTATAAACTAAAATTAAATGAAATTTTGCACCTACAAGTGAGGTCTAATGCGTATGTTGTTTGTATTTGAGGAGTTATATTCTAGCATCCATTTATAAGAAGCTCTGTTTGTAAAATTACCAACAAAGTGTTTTTTCAAACTTTTGAATTTCTGCCCATCTTAGAAATACCGATGACATAGTAGTATTAATTTGAATTTCTCTCATTATCGGTAATATTGATACTTTCTTATTTAGTGGCCATTTTCCTTTTTCTTTTATTTTCTGTGATTGGCTTATTAATATCTTTTTTTTTTTTTTTTTTTTTTTTTTTTTTTTTGAGATGGAGTCTCGCTTTGTCACCCAGGCTGGAGTGCAATGGTGTGATCTTGGTTCACTGCAACTTCTGCCTGCCAGGTTTAAGAGATTCTTCTGCCTCAGCCTCCCAAGTAGCTGGGACTACAGATACCTGCCACCACGCATGGCTAATTTTTGTTTTTTAATAGAGACAGGGTTTCACCATGTTGGCCAGGCTTGTCTTCAGCTCCTGACCTCAAGTGATCGCCTGCCTTGGCATCCAAAGTGTTGGAATTACAGGCTCGAGCCACCGCACCCGGCCTATTAATGTCTTTTGACTTAGATACTCAAGCTTTTTTTCAATTTTGAAAATATTTAGATGTCCAAGAGTAGTGAAGATGGTACAGAGTTCCCGTATACACTTCACCCTGTTTCCCAATGTCAGCATTTTACAATATCATTGTACATTTACTGAAACCAAGAACTTAGCATTGTTACAATACTGTGAACCGAACTGCAGACTTTATTCAGATTTTACTAGTTTTCCACTAATATTATTTTTCTGTTCCAGTATACCGCATTGCATTTAGTTATCTCGTTGGTCTCTTCCAATCTGTAATAGTTTCTCAGTCTTTATTTTCTATGACTTGGATACTTTTGAAGAGTATTGGTCAGGCATTTTGGAAAATATCTCTTTGTTTGTGTTTGTCTGATGTTTTCTCATGACTAGACTGGGCTACTGGGTTTTTAAGAAAAATACCATGAAGCCGAAGTGCGCTTCTCATCACACCACGTCAGAGGAATATGGTATAAACATGATTCATAACTTGTGATATTAACTTTGATTACTGGTTAGGATGGTTTTGATTTGGTTTCTAAACTATAAAATTACACTCCCCCAATTTTCATTTTCTATATGTTAAAAGTGAGTAACTAGGTTTAGTTTACACTCAAGAAAAGGAAAATTACACTCTACTTCTTGACGGGAGGGCATCAAGGAATTGGTGGATATACGTTAAAACCATCATATTATTTTTTTAAAATTTCATGAATACACTTTTCAGACATGAAAATATCCTCTTTCTCTTTAAAGTTTTACCCACTTATTTTAGCATTTGCCTGTGGATCTTGCCTGTACCAATTATCATGTGATGTTCTAAGATATTTTTTCTTTTTCCCATTCCTTCTACGTTTATTCTTGGGGATTCTTCTGTAAAAACATATTTGTTCCTTAAAACTCATTTAGTTATTTATTGGGACATTTACTTTTATAAACATAGACTTACAAGTTTCTATTTTATTATTTCACTTATAATCTAACATTATTTTTATTTATTTTGTTGCTCAAATAGTTTCGGATTATTGGGAGTTGTTTCACACTGGCTCGTGTTTTTTTTCTTTTACTATCTATTTTCTAGCATTACAGAATCCATTATGCTGTACTTGTTTTTTGCCTGCCATGTTTCATGAGCACATAGACATGCAAAAAACTTTTTTATTTTGAAATATTTGTATGCTTACAGAATATTTACAAAAGTAGCGTGAAGTTTTGTTTTTGTTTTTGTTTTGTTTTGTTTTGTTTGAGGCAGGGTCTCACACTGCCTTGTACAGTGTCAGGGTCTCACACTGTGGTCATACAGTGGCACGACCACAGATCACTGCAGCCTCGGCCTCTGGGCTCAAGTGATCCTCTCACCTCGACCTCTCAAAGAGTTAGGATTACAAGCATGAGCCACCGTGCCCAGCCTCGAGTTTTAATACATCTGTCATTCAGCTTTTCCTAATGGTAACATCTTATGTAACCATAGTACAATTGTCAAAGGAAAGCAAATAATTCCCCCATCTTTTCTTATCATTTATGAACTTGACACTTTTGAAGAGTACTGGCAAAGTAGTTAGTTCACAGAATCACTACCCTCAATTGGGTTTATATGATGTTTTCTCTTTTTCAACTGAGGTTAAGTGTTTTGAGGAAAAATACTATAGGAGTACTGAGTTGCATATTTTAAAACCTGTTTAAGTCCCAGTTTTCTTCTTATCTATAAAATGAAATAAGTGCCCTCCTCATAGGTGTGCTGTGATAATTAAATGAGACAGTAAATAAAGTGCTTAGCACAGGACTTGATGCAAAGTAAGGCTTTGATAAAATGTTAGGCGTACAGTTTCCATCATCATCATCATAGTTATCATTGTCATTATTATTATCACTATTATCTTCATTTCCACCATTATTGTGTCAAGAGATAGGTATTGAACACCCAACAGTTTGGTCTTCTGGACTCAAGTGTCACACCTTGCCCTCCTCATACTCTTCCTACACATATCGACTATGTTAATCCATAAACAAACCAAATATATATTTGATCCACTTGATCAAGTTATCTCACTTCTTAAAATCTTTCTCTTATATCACGTAACTATCCATCACCTACAGAATTAAGTTTAAACTTCCTCATGTGACACCAAAGTCCTTTATGGCCTAGATTCTGCTTCTTTAGGCTTATGTCCAACTAGTGCTTTGAAAATCTGCTTGCAGGTCCTCACATTAAAGACACTCTGTCTCCTCTTTGTGTCTTAACTCATAGTTTTCTCTGCCTGGCTATTTTTCCACAGCATTCCACTTCTACCACCAACAAACTTCCATTATCATGTAAGATTCAACTCCAATTTAATCTCTCTCCAAAAGCTTTTTTTCCTTTTATAACTTGTGATAATACCTGTTTCCTTTTCTTCCCATAATACCCATTCATGCATTCATTTATAGATTAAATAGATATTTCTTGAACACTTACTATATTCCAGGCTGGGTGTTAACTAGCAGCCTCGATAAGAGCAATCCTATAAGAAATAGGATTGCAGGTGTCCAACCAGAGAGCTATGGCAAGAATGATGACCAACTGTATACATTCTGGTTTGTTCTATATTGAGATTGCTGGCAGAGGTAGCAAAAAATAAATCTGTTTTGAGTCACTGAAGTTTTTAAAGGCAAACACATTTAGAACTTTCTGAACACTTATACTCACTATTAATACTTATTTGAAGAGAGTCAGAAACTTAAGGGGTAAGCTTCCTTTAGAAAACTTACCCTCCAAGGATTAAAAAAGGGGAAGTCTTAAATTTATGTCTCAGCATTAACCAGGCTCTTCCCTACAAAGATGGATACTTGAGAACAAGGGCAAAAATATAACTTCAGGAGTAAAATTACTTGGAACACGTTACAGAAAGGAGAAATAAAATTTAAGGCTAAGAAAATAGGTTATGATTTATTAACCTGACCACGTATTCTTGCTTTTCAGAAGTTGCTCAGAGTGACTTTTGGCTATTTCAAAATATGCACCTCAAAAGATCATATTTGGAAAGAATAAGATTAAAACTAGATGGTGAAGTTTTAATAGATTCTTTCATTCATTCAATTTCCTTTCTTTTTTATAAAGTACAGTAAATTATTGTTCAATGATTCTGTTTTTGTCCTGTCTAAGCAAAAATATTCTAATTTTTCTTGACAATATCTGAACATTTTAATGGACCAGTTCACTTAGATGTTAGCCACTGTTTTTGAGAAAAATGAGAAGAGCTTGAAACTCTCTATGGATACCTATAGTGCCCTTAAATTCAGCTATAATTTAATCAATTATTAAAGAAATGTGGTCAATATGTGTAGAGTTGAGTAGCAATGATAAATTGACAACAATCGCTTTTTAAAAATTAAACTCCTATGTGCCAATGGCTATGCTAGGTGCTTTACATACATGATCTAATTTAACTTTTACAATAGTCCTTTAGATGAATATTAATATATCCCTGTTGAGCAGCATCTCAAAGAGATTTTCACTTGCCTAGGGTCAGTTAGTTAACAGGGGGTCTGGGATTTAAACCTGTATATGCAGGATTTGAAATTCTGTGCTTTTTCCCTATATTTATTTGTTGTCATGCGGATGCTGGGATGAGGGCAAAAGTATGGAATAAGATGATAGCAGAGAGACACCCTCACTTGGCCAAGCATCACAATAAGTATAAGTAGCTTTATCAGAATATGGAACTCCAGGATCCATTGAGATATAGTGAATCCGCAATGATTTTTAAAGGCATTGGGTGATTTAGATACATCCTGTCCATGGAAAAGGGTTGAGCAACCACTGAAATTGCATATTAACAAAACATCTGAATTATATTGTATAAAAAGACAAGGACATTTGTCCTTGCAGAGAGAAAAAACACAGCTTAGTGGGAGAATTACTTGGGAATCTTTATAGAAAGAAGGAAAAATTTATGGCTAAGAAATTAGGTTATGATTTATTAACCTGATCTCCTAATCTTACTTTTCAGAAGTTGCTTTGAATGACTTTTGACTATTTCAAAATGTGCACCTCAGAAGATTGTAATTTACTACCTCTGAAGTTATTCAAAAGAATTTGCTACAGGCTCTCAAAGGCAATTCCAAAATAGGAGTTTCACAAATTATATGAGTAATGGAAGTTTTGTGTAGTTTCTCAAAGGAAGAGGCCAGGGCTTACTTGTATAGGTCTGACACAAGTTTCAAGAGCTTTTTCTATTTTTCAAACAACATATTTAAAATAATCACATAATTTTGTGTTAAAAAGTGAGTTTCCATATTGCTCAATTCACAGTTTAAAATGTGCCCCTATAGTGTAAAATAACAATATAAGATTGGACAGTCAATTGAAAGAAAATAAAAGAAATTTGGCATTATAATTAAGGGATAATAAACATGTTTAAAAATGAGAGTTCGGGTTTTTGTATTTTATTGATATATATATCATATAGTTTAATATATAGGGAACAATTTGTAGAATCCCAGGTCTGGGAGGATCTTTACCCTCTAGCCCCACTGCCCATTCTTTAGTTGAAACCCTTTTTCAATATTGTTGTAGAGATGAGATAATATGTGATCAGACACATCTAGTGATAAAAATTTAATTTCTTGAGTATCCCTTTTAATCTTAATACACTCTTGATATAAAGAAATTTCTTCTTTTGAGATGAAATCTGCTTTCTTCTTGCATCTACCTATTTTCTGCTCAACTCCCTAACACCCTACCAACTAGATTACCTTCCTTTGCCACACTCTAACCTTAAGGGTTCTGGTGATTGCTAAATGACCATCCTTCTTCTTTAAACTAGTCATTTCCATTCCTTTAATGTCTTTATACAGCATGGTTTCAAGCCACTTCATTCAGGATGTGCTCCCTTAAAACAATCTTAGTTTCTCTATATCCCTCTCAAATGTGTGTATCCACAAGCATTTTGAAATAAAAAAAAATGTTCACTAGATACTTTGTATTTATGATTGCATAATAAGGGAATATGATGTAGTAGAAGGACATCTCATCTGTCTAGGTTAGGATTTTTTTTGGTTATTTCTCCTTTCATGTTTGTCTTTCTCCATTGGACTATTAGCTCTCTGAAGAGAACAGAATTTTTTTTTTGGTCATTACTCTAGTATTACTCCCCATGATTAGCATAGTGCATGTGCTGTGCACAGTTAGTATTACATTTATATCCACTAGTTGAACAGATGAATGGATGCATGTTAACGTCTGTGGCATAATTATGATTTTAACTCAATAATAAATTACTTTTACTTTCAGTTGGGCTCTGATACAAACTGGTTCATGATAGTCAATCTCATAATCTATTTTTTCCAAGAGCTATAAAATCTTTCTAGTATGACTTTTTTTACAAAGAAGAAAACATCACATATCAAGAGGATATATCTTGGAGGATGAGGTGATTTTTGACTTGTGTAGTAACCAAGTTATTGATGTCTTTTTTCCCTTGCAATTTTTTTTTTACTGCTCTGTCACTTTGGACTGACATAAGTATTAGGTGATTATTTAGCTGATTTGAAATAGCCTTGATGTCATGGTCTCAATATTTTAATCAATATTATGGATGAGTAGAATTATGAGAGGCTGATCAATGTACAAATAGCATATATATGGAATATGCTGCAAATACGCTGGAATATTAATCACAATTGATCTCAGCAGGTTGGAATAATGCTGTAATTTCCTCCTTTTTAATCTATTGCCTAGAAAAGATACAAGAATAAGTCATAATTATATAGCCAGACTTGAAAATTCATGGCGGGCCAGAACTATGAAGACATCGAAGAGATGGGAAGCAGATAGGAAGTGGCATCAATCAGCTGAGTTTTCACAGTAAGCTTTGAAGACCATTTTAGAAATCATGCAGGGCACCTGTGGGAGAACCTTGTCCCATAAAATGGCACATAATGAAACAAGTGAAAGAGATTCGGGGCCTAGAAAGGTTTTGCTAATGCTGAAAAGGGAACCAAATACTATCTTAGGCTGCATTAATTGAATAAGGGAGGTAGTAGCCCTGTTTCCTATGGATGTACGGAGTTTTATATTCTTTATCAGGAGTCATTATTAATAAAACATGATTAAAAGCTAATACTTCTCAAAGAGTAGCAGCTGAGATGGAGAGAAATTTTAGATTTTCTCATTTGAGAAAGAACTAAGGAGATTGAAATAATCGTTCTGAACTGTGTGTATACTTTGGAATCATTGGAGATTTGTGTTTATTTTTAATACACATATGGATTCTTCTCCTCTGAAGGATTCTTACTTCTTAGATCTGGAATGAGCAGAGTATATGCATTTTAAAAACATTTTTACAGATGGTTCACATTTATACCTCTGGTTGAGAATCATCAAACTAGAAGTAGCTTAGAAAAGAATATTAAGTAGGATATAATGATTGTCTACAAACACAAAAATGACAAAGTTACTACTCACCGAATCACCTGGGAAAGCCTGTTGCTCGATTTCCACCTGGGGTTTTTTACAAATTCTAAAATTAATAGCTAACTAGATGTGGGCCAAGGGAAATGGCTTTTGGGTAACTAGTGGGCTGGGGTAAATATTGCTGGCATAGAAGCATTGTGCTTCCTTTTCTCTATATTCTATATTCTCTTTTCAATCCCCACTTCAACACTCTTCTGTGCCAGGGTAGCCCAGGCCCTTGGGGGTGATATGGGTCTGAACTAGGACTAGGACTAGGATGGGACTAGACCTTAGATAATTATGCATGGTTTACAATTTAGCAAAGATATCAAATTCATTAGCTCTTTATTTAGAACCTTTCTCTCATTATTGCCACAGCAATATCAGATTTGTAAACAGACTTAACTCATTGAGAAGTTAAGTCACTCATCTGTCCTGCAATCTCGGCCAACTTGGTGTTTGAAAGGTGAGATAATTTTCTGCTTTGAAAAGGTCTGCAATATTTCCTTTTTATTACAAAGTAGTTAAAGGCAGTCATGCATGCCCACAGTTCCTTCACTCTTCCATCTCTGTCCACTATACTTTACTCTCCAAATTTAGTAGCTCATGGACAAATGGGGGATTTTTCTGGTTGTGTTTGTAATGATCTGACCTTGAAGATGAGGAAAGGTAAGGTAGGGAGTTTAGGAATTTTCCTCTCAAATATTCTTATGATTTTCTCACCTAGGAAAAGGGCGGCAGAGATCATATGATGTCTAGCTTAGAATGTGAGCATACTTTGGCTTTAAACTTACAATGGTTCAAACATAATTTTACTCTAGTATCTGAGACTTGCCTAGAAGGTTGTTTCACTTGCTTGAATGTTACCACAGATTGTCTTCCTAAATAAGCTAAAGCAGTCAGGCTCATAGTGGTCTCACAGCCCTGAAAGAAAAGAATCAGTAAGATCAGGCAGGTCTGCTTCTCATAGGTAGAGTGGGGGCAATGTTGGGAGAGAATGGACCTGTGATGAGGAGGTGGAATGGACACCTCACATTTGTGTCTTCAGAAGGGAATCTGGGACCCAAGTATACCCTGCCTAGAAGAAAACCACATAGTTAAAAATAAAGGCTCAGTGCAGACAACTAGTTAGCCAAAGCATCTTTTATGTTCCCTCTGTCAACAGTCCTATCTATCCTAAAGAAGAAAGAATACTTTCTTAGGTATTCTTTAGGACCAAGAAGATGAGAACAGAGAATTAAGTATCTGGCTACTTTTATCTTTTCCATTTTTGTCTGCAGCAGACAAACAAATAGGCTCTTCTCCACTGCTCCCCTCATTTATCTTGGTATTGGTATAAAATATTTTTATAATGCGTTACTTAATTCCTCAGTCTGTAAAACTAACCTCCTACTATTACTTTTAAGAAAAGTACCAATAGAAGTTTTTCCCTCAGCTCAGGATGAATTTAATGGGACTCTTGAAGCCATGTTCGTATTTTAAGCCTCTCATTTAAAAAATACACCTCTTAGGCTTTATTAAAGAAATTTCAGACATGGTGGATGTAGATGAAGTTAGTGTGAGTGTGGAGTATATTTTGGAACATACAGCTGTCTCAGGGCTCCTACATTTTATATCAAGAGATGAAAACACTACCAAGTCCTGATGATGGCACTAAGAGCAGACTCCTGTATTAAAATCTCCATCACTCCTGAGGTTTTCCCAGCTATAACTCCTATATGCACAAAGGGCCCTTTAAAATGAGTTAATGACTTTGATTTTGTATCACCAGCTCCATTTATTTATCGATATTCTTACCCTCAAAAATCTATTTCAGGCCGGGTGCTGTGGCTCACGCCTGTAATCCCAACACTTTGGGAGGCCAAGGCGGGCGGATCACAAGGTCAGGAGATCGAGACAATCCTGGCTATCACAGTGAAACCCCGTCTCTACTAAAAACACAAAAAATTAGCCGGGCGTGCTGGCGGGTGCCTGTAGTCCCAGCTACTCGGGAGACTGAGGCAGGAGAATGGTGTGAACCCGGGAGGCGGAGCTTGCAGTGAGCAGAGATCCCGCCACTGCACTCCAGCCTGGGCGACAGAGCCAGACTCCGTCTCAAAAAAATAAATAAATAAAAATCAATTTCATCACTTCTAAATGATTGACAGAGAACGTTCCTATCAGTAAGGTCATAATGCATGGTTATTTTATGTTTGGGCCTTGGAGTAATCGGAACCTAGGCTTGAATTCCAACCCCTACATTAATTAGGATGACCTAGAGCAAGCTACTTAACCATCCTGATTCGCAGGTTCCTCACTGTAGAAAGGAAATGATGTTCAACCTCAAAGGGAAAAGACAGAGTATCTATTAAGTGCTTGCTGTAGAGTAAGCAGCAAATAAATATTGGCTCATATTTTGATGGTCACTTAACTTACAGAAAAATCTTCTTGTTTTCTTTTTTTCATCAGTTAAGCTGAGGCATTAAAAGTCATAGCAATGATGATTTTAAAAGTTATTGATAACGTCAACTAAGAAGAGGTGAAAAGTCAGACTGCAAAGCAGTAAGACAAGGTGTTTGTTGGGGTCTTAGGAATTGCAATTTGGGAGACACAGATTTAGCTAGAAGCCAAATTGTGTTCTGAAGAGAGGGAGGAGTGTAGGGGTTTTTGTGTGTGTGTGTGTTTTTTTTTTGTTGTTGTTGTTGTTTTTTAGAAAGCTCAGGGAAATTACACAAGTTGTTTTGAAAGAATTATCATTCGTGGAGGTAGCTGTCATAGCACATGGGTCCATAATTCATTCGTTGTTGCCATTGAGGAGCTGCAGTGCTAGAGAAATTCAGCTGTTTCCAGGATGTTATGGTCTGGTGGTTTGGCCCAGTTTAAAAATTCCAGGCAAGTTTCTATAGTAAGTTTCTGGGTTTTGATTTTTGTTTTTTGATTTTTTTTGCATGGTTGCAGGTCTTGCAGGCAGTCGTTAGAATGGCTTCTTGACTGTTTTAGAGCTCTGAACTTGAGTGATGACATTTTGTATATCACATTTCACAATAATAATTGTAATTTAATTTTACTTTTACTATAGTGGTAAATTTATGGGTATCATCTGGCATATAATAAATATTCTTATCCTCATGTTTCTGAGGAGGAGAGCAAAACTGGAAATTAAAGCTAAATATTCTAAGTAAAATGTATACTAACCCCCACTGCCTTATCCAAAAGAAATCTTCTATGCTGTTTTAGAATTTCACTTTTTCCGTTATCTTTTTTTGATTAAACTTGGCCTTTTTCACAATGAGTGCTATAAAAATCCAACTCTGAGACAGTAGTGGAAAAGATAACTTTAGGGGATGATATAAGCTGGAAACACATTTTGTTTATAGCACTCACTTTATCCCAGGGCATTCTAGATAGAATGAGGGCTGCCTCGGGCCACTGGCTTTTCAGGTATTCATTAATCCTGAAGAAAGCTTCAGGTTGGGGTCATTACTGCTTAATTACAGTTTGTGATTACTGGCACATTCTTCAGTGACCTTATTCTATGTGTTGGCCTGTTTGTTCACAAGAGAATCCATGCAGCTGGAAATTTTGGCTGACTAGAAAGTTTAAATGAGGATTTTTTTGGCTTGAATTGAAGGCTGTTCTTGCTGAAATGTCAACACATTTTTCTCCCATCTGGATATAGTTAATCACGGTGCTTGCTTTTATATACTTTTTTTTAATAAGCTTTGCTTTTGAGGTGTGCTTGAACTTATCGAAATGCTGTTTTAAAGCAGAGCTTCAAGCAGAAGTGCTCCTCTATCATTATTTACTCTTTGTGGGCATAACAGGGGAGGTTTTCTCATGAAGACTTCAGCGTCTTCAAACCTGTAATCTAAGCGACATCCTAGACTATGAAAAAATTGGAGGAAATTTAAATTTTATGAAGAATCTAAGAATAATATTGTTCTACAGTCATAGAAAAGGAGAGCTGATGTAGTAGCAAAGATAACTTGGCTAGGAAATGGTAAATCTGGCTGGATTTTATGCTGAATTACAGCTGATTACTGGGCAAAATAGTTTTACTTCCTTATTCACACGTTATTCATGCCACAGATACTTATTGAGTGCATCCTTTGAGCTACACACTGGGGAAGATATTGTGGATACCAAACTCTGGGAAAACTGGGATAGTGCTTTCTCTTTCGTGATTGTATCTATGATACCTTCACAGTGTGTGACAATACATAAACAAATGAGTATGGCTGGGCTCCAGTAAAATTGTATTTGTGGACAATGGAATTTGAATATCATATAATTTTTTGTATGTCATGAAATTTTTATTTTGAGTTTTTTCAACTATATAAAAATGTGAAAACTATTCTTAGCTTGTGGACTGTACACAGATAGCATGTGTACATGGCCTATGGGCTGTAGTTTAGCAACCCCTGATGTATACCACAAACAAAATAAAACATTAGCATGATCACTGCTAGTAATAGATCTTCTGGGTTTTATGGGAGCATATGGAGCTCTTGAGTGTCCGGGTATTGCTTAAGGAAATGATGGCTTCTATGCTGGAACCACAAAAAGAGAAAGGATACTCCTGTTAAAGCCAAAGAGAAGAGTATGTACAAGAGCCCAGAGGCAGGAGAATAAAGTATGACCAGAGTGTAAGATGGGAAATAGTGAGAAACGTGCAGTCTATAGAGGTAAGCAGGGGCCATATTATGAATAGCCTTGTATGTCGTATAAAGGATTTTGGAGCCGTAGGAAGCCTTTGGAAGGTTTTAAGTATAAGATTAAATTTGCAGTTTAAAATATCCCTATGGATGCACATGGAAAGTGGAATAGACATAGCTGTGTCCAGTATAATTTTACTTACAAAAACAAGTGGCAGGTCAGATTTGGCCTGTGGTTTATATTTTGCTAAACCCTACTCAAGAGTCTGACAGCCTGATTACAGTCTGATTTCCTAACTGACTGTTGTTTGTTTTGTTTTGTTTTTGTTTTTTCTGTTTGTTTATTTTGGCAAATTACTAAAATTCTTTAGGATCCTGTTCTTGTGAACTCTTCTTTTCAAGGAAAGGTCCATCAGAAGTCCATAAATCTAAAGGAAGATTGGAAAAACTTAAAACTTTCATTTACTATGTTTAAAGAAAGCAGTAACTCTGGGTAAATGTCAGACTAAAGCTACTTTATTTCATTTCATTCAATGCTATTACCACCTTTCCCCAGGGAATCTGTCCTTGTATAGGGTAATTTGCCCCATTACTAGTTTTGATATTTCCTTTTCCTCATGTCTGGGTCCTGTTTCCCAGCTCATGCTATTGAGGTTCCTGCATGACATTGGCCACACTGACTTGAGTTGTAAGATGATCAGCTAGTTAACTTGAAATCTAGGCTTAGTTTTCGAATTTCAGTAACTTCAAATCAAGTAGAGGAGAGGGAGGGATGAAGAGAGGCTGGTTAATGGATACAACTATACACTTAAATAGAAGAAATAAGACCTGGTGTTCAATAGATGAACAGAGTGACTTAATTAATATTAATCAATTGTACATTTGAAAATAGCTAGATGAGAATAATTTGGATGTTCCTGGTGTAAAGAAAAGATAAATAAGGTGGTGAACATCCCAGTTACCCTAACTTGATTATATGAATGTATCCAATTAGCACATGTATCCCCAAAAATGCACATCTGATATGTATCAGTGAAAAAAATTCAAGTAGAGAGTGGCAAGGACTATTTGCCAGATTATTTAATTTTAAAGACATTTAGCCAATTTTGATACCAAAAATAACAATTTTTCAAGTGGTGAGATCCCAAAGATTACCTAGAATTCAAATGTATATGAGAAGCAAAGTGACATAAAATGACAGACTCACATGAAAGCACTAATAAAGATGAATATAAGAAGACTCTATAGAAGTAAAGGCTTCTTTTTTATCAGAGGATTTAGCACAAAAATCCAAGGTTGAAAGTTTTGGCTATAAGAATAGATATTAGAAGTTTGAAAAGTCATGAACTTATTGATGTTCTGAAAAATTTGTGTAATTATTATTTTTTATTTTAAAAAAGAAAAAAACCAAGAGATCTTTACAAAGTACATTAGCATATGTAATGTATAGAAGAAAGATTCCTGAACTGGAGGGCTGATATGACCAGGGTTACAGTCTGTTACTCACTAGTTGCTGTTTATCTTTGAGCAGGTGATATGATGCCCTATGAAATGAGAAGGAAAGGGGTATTACTGTATTACTGTCTTGCCTTCAAATTTGCTCCCTACCTCTGCCACCTCATCATTCCAGAGCAGATGTAGAATGTCAGTAAGGGTAATTTTCCCAAACATGAGTCAATGTGCATGCTTAAAACATTAGTACTATTTATAATACTAATATAACAATTAATACAATATTATATTAGTACAATTATGCTAACAACAATTATTCATAAGTTAACCACTCAAAAAATTTTTAAAGTAAATCATACATTGATTGAAAGGCTTATATTGTATAGATGAAATTCTTCCAAAATGTATCTGTAGATTTTAATCTCAATCAAGGTCCTAGCAAGTAAATTATTTTTCCACTTGGGATACCAAGAACTCAAAAGACTTTTACCCCTAGCCTAACAATGAGAAAAAGCCAGATAATCTACAAAATCACAGCTTTTATTATAGCCATCAGAGAGTCCTGAGGTCACAAGACAATGAAGGAAACTGAATTCTGAGTAGTAACAGATCCCTTGATATAGGGAGGGCTGACACAAACCTTTTCAACTTTTACAGAGGATGGGAAGAATAAACAGCTTTCATAGAAGCATGTCAGAAAAAAAGTTAGCTAAGAATGTAAATGCTTTTTAAAGGCCAAGAGTGGGATAAGATTTCAGTTTAGATAAACGGAGAGCCCCAAACACAAGGAGCATTTGCCCTAACTCACAAATTGTTCTCCATGGGCCTCTACTAGGTGCTCACAGAGAGACTGGGTGCAAGGCAAGAGGCTGGAAAGCCCCGACCCTTGGCCTATAGTGGGGTAGATGTGCAGGAGCTAACTAAATGCCACTGCGTGACAGGCAAAAACACTGTCCACTTCTGCAGATCCTTCTTCCATAGGGAACAAAGGGCTTCAGAGACTGGGAGAGGACAGAAAACACTTTTACCATAAGGAATGCTGAAGAAAGAGCAGAAAAACCTCTTGGGTCAAGAATCATGCACCAGTACAAAGCAGAGATATGTTATCACTTGTGGAGGACCAGAAGACCATCTCTTGCCTGACAATTGACACAGATTTTAAAAAGAGTTTGGGTGCTATGGGAAGGAGAAGGAGAAGGGGAAGGAATGCTAAAAAAATACCTCATTCACAAGACCCATATGAAGAAGTCTTGCCTTACTTAGCCTGAGGTTGAACCAGGGGAACAAGAATCCTCCTCACCCCCACCATGCAGCTAACACTAAGTAACCAGCAGAAGCAAACCGCTGATGGAAAAGGGTTTAAAGAGACTCCTTCTGTGATTCAGACATTCAGGAACTGCTGAAATGGAGGGATAGAAAAAGAATAATAGAGCCCCTCCAGCAGCCCCATCCTCTGTACAGAAGATGGCAGCCCAATGCTGAAGGTGTTTGACGACTGGGTCACTGAGGATAATGACAGCAACAAAAAAAGCCAAACCCAACTCAATTATTGACTAGATTGAGTCAAACTCTCCCTGTACTAACAACCTGAGAGAACTCATTTCTAGGAATAAATACTATTTGCCTCAGACTCTACCGCTATTTGATATGTTATGTTTAGCATCTGATCAAAAGTTATGTGACTCACAAAAAGAAAACGAAAAGACCCTTTGTAAAAAAGATAAAGTAATTTGCAGAACTAGACACAGAGAGAATCTAGCTATTAGAACAATTAGATAGGAGTTTAAGATTACCATAATTAACAGGTTAAAATATCTAATAAAAAGGGTGGACAATATATATGAGTGAATGGAGACTTTCAACAGAGAGATAAAAATTAGTTTAAATGGCAAAATATTAGAAGTTAAGAAAAATGGGCTATCAGAGGTGAAGATTTCCTTTAACAGGTTGATCAGAAGACTAGACACATTTGAGGAAAGAGTGAGCTTGGAAGTAGGCTAATATAAATTACCCAAAATAAAACACAAAGAGAAAAACAATGCTAAAACAAAACAAAACAAAAAAACAAAGAAGCCAACATAACACCCCAGGGATGTGGGTCAATATCAATTGGTCTAAAATATTAACTAATTGGAATCTCAGAAGGAGAAAAGATATAGAAATAAGCAGAATAAATATTTGTATAAATAATGGCTGAGGATTTTTCAAAATTAATGAAAAACAGATCTATGTTGTTCAAAACAGATCATTCAACAAATAACAGATCCATGAAGCTCAGAGTACCCCACAAAGAATGTTTACGGTGTAAACATATCTGTATACGTCATAGATAAACTGCTGAAAATCAAAGATAAGAAGAGATCAGTGTAGGCAGCTGAAGAAACGTGAACATTTTAAACATGCTGTCTCTACATATGAACACACAGTGTCTCAGTCCATTCAGGCTCCTATAATAAAATATTAGAACCTAGGTAGTTTAAAATCATAATAAATTTATATCTCACAGTAGTGGGTAGTGGAGTAGTGGAGACTGGGACATTCAAGATCAAGCCATCAGCAGATTCAGCATCTGGTGAAGGCCCACTCTCTGGTTTATAGATAGCACACTCTAGGTGTGTTCTCACATGGCAGAAGGTGCTAGCTAGCTCTCTGGGGTCTCTGTTATAAGACCCACAGTGTTAGTCTGTTTTTCACTGTTATAAAGGAATACCTGAGACTTGCTAATTTGTAAAGAAAAGAGGTTTATTTGGCTCACGATTCTGCAGATGGTACAAGCATGGTACTCGCATCTGCTTGGCTTCTGGTAAGGCCTCAGCAAGTTTTTACTCATGGAGGAAGGTGAAGGGGAGCAGGTGTGTCACATGGTGAGAGAGAGAGAGAAGAAGAGAGAGGGGCGGAGGTGCCAACTCCTTTGAACAACCATCTCTTGTGTGTGAATTAATAGAGCAAAAACTCACTCTTTACCAAGGGAAGGGCACCAAGCCATTCATGAGAGATCTACCCCCATGACCCATACACTTCCCACTAGCCCCACCTCTTACATTGGGGATCATGTTTCAGCATGAGATTTGGAGAGGACAAACATCCAAATGATATCAGGCACTAATTCTAATTATGTGGGTTCTACCCTTATGACTTGATCACCTCCCAAAGGCCCTTCTACTAATTCCATCAACTTGGAGATTAGGATTTCAATGTATGAATTTGGGAGGGAAAAGTATTAAGTCTATTGGAGCATAGGTCAGTAAGAAGTAAAAAGATAGATTATATTCTATCTTTATAGATTATAAAGTGTTCAACAGATCAACAGAGTGACTTAGTTAACGTTACTAAAATTCTTCAGTTAACTTACAGTTTTGTTTTTGTTTTTGTTTTTACTAAATCTCTTCTTATCTTTATAGATTAGAATATAGATTATATTCTAATCACTAATTACAAGAATACTGGAGTGGCTGTATTAATGGAAGACATAATAGACTTCAAAATTAAGGATATTACCACGGATAAAAAGGGATATTACATAATAAGTAAATTAATTCATCAAGAAGACATAACAATCTTAAATGTTTATGTACCCAATTACAAATCTTCATATATATATGTATATATCTATTCCAATGTACAATATGCATATATGTGTGAGTATATGTATATATAAATATATATGTATCCCAATGAAATGCTCAAAAGAGAAATTGGTAAATCTACAAAGATAGTTAAAGATCAACATTGCTCTGTCTAATTAATAGAAAAAGTAGACAAAAATCAGTAAGGCTGTATAATACCTGAACGACACGATTAACCACTTGACTAAAATGACATTCAGAGAACAATTATTTTAATAACAGCAAAATACACATCTTGAAGGTACACATAAAATATCTACTGAGATATTTTATATTCTTGGCTGTCAGATAAAGCACACCAAATTTCTTGAATGGACTTATGCTAGAAAAATATACAGTGAATCTTCATATATTTGGAAATTAAACCACATATTTCTAAACAACTATTGTATCAAAAAGGAATTTAAAAGGGTCATTAGAAAACAATTTTAATTTAATGAAAATCAGAATATATTATACTTTATGTTATGCAGCTAAAGCAGTGCTTGAAGGAAAATTTATAGCATAAAATGCTTACACTTGAAAAGAAGAAAGATTTAATGTGATTTATCTTAGTGTGCTAAGGTTCCACTTTAAGACAATAGCAAAATAAAGGCAAACTAAATCCAAAGCAAGCAAAAAAAGAGGATATAATGAAGTTAGGAGTTAAACTAAAAGTAATTTTAAAAATAGGGAAAATCAATAAAGTCAAATGCTCTTTCTTGGGAAAGATCAAATTGATAGACTTCTAGACACAGATGATAAATAGCAAAGAAATGTTATGACTAGATCATACAGACCTTGAAGATATTAATAAGGAAATATTATGAGTATCTTTATTGTAATAAATTTGATGGCATGGATTAAATGGATCAATTTATAGAAAGACACAATCTACCAAAGCTAATTCAAGAGAAGGCAGATAAATAGCCTTCTATCTGGCAAAGATAATCTTTGCACAAGAGCACTCCAAAGAAAGATGGCTTCTCTGATTAATTTTACTAGAAATTTACATGCTACAACAATTCTTCCAGATAATATAAGAAGGAGGAATAGAATACTTCCAATTCAATTTAGGAGGCAAATATTATCCAAATACCAAAATATAGACAAAGACATTACAAGAAAAGAAAACTATAGGTCAAGATTTCTTACAAACATAGATGCAAAAATCCTTAAAAATAACATGACAAAATGGAATCCAGGAATAAATAATGATAATGCATCATAACCAAGTAGGATTTATCTGAGAAATGCAAGGTTGGTTCAACATTGAAAAATCAATATATAAATTCATTCAAACAGACATAAAATCTACCAGGTTAGTCTTTAGAAATTGATAAACTGATTCTAAAATTTATTTTGAAATTGGAAATGTCAAGAATAGTCCAATCGTGAACCCAATTCTCAAAGAAAAAGAAAACCAAAGACTAACAATGCCAGATGGCAAAATTACAGTAAATAAGACAATGTAATATTGGCACCAGGACAAACCAATAGAACTGAAGTGCAGTTCCAGGAACAGGCCAAGACACATGTAGTCACTTAATTTATTACACATTTTGCAATGTAGCACTGTGGGAGGAAGGTTGGTCTTTTCAACAAGTACTTGGTTAACTGAATATACAGATGAGAAAAATAAGTCTTGATCTCTACCATAAAATATAAACAAAAATAAATTCAGATAGTAGTCTGAAATTTGAAAGTTAAAATAGTAAGTTTTTTTAAAAAACTGAAAATTACATGTGCTTAAAATGGGCATTTACTTTAAAATATACAAAACTTACTGACTTTAAAGAAGAAAAACCAAATTGAGCTAGTAGATTAAGAACTCCTGTTCGTGAGAATACTTCATTAAGAGAATAAAAATATATGTTACAGAGTGGGAGAAGATTTTTTGTAACACAGATGTCTAACAAAGGATTTTTACCCAGAATATATTAAGAACATCTTCCAATTAATAAAAGAGGTCATGGGCGGGGAGGTCAGCAACACAATTGGGAAATGATTTAAATGGGCACTTTATAACATAGGATACCAATTGGCCTGTAAACATATGAAGAGATCCTCAACTTCATTAAGAATCAGCAAAATTCAAATTCAAAACTGCAATATGATCTCACTACCCTCTGGGGAAAATGTAAAAGACAGAAAATACCAACTGTTAGTGAGGATGTGAAGCAACTGAAAATGTAAATTGGTATAACCACTCCGAAAAAATAGTTGGCAGTATCTAACAAATCTGAATATATATATTTATATTTATACATTATATGACCCAGCAATTGGACTCCTGCCATATTCCTAACAGAAGTGCATACATTTGCTCATCAAAAGACATATACAAAATAAGCTTTGTAGAAGTCTTATTCATAATAGTGAAAAGTACCCAAATATCCAACCATAATAGAAGGATAATTAAATATTGGTATGTAGCAATACAATAGAGCAGTGAGAATTTTAAAAACTCTAACTATATGCAATTACATCGATGGTTCTTAAAATATAATGCTGAACCAAAAAAGCAGAGATAGAAGAATACATAGTTTATGATTCCATTTATATAAATTTTAAAATGGGATAAAATATGTTTTGCAACACTAAGATTCTAGATGGTCACTGCTTTTGAGGGCAGATGGTAGGAGGTGGTCACAGATGAGCTTCTGGAGTGTTGGTGATTTTTAAATTTCTTGATCTGGAAGCTGGTCAAATGCGTATGTTTACTTCATGACAACACATTAAGCTGTATACCTGGAATTTTTGTACTTACTATATTTATGTTTTATTCCAATATTTTAAAAATTTACATACAATATGCGCTATTAAATTTGGAGACCACAGACAATATTCATGAAAAATGAGATTAAAAAGAAACACATCTCTATGTGGGCAGATAATAGTAAAACTTCTCAAACAAGGTGAAAAAAATATTCTGCCATCAGCCAAGATGAGGAAACTGTGACTGGATTTACCCTTCTGCCTAAAACAGCTAAAATCCCAGAAAAAATCTCTGAAACAGAAATTTTTTAGACATTGGACCTTAGGCCGCATGGGACAGTTATACCTGGGAGAGGAAAAGCAAATAAAGTGAACATTATGATTGCACCAGGTAACTGTCTAGAGAGTTTCCATGCTGCAGCATGAAGAGAAGATACCAGGCAAAGCCTGGAAGTCCCTGAGTTGAGGAGACAGAGTTGGGTGTCCTCAGAAACCACGATATAAAGTATATAAAGAATATCCAAAATAAATGTCCAAAGATAAAAATTACAATGTTTAATATAAAAAATACATTGGATGAGATTAATAGCATATTAGACAATGCAGAAGAAAGATTAATGATTCATGTGTAAATAGAAACTATAATAAACAGTATTAAAAGATTGAAAAAATATGAGTATTACATTAGTGAGATAGGGGACAACTTTAATTGGCCAAATATCCATCTAATTGGAGTTCCCAAAACAGAAGAGAGAAAAAATAGTGTAAAAATACTGATAGCCCAGTCCATGCTCTAGAATAATTGAATCAGAATACCTGTGGGTGGCATCTGGAGATCAAGAGTTGGACAGGAATGGTATATGCGTGCTGAGAACAGGATAAATCAATGGCCTAGCCTGGTGAAAGTGGCTTTCCAAACCAGGATATATGTTATTGACCAAAATGGAAGTGGAATCTGACATAGTGGGTTTTTGGAAGGAGCAGAACCTGTGACATGAAGGAGAAAGCCAAAGCTACGGGAATTTACATAAGGGCGGTCTTTTGTGAGACTTGGCAAGGAGACAGCAAAACATTGATCTGATTGGTGGTTAAGAAGGTGATTATTTCAGAGAACCTGTAATAAGATCATAGGATCCTATTATAAGATAATTTCTGCTCCTCACTGCTCTGAGTTGATAGATTTTCAGGACCCAGTCTTGCCATTTCCAAGTAATGTAATTATATTTTGTGAGCAAGAGATATGATCCTCAAAAGATATCTTGGTGGCTGGAGCAACATCCCAAATGGAATCAGCTGAAAATTTCCAAGATTCAAGATTGCACAAAATTAATATTAACCCACTCTTAAAAGAATGTGTATTTCAAGAGGGGAAGTGAGGGAGAAAAGACACACACAGTGAGGGAGAAAAGACATATACAGATTAGCTTTTAGTTTCAGACTCTGCTATTATTTTATCTCTAATCTTGTCTCCCAAAAATGGATTGTAAATATTTTGTAAATACCATGAAATTAGGAATATATCTTATCCTTAAGTTTTTACCACTAGCATAGCATTAGGTGTTTAATTAATATTTGTTTAGTAATTTGATAGGCAAAAATGTATTCGTTGTGTATGTCAAACCGATGAATTGAATGCTCCCTGAGATTTTGTTACAGCTCTTAATCTATGGGAGTTGTTATCTTGGGCTAGCTAATGGCAACTCTGCTTTATAAACACATACACGTTTTGATGTAAACTTTTAATTGAAATATATCTACAAAAAGCACAGAGATCAATAGTGTATGGCAGAATAAACTTTTACAAAGTGAACAAACTTATGTGATCAGCACCAGGATTAAAAACAGAACATCACCTGGATCCCAGAAGGTCTCTTCTGTCTCCTTACATTTGGTAACTTTCTAAGAGTAACCACTATCTTGAATTGTGACACCATAGATTAATTTTGCAATCTTTTGAGCCTGGCTTCTTTTGCTGTATATTTGTGACTTATATCTGTATTTTTGTGTATAGTTACAGTTCATTCTCACTGCTAAATAGTACTTATTGTCTAAATATGCCACTATTTATTTATTCAGTCTACTGTTGTTAGATATTTGAGTAGCTTCCTATATGGGGATATTATAAATAGTGCTGCTATGAAAATTCTTGGACATGTCTTTTGGGGAATATGCTTATGCATTTTGTTAAGTTTGTATCTAAAAGTAGAATAGCTGGGTCAAAGATATGCACAGCTTAGCTTTAGTAGATACTGCCAAGCATTTCTTCAATTTATACTCCCACCAGCAATATATAAGAGTTCCAGCTGCTCTACATTGTTACCAACATTTGGAATTGTTAATTTTTTTTAATTTAAGCTTTTTTTGGTGTGTAGTAGTACTGCTTTGTGATTTAAATTCTCATTTTTCTGATTCTTAATGAAACTGAGCTCCTTTCCTTATAACTATTGGAAAATGCAAATTGATACGTGCTTTTGTGAAACACTTGGTAATATCTTTTGCCCATTGGTTTTCTTTCAATTAAATATATCATGTGTTATTGATTTGTAGAAGTTCTTTGCATATTATAGCTATAAATCGTTGTCGGATATATGTGTTGCAAATCATTTCTCCAGCTTTGTGGGTTGCCTTTTTACTTGTTTAATGCTATCTCCATATGAGACTGTATAAGCTTTATTTAGTCTTTTAGAAGCTTTCTGTTTAGATTTTAATTTCCTGCCTGCTACTGTTCCAGAATTTGGTAACTGTCATGAGAGGAAAGCTAGCAATATGATTTAGACTCCCCATGTCTCTGCCAAAAGCTTAGTTCTGTTTTCTCTGTCCTTTTGTAGCATTCTTGTCTGAGTACATAATTCAGATTCTCATTGTATTAGTCAGGGCTCTCCAGAGAAACAGTATTCATGGTATAAATAAACAAGTTGTATGTATATATGCAATATATATGTATTACATATATAGATAATTCAGTTAAATATGTATATTTCAGTGTTGCAATTTAGTCTGAGTCTGAAGATTTGAGAACCAATGAAGCTGATTCCAAAGGCAGGAGAAGAGGGCTAGGAAAGCCTCTGGTATAAGTCCTGGAGTTTGAAAACCCGTGAACCAAAAGCTTCAGTGTTGTGGAGCAGAAGATGGATATACCAGCTCAAGAAGAAAGAGAAATAATTTACCCTTCTTTCATGTTTTTCTTCTATTCAGGCCATCAATGGATTGCATGATGCTGCCCACATTGGTGAGGATGGATATTCTTTGCTCAGTCTACTGATTCAAATGTGAATCTCTTCCAGAAACACCCTCACAGACACACCAAGAAATAATGTTTTACCAGGTATCTGGATATCATTTAATCTACACATATAACATTCATCCTTTGGCCCATGCACAAAATTGCCAAAAGCCACAAGGGTAAATATAACTACAGAATTCTGTGTATTTCTGCTATGCTCTTCCCTCTCTGGAGTTATGGTTTTTCCATTTCTCTTTTCTGTTGTAGCAGTGTGAAGACTTCAAACAGATGATTACCATATGTTATGTGGCTTTTTTTCTTTTTATTCTCAGGGGCAGCATTGGCCTGCCGAAATCTACTTCTTCCCATTTTTAAGCAAAAATCTACCACAGCATATTTTGGATTGATGTACACTGATATCAGCTATCATATATCAATCAATGAAGAAATACCAGTGGAGAAGTATTTTATGTAAAATAAACCACAAGTATTGCTAATCTGAGTACTGACACATTTTTTACTAACCCTGGGCATCAGCAGATCTGAAGAGTAGGATCTCTTGATAATTAAGGGACATCTCAGTTTTACTTGCTTTTGGGGATTGAACCCTGATTAGCAGTATTGGAAAATTAAAGTGGAGTTGATTATCCAAATAAAGTGAAAGAAGTGAAACAGAACGTATTTAAGGATGTTTAAACACATTAGTAATAATTGTCTTGTGCATGACTAGTTTTTTTTGCCAATTTGAGTAATGTTAACTGAATCATTGGTTTGATCTTTCTCAGAAAACCATGAAAAGAAACTGAAAAATTAGTTGGCAAATCACACACACACACACAACGTGATTTGTTTTGAAATGAATTCCTAACCTAGATTACCAGCCTAATTCCTGTTTTTGTGCCAAGGGTGGAACTTGAGCATATGACATCTTAGCTATGTATGGCTGGCTAAGGCAAAAACACTGACTTAGGTTGGCAAATCCCATGGCTGTTGCTACAGCAACAACATGAACAATCTGAGTTCCTTCATGTACATTGTCTCTCTTACTGGTATTTTAACTGAGGCCACTTAATTGAGCCTTAGCAGTGTTTGTATACACAGCAATTACTTTTTAAAAATCTAAATAGCTGTTTCAAAGTGAAGCAGAAACATTAATAATTCTTGGACCCCTCCAGGGGATACTTCTGGACTTTAAATTTAGAGCTTAGAGAGTTCCTGAGAATGATTCAAAATATGTTTGTTTCCTTTTAAAAAAAATTCCATATCCAAGCAACATTCAGTAAGGGTTGGCACAAATAATGTGACACTTGAATAACAGCAGTTAAATATCTAAGTCAAAGATGTTTGCTATAATTCTAATTTTAAAGATAACATTTATTGACTTTTTCTAGTTATAAAGATAACACTTTTCTGTACATAACTTAAAATTCTTATCATTTCATCCTAAAAAGAGTTAACAGTTTGTGTAAAACTTTATTTTTTATAGAAAATATATATGTTTAAGTTGGATTCATATAACATATGATCATATATTTGTTTATATATGTTTAAATTATATATGCTTAGACTTATGTGATATACAATTTTATAATCTGATTGTTAAATTTAACTGTATGACAAACTTATCTTGTCATCATATTTTCTGTAAAATGTTATTTTAACAGGTGCATAATGTAGCAAAATATGTATACACTGACATATTAATAGACATGTAAGTTCTTTGGAACTTTTCACTGTGTTATGTGGACATTGTTGTATATAAAATTTTAATACACATCTGATTATTTTATTAGAATAACTGTTTAAAATGAAAATATGGGCAAATATTTTACAACTTTAAAGCCCTTGTATCATAATATCAAATTACCCTTCAGAATGATGGTAAAGGTATGAGAGCATCCATTTCACTGAATATTTGCCAGTACTGAGAATTGTGCATTTAATTATCTTTCCCAGCTTTATAGGTGAAAGAAATGCTATTTTATGTTCTTTTTAGTATTACTTACCATTTTGCATTACTGGCAAGTTGGACATTAAAAAATGTTTATTGGTCATTCGTGTATGTTTTTCTTTAGTATATTTATTGCCACCTCATGTACTTTACTTTCCGTTATACTGGGTGGTTTACATTTTTCTAACTATTAGTGAGACCTCTTTCAACATAAAGGTTGTTAGCCCTTTGTCTGCCATACGTGTTTCAAAAATTTTCTATTTATAATTTGTCTATTAATTTTCTGACACAACAAAAATTTTACTATGTACATAGTCAAATCCATCATACTTTTTCTCCCTGGTTTTTAATTTTGATTTTATGCCTAAAAAGGTCTTACAGCTTCAAGTTCAGTTAGATGTTTACCTATATCTATCTATACATCTATGTCTTAAATTAGCATTTTTATTCATACACTGTGCAGACTGATGGAGTACATGTGATATTTTGATACAAGCATACAACATATAATGATCAAATCAGGGTAATTGAGATATCCATCACCTTAAACATTTATCATTTATTTGTGTTGGGAACATTCCAAATCTTCTAGCTATTTTGAAATGTATAATAAATTATTGTTAAGTGTAGTCATCCTACTGTGCTAATGAACACCAGAACTTATTTCTTCTATCTAACTGTATTTTTATACCCATTAACTAACCTGTCTACACTCCCTACCCCCGACACATACACACTTTCAAGCCTCTGGTAACCACCATTCTACTTTCTACCTCCAAGAGATCAGCTCTTTTTAGCTCCCGCATATGAGTAAGAACAAGTGATACTTGTCTTACTGTGCCTGGCTTATTTCACTTAACATAATGTCCTCCAGTTTCATGCATGTTGCTGCAAATGACAGGATTTCAGGCTTTTTTCAATAGCTGATATTCCATTGTGTATATGTACCATATTTTCTTCATCCACTCGTCCATTGATAGACACATCGATTCCATATCTTGGCTATTGTGAATAAGACTGCAATAAACATGGGGTATTTACTTTTGCTTCTTTTATGGTTTCATTTTCTTACACTTAACCCTTCAATTCATTTAGAATATATTTGGAATGTGATACTAATCTAATTTAACCTTTTCCAAATATCTCATTTACTATATAGATTTTATTATATACCAGATAGTTATATACATTAGGTCCTTTTGCTGTGCGTTCTGTTTGTGGTCTGTCATGTAGAAATATTGAAGTCTTTTACTATTTTAGAGTATACTTGGACATTTAGACAGTGGGATAGACAAACTTTCCCTTTATGATTATTCTCTTTATAAAAATGTCTTGAATATTTTCACCTGTTTGTTCTTCCATGTTAAATCTAAAAATAATTTTATAAGGTACAGAAGTTATATAGCTTGTCAAAAGGATGAGTAAGCTTTTGGTGCACTCTTACATATTTAACGGACTTTGAGAAATATTGATAAGTAAATAACAAATGTGAAAACTATGTATAGTAAACTACCTTTGGTGTTAAAAATGAATAAAATTGCTTGACTATGCAAAGGATTTCATTGGAAGGATACATAACAAACAGTGGTTTTGAGTTAGAGGATAGCAGTGGTGGAAGATTTACATGTAACCAAATATTCTTTGGCATTTTTGAATTTTGTAATGTTCATGTTAAATATGACAAATTAAACATTTTCAAAGATAAAATAAAAACCCTGAATGAAGATATAAAACTACCTCGATGTTTACAGATTGAAAGTCGTGAGGATAAAGCACTTGCTCCAAATCATACACGGCTAGTAAATGGTCAGCCAGGACCCCCTCAACTACCCAGGATTTCTTCTTCCAGGCTTCATTGAAGGAGGGAAGAAAACAAAGGATTCACAAGCAAATTTAGCCCAGGAAGCACATTCTTTACTGCTTGTTAGTGTTTGGCTTAAGTCACCTTGAGCATAAGATTTTTAGTCTGAATATCATTCAGTTTCTGAATGTAGCTTGTAACTTTCAAAAATAGTTGAGGATAGGAAACTAGTTTGGGGAGATAAGTTGTGAAAAGTCCAGTGTAAAGAAGGTAAATAGCTGAGAAACTAGAGAGACTCAATAAAACCTATATAATATTTGGTAAAAATAAAAAAGTATATATGTAATGACCAGAGCTATTGTTATGAGATAATGTTTATGTACTAGTTAATGCTGACACATAAGAATGTCACATTCCTGCACAAACAGGTGACCACATTCCAGCTGGGCACCATGTAGGTAGAGTGACAACAAAGGACTTTAAAACGTTTTCTGTATTAATTGCAGAGGAGAGAATGGAGTCCACTGTGCAGAACACTGAGAAGCCAAGTGTCTCACTCAGAGTAGAGACATAGGGCTAATAATTTACCAATAACATCTGGAAGGAAAGCAATGCTTTTCATGGCAATAGACTTCATTACTTTGAAATATATTTGTTGGTTTTTGAAGTTAGATAGAACTGAGTTATACCTCAGCCCAAAACTTACTAGCTGTGTGCAAAGGGACTTGTTCTTTGATAATGTAGAGGCAAAGCAACATTGATTAGCCTTAATTTTTTTCATCTGTCAAATATATATTGTAATACCACGAACATTCATTTATTAATTCAACGAGCTACACAGTAGACAGTGTTCCAGGCATGGGTGGTTCCATAGTGTATAAGAAAAAAATGTCCCTGCATTCATGAAACTTATCTTCTACTAGGGGATAACTAAGTGAAATAAACACAATGCTGTGTTTACTAGAACACTTAGTACGGTAAACCCTGAATGAATGATATTACTTATATTATAGTCATAAGAGTATATATATATATATATATATATATGCTAACATTATTTATTATTTTCATTATTTCAATGAGTAGCTAAACAAAGTTCTAGTCTGAGTTTTAAAGGTCTTGGCACAAACTCTAACGGAGCAATAGCAACATAGCACCCACCAAAGGGGAACCAGACAAAAGCGGAACTCAGTCCTTTAACTCCATTGGCAAAGGAGTTCCCTCAGTCCTTAGCAAAGAGGTATTCAGTCTCAGAAGCAACCTAACAGTCTTTCTTAGTTGTGTCCTATATGTTGTAAGCCACATCTGATTCTCATTATAGTGCAGGTTTCAGTTCTTTACAGTAAAACCTTCTACCATTTTTACAAAATATTGAGTCCCAGTCCCTTTTAATATGGTTCTGTATGGATACCTAGATCAGGAGAACACAAGTCTGTGTACTGAGTGGAAAATGAAAGGACCATTCTTTGTTAATGAGGGTACATATTTCCCCTGTAGTTAGAAAATTTCAATTTGATGGGCTTAAGAAAATGTGCCTCTTTCAAAAGAAATTATGACCTTCCTCTGACCTTTATTATTCATTTAACATTTATTGAGCAAGTCTTTCATATCGCTCAGAAAAGAATAAGGAAATGGTGAGGCAGTAGATGGAGTCTATTCTGAATCTCAAAAGCCTTTTGATTTCATCCCTCAAGGGTTTGTGAGGAGACATTGATAGTCCAGCGGTGAAGTACAAAGCACAGGACTTTATCACAGAAGATTAAATCACTGAAAACTATGCTGGGAATCTACTGAGTTCTCTTTTTGAATGAGAAAAATGGTATTTTTAAGGGCAAAGTAGAGAAGGGTAAATTTGCTTGTATTAATTATACAATTAGGACATCAATATTAAATAGTCCAAGTGCACTTAAGATAATAGTGGCGTTCACAGAAATGAAGTGACGAGATTTCAGAAGTTTGGATTACCAGGCCACAAAAGCAATAGCAACCCCCTTTCTTTTCTTTTTTAGCAAAAAGCTTTTGACCATTCATTTCCATTTAAGAGACTCAAACATATGGCATTACCCATTGCTCGGCAGGCATTTTCTTAATTGGAAAACACGTGTGCCTTTCTTTCGGATTCGTCAGGATACTCTGGAGAAAATGTTTTACCATCCGTGGATGTTCACTTCTCTTTCTCTTCATCTGCATCAGAAATTCTGTGTTAACAAACCCAGTTTCATTTGTGAAAGAGCAATTATGATTCTTAGCTTGGTTAAATATTTGTGCCAAAGGTGAGAAAGGGAAAACTTCCTAGAATTCAAAAAGAATGCTTTTCAAGTTTTCACCATATCCATTTCAAAGGAAAATTGTATGAAAAAGGTAATTGAGAGACTCTCATATTTATAAATGGTTCCTTGGAAATAAACAGGTCTTTTCAAAGAGGCGGAAATGGCCTTCCACTCCCTCTCTTGCCATCTAGAAATGGATTCAAAAGGAGATTCTTTATCGCAGCCAAGTGTTTAGGGGTTTAAGGGAGAGACACTACTCAGAAAGGTTTCTGGCTGTCCAACAGCCCTTTTCTTTAGTCTCCCAGCAGACTCTGGGGGAGGATGTGAGTAGGATGATCCAGCTGGGACATCTTGGATGGCAGTAACCTAGTATGTACTTGAACACTTCTCCCTAACCTCATTACCATTGCACTCCAGGAGGATTGCATACTAGGGAGCAGATGCTGTAACTCTTCTCTTCTAATGTGACCACAGGAAAGTTTGCTTTGAAGGGACTTTTTGAAGTACAAAGTATGAAGGTGAAAGATTAAAGGTCTTATAACACAAAGAAGATCTATCACATCTCCTGCCACCCCAGAACTGACAATATTTGCTCAAGTTCAGTGTTTTTGTGATCGATGTGTGGGTCATTTTTATTTCCAGTGGCTGTCAGCCTAAGACTACAGGACTTGCCAGTCCTAGTAATGCAAATTTGCATTGTATCTCCATTTTAAGGGGCCCAAAACACATTGCCGTATTTCTCTGCCTGTTTTCTTATCCTCTCATTAGATAATGCATGTCTATTTGTTGCAACACAATTCTAGGCAATGGTGGATAGAAAGTAATTACAGTAGTCTGAAGAGATTGCTTAAAGAGACTGGCCATAGTGAAACCAGTGTCTAAGGTTTCCATCTGCCTGTCTAGCCATCTCTGAAGGCTTTGGGCAGTGTGACAGAACATAGAATTTGGGGCCAGCCTACCTAGGTTTGAGTCTTAACTCTACCTGCTAGGGACTGTGTGGCTTTAAGCCAATATTTTTATGTCTCTGTGTTTCTGTTTCTTTTTCTGTGGAAACGGTGAAGAATAATAGCTACTTCTTAGAAGAGTTGGGAGGGTTAAATGAGCTCATACATGAACAGCACTTAAAACAGTACCTGACACGTAGTAAGTGGTATGACAGAGTTTGCTATCGGCCGGGCATAGTGGCTCACGCCTGTAATCTCAGCACTTTGGGAGGCCGAGGCAGGCGGGGATCACAAGGTCAAGAGATGGAGACCATCCTGGCAAACATGGGGAAACCCCGTCTCTACTAAAAATACAAAAATTAAACGGGCATGGTGGGGTCGCCTGTAGTCTCAGCTACTCCGGAGGCTGAGGCAGGAGAATCACTTGAACAAGGGAGGCGGAGCTTGCAGTGAGCCGAGATCGCGCCACTGCACTCCAGCCTGGGCAGCAGCGCGAGACTCCATCTCAAAAATAAATAAATAAATAAATAAATAAATAAATAAATAAATAAATAAATAAATAAATAAATAAAAGAGTTTCCAAGAGTTTCCTATCACTATTACTAGTTCAGGTTTTGTTTGTTTTTTACAGCCTGACCTTCAAATGTTTTATGCACTCCTTGAGGTTGTGTGCAAAATTTAGTGTGGCTGCTCAAATATAAAATTTCCTGGCCGAGTATTCATACTGTTTATCGAAGTCATCTATGAATTTTAAAAGTTTGGGAACTACTGTGCCAGGCTCTGCAGGTCTCCTAACACGAATAGATAGCTTCTATCATTAGTAAAACTCAGTGAACCATTATGAGTTTTGATTCCTACAAACACGAATTAGATCTTCAAGTAAAATAGTCCTTAAGAATTTATTTATAACATACATGAAAGCTATAGGTGAGATATGTTCATTTTGTTTTCTACAGCTTTCTTTGAATCATTTTTTAAAAATACACAATTATCAACAGCAGCTACCTAGTGAGATCAATGGGCCAAATTAATCAAAGAGAGCGTACCACACTGAGCATCACAAAGATTTGAGAATTTCCCCCAGCTTTTGAGCTGGCCTGCATTAATGCAGTGACCCACTAGATGTCAATGTTTCCATGAGAATGAATAAAGACATTCTGTTGTTATCCTTGAAACAGGATTAATTGATTGCTATAAAAAGTTAGATGAAATAAAATGTTCTCCTTGCTCTTCAAACTAAGATAAGCTAATAACTTTGGACACAATTTCACTCCTCTGCATTCACCAAATGTCCAATTACATATCCTCCCTGCCTGGACCTTCAGAACAATATAAAACTGAATGAAGGCTATGAAAGAAGTCACAGGAGGATTTTTGCAGAGCTTCCATCCAGTTCAGAAACAAAGCAATTCAATACATGTCTTCAAGATTTCTAAAGGCAATGACTTAGTAAGTAATGTTCTTCCCATATCATCCTCTATGTCCTTTTATTCTGCTTTATTTGATACATTTTTAAAAATGTCTGTGTGAAAACAATGTTTTAGCTATCTTTGTTCAAGTAGGCTTGCTTAATTGGGACAAAGAAGATCCTATTTGAATCATAAGTCAGCCAGGAATACTTTCGTGTTTTCAGATGTTCTGTTTTCACCATTTATCTGAGCACACATTTTAGATTATGTGCCTCAGCCGTCAGATACAGACAATCAGGAGAGCCACAAAGAGCCATCTAAAGAGGGAAGAAAACACAATAGATGGGATATGGGAAAAAATATATAACTAGAACATCTAAATGAGTGAGGAGGATGCTGAAAGCATTAATGCAGGGAAAATACCAGCACACGGGCTCCTTTATCTCCCTGCTCTTGTGGTTTCATTTAGTACATGTCCCTTTTCCTCCTGAGAGCAGAGAGCAAAGCAAATGAGACTTTATAGGATTCCATTGCATGTGCACTGAAACTTCTCCAACGTCAAATATTGCTTTCCTGGGGATATAAAGTCTACTGTGTGTAGTAAAGAACCAAACCTAGGATGTTCATCAAATATATGCTTGAGGTAAAACACAGAGATTGATTAGGGTGGAAATGTTTTTCTAATAAAACAGTAGGAAAAATGTGTTCCAAGAATTCAGTCATCTCTGGTTATTTTCAGCGCTGAAAGCAGATGGCCTCAGAGGCTGAGCTGGACACTGGTTCAGAAATGTAACACAAGGTTAACACTAACATATGCTGTCGTTCATGGGCTACCAGAGTTCCAAGAAATATACGAATTTATCCCAGTAAGACCCTTCTCTGAAATATTTTCTCCGTGCATTTTCTAAAAGTTAATGTAAGCAAGGCTTAAATGGGCTCAGGAAAAGGGGACATTTTATTTCCTTTGGACCCACTGGGAAACTTCCACAGTATCCAGTCTCTTTTCTCTGTCTTTTACAGTTTTCTCTGACATGTTGAAAGTAGAAGTGGTTATTTGTCAATGACAGTTTATTATTTTTATTCAGACAATATTTCAGTTTAATAGTCTAAGCATTTAAAATGTAATTCTTCATTTTAAAAGCAATATAGACAAATTATTAATCTAAATCTAGGATGCTAGACTTAAAAATATCCATCTAATTAATGTTATGGTGAGGTTTAGGGGTAGCAGTTTCTAGTAAGACTAACCATTTCCAAATATTTTCCCTTGCAGCCTGTCACTGATATCTGAAATGAACCAATAAGAGACTCATAAAAGAAATAGCTTTGCCATTAACAGAGAAGTCCATTTATCAAATTACTATCATTAATGTCTTAGTATGAACTCATTTATTTTCCTCTTTCTATGGAAAAGATGACCAAAACAGGGAAGTACATAGGGTTCTTCTTAGAGAAGGTGGTTTTGGTAGATTGCTCAGGATAGCGAAAGTCCTAAGAAACGCTGGATTTCTGGGGCTGTGAGAGAAATAGAAGCATCCAAAAATTAAGATGTATATCTAAAGATTTAGTAATAAAATACCAGGAGAATGTTTTTCTATACTTTTTCCAATTTTGCATTGGGAAGACCCTAAGAACAGGGTATTAGTTCCTGTAAACAATATAGCCAGTCCAGAGAAGTGCCATTTTTTTTCTAGTGCGAAATATAGAATAATAAGGAAGGAGTTATGGATTGAGTTATTGCTATGATAGTACATTGAGTTTAGGAAATTGCCTGACCTCCCGACTACTATGCTAGGGGCACTAGGGAAGATCAGCTGCCTCTCTCCCTCTTTCTCTCAATTGTGCATCCCACGCATAGGAACAGGATATCGTAATTTTAGAGGCAGATGAATGGTTTTCAAGAATCATTTTACCATTTGCATGCTCTGTTAACCTTGAGAATTTTCCTTAGCATTTCTAAACTTCAATTTTCTTCTTTCTAAAATGGAAAAAAAAAACCCACTATAATCTGTCCAAACAAATCATAGAGTGGTTTTAAGTTGACAACAACTATGTGCAAATGGGCTTTGTGAACTGTGAGGGGCTTTGCACAATCTCCTGAGTATATTATTTATATAAATAGTGTAATTATATTATTTCATGTTCTTTTAGGTCATGAAATCTGATGTAATTACAAGCAAAAAATACATCTGGTATTTACTAGGTTAGAAAGCATGAAAATGTGTGTAACAAGATTAGAAAAAGGTTACTTCTCCAAGAAAGGAAAAAACAAAAGAAAGAAATGCTGTGGGATTGTATTGGACTCCTGACAATGGCACCAACTTCACAATGTGATATTAATAGATTTTGAAGGATGGGGTGAGAGTGCCGAAGATATGACAGTATCCTTCTGGTGTTTTCTTTGGAGATGAAAGAGATAAGGCAATTTTTTAAATGTATATCCTAGATGCTTATTTAGCTCATGACCCTTTCAAAACATTTGCAATCACACATTTTGATGATTTTTCTGATGTGACTAAATCTTATGAGTTATTTTTATTAAGATCTTGCAAGGTTGCCAGACAACTAATTGTGGTGGAAAACAGCCAAGGAGCAGGGTCAAAGTGGTGCACAATGTGGACTGTTTCTCCAGCCTATTAGTTATCTGCATTCCTAATCATTCCAGAAACCTCTTTTAAATCTGAACAAATATTTGTCTGCATACTCTTCTCTTTTTTTTCAATTTTTGTGTCTGTGTCATGTGTGCATTTATAACTTACTTATCTCACTAGATTGCCATCTCCTCCCAGGCATAGTCTGTGTCTTGTCTTATCTTGAAGAGTACTGGTAGGATCTAATATAAGTTTAGGCACACAGGTCTTCCTCTAACATGGATCCTTTTGGTTGCAGGAAAAGGAGTTTGGGTTGTAGATAGGACTAACCTCCTCACTAGATGTACACATTTTACAATTATCTTTACAAAATTTGCTCCTTATCTTCTCATGATGACCTCAAAGAAGAAAAGAAACTTAGCTTATTCCTTCACATGGATTCGTGCATCAAACACTATTGAGTGCATATTGCATGCCAGGTTCTGTGTTAGCAACTGGAATGACCAAATAAATGTGACAAGAATTCTGTCTTAGAGGAACAGTTGAATAAGAATAAGGATTTCAGAGAAAGAGAAGCTCAGAGAAGGAGAATTCCAGCTGAATAAAGTCATGGGAAGGGACACCCCAGCTGCTGGGCTTTAAGATTAATATGTATTTGTGCCTCATTTGTTTTTTCTATCCTGGCTGTCTTTTATTTTTTTATTAATTAATTTCTTTTGTAATTTGCAAACATTGTATATATTTGTAATGTACAGCATAATGTTTTGATACATCTGGTGGTTGTGATTCAGAGTGGGCTCTGGTTAGCACACAAATTACATCATTAGTTCCATATTAGTCTATTTTAGATAGATAGAAATAAATCAAAGGGAAGAAGATGACTTGGAATTTGTGTGAAGCAAATGAGACACATACATATAGAGAAGGTCAAGACATGGGATGACTAATCTCACCAGATAGGAATCTCTCTTTGTGAATAAATACACTAATATATGTAGAAACACACACATTATAGTATCGTTTAAAAGAGGAAAATATGGAAAACCACATAAGTATCAGATATATTAGAAACCACAGAAATATCTTCTTATCATTTCTTCATTTCTTAGGGCTATTTTGGGGGGGATACTTTTTTCTCAGCTTCTATTCATTTTTAAGAGCTATTTTTTGTATTAATACATCATATATGTTGTAAATAGTTTCAGAGTTTATGTTTGCATTTAATTATTTCCTTTGCTGTTATATGTGATATCCTAATTTTTAATTAGTTGTACTTATGAGTCTCGTACTTTTGGTTTCTGCTTTTGGTATCATGCTTAGAAAGACTTTCTCCACCACGATGCCATATAAAGTGTTTATTTTCTCCTACTGTCAGTATGGTTTAATTTCTTTATATGTAATTATTTAATCTTGATAAAACTTATAACGATAAAAGGTAATAATTTAACATTCTACCCTCCCCAAGTAGTTAGGCAATTTTCCCTTTGCCACTTGTTGGAAGTATCTCTTTTATGACAAGCTTCTCTTTTAGACATGTCTGGTTTTGCACTAGTCCAACAATATTTAAATCTAGTTCTGTACTACATTAATTCTGATAGATATTATCCCCTCCTCATTACCCACTTTTATGTATTCCTGCTGTACTTTTTATTTATCCAATACCAGGAAGAAAATAAAATGTCAAAAAAAAAGACAATAAAAAGGCTTTAGTGATAAAGAACCAGAGCATCTCTTGTAAGAAAGAGAAGCAAGAGTATGAAAGACTTTGTTGGATGGTTTCAAAGAGGATGAAGGTTATCTAATAGAGGCATCCAATTCTGATTCAACTTTATTAGTCTCTAGACTCTGTTGACCCAGTTAATCCTGTAACAACTGCTACTTCAACAGATTTGGAAAGCAATTTAATAGCCTACAGATAGCTGCCGTATAATACCCAGAACTAAAATAACTACTGACTGACCAGACATTCCATTAAAATAGGTAACATTCATACAAGTAATTCATACTTGGGCAGAAAGTAGTCAAACCATGACTTTCATGACCAACCGGTGGTAATGAGATATTCCTGTCTAAAACAGCAATGTACTTCTAGTGACCACACTGTACCCAATATGTAAGTAGGCTCAGGCCTGCCCTTGGGGATGCACTATTCTTCTTCTTTTCTCAGAGTAAAACTTTGTGGCACAACTATTACAAACGGACTTAAAAAAAGAAATCAGAGATACAGCAGCATAAGGAACTGAAGAAATTTATTACCCCACCCTAATCCCCAAGGGTGGAAGTATTTGTTGCTTGTTATAGGTCTACTTTTTAATAATCTTATTACTAAAATTATTTTCAAGGCAAATAACATAGCATAATTTTAAAGTTATAAAATGCTAATCTTATTACTTTTTCATATAAAGGGAACCAGTGAGATTGAGTCTTCCAACACCACTGGTCTTACTATCTCAGATTAATAGATTTAAATTTAACTTCATTCAAGAGCCAAAAGCCCCATTAGGATATTCTAACGAGTTGATTATTCAACCTCTACTTGGATATATCCACGGTCTGAAAGCCTTTGTAAGCTGGCCCATTTTGCTCCTTAATTTTATTAGGTCAAAATGTCTCTCCCTATAACTTCTATGGTTTTGTCCCCTGGTGCCCCACGGAACACATCTACCCAGTCTTTGTTAAGTCAGCACTTTAAACATTTAAAGAGAGCAAGCTTCCAAAGATCTAAAAAGATCTCCAAGCTGACCATTCTCATTGATCTCTGGGAGCTTGCTGCCCCTCAAATGATGCTATTCTCTGGATTTTTTTGGTTCCTTTGGTTTCTGGGTTTATCAGAATCTGGAGCTCCAAACCCAATGAATCATTTTTTAAAATCTGCTGTATTTCTCTTTGCATTCCCAGTGTCAAATAGAGTTCAACATGTACATAGTAGGTTCTTATTAAATATTTGAGAACATAAACGAATTAATGAGATACTTTTGATTGCTTTCATGACGATTTTAACAATTATACAAACTCGGATCTGTGTTCTGACCAGAACGAAATTCTTCCACACATATAGCTGCATTCCTTGAAGTGTGTGAGAAAAAAAATCATACGTGGGCAGGTTAAATAAATTTTGGCTTACAATTTGCTTAAGGAACTTCAAGAGTTATACCAGTTGTATTTTATTGTTATTTTGTTGCAGTTCTAGGATCCAAAGCAGAAATTTGGTGTGTGGCAGCTCTACGTATCTCACAAAGGAAGATTTCATGTGGAAAGTTCCTGCAATGTCCCAGTGCACAGACACCGGTCTTTTCTAATGTGCTGGTTCAAAAGTAGTGTGCCCTTTTTTTTTTTTTTTTTTTTTTGAAACAGTCTCCCTCTGTTGCCCAGGCTGGAGTGCAGTGGCGCGATCTCGGCTCACTGCAAGCTCCGCCTCCCGGGTTCACGCCATTCTCCTGCCTCAGCCTCCAGAGTAGCTGGGACTACAGGCGCCCACCACCACGCCCGGCTAATTTTGTTTTTGTATTTTTAGTAGAGACGGGGTTTCACCGTGTTAGCCAGGATGGTCTCGAACTCTTGACCTCAGGTGATCCGCCCATCTCGGCCTCCCAAAGTGCTGGGATTACAGGCGTGAGCCACCGCGCCCGGCCGCGTGCCTCTTCGTTTAATGACCTGGCAGCTTGTTTCTCAGCTGCAGATTTCTTTTGTTAGTGTTTCTGCCATTGCCAGAGGCATTTCTGTTGAACCTGGCATCTGTTAGTAAACTTTCTCCAAAACAAAGCTAATTTAGGTTTTGTAGTATATGAAGCCCTTCTAGCTCTTTCCACTTTTGATTTTATTTCATCCCTAAATTGCCATCGTATTGAGGTCATTTTTAACTATTTTTTTCCCAATGATTTATTTTTCCTAGTGTATTTTTTTTTTCTCTTGGAATTTGACCTAGGGCATGTGTGCATGAGTTTTACTCGGGACACTTTCTATTAATACCCCATAACTTTTCCAATTGTGTTCTGCCCTCTTCCCATCCTCCCACTTCAACTTCTTGGTCTAAGTTGAATATGAACTTTCCTTTGCCTGTCTCTGAGATTTGGATCTCTACCTTACACTCTCTCATCACTACCATAGTAGTATATTGTGAGCTATTCTGAGTGGGATGGAAGCCCTTTCTAGGAAGTGAAAAAGAATTATCCTCAATACATAGGAACATCTCAGAAACAAGTGAGTGTCCTCAAAATTTCCATACAAAAAAATGTAGGTGTGATTATCTGGTTGAAAGAATGGAAGGAAGAGTGTGGGTATGAGGGGTTGTGTTGAAACTGTTCGTATATAAAGCAAACTTTCTACTAAGCATATATCTTTATTGAAGGGAGGAGGTGATAAAGATTATTGTGGCAATGAAAGCCACCTTCATTAACTCTTCGATCCGGCACTCCTGTGCTTTCGTTCCGGATATTAAGTGACCTGACAGAGATCCCTCCTGAGTGCTTGGCATCTCCTTTCCATTTCGATTTGTTCTGCAGAAACTCCCTTGTTTTATGACAAGATTGGGATGACACAGGTAGCTCAACAGTGGGAGTGAGAACTCGGCAAGGAACAAGAGTCATGCCTACTTCCCCAATTCCTGCAGTCCAGCTTCCTTCTTTCTTCTTCTTTCTGGGATACTCCTGACATGTAGCAGGGTAAAAAGGAAGTCACATTAATTTAAGAGTTATCGGATAATGGATAAAAAAAATTAGAAAGAATGAATAAAACCTAGTATTTGCTAGCACAAAAGGGGGACTGTAGTCAAAAATAATTTAAGTGTTCATTTTGAAATAACTAAGAGTATGATTGAATCATTTGTAACACAAAGGATAAATGCTTGAGGTGATGAATACCCTATTTACCCTGATGTGATTATTACACACTGCATGCTTGTATCAAAATATCTCTTGTATCCCATAAATATATACAACTACTATGTTTCTGCAAAAATTAGAAAAAAATTAAAAAGGAAAAAAAACGAATTGACACTTATGTTGGGATTCTGGGTATGGCATCTAGGAGTATGAGGTCTGAGACAAGTAACTGAACATCTTTGAGACTCAGATATTTTTATCTGGGAAACAGGAATAATAAAATTACCTTTTAATTTAATTGGTTAATGGGAGGGTTGAAACAGATACTGTATGTTGAAGTTATGTTTGTATTAGAAAATGTTGAACAAATGCTATTCATCCTCCATCCCTAAGGAAACAATGAAAATGATGTAACAATATAAGAAATATAAAGAGCGTTATCTTCTTTCTAGTTGAATTTAATTCATTTCCATTCAATATGTTCTTAAATTGGGTTGCCATAGCTAATGGAAACCTGGTGAATGGAGAGGGAAATCTAGGATTATTGATGGTAGTTCTTTTGCATTAACTTGGTGTACAGGTACATAGGACTGTACTTGTACTGTGGTCATAATTTAATACAAATATTTCATAACAATACAAATATCAGTTTGTAAGAAAACTGTTTTTAGAAAGTAAATCTGTGATATGATAGAGTTTTGTGTGATGTGTCTGTATTTAAGCACATGTACCCATTCAAGCAGCAATCATCTCTTCCTTTTTACCAAAATAGGGTGTGTGTTTCCTTGTTCTTCTCTATGTGAAAGACTTCTGACCGACTACTTCACAGGCATGCAGGCACGTAATGATACATGAGTACACACAGTGGTGCAAAAGGCTGTGTTTAGGCATGCAAATACTCTTAAAAAAGTGCAGAACATTAGCAACATGACCTTTCCTTACATCTGAATATCTAATTTTGAGACCTAGCTCCACTATTAATGTGCTGTATGCCCTGATAAATCACCACCCTGAGTTTGCTTTCTCAGCTGTAAAATAAGAGATTTTAATTCTTAAAATTTCCAACTTGTAGGGTTTGGGACAGATTTCACATAATATACATGAAAGAAATTTGTGGATTTGTAAATAAAAGTGCTATTCATATGCCAGTTATTATTAATTCAGATGGGAGCGTGAGTTCCTTGAGTGATGAGCCAGCCTTGCTCTCCCAGTGGCAGAGGCCATGTGGACATGAACAAGGACTCCTAGGTGGATGCACTATCGCTACTTGTTCTAGCAGCGGGAGTGGGAACAGCTTCTACCCATTGAGATTCCCCCTTCCATTTACTTTGAGATTTATATAGTAAAAGTAATGGGGAGAGAAGGAAGAATATCAGAAATGAGAAGCTTCCTTCCAAAGCTCACTAGGTCTCACATTAGTATTTTATCACACAGAGTGAAATAAGAAAAAAAAAAAAGTCAGTGTGTTAATTTTAACACATCTTAATTCAATCCTGATACACTTTTTTGTTGTCAGCTGAAATCTTTTAGGATTGCATTGTCCCCTAGAAAAGAGATAGTCACATACAAGTATATGAAAAGTGAGTCATCAGGTAAATGTGGAAAAACATCGTTCTAATGTCGTGTTATTTCTCTTTACGTGAACCTGATTACTCCATTCAATGGAAGAACCACCTCCAACCTTGTCAGATGAGACTTCGCTAATTTTTGTGCAAGAGTAAAAGTAAGCTTGAACTCAAAATGATGAGGATAATCTTAATCATAGATGATATTTACTAGAGTATGTGTGGGGGACAGAGTAATTTTACACACGCATTCAGTGACTTCAAAATGAACATGACTTTGGATGAATTTACTTTCTTCTCAAGTATAGTTTTATTTGATTGAGAAAGATATGCATTTATGAGATTTGAGGAGGATTTGCATTATTTTTATGTGTATGAATCTGGGTATGTTATTTTTGCTCAAATATATGAAAGAACACTGAGTTCTCATTATGACTATGTATGGGAAACCATGGCACTTGCACACAATCAGGGATGCCAGTTTGGCTCATTGATCTGTAAGATCCAGGTCCAGGTCAAAGATGTGATGAGGGCAACAGATGTTTGTGAGGAGTCTTCTTACATGAGGAGATGGACAAAGTCGTAGTTCTATTGGGAAAGGAGAAGTCATACACCAAGCGCTCCAGGGACAAGATACCAACCTTGTTGCTGAGAGCATTTTTGCCAGTCCTGCCAAGGGCCCCTAGTCTGTTGTTTTTACAGAACTGTCTGTGTATTGGTGATGTGTACTCAGGAGCATCATATAGTTCAGCTATATGATGGTCAGATCTAGAAGAGGGGCTATAATGTCGCCAGCATTAGGGCCCCTGTGGAGAATATATGTACCAAATGGGAAAGAATGGCACAAAAGGAGGATTTGTTCCTCCTTTCATGTCATTCTTTTTCATTTTGTATGCAGTTTCTGAGAGTCCACACTGTAACAATGAATCTCATGACGAAAGATGTTCTGGGGCTATACAGTGTAAGCACTGTGGGAAGATAGGTGCTGGCTCTCTGTAATATGCAGCACCAGGATTTGCACAACCTCACATTGTCATCACTATTGTACAGTAAACGGATAAATCCTCAAATTAGGATTTTATTAGAGTATAAATATGCCCTGGGAGGAAATCATAGCCTCGTGGAATGCTTGGGGTGAGTGCTGCTCATATCACACTGTCTATGGAATCAGAAAAGTTACCTTAACTGCCCCAAAGTGGCAATCTTTTGAATATACAAAATGAGGTGAATTTAAATTACCATACCACCCAATCCATCTAAATTAGAATCTGAAATTGGTAATGCGTCTCCCTTAAGCTTCTAATTAATTTCCATAATGTAGTTTACTCATAACACATTCTAAACAGCCAGGTATAATCTGTCTCATCCAATTTCCTTGGGGTTTTAAACATTCTATGTAAAAATATGAAATACTTATCGGTTTCCCTGGGCTTACCTTTCAATTTTCCTACTATTTATGTATTCAGAAAGTTTGATGAAGTCAGGTATAAGAGTGACACAAGACAGAGTTAAATCCAATTTCTCTCTATTCCACACAAACTGGTAGATATGGCAGCACCCAGCTAAGTGGATAGGAATTCTAGGTGATGTTCTTTTCATTAAGCAGTTATGGCTCGCTAGCATGTCTTGTCTTTTAAGGTGTATGTATTAGGCTATTCTTGCATTGCTATAAAGAAATAAAGGGATACCTGAGACTGGGTAAATTATAAAGAAAAGCATTTTAATTGGCTCAAGCCTCTGCAGGCTGTGAAAGCATGGAGCCAGCATCGGCTTGGCTTCTGAGGCAGGCCTCAGAGAGCTTTTACTCACTGTGGAAGGCAAGTAGGAACAGGCATGTCACATGGTGAGAGCAGGAGAAAGAGAGAGAACACAGGAAAGTATTACACTCTTTTAAACAACCAGATCCTGCAAGAACTCACTCATTATTGTGAGGACAACATCAAGCCATGAGAGATCTGCCTCCATGACCCCAAAACACCTCCCACGGGCCCCACCTCCAACACTGGGTACCACATTTCAACATGAAGTTTGGGGGGACAAATATCCAAACCATATCAGTGGGGTTAGAAACACATACTGATGTCTTTAAACTAGATCCTGAAGTAAGTGTTTCACCCAACCCACATGCTTGTTAGTGTGAACTCTAGTTCCATGGACTGTAGCCATAATTGTTTGGCACGTGATCATCTAGTAGAGCATGTGAATCAGAAGGATATGAAGAAAGCATGGACCATAACAGCCTCACCATCTTTGGCTGAATATTCACTGTGTGTAAGGCACTGTCCTAGCCATAGCATATCTTAGTACCATTCACAACAACTCCAAGAGGCAGGTAGTTCAGTTATTTTTATTTTATGTATGAGAACTATGAGGCTAGTTTGTTTAAATAATTTTCCCAAGGACAAGTTGCAAGATGGATAGAGAGCACAAATAATCTGATTGTATACCCATGTCCTTGGCCATCATCTGTTTTTCAGTTGTTTTTTAGTTTGTTTTAGCTTTTGTTTTTGTTTTTTGCCTCCAGCCTTTAGACATTTCATTGTTTGATCTGTTTGTCTAATAATCTGGCTACACCTCTGTCTGTCTCATCTAGACTCTTAGAGAAAAGAAACCTAGCTATTAGTAAACTGGTCATCCACGATTTCCTGGTGCAAAGAGTCTACTCAAGCATTAATCAAAAGCCGGGTAAAACAAAGCTAAACAGAACAAAAATATCAGACTGAAGTCTTATCCTTGAACCATTGATCAAAGAAGACACATTTTGTGCTTTCGTATATTTTCTTTTATCCTGAAGTTTCTTCTTCCAGGAGAAGCTTCCTGAAGAGATGTACAGATATGCAATTTAGAAAGAAGAGTAAAACATACAGTTTTCTAGGAAGAGAGCATATTTTTAGGAAAGGCTTCTCAGTTTGATATATGAAAGTCAGTTTGGATCTTGATGAATTATGCTCAACATAATTTGCAATTAAGATACTTGAAAATAATCAACTTAAATAAATCTTGTATATGAAGCAATATAATATAGTGATCAAAATCATGGAGTCTAGCAGCCCGAATTCAAATCCCAGATATGCCACTATTTGTGTGGCCTTGAGCAATTCATTTAAACTGTATAAGACCTTGTTTCCTCCTGTATAAAATGAAAATCATCATATTTCTACTTCAAAAGGCATTGAGGAATTAAACCACATGTTTAAAGTTCGTAGCAGAGTTCCCATGTAATAATGAACAATCAATAAATAATGGCCATTATTATATGGAACTTTAAGATATCTGGGGTAATGATAAATCATAGGGTCATAATTATATAGGTATTAATTATAGCCATGAGTTTGGGTTATTTCTTTAGGGCTTATCATATAGTAAAAGAAACAGAGTGGTAAGGGTAAACCAGTTGGGGTGGGAAGATGAGAAGTAAACAGCCCATGAGGAAGATAAGAGGTGACTGGAGAAAGGAAAACTAGAAGCTTAGGAAAGAGAGACTTTACAGAAAAAGGAGATTAACAGCACCAAAGGAAGTCCAGCAGTCTAGTAAGATGAGAAAAAAAAATAGTCCATTGATTTTTGGCAGTTATGTATGTTATGATAACTTGAAAACTGTGGGTAGAAATGATATTCTGAGTGTGGATGACAAGTGAAGTTATGACACTTGAGAAGGAGGAGGGTTGGCAGCTAAAGGGGCCAAAGGAAAGGTTTTGTTATTGTTGTTGTTGTTACTGTTAGTTTTGTTTTTCAGGTGGGAAAAATGCATGTGCTGAATGGCAAAGGGCCAGTACTAGTAAGAGACTGGTTTGAAGGAGAAAGTGGGTTGCAAGCCCTTGAGGAGATTGATGGGCTGCGATACAGAGCTCAGTTTCATTCACATACTTGTTTCTTGTTATTCTACAAGCGCAAGAATTTACTTCTTATCAGACACCAAAACCTGTGCTGGAGACATTGTGGCAAACCAGACATATGTTACTCTTATTGTCATGGAGCTTCTACTTTATATTCTGGATTTTATTCTAAGTCCAATGAGAAGAATTTACTGAAGAGTTTTAAGCAGGGAAATCGTATGGTTGTTATACAGCATTACTGCAGTAATAGCTAGTGCTACATAGAAATAAAGTAATATGTTAAAATGCAACATGGGAGCATTCAGAAACACATAAAAATGGACTGAGGTGGAACTCATGGTTTAGCAGGGAAAACCCGGCACCTTTGTCCTAGCTCTTTCCTCAGCCTGGGTCCCCCTTTCCCTCAATATTTGTAAGGCTAGATCCTTTTTGTAATTTATTTCAGGTTAAACTTCACTCCCTCAGAAAAGCCTTTCCTAACCTTGAGTCTAAAGTAGCTTGCAAGTTGCTCTCTACTACACGCTTTAATTCTTTAGATATAACTGATACAATCTTATGATTTTTATTTAAATATTTATTATGTATTTATTTTTATCATCTCTCTTTTTCTGTTAGATTCTAAGTTCCATGAAAGCAGGCATTGTGTGAATTTCTCCTGCATCTGGAACTGGCCTAGCACACCAAGTAAGTGCTTGATAAATGAATATTATGAATAAACACATAAAAGCATAATATGATGTAGCTGCAGAAACAGAGGCAAGCACCAAACTCTACGACAATACAGAGTAAGAAAAAGCACAGAGACTAAGTGTCATTTATGTATCAACAGAGAAGTATACCAGGGAACATTCTATCTCAGAGAAACTAGACTTGTGATCAATTAATAGCTTGTCAAACTGCCAGTAAATAATGAATAATGAAGGTGGGATTTGAGCTCAAATTGAAGTAGGTTCAGATTCCATACACTTTACACTCTTCCACATTGCCTTTCCTTTCCTTTCTCCCATGGACAGGGTAGTTTTTATTAGCTTCCTACAGACAAAAGATACAACCCCCCTAGCTTAAATCAGGAAGAATTAGATATCCTGAACAGACCAATAACAAGCAGCAAGATTGAAATAGTAATTTAAAAATTATCAACAAAAAAAAGTCCAGGACTAGACAGATTCACAGCAGAATTCTAACAGACATTCAAAGAAGAATTGGTACCAATCATATTGACACTATTTCACCAGATAGAGAAAGGGGGAACCCTCCCTAAATCATTCTATGAAACCAGTATTGCCCTAATACCAAAACCAGGAAAGGACATAACCAGAAAAGAAAACTACAGACCAATATCCCTGATGAACATAGATGCTAAAATCCTTAACAAAATACTAGCTAACTGAATCCAATAACACTTCAAAAAGATAATCCACCACGATCAAGTGGGTTTCATACCACAGATGCAGGTATGGTTTAAGATACGCAAGTCAATAAATGTGATACACCACATAAAAAGAATTAAAAACAAAAACTTACATGATCATCTCAATTGATGCAGAAAAAGCATTTGACAAAATCCAGCATTGCTTTATGATTAAAACTCATAGCAAAATTGGCATAAAAGGGACATACCTCAATGTAATAAAGGCCATCTATGAAAAACCCATAGCCAACGTAATACTGAAGGGGGAAAAGTTGAAAGCATTCCCTCAGACAACTGGAGCAAGACAACGATGCCCACTCTCACCACTCCTCTTCAGCATAGTACTGGGAGTCCTAGCCAGAGCAATTGGACAAGAGAAAGAAATAAAGGGGGTCTAGATCCGTAAAGAGGAAGTCAAACTGTTGCTGTTTGCTGATGATACGACTGTTTACTTAGAAAACCCTAAACTCCTCCAGAAAGCTCCTAGAACTGATAAAAGGATTCAGCGAAGTTTCTGGATAAAAAATTAAGGTACACAAATTAGTAGCTCTTTTATACACCAACAGTGACCAGCTGAGAATCAAATCAAGAACTCAACCTCTTTTACAACAGCTGCAAAAAAATAAAATAAAATAAAATACTTAGGAATATACCTAACCAAGGAGGTGAAAGACATCTACAAGGAAAACTACAAAACACTGCTGAAAGAAATCATAGACGACACAAACAAATGGAAACACATCCTATGTTCATGGATGAGTAGAATCAATATTGTGAAAATGACCATACTGCCAAAAGCAATCTACAAATTCAACACAATTCCCATTAAAATACCAATGTCATTCTTCACAGAATTAGAGAAAAACATTCTAAAATTCACATGGGACCAAAAAAGAGCCCACATAGCCAAAGCAAGACTAAGCAAAAAGAACACATCTGGAGGCATCACATTACCTGATTTCAAAATGCACTATAAAGCCATAGTCACCAAAGCAGCATGGTATGGGTATAAAAATAGCTACATAGACAAGGGAACAGAATAAAGAACCCAGAGGTAAACTCAAATACTTACAGCCAACTAATCTTTGACAAAACGAACAAAAACATAAAAAGTATATGTTGGAACTTAATCCTCAATGCAACAGTGTTGGGAGATGGACCCGAATAAGAAGTGATTAGTTCATAAGGGCTCTGCCCTCATAAAAGGATTAGTGCTTCTATTGCAGGAGTGGGTTTGTTATCATGGGAGAGGGCTTATCTATAAAAGGATGAGTTTGGCCCTCTTTTTGCTTGTGTGCTCTCTCTCTCTCCCTCTTTCTCTCTCTCTCACACACACACCCCTTCTGTTTGCCCTTCTACCGTGGGATAAAAGAGAAAAAAAGCCCTCTCCAGACACCAGTGCCTTGATCTTGGAGTTCCCAACTTCCAGAAATGTGAGCTAATAAATTTCTGTTTATTATAAATTACTCACTATGTGGTATTCCACTGTAGCAAGACAAAACACAAAAATGCTAAATGTTACACTTTCCACCTTCCAAGCCTCCTTTTGTTATTCCCAACCCCTCATCAATGGATTTTATATTTTGAAAGATTTCGTTCAAGTTGCATTTATTTAGTATAATTTCCTCACTTTTTTAAAAAAAGTGTGTGTACATGCCAATAAGAGCCCATCCTCAGTCTGAGATAAACAGTGGTATGTGTGACTTGAACTATAGCAGAGCATTGGCCTCTGAAGGTTTAAACACTCATGGAGGTACATGACACAGTGACAGTCATTTCACCCAGATTTGTATTTGCTTTGAATGTAATGGAGTTGATGAATGAGCTGGTAGGGAGCCTGGGTGTCTGCCCAGTTCTCATCTCCAGGCAGCAATGTTGAACTATACTCTTCACTAACCATTTGATGACTCTTATAAAGGGATTAAAAACTTTATTTTTTCACACATTCATTGTATTTGAGGTTAGCATTATTATCCTGAGTATGCTGTGGCAATATGATTTATAGGTTTTTGGGTGCGTGTGTACGTATGAGAACTTATGTTAATAGCTATAGTCTGGAGCTAAAAAAATAAGGATATGTAGGGGTGCCGTTCATTTTTAGATATAATATATATCACTTCAGGAGATATTATATACTATGATGTATCCATGAAGTGAAGTTTCTGGGATCACCTTGGGATTATCAAAGGTGTGATATAACTTTAGCCAAAGCAAAGAAAGTTGCCATTTTAGTTAGCCTATACAGTCTCATTATGTGCAAATACAAATTATAGCTAATTAAATTTCTGAAATATTTAAAGTAACTTCAGATTTCTATTAATATCTTTGGGAACCCTTAGGTAGCAAAGAATTTCAGGTTGGAAACAACTGCCCTCATAGGGATCTAATTAATGTTTTTTGAGTTAATGAAATGATAACGTTTTGTCTCTGAAAAGTTCAACCACTTCCTCATTTAGTACAAATTTGAGAGTTCAGTAGAAACACAGTAAACGAGAAAAATATAAATTTTGGCATGATAAAATGAAATATGGGCACATGAAGATGTACTATTTATATGAGAGAAACGAAGAAAGAAAAAAGAAAGAAAGAAAGAAAGAAGGAAGGAAAGAGAAAGAAAGAAAGAAAGAAAGAAGGAAAGGGAGGAAGGGAGGAAAAAGGAAGGAAGGGAGGGAGGGAGGAAGGGAGGGAGGGAGGAAGGGAGGGAGGGAGGAAGGGAGGGAGGGAGGAAGGGAGTTATCTGGAGGTTGAAAATCTGTTAGTACAATAAGGTCTGTCTTCAGGGAAAATTTTGAAATTGCCATAGTGTAACTACAAAGGAAGACTAAGAAAGCTAAGACCATAATTTCTTATGAAAATTCCAACCTGAATAAAGGAAACCATTGCTAATTCATATCTGCAAGTCACCTTATCTAATTCCCATTTTTGGTAGGTACTTGCAACGCATAAGATGCCTGCCAAAAATGCTGGCTGAGAGGAAACAATATTCATGCCAGTGTTGAAATACCTTGCCAGATTTCAGAGGTAATTTTAGGTCACCAGTCCCATGCCAAATACCTTCCCATTTTAGAAAGACTACTAATATATTAGGATGGGGAACATCAGAGAAGGGATTTACTAAGACTCCATCTCTATTAAAGCTCTTCCAATAGACATTACTTCAAAGTTAGATTTCTTTCTGTGTTTCTCCAAAAGGCTGCAATAAAAATCTGACTGCTAATGACAACTCATTTAGCAGGATGACAGTTGCTTGATGCTCACAGGGAATGAAGCAAGCATTGCCAGATGTGTGCCATACCCTCTTTTAACAGCCTCATTGCAGAGTATCTTCACTATAATGACCATTAGAATAAACCATATTCTATTAATGAAGAAAAATCTTACACTATCAATTAATAGCCTTTAAAAAATGTGAGAGAGCAGAAGGAAACTCTGAGAAATAGTAGAATGCTTTATTCTTTGTACTAGATGAATTGATTGCTACAGCATTTAAATCTATGGGGTAACAACGCAGTAGGGTTTTTGGACCACAGATATATCAACATAAATCCTTATTTACATTCATTTAAGAATTCATAGCACCATTTGTTATGAGGAATATGGCTTTTTTAGGCTGCCCCTCTGTGTGCAAGCACACTCTCACACACAATAGCATTTGTATGATTTAAAATGTAGATAGCAGTAAGTCTGGATTCTGAATAGTTTTATGTAAAATTTAATAAAAATGCAAGAAAGGATTCTTTTTTATTATACTTTAAGTTCTAGGATACATGTGCAGAACGTGCAGGTTTGTTACATAGGCATACATGTTGCCATGGTGGTTTGCTGCACTCATCAACCCGACATCTACATTAGGTATTTCTTCTAACGCTATCCCTTCACTAGTCCCCAGCCCCCGACAGACCTGGGTTTGTGATGTTTCCCTCCCTGTACCCATATGTTGTCATTGTTCAACTCCCACTTATGAATGAGAACATGTGATGTTTGGTTTTCTGATCCTGTGTTATTTTGCTGAGAATGAGGGTTTCCAGGTTCATCCATGTCCCTGCAAAGGACATGGACTCATTCTTTTTTATGGCTGTGTAGTATTCCGTGGTGTGTATGTGCCACATTTTCTTTATCCAGTCTAACGTTAATGGGCATTTGGGTTGGTTCCAAGTCTTTGTTATTATGAATGGTGCTGCAGTAAACATATGTGTGCATGTGTCTTTACAGTAGAATGATTTATAATCCTTTGGGTATATACCCAATAATAGGTTTGCTGGGTCAAATGGTATTTCTAGTTCTAGATCCTTGAGGAATTGCCACACTGTCTTCCACAATGGTTGAACTAATTTATACTCTGACCAACAGTGTAAAAGTGTTAATATTTCTCCACATCCTCCCCAGCATCTGTTGTTTCCTGACTTTTTAATGATCACCATTCTAACCGGGGTAAGATGGTATCTCATTGTGGTTTTGATTTGCATTTCTCTAATGACTAGTGATGATTAGCTTTTTTTTTTCATGTTTGTTGGCCGCATAAATCTCTTCCTTTAAAAAGTGTCTGTTCATATCCTTTGCCCAGTTTTTGATGGAGTTTTTTTTTTCTTGTAAATTCGTTTAAGCTCCTTGTAGATTCTGGATATTAGCCCTTTGTCAGATGGATAGATTGCAAAAATTTTCTCCCATTCTGTAAGTTGCCTGTTCACTCTGATGACGGTTTCTTTTGCTGTGCAGAAGCTCTTTAGATTAATTAGTTCCCATTTGTCAATTTTGGCTTTTGTTGTAATTGCTTTTGGCATTTTAGTCATGAAGTCTTTGCCCATAACTATGTCCTGAATGGTATTGCCTATGTTTCCTTCTAGGGTTTTTTTATGGTTTTAGATCTTATGTTTAAATCTTTACTTGATAATGAGTTGATTTTTGTATAAGGTGTAAGTAAGGAGTCTAGTTTCAGTTTTCTGCATATGGCTAGCCAGTTTTCCCAACACCATTTATTAAATTGGGAATCCTTTCCCCATTTCTTGTTTTGTCAGGTTTTTCAAAGATCAGATGGTTGTAGACGTGTGGTGTTATTTCTGAGAACTCTGTTTTGTTCCATTGGTCTACTATGTGTCTGTTTTAGTACCAGTATCATGCTGTTTTGATTACTGTAGCCTTGTAGCATAGTTTGAAGTCAGGTAGTGTGATGCCTCCAGCTTTGTTCTTTTTGCGTAGGATTGTCTTTTTTGGTTCCATATGAAGTTTAAAGTAGTTTTTTTCTATTTCTGTAAAGAAAGTCAATGGTAGCTTGATGGGAATAGCATTGAATCTATAAATTACTTTGGGTAGTATGGCCATTTTCACAATATTGATTCTTCCTATCCATAAGCATGGATAGGAAGAAATGAGTTTTCCATTTGTTTGTGTCCTCTCTTATTTCCTTGAGCAGTGTTTTGTAGTTCTCCCTGAAGAGGTCCTTCACATCCCTTGAAAGTTGTGTTCCTAGGTATTTTATTTTCTTTGTAGCAATTGTGAATTGGAATTTGCTCATGATTTGGTTTTCTGTTTGTCTATTATTGGTGTATAGGAAAGCTTGTGAATTTTGCACATTGATTTTGGATCCTGAGACGTTGCTGAAATTGCTTATCAGTTTAAGGAGTTTTTGAGCTGAGACGATGGGGTTCTCTAAATATACAATCATGTCATCTGCAAACAGAGATAATTCGACTTCCTCTCTTCCTATCTGAATACCCTTTATTTCTTTCTCTTGCCTGATTGCCCTGGCCAGAACTTCCAATACTATGTTAAATAGGAGTGGTGAAAGAGGGCATCCCTGTCTTGTGCTGGTTTTCAAAGGGAATGCTTCCAGGTTTTGTCTATTCAGTATGATATTGGCTGTAGGTTTGTCATAAATAGCTCTTATTATTTTGAGATAATACCATCAATACCTACTTTATTGAGTGTTTTTAGCATGAAGGGATGTTGAATTCTATGGAAGGCCTTTTCTGCATCTATTGAGGTAATCATGTGTTTTTTGTCCTTGGTTCTGTTTATGTGGTGGATTACATTTGTTAATTTGTGTATGTTGAAACAGACTTGCATCCCAGAGATGAAGCCGACTGAATCGTGGTGGATAAGCTTTTTGATGTGCTGCTGGATTTGGGTTGCCAGTATTTTATGGAGGATTTTCTCATCGATGTTCATCAGGGATATTGGCCTGAAATTTTCTTTTTTTGTTGTGTCTTTGCCAGGTTTTGGTATCAGGATGATACTAGCCTCTTAAAATGAATTAGGGAGGAGTCCCGTTTTTCTATTGTTTGGAATAATTTCAGAAGGAATGGAACCAACTCCTCTTTGTAACTCTGGTAGAATTCGGCTGTGAATCTGCCTGGTCTTGGGCTTTTTTCAGTTGGTAAGCTATTAATTTCTGCCACAATTTCAGAACTGGCTATTGATCTATTTGGGGATTTGACCTCTTCCTGGTTTAGTCTTATGAGGGTGTATGTGTCCAGGAATTTATCCATTTCTTCTAGATTTTCTAGTTTTTTTGCTTAGAGGTGTTTATAGCATTCTCTAATGGTAGTCTGTATTTCTCTGGGATCAGTGTTTATATCCCCTTTATCATTTTTTATTGTGTCTATTAGATTCTTCTCTCTTTTCTTCTTTATTAGTCTGGCTAGTGGTCTATCTATTTTGTTAATCTTTTCAAAAAACCAGCTCCTGAATGCATTGATTCTTTGAAGTGTTTTTCATGTCTCTATCTCCTTCAGTTCTGCTCTGATATTAGTTATTTCTGGCCTTCTGCTAGCTTTTGAATTTATTTGCTCTTGGCTTCTCTATCTCTTTCTATTGTGATGTTATGGTGTTGATTTTAGATCTTTCCTGCTTTCTGATGTGGGCATTTAGTGCTATAAATTTTCCACTAAACTCTGCTTTAGCTGTGCCCCATAGATTCTGGTATGTTGTGTCTTTGTTCTCACTCGTTTCAAAAAATTTATTTATTTCTGCCTTAATTTTGTTATTTATGCAGTAGTCATTCAGGAGCAGGTTGTTCAGTTTCCACGTAGTTGTGCAGTTTTGAGTGAGTTTCTCAATCCTGAGTTCTAATTTGATTGCACTGTGGTCTGACAGACTCTTTGTTATGACTTCCATTCTTCTGCATTTGCTGAGGATTGTTTTACATCCAATAATGATGTTGATTTTAGAATGAATGCTATGTGGTTCTGAGAAGAATGTATATTATGTTGATTTAGTGTGGAGAGGTCTGTAGATGTCTATGAGGTCTGCTTGGTCCAGAGCTGAGTTCAAGTCCTGAATATCCTTGTTAATTTTCTGTCTCATTGATCTGACTAATATTGACTGTGGGGTGTTAAAGTCTCCCAGTATTAATATGTGGGAGTTTAAGTCTCTTAATAGGTCTCTAAAAAACTGCTTTATGAATCTGGTTGCTCCTGTATTGAGTGTGTATATATTTAGGATAGTTAGCTCTTCTTGTTGCATTGATCCCTTTACCATTATTTAATGTCCTTCTTCGTCTTTTTTTCTTTGTTGGTTTAAAGTCTGTTTTATCAGAGACTAAGATTGCAACCCTTGCTCTTTTTTTTTTTTTTTTTTTTTTTTTTGCTTTTGATTTGCTTGGTAAATCTTCCTCCACCCCTTTATTTGGAGCCTATATGTGTCTTTGCATGTGAGATGGGTCTCCTGAATATAGCACACCGATGGGTCTTGACTCTTTATCCAATTTGCCAGTCTGTGCCTTTTAATTGGGGAATTTAGTCCATTTACACTTAAGGTTAATATTGTTATGTGTGAATTTGATCCTTTCATTATGATTCTAGCTAGTTACTTTGTCCATTAGTTGATGCAGTTTCTTCATAGTGTTGATGGCCTTTACATTTTGGTTTGTTTTTGCAGTGGCTGGTACCGGTTTTTCCTTTCCATATTTAGTGCTTCCTTCAGGAGCTCTTGTAAGGCAGGTCTGGTGGTGACAAAATCCCTCAACATTTGCTTGTCTGTAAAGGATTTTATTTCTCCTTCACTTATGAAGCTTAGTTTGGCTGCATATGAAATTCTGGGTTGAAGATTCTTTTCTTAAGAATGTTGAATATTGGCCCCCACTCTCTTCTGGCTTGTAGGGTTTCTGCAGAGAGATCTGCTGTTAGTCTGATGGGTTTCCCTTTGTCAGTAACACAACCTTTCTCTCTGGCTTCCCTTAATATTTTTTCCCTCATTTCAATCTTGGTGAATCTGACCATTGTGTGCCTTGGGGTTGCTCTTCTCATGGAGTATCTTTGTGATGTTCTCTGTATTTCCTGAATTTGAATGTTGGTCTGTCTTGCTAGGTTGGGGAAGTTCTCCTGGATTATATCCTGAATAGTGTTTTCCAACTTGATTCCATTCTCTCTGTCACTTTCAGGTACACCAATCAAATGTAGGTTTGGTCTTTTCACATAGTCCCATATTTCTTGGAGGCTTTGTTCATTCCTTTTCATTCTTTTTTTCTCTAATCTTGTCTTCATGCTTTATTTCATTAAGTTGATCTTCAACCTCTGATATCCTTTCTTCTGCTTGATCAGTTCAGCTACTGATACTTGTGTATGCTTCATAAAATTCTCATGTTGTGTTTTTCAGCTCCATCGTGTAATTTATGTTCTTTTCTAAACTGGTTATTCTAGTTAGCAATTTCTCTAACCTTTTTTCAATATTCTTGGCTTCCTTGCATTGGGTTACAACATGCTCCTTTAGCTCAGAGAAGTTTCTTATTACCCACCTTCTGAAGCCTACTTCTGTCAATTCATCAAACTCATTCTCTGTCCACTTTTGTTTCCTTGCTGGTGAGAAGTTGTGATCCTTTGGAGGAGAAGAGTCATGCTGGTTTTTGGAATTTTCACCCTTTTTGAGCTGGTTTTTCCTCATCTTCATGGATTTATCTACCTTTTGTCTTTGCTGTTGGCGACCTTCAGATGGAGTTTTTGCATGGTCGTCCTTTTTGTTGATGTTGATGCTAATGCTTTCTCCTTTTTAGTTTTCCTTTTAACAGTCAGGCCTCTCTTCTGCAGGTCTGCTGAAATTTGCTGGAGGTACACTCCAGACCCTGTTTGCCTGAGTATCACCAGCAGAGGCTGCTGAACAGCAAAGATTGCTGCCTGCTCCTTCCTCTGGAAGCTTTGTCCCAGAGGGGCACCCACCAGATGCCAGCTGGAGCTCTCCTGTATGAGGTGTCTGTCGATCCCTGCTGGGAGGTGTCTCACAGTCAGGAGGCACGGGGGTCAGAGACCCACTTGAGGAGGCAGTCTGTCCCTTAGCAGAGCTCGAACACTATGCTGGGAGATCTGCTGCTCTGTTCAGAGCCAGCAGGCAGGAACATTTAAGTCTGCTGAAGCTGCACCCACAGCTGCCCCTTTCCTCAGGTGCTCTGTCTGAGGGAGATGGGAGTTTTATCTATAAATAACCTGGCTGGGGCTGCTGCCTTTCTTTCAGAGATGGCCTTCCCAGAGAGGAGGACTCTAGAGAGGCAGTCTAGCTACAGAGGCTTTGTGGTGCTGCAGTGGGCTCTGCCCAATCCAAACTTCCTGGCAGCTTTCTTTGCACCCTGAGGGGAAACAACCTACTCAAGCCTCAGTAATGGCAGACACCCATCCCCCCACCAAGGTCGAGCATCCCACATCGACTTCAGACTGATGTGCTGGCAGCGAGAATTTCAAGCCTGTGGATCTTAGCTTGCTGGGCTCCATGGGGGTGGGATCCACTGAGCAAGACCTCTTGGCTCCCTGACTTCAGTCCCCTTTCCAGGGAGTGAAGGGTTCTGTCTTGCTGGCATTCCAGGTGCCACTGGGGTCCAAAAAAACTCCTGCACTAGCTTAGTGTCTGCCCAAATGGCCACCCAGTTTTGTGCTTGAAACCCAGGGCCCATGTGGTGTAGGCACCCAACGGAATCGTCTGGTCTGTGGGTTGCAAAGACCATGGGAAAAGCATAGTATCTGGGCCAGATAGCCATGTCCCTTATGGCAGGGTCCCTCAAGGCTTCCCTTGACTAGGGGAGGGAGTTCCCTGATCCCTTGTGCTTCCCAGGTGAGGCAATGCCCCACCATGCTTCTGCTTGCCCTCCATGGGCTGAACCCACTGTCTAACCAGTCCCAGTGAGATGAACCAGGTACTTTAGTTGGAAATGCAGAAATCACCCACCTTCTGCATTGATCTTACTGAGAGCTGCAGACTGCAGCTGTTCCTATTCGGCCATCTTGCCCAGGAATCCAAAAATGGATTCTATAATATCATTTTGGCTACCACATTTGATTTTTTTTATGAGACTTTGGATACTAGTTTGATTTGCTATTTTTTTTTTAAACTCATCAAAACAGGACTGGAGATGAAAGGATAGCGATTTCTGACATTTCTGCTGCTCAGCTTGTTACAGTGATTGTGCTCTGTAAACAGAGCTCCATTTTGTTTAGCTGCTTGTGTGATAACTATTACAAGCCTTTTACAAAATCTTAAAAGAAATATTTTCATTCAAATTTTATATTTTAGGGAATAGTAAATTGTTTAGGAATTTACATTTTGGAGGAACAAAATTGCTTCTTTTTTTTCTAAGACCTAGGATTCCTTTTTGTAGCAATGCACAGTTGGCTACATGAGCATAAACAAATGTGAAACCACGTACTGAGAGACCCTACATTAAGAAAGCAAAATAAATTCAATACATAGACAGGAAATATCATTCTATGTCATTCTCTGAATGAAAGGATAATATGTTTCCTTGTGCCAGAATTGACGTTTGTTTTTTTTTTAAAGAAAAGCCTAGACAGCTTCTTTCAGTTCTTAATAACTTCTCTTGCTCTGAGCCCTTATTTATAAGCCTGAGAAAGTTATGTGTTTTTCTGCCTTACACTGCCTCATTCTTATTTACTCTAGGCCAAGATGCTTTTAGAAAATGTTTAAAACCAATGATTTGATATGACCCCTTACTAACACTATAACATCCTCCAAAAAAACCTCTTCCTGCTTTTTATGTCCTGGTGGGAGATATTTTCTGGGCTTATTTTGAGGACAGATTCATTCCTTGATTAAGAATGAAAACCTGGAGGGAACAAAGTCAATAAAGTGTGGCTACAGTATCTTTTAAATAAAGATAACTTTCCCTGAGTCTGCTGGCAGGAAGTAATCTGACTCCTTCTTTGAGCTTAAGCCTGTTCATCATTTTATCTCTTGTTTTCATAACACTTCTTTTTTTTTTTTTTTTTGAGACGGAGTTTCGCTCTTGTTGCCCAGGCTGGAGTGCAATGGCGTGATCTCGGCTCGCTGCAACCTCCGCCTCCCAGGTTCAAGCACTTCTCCTGCCTCAGCCTCCTGAGTAGCTGGGTTTACAGGCATGCACCACCACGCCCAGCTAATTTTGTATTTTTAGTAGAGACAGGGTTTCTCCATGTTGAGGCTGGTCTCTAACTCCTGACCTCAGGTGATCCACCCACCTTGGCCTCCCAAAATGCTGGGATTACAGGCGTGAGCCACTGCGCCCGGTCAACACTTCTTTTAAGAAAAAGTTTTATTTTGTTTTCTATTGACATATAATAATTGTATATATTTAGGGGATACAATGTGATGTTTTAATACAAGTATATATACATTGTGGAATAATCAAATCAGGATAATTAACATATTCATTACCACAAATATTGATCATTGCTTTGTGGTGAGAACATTTAAAATTCTTTTAGCTATTTTGAAATATACAATACATTACTATTAACTGCACTTACCATGCTGTCCAATAGGTCACCAGAACTTATTCCTCCCTGCCTAGCTGAAACTTTGTACCCTTTGATTATTAACATCTATTTTCCTACTCAACATCCACTCCCCTGACCCTAGCATGAAAACAGTTATGCGGTGATATATTATTGTGATTTCAATTTGCATTTCTCTGATTAGACTTGTTGAGCATTTTGTTATATATCTGTTGGACATTTTCATGTCTTCTTTTGAGAAATGTCTTTTCAAGTACTTTGCACATTTTTTAATATGGTTATTATTTTCTTGTTGCTGAGTACTCTGAGTTCTTTGTACATTTTGGATATCAGCCCTTAATCCAATGTATGACTTACAAATATTTCTCTCAGTCTGTGGATTATCCCTTTACTCTGTTAATTGTTTGCTTTGGTACGCAGAAGTTTTTAAATTTGATGCAATCCTACTAGTTTATTTTTGCTTTTGTTGCCTGTGTTTTGGGGAACATCACCAAGAAATTGCAGCCCAGACCAATGTCATAGAGCTTTTCCCCTATGTTTTCTCCTAGTAGTTTAACTATTTCAGTGCTTATGTTTAAGTGATTTTGAGTCTATTTTTTTTTTAAGCAGTGAGATAAGGGTCTGTATTTATTCTTCTGTTATGTGGATATTCAGTGGAATTTTTTTTCTGGGCTCTCTGTTGCATTCCATTGATCCATGTGTCTGTTTTTATGCCAGTGCCATGCTTTTTGGTTACTACAGCTTTGTAATATATTTTGAAATCCAGTAGTCTGATGACTCCAACTTTCTTCTTTTAGCTTAAGATGGCTTTGCTATTCAGGAATTTTTTGGTTCCATATGAGTTTTAGGATTGTTTTTTCTATTTCTGTGAAGAATGACATTAAAATTTTGACAGGGATTGCATTGGATGTATACACTGCTTATGGCAGTATGACTATTTTAACAATATTAATTCTTTCAATCTATGAACATAGAATATCTTTCCATTTATTTGTATCTTTTTCAATTTCTTTTATCAATGTTTTATAGTTTTCTGTATATGAATTTTCCACCTCTTTAAAATACTTACTCCTAAGTATTTTATTCTTGATGCTATTGTAAATGTATTGTAAATGAGATTGTTTTCTTAATTTCTTTTTCAGACAGTCTGTTTGTATAGAAAAGCTACTTATTTTTATAGGTTGATTTCATATCCTGCAACTTTACCAAATTCCTTTATCAGTTCTCTCAGTTTTTTTGTAGAATCATTAGAATTTTCTCTATATAAGATCATGTCATCAACAAACAGAGACAATTTCATTTCTTCCTATGTAGACGTAATTTATTTTCTTGGCCAATTGCTCTGATTAGGACTTCTAATACTATATTGAATAGAAGCGGTGGAAGTGGGTGTTTGTTTCTTATTCATGATCTCAGAGAAGAAATCTTCAACTTTTCAACATTGAGTGTGATGTTAGATGTGGATTTGTCATATATAGCCTTTATTGTGTTGAGAGGAATTTTTCTATACCTAATTTATTGAGAGTTTTTATAATAAAATGTTGAATTTTGTCAAATTATTCTTTCTGCATCTATTGAGATGATCTTGTGGTTTTTTGCATCTATCTTCATCAAGGATATCGGCTTGTAGTTTTTATTTTTATTTTTTGTATTCTTTTCTGAGTTAAGTGTCAGGGTAATAATGATTTGCAAAATAAGTTTGGAAGTACTTTCTCTTCTGCAATGTTTTGGAAGAGGTTAAGAAGGATTAGTACTTGTTCTTTAAATATTTGTTACAATTCAGTCATGAAGCCATCTGGTCTTGGGCTTTTCTTTGATGAAAGAGTTTTTATTACAGATTCAATATTCTTACTGCTATTGATCTGTTCAGATTTTGGATTTCTTCATAAATAAGTCTTAATAGGTTATATATTTCTAGGAGTTTGTCCACTTATAGATTGTCTGATTTTTGGCATATAGTTGTTCATAGTAGTTGCTTATTACCCTTTGTATTTTTTTATCAGTTGTAATGTCTTCTTTTTCATTTGTGATTTTATCTACTTGAGTCTTGCTTCTTTTTTTGTCTAGCTGTTTGTCAAGTTTGTTTAGCTTTTCAAGAAACAACTTTTGATTTCATTGATGTTATATATTGTTTTTCTAGTCTCTTACTTCAGTTCTTTCTGCTCCCAACGTCGTTATTTCCTTTCTTCTGATATCTTTGGGTTTAGTTTTTTCTTCTTTATCTGGTTTCTTAAGGTGTAACATGAAGTTGTTTATTTGATTTTTTTTTGGATGTAGGTGTTATTGCTGTAAACTTTCCCCTTAAGTCTGCTTTTGCTATATACCATAAGTTTTAATATGCTGTATGTTCATATTTGTTTGTCTCAACCTGTTTTTAAATTTTCCTTTTAATTTATTCTTTTATCCCATAATTGTTCAGAAGCATATTATTTAATTTCTAATATTTGATAATCTTCCATGATTCTTTCTGTTATTGATTTCTAGTTTCATACTATTATGGTTGGCAAAGATAGTTGATATGATTTTGACCTTCTTAAATTTATGGCCTAACATGTAATCTATCCTATGAAAGGTTCTAAGTACACTTGAGAAGAATGTGTATTCTGTTGCTGTTGAGAGCAATGTTTTGTATATATCTCTCTGATCCATTTGGTCTAAAATGTAGTTCAAGTTCAATATTTTCTTCTGACTAATGTGGGGTATTAAATGTGGGGTATTAAAATTCCATATAATTATTGTGTTGTATCCTGCCTCTCTTCAGATCTTTTAGTGTTGGCATTGTATATTTAGGTGCTCTGATGTTGGGTGCATATATATTTACAATTCTCATATTCTCTTGATGAAATGATCCATTTATCACTATATAATGACATTCTTTGTGTTATTTTTACGTTTTTGGCCTAAAGTCTATTTTGTCTGAAATAAATATAGTTACCTCTCCTCTCTTTTGGTCTGCATTTGCATGAAATATCTTTTTTCATCTATTCACTTTCAGTCTATGAGTGTCATTTAAGGTAATGTGAGTTTCTTGTTGGCAGCATACAGTTGAGTCTTCTATGGTGGTGTTTGCTTTTTCTCAGGAATCCTTCACAAAGCTCCAGACTAGATTAAGTTTTTTGTTATTATTGTTACACTCTTATAGGATCACATTTTTCTTTTCTGTAGAACACTTATATTTTTCTTACCTCTGTATCTATTTGTGTTATTATTTAACTCTGAGCTCTATGAGACTAGGAATTGCTTGTTTTCCTTCACCACAATCTTGGGCACATAGCATGGTTCCTGGTACTTAAGTACATAATAAAATGTTGTTGAAGGAATGTATAAATAAATTGGCAAAAGACTTTGCACACAAAAAAATTTCAGTCAGTAATTTCAGATATAGTCACAGAAAATAAAACAACTTTACTTTTAGTATGTTAGAATTAAAAGCATTGATTTTGCTCACAGAAGAAGGCTCTTTGGTGCTTCATTATATATTTAAAAAGAAAGTGTAAAGGACACCACTTCTTCAAATAATTATAATAAGGCCATTTCTTAATTGTGAAATGAAAAAGACTCATAATTATGTTGGTTGACTCTACTTATTATATAAGTACTTAACCAGGTTTTCAATTTACATTGGATGGTAAACACTGACAAGGAAACGTCTGCATAATGGAAAGTACTTTGACACCTGACCAGCTTTGCCAGGATTCAATTTCATTAAATTATTGTCAATGTACACATCAAGTGTGTGAGGTGGAGTTGAAGGGGTTCCCTTGTGAAGAAATGTGGGAATTATATCTCAAGGCATATAAGGTGACTTAGCTCTCAAAGGTGTTCTTTTTTAGGGCAAGTAACAAAAGTGATTTTCACTGTTATCCTAGAATCATTCTTAATGAAGTTATCATTTGTTTCTTCCCTGAATACATCATGTTCTGACACTCGCTTATGCTCCTACCACACTGAATTTCTTATCATACTCTGAATTCAGGCCCTGTTATACTTCTCCCTTTGTCTTTGCACATATTCATCCCCCATCATACTTTTCCCTGTTTTCCTAGCTGAAACAAGATGTGAATTTGGTCCTTGAACAGTCAATGCACTTGCATTTCATTAGTGCTACATGACAGATTTTTTACATTCTTTTTGGTGGGTACGCTTCTTTATCCCTCAATTCTATCTTTGTCGTTATTGACATTGGACAACTCTCTGGCCTTTTTGTTTTGTTTTGTTTTGTTTTTGAAAGCATAGTCTTTTTCTAAGCCCCGTTATACGTCCTTGTTTTTATGTCTCAATGGCCCTTTCCCTCTGAAGCTAACCATTCTTGTCATAATCTTCGTACTGATCCCATATTCCCCTCTGAAGGACATTATGCTCATACTTATCTTCCTCTGTTTAGAAGCACCAATTTTTATTTTGCTTTTTCTTGCTCTCAATGTTTATATATTAAAAATCTAATTCTTTTCATCTAAATAAATACAGACTTTTCACAGATTTTATTGTACTTTGTAGCGTTGATATACTTTGTATCATTCTTTTTTAGCAACACAAATCCATTTTGACCACCCATTCCTCTTGCTTCTGCCTCTACCATTGAATTAAGCCCAGTATTTACAATGTTGTTATGATGTTCTTACAGTCAGATTTAAAAGCTTCTCCTTAGTCCTCTTACTTTTTGACATCTCAGTGCTATTCTGATTCTGTTGGCAATTTCAACTGCTTTCCAAACTTTTCCTTCCTCTTACTCTCACTGATATAGATGATTCCAATTTCTCTTTTTGGTTCATCTCTTTGTGGTTTATCTTCCCTCCATCACCAGGTCTCCTTTCTTCTTCCGTCTCTCAACCGTGAGAAATATCCAAACTTTATTTCTTGACCCTCTATTCTCAAACTTTATTTTGTAGAAGCTGCTATCCTCTATTTCTGTCTTAAATCTTCATCTATAAATCAATTGTTCCCAAATCCTAATCCTTTGCCAAATCTTTCCATCAGGCTACAGCCTTTTAGTTCAAACTACCTACAAGAAAACTTTTCTTGAAATTTCCTAAAAAGTACAAATTTAGTGTGACTATAGCCAAACTTCTCATTTTTATCCTTAAAAATGTCCCTTTTGTCCTCATCCTCCTTTTAAGTTGGGCCACTAGTACTCCTCAAAGTTCAAATGCTTGTAATTCATGACAAAGCCCAGTATATTTTCTTATAGGTTTCCCTGTCTGTTTTTATTGCCTTCTTCAATTTTCCTTCCCACAGGAAGACTTCACAACTCTTGTGTGAATATAGTTGCCTCCTAGCTATATTTTTTCTTTTATATCTTCCAGTTTTCCAAAACTATATCTTACCTTTCTCTCATTTTTTAAAAAATATTACCTTTCTCTAACTGTGCTTGCATTTAGTAACCCTATTATACAATTGGGCCCTTCTATTATAAATAGGCTATTCAGAAATCAGTTTACTAAATCAAAATAACAGTATCAGTAATCATACTCTACTGCCTCCTACAACTGACAGTATTTTTACTGCCTTTTAAAACTTGCTATATGTAAGAAAGTTAATAATGTTTATTACACATCTCAGAAAAATAAGCACAAACATAGCTAGCAGGCAGGCCATTATGTAAACAGAGGGATGAAAATGTTAATATACAACTGAATAGATGTCTGTTGGTGATGGACACAATCTCCCTGGCACTTAGCTTTGTTCCTCTCTATGGAAGTTTATGGGGAGAGGGTTTGTGAAAAAAGCTTTGATACTGTCTTATTCTCTTATGGTATTGTATGGTTTAGCATTCATGTGGTTTCCTAGTATTTTATAAATTGTATTCTTTTAATTGCCTCCATATGAATAGAAGCTATGATGCCTGTCATCTTGGCTAGCATATCTAGTTTCACTGTAAGAGTAAAGCCAAAAAAAAAAAAAAGAGTAAAGCCAAAACCAAAACAAAACAACTATAATTTATTGACTAAATTTTATTAGAGGCATTTTATATACTAATTTTATATTAAAATTTAGACTAATATAGGCAATTTGAAGGTAGAAATTTAAGGCAAGTAAAGTGATAATTTGGTAAGGGTATTCTACATCATTAGATAATTAGAAACATGTACTTAGTTTTTTTTTCTCTTTTAAATTTGAAGCCTTTGGCAAGAATTCAAGTTATACAGTTTTTTTTATGAAGCCCAAGTAGTCTTCAGTCTAAATGATCTTAGATCTAAATGTGTTTACACGTGATTTTTAAAACTTAATGACTATATAATCAACTAAAAATTTAGCAAATTCTGAAAAAATTTTATACAACCCATCTGTTAATATTTAAATATTCTCTTTTAATCTTTTTAAAAATGTGTATGTGTTTTGCATGCCAGTAATCATAGTGTTTATGCTTTTTTCCTGTGGAATTTAAAAGACAACACTTTATCACAACTATTTCCCCTGCATATGCTGCATAGCTTCCATGCTTCTGTGATTTTTTTTTTAACAACAGGGTCTAAGGAGGGAGCAGGGTAAAGTCTAATGACGCACAGCCAAAGAATTTCCTTGCCTTGATAATAGGCCAGCTGCCCATTAACTTAACCAGCTTCTAGCTCACTGTCACACACTATCGTACGACATTTGTTCTAAAATTGTCAATCTACAGGGAATAATTAAGGCTTATTGCCTTGAGATTTAAAAAAATAAAATTGGCTTTATATGAGAGATTCTTCCTAATGTAATGCAGACAGAATAAAACAGGAGTAATGTTTCAATCTGTGAAATAAATTCTCAATTTGAACATCCTCATGCTGAGAAGGAAACATCCAACTATTTCAGTGTATAGAGATGCAAGAAATTTGATATTTTTCCCTTGACATTTCTGTCATATTCAGCCATCATCCTGGGCTGTCAGCACCTGCCCCATGACTTAAAAATCCTGTTTGATCTGTGTTCATCAATTACTGCATCAGCAGCTGTACCTCTCAGTTAGTTTGAATGAACTTAAGAAGAAATGGGCCAGGGTTAACTAAACACTTGGTTCTCTTTTTAGTGTGTGATACCCTATACTTTCCCCTTGTATTGAAAAAAATATTATTTGTTTTTCTCTATTTATTTGCTTCCCTTCTCAATGTCCTGTACTTTCCATGTGTTTCAAATTATATTTTGGTTGTTATTTGAGGGTTATTTTTATAGAACGTTAGTTTTGTTTTTATTATTCCTTATTATTTCACATTTTTAAAAAATATTTTTAGTGACTGCATCTGTATTTAATGTTAATTGAAATATGTTTACCCTCATCCATTCGTTCATCAATTTACCACTTATTTATTCATTAATTGTAGCCCTCTTTTATGGCAGGAAAAAAGTTTGATTACTTTTATTGAGTTGATTCACTTACTTTGGTTTTAAGAAAGGACCAATTTAGTCAAATTACGATTTGTGATTGGCTGATTTTTCCGAAGCGTTCATGTATGAAATCAGAATCTGTTTATTTCGTTGAAATGGAGTTCTGTAGCATATCTTGTTGATAATATAAAATGCATTTTCTAATAATTACTTTTTATTTTTAATATCTTCATTTTAAGAGCTCACAATTTTTGTTTTCTAAACTGTGTATTAAGATTAAATTGACATTGTTTCTACTTAGAAAAAAGTATTTTTTACAGGTTAGTTGTCATAATGTTTTACTGTACTTACTGGTGCTAATAATTTGTGTATAAATGTGTTTTAAAATTTGGGCTTATTTGTCTTTTGCTTATGCAAGGGTACAAAATCTCATTTTCTTCTTCCTTTTTTTTTCAGGCCTTGCTTTCATTAATCTTTTTTTCTGACCTGTATGTAAAGACAAACAATTATTTCATTTTCTCATCCTCTTCAATCCTTTTTGCAAAATTCTTCCTTTTTAAAATATTATTCTCTAGATAGTCTTTAAATATAAACTTACACAATTATTTTGGTCTAATAATGACTGACCCATTCCCTAGCTCTTTACAGCCATTTTATTACATTTTAAATCCAGAGTATACTGTATTGAGGCCAAGTAAACATTGTTGTGATAGCACAATTTTCTCTTCTCTGGCTCACTGTGGCTGTACTCCTGATAACGTTTTCATGTTGTGTTTTGCAGGGGAAAATGTATTTCTTCACAAGAAAATTTTAAGTTTAGTGCCAGCCATTCTTTGCCACTCTTATTAGAGACATTTGCCGTTTGCCTAGTAAACATTTGTTGAAAATGCTTCCATGAATAATTATCTCTTCCTACACTATTTAAACTCAAAGTTATTCATGTACATCTAATCAACTGAGAATAAAATCCCATTTCTTAGAATTTGTTTGGATTTCTTCACAGCAATGAGTAATCATTGCTAAAGGAAGATTTACTGGGGCAAAAAGCATGATCAGTCCAGTTTCATCAGATTTATATTTTATGTCTGAGGCATTCCATTCCTTGGGATAACGGTTTCCCAGCCTACCCACTCAAAATGCATTTATAATTTAACTTATATATGCCTAATACTTGCACACATTTTCTTTAAATTACATTAATTTTGGTATTGTATGAATTGACTTCCACTTTTGTTTCTATAATAATCGAGTTTGATTTATCATAGCTTGCCATGCAGCCACTGACCAGAAAACATTTACATTATAAATCAGAGATCAATAGTCATGACAAATTTCCTTCTATTATATTAATTTACACTTTCACAGTTTATAGAAACACCTATTTTCCCATTTTCTTGCCAGTACAGAGCTTCTTATCTGTTCTTGTTGCAGCAGCCTGAAGTTAGTTAGGGATCTGTCCACGTTTTCTCCCTTGGTCTCTCTGTATCTCTATTATATAGTTAATATTTAAATACTTTCTTGCCTTCAAAAAATTCAAACAATATACATGTATGTTAGTAAAATTCAAATTTCTCCTTCACTCTTTTTCAAGGGCTACTACTCTCAACAGTTTATAGTGAGTGTTTTGTAAATTTATTTTAAAACATGTTTTGTTGATATGTACCTGTGTATTTTTTTACATTCACATATTAAATTATATGCATTGTACTGTCTTTTTTCTTTGCTTAAAAATATTGTAATGACATGTCTATTTTTAATAATTGCATACATGTTATTATGTTCCCTTTTAGCCAACCTTTAGTTTGTTTCCATTTTTTCTGTATTATAACATTTAAATGAATGCTCATAATTGGTAATTCTGGGGCAGAAAAATAAAAATGTATCTAACTTTATTGGATATTGTAAAATTTATAAACACTTTCTTACTAATAGTGTAGGTCACTTTTTCTATGTCCTTAATTATTTTTAGCTGATTTATCTACAAATTTCAGAAAGAGAATCTGAAAATCTAATTTATTTTTTACTTGTGGACTTGTCTATTTCTCCATAATGTTAATTTTGCTTCATACATTTCAAGAATATATCTTCAATGGTACACATCTATGATTACTATATATTCCTTGTGGGCTTTTTATTATAATTTTATGCTATTCTGTATTTTTAATAATTTTTCTTAAATCTATTTTGTCTAATATTAGTATTATTTTACCAGTCTTTTGTTTTCCTTTGGTTAGTTTTCAGTTAGAGTACTTTACTGTATTAGCTAGTGTTCTCCAGAAAGACAGAACCAATAGGATGTATATAGATATTTAAGAGGAGATTTATTATGATAATTGGCTCATGTGATTATTGAGGCCAAGAAATCTCACAGCATGCCACCTGCAAGCTGGAGATGAAAAAAGGCCAGTGGTATAATTCAGTCTCAGTCCCAGTGAGAGGTGAGGCCAGCTGGGCTTCTGGGTCCAGTGGGGACTTGGATAACTTTTCTGTCTAGCTAGAGGATTGTAAATGCACCAATCAGCACTCTGTAAAAATGCACCAATCAGCACTCTGTGTCTAGCTAAAGGATTTTAAATGCACCAATCAGCACTCGGTAAAAACGCACCAATCAGCACTCTGTGTCTAGCTAAAGGTTTGTAAATGCATCAATCAACACTCTGTAAAATGGACCAATCAGCACCCTGTAAAATGGACCAATCGGCAGGATGTGGGTGGGGCCAAATAAGGGAATAAAAACTGGCCACCCAAGCTAGTAGCAGCAACCCGCTTGGGTCCCCTTCCACTCTGTGGAAGCTTTGTTCCTTCACTCTTCACAATAAATCTTGCTGCTGCTCAGTCTTTGGGTACACACTACCTTTATGAGCTGTAACACTCACCACGAGGGTCTGCGGCTTCATTCCTGAAGTCAGCGAGACAACGAACCCACTGAGAGGAACAAACAACTCCGGATGTGACACCTTTAAGAGCTGTAACACTCACTGTAAAGGCCTGTGGCTTCACTCCTGAAGTCAGCAAGACCACGAACCCACCAGAAGGAAGAAACTCTGATCATCTGAAGGAACAGACTCCAGACACACCATCTTTAAGAACTGTAACACTCACCACGAGGGTCCGCGGCTTCATTCTTGAAGTCAGCGAGACCAAGAACCCACTGGAAGGAACCAATTCTGGACACACCAAGGCCAGAGAAGCAGTAGAACTGATGGTATAAATTCTAAAGTCTGAAGGGTGGAGATCCAGGAACTATGATGTCTAAGGCTGAGAGAAGACGGCTTGAGAAGAGCTCCCAGCTCAAAAAGAGAGTGAAAGAATTTCCTCTGCCTCTGCATTGTTGTTCTACTTGGGCCCTCAATGGATTGGATGATACCCACTTACATTGGTGAGGGTGCATCTTTTTTACTCAGTTTACTGACTCAAATGCAAATCTCTTCCAAAAATACTCTCACAGACACACTCAGAAATAACATTATACCAGATATCTGGGTGTCCTCAGCCCTGTCAAGTTGACACATAAATTTCACCCTCACATCTTTCTTCTTTATCAATCTCATGTGTGTATAACTAGATTAATAATAACTTTAGTTTCTAGTGGAGTCATAATTGACAGTACTTTTCATTTTATTTACATAATTTTATTTTTTAATAATTATTTATGTATATATGTGTTACTGTCTTAAGTGTGTACAAGTTACACTGTACACTTTTTAGGGTTAGATTGATCATTTATTATCAAATCATCTTTTTGATAATTTTCAACACTTTTGACTGGCTTCTTGTTATCGCTGATGAGTTCATCACTGATTCTTACCTAAGAATGTGACCGACAAAGAGCTCACTTCAGGAGTAGAAGTGCTGGTTTTGCCATTTTATTTTTATTTTCTTGTGCTCTATTATTTGTAGCCCCTTGTTTTCTTGCATAAATATTTGAAAATCATGTGACCACTTTTGTGAGGATTAGCAGAAATGCATAATTTTGGCAATCCACTTGACATGATAAATCAAAATATGAAAGAACAAATGAGTAATCTGTCAACATTTTGGGGTTGAGGAAATCTTATTCTTCCCCTGGGATATTTTATCTATTATATATGATTAATAGGCATTTGACATGCAAAAATGATGATGCCAGTGTCCATTTGTATATTACATATTAGTAAAGCATAATTTAAAATTTTGTTTTAAATACAAATTACTTTTCTTTGGTTTATTTTATTCTCCCTGTTACAATGAATTAGCTAATGTAGTGATTCTCAAAGTATGACCTATGGACATCTGGAGGCCTCTGAGAACCTTTTTGGAGGTCTATGAAATCAAAATTATTTTCATAATAATACTAAAAATTATTTATATTTTTTGCTGTGTTGACATTTGCACAGATAATGCATATACCATCATAGGGAAAACTGCTAGATATATAGCATGAATCAAGGCAATGTGGAAAAAAAAAACGATACTGGTAGACATTGTATTCTTTGTTGCCAAGCACATACAGAAAAAAAAAAAGCAAGTTTTACTTACAAATGTATTGGAAGAAGCATTAAAATTATGAATTTTTATTAAATCTTGATCTTTGGTTACATGTCTTTTTAATATTATGTGTAAGTAGGAAGTATGCATAAAGCATTTCTGCTACATTGAAAGGGTAGTTGTATGGCTGTGGCATTGTTGAGAGCTGAACTGGCCCCTTTTTTTCATGAAATGTTATTTTTTTTCTTGAAGGAAACTGGTTATTCAGACTAGGGAATTTGGCAGACATTTTCTCAAAAAAGGGTGAAGTGAGCTTGTCACTTCAAGGAACAAAACTGACAGTATTTGTGGCCAATGATAAAATTTGAGCTTTTCAGTTAAAATCAGAAGTTTGAAAATGTGTATCCACCACTATAAACTTGACAGCTTCTCAATACTTAAAGACAGGGCCAGCTACATCATTTGCAGGGCTCGGTGCAAAATGAAAATGTGGAGCTCCTTGTTCAAAAAGCAGGAAAAAGGTGCCACTAAAGTACTAAAATATAAAGCTTTTTTTTCCATTCCATGGTCTGTCTCTTGACTTGCCGTGGTGTTTCACGTTTGCTATTTAATGTTGCTCTAAGCAAAAAAAAAAAAAAAAATTAAATTTTTATATTATTAGCATGAACTTTACTGTTTAAATTGCAAAATGACAGTTTTATATGCAAATATAAAAACATTTTGTTTATATGCAGAATCACAAATTTGAACAGTCTGTATTTCATAGTTCATACATGAACTTTTTTTATTCTCACCCAAAGAGTGGAAATCATGCACAACCTTAATTAGCTGTTTTTATTTCATTTCTTGACACTTGCACATTCTGTCAACACTATCTTTAGCTTACTTATGAGTAAGGAAGGACTGAAAAAAAAAGGAACTATAAGTTGCCCTGTTTTTCCTTTTCTTACTCTCATCATTGTTGGCTATTATAGGAAAGGAACACCAGTAAGAAAGAATATGACAGAGTTACCTGTCGATCCATCTTTCTCAGAATGTACTGCATTCTTTCTACATTGGAAACAAGTTCTGGTTTGATTGAAAAGTGTGGCCTCTGAAGATTGTTGGTACCCTCATTTAGTTAGAAGCTTAATAAGGTAACTGTGATAGTTTGAATGTTTGTCCCCTCCAAAACCCACATTGAAATTTAATTGTCATTGTAACCGTATGAAGAGGTAGGACCTATAAGAGGTGATTAGATCATGAATAGACCATGCCATTATCACAGGATTGTGTTCCTTATCATGAAAGTGGATTTACTCCCTATTGCTCTCTCTCTTGCCCCCTTTTGCTCTTCTGCCTTCCACCATGGGGTGGACTTACCAATAGGGCCTTCACTAGATACTGGCCTTTTGACTTTGGACTTTCCAGCCTACAGACTGGTAAGCTAATAAATTTCTGTTCTTTATTGATTACCCAGTGCGTGGTGTTCTGTTACAGCAACACAAAACAGATTAATACACTTACCTTGTACTTACTGTGAATCTCGCTAAATTCCCAAAAATCGTGGGTTCACTAGAACTTTGTGATTGTGGGGTGTTATGAACACCAAATGCAATAATACACTGTAAATTTATATAATGCATTTGGAAAGCAAGCTGTCGATACTATAAAAAGACATTTAAAAATCTGCTCTTAATTCAGGAGTCTTAATTTCTTGGAAATGTAGCATAAAGAAATATTGAAACAAAAGTAGAAAGCTATATGTACAAAATTGTTTTTTACTGTATTAATTATCCAATATTAGTGGAAACTAGAATGAATCACTGTCCAATGAAGTAATTAAATATTATACAATCATGAAAATAGCAAAAAGCATATGTAAAATCATGGTAGCATGTTAAGTAAGTCAAAATCTTAATAAAAATTAACACACACTGGGATTAGAGCTGTGTAAAATTATGAATGCTTTTGGATAAATATCATTGGGGAACACATGAAAAATAGAAAAGTTATTCCAGGTAATAGGATCATATTAAATTTGTTTCCATTTTGCTGAACATTCTCTAATATTGACTTTTTGTGGTAAAACAAACACATAAACCAAAAATTCAAGAGGCTTTCTGAAATAATTATAGTCAAATGTATGGCATTTGGAATTGAGACTCAGGTTGGAGACCTGGCTCTCTTATTTATATTTTTATTTTTATGTGATTTATATTTATATTTATCATTTATATTTATGTGATTGTAGATCAGTAACTTAATTTTGTGAACCTTAAATTCATCATCAGTTAAATAAAGATTTCCACTAGCTTTTTAGAGTCATGAGATTAAGATGATGTATGTGAAAGTGTGTCTTTATTTAACTTTTAAGTTAAGGGGTATGTGTGTGTTTGTTATACAGGTAAACTTGTGTCATGGGAGTTTGTTATACAGGTTATTTCATCACCCAGGTATTAAGTCTAGTATCCATTAGTTATTTTTTTCTGATCCTCTCCTTCCTCCTCTCAATGGTAGTTTAATAGGAACAGCATTGAATCTATAAATTGCTTTGGGCAGTAGGACCATTTTAATGATACTGATTCTTCCTACCCATGAACATGAAATTTCTTTGTAGGTGAGCTGACCTTTCTCTCTAGCTGCCTTTAACATTTGACTAACCTTAGAGAAGCGGTAGGGGCAGAAGCCAGCTGATGTTTCTTTCATTTTAACTCTGATAATTATGTGTCTTGGGATGATCTTCTTGTGAAGTAACTTACTGGAGTTCTCTGTATTTCCTGAAGTTGAATATTGGCCTCTCTAGCTAGGCTGGGGAAGTTCTCATGGATGATATCCTGAAATATGTTTTCCAAGTTGGCATTCTCCCCCATCTCTTTCAGGGACACCAATGAGTTGAAGATTTGGTCTCTTTACATAATCTCATATTTCTTGGAGGTTTTGTTGGTTCCTTTTCATCCTTTTTTATTTATTTTTGTCAGGCTGTCTTATTTCAGAAAGCCAGTATTCAAGCTCTGGGATTCTTTTCTCTGCTTGTTCTATTCTGCTATTAATACTTGTGATTACATTATGAAACTTTTGTACTGTTTTTCAGCTCTGCTGGGTCTGTTATATTCTTTTCTATACTGGTTATTTTGTCTGTCAGTTCCTGCATTGTTTTATCGTAATTTTTACTTTCCTTGCATTAGGTTTCAACATACTCCTGTAGCTCAATGACCTTTTTTCTTATTCATATTCTGATTTCTATTACTGTCATTTCAGCCATCTCAGCTCAGTTCAAAACCCTTGCTGGAGAGGTGATGCAGTCATTTGGAGGAAAGAAGGCACTCCAGCATTTTGAGTTTTCAGAGTTATCTTGCTGATTCTTTTTTATCTTTGAGAGCTTATCTACCTTCAATCTTGGAGGTTGTTGACCTTCAAATGGGTTTTATTTCTTTTATCCTGTTTGGTGACCTTGAGGGTTTGATTGTAGTAGAAGGTGGATTCAGCCATCTGGCTTTCTTTCTGAGAGACTTTAGGTGGTCATTCCTTAGCTCCCAACTCCTGGACTGTGTGCTCTAAATCTGGGGGACTTGGGCCTTGAGTTTGTTCTTTGGATCTGGATCCTTGAGGTTTGGAATTCATTGCACTGAGGGAGCTGAGGTGCAGCAGCTATGGTAGAGTGCTAGTGGGTGCCAGAGTGCCTGCCTCCCTGCAGGCATGTACCACAGTGGTGGAGGCAATGCAGCTGGGTTGGCAGGGGCCCATGCTGGAGACTGCACATGGTTGTGCTGTAGGTGGTGTTGGCTTCGGGGTGAGGTGCTGGCAAGTTCAGGTCTGGGTGCTTTCTCTGTACCCCACAAGCAGGAGTGATTGCTCAGGGTGGAGGAGGATCTGCTGTTCTCTGTGCAATGTTATTACAAGGAAGGTGGTGAGCCTTGCTGGCTCTGTGCCCACCAAGGCTTTGTCTACAATGGCAGGGCAGTAAGGGAAGGGCGGGCAGACTGAACTCCTTTGCCTGGGTGGGGTAAGGAAAGCAAACCTGCCTATGCAGACAGGTGCCAGCAAAGCAATGTAGGGAGTTACCACGGTCACAGGGGAAACTGCAGTACGGGGAGGGAGCAGGTTGGCTGATGTACCACCATAGGGGCCGCCTCTCTGGAGTTCTCCACTGGTCATGGTCAACCAGCACAGAAGCTATTGTTCAGGCCCCAAGGGTACCCAAGACTGCCCTGCAAGCAGCCATGGCCAGGCTGGGGTCTCAGGAGAGGACAGCAGACCAAAGGATGTTTAGATTTGACCAGCCCCATCTGATGGGCAAGACCACCCTGCAGAGATCAGGTCCAACAGCTCCCCGAGGGCTGAAGTCTCAGTGGGAGCAACTTGGGCCTAAGAAGATGACTGTCCCTGGACATGCTCTGCTGCAGATGTTCTCACACCAAACCCTCTGATTTCCCCATCAGCTGGCTTCTGCCCCTACCGCTTCTCTAAGGTTTCTTAATTTTTCAAATTCTCTAAGCAGGTCTCTCTGCCAACTCATGTGTCAGTGGTAGTCAAGGGGTCTCCTCATGCTGGGGTTCCAGAGGCCTGTGGCAAGAGTGGGTTGCTCCTTACCAATTCAACTCACCCATTCCCCTAGTGCTGTTATGGTCCAAAAATGAGTTCTGGTGCACAGTAGCCTTGTGCAGAGTTTCCAGCTTTCTCCCCCTTCAGTCTAGCTTCTGGGTCTTCCCTCTGTCCATTCTCAATACCGTCCCTCTGAAGATCTGTTAAAAGCACGCCAACTGTCTCAGGCCCTGTGTGGGAGCTGTTCCACGTGGCTGTGTCCTCCCCCTTTGAAAGTGTTTCTTAAAGTTCCTGAAGCATTGGTATTCAGTATATTTTAGTTTATTCTAAAAGTAGGGAGACTTTATTTTTCATTTTAGTGTTTTTAAAATGCTAATAAACTTTGCCAAAAGGCTTAACATGCTGGATGAGAGAAGGTTATACACTTTGGGAATTTTACTTGATAACTGCACTTACTGCTTTCCACAGTTCTGACTGCATATGCTTGAATGATTTTAAGTAGTAAATCCATTTTTACCTTCAAAGGCCATTTATTGTCTGGTAGGACAATGAAATAGATTCAAATGCAGGTGTATATCTAGTTTAGGCAAAATATTTTGCTTTATCAAAAAGTAACAATCTTCAATAAACTTCTGTAAGAGGTCTTTCGATTTCAAATTCTTGAAATATTTTGCATTGTACAAATAGTTGCAAATGAATTCTTTAGTGCTGTTTGCAAGATTCTGTGGAAATGTCTGCAGTCAACATTTTGGTGTAGTGGAAATAACATGAGAAAGGAATCTGAGACAATTGTGTTCTTGCAAATTCAGCATCGTATCTTTCCTTTCATCTGTAAAATTAGGGGTTGCATTACCAATTATTTAAGCTTTCTTAACTTTTCAAATTCTGTGATCTCATGACTCCATTTCTTTCTATCCATCTATCATCTATCATCATCATCTATCTTTCTATCTAATGGCTATCATACATTTCTTCACATAGATCAGGAACTTAATAAGAGGTGTTTTTTGTTGTTGTTATTCGTTTTTTTGTTTTTGGATGGAGTTTCACTCTTTTCCTCCAGGCTGGAGTGCAATGGCGTGATCTCAGCTCACTGCAACCTCTCCCCCTGGGTTCACGTGATTCTCCTGCTTCAGCCTTCTGAGTAGCTGGGATTACAGGCAGGAACCACCACGCCTGGCTAATTTTTTGTGTTTTTAGTAGAGATGGCGTTTCACCTTGTTGGCCAGGCTGGTCTTGAACTACTGACCTCAAGTGACCCACCTGCCTTGGCCTCCCAAAGGGCTAGGATTACATGTGTGAGCAACCGCACCGGGCCTAAGAGGTAGTTTTTACATCCCTTATCAGTCAACAGTGTGTTCACATATACTGCTGTGGACCTGAAGTAAACCCTGTTAAAAAGGCCACATAGTTCCCTTAATATGCTTGTCTTGTGGGCTAAATTTCTTCATTCTATATCCAATAAAAGAAAAAGTTATCTATCTCATTATTGTAGAAAAACCTATGATATGATAGCATAACCAAAACCAGCCTTTCCTGGGAGAGGTAGGGCTGATAATTTCTGAGCATTTATTATATTCCAAGCTCTTTTTAAAAACACTTTACATACATCATTATATCTAAAACCCAAAGTAATATTCTAGGCAAATACCATTTAATATATAAGGAACCTGATACCTGGAGAACATACAGAACTCTCCCCATGGTCACACAGTTAAATAGCAAAACTAGAACGTAAGCCCATATCCACCTGTGTCCAAAGCCTGAGCCCTTATGCAATATGTTGCACTGCTTTATAAGAGGAGTCTGCTAAGGAATGTCTCCCCAAATGCCTCTCTTGTTTATAATCATACATTTATAGTTATTCATAGGTGGTCTTTTTACAAGTAGAAGTAAAAATATCTGTTTTAGGTTTCAGGACTTCCAGTTAGCCAAGGTCAGAGAATAAAAACAGAGAGACAGGAAGCTTTATGACAATTTTTCAAAAGGCACCAGAAATTGGAACAGCTATACTAAAATGAAAAATTGGAGCAAAGGAGGATGAGGGGGAACAAGACAACAAAGATGTGATTGAGAAAGTATGTATATTGAATTATTAGTATGGGGCAGAAAAAAGATGTTTTCACTAATGATGACTGATAGTTGGCAAAGATTTTTGAAACAAGATAACCCATTCTCCACAAGTCAAGTGACAGGACCAAGTCCAAATTTTAACAAAAATGTTGTTATGATAGAGTGCACTAGTATGAACGTCACAGGCATAGTTCTGTCTATTGATGTTTCCTGTGACAAAAGCAAGATATTACTGAAGTTGCACGTTCATCACTTTCTAAACCAGATGTCAGAGATCTTAAAACACCCCAAAAGGAAAAGTCCCATCTTTTGTATTGTGAAAGAGATAAAACACACAGCAGGAAATGTAATTCTCTTGAAGATTCTTCCCAAAGGATTTGACAGAGCATAGCATTTCTTATTTGGCTTTAAATAAATATCTGTCACAGAAATTTTAGCTTTTAGGTTCAATTTAAACCATAATTCCTCGTGTTAAATACATGTAAGGACAAAAGAGATTGGAATACAGTGCACTGCCATGAACCTGAAGCTTGACGGCAGAGCAGATTTCAATCAGCAGTCTGCAAGTAAGCCAACGACACTTCTGTGATACAACTCAATAAGGTATAAGGTGGTGAAGGTTGGGCCGTGGCCATGAACTTGGTTCAGGTGAACTGCATTTGGGAAGTCATAAACTATTCATTTAACTCCATTCATCTTCTTTGGTTCTCAACATTGGATTTTTATTTCCTGACCCCATGGACAGATATCCAGGTTTCTTATCATCATATCTGGAGAGATTAGTACTTTCTATTTCCTTACTTATACACAATTGAGACTTGACCGTAATTTTGTTTTAAACATCTTGGTTTAGCCATACCCTCTTTTTCCTATGTGTTACCTTGTCACTTGAAATTTTATTAATTATTTAATATTGGTAGAAAAGAAATGAGATGTATACTAGTTATCTCTTTCTTGTGTAACACATTACTCCAAAACTTAGTGGCTTGAAGCAACAAACATTTGTTTTTCTCACAGACTATAACCACCTGGGGTGGTTTAGCTGAATGGTTCTGTCTCAGGGTCACTGACAAGGTTGTAATCGAGGTACTGGCCAGGTCTGGAGTCATCTCAAGCTCAGCTGCAGGGGAATCTGCTTCCAAGCCCTCTCATTTTACTGTTGGTAGGTTGCAAATCCACACAACATGGCAACCGCTTTCTTTGGAGTGAGCAATACAATAGAGCAAAATAAAATAGGGTTTAAGGGTGAAAAGGTTAAATTAAACATTTACTATCAAATCAAAATGACACATTTTTGTTATATAATATAATTTTAAATCTCATGCCCATTGTCTGTGGTCATAGGTCAGGAGTGTCAGAATTATAAACTTTTTTGAGTCGTGTGAAAAATTAGTCATTGTAAAGTACCCTCAGGTAAAAGAGTAAAATAATGATAGTTGTAAAATATATAGAAATTTAACAACAAAACATAATAAACAGGATATAACATAATGAATTATATTAGAAATGAACAACATAACAGTGTAACCATGACATAGCTGTGGCCTTAAACACATTTTTTTAAAATGAAAGCCAGTAGAAATATGTGACCTGAGCATTTAAGATAGAAAGTCAGAAAAAAAGGTCAAACTTATGGAAAAACAGAATAATAATATTTATAAAAGAAATTAGTAAAATAGAACTAAGCAATGAATATTTGCTGGTTATATTAAATAAATACAACAGCCATTTTTCTAAATGAAAGGAAAAACTAATAACCCAAACTGCTAGCAAATATAATGATTTGTGCAGAATGATATTTATTGTGAAAGAGGGATACAGTAGGGTAAGTCATGATATGTCTAAATAAAGAATACTCTGTAGTGTGTATAAATAATGCTTTGAAAAAAATCCTTTCTTATAAAAACAGTAAATTATGCTAATTTAAAAATTTTGATAAAGTGCATAGATTTGATTATTTTGACTATCGCAGGTGGTATTTGATTATTTCCCTAACTTGCTGTAATTACCCCATCAAATAATATTATTATAGTTAAATAATAGTTGTCTTCTTATAGTATAAATTTTTAAAAAAATGTTTAACTTTACATTTCTGCTTCCTATAATGGCAGATTGGGTAACTTGGTCCAACTATCCCCTAGAAGTCAATTGAAAATCTTGTCGATATATAAAAAATTTTGCTTGAAAGTAATAGGGAGATAGCATAATAGTGAGGAATTATCAGTCTGGGATGTGTGGAAAGGTTGAAAATCAGAGGAATTTGAGTTATATTTCACCTGGGAGTAAGTAAAAAAATCTATGAGGGAGCTGAAAGAATAAAAGGATGGATGGCTCATTTGATAGCCTCAAGGCTAGAGTAAAAACCTCTGGGTACAAGGCACACCAGTAAAAGTCCTGATGCATCTTCCTTACACTGAGATGGAACTCTAAAAAGCCTCACTAGAGAGTAACTGTGATACAGAAGAAGATGGCTTCTGCAGGGACTGCAGTTCAGCTTTGTGGGCATCTCAGCTTTGAGTAATCCCAGATGGCTAGGTACTCTGAATATAAAAATTTAAATACTTTCGGGAAAAACAAAATGTTTCTATTACTCAAACTATCTACAAAGTTTTGAAAATACTAGCACACATGACATAAGTATGGAAACAATAAACATTACAGACTACTAGAGGATGGAGGGAGAGGGGCTGGGTTACAAAAAATACCCATTGAGTACTATACTTAGTACCAGGATGACAGGATCCATACTCCAAATCTCAGCATCAGGCAATATTCCCATGTAACAAATATGTACATGTACCCCTGTATCTAAAATTAAGGCTGACATTTTAAAAATGAAAATACAATATTTAAAACATGAAATCAAAATGCTAGTTATATAAGTTGTAAAAATAACATGACTGGAAAGTAATATCAATAATGATAATAACAGAAACAGAACCACTGGGGGAAGTTGTCAATTCCAGGTTTTAAAATAAGTATGCTCACTAAATTAAGAAGTTAAGGGCAGGAATAAAATAATTTAAGCTTGAAACTGGGAAGAACCACATTGAAATTCTGTAATTGAGAAACTTAAACACCAAAGTGAAAAACTCAAATAGTGGAATTAACGGCAGACAAGAGAGAATTTGTGAACTAGATTACAGATTAGAAATAAATTTCGAATACCAAAACAAATTATATATAAGTCTAGAAAATATAAAGAGAAAAAAAGAGAGACAGTGTATAGGTCTGCTTATATATAATCTAATCCCAAAATAAAAAGGAAGAGAGGATAGGACAGAAATGATATTAGAGAATGTAATGATAAATAATTTGTTTTTAATTGAGGAAAAGCATCAAGCTTAGAAGCCTACAAATCCTACAAATCCCAAGTAGAAACATTTAAAAGAAAGTCACATGCAGGCTTATGATCATAGCAGTATTGAAGCTAAATTTGAAGAAAAAATATTAATATAGATTATATGAATAAATTATTTTCAGGGAACAACAATTAGAATGAAAGCCAAATTTTCAACAGAAATAATAAAGACAGGAAGGAAAATAAATGGTATTGTCAAAATGGGGAAATGAAATAATTGCAAACCTGTAACTATAATTTATTGAAAATATTCTTGAAGAGTGAGAGTAAAATAAAGACACTTTCTGACAAACAAAATGAGAAAATTTTTCAGTGTACCATCACTGAAGAAAATGCTAATAATTTTTTTTCAGGCAGAAGAAAATAAGCTAAGATAGAGCTCAGAAATATAGAAAGAAGTGTAGTGAATCAAGAAAAGTACATAGAAAAGTAAAGGTGAACTAATATTGAAAGTATAAAACAATAAGAAAGATGTATTGTGGAGCTGAATTAATATTGAAAGCATAACACAATAAGAATGATGTAATGTGGAGTTTAAAACATCAAGATAATTAAAATGTAAGACTTAGCAGCGTATGCTTTTGGAAGTGGATAACTGGAGTTAAATGATTCTCAGGCCCTTCCTTCAAGAGGAAGGGAAACAAAGAAATTAATGAGAATTTGGCCTTCTGGCTTGGAAGAGTGGGTGCCTAAAAGGCCAATTTCTTCTATAAATAACAGCTATAAAATTTGAAAAACAAATCTGCAACAATAGAATCTAACAGAGGACTCTAGGGGTTGAACAGTGGTGGTAGATTTGGGATTGGAGTAGAAACTTGTAGCAAGTGACTGGCATAAAATGAGTTCCCTGGATTTTGTGACTTTTCTCTGACAGTGGCCATAGGCATTGCCTTGAAAGCAAAAACAAATGCAAATCTGTGATAGAGAACCCGGTCCTTCTGGCCATCAAGGGAGATCAAACAGCCAAGGCTACCAGAGAATAAAGGAAGGTACTCAGAAAGCTGAGGCACAGAGAAGGTGAACCCCAAGTCTCCTGGTTTAACTCAGCCTGTCACTGGCTGACTCTTGAACCTGTTGTTTATGACACAAACTGAAAATTGTGTACATCTAAAAATTTAAGAATTGATCTGATATCTGAGCTACCACCCACCACAGGCATGAGAATTGACAATATGATTCTAAGTGAATTGCCTGCTGAAACAAAACAATACTCCTTAAAACAATATAATACAATAGAGTCTATACAACATAACATTCACAACTTCCGGGAGACAATCTAAAATTACTCATATGTGTGTGTGAGAAAAATGTGGCTTTATTGCAAAGAAAAAGGCAAACAACAGATGACAAATTAGAGATAACCCAGATGTTAAAATTACATAAAGCATAGTGGAGAGTGTGTGGATAAATGAACTCACTATTTTGCAAGGTTTCTAAATATTAATACTCTAAGTAGACTGAGAAAAATAGGGTGCACATAGAAATCCCTAGAGCAACCGCTTAAAAAGAAAAAATGCAAATAGACATAGTTAAAAAGCTAAATTCTAAAACACTACAAATAAAAGAAGACAAGAATGGGGAAAGAGGGAGAAATGTTATACACAGTGAACAAATAATAAAATGGTAGACCTAAATTTAACCTAATCAATAATGCCATTAAATATTGATTAAAAACACTCTGATTAAAAGGCAGAGATTATTAGAAATAAAGGAAGATGAAACTATTCTATCACAAAGAGAAGCACATTAATATAAAGAAACAAGTTAAAAGTAATTGATAGAAAAAGATATATCATGCAATAAGAAAATGTGAGTATAAGAAGACTAGTGAAACTATATTAATATCAGATAAAATAGACTTGAAGACAAAGTATTACTAACATAAGCATTAATAATATAAAGAACATTATTTTATAATGTTAATAGGCTAATCGATTTGGAACATATGATAATCATGAATATGTATACACCTAATAACAAACCTTAAAACATATAAAGCAAAAACAGGATTAAAGGAAGAAATAAATAATTGGACAATCATTTTAAAATCTCTCCCTTAGAAACTAATATACATATATATATATATATATATACGTATATATATATATATATATATATATATATATATATATATATATAGTTGTTGTTGTTTGTTTGTTTTGTCAGTAGAACCATGGAGAATTGCCAAGATTGCTGACTAGATGTGGCCAGGAGAAATATCTCCCACTGAGAGACTGGGACATTGGAAAGACTATAACACACCTCTGAGTAGATCTTCTGATGGAAGACATTAAGAGTGGATGCAGAGAGGATGCAGATGCTGGGCTGAAGAGAGAGGAAGCTGGAAACCCTGCATAGTGTGGCTGAGCCTCAGGACTTGTACCTGGCCCTCAGAGACTCCTGGGGGAAGGGTGAGTTTACAGGTGAGGAGTGGCCTGCTCTCACCATGGACCCATTCTGGTAGGTCCCTCAACCTCTATGGGCATCTGAGATGGTAGGAAAAGCTGCTCAGAGAGGTCATATGGGCAGGACTCCAGCCTATGCAGAGCCCAGAGTGGTGGGAGAACAGCTGCAGTGAAGCACATCCAGGGACGGCCATCCTCCAAGGCTCACTGTGCTTCTCCAGGATACTTTAGCCTCAATATGACTGTTAGAGCTAGACAAAGCAGGGCAGTCTTGCTCGTGGGATGCGGCCTGATGCCTGATCTGATGCTCTGTTACCTGCTGGCCTCTCTTGGGGAGCCAGTCTGGTCGTGCTTGCTTGAAGTGCAGCCTTGGATACCCAACAGGGGTGCTTCTAGGAACCCTCATCATAGCTCCTTCAATGGCAGACTTAGCTCCTTCAATGGCAGACTGTGCCTGATTATCAGAGAACTCCAGCAGACCAGGCCCCACTTACATGAACCAGCCCACGCACAGCTTCACCCTATCACAGCCCTCCCGTAATGCTTTACTGACATGCATTTGCTCATGGCCATTCTCCATCGCTGTGCTTGTATGAGTCCACCTTGTTGCTTCCCCCTGCCATTAACATGCAGGTTCACTCCTGTGCCAGCACTAATGTGTGCACAGATGCTGGCAACACTGTTCTCCCCCCAACCCCTGCTACCACCGCCACCAATGCTGCCGGTGTGAATGCATACATGGACACCAGCAACTCCATCTCTGCTAGTGTACTGCCCTTGCTGTGCTGTCATCACTGGCATAAACATGTGCAGGAACACCACCTCCCTGCTCCCACAGTTGCTCTGTGCAAGCCAACATGTGTGCACCTTGCCACATTGCTGTGGCTGCTGGTATGCATGAGCCAGCATGGATCCCACTGCCACTACTCCAGTGACATGCTTTGACCAGCACCCCTCCCCATCAGAGTGTGGTGGCCAGTGGACAAGAACACCTCAGTCTCTCCAGTGCAGCAGCTTCCTAACCTTGAGGGGCCAGAGAACAAGGCTGGGGGCCCAGTACCAGCCTCCCAGAGTTAAAACATGCAGCCCAGCAGTGTAGAGCTGAGCCTTGGCTTTCTAAAATCTTCCAGAAATAAATGAAGCCAGTTGACTGAACCCATCATATGCCACAATCTAACTCCCAGGGCATCAAAGAAGATAAAAGCCAAAATCCCCATCCAAAGGACAGTAATATCAAAGATGAGAAAGAACCAGTGCAAAAAACTCTGGCAATTCAAAAAGCCAGAGTGTCTTTTTACCTCCAAACGATCACTCCATTTCCTCAGTGGTGGTTCTTAACTAGGCTGAAAAGACAGAAATGACAGATATAGACTTCAGAATATGGATAGGAAAGATGATCAAGATTTGGGAGAAGATTGAAACCCAATCCTAGGAAGCTAAGGAATACAATAATGCAATACAGGAGCTGAAAGATGAAATGGCCATTTTAAGAAAGAACCAAACTGATGTGATAGAGTGACAGAGCTGAAAAACTCACTTTGAGAATTTCACAATACAATTGCAAGTATTAACAGCAGAGTAGACCATGCTGACGAAGGACTCTCAGATCTTGAAGACCAGTTCTCCAAAGTTAACTTGGTCAGACAAAAATAAAGAAAAAAGGATATAAAAAGAATAAACAAAACCTCCAAGAAACATGAGATTATGTAAAGAGATCAAATTTCTGATGCATTGGCATCCTTGAAAATGAGGGAGAGAAAGCACGCAACTTAGAAAACATATTTCAAGATATTGTCAATGAAAAATTCCCCAACCTCGCTAGAGAGTCCAATATTCAAATCCAGGAAATGAAGAGAACGCCTGCAAGATATTATACAAGATGATCATTCCTAAGACACAGAGTCACCTGATTCTCTGAGGTTGAAATGAAAGAAAAAATGTTAAAGGCAGCTAAAGAGAAGGGACAGGTTGCTTACAAAGGCAACCCCATCAAGCTAACAGCAGACCTTTCAGCAGAAATCCTACAAGCCAGAAGAGACTGGGGGCTTAGATTCAGTATTTTTAAAGAAAATAAAATCCAAATAAGAATTTTGTATTCAGCCAAACTAAGCTTCATAAGCAAAGGAGAAATAAGATCCTTTTCAGATAAGCAAATACTGAAAGAATTACCATCAGATATGCCTTACATGAGGTTGTGAAGGGAGTACAAAACATGGAAAGGAAAGATCATTATCAGCAACCACAAAAACACACTTAAGTACATAGACCATTGATACTATAAAGCAACTACACATCAAGTATGTATAATACCAGCTAAAAACATGATGACAGGATTAAATCTGCACTATCAATATTAACCTTAAATGGCAATGGGCTAAATGCATCAATTAAAAGGCACAACATCGCAAGCTGGATAAAGAAGCAAAATTCATTTGTGTGCTGTCTTCAAGAGATCCATCTCACATGAAACAACATGGATAGGCTCAAAATAAAGAGATAGAGAAAATCAACCAAGCAAACGAGAAACACACAACCATAAAAAAGAATGTATTCATGTCCTTTGTGGTGACATGGTTGGTGCTGGAGGTCATAATCCTGAGCAAACTAATCAGGACAGAAAACCAAATACTGCATGTTGTCACTTATAAGTGGAAGCTAAACACTGAATACACATGGACACAAAGAAGAAAATAACAGACCCTGAGGCCTACTTGAGAATGGGAGGAGAGTGAGGATTGAAAAACTATCTATTGAGCACTATGCTTATTACCTTGGTGAAAAAATAATCTGTGCAGCAAATCCCTGTAACATGCAATTTACCTATAATAAGCCTGTGCATGTACCTCTGAACCTAAAATGAAAGTTACAAAAAGAAAAAAAAAGAAACTATACAAAATATATTTGTAGGAAAAATGAGTAAAGTGAATTCAGTGTTAAACTCTTTGATGATTATTATTAAAATTATGTAAATCTATGTAATTTAAGTAGACATTTTGCCAAATGTGGTTTCAGTGAAGACTTTTAATATCATGGTATTTTTGTTTTCATCTTACGGGATCTTTTTGAGTAATAAAAATAATATTTTCAAACAACTACAAAAATATATTAGTAAACATTATAGGATCTAAACAACACTATTTGCCATCTTGATCTAGTTGGCATTTGTAGAACAAGAATCCAACAACTCCAGAATATACTTTTCCACCCTAAATACACATAGTACATTCACCAAAATAGACCAGGAACTTCAGTCAGGAATGAGATAGATGTCATGACTTGATGTTTAAGAAGAATCTATCACCACCAAAGCAATCACTTTGCAAATTGATAAAACCTATATTTACATTTTGAAATATTTCCTAATTTATTAAATTGTTGTAAGAAAAGTGAATTAAATATACTTAAAGTGCCACAGCAAGACCTGTAATCATAGCTGTCTTTTTTTTTTAATTTTCACATACAACCTCATTGTTTAATTAGCAAAAATATCAAATTCTAAATTTGGAAAATAATATAGAATCCATTTTAGGAGCATTTTGAAATGGCACTGTGTCTGTGATCATATGGAAGCTTATGTACTTGACATCTGAGAAACACATAATTCTATTTCAAACTTTCTCCTGTTCTCAGCACTTTTAGCCTTGAATGATATGCTCTTGGCAATTTTTATTTTGTGATCACAAAACTTACTGCTTTCACTTCATGTTTCAAAGTATGATTTGGAGGGAAAATTAACCCTGTTCAAAACTAATCCTTTCCACAGTCACTGCCACTATCCCTTTAACATTTCCTAAAGGTCATTGTTGAGATTTCATTATCATGTTGCTGATTTTTCTGCCCTTTTTTTTTCTTTTTTTCCACTATCAGGGGAAGAGAACATTCTGCAAAAGGTTTGCTGGTCTCCCTGTTCCCTTACAGTCCCAAAAGAAGAAAACTGATTCCTTAAGCTTCAGAATCTCTAGGCTAGCTCCAGATTCTTATTTAGATACAAACACTCATGGCTTTCAGAGACCCAAAGAATCTTAGAAGGAAAGCACTGAGGGATTACAAAATATTTTTGAAGGCTACAGTCTCTATTTTGAAAATAAGAATGAAAAAGGTATCATCACCACCTCTGAAAACTGTACCCGCCCCCCAGTCAATGTGCAGTGTTTTAGTACATCCAGTTTCTGATGGGGACAAAACCCATATGCATATTAAAACAGAGGCTCAAATTCAGTGTCAAAAGCCTTAAATGATTAGCCCAAGTATTAAGAAATGCATAAAAGAAGGCCCTGACATTTATTAGGCACAAAAAATGCTTTCCCTTACACTTATAGTTCGGCAAGATGATATTAGAAACTTTGTTTTAAATATATATTCAATAGCCTTCTTTTTAAGAAGGATAAACTAGGTCCAAAGATGTGAAGCAGCTTGCCCAAATATACACAAAAAATCAATCTGACCAGTTTTTGTTACACCCATAGTCATCAGTTGCAGACTTCTCAAATATTTTTGGACCAATTTTGTTTGGGTTTACTTTCCTAAAAATCTTCACCTTGTTGTTGATCTTTAAAGGTTTGCAGTTGTTGTTCTTATTAAAATCATTTAAACCTTAGCCTAGGGATCTGTATTCTCCCGGAGAACTATGACAACAGAGGCAGGATTTGACTTAAAGCAATTAAAGCAGGCCAGAGCTGCATCCCTTCAGTAGGTAAATGTTGATAACTTCAATGTAAGGCAGCAATGTGGACACTGCTTGTTTCAGGCACTCAGAGGCTTTCAGCTTAATCCACAGCAGTGAGCAAAAGGATTGCTCCATTTAATTGGTTCTGTAGACTGCATTATTTAAGGAATAGCAAATATTGTTTGGAGTCTGTTTGAAGGGAAACAGAAAAACAACTGCTGCAAAATGGGAATACAACAATTTCTTATCGACTTCTCTGAAATATTGAGAGATTAATGAGTCTGGGCCCATAACATAGTTATATTCCTAAGAAAAGTTGATATATATGCCAAAACCTTTTCCAGTTTAGTTTACTGCTGTTACTACTGGAAACAGCATAAGACTTAAAGCCAAAGCTCTAACCCTGAGTCCTGGTTTTGCCTGTAATTACTTATGAGACTTTGGGAAAGTTATTTCACCTCTGTGGGTTTTTCTTTCTACATCTTTGAAGTGAATATTGTTATACTGACCTCACAGGGTAATTTGGAGAGTTAAATGCATAAAAACACATAATATTGCATTGTAAGCCATAAAAATGTGTACAAGTGGTTGTCTTATACTCATATATCATTAAACATTTAACGTCATAGCCATGCAGCAATATGCCAGTAGTTCCCAAAGTATGCTCTACAGATAACTTGTGCCATATATATTCTCTGAAAAATGAGTTTTGGATCTTTTTGGCTCCAAGGTACTCTTTGCTACAGTCCTAATGTGTTGTCCAAAATTCATGTGTTGGAAACTTAATTTCCAAAGCAACAATGTTGGAAGGTGGGGTCCTTCAGAAAGTGTTTAGGTCATGAGGATTCTTCTCTTATGAACTGATTAATGCCTTTATTAAAAGGGGTTGTGCGAGTGGCATCTCTCTCCTCTGCCCTTCTGCCATGTGAGGACACAGTGTTTATCCTCTCTTGCTTTTCCACCACCTGCCACACAAGGACTCAGCAAGAGGGCTCTCACCAGATACAGACTCTGTGGTCTTGAACTTTCCAGCCTCCAGAACTGTGAGAATTTCTATTGTTTATAAATTACCCAGTCTGTGGTGCTTTATTATAGCATCACAAATGAAAGAAGATAGTCATTGAGCCCTGCTAGACGCTCTTCTCAATTAATAATAAAATATGGCTCATAATTTTCTGTTTTAAGAGGCTCGTAATAATACAAAAGGCATTATTTAATCCTTTGTATTCGGGTTCAATTTCAACAGTATAAGTGTAGTCTTTTTCAAGACAGGTCATTCCCATCCCCCTTTATTTTTTTGCATTTTTCTCTTGAGCCTCAGCCTGTACCATGGCACCTCTTTTCAAGGTATATAGATACAGTACAAGGAATAATAATAAAGATGAAATAATTTGGTATTTCCTAGTCTCAGAAGAAGAAGTAAAAAGAGCAACTAAAGCTGCAGTCTATTTTTTCTCCAAAGTTGTTCATGAGACTTTTCTAACTTCCCTTATTTTCTCAAGTCACTTCATCTAAGGTCTTTACATCATAAGTCTGAAAGTTATTTATTTTTGTGGTAAAGATCTTTTTTCTCTTTTTAGAAATGTATGCCTGCTTCTGAAACTAACCTGGCAACATTTCAGAGGTGAAGGACAGAGCTCAAAAGCCGGGAAAGATAGTTTTCATTTTTATATTGAAAACTCAGTACTCCAACCTGAACTTACTGTGGACAACCATATGTTTACTGGTTCTAAATTTGAACTACATGTCTCTGCTTCTTTGTTCAATGTCATATCCAACATGCCACAAACTTGGACAACTCCAACTGGGACATACTCCAATCCTAGAGTCATAGGCTCTTAGAGATAGAAGTCCTTTTGTCTTATTACATTATCTACCAAGAAAGATGCTGCATATTTTCAATGCCTTTTAATGTCTTTCCTCTGAGATCCCCTGAAGTTTTAAAGAAAGCACCTATTTTGAGCGATGACTAAAAAGCTGAGAAAGTGGACTCAAAATTTGACATTAAATTCAGCTAATATATAGACCCACACTGGGTAGGCCTTAAGTTGATTCCTTAATTCACATATTTATTTACTTCATTAAACATTCATTCATTTTTTAAAGCACCATTTTGTGCAAGGCCCATAGGCGAGTTGGCTTTCACCTAGGTCCAGAATAGCCTATTTGCTGCACACTTGGTTCCCTTAGGCCCATCCTGCTCTTAGGGACAAATCAGGCACAGTACTCTCTCTACAGAGGTCTTCTCTGAATTCTTCTCAGCACAATGTTCCCGAAATGCTCAATCAGAGCTGACATGCAAGAAGCAAAAATGACCACCTCTGACCTAGTCAGTAATGGCAATAATATCTGAACAGCTATTGAGCCGCTGTGCTAGGCATTTCATGTAGTTTAGTTCAATTAATCTTCACAATAATCCTAACAATGTAGGTACTATTATCATATCTTTCTGGCAAATAAGGAAATTGAGCTCAGCAGAGTTAAATAGCTGGACTACAGTCACACTGCTAGTTAATGGTATAGCTGAGATTGAGCCCACGCAGTTTGAATCTAGAGACAGTACACTGGGAGGTAGTGCTGAGAAAGTTTTTTAGATCCAAGAGTATCAACAGAAATACCTACTAGTTCATATACAGGTGGCGCTGGTGAAAATGCAGTTGGCTTAAAAATCTTGAGTTCCACTTTCAACTCTGACATTCAAAACTGCGTGTTTCTTAAAAATTACAGTGGTAATGAATTACCTCTATCATGAGTTTTAAGAAACTCTTGAGTGATATGAAATAAATCAGATAGTACATAAAAGAGAGTTATTATAGTGAATAATATGTAATGGAAACTCAATACACATGAAGTTGCTCTCTTTTTTTCCTAAAGTCATAGGGGATGAATGGAGGTTTCTTATCTTTCTCTTCCTTCTAACTCTTAGTTTAGTAAACAAACTTTTTCTCCTTCTGGACATTTTTTTGGGAATAGAGTTTTTGCTCCTTGTTGGGATAATGGGAAAGAGGCTACATTGTAGAAGATGGCAATAAGATTTGTCATCTTTGTAGGAAAATCCACAATCACTACGATGGATTTTTTCCTATTTTGTGTAAAAGACTTGATACTTGTAAAATATATATTCTTCTGGAGTGAGTAGAAGCTGATGTTTTTGTCTGCCATTTACATTTTACTGTAAATTGAAACTTCTGTGAGATTATCTTTTGGAGGTCAAGATTAGAATGCATTGTTTATTATTAAGAACTTAGGTGGTATTAATATGAAAGAAAAGGATAGAAAGTATAAATGGAGAGTCAAAATAAACACATCACCCACTTCTGGTCATGCCTGATATGGTCCTGCATCCATAGCTGCCTAATCTGAAGATGCAAATAAATGATTCCAAAATATACATGTATGTATGATAGACAACAACCTCGGTGCATGGATATGAATGGCATGGCATTTTATGGTTGGAGAGACAGAAAGAGGACGCTCAGTCTAGGGTTCTATTTAAGTGAAATATACTTCAAAATTACGCCTCATTTTGAGTCTGACATCATTTTCAAAGGTTAGCTGCCTACTGCCAAGCTTCTGGAACAGCCTTGGGGTATACCTATGGGAAATGACTTAATACTGGTAATCATTCCTTTATCTCATCAAGACCAATTTATAACCCAGTGGTTTAGGAGTTCTTCTAAAGGCTAGTTTCAAACCCAGTAAATATGAAAGTTGTTTATGAAAGAAAAACTTCCTACCATACAAACCATCATTAATCATAAGCCTTGCCCAAGTAGTGAAGAGGTGAAGTCAATGAGGAATACTCAGTGCTGAAGGAAGGGTGGGAAATAGGGCTTAAAATGAGACAACATGAGTTCAGATGCCAGTTTTGCTATTTCACATCAGTGTGAAGCCTATATTATTTAACTCCCCTGAACATTTATTTGTTTAAAAAAAAGGGATATCTATGCTTTTTTTCCTGGATGGTTGAGAAACCTAAATTAGAAGAGTATGTGAACGTGCTTGGTATACTAAGATGACATGTTCTGACCCTGTCAGCTAAATATACTTGGAATTTTCTGCTCTATTCCAGAGGCATCTGGTATAGAAGTACTCTATCAGACACTTCTATAATCTCTTTATGACCTGGTGGCTTTCTAGGAAAGGGGTCTTTATCTGGCAGCTGAATTCAGAAAGCTTGTGACTGGTGCTAGTACCTTAAAGTGATGTTTTCACAGAGCACCATGAAGCTCAAGTTCCATGTCTGGTGTCCCTTTTCCTTGTGATTAGGACCACCACTCATGGTCAGTGAGAAACTTGGTGGTTCTTCTATCACTTATCTTCCTAGTAGGAGAAGCTATATTATGCAATGAAGATGCTGAACTGGAATTCAGGAAATTCAAGTTGCAAATTATAGACAGCCTTCTGGATCTTTAATTGTTTACTAATAAGCTGTGGAATAGGGAGGAATGGTGGCAAAAAAATGTTCTCCTATCTAATTTGTCACTCCCTGACTCTCTTTCTTATTCAATCTTGATGCCTTTTGACCTTCATAACTCCCCACCTTTCTACCTTTCTTGATATGTCTAAAAAAAAATTGGACAATTTTTCTTCTGTGTTTTATTTAAGACCTTGACTTCCTTTAGAGAAAGATCATGATGTAAATGTGAAATAGAATGTTATGCCTTCTCAGCCCATCTTGTTCCAAAAATATTATACTGTGGCTAAGACTATATAGTCTCTTCACATTTTTTCCCGTGATGCCGTATATGAAAATACAATTATTTATTTTAATTATGTATTCAAGTAAAAGAATGCTCCTCTAAATGAGTACTCCCCTAATGAGAATGAATGGAGTTTTAAAAACAAATCTTTTCCATGCCAGTTATCATGCTGTTTTCCTTTGTTGGTGATATTCAACATTTTCTACTCTAGAGGCCAGTATAACGTTAAAAATGAAAATCTTTTTTCTTCCATGATAAGATCTTAAAAACAAAGTCCTTAAAACAAATCTCACATAAAACAGAAAAAAAGAAATCTCTAACCACAGAAAAGTACTTGTAAAATGAAGATAATCCAAAACAGAAAGTCCAGGGAGAATTAAACAATGATTGAGGTTGGTAGATGAATTAGGGGCACAAAATATTTCTTCAAAGTTATCTAATCTGGGGAACAACAATATATAACCAGTAGAATGTTGGAAATAATACAAGAAAAATGCAAAACAAAAGAAAGCCATCATGAAGTATCAGATAGAGTGGGAACAAATATTTATATGCAGATTCTAGAAGTGCTTCTATCATGCTTAAATGACAGTGATAGGAAAATAAAGAAAGGAAATACCTGTCTCTACATTTGGGGTATCTACACTTTATAAAAAATCACTGGTCTATTAAAATCCATATTCAACCCCTACCTTTTCATGCTTAGCTAATTACCTTGCCTCTTTCATCTAGAAAACCAAGGTCATAGCTATAATATCCTCCAAATCTTTCTTACATGTAACTCCACAAGCTAGTTTATATCTGCCATCAAATTCATTGCCTTCCTCTCAGTACCAGAAGAAAGGATGCCTCACTTTTTGTTTAAATCCAAACCCTGACCATGTCTGAGGCCACATCTCCTCTCACTCCTGCCAAGATTTGCTCCATTAGATATTCTGCTTCTTCAACTAATATCTTTCATTTTCCCCCACTCTCACCTCCCCACCCCTGTTCATTCTCCTCAGCCAATCCACCCTCACCTCCCCACCCGTTCATTCTCCTCAGCCAATAAACATGTTTGAACATTTCTTACCCCAAAAAGGGAAAAGAAACAAACAAACAAACAAATACTGTGTTTGCGTCTTGATTAAGCAACTGTTCGATCTCTCTGCTCTGTTCCTCCAAATCTCTGACAAGAACAGTCTATAATTTCTTCTAATTCACTCTTCAGTTTATTTCAGTCTAATGTTTGGCCTTACCACTCCTCTGAACCTTGCCTTGCTGAGTCACCGATAACCTTCTAAATGACCAATCCATGGATATTTTTAAATCCTTGATTTATAGGACTTTTCGTTGCACTTGCCACGGCAATTAAATCATTTATCTTGAACTTCCTAATCCCCTTTCTTTGGTGTCATTTTATTCTCCTTCTGTCTATACACTGGTAGTCTTCTTGGACTACTGTTCATCACCTGACACTTTATTTATGATAACCCACATATTGATCTTATATTTGAAAGTCTTCAGTAGCTCCCCATCACCATCAGATAAAACCAAACTCCTTAGCATGGGACAGCAGGCATTCCATAAACTGGCACCTTGCCTAAAGCAATACTTGAGCATAAAATTATAAATGTTTGTAAAACTAATATATTTTATATATATATAGCAGTAAATAAAAAGAGTTCTAAGATTTTAATGTTTGCAACTAATCTGAGTCTTTATGTTTCCGTGTGCTTATTCAAGTTTGGACCAGGCATCACAGTTTTTTTCTTGGAGAAATTAAGACTCTGAATGTTTGATTGGTATAATGTCATAAAATATAGCTATAGTGAATCAGTCTAGTCTACTCTCTTAATATAAGAAATGCTGTATTTTTGGCAGGGCGTGGTGGCTCACACCTGTAATCCCAGCACTTTGGGAAGCCAAGGCAGGCAGATCACGAGATCAGGGGTTCGAGACCAGCCTGACCAACATAATGAAACCCCATCTCTACTAAAAGTACAAAAATTAGCCGGGCGTGGTGGTGGGTGCCTGTAATCGCAGCTACTCAGGAGGCTGAGGCAGGACAATCGCTTGAACCTGGGAGTGGAGGTTGCAGTGAGCAGAGATCACCCACTGCACTCCAGCTTGGGTGACAGAGCGAGACTCCGTCTCAAAAAAAAAAAAAAAAAAAGCTATATTTTTGTCTATGGGTCTTTTGGGAGGTACTTACCTCCTATAACAACATATGACTAAGTTTTGGGTGTGGAATCTCTTTTTTGTCATTATCATGATAGTCCAAGTATTTTCTTGAAAAATAAAAGACTAACAATGTTGCATTTATTGAGCCTTACATTTGGTTGAGCCTTGAAATGGTTATTTACATTGTTTCTTTTGTGTATTGTTTGTTATCTGTCACAACTACTCAACTCTGCCCTTGTGCAAAAGCAGGTATTGACAATATATAAAAAATGAGAGTAGCTGTGTTCTAAAAAACTTTATTTATGAACACCGAAATTTGAATTTTATATAATTTCAATATGTTGCAAAATTTATTCCTCTTTTGAATTCTTTAACTGTATAGAAAAAGAATTCATAATTCATAGGCTTGCAGGTTGTACACAAGTAGGCAGTAACCAGGTGGATATTGAGTCAGTGGCCTGGAATCAAATCTGGACTCTAACATATGCTAGGACTTTGATAAAACAATTCACCTTTCTGAGTTTTTCCTGGACTTTAAAATGGAACTGATAATATCCACTACACAGTGTTTGGTGAGGATTTAAAGATAATACGTGAGGATATGCCAACACAATATATTTCCAATAATAGAAAAATCCATATCTGAGTTATTTTTGTCTTACCTAAAATTATGGTAATATCTAGTGGAGAGAATAAATATTCACGCTCCTCTAGTGTATATAGCAATAGAATAGGCCTTTTAAATATAATTAAACCCATTATGTTTTCTTTAACATCCACTGGGTTTTGCTCTTCTGAGTGTCCCTCAACATTCACACATAGTTATTTCACATTTCTAAGGTTTTTTATTCTGTAATATTCTCCTGTTTCTTCAGAAAATAGTTTACTGGGTGATGTGTGGGATGTGAAACACAGGTTACTGAGAAGCTTTATAACTTCATTTTTGGTTTAGAGCAGTGGAATGGTCAACCGTAATATTTTCTCTACTTTGAAAGGTTTTTTCTTATATTTAAAAAAGTAATTGTAATTTTTACCACTTTTTGAAATGTTTTCTGATAGTGTTAAGCCTTAAAAATAAATTTCTAGAAGTACCTTGAGCAAACACTTCATTTAAAAACAATGGAACAGCAACACCTGACCCCTGAGTCTCTTCTGAGCTTCTGTGAAACTTGTTGGGCACTACTTATTAGGAACAAACGATTACATTCACTTCTGCATTTCTGTAAAACTTATTGAGCACTCACTAGGTGGGCTTTGCTCCACCTTAACTTTGTTTCCCTTGTTTCTTACTCTCTTCCCTATCCTCCTTCCTCTAGATCATAATTGTCTAACTTATACTTATGTCCTTAAAGCAATAATTGCAGATAGACAAACTCCTAGCTCAAAGATACAACATTTCACAAAGCTTTCTTTCTTCAAACTGCAGACACCCTAGTGACTCTGTCTAGAAATGGTTGTCATTTGCACTGCTGTGTTTTCAGTCACTTCAGAGAAACTAAAATATTCGAAATGGAGAGAGAAAAATGCAATAAAAAATTGAGGCTCAATGGCTTTTGTATTTACACCTCATCCTCAACCCTGAGCGTCAGACTCTCATATCCAGCTGCCAATAAACTTTTCCACCTGGATGTTCAAATATTCGATTGTTGTGTATCTTGCTATGTGAAAGGCCCAGTATTTATGACAAGCATTCTAAACTCCAGTCACTCACACACTATTTGTTTGTAGAACCTCCCTAGCACTTTCTTCACTGTCTGCCCCCTGCTCCACTATCCTTTTCTGCCTGGGTAGCACATACACATTTCTGCAAAGCCTCCCCTGACTTCAGCCCTCTAAAGCTCCAAGTATAAATTTGATGTCCTATTCAGTGTTTTACCACATTGTATGGCAGGCAAGCATTGGTTAACTAGGCCAGTGCCCCTACTGCACTGTGAACCTGGAGGGCCAGACTGTGTGTTTTATTTCCAAACCCCTAAATCCAAGCATAGATAAGACCCAAAGCTAGATACTTATTATTCCTAACCTCGATATTTTTTCTGAGTCCATATAAATGACACATCCAGATAGGCAATTGCATTACTGTGTAAATGATCCCTTCATCATTGATAAGACAGAGACCCAGTTCAAATGTACTTTCTAATTGCTTGATTTGGGCAAACCACTCATTTTCTCTGTGTTTCTGTTGATTCTTCTAAATGAAAATAATAGCACTTACTTTGGCTTAAAGGTGGATATATTTATCTAAACAATAGATTACATGCAAATGCAAGATGTTTTCATTATCATCTGCTAATGTTTTTTCTTTTTTTTTCTTTTTCTTCTAAGAAAAAAGAATGGGAGAGGGAGTTGTGTCGTGAAAGACACACACAGGTTCTTTTAGAGCTGGAAGAGAAATTGAAGTTAAATCTGCCAATCTCTAAAGTTTACAGATGGGAAAAGTGAGATCCAGCACAACACAGGCTTGCTGGAGTCATGTGGACCATGGGTAGCAAAGCCAGAAGTGCTTTCTGGCCAGTTCCCAGCCAACTGTGATAGCTGGTTGCTTCTCCTAGCAAGATTAGCAATGAATCCTAGGCAAATAAATGTTTAAAAAGTACCATTGATTCTATACCTGCCAACCAATTTCCAGGGCTGGCAATCTGGCCTCTAGGGGAAGGGACAGTCCTGTGGGGGAATATTACAACTGGGAAGCTTCCTGACATGGAGGCACCATTAACATTCAGATTGTTTTCACAGAGGGTAGGCTGTGTTTGGTCTGCCAAGGGGAGAAGGAGGAAGCAACAAAATTCTGATTTCTCCTATTTCCTACTATTCTTTGTGTCATGTTTACAGTGCAGGGGGTGGATAGGACAGACTGGCATCTCTCCTGATGCCACCTCCCTCCATGGAGCCCCCCGCCAAGGCTCACTAGCAGTCCTGTGAGATGAAGATTTTATGCTGGTATCCTGGCCGGCTTCCATCTGGCCAAAGGTATTTTATCTAAATATTTCCAAGGCGCCTATCTCTGCAGTATTGAAGTGCTCAATTAGATATGGCCTAAGTCTCTGAAGCATATCAGTGTGCACTGCTGAACAGCTGCTGCATTCCAACAGAGGGTGAAGTCATCTCTATATATAGAGCATGGCAAGCTGTTTGGAACTGAGGCAGATTTAAGCAGGCAAATGCACACCTGAGTTATAAGTCAGTCACCTGCCCAGAGTGACAGAAGGGTCTGGAAAAATCTCTACTTCCTTAAGTGGTGACTAGCAAGAAGACCACAGGGTTACTTTTTCAGCTATATTTTTTTTTCTGTAGTTTACAGACTCTCTTTTTTTTTTCTATCAACTCCACAATAGAGAAAATCATGATCTACAAAACTGGCTTTATTTTCTGCCATGATTTTCTCTTAACAATCTGTGATTTGTTTATTGATAAGAAGTTTGACATATATTAGCTGGTATCCAGGGGAGTATTGTCATCCTTTAAATAGCACTGTAGGAATTAAGGCATTGTGTACTTCTTCATTTAATATCTATCTTCCCTATTGGATTGTAAGCTGCTAGCTCTTGGCACAACAGAGTGAAATAAATATATAAGTTATGACCATTTATAATCTTCTTGGAGTGTGATTCTCTGGTTCCAACTAAAAGACTATAATTATTGCTCCTTCCAAAGTAATCTGGAAATCTACTAAATCCTTGGGCTAGTTCTGAGAGATATATTGCTATTAATATGGTGACTGATACGTGTCATTGGAAGGGTCCTGGAAGGTCATCTAGATCTCTACCTCATTTGAATAAACATAAGTTGCTTTGGTTTGGGGACAGGGAGACAGGGACAGGACAAATAGCTAATTGTGCAAAAATGCTTGGAAATGACTCAACCACTTAATACCTGTGTTAATCTGGGAAAATCGCAGAAGCACAATGGGCTTAAGTTCTGTCATCTAAAAATAAAATAAAATAAATAAATGGAAAAGAAAAACCTCATCCGAATTCCAATTCCCACCCAGGGCTACAGGGAGGATCTCCTTCAGAAATGTGTCTGAAAATGCTATGCAAATTATATCGCACTCAGACATGAGAAGCATATTCTTATTTTTATTACTGTGTCTTATCTGTCAGAAAAGGTCAGATGGTCACATGAGCATTCCAATTCTGGTCAGCTAGAGGCAACAGCTCCATTTCAGCCATTTCTTCTTGAGCAACTGTAATGGAGCAGCTGTAATGGTGTATCAAGCAAACAGGCAGGTGAGAGAGAGATTCCTGGGAAAGTTCAGTTTCTGGCTTCTGGTATTGCAAATCACCTGAGCAGAGAATCACTGAGACTTCCTCTCATCCCTCTTCACTCTGTCCCTTAGCAGGTAGCGACTGTATCTCATTTCATGATGTCAGAAGCCACCAAAGGTCAAAAAGCACCTAAATGAGGAACACCAGACTAGAACATTCCATTTATGACCAATGCCTTGCTTATCCCACAGCTCTGTTATCAGTTATTGAAGCTACAGCATCTCTGTGGGGATGGGGAGATAAATTACTTCCTGGGGTTATACTCTGTCTTGGCTGTCAGGACTCAGATTCCTATATGATGAATTTATAAACTGAACTTTGACTTCTGTGAAGCAGGCAAGATGCAAATCCTTGCTAGTGCTGATCTGTGGGACATGCCTAGTTTTTCATTGATTGGTTATTAAATCGAGCCAGGATGATGTAAGCACATGCTACAAGAAATGTGAATCAAGGAGCCCAAAGCAAAGAAGACCTCTTGGGATGAACAACTTCCTTAAATCGGTTATAAAATTCTGCCATGGGTCATGAAACTCTATTCTGTGTAGAGAATAACCCAAATAGGTGAATGCATTGCTAGGGCTAATACTTCTTTTTTAAGTTCCCTGAAGGCATAGATGACAGCATGTAAGTCTTCGTTGTCCCTTAATTTTTCTCGTTCCCACCTCTGTCAGTATTCAGCTTGTGTAGGTTTTTCCAAGTCACCTAAATTGCCAGTCTGACAGCTAGCTACTCACAGGCAAGAGGGGGAGGAATTGAGCTGATTACCTATTAACTTCAGCCTGAATTAAATATTTCCATATTGCTTTAAAATTCAGAGTTCTTTCTTATGCATCCCCCCTGGGTTTCCGTGCTCTATATATAAAAAGGCAATGTGACAAATTCCTTTGCCAAGGCTTGGATGTTGGGAACTCAGAGTTTTTATTTAATCATGGTGCTGAGTTCCTGTCTGGCCTTGTATATGCTATTTTACATTTCAAATATTCCATCTGTAAAGACTGAATGATAATTCTTACCGATCTCGCAGGGAGTTTGGAGATGATGGATTATTTAGTGTTGTAAAGAGCTTTTGGACACACTGAGTGCTAAATAACTTGTATTATTAGACCCTCTCTACATTGAAGCTGAAACATTGGCCACCTGACCTGTTTTGGCATCAGATCTCCTGAGGTTCTCTTTCCACAGCACTCACAGAGTGATGATTCTCTGTATGTGTAGTAATAAAAGGAGTCTGGGCCATTAACTTGGGTTGTTGAAATACTGCAGTTCTTTATTTCTTGTCCTATTTTATTTTATGAGAACACAATTCTAAACCATCATATTTGTAGAGATTCCATTATATAATAAACATGCCTCAAAAGAACTATTTTATTATGAAATGTGCTAGGTTTTTTCTATGACAACTGGTGGTTGGGGTAGAGGATTGCTGGTCAATGCTAAGTTTTGAAAGCAAACTAATTATCTTTGAGGTTTACTACTTCTGTGATGCCGACTGAATCTCTGACATTTGGGGAATTCTTCCTCTATTTGCATATATTTTGTATAGATTATTTTGTTTGTTGGCCAAACATATGTTGAATTTCTATAATGATTCACGTCCTAGGTTAGGACATAAATATAAAATCTATATCACTCATGTTGTCTCTATCACAAAGGACTTTATAATATTAGGATAAACATTTAGTGATAAGTGAAATACAAGATGAGATATAAGCAGGGTATTGTATGAATGTAAATAAGGTAATTATTGCCTTGAGGAGTCAGAAAAGATTTCTTAGACATTGGAGGCATTTAAATTGAGACTTTAAAGAGGCCATTTGCCAAGTAAAGAAAAAAGGATGAGAAATGGAACATTTTCTTTGCATAGCGTGTAGCACGTGTACTGAACGTTTTGGCTTTACTACACTATTTACTGACAGGAAATGAAAGTGGCGCATAGATTTACCTATTGAGACCCACTTAGACATTCTATAAGAGGCCCTTTTAGCTTTATTGATCACAAATTAATATCTCTTGCAGGAAGGGCTTCTCTTTTGGAAGTACTCTGCAACACAAGTCTACTCGGCTTTTCAAATGAGTGGAGAAAAAAGATAGTGGCTCTTGAGGGCCCATTCCCCTTAATAATCTAGAATTGCTCTGGATCAATCATGCTTGCCCCCTGTACTTCCAAATGCTGGCTGGAATCATGAGAAACCTCTTCATGTTGAATTGCTGCTCCTCAGCAGGGCCACATTTCCTTCAACAGAAAGGAGAAAATGTGAGCTTGCTGAGGAGCTGCCATTCACTATGAGGGTATTCAATTTTGTGTATTACTGCAAGTTGTATGGAGCCATAGAGGGCTTGGAGAGTATCTATGATCAGCTTTTTGGGATGAAAGACATGAGACAGCTATCAAGATACCATTACATTATGTAATTCTCTTTGGGATTCATTAGTCTCCAAGGCCTAGATATTGGAGAGGCTGTTTGGGTAGCCTTCTGGTACTTGCAGAGGGTTGTAACATTATAAATATAAATTAGAGCTTCATTTCATTCAGCTTATTTTGATTCTACATACTATGTCAGTTACTATGCTAGGGATTTTCACATATTATCTCATTTCTGTGTATTTATAATAGCTCAGTATGGTTAGGTATTATACTGATCTTATAATCTTATAAATTTTTAAAGACCACATATTATATATCTTTTTCTCCTTATTGTTGGTATTGAGGATGGAGACTTTTCAAAGTGGTGTTATCCGTCTACTTGGAAATTGGAGTTGGTGTTCTGCTCTGTAAAATCCTCGAATCCTTTCCTTTTCTGGCATTCTAGATGACTTTAACATGTACCATAGAATCAATTTTCTTTTGTTGCTGTTTTTGGATACTTCTTCACTTTATGACTGTAAGCTAAATATATATCAGTACGTTCACTTCATCTTCTATTCCCTGTAATATCTAATGAGGCACATAGGAAGTATGCTGTTTCAAAGTTATCAGTATGATTTTGACAGAACATTTTGGGAATTATGTATTAGGTTGTCAGATAGGCTCAAATGAGTGTGAGGCTGAGTTGTGCAAAACCAATTAAATGTACTAGTTTCTATCTTGCATAGCAAATTACCACCAACTTAAAGACTTAAAACAACATAGATATATTATCTCTCAGTTTCCATGGGCCAGGAATCACACATGGCTTAATTGGGTCTTCTGTTTGGGGTCTCACAAGGCTATAGGCAATGTGTCAGCCAGGCTTTGCTCCTTTCAGAAGTTTGGGGTCCTCTTCCTAGCTCATGTGGTTGTTGGCAGGATTCAGTTCCTTGTGGGTGTAGTACTGAAGTTCGCCTTTCCTAGCTGGTGGTCAGCTGGAAGCCACTCTCAACTTCTAAGTCTGCCCACAGTTTCCCACCACATGAGCCTCTCACAGGCTCTTCCACAACACCTCAGCTTACTTCTTCCAAGCCAGGAAGAGGATCCCTCCAGTCTACTAAGATGGAGTTGTATATATTGTAACACAACTATGGGAGTGACTGTCCTTTCACCTTTGTCGTATTTCATCAAGTAGATGAGAGTCACAGATTTTTCCTGCACTTTGGGGAGGGATTATATAACAGCATGCATATTGGGGGTTATTTAGGTTATATCTGCCACTTTTTTTTTTTTTTGAGATGGAGTCTCGCTCTGTCGCCCAGGCTGGAGGGCAGTGGTGCGATCTTGGCTCACTGCAAGCTCTGCCTCCTGGGTTCACGCCACTTTCCTGCCTCAGCCCCCCGAGTAGCTGGGACTCAGCCACCCGCCACCATGCCTGGCTAATTTTTTTTGTATTTTTAGTAGAGACGGGGTTTCACCGTGTTAGCCAGGATGGTCTTGATCTCCTGACCTCGTGATCCACCAGCCTCGGCCTCCCAAATTGCTGGGATTACAGGCATGAGCCACTGCACCCAGTCATGTCTGCCACTTTAAGAGTTAGATCTAGAAGAATGCTTATATCCACCTAATGAGCAAATGCCCCTAACTCCCATTCACCTGGGCTTGATATAACCTAATAAAACAAAGTAACAGTTGCACTAATGGTTATACACATATAGGTGTCAGAAGAGATAAGAAGAATAAGAAGAATAGTCATGTTTAAGTAGATTATTCAAAAGGAGTTTGTGGGGCCTGGACCTAAGATTCAGAGTCATCAAGTGAGGGTAGGAAAATTCCTTATTAATAAAGATATAGAAGCATCATTTTAATCTGAAAATAATATACATTGTAGCTTTTCATAGAAATGAAAAGCCCTGAAGGGTAAGCTATGAATGAAGGAGCTTGGATCTATTAGAAAAAAAATAAAAGAGAATGACAAATAGAGATTCAGAAGAACATTTTAGATTAGGAGAAAATATAGTCCTGGGTCACAGACAAAGATGGATTAAGTGGAAGAAAATCTTTGAAGTCAAGTCATCTGGAGAAACCTGTTCAGAGAGCAGACACTTACCCAGACAGGGCAAAGCCAAGTAGAGGGCGGTTTCACAAGCGGAACCCAAAATGCTACCAGTGACATTCGGATCAGTTGGCTTTAAGAGAAGCATCTCTAACCAACAAATAAAGAATAAATTTTGCTTTGCTAGAGACTACAATTGCTGAAAATAATAGCCCTTGAATAAGCAATAGTGGAAAATAAAAAGGGAAGTTAACATGATTGTAAAACCTAGACCTCTGGGTACATAGAACAGATAATTTGCATACAGCTTATTTTCCAAGTTTTCCTGAATTGTTATAAGATGACCTGTACACATTAAAGAACTAATTGGCCACATTTTTCATGAAGGACCACTGAGGAGTGAGCAACAGGATCCTGTCCAAAGATTTTTGAAGGGGTGGTCTCTTGTCACCTTTCTAGTGGGAAAGGGAGAAAGCCAGCTAGAGAACCCATTTGATGACTTCTCTTGGAAGGTTTTCCCATGACTTTCTAGAACCACAGAAAAGCAGCTAACTTTATGTGTCATGTCAGAAGGGACAATATCTTCCCATGATTTATTTATTTAGTTTGGCTTATGTGTCCTCTCCGTTTGTTACGATAGCACCTGTGCTTGCATGCATGATGGCTTTGATCACACTGGATTTTTGCCTTGTCTGACTCTTTCTCTCCCCTGAGAGCTTCCTGGGGGCAAAAAACACATTATTTTGTCTCTAGCTCTAGCATTTACCACATATTTGATTCACAACAAATGTTTTCTAAATAGTTTAATGGTGTTAGCACATCAGAATTCTATAAATCCAGATCTTTTAAGTTGTGTTGTTTCTATCAGAATACTCAATACAAAGAACCTACTGCTCTGACCAGAAAGAGCATTATAAACATGATTACAGACATAGAATCCCAGAACTCACATAAATTCACATCTATAGTTAGACATGAGGTTAACAAAAATTGCAAAAACATTGCCAGAAAATTCTAAACAATTCATGGAGAACTCATTAGTCTATTCAACAGACTACTGAGTTCAACAGACACCCTACTGAATGCCAGAGATTTCTGATGCATAAAACAAGACTTCTGTCCAGGATATGCTGTCAATCTAGAAGGAGAGACAAATATGCTTAACAGATAATTTCAGAACAGTGAATAAAATGTTCATAGAGATTTGCACAAAAGGTTTTTTTGAACATAGAGGGAAGAACAACCAACTCAGTCTGGAGTCGGAAGGGGTGGTAGGTAAGGCTTCACAGCGTTGGTGATAAACACCATTACTTAACAAAGAAAAGTGTTTCACGTGAAAATGAGAATGTGCAAGAGAAAATGCATGTGAAAATGAGAACATGCAAGAAGCATAAAGGATTATAGAGTGGCAACAGGCATTAGGAGACTAGAGGGTCCATATGGAAAGAAGGGTAGGACAGGAAAGTGGCAAGGAATAGGTGGTGAGGTTGTTTTGTGCCATTCTAAGGAGTTTGGGCTGGGTAAAGAAGAAAAAGTCTTTATGACAGACAGTCTGAGAAAGAACAAAACCTTTTAAACAGAAGTACAGTACAGCTGCTGCTCCCTGACTGCTTTAAAAGTCCGAATTTATACTCCTTAGATAACAAAGCAAAGCTTTTTCTACTCTTTGTCTAGAACCTGTTGTTGCTAATATGAATAATAGAGCTAGAGGTTGGATTCGCTCTCTGAATAATTATGAAAATAATCATTTTTCTGTCTCCCTCTGGTCTTGTACCCCGAGAAAGGAGGAACAAATGTAGAAAAGCCCCCAACTTCTCTACCACTCTTTTGCCATACATTTAGAACCCAGAAGTTCTTTCCCTTTACTGTTCTGTCTATTGATAAATACTGAGTTTCAATACTCATATGCTAGACCCCTTACTTGGATTATCTCACTTAATTCTCGTATCTCTCAGTAAAATGGATTCTATAATTTGGGTCTCATTTAAAACTTCAGGGCATGTGAAATCCAAGGAAGTCAAATAAGTCACAGGAGGACAGCCCAAGGCACAGGGGCCAAAAGCCAAAACATGAGAGACAAAGGAGCTTCAGGTATAGAAAGCAATGTTTCAGGATTCAGGGCTTGTGGAAAGGAGGCACACTCCAGGATCCAGTGGAGAGCAAAGGGAAAGGGCTCTGGAGGAGTGCCTGGAATATTCACAGTTGCATCTGACTTGTTTTGCTTTTATTTTATTTATTTATTTTTGAGATAAGTTCTCACTCTGTTGTCCAGGCTGGAGGCCAGTGTTGCCATCTCGGCTGGCTCACTACAACCTCTGCTACTTGGGGCCAGGTGATCCTCCCACCTCAGACTACCGAATATCTAGGACCACAGGGATGCACCATCACACCTGGCTAATTTTTTGGTAGTTTTTGTAGAGATGGGGTTTTATCACATTGCACGGGCTGTTCTCAAACTCCTGGACTCAAGCAATCTATCTGCCTTGGCCTCCCAAAGTGCTGGGATTACAGGCGTGGACTTGTTTGGCTTTTATGCCTCACCTGATGCACAGGACAGGGACAGAATGAGGAATAAAAAGAATAGAATGGATACATTTAAATAACCGGCAAACATTAGTGTATTAGTCAGGATTCTCTAGTGGGACAGAAATAATAGGAAATATGTATATATGAAAGGGAGTTTATTAGGGAGAATTGACTCACACAATCGCAAGGTAAAGTCCTACAGTAAGCCGTCTACAAGTCGAGGAGCAAGGAAGCCAGTGGTGGATCAGTCTGAGTCCCAAAACCTCAAAAGTAGGGAAGTTGACAGTGCAGCCTTCAGTCTGTGGCCAAAGGCCTGAGAGGCCCTGGCAAACCACTGGTGTAAGCCCAAGAGTCCAAAAGCTGAAGAACTTGGAGTCTGATGTTCAAGGGCAGGAAGCATCCAACATGGGAGAAAGACAAAGGCCGGAAGACTCAGCAAGTCTGCCCATTCTACTTACTTCTGCCTGCTTTATTCTAGCCTTACTGGCAGCTGATTAGATGGCACCCACCTAGACTGAGGGTGAGTCTGCCTCTCCCAGTCCGCTGACTCAAATGTTAATCTCCTTTGACAACACCCTCACAGACCCACCCAGGAACAATACTTTGCATCCTTCAATCCAATCAAGTTGACACTCAATATTAACCATCACAATTAGGTTTTAATTTTTTCACTGGTATGTAATGTTCATTTTTAGAAAGGGAAATTTAAGCCAGAGGTATAAAGGCCTAATTATTAAATTATATGGAACTATGAGCAAAACTTTCCGAAAGTTTGAAGAGGCTGGAGTAAGGTAGAGCATATTCTGAGAGTCACTGACATGACCGACATAGACAAATGTCTTTGTATATAACAGGGGTCCACAAGCTAAGCCAGTGGACCAAATTCAACCCATGACATGATTTTTAGGGCCCCCTCATTAAAAATAATTTTTAGATTTTTAAAGGGTTGTAAAACACACACACACATACACACACACACACACACACACACACACAACCCCCCCATAATATGAGACAGAGGCTGTATGTCACCTACAAAGCTGAAAATACCTATGAGTTGGCACTTTATAGAAAAAGTGTTCCACCCCCCTGGTCTGTATAATAGTCTCTTGTAGAGGTCACATGGCTGACCCCCACTCATCCAGCCTGACTTGATATAAGCCTTCCCATTCCAGGGCTTCTTTCTGCTCTCACTTGCTCTACAGTATTGTTCCACAGCCCATAAAGCAAATCAGCAGACTCCATTTCAACTCTTAATGGATTGTGACATGAAAACCACTAGTGCAAATGAGGCCCTTTCTGGGAGTCCCTGCAGAATTAAACAGCCTGTGGAGACCAAACCACCATCCTTTTGTGTTGTGAGGTGGCACTTCACCAAGACCTTTAGAAGTTTTAATTGCTGATGCCTTTTCCTAGAGATAAACAGTAACTGGTGCTGTCAATCTGTCACTTTCAAGAGTACTAAAATCATGAAGAATTCATAGGAAGCTGCTGTAAATGTCATCCATTTTCAAAGAAAGCTTTTAAATCAATTTTTCAAAATAATGTATATACATCAAAACTCATGGGATTTACATAATATTCTTTTTCATTGATCAAGAAACTATTATCGATGCTTACATTACTTCTGTTTTGAAATGCTAGTTAATAATGATACATATCAATAGTTTAGAAATCAAAAGTGATTTAGAAACTCAAGTCTCTCATTTTATGCTTACAATGATAATAATAACAACAGTATTTCCACCTTATATTTCTATGAAAATTTATAGTTTTTTCAAGCATTTCAAAAATATATTTCATTGAATTCACATAATGATAATCAACATAATGACCCTATCAGCTGTGAATGGCAGCAGCTGGTCCTAAATCTTTTTCTTCAGTAGAGCAAATTGTACTTACATTAAGTAAAAAATCCAAGGTCATCAAGCCAGAATATGGCAGAAGGAAAATATAAAATTTTTGTACTTCTGACCTGTGGTATTTCTACCATACCAACATAATACTTGCCTAATATGAAAAAACTTCATGTTTAAAAATCATCATTTATAATTATGATTATGAATGCATAAGAACTATAATACAATTTCAAAAATGTTTTAAGTGATAGCCATTACTACTCCACAAATTTGAGCAAATTCCATAGGCCTGAAAGATTAAAAGTAGATTCTCAATATGTTCCAGGTAGATCTATCCCAATTATTTGTCTCTGGTAAATATTTTTCATTCTTCCACTACAGTCTTTCAAAAGATAGAAAAACAACCCTTTCATTACTTCCCTGGCTGGGCTCCTTCTGGGCTAGTCATCTTCCTCACAATCACCTAAGGCTGTGATCCTAGCTTAAGAGATTCCTTTCCAATAAACTTCAAAAATCGTTTTTATATCCTGTCAAATTCCTTTGGAATTTGTTTTTGAGTTGACTGCTCTGTTCTGTGTTTAATGGAAAAAGCAAATGTAGCATAAATTATCAATTCGAAAGTTAAAATGGAAATTATTCTGTTACTATTTTAAAGGCTACCCACAGTTGATTAAAAATAAAATTATTTTCAACAAAATATTTTAGTAATCAATTGATATTAACAAAATATACACTTGAAAGATGAAAAAAAGCTGTGCCTTAATGTATCTAAACTTAGTAGGGAAAATGTTAAAGGAAAGGTTAACATACTGGTTGCAAAATAAAACATCCCATTTTCAACTGTACATTAAAAACGAAAGGAAAAAGAGCAGCGTGGGAACATATGAAAAGAAAGAAAAACGTGTAGGTGAGGCATTTTATGTAGTACCAATTTTTAGACAGAAGAATATTCATAGCACTGGTCTCCACATCCTTGGGATATGATCAATAGGTGAGTTTAAGGAAAATAAGATAAAAAACTCAATTCTTCTTCAAGTAAATTATCTTTGCTGTGTTTCATGAACCATTTTTTTAAGTAAATGTTACTTTTCTGAACACAAAACAATTCTTAATGTATAAAACTTGGAAAACAGAAAAACATAAGAAAAAATAATTACTATCATATTAATTACCTTAATATTTTGTTATTTTTTTCTTGTCTTTTGGTTAAAAAATTATATATATATGTTTATATATATTTTACTCAGAATACATACTAGATTGACAGAACTACTTATAAACTTTTTCTAGCCAAATGGCAAACACTTGATCCAAACTAAAGTGAGACTAGACTCAGTAGGTGGGACTAGACTCCGGACCAGACTATAGACTCCCCAGAACTGGGAAGAGACCCTGAAAGCATGGCTCCATAAGACATGTCTACCAGCACCATGATAGTTTACCATTGCCATTGCAATGCCCAAAAGTTACCGCCCATTTTCTAGCTAATCCTGAAAAGCCTGCTCCTTAAGCAGGAGCAGTCACAGTGCTCTAACCCTGCCATTGCCTCAATAAAGCTGTTTTCTTTTACCACCAGCCAGTTCTTGAATTCCTTCCAGGATGAAGTCAAGAACTTGCCTGTATCAAAAGCAATCCAATTTTCTCTTGACACTTCGAAAAAAAAAAAAAGAATAAGTCATGTGATGGTAAACAGATGAAGCTGACAGTTAGCTCCTACTTGTTGGATCCTCAAAACTGTCTTTTGAGTCTGATTCATCAGCTGCCCTTCTATGTTTCCTCCTTCTCCTCCCTAGGCATGATATCTTTTGGTTTAATCTAGGCAACATTTTTTTTCTGTTGCTTATATAAAATATTCAAAATGTAATATGAGGCCGGGCACGATGGCTCACGCCAGTAATCCTAGCACTTTGGGAGACCAAGGGGGGTGGATCACTTGAGGTCAGGAATTCAAAACTAGCCTGGCCAACATAGTGAAACCCCACCTCTACTAAAAATACAAAAAAAAAAAAAAAAAAAGAGCTGAGTGTGGTGGCAGGTGCCTGCAATCCCAGCTACTCGGGAGGCTGAGGCAGGAAAATCACTTGAACCCGGGAGGCAGAGGTTGCAGTGAGCCGAGATTGCACCACTGCACTCCAGCCTGGGTGACAGAGTGAGATTCCATCTATTAAAAAAAAAAAAAAAAAAGGTAATATGAATACTACATTTTTGGTTGATTTAGACTCATGCATTCATCTAAATTTAGAATTCTTACTATATGAACACTTTGTGTGTTTCTTCTTTTTATTTACATAATGAAAATGTTTATAATCACTTTCTACATACCTCAAAAGGGGTTAGTTACATTCAGTGTAAAAAATGCTTTGAATCCTTTGGAGAAATGTCTTATTATGACTTTATCTGACCAATTGCTATAGGAATTGCTTCTTCAATTTAGTATTCTTGACCTAGCATACAAATTTAAAATATATTGTAGTCATATTAAGATATGACTCAGAAACTTGTTTTCCTATTTCCTGTGTTTTTGTTTCTGTCTCCAATGTTAAGAAAAGAATACTACAATTAAGTATCTACTCAAAGGCACATGTCATTGAGGTATTTGTCGAGATTGTGGTCAGTGGACATTATACAACATTCATCTTGAATTCAGCCATTTTATATATCAGCACAGTTACCATATTTAATTTGCCAAATAACTAGTAGAGGTAAAAAAAAAAAAACCCAATCACAAAGTAAATTACAGGATAAATTTTCAATGAATTTTCACATTGGTGTTTTTAGATAATGACTGTAATCTGATATGAAACAGAAAGGGAATCCATAAAAATCTAAAGAAAAACTTACAGAAATCAAGATTAAATGAAAGACAATCCCAAGTGAGAATATACATACAGACATGCATCCACATTACTTACTTGATAGAAAATGGAGATGGATTTAGGATGAGGCAGCATCATTTGGTGGTATGATTTAGACTCAAAGTTGTAAGACTACAGCAAGTTAAGTCCCTTGTATCTGAGTTTATATTTTGCTTTGGGCCCTGGGGCTTAGGCAGTTCTATTGCCAGGAACACTCCTGTTGGTTTAAATCTCAATTCACCTCCCCTTTCATTCTTATTCTTGTACTGCAGTTCTAGTAACTGGAGTTTTTGTCTCCTAGCTCATTATCTGAGGCCTTGTTCTATACCTTCCAGATGTTCATTCTACTAGATGTACATAAAGGCCTCTGTCCCAAATGTGAGCACTGCCCTTCCTCATCCAGATGGCTGAATTTCTGCTGCATGCTTATCACAATAGAAGCACTCTGCCCGCCCACCCAAATGGTCTTCTAAGAACAGTGTTGCCAGCCTAGTGTCCATTGATTCTTCACATATCAGGAATCTTGCAATTTTATCTTGAGTTCTTTGTTGTTTAATTTTGCATGTCAACTTTCAGGCTGAACTTTGTCTAATAACAATTATAAACAATTACAATTAAGTGCCACATAATGACGTTTTGGTCAATGACATACCACATGTACAACAGTGATACTGTAAGATCATAATACCGTGCTTTTAGTGTACCTTTTCTGTGCTTAAATATGGTTAGAAAAACAAATATCATGTTAAAATTACTTATGGTATTCAGCATAGTAACATACTGTACATGTTTATAGCCTAGGAGCATTTGTGTCATATAACATAGGTGTGTCATAGGCTATACCATCTGAGTTTGTGTAAATACACTTTGTGATATTTGTGCAATGACAAAATTGCCTAATGATACATTTCTCAAAGCACACTTTTGTTGTTACATGACACATGACTATATATATATACATATATATATATACACACAAGTCAATATTTAGGACAGATTCAGTGTCTTCTTCCTAGTTTGATTTGGAGTTGCCTCCACCCCCTCTATCCAGCAGTTATGAATAAGTTACATAGCTCATTGAAATGTGATATGGCTAAAAGAAGGGGAGAGAAGGGGGTAGAGGGAGGAGGAGAGTTTTTATCCTCTGGTTTTAATTATGACCATGAAAAGAAATGACTTAACTACTCAGTATAGAATATTATGACTGCCTCTTCATTCATGGCAATACAGTAATTTCAGCTTCTTTGCAGATAGCAACGTAGATAGACAGCAGATAGGTAGACAGATAGATGCATACATACATATAAACATATGTCTTATATAAATACATAGAAAAATGGGTTGTTTTTTTAGATAGATGGATGGCTAGATAGATGATATGTAGATGATAACTAGCTATACAGAAAGGTATAATCAAAGATGTTGATATCTCTGACTTCCTATCAGTTCTGTTAATTTCCTGTTCTTCACTGTTGTGTCAGAAGATATCTTTGCAACGATTCTTAAACTATTTAGTAATCATCCTAGTATCCACAAAGGTCAAAAGCAACGAACGACATGATTAGATTTTTCTTGAGTTATAGGTTCAATTCTGTTTTTATGTACGTACTATACACAGATATGCATTCGAAATGGTTAAAGAATCATTTGAAAGTGAAACGTTTGAAAATATTTTGAACTTTCTATGAAATAGAAAGTTGGTAGCATGGTGAAGCCCATGGAGAACTAGACTTTGAGTGAAGATATTTGAATTTTTCCAGCATTACTACTAACTAGCATTATGACTACACTTGACTAAATGAATTTTCTCATTTATAAAAGAGTTGTCCTTAAAATGTTACCTCAGGGCCGGGCGTGGTGGCTCACGCCTGTAATCGCAGCACTTTGGGAGGCCAAGGCGGGCAGATCACCTGAGGTCGGGAGTTCAAGACCAGCCTGACCAACATGGAGAAAGCCCGTCTCTACTAAAAATACAAATTGGCTGGGCCTGGTGGCGCATGCCTGTAATCCCAGCTACTTGGGAGGCTGAGGCAGGTGAATCGCTTGAAGCCGGGAGGCAGAGGTTGTAGTGAGCCAAGATGACACCATTGCACTACAGCCTGGGCAATGAGAGCAAAACTTGGTCTCAAGAAAAAATAAAGTTACATCAATTTTGACATTCCGTGTTTTCTATAAATTGGTTAATATTCTAAAGTTCCATTATAAGACCTCATAAATGAAATAACCTGAATAATATCACTCTTTCATGGTATATTTTAAAATATATTTCATTTTATACACATTATTTGTATTTTGTGTTAATTGTACTCTACTTTCCCTGAACATAATCTTGGTGTGGAGCTGGGGTTGTCCATTATGCAAAAAAGAAATTTTAAATTTAGATTTGACTTTTTAAAATATGCTATCAATTAGAACCACACAATGCTACATAATGATATTTCCAACAGATGTTATGTAAAATATAGTACTATAACTACTGAATATTCAAGCACATATAGTGCAAATCTTGCAAAATTCTTAGTGACACTTTGAAAAAAATTAGAATGTTTATAAGAAGCAATACAAATTAACATGAATTCTTTGTTCCAACCACTACAGAAAGAAATATAAGACTCTGACTGTTTTTATAGTATGTGTATAAACTGTATAATAAGCTGATGTCTTTAAGGTAAACAGAAAAGTGTATGATGTCAGTAGCATCTGTACTTCAATTTTTTTTTCGAACACTAGTAATTAAATTTCACTACTCCATCCACATTCTCTTAGGCACTCTTTCTTATGACAGAGTTATGACCACAGATTGCATGCTTGGGACAAGGAAAAACATCATCATTTAGGAATGCAATCAAATTCATGACTTTCTAAGTGCATCATGTTCTAACCAACACAGTTAAGTAGGTAAAGGAAAACTCAGGATAGAATACACCCTTGACAGTCACCATGGTACACCCTGAGACTGTGGCAAATCCCTAAATTTGTAAACATTATTATTATTAAATATATTTTCTTGCACAAAAGGCAGTAAAGTAAAACAAAAAATAAAATAAATATTCTTTATTTTGTCCTCTCTTTAAACTGTGGAATTCCTATTTATTCTTCATATCTCACCTTTTCCATGGAGAAATTTCTGGCCAATGCTTAGTTTAGATATCAAAGTTTTATAAAAATCATCTAATCTTAGAATTATCGTCATAGCTTGTTACTAATTTCTTGCTTAATAGCTGTTCCATAGCTGCAGGCTTCTTGAATTCATGGATCAAGTCAGCACCATTTTAGCACTCCTCACAGAATTGATTATTAGGTATTTCTTTTGGATGAACAAATGAATAACTCACAATATGCATGTGATTTATGAAAATAGTGGTAAGTAATAAAAATAAAATTAAGTTGATATGCAGCTTCTGGGCAGTAGCTAGGTCCACTCACTAGTAACCAACTTACATCTGAGCATCAGTCTTAGTAGACACAGTATTTTTCATAGTTGTGACCAAAAATTGTATAAATTTGTACAAATCATGTTCCTTGTTGAGGGCCTGTGAATACTTAAAACTGTGACCGTCCTATGCCTATGTCCACAGCCTATTATACGAAAGCAAAATTTTGCCATTTACTAGTTTTGTGGTCATAAGCAAGTTGTTCTGCATCCAGAGACCACAGTTTCTTCATCTGCAAAATGAATATTATAATTCTTTCTATGTTTAAAAACCCATGTGTTATTCTCAAAAATTGAATAAATTAATTTGTATAAAAATGTCTTGAGGAGCACTCTACAACTGTATGGTGTTTGCATAAACTGTGATTAGAGCATGATGCCATAGTTATTTCAAAGAGAGTTGTAGCTGCGATGTTGTCTGCTTGAGGAAAGATAAACAAGCATCTGTTATTTCATAGCTATTTCATTCCAGTTTTCAGCAGACTACTAATGATTGCAATCAATGAATCTATAAAGAGGCTTGTGCCACAGAACACGTGATACAGGTTTACCTGGCTGAGAGCCATTCTAAGAAGCAGAATTCGTCACAGGCTTGCAGATCCAAAGGTTTTGAAGGAAGGAAAACCTCCTTAGAAATACAATACTATTGTTCATATTAAAGATTGAGATAGCTCCCATGGCAACAGTTTTTTACTACATACAATCCTTTTTAAAAAATATTTGAACGTTTATGCAATAAATTCAAATGCAAAAACCAATTAACTGTATATCCCATAATCAAATAATTTTTCAAGCGAGTGACCCAAATTTCAAGAGGCTTTGAAAGCACTACCAAAGTGAAATGGAACAAGTGAAGTATTTGATGTCAGCAGAGGAAACATTTTCATTGTTTTTTCAGGCACAAATAGAGTTGCATAATATTATGTAACTTACTAAATATATCCAGGTTATACTAATCATGCTTTTTAAGTCACCAGGATGACTATAGCTTAGTATGTATCAAGCATAGGAGATTTAGTTTGAGAAAGACATCAAGGAGCGTTGGTTCCCATAGGTATTAGAGGTAGAGGTCTCTTTAAATGCCTTTAAAAACTAGCTGTGGTTTCTTAGGTAAACTAATTAAACCCTTGGGGTTTTGTGTTGTTTTGAGAAAAAAATGCCAGGTATGGAGTCTGCACTGTGTTCATCCCACAGCAGAAGCTCTTGTTATTTGTGTGTCCTCTGGGTCAGGAATCATCTTTACATATACCACATGTCCTGTTCTCATGTATCCACTTGCTGGTTAGACAAAGGCATCTACCAATAAACCAAACACATGAGCAATGTAGCTTATTATTATCATAATAATCTATCACTAAAAGATTATGTCTTTAATTATAATATTGTTCCTATGGAGTATGACACAGTGATGGCTGAGGTGCTAATTCAACTGAATGCCAAGGCACAAGAGGCCAGGTAGTGCATATGACTTCAGGAACCCTGGAAATGTTCCTCATCCATGGACAATCCTGGATGCTTTTGCTTATCATTTTTGTTAGCATTTAAAACTAAACTGATATATCCAAGTATCTTTTCTTCCTCTTGAGAATGCAAATACCCTGGGAGGATGCCCCCTACAGAATGGTTTCAGTACAAATCAAGAATCTTAGAGCTGGGCACGGTGGCTTACACCTGTACTCCCAACACTTTTGGAGACCAAGGTGGGAGGATCGCTTGAGTACAGGAGTTTAAGACCAGCCTGGGTCTCATGTCTACACTGTGTGTGTGTGTGTGTGTGTGTGTGTGAATGTGTGTGTGTGTGTGTGTGTGTGTATGTATGTGTGTATATACATATTTTTTTTTAATTAGCCTGGTGTTATGGCACATACCTATAGCCCCAGCTACTCACATCACTGCACTCTAGCCGATAGAGGGAAACCTCATTTCAAAAAAATAAAATAAAATAAAATAAAATAAAACCTTATAGCAGGATTTGATAGGAATGTGAGAAGAAGGGCTGTGTGCTGTAGGTATATGGCCATATGGTAGTGCATGAATAAACAATTAGCCGGGCGTGGTGGCACGCACCTGTAATCCCAGCTACTCAGGAGGCTGAGGGAGGAGAATTGCTTGAACCCAGGAGGTGGAGGTTACACTGAGCCAAAACTGCGCCACCGCACTCCAGCCTGGGTGACAGAGCGAGACTCCATTTCAAAAAAAAAAAAGAAGATTAGAATTCTTTTGGAAAGTTTATTTTTGACAGCAGCTGTTAAGCCCTCTGTAAGAACTGTTTTCACGTCAAAATTACTAGGTAAATAAAGTTCTGTTTATCTTTAATCTTTGGTTTCCAAGGGTAATTTCTTTTGTAACTACTTTGAAGAAATGTTAGCTGATAATAGTAGACATCAGTTCATTAAAGTGAGTGATGTCATGGAGAGAAAACTTTTAATGAACATCATCTACTAATGTATTGATTTTTGTCAGGCATTATCTTGTTACCAGAATTTAGCGAGCCATACATACTTTTTGTTGTTGTTGAGATGGAGTATCGCTCTGTCGCCCAGGCTGGAGTGCAGTGGTGTGATCTTGGCTCACTGCAACCTCCACCTCCCAGCTTCAAGTGATTCTCCTGCCTCTGCCTCCTGAGTAGCTGGAACTACAGGCATGTGCCACCACGCCCAGCTAATTTTTATATTTTTAGTAGAGATGCGGTTTCACCTTGTTGACAAGGCTGGTCTTGAACTCCTGACCTCAGGTGATCTGCCTGCCTTGGCCTCCCAAAATGCTGGGATTACAGGCATGAGCTACTGCGCATGGCCCACATTTTTTTTAAGTGAATTTATTTTGGTATTTGATAGTAAGTCACTTACACTTAAGCAGCTGTCACCTTCCTATGTAAATATACTGAGACAGTTCCTTCCCGTTGTTGTTGGAAAATAGTTTGTAATTTATACTGATGAGAAGTCATTAACTAGGTTTTTTAAATGGTGTGATGTACGAAACATTTTCTTAAACGGAAAGATCAGTGTTCATTGTTATAAAAGCCTAAAAATAAAATTGTCAGAAAGCAAGATAGCAAAATTAGCCTATGGTTGATATTCATGACTTGGAAAGAGCAAGTCAATGATACAGCAGAAGCTGGTGCCGATTTCTTCCTTTATCTTACAGCTGCCTAACAAAACAAGAAAACGCACAACTAAAGTAGTTCAAACTTAGCAAATTATACCATTCAAATAGAATAGAAAGATACATATTGAGGCGTGAAGCAACCAGGTAAAAATTGCCAAAATTATATATACATATTGCAACTACTTTTAATATACCTTAGTTGACATATATATAAAATTCCATTTTGGGGGTCTTTAATAACTTTTGTTTCTTCTAAGTTTTTATTTATTCACTTATTCATTCATTCATTGATTCACCCATTCATAATGAAACATTCATTGAGCTACAAGCTGCATGGGGTAATGAACATAATAAAACATATGATCCATATCCTCAAGAAATCCATAGATTGTGAGAGGAAACAGACATACTAGGTAGATAAGAAAATACAAGGTGATTAGTGATAGCGAAAAAGTACAAACAAAAATTGGTTCATAGCAGAAGGAGTACTCTGCCTTGGGCTAGATAGTAGCTTTAAGGAAGGCTTTGTTGTGGAAATGACATCTGAGCTTCTGGAATGGCTTACACTGCGGTCTTCTGACCTCGAAGTGGGAGTTGGGCATTTCTACTTGCTCCTTGGTTCTTATTATTTGCCTCTAGTTTGAACTGGACAACTGTTACTACCACAGGGGGAAAAATCTGTAAGAACTTAATACCTCTCATACCCTCACTTCATATTGGGGAGGTGGAAGGTGAAGTTTCGATTGGTGAAGGTTTTGCCTGAGATTACACAGCCGTCAAGTAGTAGAATCAGGGCCACATTTGCTAAGATTTCTTGTCTGTCACTCCAAAGCTCTTTGCCCTTTTCCATGCCATTTTCAACTTTTCCCTTCGGTTTTCTGAAAAGCAGCTTTGGTAAACAATCTGGAAATAAGAAATAGCTCTTTGATAGTTTTTTGTTTGTTGTTTGTTTGTTTTTAACCATTGAACAATTTCAAATCTTGCAGAACAATTGGGTTTTTTTCCCTTACCTTCACTGCTTCTAAATTAGGAAAGTGTACATTCACTCGTTTTTTTTTAACTGTATGAATTTTTATGCAAAGAAGGTAAGGCTAAGAGAGCAGATGTAATTTGTTCAATGCCACACAGTAGTCAATGAAATGTGTGTCCAAGCTGGGAAGGTCTTTCTCTAAGATCTGCACCTTTCAACTTTACACTCCTGCCTATTCAGATAGAGATGAATTACATGGTTTCTGCTATTAAGATTTTATAATGTAGTAGAAAGACACAAATAAGCAAATGTAATACAACAAAAAGAGATAAAATCTCCCATCATAATCCATTGAGAGAGAGAGAGGAAGAATTTCTCTAAGATTTCAGAGAAGGAATGTAAATTTGGAATGGATTTGAGGAGAACATGTTATTTGCACTGACATTTTAGGAATTTATGTGATTAATATGTGTAGATGGCATGAGAATGGTAAAGGAGATTCTAAAATACTCTAAACACAGTGATTGCATCCACAGAGGTCTTCGATTATGACATGTGTGAAATGAGAAGCTCATTTTGAATGACACATTGGTATATATAAATGATGTGTGGAAAATGTAGTAGAAGAAACAATGGAACAAAGTTATGGACAGTAGAAACAATGGGACAATTTATTGAATGTGCAGGTAAGAATTTGGGCATTTTGTCACATGCTGTGGAGAGGCCGATAGCTATTTAGCCTAAGGAGTGGAGTGATCCAAATTGAGCTTGATTTTTTTTTTGTCTCTGAAATAAAAGTAGTCATTTTACCTAAAATCCCCTTTTTTAAAGATAGAAATGCCAAAAACTATTTTCTAGGATCTACTTTTTTAATATTTTGATTCATCCAATCAATATGCATTTTAAAACATTTTTCCTGTTTAATTTTACTTTTCTTTTGAGACAGGGTCTCACTCTGTCACCCAGGCTGGAGTGCAGTGGCCCAATCACAACCAACTGCGGCCTCGACCTCCCTGGCTCAAGTGATCCTCACAGCTTAGCCTCCTGAGTAAATGTGGCCACAAATGTGTGTCACCACACCCAGCTAATATTTCATTTTTGTGTAAAGATGAAATCTTGCTATGTTGCCCAGGCTGCCCTGTCTAATTTTAAATTTAAGTTTCAAGCTATTATTCTCAGAAGGACTCAGGTTGTGTTTATAGCACAGAAGGAGTCAGTGAGTCAGCAACTATGTTACCAAGTGAACTAAGAATTGTAATTTGGTCAACATTATTTCACCTGAAGTTAACTTATTTTTTTAATGATCAAGAAAATAAGAATCACGTTATTCATTTAATAAATTGTAATCTTATTATCTAATTTTATGAGGCAGGCAGAATGAAAAAAAGTATGTGGTTCTTTGTGGATGAAAATAAATAAGAAGAAGCATTTATTGAGTGCCTTCTATAATATGGTCTTGTGAGATAAACCTCACCTATGCTGAAACTGGTGTTCTTGATAATCCTATAAAGTGGTATTATTGTTGTTGTTGCAAACAAGGAAATGGAGATCCAGGAGGTTAACTGATTCACCCAATTCTCATTGTCAGTGAGTGGCAGAACTGGGACTAACATCCCCATGAATCTGGTTTCAAAGGTAATGCTCTAGTCACTTCTTCACCTGACCTCATAGTTATTATTTGAAGTACTATCACCTTGTATCTTCCGTGTAATACATAAAGCCATCTTCATAAACACAGGCTATTTTATAAAAGACTGAATTCTGTCTAACAACCAAATTTTTACCACTTTTTACATGTTTAAATTCCATGTAAAAGAATCATCTTAGTGTATAGCCATAGTCAGATTTTATTTTGACTGTTGTCACTGTGAATTTCTAATAAAACAGAAGGCAGAAGTAACTACAAGTTTATAATCTTTGAGAGATGTCAGTATATATTTTAAAACCACTTAACTTGATGTTACAAGAAACTTCAGATTGAGTTTGAAAATATATATATTGTTATGCCCTGTGGCATTTTCTGACCTGTCATAATGCCACTCAGTTTCAAAATCGCTATTCATAGATGTTGAGAATATTCTTGCTGAATAAAGAGGCCATTTTGGAAATGTGTGGAGGTTAATATTATGCACATGAAACTGCTCAGCTTTCTCACACCCTGTCAGATCCGAGCAATTATTCTACCATCTCGCTGCCTGTCCCCGCCCCCACACCATTTCCTTAAATTGCTATGGAAATTAAATCGTGAAAGACACTCTTCTTGCAAAGATGCCTCCTTCAGAATCCTCTCCGCTTTGCCCTAGCTAATTTGGAATAGAAAATCATCCCACATTTCCGTGGAACTTAGAAAGGCCAGGGGCCAGACCTAAAAGGCATAATTTGCCTGACATCTGTGTTCCAGAATCATGTTGCATCAAAACAATTCGTGATGCTCAAGTGAAAGTAAGCATCCTGTCTATTCACTAAAGCATTTAACAAGCGAATGTCAGTCACTTTCTATTCTCTCATCCATAGAATCACATCCCATAAGGACGATCATACTTGTAAAGTGCCCAATTCACATTACATTATTTCATGATCACATTGATATAGTGAATATATTTTCTATCATTTTGCTCATTTTTTTCCTCCAGTGGGTGTTATGTGTAGCACAACTGAGGATACCAGAGATTATTCTTAAAGTCTTGATTTATAGAGACTAGATGTCTAATTAACAGAGGCAACAAGCTTACTGAGAACTTGCAGGATCTACCCCTTTGCCAGTCCTACTCAGCTTCAGAATCCAGGTTGCTAGTCAGGCCTGTTCTGTGGCTATTGTAGGCAGCCAACAATGACTTAATCCAAAGTGTTGAAATGGCCATTGGAAGCCAAACATCTGGGTAGACTACTTTTCATCACTAATTTTATAGAGAAGACATTGTTTCTAAAGTTTTGGAAACTCTCAAATCTGCTCCTTTTACAGTAACTGGCAGTACATTCGAGTTTCTAAATACTAAAATGATCTTGAAGCTTCAGATACAGCCTCCATATAACATACCTCTGTCTCAAACAACCAGCTCCCATATGTAAGGCAAAGCAAAGCAACTGTAATCTGAATATTAGAAAGATGTCTCTGAATGTAGAGAAATTGGGGCCATCAGACTCTACAGCTATGTAGGATAAAGAGCTGTATCAGTGAGATATTCAGTGTTCCTTCCATAGCAGAGGAATTTAGTAGTAGTGTAGCAGAAGGACCCACTTAGGAAAGGAACTAAATTTGGGCAATGAAAAATGAGAGTATAGGATGAGGCAAATTTTCCCAATTGTCTCTCAAAACCAGTAACTGTTGAACATTTAGCAGGTGCAACACTTTCCTTTTTTTTTTTTTTTTTTTTTTTTAGTTGGAGTCTCACTCTTGTCACCCAAGCTGGAGTGCAAAAGTGGCATGATCTCGACTCACTGAAACCTCCACCTCCCAGATTCACGCGATTCTCCTGCCTCAGCCTCCCAAATAGCTGGGATTACTGGCACATGCCACCACGCCTGGCTAATTTTTTTGTAGTTTTAGTAGAGACAGGGTTTCACCAGGTTGGCCAGGCTGGTCTCGAACTCCTGACCTCAGGTCATCTGCCCGCCTCGGCCTCCCAAAGTGGGAGGGATTACAGGCATGAGCCACAGTGCCCGGCCTTGCAGGTGCAACACTTCTATCCAAAATCTTTGTTCCTTTGGGAAGGTGGTGGAGTTAGATGCTCTCTGAGGCCCAAGGTAAAAGTTTCTAGTTTCAGTTGTGACTAAAAAATAATGCTGGCTTCCATAAATACAGTGTAAAGAAAAGTAAGGTTAGATAATGGTCCTTTACCTCTTGCAGCTTAGATCGCCAGTAACCATTTGATCCTGGTAGTTTGGAAATGACCCCCATCAAATTATTAAATTTTGGCCTTGGAAAATTAGAGCTTAGTTTAATTAAGGGTTCTTTTTATTCCAGTTCAGCTGGATTCTCCATAGTCTTAATTATATTCATTATTATTTATTTTTGTATTTACTTTCTCTGTGTTCTTAGGCAAAACACACCAAACTTCAGTGCCTTTCAACATTTGCACTTAAGTCCACCGAATGCAATGATCTAATAAGAAAGATAAGCCAGGCCGGGTGCAGTGGGTCACGCTTATAATCCCAGCATTTTGGGAGGCCGAGGCAGGTGGATCATGAGGTCAGGAGTTTGAGACCAGCCTGGCCAACATAGTGAAATACCATCTCTACTAAAAATACAAAAAATTAGCTGGATGTGATGGCAGGGACCTGTAATGCCAGCTACTCGGAGGCTGAGGCAGGAGAATCACTTGAACCTGGGAAGCGGAGGTTGCAGTGAGCTGAGATGGTGCCATTGCACTCCAGTCTGGGAGACAGTGAGAGACTCCTCAAAAAAGAAAAAAAAAAAAAAAAAGGAAAAATAAGCCAAATTGTGATAATTTATAGTTCACTCTCCTTTAAGTCTCTGTCCTATAGCAGTCTCCTATCCCTATTCAGAGAACTTTCATAATTGCATCTGTCAGGCGTTCAATAATAGTATGAAAATAAATGCTCATTTTCTTTCTGGAAGACTAACACATGCTTTTATTCTATAGTTGGCAAATGTTCAGTAGTGGAGTTTTCAGAAACCCCTGCAAAGACTTTTCCCATCAAACACCCACTGTTGGGTAACTGATGTGAGTCCTGAGCAGCCAAAACTTTGGGCTAATGAGCACTCCAGGGTTTGTCATGCTGGTGTTCATCCAGCAAGATGGTTACAGAGACTCATGATTTATGATTTCATAGCCTGGTCCCTTAAACTGAAATTGGAAACAAATGTGCATAGATTTTACCACTGTTTTTGATAATTGCACAATGAGCAAGAGACTTGTGGGAGGTTTTGTTCTCTCTGACATAGTGTTTTTTGATGATACTTCATGGGAATTGTGTTAGAAAAAAACCAGATAACAAGGTTTATATATACTTTCTTATAACTAGAACAAAGCCTTCTTTTAGTAGACCTGAAAAGACTATAACTACACTAGAATCATGGACATAATAAAGATAGTTGTTATGTGGAATCTTAGTAATGGAACCAGTGTTACACTACACATTTATTAGTAGATATTAATGTCAATTTTACAAGTATTGTCTCATAATCTCTTTGATTACCATGACTTTTTCTTACTATGATGAATATCCAAATTGAGATGTATTACCCTATTATTTTTCTTAATTTCTATGATTTTTTGATTTTGATTTGGGTATATTTGTTACCAAAAAATTCTAAAATTAGTATTTTATTTCATATTTGAGGGTGTAAGGTAGGAAAAAAGGCTGATATCTGCAGTCCATTTCAGCTTTATGAATAATTCGTTTTGTATATTTAGGAAAATTATTTCAACTCTCTGAGCCTCAGTTTCCTTAGCTGTAAAATAAGAAGTTTATAACATAAGAGCTCTAAAAGTTTTCTGAATGGCTACAATTCATGATTCTATGTTGAAGGATAGTTGTTTCACTCTACGGTATTTTATGCATGACATGATGAAAACTCAGTAGCTTTAAAGTAATTATAAGCCTTCTTCCAGTGGGTAAAACGCTTACAAATACATAAAACAGAAGACACATGATAAACAAGAAGAGAAAGTGACATGCAAAGCTATTTCTGTCCTTTCTGAGTAAACATATTTTTGTAATAAAGTCAGGGATAAATTCTAAATATAATGAAAATTACTTCCTTGCATTAATTCATATATATTATAAATGGAGCCTTTTTATAATTATAAAAATTATTATAATTTTTACAATTATATAAAAAGTATTATAATTATATAAATTATAAAAATTTATATATTTTAAATGTAAATATAAAAATTATTATAATTATATAAATTATAAAAAATATTAAAAAATTATATTTATTAATTTTTAAACAAATATTTCTCATTTCAATATTATGATGTAGTAAAAGCATATTGGATCTGCTTTTCCCAAATTTGTTGCCTGTGATAGGGAGTGCTGGGAAGGGAAGAGCGTGGTCCCTTTAAATGATATGGAAGTGGGGAAGGGAAGTGCTAGGTAGAGGAGGGTGTGGTCCCTGGCTAGGACTCTACTCCTAGGGACCTAGGTTAGGACAAGCACTTCTGCCATGGCGCCCAAATGTAGGCATTTTCCAAGACCACCCTGGCCTGCCATGCCCCAGTGCTGGGCCTATAAGAACCCCCGAGACCCTAGCAGGCAGGCAGAAACTGTTGGATGGCAGAGGAACACATCAACGGAAGAAGACCAAGTGGCTGGACATCAGGAGGACGTTGAGGGGTTCACACCGGCAGAAGAGCACACTGACAGGCACCGGAACGCCGGCAGGCCATTGACTAGCAGAAGGACGTGGAGTGTGGCTGGGACAGTGGGAGGACAGCCTGGGCCACCTATCGACCCAACTCCAGGGGTAAACCACTTCCCTTCTGGCTCCCCCATCTGCTGAGAGCTACTTCTACTCAATAAGACCTTGCACTCCTTCTTCAAGCCCAGATGTGATCCGGCTCTTCCAGTACACCAAGGCAAGAACCCGGGATACAGAAAGCCCTCTGTCCTTGCAACAAGGTAGAGGGTCTAATTGAGCCGGTTAATACAAGCCGCCTATAGACGGCAAACTAAAAGAGCAAAACTACAGAGCACCCTGTAACACATGTCCACTGGGGCTTCAGGAGCTGTAAACATTCACCCCTAGACACTGCTGTGGAGTCGGAGCCCTACAGCCTGCCGGTCTGTATGCCCCCCTAGACGTTTGAGTAGCAGGGCACTGAAGAAGTGAGTCACACCCCCATTGCACGCCCTGCGAGGTGGACAAGGGAACTTTTCTTTTTTCACTTGGAGACCTGTGTGAACTCCACTAAATCACGTAAACACAGTTTTCTTTTATAAAATCAGCAACTTTGCACTTAATTATCTCTAAGGTTTCCTATACTTCTGGAAAGTTTATATTATGACTTACGATGATGAATGGAGTAAATTTGTAGTCTGGATTTTGAAGCCGGGCAGACCTGGGTTAAAATCCTAGTTTTGTTGTTTTGTTGTTGTTCTAAGCTGTGCAAACTTGGTTAGAATATTGAAGTAACAAAGGTCACCATTGGCCCTTTGTTTTATAGTTAGTAAAGCATCAGTAGTTTAACAAAATAAAAGTCATCACTCAACAGTCGAGTGCAGGTATTCCTGGTAAGAAGGCTGCATATTGTCTGTGTATGAGTAGAGGACTTTACTTCTTTTACCTTGTAGATTTACCGTCCAAGCACCGTGGAATCCTCTTCCTTCAAACCTAGGGAAAGACATACAGCAGAGAAGCCTTGTTTTCGTCATTAAAATTTTGCCCTGAAGGTAGTCTGCATCACTTTTGTTCACATTTTTCTCCCGAGAATCAATATATGGTTATTCTTCAATGCAAGGAGGGTTACAAAATATAGCCCGTGTCTCACCAATGGCCTAGAGCCATTCCAGAAAGAAAAACATTTTGTGGACAACTAGTAGAGCCTGCCATAGAAGGCATTCAATGTATTTTCATAATCCACTTTTCCCTTCTCCTGATTAGAGTACTCTCTTTCAAATCTTAGCAGAGGAATGAGAAGAAACGTGAAAAGAACTCTAACAGGTAGAATCGCTTCATTCTCAGATATCATATTCTGAATGGCATATATCAGATCTTGGTACCTGGTACCTGGTTATATATTAATATTTCATAAATGTTTGAAAAATACTGTGGACCAGAAGTACTTAGGGATAATGCAAATCATAACCTTTCTCTTTGAAAATGTTTCTAACATATCATCTATTTCCTTGTTACAACAAAAGAATTTCTTGATTTGTCATAATTTCACAAATCATTCCACATTTCTCATCCTTATACTTTTTTGTAAAGTTTGCTTCTCATCCATGTGCTCTTGGAAGTAAATTGACAAATAATGTTTCAATCTTGTATGAATAAACTCAGAGGCATTGTATATGACTATTTTCAGATGTTTCTAAGCCAAAGCTGTGTTGCTGCTTTGATTTTCTTTTTTTTTTTCTTTTGGTATGTCACAAGAACATAATACGCTTCAAAGATTTTATCACATTTCTTGTGGATTACTGCATACAAATAAAACAGCCTTTAGCCTTCAGCTTTGTGCTGTTTTCAAGGAAATAAAATACGCTTTGTTATTCCCTGGAAGTTGTGCTTTACTTTCTGATTATTATCCACATTGTAGTTGTCTGTGGTATCTATTAGCAAAAATCCAGATGGCTGAAATATAATTGATAAAAACCCACCTGAAATTTTTACCTCCGAGTCGTTTTACTCTGAAATATGTATCTAAATATTAGGAAGAGTCAACTCCCAGCTTATATCTGCTTTCAGTTGGAACATACCATGCTGTTTTTCCTACTGTGGGACTGTCATTCTTTTCTGTATTCATACTGCCACTGGCAAACTGATCCTCTAAAAACAGACGAGAAGGGGGAGGGAGATGCTTCCATGCTGACTTCTCCACTGCTAGAACTGCCAGCAGGAACATGTTTGATTCAATTAAATTAAACAAGCATTTATTGAACACAGTCACCGGGCTAAATACTAGCAAAAAAATAAAGAATAATACAACACGGCCTTGTCTGTAAGGAGTTCATTCTAGGTGAGGTGACAAACAAGAACAATTACAATCTTCTGTTAGAAGAGCTATAATATGAGTGCTATGGAAGATTACCATCTAATACAAAAATGTGAAATAAAACCCCAACATTATTGGCACAGTGAGAATATTACTACACCCCCAGCAGCATGGCAAGGCCAAAAGTAATACATGTCAGAAGGATTTGGAGGAAGAAGACCTCTCATACATTTTTGATGGAAAGGTAAAATGGTACATGTATTTTGGAAAAAGGTATGTCTGTTTCTTTTCATATACAACTACTATCACTCCCGGTAATTCTGCTTCAAAGTATTTACTCAAGATACGTGAAAAAACATATTCCTAAAAAGACTTGTACAAGAGTGTTCAAAGCCGCTTTGGGTACACTAGAAGTCTCTCATTCGAGAATGGCTAAACAATGAATTACTACTCAGCAATAAAGAGCAATGTGCTATTGCTACACCCAGCAATATGAATGTCCCCTGAAAACATTTTGACGAGTGAAGAAAGCCTTGTACAAATGAATCCATACTGCACTAATCCATTTATATAAACTTCTAGAACAGGCAAATATGATCTACATGGAAAAACATCAGAATGCTGGGTGACTCTGGGTGTGTGGAGGTGGGATTGGCTGGGAATAGATATGAAGAAATTACCTGGAGTGGTGGGAAGGTTCTAATCTTGATAGGAATTTGGGTTATGTAAACATGCACATTTGTTGAAACTCAGTTAATGTACATGTGAAATTTGCATTTCATTGTATATAAATTTGACCTAAAAAATTCTTTTGAATGATACAACACAGCCTTGTCTGTAAGGAGTTCATTCTAGGTGAGGTGACAAACGTAAACTAATAATTGTAATCTGTCAAAAGGGCTGTAATACGGTGACATGGAAAATCACCTTCTAATACTAAAATGTAAAACAAAACCCAACACTATTAGCACAATGAGATATTACTACACACCCCACAGATATTGCTACACAGCCAAATAAATATTAAACTTCTATTAATGAAATTCATAACAAAGTTTTTAGTGGAAAGCAATTTACATCAGAATGCATCAAAAATAAGTGGATTAATGGAAGGGTTGAGTAGTAAATAGACATATGATAGATCAAATAGAGTTAAATCTTCATGGTAGAATATAGTGGTGCATATATAGGTGTTCACTGAAACATTTTTTCAACTTCACTATATGTTTAAGCATTTTCATAATAAAATAGTTGTCATAAAAAGAGTAGAGCAGAAATAATTCCATTTTCCACCTATGCCAGTGAGTCTCTCATAAGAACTAGTTCCATCCTTTTTATTTTTTCCCTCTTCAATCCTTTTCTCTATTGTTTTTGTTTCCCTCAATATACAAACTTGTTTATCTTTCCAGCATCTAAAAAAATTATCCCTAAATCTGGTATCTATTCAAACTACTTTTTGTTTCTTCTTAGCAAAATTTTTGTTGGAGTGAAAAAGTATCTAAATTTGCCCTTGTGCTAGCTTCCCTTTCTCACCCCCAGGCAGTTTGGAGTTCATTTTTATTATTCATTTAAGCTGCTCTCTCCGTGGTTTCTAATAACCACCTAATTGCCAAATCCAATGTTCCTTTCTCAGTCCTCATCTGTTGCGTTTGAGGTCACAGCAACAGGCCGAGGCAGCTGGTTTGGCTCAGAACATTATTATGGTTATAAAATGACATAACCCACGGTATTCTGCTTCCTGTGACAGACAAATAAATCGACAACTGAAAACTGTGCATGGAAGTTACATTTTAGTATCTCCTAAACACATTTTTTCCTGTGTCTCTTCTCCGAATATTTGCCACTGCTGACCATCTGCTGGTTGAAAACCACTCTTCTTCCAGTTTCTATGATTTAGATTTCAGTTGCTATTCTTCCTTCTCTGTTTCTCCATTTGCTGAGCACTATCAAGCTTTTATTAGATAGCCCTGTCCTTCTTTGTTTAATTTCCACTTTTAAGTGAGTATGTTTCATTATTTTAATGGCATCTACAAGTATTTTTAAAATACTGTAAGATGTTAAGAATTGAGGCTCCAGACAAAGCAGGTGTGGGTGGTGGGGGTGAGTCTATCCACCAGCAGCCCTAGCCTACAGGTTGGGAAATATTTTAGGTTACTTTTGGACTAAAGATAATTCTGCTCACTACATTGAAGGATGATTTTTAAACATTCTGTAAGCAATAGGTTACATTTTTAAAGTTTGATATGGGACCTCAATATAAAAAAGATACAGACTAAAGCCAAACTGCTCTGGTGGTGAAGGGGTGGGAGACGGTGAGAGGATCCATGTTTGCCTTTGACTTTCCATAGATCTTCACTGTTGCCAAGATAGGCTCTGGGGGTTTTCTTCAGCACTCGGGCACAATGCTCCTTAAAATTTGTGTGCATATTAATAACCCAAGAATTGCATAAAGATTCTGATTCAGTAAGTCTGGGGCAAGGTCTGGGAGTCTGTACTTCTAGCAAGCTCCCAGCTGATGCCTGTGCTGTGGGCCCACAGACCACACCTAAAGAGCAAGGCCCCAGATTTTCTCTTTACCAAGTTTGAAGGTAAGTTTTAAACTTACTACATTCTAGAGAACATTGCAATTGTTTCATCCTTTAGGAGATCATTATTTGTTTCTTCAGAGATTAAGAAAGATGTTTTATTCTTTGTAATGCATACTTATTCCTCTACAGTGTTTTCAATTTTGAATATTCCACTTGGAATTATACATTGGCCAGGTAGAATGATCAAGAAGATTGGATCTTAAATATTCTTTCAGGAATCAAAGTTAGTAGACTTGGAGATGACAGGCATAAGAACAAAAATGAAATCAAAATTCTTCAAGACAACTCAAACTGTATTTGGAACTGGTCACCTACAGTCTCAGTCACATCAAGGCACCATGAATAGACAGTTAGTGCCTCCACCTAGTTGCAGATATTTCTTCCCTGTGTTACCATAGAAACCAAGAAAATCTGTTTAGTAGAGAGCAACTCTTGCAAGTAGACTCCACAAGCCAGGGGTAGGGCAAGTGTCACCAGAGTAGTGAAATCAGTAGAGCTGATAGATTTTGTATATGTGTTACAGAGTGATATGGTTTGGCTCTGTGTTCCTACCCAAATCTCATCTTGAATTGTACTCCTATAATTCCCATGTGTTGTAGGAAGGACCAAGTGGGAGATAATTAAATCATGGGGATGGTTTCCGCCATCCTGTTTTCGTGGTAGTGAATAAGTTTCACGAGATCTGTTGGTTTGATAAGGGGAAACCCATTTCACTTGGCTGTCATTCTCTCTCTCGTTGGCTGCTGCCATCCATGTAAGATGTGACTGGCTCCTCCTTGCCTTCTACTGTGATTGTGAGGCCTCCCAGCCACGTGGAACTGTAAGTCCAAGAAAACTTTCTTTTGTAAATTGCCCAGTCTTGGGTGTGTCTTTATTAGCAGTGTGAAAATGGACTAATACACAGAACAAGGGCTTTTTCACTTCCTAATCCTAATAGGATTGTTCTCCAACTTGAAAACATCCTTTCTCTTCTTTTTATATGAACTTTTCTCTTTTATCTGCATCTCCATTTAAAATTCTACATATAATAGATGACTCCCATATCTGTATCTTCCACTTTGGTCTTTCTGAAGTCTTTGTTTCTGTTCCAAAAGTTATTTATTTATTTCTCTTATTTATTCATGAAATATAAATACATAGACTTAAGGAGAGAGAAAATATAAACCAATTCTTAGAGTTTCTTTGGGGAAATGGAAAACCCAGTAATTATAAATCGGTGTATAATTGCCAGTCCTTAGTTTTCTAGCCTCTTGAAGTCTCCCACTTTCTTTCAATCTCTAGATAAAATGGCTTTGGCCCTTATTCCACACACTGTAGGATGTTCAGTGATGTTCCTGCCTCCCATTTTTGAGCAATTCCATGGCTGTTTCTTACGCCTGAATAGCACTTACTCCAAATTCTTTCTTAGTGTTAAATTCTCTATCCTATAACATCATCTTCCCTCCTGCAGCTGCTGTGTTGTCTCCACACATCTTTGTCCTAAGGATGGTTACTGCCCCTTTTATTTCATATCCTGAAGCCCTACAAACACAAGATCTAGCTAGTAATAGACATTTTTACACAAGAGTTAGGGATAATGGAGGGTAACTAGAGAGCCAGAAGTGGACACAGTGAGACACTGGTGCTTTGCAGACATTTCTCATTGATGTCTTTCTCCATAGGTCATAGTCTGCTAGCCCACGGTCAGGGACCTCCTCTGGCCCATGGTACTTTCTTTCCCTTTCTAGCAGTCAGCCCACAACCACCACTTCTCTCATCATAGTACAAGAAGAGAAATGGAGCTCCTTTTCCTGTTTTCCCTTTCCTGACCTTGCACCAGGGATCTGAATGACTAAAACTGCAAACTTTTTTCTCTGCTATCACACATCAACAATCAACATAAAAGACTTCTGTGACTGGATGTATGAGGATTTTCCCCTGCTAACAAGCAAGCAATTAATTCTGCAGTAGATACCAGTTGGGTGTCCTCCAATTCAATTCTGACACTATCTACTTTGAGACAACATTGGATCCCGCAGGTTGAGGGCTCAGTCCCACCAGACTGCCCATCACAAGCTGCAGGTTGTTTTACCTGTGCTTCTTACCAATGGGCCATAAATATGGGATCTCACAACCCTCTTCATACGTTTCATTAATTTGACAGAGCAGCTCACAAAACTCAAAGAAACACTTACTTACATTTGCCAGTTCGTTGTAAAAGATGTCACAAAGAATACAGTTAAAGAGATGCATATGGTGAGGTATGGGAAGGGACGTGGAGGTTCAATGCCCTCCAGGGGTGCACCACCCTCCAGGAACCTCCACATGTTCAGCTGTATGGAACCTCTCTAAACTCTGTCCTCTTGGGCCTTTTATGGGGATTTCTCTGGACAGGCATGATTGAGAATTGTGATTGGACAAAGGGCATATGATCTAACGTAACAGTCTGAGTGGGGAAACCAAGCAAGGCCTGTCTATTCAGGTTCTTCTTGGCCTTTCCGTGCAGCATTCCTTCCTTCAGGGTACGGAATGGGACGCCTCCTGAAATGAGGCTCTTACGATGCCACAGTCAGACAAGGTAGGTCACAGCCAGCTCCAAGATGGAAAGGCAGAGAAGATTAATGTTCTGCCTTTGGGAGAAAAGTAGCAGGTGAAAGGAAGGCATAAGAAGGTCAGAGAGAGAGATTGTCTTTTCTGAGGCCTACGTCTGAGGCTAAAGGGACCCAATATTATAACAGAAGAGTGTGACAAGGGCCATGGGAGTTATGAGCCAGGAATTGTGGACAAAAACCAATATTTACATTATAATATCACAGGGGCATCTCTTTCACAATCAATAAAGTTCTATCAAGGTGTCTGCATTAAAAAAAAAAAGAGAGGACATTTTTCCCTAATAAGAATTTCTTTTTAAGGCAATCACCTCAAACTTAATATAATTTTTTTCCAACCCCACAAAATGTGTGAAAAACATTTTGAAAACAACAGTAAAAATGAAAGTTCAATAGCTACCCATGGCGGAAGTAAATCTCAGAAACATTATATTCAGTATTAAAGGAAAGTTAGAGAAAAAGATGATTTCTTTTTCTGAAAACTAAAAATTAATTTAAAAGCATATTTTATAGTCAGACATACAGATGTGCTCAAATTATTTTAACGTTTATTTTGAAAAAAATACCTTTGAGTTGCAAAACAGGACAGTGTCCTCTCTAGGGGTGGGGAGAGGTAGTAGGACGAATTGGGGCTGGAGGCTGCAGGTTAACTTCAATGCTAATGGTGATCTTCCAGTTCAGTACTTGGGTAGGAGTAATAACGTTTTATTTGTATGCTTCATAAATGCTATATGTAGTATATAGATTCTTTGCAAAGTGATATGTTGAGGTTTTCACAGGGTTCTCTGATCCCACCGATATTAAATTCAGATTTTTAACAGAGAATTAGAGGAAGCTCCAAGAGAGGATGATTTCTGAGATACTAGTAAAAGGCAAAAGCCAATTCTATCCACCTGGAACTCAAACTCATATTTCATTCTACTTCAATCCAATCAAACTTCTCCTATCTCTCAAAAGCTGTCTCCCCAAAGTATCAATAAAGTAACCATTCTAATAAGACAAAGCTGTTAACTGCTTGCTGTGGTAAGAGAGAGCATTACTCCAACAATCTTAGTGACATCTTAGAGAGTGGAAGAATGACTTTGGGATATTTATTGAGATTTTGAAGTTTCCTGCAAGACTGGTCTTTCAATGTGGAATTGGGGTATGGGGAAGGCATGATTGCATAAAGATCATGATTAGTAGTGTAGAACTGGTAAACACAGAAAGAGGAAGATTTTGATATAAGGATTCACAGAATCTCAGAGTGTAAACTGTTGTTTGATACTTTTGATTGAAGATTTTAAGTTCCTGCAAAAAGCAATAAAGTAATTTATAACATTTATTTTCCTGGAAAGGGCTTCCTGAAATATTAAGGTTTTGTTGGTGAGGACAGTGGAATACCAAAGTCATGTCAGTATAGATAGTAGGATGTGTAGATGCTTTCAATTCTATTGTTTCTTCTATGTTATTCAAAGACCTCATTAGTTATCCAGTGAGGAGAAAGAGATTAAACTTAGAATCAGAAATTTTACATCTGCTTCCTCCTTCTACCTTTGGCAACTTGGATGATTCACTGAACCTCCTTAAATTTCTATTTTGATACTTTCCTAACGAGGGTGGGGGATGGATTATGTTTCCCCTTTAAGGATTAGCTCTGGAATTACAAGGGGGAAGAGAATTAGCATTACATTGTAGGTTCACCCTAGATCCCATCCACCCACCACCTCTAAACCACTCAGAAATTTAGCTCTGAATGCAGACACCACTTCCAACATGGTGTAACATAGGTAAGTTTCACATTACAATGTTCAAAACTTTTAAAAGAATGACAAAAATTATGAAAGAAAAAAATTCAGTCTACTTGAAACAAATTTTGGAGCAAAATTAATCCAGAAATTGATCTTAGATTTAAATTTCACCTGGAATTTGGCATTTCTGCCAATAAACTCTGCTTATTCAATATTATAATTGACTGAAATTCTGTGTATCTCTCTTCTTGATTGTGTGTGTGTGTGTGTGTGTGTGTGTGTGTGTGTAGATGGCTTCAGCATTCAGAATGAGCTAATTCTGCTTCAGTCACGCTTGATGGGAACTGGTGATTCAACTGTTGCAAAACTTTGAAAGCATTCATTAATTCAGGCTTAATTAATGCAGAATGACAATTAAAACTTTTATGGAGTATATGTCATTAACATGAATACCATGCATTTATTATACTACAGAATATTGAGATGAATACAAATGAATTCCAGTGACCAAAAAGCTTAGAAAGTTACCCCGGTTGGATAGCTGTAGATATGTGCAATGTACCTCATGTTGCTGAATGAGATTTGAAACTACATTTTATAATCTATGATGAAAATGCAGAGAAAACATTTTTATTAATGGAATGATAGATTTTGTTACAAAATCAGCCTCTGGAAAAAAGACATAGATAATTTCTTTAACTTCTTGCTCAATAATTTATATGCCCTAAAAATGTTAGAATTCTAGATTCCTGATATTAAAAATTGTCTGTAATTTCAAGGATATTTAGTGTTTCTTGAACTCAAATATATCCTCTTTTGAGAACTCAAACCTACATTAGGTGAATGACTGAAATATGCCTGTTCATTTCAAAATTACATAGCTTCATCAAATCCTAGGCTTATATACCAGGTTCTAGCATTCAGCAGAGCCAGAAGTTTGCCATGGCAACTGCTGCATCCTTTTTTAATATATAAAGCAGCAGACTAACAAGAAAGAGCCATTCTCAGATGCTCTTCCAATTCATATAGAGCTAGGTTTCTGTTGTCGTTTATTTCTAATGTATAATTTCAATAGTGTCCAAAAACTTTGTTTTTGTTTGAAATTTGTAATCATTATACTGATATTATGAACTTGATTAAGAATGTTGTACACAATTTTCACAATTTTTTATTGTGGCAAAATACATAACATAAATTTATCAATTTAACCATTTTTTAATGTCAGTTCGGTGGCATTAAATACACTCATATTGTTGTGCAGCCATCACCATCACCATCGTCTATCTCCACAACACTTTTTTTTTTTTTTTTTTTGAGACAGAGTCTCACACTATTGCCTGGGCTGGAGTGCAATGGCATAATCTTAGCTCACTGAAACCTCCGCCTCCCAGTTTCAGGCGATTCTCCTGCCTCAGCCTCCTGAGTAGCTGGGATTACAGGCGCCCGCCACCACGCCTGGCTTATTTTTTGTATTTTTTAGTAGAGACGGGGTTTCACTATGTTGGCCGGGCTGGTCTTGAATTCCTGACCCTGTGATCCACCCACCTCAGCCTCTCAAAGTGCTGGGATTATAGGCGTGAGCCACAGCGCCCAGCCCACAACACTTTTCATCTGGTAAAACTGAAACTCTATACCCAGTAAACAATAACTCTCCATTCTTCCCTCTCCCTAGCCCTTGACAACAATCCTTCTACTTCTGTCTGTACGATTTTGATTACTCTAAGTACTTCATATAACTTCATATAAGTAGAATCATACAGTATTTGCCTCTTTGTAGCTGACTTATTTCACTTAGCACATTGTTGTCAAGGTTCATCCATGTTGTAACGTGTCAATATTTTCTTCCTTTTTAAAGCTTAGTAATATTCCATCGTGAGTATATACCACATTTGGTTTATCCATTCACATGTTTATGGACACTTGTGTTGCTTCCACATTTTAGTTATTGTGAATAATGCTGCTAGGAACATAGATGTACATATATCTCTTGGAGACTGAATTCAATTATTTTGGGCATATACCCAGAAGTGGAATTGCTGCATCACATGGTAATTCTATTTTTAATTGTTTGAGGAATAACCATATTGTTTTCCACAGCAGTGTTACCATTTTGTATTTCTACCAACAGTGCACAAGAGTTTCAATTTATTTGCACTGTCACCAACACTTGTTACTTTCTGCTCTTTTGATAGTAGTCATTCCAATGGGTGTGTGGGGTGGTATCTCATTGTAGTTTTGATTTCCATTTCCCTAGTGATTAGGAATGATGAGCATCTTCTCACGTGCTTCTTGCCCATTTGTATATCTTCTTTGGAGAAATGTCTGTTCTGAAATATCTGAACAAGTCCTTTCTTCATTTTTTAATCTGGATGTTCATTTTTCTGTGGTGAGTTTAAAAGTTATTTAGCTATTCTGGATATTAATCCCATATTAAATATATGATTTACAATTTTTCCCCATTTTCTAGTTTACCTTTCTACTCTGATACTTCCCTTTCATGCCCAAAATTTTAAAGGTTTTCTCAAAGTCTAATTTTTTATTATGTTGAGGTTCTTCCTTCTATACCTAACTTATGGATAGTTTTTATTATAAAAGAATTTTAAGTTTTGTTAAATGCTTTCTCTGCATCTATTGAAATAATCATATAATTTTATGCTACATTTGGTTAATGTAATGCATTAAAATAATTAACATTCTGTTGATGTATGCCACATTTATCCATTTGTGTATGTCTAGACATATTTGTAATTCAAGCATAAATCTCACTGGATTATGATGTAAGAGAATTTTGGTGTGCTGTTGAGTTTGTTTTGCCTCAAAATTTTGTTGAGGATTTTTGCCTATGTATACATCAGTAATACTGGCCTTTAATTTTCTTTTCTTATAGCATCCTCTTCTGGCCTTGGTGTCAGGATAATGCTGGCAATGCAACATATGTTTAGAAGTGCCCTCTCCTCTTCAGTTTCTTAGAACAGTTTGAAAAGCGTTGATATTAATTCTTCTTTAAATATTTGCTAGAATTGGGAAACTCATAAATATGTGCAAATACAACACATATGTGCAGGGATGTATTGTTTAATTTGTACATATTTATGAGTTTTCCAATTTTTATCCATTATTGATTTCTTCTTTTACACTATTGTAGTCAGAAAACATACTTGATATGATTTCAATTGTCTTAAATTTATTAAGATGCATTTTGTGTCCTAACATATTATCTATCCCAGAGAATGTTCCACATGCACATAAAAATAATATGTGTTCTGCTGCAGTTGGATGGAATGTTCTTTACACATCTGTTAGGTCCAGTTAATCTATCATATTGTTCAAGTCTTCTGTTTTCTAATAATTTTCTTTCTAAATGATCTATTCATTGTTTGAAGTGGGGTATTGAAATCCTCTACTATTAGGGTATTGCTGTCTATTTCTCCTTTAATTTCTGTTAATGTTTGCTTTATTTATTTAGATGCATTGATGATGAATGCATACATATGTATATATTTATATCCTCTTGAAGTATTGACCTCTTTTATTATATAATGATTTATTTTCTCTTATGACAGTTTTTTACTTAATTTCTATTTTGTCTGTTATAAATATAAGCACTTCGATTCTCTTTTGGTTATCATTTATATAGAATGTCTTTTCATCTTTTCACTTGTGTCCTCAAAACTAAAGTGTATCTCCTATAGGGAGTATATAGCTGGACATCAGTTGCTGTTGCTATTTTTTAATCCATTCAGTTACTCTGCCTTTTGATTGGATAATTTGATCCATTTATGTTTAAAGTAATTATTATAGATTAGGATTTATTATTGCCATTTCATCCTTTTGCTATTGTTTTATAAAGACTTTGTGTCTTCCTTTGCTCTGTGTGTGTGTGTGTGTGTGTGTGTGTGTGTGTGTGTGTGTGATTTGAGGATTTTGTTTGTAGTGGTATGTTTTGATTCTTTATCTTTTACATATTGACTACAGGTTTTTTTCTTTGTGGTTACTATGAGGCTTACATAAATATCTTACAGTTATAGCAGTCAATTTTAAGCTAATAACAACTTAACTTTGACCAAATACAAGAACTCTACATCTTAACTTCTCTCCTCGATTTCAGGTCATTGACGTCACAATTTACATCTCTTTATATTTCATATCTGTTAAAAAGTATCATAGATATGATTTTTTAATACTTTTATATTTTAACTTTTATATTAAATTGATTTATATACCACCACTATAATATTAGAATTTGGAATATTCTAATTTTAGAATTTGGAATATTTGACTATATTTCAAATTTGACTATATTCTTATTTTTACTGGTAATTTTTTACTTTCATATGTTTTCATGTGGTTAGTAAGCATCATTTTATTTTAACTTTAATTTCCTTTAACATTTCTTGTAAGTCAGGCCTAGTGATGTTGAACTCCCTCAACCTTTGTTTGCCTGTGAAGGTCTTTCTCTTTCCTTCATTTCTGAAGAATAACTTCATTAAGTATAATATTCTTGGTTGACACTGTTTTCTTTAGTACTTTAAATGTAGTATCCTAGTTTTTACTGGCTTGCAAGGTTTCTGCTTAGAAATCCACTGATAGTATTGTTAAGTTTCCCTTTTAAGTGATAAGGCACTCTTTTCTTGCTGCTTCTAATATTCTCTCTGTCTTTTTAGAATTTGATTACATGTCTCAGTTAAAATCTCTTTATTTTTAGTCTATCCTGGGTTCATCAGGTTTCTCTCCAGATGTTCATTTTCGTCTCCTGATCTGTAATGGTTTCTGTCATTATTTCTTTAAGTAAGCTTTTAGCCCCCTCCTTAGCACCCTCTCAGAAGAATCTGAAATATCCGCTGAAATATCAGCTTCTTCTGAGATTTCCATGATGTGAATATTGGTTTGCTTGATGGTGTCCCATTACAGGTTTTCTCTATTTTTTTTCATTTGTGTTTCTTCTTGTTCCTCTGATTGGGTAATCCCAAACGACCTGTCTTAGAGCTCACTGATTCTTTCTTCTGCTTTCTCAAGTCTGCTGATGAAACTCTGTTTATAATTTTTTAGCTCAGTCATTGTGTTCTTCAGCTCCATAATTTTTGTTAGGGTCTTTCATGTGGTTTCTATCTCTTTGTTGAACTTCTAATTTTGTGCATGTATTGTTTTCCTGTTTCCATTTAGTTGTGTATCTTTGTTCATTTTTAGCTCACTGAGCTTCTTTAAGATAATATTGTTAATTCCTTGTCAGGAAGTTTGTAGAACTCCACTTTCTTGAGGTTGATTACTGGTGTTTTATTTTGTTTCTTTGGTGGTATTATGTTTCCCTGATTATTCCTAGTATTTATGGTCTTGCATTGGTGACTACGTATTTGAAAAAATAGGTACCTCTTCCAGTCTTTACAGACTGGCTTGGGCAGGGAAAGCCCTACTCCAGTAAGCTCATTCAGAGATTCTGGGCAGACTAACTTGCAGAGTCTATAGGTGGTTTTGTTGCTACATTCCTTGGGAAGACTGGCCTGGTACCTGGATCAGCAGACAACTGGGCCTGGTACCTGTGTCCACAGGGGCTGGCATAATTCCTGGGATCCAGAGGGTATGTCTGGAGCCTGGGCCCACTAGGGTAGACCTGACATCTAATTGACATGAGTTAACCTAGCACCAGGGTCCATGAAGGATATCATGTCATTGAGGTGGGCCATGGGCCTGAGTCTACAGGGCTGGATCTGGAACCAGGTGCTGTGAGGGCTGTCCTGGTGTCTGAGTGGGCTTGAAGTCTGTGTCCACAGAAGCACGCATAGATACTGGAGCCAGACTTCAGCTTCGTGCTGGATTTACTGGAACAGTTCTGGTGCTGGGGTCTGCAGCAAAGTTAAGTGCTCATTTCTCCTTTCCCCATGCAAGGGTGTCTCTCATTATACTGCAGTGTGTGGGCTTGGGGAAGGAATAATACAGATGATATAAAACTATTCTTTCTACCCCCTTCAATGTGTCTTTTCGTAGTTCTGTGCTCCACCTAGGTGCCATAATTTCTCATTTGGGTACCTTAGCTCTTGTAAAGACACTTTGGAGCATAGCTGGTTGTTCAAATTGATGTTTCTGTGAGGAATAAAATACTGAAAGCTCTTATTATTCCATCTTATGATGTCACTTATTTAATCTGTAAACTTTTTGAAGATAGCCCTGAGTTTTATATTTTTATATCCCATATAAACGGCAATAGATCTCACATATAGTGCTTCTGTAGTGATGTCTGTAGAAAGAGCTAATAAAAAACCTTACTCCTCATGCATGATATTAGATGGAAAGACTTGAAATTTATTAATCTTTTTTTCTTTTACATTCAGTTAAATTCTATAAAAGTTTGTGTTGGCAACATACTATGTTAGGGAGAGCCAAGACAAATGGGATGGTAATATTTGAGAAGATTGACATTTAAAAAATAAAACAAAATACACCAGAGGAAAATACACATGTGGAGGCAAGTAGAGTAAAACAGTTAGCAAATTGGTAGGATTCTAAAACTAAATGCATTAAAAGAACTAGAGATCTATAAATTGGGTATGTGAGCAAGTGTGGGTAAAGTATAGAGTTGTATCACTGTTTTTGCGGGTATAGGCTAGGAATGTCCTTTTTTGCTTGCTTGTTTGTTATTTTGTTTAGATGGAGTCTCACTCTGTCTCCCACGCTGGAGTGCCTCTGAATGCTGTTTTAGCCATGGTTCTGGAGAGGGTAGCGACAGGAGCTGTCTAGGTGGGATCCAGAGGAAAGTACGAATGAGCAGAAGGTAAGGGAACATTATATTTCCTTCCAGGTTGTTGAGACTAGGCCTCCAGAGAAGCACAGTCTAATAATAAATCATTTGTAATTCTCCTGAGTATTACTTTACTGAGTCATTCATTAACCTCAGATTTAACAGTATGGAGATAAGGAGTCATACTGTATCACAGAAGTTGGCAAACTATGACCTGCCTGCCAAACATTGCCTGTAGTAAATACATAAGTAAAATTTTGTTAAAATACAGTCACACCTATTAGTTCACATCTTGTCCCTGCTGCTTTTTTAATACTACAACAGTGGAGTTGAGTGGGAGTGAGCAAGATTGTGTGGCCTGTGAAGCCTGTAATAGCTATCTGGTGTTTTACAGAAAAAGGTTGCTGGCCCCTATTCTAGTCTTACATATTTCTCTTTTTTTCAACAATGTAGATAAAATTCTGCAATCCCATAAAAGTGATGAAATAATACTCAATTTCTAGTTCATATACTGTCTGATGTGCTACTGTCTGCCAGATTGTTGACAAATAGTAAATAGTTCATGAAAACTCTGTATTACATAAAAGCAGCCACCAAAAACACATCCTGTGCTATTTCATGTTGCCATTACAAGGTGTTTAGATAAAATGAAGATCATCCAGGTGCTGTGGCTCATACCTGTAATACCAGCACTTTGGGAGGCTGAGGCGGGCAGATCACCTGAGGTCAGGAGTTTCAGAACAGTCTGGCCAACATGGTGAAACTCCATCTCTACTAAAAGTACAAAAATTAGCTGGGTGTGGTGGCACATGCCTGTAATCCCAGCTGCTGGGGAGGCTGAGGTGGGAGAACTGCTTGAACCTGGGAGGCAGAGGTTGCAGTGAGCCAAGATGATGCCACTGCTCTCCAGCCTAGGTGACAGAGCGAGACTACATCTCAAAAAAAAAAAAAAAAAAAAAAGAAGAAGAACATCACAGGGGATTTTTACATACCAAAGTAAGAATTCACAGCTCAGGCATTTTTAGAGGGTAATTACCAATAGATAATTGATAATTATCTATTATTAAGTTTATTAGTATTATTTTATGTATTAAAGCAAGGTGTTCAAGTATAATTTACACATCCCAAATGTTGTGATGTTTTTAGTCACAATGTTCTTTTTATATTTTGTTTCATAGGAGCTTCTGTATTTCATATAATATTTATTTCAAGTATAAATTTAAAGGGCCTTCATAAAAGTTCAGCGAATTTTCATGAAATAGCATTATATTCCTACTGCTTCAACTTGTGAACCTTCATTGTCATCTATATCATAAAGTTATTGTGAAGATTCAGTTAATGTGTACAAGATGCCAAAGACATTGCTTGGCAAACTATGTCATTCAGTGTACAGTAGCTATTTTTTTGCATCTTATTTTTGAGCAAACATGTTATATGGAAGAATAAATACACATAAGAAATGATATGTTGACTAGGAAAACAACTTTAGGATATTTAGTTGGCTTCTAGGGAACAATTTCTAGGTGGCGATTTCAAATCTAAAACTTAGCTTACTGTCTTTACCTGTTTCTATTTCTTTCTGAGGTAAATATAGAAAGTCACCTGTCCCTTGCAATAGGGTAGAAGATTAAAATACGAAGCAAGACATGATTCTAAGTAGCATAGAAATATTCGTTCTTGAGAGAATGTAATTTACCTATGCTTTTGAAGGTTCGTGTTTTCAAACATCTGCAGTATAATTCCTGCAGGGTACTGTCACAGTCTCTGTTTATTGCAGGGGCAAACTTGTTTACCAAATTCTCAAATGAAAAACAAAATATTCTTGTGCGGAATTTCAGAGAATTGCAGTTCCTGTTTCAGCCTGAACCTCAGATTTTTCCACCCACATGGAGTTTGGAGAGTCTTACAACATGAAGTTCAAAACAGAAACATTAATCGCCTCCACACTTTAATGCCTTGTTTTTCTCCACCACAAAAATGTTTACCCAGGCTGAAGTACTTTTTCTCCTGAGCCCAGACTTGATAATCACTTTCTCAATCTCTGCTTGTTAAATGGCTTCTAAAAATTCTTGGGTAAATATGGGTATGGTTGCATAAAAGAAAAATCCCTTAAAGGATAAGCCAAAATTTTTCAGTGATAGTGCATAAAAGCCTTGTTATCTTTAAGGCTTGTCTTTTGGTGCATAGAGCCAAATAAATTGCCAAGGCAAAAACAAAAAGAAAGAAAATCTAGTCTCTGATTTAGTGCCCAAAAGTTTTTAATGCTTTGGGTCCTCCAGTTGCTCTAAGAATTTTTTGTGGCTTTGAAGCTTTTTATCAGGTTTTAATTTTATCCTTATATTTTGACTGATATTTCCATTAAATGAATTAGGGGATGTACAATATGCCAACCATATACTACATAAAAGTATTGTCACTCAGGCCTACAAAGTGCCTAACAACCAAACAGAATATTCACTGCAAATGACTCATGGAATGTTACCTGAGAGAGTAATAAATATTCTTTCAACATTCATCCAAGTAAATAAGCTCTGTCAGGAAAGAATGTTCAGAAGCAAAGGGCCCTTCACTGGAAAAGAGGTAACAATAAATATATAAGAAAGGAAGAGAAGATATGAAGATTTTAGATTGTCTAAGGGGAAGTGTTTATATGTAAAAGGAAAATGTAAAATATGATGACTATCTCTTATTGTATAATATTCCTTACATAAAAATAAATCTACTTGCCATTAATTTATTTTTCTAATGTAGAAATTAGACATGTGATTCATTATTTTCTAGTAGCCATTAATCAAGTATGATCATGTTCTGCCGACTTATCCTCTGGAAGAAGGCTGTTCTCCAATAGGTCAACTTTCTCCAAGTCCCAGCTAATATATCACCCATGTTATGATGCCTTGTTTCTGAAACTCTTCAGCTGAATTATGTTGTCCCTCCAATGACTTTTCCTACAGCACTATTAAAGCATTAATTACTCTATGTTGGGTTTCGTTTGTTCATCTATCTTTCCATCAAGAAAGGAAGCACATCAATGGTAGGAAATGTGTCACATTTACTTTAGTTTATCTTTTGCCCTACCTCAGGGCCCAGGACACGTCAGAACATTTCTTGAATGAATGAACAAATGAATGAATATTATGCTGAACTCATTTTGATAACATCACATGCACGTAGGAGAATATAAACAAATAAATGCAACTTGCCACAAATCGTAGTTGTTTATTCACTCACTCTGTTAAAAAAAAAAGCATTAGAGTTTCCAGTATTGAGAAAGATGGACAATAAACAAGTAAATAAATAAATAAACATGCATTATATACATAATGATACATATATAAAGGTAAAGTGTAGGATGTTAAGAAACAGAAAAGCTTCGTGGATCTACTTGGATTGCATGAACAAAGAAAGCCTCTCCATGACTATACTTAAGCTCAGACTTGAAGGAAGAGATGCAGCAGGTACATAAAATCGGGGTAGGGAATGTTGGGCAGGGAATGAGCAGCTGGTGAAGAATGGTGACAAGATGTGAATTTCAGTCACAATGTAGGGGATGATGGATGATAGTTGGTATTCAGTTCAGGGAGTTCAGTTTGGGACATGTTAAGTCTGGGGTTCTGGTAGCAATGCCAAGTAAGTAGGTGGCATGGGAATTCAAAGGTAATGTCTGGGCTGGATATAGCAATTTTGAATTCATTGGGATATAGAAGGCTCAGGACTAAGCCATCATTATAAAGTAAACTTCGGTTTAGACGTGGATAAAAGCTCACATGCTGAGTGCCTTCTTTGTGCTGCACACTGCTAGATGCCTAACACACATTAAATATCCTTACTCAATCCAGCTTTACCAAGGAGAGCTCATCGGTACCATTTTGCAAATTGGAAATTGGGGACTCAGAATGCTAAAGTAACTAATCCAAGGTTACATTGTTAGTAAGTCCAGAACTGGAAATTGAACACAAGTACATTAGTCCCAAGACACATATGTCCATGTGCACAAGGTTCTGTCTCTGAATCTTGTATTTAATATTCTTTATGTGCCAGGTATTCTCATCTATATAACCTTGCTTAATCCTTACAACAACTTTATAGGAATGTATTATTATCCAAGTTTTGCTGCTTAAGAAATCACTGTTACATAGGTCCAGTGATTTATTTTAGGTGAGTTGGCTAGGTCTGGGTGAACAGGATTCACACCTATGGTCCCTCACCTCCTGTGTGTCACATTGCCTCTCTGGCAATGTGGCATTGAGAGGAGAATATTAAGATCTTGCAGGTGCATGTTTGCAATAGTGGGTGTCTATGCTGGAGATTGATGCAAAAGCTTCCTTGAGGTCCAAGGATTCAAAATAATCCCAAGGATTTGTGGATTAGAACAATAGGGGAAAGCTTTCTTGATTCCTTCTCTAAGAAGCAGTAGATTTGTCAGGACGCTTATTATTTGAGTGACACTAAAAATAGAATCTTTCCAGGAATCAATAGACAAATGAATACAGTATCTGGGCCTCAGTACTCTGTAAAATGAGAAGTTTTGATTTAAAAGGTCCTAATGTTTTTCCCCACCCTGCCTTAACATATATGCAATTCAGATATCTCTTATATACTCTCTTAATTTACTGGAGACAGCATTCTGTTCCAATTGTGCAGAGCCTGCAGTTGAGCACCAGACCAATTGCAAAACCATCACATGAATCAGGATTAGCACACCTTACTTGAAAACTACCCTAATTTCCAGGTAACTCTATTCTCTTTGCCTGCTCAGAACATAATGTACTGATGAGATGCACACAGCATTATGCAACTAATTTTGACTGTAATTACGGTTAATTTCACCCTCTTATTACTGCAAAAGCAATGCTGAAGTTCAAAAGACATGACTTTAAACTATGTCTATGCCACAGTTCTGTAAATTTCCAGCCCTGTAATATGATGAGAGATTTTGCTTAAAGAGAGGTTTAATTACCTTAAAAGACCTGGAGGAACTGTCAGATGGCGGACGCTGGTTCCCTGTTTCACTCAAAACAGCACAGAGGGATTTAAAAAGAGAGAAAGCAGAATATTATAGACAGTTGCTGCCTAGCAGGATAGATAGATAATAAACTTTGCTCCTTTTCCAGCTGAACTGTAAAAATCATATAATCTCTCCCTTGACAGAGATTCACCAACTCAGTCTGGCAGTCTTTGGATAGCCTTGAACTTAGGGTTACTGGCAAGGATAAATAAAAATTGCATGTGGCGTGGATTGATCATTTGGCCCTCATTCCAAAGCCTTGCTCAGGGGAAGGAGGAGATATTTTTATTAACAAAAAATAATGCAACTTTTCAAGGACCATTTTCATGCAGAGAGATCTTGATGTTGATCAAGTCAGAGGCTTCTGCAGACATATGCAGAGGAGATATTTGTAATAATACATTTTAAAGTATATTTGAGATTGAAACTTAAAATGACTGAGATAAATATTAATACGTTGTTTGGGTACATAACCTACTAAATTACTTTTTCTCTTCTTTTGAGGATATCACATCTAAGTAGCACAATTTTCACTGTGATATTGGACTTAGAGTTGGGAATAGATATGAGGACTCCCTTCCCTTTGAATGCTTAACCTAAGCTTACAGATAACTAACATGCAGACTGCTAAGAAACAGATTTTTAAGATTGTGCAAAAATGTACATACAGTGGTTTCTGAATGTAATCACTATTTAATATGCATATGCACTCTTGAACTGTTTTAGGCACCAGCTCCTTCTGTCAATCTTTCGTGACTTCTGCTTTCTTAAGAGTTCCATTCTGGATCACCTTTGGCTTGATATTATATATCCACAGGCATACACACTACTGCATTAGTTTCATCATGTATACAAATAGTTGTCACTTAAATAGTAATGAATGCACACAAAAGAAAAAACTTAAACAGTACATAGACTGCTGTTTATAGCTAATGTTTGTGGGAGTAGTGTAGCAACATCACTATGCGGGGGACAGAGTTTAAGGACATCTGACTATTATTTCATGGTCAGCAAGTGGAGGAGCCTTTACCAGGTGGAGCCTGGAAGTGGGTCTTTCTGGATCTCATGGCTTTAACCACTATGATGCAATATTTCTCGTACAACATGTAATCAGAGTTCTACATCAAGATAAACACTCTTGTTGATTTTCCTCCTGCTTTAATTTCAGTAACATGTATTTAATGCATACTTCACCAGACATAAATGTAGAGGGACTTCTCTTAAAACCCTCCAATGAGGATTTCTTTCTCGCCCTATCAAAAGTGTTCTCAATAATGACATTGATTACCTACATGTTGCTAAAGACCAAGATCATTTCTTAATTCTCACGTTACTTAAATTTGAAATCAGCATTTAACATAGTTTATTTGTCCATTCTCCTTAATATACTTTCTTCACTTGGCTTTGTGGACAGCACACGCTCCTGTTTCTCCTCTTACCTCACTGGTCACCCCTCAGTCTTCTGTACTGATGACTCCTTTTCTTCCAACAGTTTCATGTTGGAGTGCTCAGAACTCAGCTCTCTTCTCTTCCATATCTGCCCTCACTCCTAAGTGTGTGTACATACCATTTATTTGTGAAATAGGTTCAAACATATACTTCCAACCCAAGCCTGTTTCCTGAATTCCAGACTTGATTATTCACCCATCTGCTTGACATCCCCACTTAGATGTAGAGTGTACAACTCAGACCTAAGTCCAAAACTGACTCTCGTCACCCCAAACTTGTAGCCTTCATCATCTCAACCAATGGCAACACCTCCCTCCAGTCACTCAGGCCTTAAAGTAATCCTTTTGTATTCTCATCTTCTGCATATGATCCATCAGGAAATCATATTGGCTCTACCTTTAAATATACCCAGAATTCAAGCACGCATTATCGTGTTGTCGCCCTGGCCTACGAAGTCATCATCTCTCACCTTCTTAGTCATCTTATAAAACTTAAGTCAGATCATGTTACACATCTGCTCAAAATTTTGCAAGAGTGTTCATTTCTCTTAGAGTAAAAGCAAGACCATTATAAAGATTGGCACAGACCTATGTTATCTGCCTTCCTCCTTCCCAACCCTGAGCCAGTTTTGCCCTCCTCTCCTACTACTCTCCTTGTTCATATGTTACTTGCCCTAGCTAGACTAGTCTTCAAGCTATCTTCCAACATGTTGGGCATGTCTCTATCCTAGGGCTTTTGATCTTCTTCTGCTTGGCATCCTCTTACCCCAGACACTGTCTCGGTTTCTTTCCTCACCTTTTTTAACTTTCTTATCAAACTTCACCTTCTTATCCCAATCTTCCTTACCCTGCTCTAAGATGACATTTTATTCTACAGCATTATCACCTCTACTATAGTACATATTATAGTTGTACATAAATAAGTTTATATTTTATTGCCTAAGATTCACAAAAACAAGGACCTTTGATTATTGCTATTGCTTATTGATGTAGTCAGGTACCCAGAACAGACGAAATAAATGACTGTTCATTTATAAAATAATTCATTTTAAATACTGGCACTAGGTATTTGATGAAAGATATTTATGATTTCTTAGCTTTTATAAATGCGAATGTTTTGGAGGGATCTTACCCCTTGAGAAGCCTATGAGACTTAGCTTGTAAATAACAATATTTTTCTAAAAAGTGAACCTTAAAATCAATAGTATTACATTATTGTTTGTTTACAAGAATAACGGCCACTGTTAGGGTTTCGAGATAAGAGAAATTTGTCAAAACCCCATATATCTACCTCTACCTGTTTTCCTCTCTTCAGAGTATCCCCATCTCATCTCATCATGCTGGGAATTTGATAAGATTGTATGCTCTTCATTCTCTTGTCAGCAAGAGTAGTTCTCATAAAATGGTGTAATATACTAATTTTTAAAGAAAGTATAAAATGCGGGTGAGGGTTAATTTTGTCTCCATTTCTGGGGCCATTCACTTTTAAAGGGGAATTGAGTCGGGACTATGGAGGAAGTACAAAGAGACTGTGGAGAAGGAAGGAGTCTTCCCTTCTAGGCAGAGTTTAATCTACTTAGCTAGATTATCAAATCACCTTCTCCCAATACCGATCCAGAAAAGCAGCATTTAAGAGAGCAAATAGACAAGTATTTGGGGCATTGTTGTTTACAACTTCATCTGGAATTCATGCAATATTTTTCTTTTCTGCTATGTCTGCTTGAGAAAATCATCTTGATGAAAGAAAATGAGTGGCCACTCATTCTAAGTAAGAGGGAAATGATGCTAGTTGGCAGTAGAAAGTTATCTAATGACAGAGAAAAATGGCCATGTCTCCTGAGAGATGCTTCATAACTTCCTTAAATCTATCACACTTTTGCAAGTGAACTCATAGTGCTGTTAACTGCCTGTCACCCGGGAACAACTGAAACACCAATTGAGATTAAAATTTTAGAAGCTGTTCATATTCTAAGGAACACAAAAGCAGTTGCCACCTGTTCAGTAATGCAAAAGGAACCTAACCCAAAGATAATAAATGCAAATGCATCTTAGCTCATGTCCTAGCCAAGTGATAACTTTTTTTTCATGTGAATCTATCACCATGGTAACTACCGTATAGGAAGATTGTCCCATGTTCTCATTAGTGCAGAGATTTAAGAGCAAAACCAAAGTCCTATTATTTATGTAGCAGTAATGAACATCAACAACTCAGGAAAGTATTGTTTATAGTTATGGGTAAGTTGTATTCTACTAAATATTGAAATATTTTACCTTTCTTCTAAGCTTCATTCATAAATTCTAAGGAAGCATCCCTTAAAATAAGGCACAGAGTTGGGACGTGTTTTATACAAATATATTTATTTGAATTCAATGCACACTTGTGAGTTTCTGTCAGGTTGCAGGAACCTTATCAAGTGCTGGGGATGCAGTGATAAATGGCGTGGTCCTTAACCTCAAGAAACTAAAAACATAGTGAGAGACTGACATAAATTTAATAATTATATTCCAGTGTAATATTTTCACCAATAAAAACATGTCCATGATCTAGCAGTGGTACATGGGGAAAAGAAATGAACCAAAACATTAGAGATGGCTTCACAGAGGAGGACAAATATGATTATATTTTGAAGAACCTGTGGAGTTTTATTTTGTTTTGGGTGGGTTGCCTTTTAGTTTTGAAAAAGAGAAAAAGAAGAAAGAAAGAAAAGAAAGAAAGAAAGAAAGAAAGAGAAAGAAAGAAAGAAGGAAAGAAAGAGAGAGAGAGAAAGAAAGAAATGAAGGAAGGAAGGAAGGAGAGAGAAAGAAACAAAGAGAAAATGAAGGAAGGAAAAGAAAGAGGAAAAGGAAAGGAATGAAGGAAGAAAGAAAGTATGAGATAGGAGAGGCACAGAAGTCAAAACTAAAAGTTATGGTAATGAAATAGGTATAGAGGTGCATAACATTTACTGCATACCAATTATATGAAACAAAGTGTGTCAAGTACCTTGATATATCCAAAGATGAATGAGATCTATACCTTTTTTTCACTCTTGCTTTTTACTGCAAGAGGTGTGGAAATAATTACTTTAAAAGGTTCAGGCAATAGCATAGGGCGATAATAGTCAGAAATATAAATTGCAGTGGGACTACACCATTGTGAGCTGGAGAACAATCATGGACAACAAGGATAGATATGGCTGGTATACTAGAGGTAGAATGATAGTATCTGCTTAAGTCTAAGCTCTTGATCCCTTGGATTCCAAAGAGCCTTTCTGCCTGCCTTAGACACGCACACACACACGCACACACATTCGTTGTATTCATGAACTCTTCCAAGCCCAGGAATTCCTTCTTAGCATCCACATTGCTGCTTTCTCATTAAACATCTGACATTTCTGGACCTTCTTGCTCTTACATTTTAGTTCCCATTATTTTCTTGTAGTATATGGATTTGTAGTTGACCTATTTCATGACAAAGCTCAGTGATCTCCAAGACTACTGATAGCTACGATCCACATTTTATGTGCCATGACTAGCTCTAGGAGATACACTCTGGAAGGGAATTCTGGAACCCCTGCTAGAGCCCAGCAGTCATTCTGGGGACAAAGAATAACATGATATAGGAAGGAAACATTATTTGGTACTCTCTTACAAAGATTGTTTGATATAGTCTTCTTCTTTCCTTTCATATTTCCTTTCTTTTCAATGAACTTTTATTAATAACTTTTTCAAAAATAAAACATTTGCTCTCTCACAAAACTTAATGAATCAAAAACTCTGGAAGTATTTCCAGGCATGCATCTGAATATACTAAATGCTATGCAGATGATTCTGGTGCCATAGAACACAAGAGCCCAACCTTAACAGCCACAATACATCACCCATTACAATAACAATCACCAAGACTGAAACCTAAACCAATATAAGTGTGATCACATAGACTCAGCAATTTACAATTTATCTCAACCTTCGTTTCACATTTGAATCACTGAGAGTTTAAAATAAAACATACCAATGTTTTATTGTGATTATTTGGTTTATGTTAAATCAAATTATGCAGGATGACTTCTGGGTTTCACAATTTAAAGAGCTCTAATATGCAGCCAGGGTTGAGAACCATGTATCACTGGAATCTCTTGTTTTTTGAGCAGTCTAGTGATTAGCTGGGGACCTAATTTGAACTGACTTTTCAGGTGAGTCAGATACAGCTATGGGAAGTTTGTAGGGCCAGAATAGATGCTTTCAAGATAAAATGATTAAGAAACACATCTATCACAAAAGTTATTGGATAATTGGATGGGAATTTGTTAAAGTAGCCCAAATGGACTAAGAGAGACAACAATACTTTTATGTGCCAGGCAGTGTTATTACATGAGTGATGCCCATCTTTTTAAATATATGAGGCATATAAGAGACTATATAGAATAATGGAAATAACTTATATTGAGAATACAGAAAACTCTTTATAAACCTAATACTCTCTCTTCCTGTGACTTTGGGAAGTTATTTAATTGTTACGTTTCCATTTTTAAAGAGGAAAGTGCTGAACCATGATAGCTAAATTTTTTCATCTCTAAAATACTAATTAAGCACAATCATCAAAAATAAATATTTATCTGTAAACTACTAGTATTGGAAATGGTCCCTAAATTCTTGAACTCTGAAGAGTTCCCCATTGTCAAGTCATTCTGCATACTAGTCTATCATAATTTCAGTTTTCCTGTTTCATTAGCCAGATTGTAATTTAAATTTGGTTGCTCAAACAGGAACTTAAATTCAATAAGAAATTTATTACATAATATGCTATCCGAATGTCATCTAGTTATTTAAAACATATTTAATGAAGTTTGTCATCCAAGTAATAACTGTAATATATTGCTTAAACTAGAAAATATGTACATGTAAATCATCTTTTAACAGAATTATAGCAATTAGACTCATCTCTTTACATTTACTTAAAAAGAATTTTATTCATCTAGATATTAATTGATCCAAACATATCAGTTTTTGCCATTTAAAACTGGTATGTATATAACTTTGTTACCAAAATTCTGGTAGTACTATCAACATGCTCTGTGGAGAGAAAATATGACACAGGACAGAGACAATGGTTTTCAAGTAAAGTCGGAACAACCTGAATTCAAAGCCCAGATCTGATATTTACTAGGCAAGTAAACTTAAATAAGATTCTTAAATCACCAAGTCTCTTTTTTCTTATCAATAGAGATATTACCTCCAACCTTACAGAGTTGACAGTTGTGTATTAAATAAAATACATGTAACATACCCAGCATACATAGTAGACCAAAAAAGGGGTGTAACTATTATTATTATCATTATTATTGTACAAAATCTACACTAAACAAAAGCAGTGCTAAACTTAAAGAAAATAGCTCCCAGTCTTGCCAGCATCTATTGCTTCCTGACTTTTTAATAATCACCATTCTGATTGGCATGACATGGTATCTCATTGTCATTCTGATTTGCATTTCTATGATAAGTGATGTTGAGATATTTTTCATATTTGTTGTCCACATCAATGTCTTCTTTTGAGAAGTGTCTGTTCATATCCTTTGCCCACTTTTTGATGGGGTTGTTTGTTTTTTTCTTGTAAATATGTTTAAGTTCCTTGTAAATTCTAGATATTAGGCCTTTGTCAGATTGGTAGATTGCAAAAATTTTCTCCCATTCTGTAGGCTGCCTGTTCACTCTGATGCTATTTTCTTTTGCTGAGCAGAAGTTCTTTAGTTTGATTAGATCCCATTTGCCAATTTTGGCTTTTGTTGCGATTGCTTTTGGTGTTTATGTCATGAAGTTTTTGCCAATGCCTATGTCCTGAATGGTATTGCCTAGGTTTTCTTCTAGGGTTTTTATGGTTTTGGGTTTTACATTTAAGTCTTTGATCCATCTTGAGTTAATGTAAATTAGTTCAGCCATTGTAGAAGACAGTGTGGCGATTCCTCAAGGATCTAGAACCAGAAATAAGATTTGATCCAGCAATCCCATTACTGAGTATATGCCCAAAGGAATATAAATCATTCTACTATAAAGACACATGCACATGTATGTTTATTGCAGCACTGTTTACAACAGCAAAGACATGGAACCAACCAAAATGCCCATCAATGATAGACTGGATAAAGAAAATGTGGTACATACATACCATGGAATACTGCATGGTACATATATACCATGCAATCATAAAAAGGAATGAGATCATGTCCTTTGCAGGGACATGAATGAAGCTGGAAGCCATCATCTTCAGCAAACTAACACAGGAACAGAAAACCAAACACCCCATGTTCTCAATCATAAGTGAGAGTTTAACATTGAGAACACATGGACACAGAGAGGGGAACAGCACACACCAGGGCCTGTTGGGGGGCAGGGGTGAGGGGAGGGAACTAGAGGACGGGTCAATAGGTACAGCAAGCCACCATGGCACGTGTATACCTATGTAACAAACCTGCACATTCTGCACATGTATCCCATTTTTGTTTTAGAATAAAAATAAAATTTAAAAAGCATATTAATAAAGCTTATTAACTATTAAAAATAAAAAAGAAAACAGCTGATTTGTGATGCTTAAAATATAATTTTTGGTGTGGTGCACTTGTGCACGTGCTTCCTGCAGTTCATTTATTAATTACTTACAGTAAATGCTCAAGAAATATTTGTTGATTGATTATTCAATCTGACTTATAAAAATATTTGAGCTCAGTACCCCATAGTGAATTTATTTTATTTTATTTATTTATTTATTTATTTATTTATTGAGACAGAGTCTCACTTTGTTGCCCAGGCTGGAGTGCAGTGGCATGATCTCGGCTCACTGCAAACTCCGCCTCCCAGGTTCAAGTGATTCTCCTACCTCAGCCTCCCAAATAGCTGGGATTACAGGTGTGTGCCACCACACCCGGCTAATTTTTCTACTTTTAGTAGAGATGGGGTTTCACTGTGTTGGCCAGGCTCGTCTCGAACCCTTGACCTTAGGTGATCCGCCCACCTCTGCCTCCCAAAGTGCTGGCATTACAGGCATGAGCCACCACGCCTGGCTGTGATATTTATAAAGTAATATTTCTCAATGCAAATAAAATCTCTACATTGTTTTGCAGTTTGGATTTTCATATAATAGTATTGCACAAAGTAAAACACAACTAGTATTCTTTTCTTTTTTTCCCTTTAAAGTACTAATGAACTATTTTTACTTACAATTTTAATTTCAAATTTCTAATTGATGTTCATGGAAAATGCCTCACTACAATTACTTTACATCTGAATACCTTTCCTGAATTATTGAATTAGTTTATCATTCTCAGTGTACGGATGAGAGGCAGAAATTTCCTGAATTACTTTCTCATTCTCAGTGCATGGATGAGAGGCAGAAATGCTTTTTACCAGGTAGCCCCCTTTTCTCTGAAATCAAAACTTCCTTTTTGGGGAATAAGAATTACATTGCTCTCTCCTCCCACCACTATGAGACAGCATAGAGAAGACAAACAGAAAAGAAATAATTTGACTTCTGGAATCTCATCACTATAAACAAAGGCAGATTAAAACTGAATGAAAACTCAAACATCTAATCAATTTCCTGCTTCGTATGAAACATGATGTCAATTACCATGTCCTGACACATTCTGTTTCACAGTTATCAAAAATTAACTAATAACAGGTTTTATTAATTTCTGGTCAAATGAATATAGTTCATGCTAATTGTTTATTCATATATCACAAATGTATGGAGCTTTTACTAAACTATTAAGCTGTTACTATAATGTAAAACAACTAGTCTAAGCTGCAGAGAGATGGTTAGGTTTTGGAGGGAAGGAGCTGAAAATAAAAGATCCAAGATTTGCCCTTCTAGAATCTTGTGGTGGAAAAAAAAAAACATATAACTTCAGATACACATATCAAGGGAAATGATACATACAACAAAAACAATAGAACTTGACAACCATGTGATGACAGACTAATGGTTTGTATTTGGTCTAGTTGGAGCTCAGTGTTCATTTGTAGAATAGAGGAAGATGAAGCTTGTAAGGCAATTTGAAACCAGGCTGTGTAATCCCTTAAATAACTCACAGTTAAAAGGCCCAGCCTTCAAGAATAGGCTTTAATAATCAGAAGAAACTACCCTAAGTATAGTTAAGTGCAGAAAGAACCATATCCTTCTTCCTGTAGATAAGACAACTGACTGACCTTCAGCATTTTGCAATACTTAATACGGAAGTTACACACTAACTCAGGCGAACATCTAAACTTCATGCCTATGTATAGCTTGAAATAATCCTGAGCTTTTTATTATTTCTAGAATTCAGTTCATTCATGTGTCTGTAATGCCAATAATTGTACGTGTAGAATTCAGTGTTTACTTTTTAAAAATGAAATAGCTCTCCATATTATTCTGATGTACATAGGCCATAGACTGTGGTATTTGGGAAATGCCAGTTTTTTATATACATATATATATATATATTTCACACACACTACAGTGTAAACACATACATAAGACTTGAATAGATAATTGCTAAAAGTATAAAGCTGTATCTGGAATTCCTGTAAGTAAATAATTTTTCTAGAAATGATTTAATAATAATGCCTACAAGAGCTGTATCTCCTAAGAATGTTATGTATCAGACTTCAAATACCATATTATCCACTAATTCTTAGGTGTTTGACAATATTCTGATTAAATCTTTCTCTTTCTCTCCTTTTGGTGGGATCTAAATCAAAATATTGACAGAAACAATTTCAGAAGGGAAAATGGAAAAATACATAGGATAGTCAAAGTTGCATGCATGTCTGTGCATTTGCATGATTTACATTCTATTTAACTTGTGTGGTACAAAATACATAAGAATTTCAAGCACCTTTTTACTCCAAACTATGATTTTGGCAAGGCAGAGAGAGAAGATTTTACCACATAAAGTAGTAATGTTTTATTTGGTAATATTTTATGTTATCATGTAACCATTCACAATATAATTGCATAGACTCCTGTAACAACCTCTTCAGGACAAAAAAGGTAATTACTGAGTCAGATTAAAAGCAACTGATCCTTAAGCAGCCTTAAGAATAAACACATAAGCTACTAGTTTTATATCTATATTAATTCATCCATTTGTTCTTTCAACAAACATGTAACCAGGGACTCTTGTGTGCAGGAATTATTACATAGACCAAGCTTGTAATGACGGGAGACACGGGCCGTAAAGTTCAGCAACTGATAAATAGAAAATACTAGATTAAGAAAACCAAGGAAGAGTCTATGGGACAACAGGATGGCTTGGCTGTAACTACAAAGATTTTAGGTCTCCACTGCAGGCATGCCACTCTCAATTAAAAACAAGAAAGCAAGCAGAGCACACAAAAAAATAAGTATGTGAGGTGACGGGTATATTAATGAACTTGATTCAATCAGTGTATAATGTATACTTATGTCTAACCTCACGTCATGCTCCATACATATATACAATTATGATTTGTCAATTAAAATAAAAAATAAAAACAAAAAAAAGCCCCAAACAAGGAAACAAACAGAAGACAGTGAACTAGATATTATGTGATCTTGGACAAATGGTTCAATGCTTCTACTCCCTCAGTTTCCTTGTCTGCTAAATTAGAAAATATCCCTTAATTCACAGTTGTAAGAAGGATGAAATTGGATACTGCACATGAAAGCAGTTTGTAAATGATGAAATATTCCTCAAATGTAGACTGTCATTTCCGTTCCTGTTTCATCGTTAAAATTGGTTTTTAGGAGCACAAGGGACCAAGCCTGAGGAGGCATCAGGTATGTAAAAAAGTTACCCTTTGTAGGACAAACTGAAACAAAGTTCTGTTTTGGTGAGAGTAGAAAGGTGTGCAGCATTGTGAGGAAGGACATATAGATGACAATAATTCTTATCATGGTAGAAAATAAGTATTCATAAGGCAGCATAGAAGCAGAAGGCAGAGAATCCATTTATCAAACTTTTTTTGTTTCTTTATCAACAGTGACTTGGAAGACCTATCAGTTTGTCAGTGCATTCATTGAGCTAAATGCATAAAATCCTCCCTTCAGACATAACAAAAGCATGAACAAAATCAGTATTCTGGCAGTATTAGTAGCATTTGACTTGACAAGCTGTGTGGGAAGCTACTTGTCAAGGCCCCGTGATAATGAAAATGGCTTTCTTCACATTACAAAGATATTACTTATCTCCTATAGTTTGAAAAGCTATAAAAATTTTTGCACTTTTCCTATTTACATTCTAATCTTCAACATATGTTTAAGTGCATGACATTTTGTTTCTGCTATTCTTGCCAGAATATAGGAAAGGACGTGTGGGTTGCTGTTACTTTTTGTTTTAGGAACAAGTCAAAACGTGGTTGCCTGTAACTTTAAAAAACTTTGTAAAACTTTAAACTTCTTAGTTGTGACTGTTGAGCATGTTTTCCTCAGCCTGGAGACAGTGATAATAAATTTCAGATGTTTACTATGTATGACACTGATAAGGAGGCTTCCAGATACCAGACTTCTGTGAAAGCAGAGTCTCGCCAGGAACAGGGGTGGAAAAGGGCACCTGCTAGTTTATTTGAAAGTAAGCAGCCTAAGAAACAAAGTGTAGTTAATGTTTTTTAAAAGCAAGATCAAAGGAATGGACCCATGAAAGAGGCTTTACACTAAGTGTTTTTTGGAGTATTTTCCTTTTTTAGAGGAAGGCTTTTTGTTTCACATGGCTACCATTTCTTTTTTTTTTTTAAATGATCATGTGGTTTTTTGTTCTTTATTCTATTAATATGGTATTACATTAATTAGTTTTTGGATGTTAAACTGACATTAAATGCCTGGTATAAATCCCACTTGGTCCTAGTGTATAATTCTTTTTTTTTTTCACTTTTGAAAAAGAACAATTTTATTGAGGTATAATTTGCACATTAAAATGCACCCATTTTATGTGCACATTTGATGACTTTTGGCGTATTTATACACCTTAAATCTTCAGCAATATAATTGTGAATTAATCAATATATAGAACATTTCTATCATCCTAAAAAGTTCCTTGTGCCCTTATTTAATTTTCCATGCACTTCTGGTCCTAAGTATCCATTGATGTGCTTTCTGTCATAATAGATTTTTCTTTTTTATACATTCATATCAATGAAGTAATATATTATGTACTCTTTTGTGTCTAGTTCCTTTCAGAACAACATAAGAATATTGAGATTCGTTCATATCATTATACATGGCTACCATTTCTATGTGGGTGAGAAGTGCATTTTAAGAAAGAGTATCATTTAGTTCAGTGCATCCCAGATGATCTTTCTACAAATTGCTACTGTTTCTTAATGTTCCAAGCTGTGAAAATCATTGACAGAAATGAATATATAAGTAAATAAATTTTCAAAATGATCATTTAATAAGTCTTATTTAACTCTACCCATTTTCTGCAAGAAAAGTAAACTTAGTCATGAATGCACTAAGGTTTTACTAAAGTAACTACATCTTATTAGATGCTCAGTAAGTGCCAGCTAACTCAATACATTATTTGTCTTTTATTTATTGCTGCATTGAATCCTAAAAACATATATATGGGTTAGCACAAGATAAGGACATAGGAATTCAGGACAGAATTTGAGCAAGTTGTCTAGAGTCATGCAACTTCCTAGTAGTGGACTAGTAATTTGAACCTAGGTTACACTGACAACAAAGACAAAACCACAACACATTAAGCATTTGTATGGACTTATAAGAAGACTATAGCAAATTCTGTTAACATTATTCTGCATAGCATCCAATTTTTTAAGCACTAAATCATATAGATAGATGTAAGTCCTTTCAAGTTGTTAATATTAGTTAGAATTTTAAAATTTACATGGTATCTAGACATACATACATACATATCATTTAAACAAATACAGATACATCTTATATTCTTTTGCAATATCCATTGTTCTTCCTTTCACGGAGACCATGATTATTAGTATAGTATATTGTGTTCCAGTCCATTGTTATATTTTTAATCCATAACCAATTAAAACATATTTTTGTACATGCGTTTAGTAATATTTACATAAATATCCTGTTTTCCTGTTTTTGTTTTGCAACTTTGTTTTAAAATTTTTATTTCACCTTATATTTCTGTGATTTATCCATACCATAATTATTTTAACTATTATATAGTTAATGCTGCATGGTGTAAACACTCCACTAAAATTTTTCATTTCCTTATGGATAGCCCTTTCTGTTTTTCCTGTTATATTTATACTATTGATTTCTAGTTTGCTTTTATTGTGGTTGGAGAGAATACTCTCTTGAGATTTGTTTTATGACCCAGCACATGACCTATCTTTGTATATGTTTGGTGTGAATATTAAAGTAATGTGTATTCTGCTGTTGGTAAAGTGTTTTATAAGTGTCACTTAGATCCTGTTGTTTGATGGTGTTTAATTACTTTATATCTTTGCTGATTATATATTTGTTATATAAATTATTGAATGGAAAAATTTGAAGTCTCCAACTGTAAGTGTAAATTTTTAAAATCTCTCCTTTCAGTTCTATTAATTTTTGTTTCATGTATTTGGTAGCTCTAGTATCTGTACATACACATTTAGGATTACAATGTCCTCTAGGTGAATTGACACTTTTATTATTATGTTCTATCCCTCCTCTGTCTTTGGTAACTTTCTTTGCTCTGGAGTCAACTTTATCCATTATTAATATAATTTCTAATTTCCTTTGATCAAGTTTAAGTGGCATATTTTTTCCAATCCTTTAATTTTAACCTGCCTACGTTGCTATATTTTAAGTGAATTTCCTCAAGACCACATACAGTTGGGTGATGTTTTTTCAATTTACTTTGTAAATATCTGTCTTTCAATTGGTGTAATTAAGTGATTTACATTTAACGTAATTATTGGTATGTTAGGGCTTACTCTGACATATTTTTTTCTTTCTGTTTTTCTCTTCTGTTTTCTTCTTGCTGCTTTACGTTACTTCAATATTTTTATAATTTTATTTTTCATTTATTTATATTGCTTTCAAGTATATCTCTTTTTGTAACTTTTTTAGGTTTCCTACTTGGCTTCCACTGACACCTAAGGAAGGGTGGGGTGGAAGTTCCAGGTCCCTATGTTCCAGGTCTCCACTGACACTGTGGTTAGGGTGGCTTCCTTATCACCACCTTGACTTTCTACTAGGTCACCTGTGACACCATCGAGTGCAAGAGTCACATCATACTGAGGTGGTGATGGAATTCCAGTCTCCCTACATGGTCTTGGTCTTCACTAACACTGGAGAAAGTGGATGTTGCTTTGTTGTTGGCTTGCAGAGGCATACATTTTGGCTTTCTACTTGACCTTCTCTTACACCAACTTGATAGGGTCTCATTACAACTTCCTAAAGGTGGAAGTCTAGACTCCCCACTTGGCCTTTGACAGTTAGAATATAGATGAGGCCACAGCTTTTTCAGTGGTGTTTAGATAAAGTAGGATGGTTATTATCTAGAAGTTTTCTGGCTTGCTAGGCTGCCCTATTCCTAGTTCTCTATCTAAAAATAAGTAGGCTTTTGTTGGGATATATATTTTTTTTTTTTGGTCTGTGCCTGTTGGTATGTCCAGATTGCTGGCTTCTTCAGCTCAAAGTCTGGAATATATGAGGCAAAAGAGAAAACCTCGATAATTTATCACCATTTCTATCTTTGTCAGCTCAGGCTGCTGTAACAGAATATTATAAACGGGGTGGCTTAAACAACAAACATTTATTTCCCATGGTTCTGAAGACTGAACGCCTGAGATCAAGATGTCAGCACAGTTGGGTTCTTGCTGAATGCCTGCTTCCTGGTTGACAGGTGGCTGCTTTCTCCCTGCATCTTCACATGGCTGAGAGCAGAGAGAAAAAGCAAGCTCTTTTATGTCTCTTCTTAGAAGGGCACTAATCCTATCATGACAGTTCCACCTTCATGATCTCATAACCACTCAAAGTTCTCATCTCCAAATACTATCAAGTTGGGGATTAGTTAATAATATATGAAATTGGGACGTGAGGGGCACAAACATTCAGTCCATAGCAATTTCTGTCCTCTGGTCCTGAGGTGCCTAGATAAGCTGTCTTCTTCCTTCTACCTTTCAGATTCCTTTTAAGTTTCTTTCATATGTAACACCCAGGGTACTTAATTGTACTTAGCAGGATAAAAATGGAAAAGTCTATCTATTCTATCTTCCCAGAGTTGAAAGTTCCAATTTATGTGTGTGTATTTGCCATTTGTATGGCAAATGTTTGGTGAAATGTTCAAATCTTTTGTCCAATTTTTAATTTATTAATGTTCCATTGTTTGTTGTTTGAGAATTCATTATATAGTCTGAATACAAGTTCTTTGTCTTATATATGCTAGAAAATTTTCTCTCACTTTTTTCATTCTCTTAAGAGTACTTTTTGAATAGCAGAAGTTTTATGTGTTGATGAAATTCAATTTTCAATTTGTTTTTTATGTATCATACTTTTGGTGTTGTATTAAATAAATCGTTGCCTAATTTAAGTTCAGGCTAATTTTGTCTTTTTCACAGAAGCTTTATAGTTTTAGGTTTTGCACATAGATCTATTATCTATTTTGAGTTTACTTTTTGATATGGTGTGAGTTACAAGTTGAGTTTCATTATTTCATATTGATACCCAAGTAGTCCAGCACTATATCTATTTCCATTTTGTCAAGTCAGTTGCCCAGAAATGTCAGTCTACTTCTGAACTCTCAATTCTGTTTCATTAATCTCTTTTTCTATCTTGTTGCCAATACTACACTATTTTTTATTACCATACTTTATAATAAATTTTGAAATCAGTTGTTACACAGTCAACATTGTTCTGTTTTTCAAAATTGCCTTGACTATTCTCTGTCGTTCATATTTTCATATGAAATTTAGAATTAAATTGTCTATAATTTTAGTTACCACTTGTGTTTATATACATAAACAGACACACATGCATATACAAAAAATATACAATCACAAAAAAAGAGACATTTAGTTTATATTTACCATTAATCTAAAATTGTTTCTTTGTTTACTATTGCAACTTGAATTCGACTCTTCTTTTCTGGGTTTATTTTCCTTTTTACAGATATAAGTCTTTTAGCAGTTTTTCTGTGACAGTCTATTTTTTATAAAATATCCTAGTACTTAAATAACAGAATATGTTTTTATTCATTCTCAAAATATATATTTGCTTTTCATAGAATTTGATGTTGATGGCTAATTTTAATTAGCATTTTGAAGATATTTTTCACTTTTTTTTTGGAGATGTTTGTTACAGGCAGGAAGTCTACTTAATCCTGTATCATCAGAGTCTAGAACCCACACAGCAATTTGAATAGGAAATATTTAATATATAGAATCCTTAACTACCACAGAAAATGGAAATATCAAATAATTGAATGGTGAGAAGGAAAGCAGAATATAAAAAGTATGGGAATCACAAAAATAAGACAGATTCATGAATGCTGGGGCTGAGATAAGCACTCAACAAAGAGACATCCCTTTACCCCCAGGGTTGAGATCCAGACTTTGTTGAAATGGGCACACTAATGACTCACTGTATGACAGATGTTTTGGTGGTGCCATGCTGATAGAACTTGCCAGAAATTCACCCTCTAAGATGCAGAAGAAAGCTGCCTATGGGGAGTTACAGCATCAGAGACACTCTGCTACGAACCATCTGTATAGTAAAGATTTAATTTTACCAAAGAGAAGTCTAGCCTTTGCCCTTGGCTTATGGGACGCATTCTCTAAAATTTGGAATGTCCTGCCTGAAGAAAGTATCTTACCACATTCGATAGTCTTACAATGTGATTTATAGTAGAAACTTTGGGCCATGTGGTATCAGCTTGACTTCTGGAGGAGCTAAAAATGAAGGTGGTTAACTATGTCTCTGTTACTGAGCTCCAATAAAATATGTGGACACAAAGGCTTGGGTGAACTTTCCTGGTTGGCAATTTTCCCAGCATATTTGTACGTATCATTGCTGGAAGGAGTTAACATGGACATAACTTCACTGGGAAATGACAACTGGAAACTCTGATTCATGTATCGCTTCCCTTGGCTGATTTTAATCTATATTATTTTGCTGTTGTACACCATGTATTAGTCCACTCAGGCTTCTGTAAGAGAAAGCCATAAACTGTGTGGCTTAGAGACAATAAAAATTTATTTCTCACAGTTTTGGTGGCTGGGAAGTTCAAGATCAAAGGACTGTCATATTCAGTGACTGGTGAGGGCTCAATCACTGGGTCATAGATGGAGGACTATCTTCTCACCATGTCCTCACAAGCTGGAAGGGGTGAGGGATCTCTCTAGGGTCTCTTTTATAATGGCACTAATCCACTCAGGAGGGCTCTATCTACTTCATAACCTAATCACATTCCAAATTCTGTACCTCCTAATACCATCACATTTAGAGATCAGGATTTCTACATATGAATTATAGGGGGACAAACAAACATTTAGTTGATAGCAAATCATAATTAGTGTAACAACTTTCAGTGAGTTTTATGAGTCCTTGTAGTGAATTATAAAACTAATGGTAGTATTGGAGACTTCCAAACTTGCAATTGGTGTAAAAAATAAAGGTGGTCTTGTAAATTGTTCCCTGATTTTGCACCACCCAAGAGGGATGCCAAAAGAAGCTGCTGGCTGCTGGGTGCTGCTGACAACTGGATACTGCAGGAGCTGGGTGCTGGTGAAGCCATCTGTAACACAGAAACCCAGTAGTGGAGAAGCTGCCTTCATTGCATTGCAAAACCTAGGATCCAGGCAGTGAAGCTGTAGTTGTTGCAGGAGTCATGTTCTGGTGAAGTAACCTGTGTTTGTAGCAGTAGCTGGGCATGTACTGCCTGATGGGAGAGTACACGGAACTCAGAATGAAAACCTCTACTTTTTGCTGTCTCTCCAGTATCCCTTACTGACAAATTTTAGCATCATTCCAGTGGACAAAGGAAAAAATGTAAAGGGTCAATCTATGTTTTTGCATAGCAGATAATACAGGGTAAATTTGAAGCTGAGCAACTATGAACAGATAGCTATCATTGTAAGATTTTAATTTCTGTCTAGGGTATGCATCTGTTTTCTTTGATGAGTTTTAAGTTTTTTAAAAAACAGTCTACTGTTTTACTATAAAGTTTACTGTTTTACTATAATGTTTCTAGGCTCCTTCTCATTCCTACCTTCTTTCCTTCTTTCCTTCTTTTCTTTCTTGTTGACGCTTGGTTGGCACATGACAGGAAGTTCAATCTAAGGATACATGCTTTCATTTAACTCAAAAAATACATAGGCATTATCCTTTTACTTCAATCTTATTCTTTCTATTTATTTCTTCTAGGACTGCTATTAGAAGGATTTAAAGTTTCTCTATCTTCAATGTCTCTTAAGTTTGCATTTATTTTTTCTAATTTCTTAATCTCTCTGTGATACATTTTGAAAATTTTTCTCAGTTCTTGATTCCAAGTACATTTTTTTCTTCCTATGAGCTAGTCTACTATATGTAGTCGAGTGATACTTTTATGACTATTCTTAATTGAACTTTGAATTGGTTCATTTTTAAACCACCTACTCATATTTATACATCTAATTTTGTTGTCTTGAATGTCAGTCCTTATTCGCCCATTAGAGATTTTAAAAATACAGTACATTCACTTTTTGGTTTAAGCTTGTCAGATTATTGCTGTGGAATGTTTGTAGAGCATTTTTCTTTCTTATATGCTCCATTATTTTTGTTTTAGTATTGAGTTTAAAATACAATTTTTTAAATGTTGAAACTTCCTTCAAGATAATTACTGATGTGCTTCAATCTTGACTCATGGAAGCTGATGTTGTGAACAAGCTCTTATTATTGTTTAAAATTTAGTTTGAACCTCCAATTGCAAGTGTAGAGCAGTATTTTTCAATCTTCTTTTTTCCCCCATAGACAAATCAACTTATTTGAATTCATGTGGGAAACTCCACTAATCAAATATCTAAACTGTCTTTATGAAGAAGATAATGCAGTTAAGATTATTTTCCACTTTACTTTTTCATCTTATCTCTAGCAAATTCTAAATTCACATCCTCCCATGCATCACAGTTCTAAGGAAGAAAGCTTGTGAACTATCATCTAAAGATTCTTGCATATTTCGTAAAAAAAAGTTTACTAAATATGTATATATGTTTAGTATATTGACATAACTGAAACATTCTGAAATCCCTGGATGACAGGCATCACATTGAAATATGTGCAGAGAATTATTCCTAGAGAATCATTTCAAGACAGGCAATTTTTCAGATGTAAAGTGTGCAATTTAAAATTAAGTGTTGAGGGGCTAGATGTGCACAGATATTTACAGAAGATTTTACATATGATATTATAGAAGAGTTTCTAGGAGATGTTAATGAAGCCTCATTTCTCAGTGTTACATATTAGACAAGGAAGAATTGCAGAAAAAAATTATTAGTTGCCAAAATGGTGTGACCAAAATATTTAACTAAAAAATTAAGCTTTATTGAATCTATTACATTGATATGTTTTCCCATTGCTGCTTTGTGTGAACATTGTATAAATAATTCTGCAGTCTGTTTAGTTAGAAAAGCTGATGGTAAACATGTACTATTATATAACCTCAGGACAAGATAAAGAGACAGGTGCTTCTTTTGTCTGACAAAGAGAGAAGCTTAGTCTCAGTTTGAGAACTCTCACATAATAAAAAGAGACACATTTGGTCATTAAGTATGAGACTCCTAACTAGAAGATTACTTTCAACTGGTAAATTTTTTAAAAAACTGAATTTAGATATCAGCTTCATAATTTTCTAGTCTAAGTGATAATCCCTTGATAGGACCAGGGTAATAGCTTCCTGACTGTTCTCCCTGTTATGATATGTATTCTTTCATCATTGTATCATCCCTCTTCCAAGAAAAATACTATATAGAATTGGGTGTTTATTATCACAATTTTATGCATTTCTTGATAATTTGCTATACCTATATGTACACCTATATTAAATGTAGTTTTGCTAGATATGTTTTAATATTTGATATGTGAAGCTTGTTTTTTCTTAATATTATGCTTGTGAGGTGCATTTATGGTGACCCATAAAAGTTTACCTTTAAAATTTTCATTTTTCTCCCATAGAATATTATTTTTATGAGTATAACATAATTTGTTCCCATCCATAATGTTTCTCTACTATCAACAATGCTGCAATAATTATTCTTATTCATATGCTTCTTTGTACTTATGCAAGAGTTTCTGTTCATACATACTTAGAAATAAAATTGCTGAGGGGCAGCATGTGTATATCTTAAATTTATCTGATATTGCAAAATTGCTCTCTAAAATGGTTTTACCAATTTACTTCTGACAGTAATGTATGAGTTCCATTACTCTACATCCTAACTAAAATGTGTTATTGTCAGATATTTTAAGTTTTGCTAACCTGATAGGGACAAAAATGTAATCTCACTGTGGTTTAACTGAATCTCCTTGAATATTAATGGATAATATCTAATACAAATCGATAATCTGTTTATGGCCATTTTGTTTTTCTCTTCTTTGAACATCATCTGTTTAAGAGTTTTTGAGCTATTTTTCTTCTACTAACTTATTTTTAGAATTTTAAAAATATTTTTCTCCTAGTTTGGGACTTGTCTTAATGCATTTTATAGTATCTCTTGATGCAAAAATGTTCTAATTTAAATATTAATTTATCCACTTCTTAATTCATTTTATTTTAATGCTTTCTGTGTGTTTTCTAAGGTACTGTGAGGATAGATAAGTATTTTCATGTGTTGTCATTTGAAGGAAAAAAGTTTTCATCTCTTCTTTTATTCCTTTTAATCCCACTGGTATTGATATGCATGTGTTTGTGAGTATGTGTGTGGAGTTCAAATACATATATTTTCTATTATAGCATTCAGTGAGTATTTGCTGAAAGAGTGAAATGAATCCTAACATTTCATTTTTACTTAATTATTGATTCACCTTTGTAAATATGTCATCCTTGCCCAAAAGGTGGAAGTTGCTCTTGAATTACTACAATTTTAGTATATCCCAAGTAAAATGTAGAAATGGAGTAAAACACACGCCTATTAAATGTGGGTAAGCATTTCTAACATCATCTTAAAAAATGGATGAATAATATTTTATTCAGAAAAATCATGTTTATTCAAAATATTTTATCTAATCAGAATTATGGTAACAACATAAAATGTAGAAACATTACAACTTAGACCATTTCCCTCCACCTTCCGGATGTCCATTAAAAATTGTTTCAGTTGTGTATTTTTTTTAAATTAAGAAAAAGAAATATCCTGTAATTCACTAAGATATTTAAGATTTCTGATGTTCTCTGTCTCTGAATATCTGATTTTATCTCCATTTTCATATTTTTTTGGCCAAAATAACTTCTTAAAATTTCTTCCAGTGTAGGTATATTTTGATGGTTAATTCTCCTAGTTTTCCTTTATATAAAATCTGTTTATTTCTCCTTTATTCTTGATAAATATTTTTGCTGGATATAGAATTCTTGGTTTCCTTATTTTTTAATTTAATAAATTAAAGATTGTCTTTTTAAAGGCTTTGTTCTCCACAGTTTCTGATTAAAAATCTATGATAATTTAAATCATTACTCCTTGTATGCATACATGTTTTCTAACTCTCAAGATTTTTGTCTTATTTCTGGTCGGCCACTAGTCTGACTATGATATGGCTTGGGGCATTCTTTGGTACTTATTTGGTTAAGATTTGCTGAGTTTCTTGAACCTACCTTTCACTAAATTTGTAAAACTTTTAGCCATTATTTCCTTAAATATTTTTTCTGTCCCCTTACTCTCCTTTTCTTCTGGGACAATAATTATGCTTGACCTTTAAAACACATGGATTTGAACAATGAAGGTCCATTTTAAGCAAGTTGATTTCACTAGAAGTTACACAAAATGTGCCTGCCTCTCCTGGCTCCCCATTACATCTTCTCCACCTCTTCTAACCTCTGCCACTCCCTAGACAATAAGATCAATCCCTGATCTTCCTCGGCCTACTCGATGTAAAGATGATAAAGATGAGGACCTTTATGATGATTTATTTCCATTTAATGCATAGCAAGTACATTTTATTTTCTTATAATTTTCTTAATAACATTTTCTTTTCTCTAGCTTATTTTATTGTAATAATTTAGTATATAATACATATAACATACAAATACAGGTTAACAGACAGTTTATGTTATCAGTAAGCCTTTTGGTCAACAATTGGCTGGTAGTAGTTAAGTTTTGGGAAGTCAAAAGCTATATTCACATTTTTGTCTGTGTGGGGGTTGATACCCCTAGCTCCCATGTTGTTCAAGAGTCAGCTGTACACATATTTTAGAACTTTTGATCTACTTCAGGTTTTTGTGTGTTTGCTCATTTTTACAGGCATACATCATTTTATTGTGCTTTGCTTTATTGTACTTCACAGATATTGCACATTTTACAAATTGAAGGCTTACGGCAATTCTGTGTTGAGCAACTTTATCAGCGCATGTACCAACATTGTGTCTCTGTGTCACATTTTGGAAATTCTTGCAATTTTTCAAATTTTTCATTATCATTTTATCTGTTATGGTGATCTATGCTCAGTGATCTTTGATATTACTCTTATAGTTGTTTGGAGGCACCACAGACTGCATCCACGTGAGAGGGCAAACTTAATCAATAAATGTGTGTGCTAACTGCTTCACCAGCTGACCATGTCCCCATCTCTCTTTCTCTCTTTGGGCCTCCCTACTTCCTGACACACGACAATATTGAAATTAAGCCAATTAATAATCCTACAGGGGCCTCTAAGTGGTTAAACTAAAAGTAGAGTAGTATGTCTCTTACTTTAAATCAAAAGCTAAAAATGATTACGCTTAGTGAGGAAGGCACATTGAAAGCCAAGATATGCCAAAAGCTAGGTCTCTTGTGCCAAACAGTTAGCCAAATTGTGCATGCAAAGGAAAAGTTCTTGAAGGAAATTAAAAGTGCTACCCCAGTGCACACATAAATGACAGGAAAGCAAAAGGGCCTTTTGCTGATATGGAGAAAATTGTAGTGGTCTGAATAGAAGATCAAACCCACCACAGTATTTCCTTAAGCCAAAACCTAACCCAGGGAAAGGCCCGAACTCTCTTCAATTCCATAGATCCTGAGAGAGGTGAGGAAGCTGCAGAAGAAAAGTTGGAAGCTAGCAAAGATTGGTTTATGAAGTTTAAGGAAAGAAGCCATCTCCAAAACATAAAAGTGCAACATGAAGTGGCAAGTGATGATGTAGAAACTGTAGCAACTTATCCAGAAGATCTAGCTAGGATCATTGGTGAAGGTGGCTACACTAAACATCAGATTTTTATTGTAGACAACATGGCCTTATATTGGAAGGAGATGCTGTCTAGAACTTTCATAACCTGGATTTAAAGCTTCAAAGGACAAGCTGACTCTTGTTAGGGGCTAAGCAGCTGATGACTTTATGTTGAAACCAATGTTGATTTGCTATTCCAAATATCCTAGGGCCCTTAAGAATTATGCCAAATCTGCTCTGCTTGGCTACAAATAGAACAACAGAGCCTGGATGGTAGTACATCTGTTTACAGCATGGTTTACTGAATATTTTAAGCCCACTGTTGAGACTTGCTGTTCAGAAAAAAATGATTTCTTTCAAAATATTCATTGCTCAATGACGATACATCTGAGAGCTCTTGTATATCTCACCCAAGAGCTCTTGTGCCGAAGCACAAGGAGATCAATGTTGTTTACATGCCTACTAACATAACATCCATTCTGCAGCTCATATATCAAGGAGTAAGTTTGACTTTCCTTTCTTATTATTTAAGAAACATATTTCATAAGGCTATAACTGCCATAGGCTGTGATTTCTTAGATAAATCTGGACAAAGTCAATTCAAAACCTTTTGAAAAGGATTCACCATTCTAGACGCTATTAAGAACATTTGTGTTTCATGGCAAGATTATCATCAACATTAATAGGAGGTTGGAAGAAGTTTATTCCAATTCTTATGGATGACTTTGAGAGGTTCAAAAATTTAGTGGAGGAAATAACTACAGATATGGTAGAAACAGCAAGACAACTACAAGTGGAGGCTGAAGACGTGACCAAAATCCTTCAATCTCATAAAATTTTAACGGAAGAGGAGTTGCTTCTTATGGACGAGAAAAGAAAGTGGTTTCTTAAGATGAAATCTATTCCTGGCGAAGATGCTGTGAACATTGTTGACATGACAACAAAAAAATTTGAATGTTACATAAAATTAGTTAATAAAGCAATATCGAGACTTAAGAGGATTGGTTCCAATTTTGAAAGAACTTTTACTGTAGGTTAAATGCTATTTAACAGCATTGCATACTACAAAGAAATCTTCTGTTCAGGAAGGGTCAATCAATGTGGAAAAATTCCTTGTTTTATTTTTAAAAATTTTCACTGCCACTGCAATCTTTAGCAACCACCACTTTGATTAGTCAGCATCCATGAACACTGTTGACGCAAGACCCTCCACCAGCAAAATAGTAAGACTCGCTGAAGGCTCAGACAGCATTTTGTCTAGCAACAAAGTATTTTTAGTTATGATATCTACATTGTACATGCTATTACATACTTAATAGACTACAGTATGCTGTAAATATAATTTTTGCATGTACTGGGAAAGCAAAAAATTTGTGTAACTCACTTTATTGCTATATTCACTTTATTGAGGTGGTCTGGAACTGAACCCACAATATCTTCAAGGTATAACTGTATTTTAAATCTTTTTTCTCCCTTATTCCAGATTAGGTAATTTCTATTGACCAAGTTCAATAACTTCTAGTTCACTGATTTTTTTTCTATGTAAGTCCAGCTAGTGAAATGCGAATTTCTAATATTGTATTTTTTCTTTCTAAAATTTCTATTTGGTTGGTTTTTTTAATACATAGTCTATTTTTTTGATGATATTTTCTATATTTTTCACTCATTACAAGTATATTTTCCTTTACCTTATTGGACATTTATTTACCTTACTGGACATTTAAAGCACCTGCTTTAAAGTCATTGTCTGATAATTCTCACTTCTGATCATCTCAGATTTGAATTTGTTATTTTTTCCTCTGAAAAGGACTCATGTTTTCTTGTACGTAACTTGGATTTAATATTAAACATTATAAATGTTATACTGCATAGACTCTAGATGTATGCCTCAGAGGAACATTAATGGTTTTTTGTTTTTGTGGGCAATTAGCTTGGTCAGATTCAGACTGCAAATTCTGGTTCACCAGCACTGGGTGGATTTCAAATCTTGGTTCAGTTATTTTATACTTGGATGGTCACTGGTAGTGTTCCTCACACACGCACATTTCAGGAATCAGTCAGAGGCTCGGGCAGAGTTTATACACACAATTTGGGGATCACCTTTTCTAAATCTCTCCTTTCTGTGATTCCCTCCCATTCTCTATCATCTCTGGTTATCAGGTTCGTTCCCTGATTCCTTGGCAGAGAAAGATGGTAGGTTTTCTATTAGAACATCAGAATTTCTGATACTGAACCAAGGCCATCAGAACAAAAAACATGTACCATTTTATTCCCTGTTTCCTAATGGCAACTTCCTTTCAGAATCTGCCTCGTTTCTCCTCCAGAGCCTTCAAGACGGTTTTAGTATTTTGTTCAGAGCCCAAAGTTGTTATTAGCAGAAAGACTGTTTGAAGCTCTTTGAATCTTATTTGGCTGTCACAGAAGGGCATCAACATTTTTTATAAACAATGATGAAGGATTGGTATAATGTGGATTTTTTTTAGTCAAATTGAAATTGTTAATTCTTATTCTTTCTCAATAGGAATATAGTCATCTTAGTAAGCTATTTATTTATTCTGGAAAATCCTACATTTTTCAAAACATGTCTGAAACTCCTTGTTTTGGAATTGTCTTGAGAGCCTGTGATATATTTTTTAATCTACTAAGAATTATCATTTATCTAAATATTAAGTGTCATTTACCTCAAGAGGAAATATTCAAAAATAGTTGGCATTAAATAAATAAAATTATGGTTATTGACTGAATTGTGTCCCCCCATATTCATATGTTGAAGCCTTAACCCCCAATATGACTGTATTTGAAGACAGGGCCTTTAAAAGGTTAATTAACTTTAAATGGGATCATAAGGGTGAAGTCCCCAATCCTCTGATAGGATCTGCATCCTTGTAAGAAGAGGAGGAGACACTAGGGTTTCTCTCCTCATGCACACACGTAGAGAAAAGACAATGTGAGTACACAGACAGAAGGCACCATCTGCAAGCCCGGAAGTGAAGCCTCACCAGAAACCAATCCTGCCAGCACTGTGCCCTTGGATTTCCGGCCTCCATAACTATGAGAAAATACATTTCTGTTTAGGCTACCACAGTCTGTGATAATTGGTTAGGGCCTCTGGAGTAGACTATGATACAATTACCTAACTTATGTTTCAAGAGTCAAAACCACTGTAAGTATACAAGACAGCAACAAAAAATAAATTTAGGGAAGGGAAGGTGATAAAGAAATACAAAAACATGTTGTATTACGGCAACATAGTTAAGTCAGTAGAGCATCCTAATGCAGCAACATTTAACAGGCACAATAATCTCCATGACTGATGTGGGCATTGGAGGAAAGAAGAAGCTTCATGATTTTATAATTATATCTTCTACATTATGTATCCTTTTGGTATCACTTTGTTAGACTACTCCAAAATGATAATTTCAGTTTTGTTTTAGACCGTAGAATACTTGTAAAAAAAAAAAAAAAAGGCAGAGTAGTTTGTAGCTTTGCCCATTTCAGCTCCCTGCAAGCCTTCAACATGTGTGAGTTTCTATTTTAAGCAGATATTTATTACCATGTTTAGAAACCCTTTGACCCTAGGGTGAAAAGATATTATTTATTTGGTTTAAATTGGCAGGACTGTCATGAATCCACAAGAGAAGTTACTTATAGAGCTTAGAAGAGATAAGAAAATAATCACTCATTACTCTGCCATCTAGCAGCTGTGACCTCAGTGGTGGGTGTTTGTATGTGTGCGTGTGTGTTTAAATTTGCTAAAGGAGTGGAACAGTAAATCACCAACAATAACAGAAGGATCAATACTCTCCCTCACCTCTTTTGTGAGATCTGGAGCACGGCCTGAATCTGTCAGATGGAATTAAAGGACTCTGGGTATCAGAGAGGATGCCAACAAATAGACCTGCCATACCGTCCATTAACAAAAGCCTCAGATCACTGCCATGGCCATTGTTACCACTTTAAAAGGGGGACGTTTGGGACCTGCCACCTTTTAAATGAAAGGTGGTCTGGTTATTTACAGCAGAGATTAGTCGCATTTCTAACCAATAAAGTGCACACTAATTCAGTGATAATATTGAATAAACTCTGTGGAAAGGAGGAATCGTGTTTTACCATGAAGGGGGAAATAACGTTTGATCAAAAGACAGATAAAGGAGGTTACTGCGAAACATAGGAACATGGCCCATGGCTTGCTTGGAAGTTTCCATCACGTGCGCAATCTTTCTTTTGGCAAAGGCTGATGCCTAAGGCTTTCTGGGTTCTTTTGTCTTTGTACAACAACAACAGCACATCATGCATCTGGCCAATTGAACAGTGGGATACCACAGGGAGAGTTTCCATCCCAGCACCAGCTGGTGATGATTTTATGGCTACCAGCATGAGGATTGATAGCGTCCATAAATTCACATCCAGCTAGTGTATCCACAGATGCCATTCTTATTCCTATCTTGAAACTTTGCTAAATTTTAGCTTGAGAAATATCCCTCAGCAGTGAATTCTGAAAGCTGATTATGCACCACATAAAAAAGTCTTTTTATCCATTTTCAATCTGCTGCCTTTTGAATTTCATCCAGTTTCTGCTCTTTCTCAAATTAAGGTGAATGGGAGTATGGTATATAATTAGACCATGTTATACTATTCATTACTTCATTCACCTTAATCTTATTATCTCTGCAGACATACTAGGTCAATTCCAGCAACGTGTGAAAAGAAAATGTGATTAATATTAAATGAGCTGAATATAACTAATAATATGGTTGATTGAAATAAACTCTAAATTGAAAAAAAAAACTGTCATAGGAACTTTATTCTGTTATTAAAACTGGCAGGCATTTTACAGGCACAGGGCCGGTGGCAGGGTAACTCTTTGTATTTGTGAAAAGCTATGCAGACATGCGAACATATCTATAGATCCTCCATTCACTTTGCATTAATTATAGGTGATTAATAGGTTGTAAATTTTTAATTGTACACTTGAAGCCTTCCAAAGAATGAATCTGTAGCAGACATTTGTAATACATCAAATGTATGTTGTCCTCAAGTTCTAATCCTTGCCATTTCTAGAATGAAATGTTAGCAGGGAAATAAATTGAAATACTTTAAAGAACTGTAGTATAAAGCATACAATAAATGCCTATACAGTCCCATAATGAAAACAGAATATAGATTGTTCTTCCCCTGAATAAATGAAAGCAATATTTTGTATGTAATACACATTGTGTTTATTATATACATCAAATGCATATAATCTAGGGTTTAACATAATTCTTCTTTCATCTATAACATTTTAGGTCATATGCTTTTGAATAAGCTACATTGCAGATTATCTGTGGAGTGCCAGTGCTTTAGCTTTTGGGCTGGTTTGTTCTTTATTCAGCAATTTTCAGCGACATTAATCTCATTTCTCTCTCTCTCTCTCTCTCTCTCTCTCTCTCTCTCTCTCGTGTGTGTGTGTGTGTGTGTGACTCTGCCTCTCTTCTACTTTCCCTACATTTTTCCCTCCCTCCCATATACTATGTGTGTAGTATAACAAAATACTATACACTGGTTAGCTTATATACAATGGAAATGTATTTTTTGAGGTTCTGAAGGCCAAAAGGTCCAGATCAAGGTACCTGCAGATTCAGTGTCTGATGAAGGCCCACTTCCTGTTTCTCATTGTAATCGCACCTGGAGGAACGATCGGGGGATCTCTCTGGGGTCTTTTTGATAAGGGCACTACTCCCATTCATGAGGAACCCTCATGAATGGAAGATTAAGGTTACTTAATTATTCATTTATTTCTACCATTAATATTGTTTTTTAAAAAATATATATAAATAAAAATCTGATAAATATCTTGTATTTCTCTATACTTCATATACTTTTCTTAGACTAAATTAATCCAATGGAAACTATTTTGTTAAAGCATAAGTGTTAGAGGCTTTTGAAATATACAGCTATATTATATTATATTAATTATACAAATGGAGGAGAACTAGTGTCGTGAACTATCCCCATTATATAGATAAAAGTGCTTCTCTGGTTGGGGAAGAGGAATAGATGAAGAACGTGACATTTTCATATTATGCCATAGTATGGGAAAAACACATCTCGTACAAGTTCAAATGCAGACTTGACCCCGTGATCATCGGTGTTCTATACCCTATTGTTCTAGGCTCATGTGGAATTGCCCTCTTATATCCCATTATTGTCTAATGTTTAGATACATTATGCAACCTTGGGTATCCAATATTTTCTCCATCTTCAACTCTATGGCTCTGATAAATTATTTAACTTCCACTTTCCTCTCCAGTTTTTGTTCTGATATTTTCCTTCTGCATGTCAATTCCTGTACCATTTTCTGCACATGGTCAACTGCCTTTGGGTGTCAATTGTTTCTGAGCAGAAGTCAGTGTTCAGCTGAATTTTTGTTTCCCTTTATGCAATGTGTCATTTTTTCTTTGGCTGCTTTCAAGATTTCCTCTTTATATTTGACTTTTAGTAGTTTGAATGGTGCACCTAGAGCTATTTGTTTGTACTTATTCTGCTTGTAGCTTTCTGAAATCTTTGTAAATTTAGGTCATTCACCAAATTGGGGAAATTTTTGGCTTTATTCTGAACTCTCCTTAGGACTCTAATAACATGTATTTCATATATTTTGGTATTGTCCCACAGACTCTTGAGGTACTATTTTTTAAATCTTTTCTTTCTCATTTGCACTTTTCCAGATTTAATTTATATTGGTGTATCTTTGTTATTTTTTAAAAAATTACCCATCTCAGGTATTTCTTTATTCTTAAAATTTTATTTTATTTCAATCGTTTTTAGGGAACAGGTGGTGTTTGGTTACATGAATAAGTTCTTTAGCAGTGATTTCCGAGATTTTGGTGTACCCATCACCCAAGCAGTGTACACTATACCTGATATTTTGTCTTTTAGCCTTCACCTGCTCCCACCCTTTCCTCCAAGTCCCCAAAGTCCATTATATCATTCTTATGCCTTTGCATCCTCACAGCTTTGCTCCCACTTGTGAGAATATATGATATTTAGTTTTCCATTCCTGAGTCACTTCACTTGGAATAATGGTCTCTAACTCCATCCAGGTTGCTATGAATGTCATTGTTTCATTCCTTTTCATTGCTGAGTAGTATTCTATGATGTATATGTACCACATTTTCTTTACCCACTAGTTGGTTGATGGGCATTTAGGCTGGTTCCATGTTTTTGCAATTGTGAATTGTGCTGCTATAAATATGCATGTGCAAATGTCTTTTTCATATAGACTTAGTTTCCTTTGGGTAGATACCCAGCAGTGGGGTTGCTGGATCCAATGGTAGTTCTACTTTTAGTTCTTTAAGGAAACTCCATAGTATTTTCCATAGTGGTTGTGTTAGTTTACACTCCCAACAGCAGTGTCAAAGTGTTCCCTTTTCACCACATCCACATCAACATCTATTACTTTAAAATTATGGCCATTCTTGCAGGAGTAAGGTGGTATTTCATTGTGGTTTTTTTGATTTGTAATTTCCTGAGAATTAGTGATGTTGAGCATTTTTAAAAATTATACTTTTAGTTCTGGGATACATGTGCAGAATGTGCAGGTTTGTTACATAGTTATACACGTGCCATGGTGGTTTGCTGCACCCATCAACCCATCATCTACATTAGGTATTTCTCCTCATGCTATCCTTCACCTAGCCCCCACCCCTTAACAGGCCCCAGTGAGTGATGTTCCCCTCCTTGTGTCCATGTGTTCTCATTGTTCAGCTCCCACTTATGAGCGAGAACATGCAGTGTTTGGTTTTCTGTTCCTGTGTTAGTTTGCTGAGAATGATGGTTTCCAGCGTCATCCGTGTCCCTGCAAAGGACATGAACTCATCCTTTTTTATGGCTACATAGTATTCCATGGTTTATATGTGCCACGTTTTCTTTATCCAGTCTGTCACTGATGGGCATTTGAGCATTTTAAAATATGTTTGTTGGACATTTGTATATCTTCTTTTGAGAAATACCTGTTCATGCCATTGGCCCACTTTTTTATGGAAGTTTTTTTCTTGCTGATTTAAGTTGCTTGTAGATTCTGTATATTAGTCCTTTGTCAGATGCATATATTGTAACTATTTTCTCCCACTCCGGGGTCATCTGTTCACTCTGCTGATTATTTCTTTTGCTGTGCAGAAGATTTCTAGTTTAATTAGGTCCTATCTGTTAATTTTTGTTTCTATTGCATTTGCTTTCAGGTTCTTGGTTACGAACTCTTTGCCTAAGCCAATGTCTAGAAGGGTTTTTCTAACGTTATCTTCTAGAAATTTTGTGGTCTCAAGTCTTAGATTTAAGTATTTGATCCATCTTGAGCTGATTTTTTTATAAGGTGAGAGATGAGGATTCCAGTTTCATTCTTCTATATATGGCTTGCCAATTATCCCAGCATCATTTGTTGAATAGGGTGTCCTTTTCCCACTTAACATTTTTGTTTGCCTGGTCGGCGATCAGTTGACTGTAAATATTTGGCTTTATTTCTGGGTTCTCTGTTCTGTTCCATTGGTCTACATACCTACTTTTATTCCAGTACCATGATGTTTGGGTAACTATAGCCTTGTAGTATAGTTTGAAGTCGGGTAATGTGATGCCTCCAGATTTGCTCTTTTTGCTTAGTCTTGCTTTGGCTATGCAGGCTCTTTTTTTGTTCCATATGAATTTTAGAATTTGGTTTTTCTAGTTCTGTGAAGACTGATCATGGTATTTTGATGGGAATTGCATTGAATCTGTAGATTGTTTTTGGCAGTATGGTCGTTTTCACAATATTGACTCCACCCATCCATGAACATAGGATGTGTTTCCATTTGTTTGTGTCATCTATGATCTCTTTCAGCAGTGTTTTGTAGTATTCCTTGTAAAGATCTTTCATCTCCTTGGGTAGGTATAGTCCTAAGTATTTTATTTTATTTTTTGCAGCTGTTGTAAAAGGGATTGCATTCTTGATTTGATCCTCAGTTTGATAGCTGTTGATATATAGCTGTGCTACTGATACGTGTATGTTGATTTTGTATCCTGAAACTTTACTGAATTCATTTATCAGATCTAAGAGCTCTGTGGATGAGTCTTTAGGGTTTTTTAGATATGCAATCATATCATCAGTGAACAGTGACAGTTTGACTTCCTCTTTACCAATTCGGATACTCTGTTTCTTTGTCTTGTTGAATTGCTCTGGCTACGATTCCCAGTGCTGTGTTGACTAGAACTAGTGTAAGTGGGCATCCTTATCTTCTTCCAGTTCTTAGGTGAAATGTTTTCATCTTTTCCTCACTCAGTATAAAATTGGCTCTGGGTTTGTCATAGGTGGCTTTTATTACGTTGAGGTATGTCTCTTTTATGGCAATTCTGCTGAGGGTTTTAATCGTAAAGGGATGCTGGATTTTGTCAAATGCTTTTTCTGCACCTATGGAAATAATCATATAATAATACAATTTTTGTTTTTAATTCTATCAGTATATCTTTAAATTCTCTGATTGATTATTTGGAAATTTCCATTCTGCTATGAAGTATATCCATTTAATTTTTATGTTAGATACTGCATTTTTGTTTTCACTTCTGGAAATTTCATGTTGTTCTTTTTATATTTCTATTTATTTGCTATTTCCTGTTTTTGTGCATATTACATGCATACTTTATCTCATTTAAGATAGATGCTTTAAAACCCGTATCTGGTAATTACAACATCTGCATTATTTGAAGCTGAATTCTGTTTATTTTTTTTCCTTTGAAAATGGGTCATATTTTTCTGGTTTTAATATACCACATAATTTTTTACTGCATGCTGGATATTATGAATTATGTGTCTGAAAGAATTTAGATTCTGATATTTTTCTATAAAGAAAACTCAAACTCCAAGTAATGATTTCATAGTTGAATTTTTTCCTTATTTGTTGTTTTACCTTAACTAGGCTTCTTGGAAGCTGTCTCTTGAATGTGTAGTTTAGGAGTGAGCCAGAGATTTGAGCAGAGTTTGCAGAATTTAGTGCTCTATCTGTTGCTCTCATCTTTCCAGGATTTTCATTTCACTTTCCGGTTACTATAGGTGCCTCTTTATTCTGTGTTCTTGGTCCTCAATAATCTGGGTTTTTTTTTTCTGGTTTTAGCAACTTTGCATGTCAGCTGTGGCCTGTCTTTAGGCTAAAAGCTATAAAAAATGAGAAACATACTTTGTACTATTTCTTTCTTCTACATGTTGATCGCCCTCCAGTGTTTGGGCATTTTGTTTTCTTTCCAGTGCCTTTGGAAATTGTTTTCCATATTCTAACCATAGTTTATGGTTGTTATTTACAGGAGTTTGATCTGATAGCCATTACCAAAATTAGAAATTTAGCCAGTTTTCTGAAACAAATTCATTATGCAGGCTGAATCTTCTATATTCTACAGGTGGAATAACTGCTCTGAGGAGCCAGATTTATGAATTGTCACAGAAGAATGCTGTTAGGGTATCTGGGCTTTCCTTCTTGCAGCTGAATCAAACTACTGGAGAATAGACTGCTTATTCTCACCCATAGTCTGCCAGAGACATTAAAAAGGAGTCTAAACTTTGCTGTTAGAATTCTAAAATTATTTCACACCCCTTGTTTGAATAGGGGAGAATTAAAATATCATCCTTTGATTTCCAGAAGATAGAATTTTTGATTGACTATCCTGATGCAGGCAGGGGGTGGGTTTAGCCTATGTCTGTGTATCTCAAAGGGTGCTCATTGAGGACTCATATCAGAAGCATCTGGAGTATTCATTTAAAAAGGAGTTTTCTAGCCCACCTTTGACCTGCTGAATAATAACCTCTGTGGGTGTCTGCATTCATATGCAGGTGATGCCTACATTCATTAAAGTTTGAGAACAACTGCTCTGTATTGGTGAGTGGGGCAGGTTCTTAAGCCTGGCTATACATTAGAATCACCTGGGAAGCTTTTAAATCTTACACATTCCTGACTCATTCTTAGAGGTTCTCTTTTAATTGCCATGCTTTGGGACACAGGGATTGGTATTATTAAAAGCTACCTGGGTGATTTTAAAGAGCTTGAAGTGTTGAAAAATCACTGCGTTTTTTGAATAGTAGTTGCTTTGTAGAGGGCCAATAGAGTGACTTTTTTTAGGACATTGAGGACAATGAGAGGAAAAATAACACTAACTAGTAAGTCTCCTGAGACATTTACACAGAAAATACATTCATGAATATGGCACTAACTTCAGGATACTTTTCTGACACATTTGGGGGATAAGAAGAAGCTATGAGTTCATTCTCCAACGGCATTACTGACTTGGAAACACAGAGTGAAGACTGAACACGTTTGTTTAGTGTAGGGGTTTTCAGAACCCAATTTTGATGTACCCGAGACAGAGACAGAGAGAGAGAGAGAGAGAGAGAGAGATGGAGATGGTATGCCATGTTTCTCAAACTTACTTAATCATGTAATCCTTTCACTTGTGCAACACATATTAATACCTTGCACAAAAATATCTGGGAGATATTTGTTCCAGGAAGCATTCATACAGAACAAACACACTAGCCAAGCACAAACCTTGAAACATTCCTATTTTTAAATAATAAATTTTTAATATCTGTATTTTTTTATCTTGAAGATATCTGGATAAGAAATAGGCAATTATTTACTTATGTAGCAATCTCAGCTCTGGTATTCTTTTTATCCCTTTGGGGTGACACAATGAGAACAGATGTCATCTGCATGTGCAAAAGGGGGTTTTGTGCTACAAGTGAGAAACTCCAAAACTATACAATATAGTTTATGTAGGAACTTTTCTCCCAGATAGATGGGGAGAAAATGTTGCTCTCTCATGGAAACAATTTTTTTTGGGAAGAGATAGGGAAGATCCTTGATGCTTCCAATAACATTTTAGAATGTAAACAAATAGCTCTAGGTTTTTTTTTTTTTTAATTGAAACGTAAACACGAATCTTCAGGGAAATAAAGCTCTGTATTTTTTAGAGGCATACATCTTAACCTTACTATTCAGTCATTTGACTCATGTTGCTACCAATCTTTGCTCAAAGAGCCCTGACCAGGCAAAAACATGTACACATATTTTTTTAACAATGTCATATACTATCAACTTGGAACATCCTCACTCATTCCAAATATGTTCCTGATTCAACAATATTTTCTGGCATCAATCTTAGAAAAGCTCATGAGATGACTACCCGGAATAACTCCAGGACATGCAGACAGACTTGCAAAATACCTTCGGGCATAAAAAAAGAAAGTAAACCAGATTGCTAACCATCGTGCAAAATATTTATAGATCTCAAATATACTTACCAACCTGCCTATTTCAACTGCTTCCTCTCACCTCAAGTAATTATAATTGCTTCAAAGTCTTTATGTAATTAACTATGTTAATTAATGGTTAATTATTTAAAGGCTATGAAATCTATCCTATAACCTTGTTCTCTTACTTAAGTTCAATGCGTCATTCTGTTGGCACTTCCCTCATCAGTGAAATACCAGTTTTCACTCTATGTAGCATAATAACTCCATCTACTCTCTTTATATAGACAAGGATCCCTAATGTACATCGGAGTTATCTTATAGTCATATGACATCTGTATACCTGCTTTGCTTTGAAGCTTCCAAAAGAAGTGGATATACCTGAAGGATATACCTAAAAAAAAATAGACAACAACTTCAATTTCATCAAAACTTTGGAAGCTTTTTCAGATTCTACCTGTAGTTAGAGATTCTCTTTCTATTTAATCTGAACATGGGTAACTATGGGCTCATTAGTCTGAATTTCTCAGCCTCTCTGGAATCTAATTTCTTGATAAGCTCACAGAAAGGTGTTCATAATTCATTGATGTTCCTGAAAAATTATAATTTGTAATGGTAATTTACATATAATCCTAATTGCATTGTTTTGTCTTTTAATGTTTTTTAATTCTCAAGTAGATATCATACAGCATAATGGAAAATAGGGTGAACTCTGACTCTAAACTACCTGTGTTCAAATCCTAGCTCTGCCATGAGCTAGCAGTATAGGTGTATTAGAAGTTTTATTATTTAACCTGTCATTCAGTTTTCTTATTCTTAAAATTAGGTAATTGTTACTTATAATACACAGTTTTTGTATGATTAAATGAATTAAAGTATGAAAAGTGTTTAAAACAGAACTTATCCCTTAGTACTTAATGAATATTAACCGTTGTAGCACAGATTGTCTAAGTCTGGTTTATTAATTTCATCTGAGCATACCGTGTTTTTACCACTGCTGGATCTTTACAGCCTTTCTTCCACATATTATGAAATGAAATGTAACAGAGGCATAGTTTAAGAGCTTGAGATAGACATGGAAACCAGAAATGTGAATGGAAAATTGGGTACCAGGCCTAATTCATTGTGCGAGAGTTGAGTGGGGGTGACGGTAGCAAAAAATAGGAGATAGGGTGGGGTTTAAACAAGCCAGGTAGCAAATTAGCAGTAAGTCTTGTCTTTAAAGGCAATCAATAAAATGTAAACAATTTGAACCCTAAATCTCAAGTGGGGGCAAAGAGTTAAGCTGGGACAAAAGTGACACAGATATGGCAGTGGCTGTCAAACAAGAGACTGTTGATAAATTTTGACAACTAAGAGTATTATTATTTCTGCTGGTTCTTTTTTTTTTTCATGTGGTAATTTTACTTTTAATTTTTTGATGAACCACAACAGTGTTTTTTATAGCAGCTGCCCCATTTTACATTCTGACCAGCCGTACACAAAAGGTTAAATTTTGATATATCTTCGTTAACATTTTCTGTTTTTTTTTTTTTAAATTCTTAAAGATGTTAGTTTTTAGAGCAATTTTTTTGAGTTTTTTTTTATTTTTTTATTTTTATTTTTTAATGCTTTTAGTTCTAGGGTACATGTGCACAACGTGCAGGTTTGTTACATATGTATACCTGTGCCATGTTGGTGTGCTGCACCCATTAACTCGTCATTTACATAAGGTATATCTCCTAAGGCTATCCCTCTTCCCTTCCCCCACCCCACAACAGGCCCCAGTGTGTGATGTTCCCCTTCCTGTGTCCAAGTGTTCTCATTGTTCAATTCCCACCTATGAGTGAGAACACGCGGTGTTTGTTTTTTTGTCCTTGCGATAGTTTGCTGAGAATGATGGTTTCCTCTGCTGGTTCTTATTGTCACAGAAGACTGTTTGCCCCTAAATTTTCTCACAGGCATTTCAAGGACTTAGAAACAGTTGTAAAGATAATTTGGAAGAAATTTTCTCTTATAAGGAGAAAAGTATTCATATTGCCTGTGCCTGTCTGCTTCTGCCTCACTAGCCCCCAAGAAGGTATGTTGTATGCTCTGCCCATGAATATTCTCCACACCTATTCTGTGCCCTCCTTTGGTTTTATTTAAAATGCTTTTAACCACACCTGAGGTTATCATGAAAAAATTCTCAACTTAATTGTAAAACTGTATTTATTTATTTATTCATTTACTTCTGTTTTAATTGCTGTTTCAATTTCTTGTTTGCCTTTGATCTTGACCAATTTGGGGAACTTCCTTTTTGGTTAAGTGCTCTTTCTGTGTTTTAAAGGCTTTTTTTTCTGCACCACAGTCTCACTTACTTTTACTAATAAGCCATGCAAAGCTGTTCTAGTCATTAATTTAGGTCTATTTCAGTATGTCATTTTTATTTGTATGTTAGTGTTTCCAATTCATGTGCCATATTATGCTGAACCTCTAATACAGATGCTTGAAAATAATCTCTCAGTTTTCTGTGTATTTTTTACTTTTTAACTCACCTCCTTTTAGGTAATGTAGTATACCAATATAAATTTATGTTTGGTTGAATAATTTAATTAGTTCATTTTTCTTAAGAAGCTCACTGTAAACATAATAAGAATGTATCGACTTTATAAAAGGGTTTATGTTGCACTAGTATTCTATTAAATAGCTGTTGTAAGCTATCTTTAATCTATGTATGTAAATAGTTAATGATATAAATAAGAATTAAGGAAGTACTTAAAAATTGTATTCTTGGCAATGGCAAGCAGAGTGTTAATTAACTAGATTTAATTCTGATAAAGATTGATCCATAGCTTCTATGGAAATGGCTAAAAGTGTGACCAAAATGCCTGATATCACTGTGTTGCAGAAAACACAGATTACTGTATATTGGCATAAGCTATACAAGACTGCAGCTGCTACCTTAAAGATAAAATTGAGAGGACCTCTTCTAGTGTAGATCACCAACACATACTGTGCATATTTCCACAGACCAGCTACAGGTGACCCAGCTGGTTCCTAAGCGGTATTAAATTTAAATTGCAGACCGATTAGCAAATGTATGTATGGAAATACATGTGGTGTGTGTGTGCTTATGTAGTATGCCTGTGGCTATGTGCACGTCACGGGAAAGGGGCATGGAAGAGATTATAAGACAGCTGGCCAAAGAGGTTATATTTTCCATGAATGCTTTCATCTGAGGGATGGTGTTTTATAACCACACCCTCTAATGGATCTTGCCTGTCAATTTGTTGGATACAAATTTTCCATATCAGTTTAAACTCTGTATTCCAAAATATTTGTGCTTGCATCCTCTGGCTCTAAATAAATCTTCTATTTTCATACCTCCACCACAGCAGTTGGCCAACTGATGCTTCAGAATAGCATTAGATGGCCAAATAAGTAGCACCATCTGCTACAATTTAGAGGAATCCTCCGTGGTACTGTGACAGCTGTCTGGTTCTGAGTCCTGAACACCAGAATCCATTTGTCAGAAAGGACACATATTCAGTGTTAGAATGGCCATTTTCTATAAAAGGGATAATTTTTTCTAGCAATGCAATGCCCTATTTTTATGGAGGTCAGATTTCTGGAAACCATTGTCTAATGCTTTAAAATATAGCCCCAAAATGTGGATGTTGAGAAAACAGTCTAAGCAATCAGATTTGAAGCAAAACTTTCAAGCCATGATTTAATGTATGAAAAGTCATTACACCCTCCCTAAAAGCCTAATTACATTTACTTAATACATATTCCTTAATAAGCTTGATTATCTGGTTTGTCAGCATAGTAGAGTATCATGGAAGCTGCAAGCTAGAATTAGTTATGGTAGGGTTATAAGTGATTCGAGCTCAATAATTAGGAGTAAGTAGAGTGGTGAATTATTAGGTAGAAAATATTAAAACATGGACTATAATTTTATAAACATTATAATGACACAGTCAAATATTCACTTAATACATATGTTTACTACGATCAGGCACTTTTTTACATACCATAGTACATACAAGAGTTAGTAAGACAAGGTCCTTGTACTTAAAGAGTTTGAAATCTGGTTATATGGGATACTTCATTAATATTACCAGGCAGGCAGATTATATAAATACCATTAGAGGAACAGATCATTTAACATGAAAGCTCAGACTAACATAAGATTACTTTTAATATAGACAGATTTATTGAGGCTGTAACATTTAAAATTGTATTTAAAAATTGTAACATTTAAAAATATGTATATGATTTGAGCATACAAACACAGGGACCATGGCATTCTGGGTAAATAAAAGAGTGTGAACAACTTTGAAAGCCCAAAGAACTTCAGGAATTAGAAAGGTCCACCAAGGAACTGGAAGCTCTGTCAGTATGGAAGCTGTGTCTGTCCTGTTTTAGTGCTAGATCCCCAGTAAAAGGACTGGCACATGTTAAGCTTTCAATATTTTGTAATGTATGAAGGAGTAGCTTAGTTTTATTTCATACAAAATATCTAACATTAGATGAATAACTAAAGAGTATGTAACAGTATGAGACCAAAAGAAAAACTTGACATTATGTAACTACTACCACTATCAAAGTACAGAAAATTTTCTTCTCCCCAAAATATTTACCTATGCCTCTTTATTGTTAATTCCTTCCCCTGCTCACAGCCACAGTCAACCACTGATCTATTGTCACTATAAATTAGATTCCTTTTTTTGTGGTAATTTTTATATACATATATAAGAAACAGACATGTAGGCACACTATTTTTTTGGAGTGAACAAGCACAGACTTTGAAAAAACCTTAATATGTTCAAGAAAATATTTGACAGGATAAAGAATTTTACCAGAGAACTAGAATTTATTTTCTAAAGAAACAATATAAAAATCTTAAAAATAGAAATGTTTAAACAATAATTTTAATTATTTTTAAAATTAAGAGTTCAGTATGGATTTTAATGGAAGATTAACGGAAGAAAGCATTAGTAAGTATAAGTATAGGCTTGTAGAAAACATCCATGGTGAAATGAAAAGAGAATGGAAAATACAAAATAAAAAAATAATATGCGATACAAAGCAAACACTTTTGGGTTTTTGTTTTAGACTTAAGACATGAGTGTTTGTGTGCTCATTCCTTTGCTCCACATCATTTCCCTTGGAAGATGTCTGCTGGTAAGAGGCATGCTTCTAGGCATGCAGAAGGTAGTATTCCTCTCCAGTACAAAATAAATTTGGGCCAGATGTTGAAGGTAAAGCTAAAGATAAAGTAGAAATAAATCCTTTTTAGAAGATGAGACCAGTAATCAAAAGCATATATTTTTCTAGTAAGACCAAACGAGTAATTTTTATGTTTACATTAATTAATATTTAATCAACTTAATAAACATGTATTTTACATATTATAAAATGCACTTGGGCTGGGCGCAGTGGCTCACACCTGTAATACCAGCACTTTGGAAAGCCAAGGTGGGCGGATCACCTGAGGTTGGGAGTTTTGAGACCAGCCTGACCAACATGGAGAAACCCCGTCCCTACTAAAATTACAAAAATTAGCCAGGCATGGTGGCACATGCCTGTAATCCCAGCTACTCGGGAGGCTGAGGCAGGAGAATCACTTGAACCTGGGAGGTGGAGGTTGCGGTGAGCTGAGATCGTGCCATTGCACTGTAGCCTGGGCAACAAGAGCAAAACTTGTCTCAAAAAAAAAAAAAATGCACTCACTTAAAATATAATTTAATGTGTCCAAAAAATGCATAGAACATTCACATCATTCCTAAAAGCTCTTATATGCTACCTTACAGTTAAACCTTACCCACTCTTGGCCACAGTCAACCAGTAATGTGTATTCTGTCATGTATATTAGATTCCCTATTTTTTTTTAATGTGTCTAACTTCTTTTCCTCAGCAGAAGGTCTTTGAGGTATATCTGTGCAGTTGCATTTATCAATATTTACTTCCTTTTTTCTGAGTAATATTTTATTGTATAGATATACCAAAATTTATCTATTTGCCAGGAGATAGACATTTGATTGGGTTCCAGATTTCGAATACTACGAATAGAGCTGATATACAAGTTAATGAACACATTTTTGTGTAAATATTTGTGTTCATTTGTTTGAAGTAAATTCTTTACAGGATAATTGTTGGGTCATACGGCAAGTGTATGTTAAATTTTATAACAACTGTTTTCCAACTGTTTAACATCATGTTATACTCCCATGAACAAGAAAATGTTCATTCTTCCACACAACTGCTAACACGTGAAATTTTCAATTTTTATTATTTTAGCCATTATGATGGGGTGAAGTAGTATCTCACTGTGGATTTACTCTATATTTTCCTGATGACGGATAATCTTGAGCATTTTTTTATGTGCTTATTGGTCAATTTTGTGTTTGTTTGGCATGATGTGATTGGTAGAAAGCCACCCAATTCCCAGTTCCATCCCTCAAAACAGAAGAAAAAGGGTAGAACATGTTTGCAATTTTCTAGCCTGTCTGTGAACTAGTTCCGTTATTGCCTTATCCAGAGCACAGATAAGGTCCACAGCATAGTTTGAATCTCAGGTTAGAAGCCACAGAGGTGGTAGTGAGCATCATGACTTGGGACAACTTCAGGGCAACTGCAGATCTGTGGGCACCTTTGTGAAAGAATTAAGGGCAGAGGTATACATGAAGGGCTCCACAAAGCAACTGGGAGAAATTTTTAGGAAAATTAACACATTTAAAAACAGTCATATATTTAGAATAATTGGAACAAAAGTATACACACAGACTCGGGGAAGATGAATGCACAAAAAAAGCCTGAGAGAACCCTACCTAACTGATTAGGGACCATCTTCTCCCTCACATAGCCAGTTTGCAAAGGCTAGTGGATATGACTGTTTCTTTCAAATACCCAATTTTAATAGATCACAAGGTATACAAAAACAAAAAAGAAAAATCAGATAAACATAGCCTATTCAAAGGAACAAAATACGTCTCCAGACACTGACCCTAAATAAACACAGATTTCAGACTTACTAGACAAAAACTTTAAGACTCTCTTAAATATGCTGAAAGAGCTAAAGGAAAATGCAAAAAAAAATACTAAAGGAAACTGGAAAAATATATAATATATGAACAAAATAATAACATCACCAAAGAGATAGGAATTATATTAAAAAATAATCAAACAAATTGGAGAGCTAAAAAGTGCAACAAACACATTTAAAAATTCACTAGAGAAGTCCAACAGCAGTTTTGAATAGGCAGGAGAATAAATTAGTGAACTTGAAGGCAGATCATTTGAAATTATTGTGTCTGAAGAGCAAAAAAAAAGAGAATGAAGAAAAGTGAACAGAGCCTAAGGAACTTATGAGCCTCCATTAAGTAGACCAATATATGTATTGTAGAAACTTCAGAAGAATAAAAAGAGAAAAATACACAGTTAATGGGGAGGAATAATGTCCAAAAACTTCACAGATTTGAGGAAAGATGGGGATAACAAACAGAAGCAGCTCAACAAACTCTAAGTAAGAGAAACCTGCAGAGCCCCATACCAAGACACACTATAAACCAACTGTAAAAAGACAAAGACAAAGAGAGAATCTTAGAAGTAGCAAGAGAAAAGCAACTTATCACAAAATAAGGGATCCTCAATTAAATTGCTAGTGAATTTTGCAGCAGGAACTGTGCAGGCCAGAAGGCAATGGGCTGACATATTTAAAATACTGAAAGAAGGGGTGGGGGTAAAACCTGTCAACTGATAATCCTACATCCAAAAAACTGTCCTTCAAAAATGAGGGAGAAATTGAGACACTCCAAGAAAAAAATTCTGCATTTTCAATAATGGGTAAAACAACCAGACAGAAGATCAATAAGGAAATAGAGGACATGAACAACACCATAGACCAATTGGATCTAAGAGACATACACAGAACATATCATTCAGCAATAGATATTTTTCTCAAGTGCACGTGTGACATTCCCCAGGATAGACTGTATGTTTTCCACAAAACAAGCTTCACTAAATTTAAGAAGAATGAAATCATACAAAGTATGTTTTCTGTTCTCAATAGAAGAAAATTAGCAATAGAACAAGAACTAGAAAATTCACAAAAATGTGAAGATGAAACAACACACACTTAAACAACCAATGAATTAAAGAAGAAGTCACAAGAGAAATTTGAAGTCTTGAAATAAATGAAAATAAAAACACAACATACCAAAACTTATGGGATGCAGTGAAAACAGTACTAAGAGGAAAATTTATAGCTATAAGTGCTTGCTTTAAAAAAGAAAAATCCCATATGAACAACTTAATCTTATACCTTAAAGAAATAGAAAAAAAAAAAGTAATCTAAACCCAAGGCCACTAGGATGGCTATTACAAAAAAAAAAGCAGAAAACAACATGTTGACAAGGATTTTTTTTTTAATTGCAACTCTTGTACATTTATAGTAGGAATGTAAAATGGTACAGCTGCTATGGAAACAGTATGATGATTCCTCAAAATATTAAAAATAAAATTAACACATAATCCAGCAATTCCTCCTCTAGCTAGGTACCTAAAAGAATGTTAGTCAAGACCTTGAACAGGTATTTGTACATCCCTGTTTATGGCAGCATTATTTACAATAGCTGAAGGTGGAAGCAAATTAGGAGTCCATCAATAGGTGAATGAATAAACACAATATGATCTACACTTACAAAGGAATATTAGTTAGCTTTATAAAGAAAGTAGGTTCTGACACACATTACAACGTGGATAAAGCTCGAAGACATTGTGCTAAGTGAAACAGACACACAAGGACATATACTGCCTGATTCTACTTATATCAGGTAAGTAAAGTAATCAAGTTTATTTAAAAAAAAAAAAAAGAAAGTAGAAAGATGGTTTCCAGGGGCTAGGGAGAAGGGGAAAGAAGAGTTATTTAACATGTCCAAAGTTTCAATTTTACAAGGTGTAATGAATTATGGAGGTGAATGGTGTTAACAGTTGTTGCACAGCAATGTGAATCTTCTTAAATGCCACTGAAACAACACTCAAAATGGTTAAAATTATTTTAAAAGCCTCACTCAGTATTTTTTGAAAACAGCTATTTTTTCATATAAATTCAATTTATGTCAACATATAATGGGTTTATCATTGTAATTTTAAAATAAATTAATAAGTAAAGATTTTTAAAGTTTCCAAAAAATTGTTGTGGCTACTCCCAGTCACTGTGTCACCTTATAAATTGTGTAATCTGGTTTTTAATTTCTACTAAGAAAATTGCCTGATGGAATTTTTATTGTGATTATGGCTAGACAATTTTCCACCCATCACTCGTGTTTCTGCACATTTTGTTGCACTGATTGCCTTTCCTCTGGATTATTTTTTCACAGATGTTTCTATAGTGACCATCCTCAAAAGATGATAAAGATAATATCTTTCTTTAGAGCAAAGGGCATATTTTCTTACAGGCTTAGATGGTAACTATAATGTCTTCCCTGGAGCATAGAAGCATATTTGTTGCATATGCTTAATACTCCTTAGAAATGCTTCAGATTTTCTAGGCTCAGGGTTCTTCTCCTGTAAAAAAAAAAAATGCAGCATAGGTTAATGTGTCAATTGGTTGTCTTTGTATCACCTGCAGAAATTAGGGTTGAGAGAGCTGACCAAAAAGATACACTGATACCCTAGCTACTGCTATCGCTGTGAAGAATAAATTTCTTCATCTCTGATCAAAAGTTTTATGTCTTCATATTAAAAATATATTGAGATCTATTTTATTATTCATCATATTATGTAACTTAATAACATTTTGTGTGCACTTGAAAAGAATATGCATTCTACTATTATTGAGTGACGTGTTCTATAAATGTTCACTAAGTCACTGGATGCATAGTGAAGGTCAAATGCTCTGTATTCTTACTGATTTACGTCTACCGGTTCTATCAATTTCCCAGAAAGGAGGGTTAAAGTTCTATACTATAATTGTATGTCTATTTCTCCTTTGAGCGCTATCAGTATTTGCTTTCTACATTTTGGGGCATTTCTGTTATGTGCATAATCATTTAGGGTTGTTACTTCTCTTAATAAATTGACCCTTTTATCATTATTGAATGTCTATCTTTATGAATGGTCAAATTCTTTGAACTAAAGACTGTTCTAATATTCAGTAGCCACTCACACTTTCTTATAATTACTCCGTTGTATTGTATATCATTTTTCATTCTTTTCCTTTTTAAAATATGTGTGCTACATATTTTAAATGCAATTATTGTAAATATAGTACAAAGATGCATGCTGCCTTTTTTATCAGTCTGACAACCACTGCCTTTTATTTGAAGTATATGAACTATTTATATTTAACTTTTTTATCTGGAGGTGTTTAAGTCTACCATCATTCTATTTGTTTTATATTTGTTGCAACTGATCTTCATTCATTTTTTTATCATTTTCCTGTCTTTTCATTCAGACTTTTTAATACTTAGTTTTACATTCATTGTTGACTTATAAGTTATATCTCTGTTTTTCTTTGTAATGGTTGCTTCAGACTTACGATGTAAAATTTTAATATATTATGAGCTATCTTCAATCTATATTAAAATATTATTATAGCACTTCACGTATGTATGATGTATGCATCTTACTGCAATGTGCTTTCATTTCCTTCCCCCATACTTGTACTATTCTTGTCATAGATTTTACTTTCCTATATCTTGCAATTCATTGTTATAGTTATTATGCAATAGGCTCTCTCTATTTTAACAATTTTTTAAATGAGAAAAAAAATTTTCTATTTTTTTCACACTTTAACCATCCTTTATTGCTTTTCTAAGGTACATGTTCCCACCTGAAGAACTTCCTTGAAGATGTCTTATAGTGCAGGTCTGCTGTTTATCTTGCTTAGGGTTCATTAAACTTCTTGGATTTGTAAGTTTATCATTTTCATCAGTTTCAAAACTAATTTTGACTATATTTCTTTACATATTTTTGGACCACTCTTTTTTTAAATTTGCAATAAAAATACATGTTTGGTTGACCACTTGATATTGTTCTACAAATCATTAAGGCTTTGTTTATTTCACTTTTTTAGTTTTATTTCTCTGTGCTTCAGTTTGGATTGTTTATATTGTTATGACTTCAAATTCACTGATCTGTACTTCACAACAAGTATGCTAATAAGTGCACCCAGTTACTGTTTTCATATTAGATACATTATTTTGAAGTAATTGTCTACTAGTTCCTTTATATCTATCATTTATATGTTTTTATGTATAGATGTTTCTCCTGGTTATGAAAGTCATTTTTCTGTGTATCTATATTTGTTAATTTTAGATCAGATGCTGGCCATTTTTATATTATATGGATGAGTGTCCAGATTCAGTTATATTCTTTTAACAACTGTTGAAATTTATTCTGGCAGATAGGTAAGTTACTTGCCAATCAACTTGATTTTGGGGGGTTAGTTTTAATCTTTGTTAGGAAAGTTATATGATATGCTTTTCTCCAGGACTATAATAGTTTGAGATTACTATTAAGGATGGACCTTTCTGAGGTCTCTAATGAATCTTTGAGCTTTTGATGAGGATTCTAACCTCTGGCTGGTTGTAAGATGAATGTCTCTTACTCCTGTGTAAGCTTAGGAATTATTTAGATTACCACTTTCTGATAGGGTGTGTGTGTGTGTGTGTGTGTGTGTGTGTGTGTGTGTGTGTGTGTGTGTGTTTGGCTTGTTATCACAGAGTTTTACTGTATGCATCTATGGCTTGATATTTAGCAACAGATCCAAGCAAGCCCCTATACAGAGTTTTGGAGAACTTTCTCTGCATAACTCTCTCCTTCCAGTTCCCTAGCCTAAAACTTCTTCCTGCCTTAGCTTTCTCATACTCTAATCTCTATTTCCTCAACTCAAAAATACGGCCATGCTTGTTTCAGTCCTTCTTCGTGGCACTGAATTCTTGGAAGTAACTGCTGAATTAAAGCCAGAGAAAGTATAGAATATTCGTTCTCTGAAAGATCAAAGTCTCCTGGGTCCTCTTTTCCAGTACCTAATAAATTTTCATTAAAGTTTTATTAAATTTTTAATTCTTTGGTGGACAAGTTAAATATTTTTGAAATCTGAAGTGTAATATATACATATGGCATTAATAAGAAGAGATATTGAAATTTGCATATTTGGTTCAGAATAAAAATTTTAATTTGGTTTTAGGGAATGACAAATATAATATTTTAATATAATAAAATAATCAATGAAATATACCAAAATTATGGGCAAAAATAAATTACAAATTTTATGCAATTTGATTTTTAAAATTCTCTTCTTTGAACATCGAATAGTGTCAGAACAGAATCTCTAAATTATTGGCTCTTACTTTCTATAGTGTACAAGAATTGGGTAAAATATTTGCCAATGAGCAGATTCCTGAGTTCAAACTCAAGATCTTATAATTAATGAAGTTTTGGTTGGCCCAAAAGTATCATCATTTTTAGTATTACTCCTGTTGATTCTGATGTAGAAGGTCCAAGAGAAAATTCAGATGAAATGTCCTTGTGTTGTTATTTTCCTTCTGAGTGACTGTTTAATGATAAGTGGCCATATTGATTCTGCAAGATGAAAGCATAATTTAAGTGTCAGAGTATCTGGAAGCTATGTGCATCTTATGTTTGACCACTCCAAATTAGTAAACATGGAAACTAAACATTTTGTTTTCTTTCTATGATAGTTAATTTTATGTGTCAACTTGACTGGGCCACAGGATGCTGAGATACCTGGTTCAACATTATTTATGGGTGAGTCTGTGAGACTGTTTCAGGAAGAGATTAGCATTGGAATCATAGGCTGAGTACAGTACATTACCCTTCCCAATCTGGGTTGACATCATCTAATCCATGCAGGACATGAATAAAACAAAATTGTGCAACAAGGCAGGATTCATCCTCTCTCTACCTGACTGATTGGGCTGGAACAGCAGTCTTCTGTCCTGAGTATTCCTGGTTCTCAGGCTTTCAGAGTCAGGCTGGAATCCACACCACTGGCTCCTTGGCTCTCAGGCCTTCCTGCTATACCACAGACATTCCTTGGTCTCCAGCTTGCAGATAGCAGATTGTGAGAGTTCTCAGCCTCCATAATTTTGTGAGCCAATACCTTATATAAGTCTCTTTCTAGATGTATGCATATATCTAGAATATATCTGTTCCAGAGAAACAGAACCAATAGGATATATATTTACACACACACACATATATATATGCACACAGGTGTACATATATACAGTTCAAGAAATTAAAGGAGATGATATTTAAATTTGGCATAAATTAAATCTTACCATGCAGGTAGCTTGGACAATGTAGCTTGAACACACAAGTATATGTATACATATATACACACACATACTTGTAGCATATATATACAATGTAGCTTGAACACAGAAATATATATATACACACGTGTGTACATATATACATATATACACATATATACATATACATATGTATATACATATATACTATATATATAATGTAGCTTGACCACACAAATATATATATATATGCACATGTGTGTACATATATACAGTTCTATATACAGTTCAAGAAATTAAAGGAGATATTTAAGTTTGGCATAAAGTAAATCTTACCATGCAGGTAGCTTGGATGATGTTTTAGGTGCCTTATAAGAAAGACATATTTGAAATGTTTAATGCAGTTCAGTTGGAAGCTCAAACCATCCTAAATCTAGAAATACATTAAAAAATAAAATGCCACTTGTGACAAGGTCTCATAGCACTTAAGTTTAGGTTTTAATTTTCTCCAAAAGGCATTTAGTAGCAGGCAATATGCCATTTACTAGTATTTTTTACTCTCTGATTAATTACTTGGTTGACAAAATAAAAAATATTTTCTCTGATGTGTCTCTGAAGCCCACTGTGGGCAGGAAGATGTGGAAGGCTAAAGGGTGCTCTCTCCATACTGTTTTCCTCTGTCTTCTGCCCAAATTGATCCTCTTGCTGTTGGGGAGGGTTCACCATGCCCATAGAAAACACTGATGTATAAAAGCTGCAGTTAGGTGAATCCACCAATACATTGAATACTGAGACATGCTAGTGTTGTTTTGACAGATTAATGTCAGATTAAAACAATAACAGGCCTAGGAGAACTATTTTGACAAGTAACCTTCTAAGGATGGATGACCATTTCATGCTTGGCTCCTTTCTTGGCTTCAGGAAAAATATAAGAAAGATCAGGCGCTGATTCTGAAAATGTTATTTTGGGAAAAACATTCTTCCTTGCACTTCTAGAGCTCATCTATTTTTCCTCAAACTGGAAACTTGCCAGTCTGCCCAACAGTGGAGAAACCACTAAGCTTCCACTCAAACCCATGGAATGGTTTCTGATTGCTGGAGGCTCTCAATCTGTCCCGGAAACTGCCTTTACTAAAAGTTGCAAAGTACAACAGTATTGACTCTTGTCAAAACTAGAAAGAAAATGTAAAAATTGTCTTGGTGGTCCTAGATGTATATTTTTGAAAAATCTAGGTGTATTTTAGCAAGTATTAATGTAGGAAAGTCTAAATTCACATCCCTACTTGTTTTTATCTTCCTACTTAATAAAACCTATTCTTTCTTGAGCAGTTACTATACAGACAGACATGAAGCACTTTGCATAGCTTTCTCATTAGATCTTCATAGCCATCTTATGAGGTAGATGCTATTATTATACCTATTTTGGAGGCAAGACAACTGAGGATAAATATTAAATAACCTGTTTAAGAGCAAAAATGACTATTAGATAGGGCCAATAAATGGCAGAGTTCAGGTCTCAATCCAGGGTTATCTGGCTCTAAAAATCCGTGGTCTTAGTGATTACACTGTATTTTAACATCTTAACCTGTACCTTCTACAGCTATTGGCTACATCTATAGGATGCCTCTGCCTGTAATCTCCATTTTTCCCTGACATGAAAATATATCATCAACCTTACTGAGTTTTGGAATTAAAAATTTCTTCTAGGCTTAAAAGTCAATTCTTCAGTCACACTTGATAGATGACTTTCCTTGGATCCTCTTTAGTTAGTTCCCTTTTCTTATCAACAAGATTCAGAATCTAGCACTGTAGAAATAAGATGCCCATATTTTCTTAAGACACATTAATTCCTGTGACCCCTTCTCTTCCAGTGTTGACCGGCTCTGGAATTCTACCTGGGTTTGTACTTCTCATTTTATCTATTTCTTGAATGAGCCCCATTTTGAAGACTGAAATACAATTTTTCACCCCAGGATGTTCCCAAAGTTCTTCTTGTCTTTTGTGTTCTTATTTTCTAGACTCTGTTATGATACCATATTTTGTACTAGGCATCTTCTACTTATGGACAGACTGTTTAATGATGACTACCACCTGAATTCTCTGTTGTTATGGGTGGATCAGATTTCTTGTTGCTACTTGATGGATATCCTTGGACAAACATTTATTAAGTATTTTCTGAGTGCAGGCTCTGTGCTGGGGGCTTCAAATACACAAATTGTCTGTCATATATTCATAGTCTATTGACTCTGCCTTATATTAAGATGCAGTCAATATTTCCTTTGGTTGGTTAGAATTATTTACTGTTTTTGGCCAGGTGCGGCGGCTTACACCTGTAATTCCAGCACTTTAAGAGGCCGAGGCAGGTGGATCATGAGGTCAAGAGTTCCAGATCAGTCTGGCCAACATGATGAAACCCCGTCTCTACTAAAAAGCCAAAAATTAGCCAGGCGTGGTGGTACGCACCTGTAGTCCCAGCTACTCAGGAGGCTGAGGCAGGGGAATTGCTTGAACCTGGGAGGCAGAGGGTGAAGCAAGCTGAGATCATGCCACTGCACTCCAGCCTGGGTGACAGAGTGAGACTCTGTCTCCAAAAAAAAAAAAAAAAAATTATTCACTGTTTTTGTCTTGAAGTTGTTTTCTTCCCATCTCCCCTTGGTAGGAATATCTCTGCTTGATTTGTTGTAGTTCTATTTTCTGGCCCAGATTTGCTGAAGACCTACTTCTCCACATGTATGAGAGTTTCAGAGTGACACCTCTTATTTCAGCTCTTACCTCTCTTTTATACCACTTCTGAGATATGACTTGAACCTGATCATGATAATTACTTGCCTTTGTCCTTTAGATACATCCTCTGATGGTGTGGACTTTCTCACTCTATCAGCAATTAGAGAATAAGCAATAGAGACCTCAGAAATAACACCACACATCTACAACTATCTGATCTTTGAAAAACCTGACAAAAACAAGCAATGGGGAAAGGATTCCCTATTTAATAAATGGTGTTGTGAAAACTGGCTAGCCATATGCAGAAAACTGAGACTGGACCCTTTCCTTATGCCTTATACAAAAATTAACTCAAGATAGATTAAAGACTTAAACATAAGACCTAAAGCCATAAAAACCCTAGAAGAAAATCCAGGCAATACCATTCAGGTCATGGGCATAGGCAAAGACTTCATGAATAAAACACCAAAAGCAATTGCAACAAAAGCCATAATTGACAAATGAGATCTAATCAAACTAAAGAGCTTCTGCACAGCAAAAGAAACTATTATCAGAGTAAACAGGCAACCTACAGAATGGGAGAAAATTTTTATAAACTATCCATCTGACAAAGGGCTAATATCCAGAATCTACAAAGAACTTAAACAAATTTACAAGAAAAACACAAACAACCCCATCAAAAAGTGAGCAGAGGATATGAACAGACTCTTCTCAAAAGAAGATATTTATGTGGCCAACAAACATATGAAAAAAAGCTGATCATCACTGGTCATTAGAGAAACGCAAATCAAAACCACAATGAGATATCATCTCATGCCAGTTAGAATGGTGATCATTAGAAAGTCTGGAAACAACAGATGCTGGAGAGGATGTGGAGAAACAGGAACACTTTTACACTGTTGGAGGGAGAGTAAATTAGTTCAACCATTGTAGAAGACAGTGTGGTGATTCCTCAAGCATCTAGAACCAGAAATACCATTTTACCCAGGAATATCATGACTGGGTATATACCCAAAGGGTTATAAATCATTCTACTATAAAGACACATGCACACGTGTTTATTGCAGCACTATTCACAATAGCAAAGGCTTAGAGCCAACCCAAATGCCCATCAGTGATAGACTGGATAAAGAAAACGTGGCACATATACACCATGGAATACTATGCAGCCATAAAAAAGGATGAGTTCATGTCCTTTGCAGGGACACGGATGAAGCTGGAAACGATCATCCTCAACAAACTAACACAGGAACAGAAAACCAAACACCACATGTTCTCACTCATAAGTGGGAGTTGAACAGTGAGAACACATGGACACAGGGAGGGGAACATCACACACTGGGGCCTGTCAGGGTTGGGGGCAAGGGGAGGGAGAGCATTAGGACAAATACCTAATGTGGGGCTTAAAACCTAGATGACAAGTTGATAGGTACAGCAAACCACCATGGTACATGTATACCTATGTAACAAACCTGCACGTTCTGCACATGTATCCCAGAACTTAAAGTAAAATTAAAAAAAAAACTGTAAATATATAAATCAATAAAAAATAAATTACAGTGTGTTTATTTGGTAAGCCTTAGCAGGATCACATAGAAAGAGTCAAAAATATATTTTTAAAAATTATTGGATCACAGGCACACATTCATTTTTGTGCTGTTATTGGCTGTTTTTATACCACAATTGTATGAAAAGTTGAGTCACTGTAACAGAGCACCTACTGCCTACAAAACCTAAAGTACTTACTATCTATCTGATCTTTTACAGAAAAGTTCACCCCCACTTATTCTATGACATTCTTAAACTCCCTGGGAAGCACATTAAATAATAATACATGGCTACCTTAAGTACTCTAATGATTAGAAGAATAAATTAAAATGAATGAACAGCATAATGAAAAGGATATACTCTTAGACGCCTCATTTCTTTGGCCACTTAGGTCTCATAGCCTGAGTAATAATAAAGGAGGCATTATGCTTGAGTCATATTTATATTTTCCAAGTCTCTGGCTATATTGGTTACCCATGATCCCACATTGCTCTCATCTTTCTTCCAGAAAGGATGCCCAACAGTCTCTTCATAAGTTTGCATGAAGCAGTTCAAAGGGTTTAGAGTCACGGGGCCTTTGTTTGCCATGTTGCCAAACTGAAGCAAGCACTGCTTGCTTCAGTTTTGTCCCATCTTCTCCAATTCCATGTTCCACCACTGACTTTGGTTCTCAAGCAGAAGCAATCTTCATTCTACACTTACCACTTTTATATTTCATCTGGCTTTGTTTGTCTTCTAAATATAAACAGCCTATGCATCTTTGAAAATGTAGATTTGGTCTTTAGGTTTGTATCTCTCTCTGCTTAAAGACTTCTACCAAGTTTTCTAGGGACTAAACCAACTTTCTAATAATAACAACAACAGCTTTGCATACTTATTATATAAGAATCCTAATGATAATAAGCATTATAGTGTAATAATAAGCTGTGATAGTTTTGAATGCTTATTATATGTTATATGTGGGAAATGGTTCCAAGTTCTGCACATAAATTAACTCATTTAAGCCTCACAACATTTCAGTCAGTCTGGCACAAGAACATATGCACTTAATCAATATGCAAAAGACATATTACTAGGCAGTTTTTGTTGTTTTCAGCATGGGAAGAGCATAAGAAAGTGGTATTACTAGTTAAATGTCTTTAAGGGAATTCCCTAAAAATATAGTGCATATACAGCTACACAGACAAATATGTACATATATATGTATATACCTAATACATGTACATATATACATACAATGTAGTAAGTATACAATAAATTTTGGTAGCTAGATGCATAGAAAATTTGTTTTATTCACCAAAAATATTGTCAAATGTCTACTATATGGCAGGCATTGTAGTTTGAAAGGAATGTTTTAACTGTTTATCTGATGTATACATACTCAAGAATTATATTACTGAGAGTAATAAACTCACATAAATTGGATAAAAACACAAAAATAAATAACTTTTCCTAGCATATAAGGGTAACTTATGGAAGATAAGTTCAAGAAATACAAGAAGCAAGCAGTTTGGGATCACATTAGTCTCCATCTGTCTTTCCCAATCTCTGTCATTCTTTCTCAGTCTCCCTTTCTCACTCCTGCTGATCATATCTACCAGAGTCAGTCCTTTCCTGGTAGTTCTGAGCATCTACCTCCTTTAATCTGCCTTTCTGTAGACAGCCTCCCTCTGTCTCTGAGTAAACATGGAAGGCCATACACTATAAGTCCCTATGACACTAACTAGAACTTCTGGGTCCAAACCACAGATTTCCCGGAGAGGAAATCGCTGAGTCAACTGGAATGAGATGTCCTCTTCTGTCCAATCAATAATGCCTGACAGCAGGGTTGGTGTACATTCATATGATCTCCTAAGGGAACAGAATCTCTAAGACTGCCTTAAATAGGGCATGAAAACTGGGTAACAGTTTTGCTGTATACAAATATATTTCACTGTATACAAAATATATCACTGTACAAAAATATAAGTTTGCTCTGTACAAAATATACTGACCTTTTTTTCTCCCTCTGAGTGCCTAGCAGCTATGGTAATTTCCCTAAAACCAATTAACAATACTTTTAACTGCCCTCAAAGATTATGAGAAAATCTCTTATAATGTATTCTTATAAAGAACACCTTAAATATGATAAAGGCACATCATGTTCCTAGACCTTCCTTCCTTGGATGGTGTAAGTCCCTGGTATCTCTATATCCCTAAGTTTGCTTGTAATGCCAATGAAAGTTAAGGTGGTGGCTATAAATGCCATACTTTCTGATACTACTTGTAGTCTCTTCAACTTCATACTTCATCCTTCTCCCCAGAATGCCAGTTGGTATACTTCATCCTTCTCCCCAGATTGCCAGTTGGTATACTTCATCCTTCTCCCCAGATTGCCAGTTGGTAATCTACAAAGACTAGCCAGAGGATACAGAAAAGGTAAAATGGGAACATTTCAAGTGGTATCCTCTAGACCTGCAGGAATCATAAAACTGGGCTACCCAAGTGAACTGGTTAGCACTGCTAAGTGGGTAATAAAAAAAATTTGCCACTTCTATGGCAGAATTCCGCTACTGATTTCCTTTTCTCAATACTCTCCATAGGTCAAATGCTGAATCTGAAATCACATAGCTATTACTGAAGAGACGCTACCAAAGAGATGCATTGAGAGATGTTCAAACAGCCTATTGCGTAGCTAGAGTCATTTCGGTATCAGTTTTACTGAAGTAACAAGTCTTTTTTTATTTTTAATTCAAAGTAAAAATGTTTACCTTATTTGAGTAAATAGTTGGGGTTATTATTTGCTTTTAGCATATTTACAATTAAGAAAGATTTATGTACATAATGTAGACATGGAAGAAATGAAACAAATATGAAAAAGAGCCTCAATTCCTTAAACAACTAACAAGAATTAGAAAAGAAAACAAACTTTTGGGTAGAGATCTGTGTAGACATACCACAAAGGCATATCACACATGAGCATACAACTTACCAGACACAGAGCATTCTCATATAATCATCCCAATTGCCTAAATTCTGTTTGTCATAAAATTCTCCCAAGTTCTCTCCTATGGAAGTTTTAAAGATGGTGTAAAAGCATAGATACAATACATGTGGACCTCTGGATATACTCTAGAATGTAATTTTTAAAAGCCATTTATGAATTTATTCTATCTCTACTTCCCTTTTTAAGTTCCTGCTACTAACATTTTGCAGATTTGATTAACCCACACTGAAAGAGATGCTTTCTCTAGAAATACAAAAAGTGGCAAATTGTTTTAGTATTAACTACCATGCTGACCAAGTGAAAGTGAGATTTAACAGGAAAGTTATTATTTTAATTATATCTAGATCAGTGGTAGATCTAGTTGGACTGCTCCTGACAATCCCTCAGAGTTCTAAAACAAATGCCTAGGTCTCACCCCAGAGACTCTGATTTGTCTGTGGTAATCTCCGGGCACTAGTATTCTTAAAATAAGCTTAAGTTTTTTAACATTTTCAAATTTAGAGGAAAGTTGCACAGATAGATCCCATATGACTTTCTCCATTTCCCTTCTTATTAACATCTTACATTGCCCTGGTACATTTGTCGCAACTAAGAAACCGGCACTGGCACATTACGATTAACTCCAGTCTTCATTCAATTTCTGTAACTTTCCCACTAGTGTCTTTTTTATTTTTATTTTTTATTTTTGCTCCAGAATACCATTCATGATATAATATTACATTTTGTCATGTCTCCTTCATCTTCTCAAGACCATGATAGTTTCTCATCCATTCCTGGATTTTTATTTTTATTTTTAAAATGTCTTAATTTTTAATTGTCGTGGGTACATGGTCGGTATATTTGTGGGGCACATGTGATGTTTTGATACAGACATGCAATGTGAAATGATCACATGATGAAGGATTGGGTATCCATCCCTCCAAGCATTCATCCTTTGTGTTATAGTCCAATTACATTCTTTTAGTTATTTGAAATCTACAATTATTATTGACCATAGTAACCCTGTTGTGCAATCAAATAGTATGTATTATACATTCTTTCTATTTTTTTGTACCCATTAACCATCTCCACCACCCCCTAACCCACCACCCCAACCCTTCCCAGCCTCTGGGAGTCATCCTTCCATTCCTTATTTTTAATGATCTTGACTCCTTTGAAGAATATTGGCCAGGTATTTTGAAGAAGATTCCTCAATTGGGCTTTTATTTTTTTATCATGGTTAGACTGGGGCTATTGGTTTTTGGAAAGAATACCACAGAGGTGAAGTGCCTTTGTCATTCATATTAGGGAGTAAAGTCTGTGAATGTAATTCATCATAGTGTATGTTAATCTTGATCACCTACCCAACGTAGTATTTTCCTGTTTCTTCACTGTGAAGTTATTTCTTCCTCCCTTCACATACCCATAATTTATTTTGTTTTAATCAAGTCATTAAGAGGAGTGGGGAGGGGGAAGGAAGGAGGTAAGTTTCACCTGCTTCAGGGGAGAATACAAAAATGGTTTGTGATTCTTTCATAAAGAAGATTTCTCTCTTTTCCTACATTTATTTACTTAATATTATATTTATACAAATATGGACTTGTGGGTATTTGTCTTATACTTTGGACTGTAACTCAAAACTATGTTATTCATTTTGTTACTCAAATTTTTCCATCTTTGGCCATTGGGGCCTCTTTCTGGTTGGCTGTGTTAATATTTTAAGAGGCCACCAGATGGTTCTCAAGTACAGCCAGGATCTGGAATTCTGATTTATATACAATAGATCCATGTTCTCAAAGTGTTGTCCCTAGACAAGCAGCATCACCATTTTCACTCGTGTCCGTGTGAAGAGACCACCAAACAGGCTTTGTGTGAGCAACAAAGCTGTTTATTTCACCTGGGTACAGGTGGGCCGAATCCGAAAAGAGAGTCAGTGAAGGGAGATAGGGTTGGGGCCGTTATATAAGATTTGGGTAGGTAAAGGAAAATTACAGTCAAAGGGGGGTTGTTCTCTGGTGGGCAGGAGTGGGGGTCACAAAGTGCTCAGTAGGGGAGCTTTTGAGCCAGGATGAGCCAGGAGAAGGAATTTCACAAGATAATGTCATCAGTTAAGGCAGGAACAGGCCATTTTCACTTCTTTTGTGGTGGAATGTCATCAGTTAAGGCAGGAACCGGCCATCTGGATGTGTACGTGCAGGTCACAGGGGATGTGATGGCTTAGCTTGGGCTCAGAGGCCTGACATTCCTGTCTTCTTATATTAATAAGAAAAATAAAATGAAATAGTGGTAAAGTGTTGGGATGGTGAAAATTTTGGGGGGTGCCATGGAGAGATAATGGGCGATGTTTCTCAGGGCTGCTTCGAGTGGGATTAGGGGTGGCGTGAGAATTTAGAGTGGGAGAGATTAAGCTGAAGGAAGATTTTGTGGTAAGGGGTGATATTGTGGGGTTGTTAGAAGAAACATTTGTCGTATAGAATTATTGGTGATGGCCTGGATATGGTTTTGTAGGAATTGAAAAACTAAATGGAATAAGAGAAGGAGAAAAACAGGTATTAAAGGACTAAGAATTGGAAGGACCTAGGGCATCTAATTAGAGAGTGTCCTAGGTGGTTCAGCGTAATTACTTACTTGGTTGGCAAGTTTTTGGGCTTTATCCTTGAGTTTTTTATGTCGTCATACACCAGGCCAGATTGATTTAGGTAAAAACAACACTCTTCATTTAAGAATATACAGAGTTCTCCTTTTTCAGCTGTGAGTAAGTCAAGGCCTCGGCGGTTTTTGGAGGACAACTGCAGCTAAAGAGTCAACTTGGGCATGGAGGACTGATAAAGTTTGTGATATGTCTGTGATGCTAGCAGAGAAGTCATTAGACAGGCTATGGAAGGTCGTGACAGAGGTCGAAGTGCCTGCTATTCCCGTACCGAGAGCGCTAGTGGAGGCAGAAAGTCTTAAACCGACAAGAAAGAGAATTAGTGGAATAACTCTTTTTTGTTGTGTCGGTGTCATGAGAGGAACAGGGAGCTCTTCGGTCCTATTTGCAAATTGAATTTTGGGAGTAGGAAAACTAGTGTGCATGTGCCTGTCCAATTAGCAGGTAGACACATGTAGGTAGAGGATCCACAGAGGAAGAAGAGACCTTGTGCGAGGCAAAACTGGAGATGCAAAGTAAAAAGATGAGAAGGAGTGCTGAAAGGGGTGTCTTGTACCTAGACTCCTAGGGATGCAGCTAGGGCAGCAGCAGTCAGAGGTTGTAATAGGGTCTGATGGGGTAACTGCATAGAGGGGGAAGTTCAATTTTCATGGTGTATGAGAAAATGCCGAGTGTCTACGAGCAACCTTTCACTGTTATTTTTGAGGCCGGGTATAAGTAAACAAGAAGAAGGCTTTGGAGATGAAGAGTAAAGGAACATCGAGCAAGTGAAAGGTTACCTAGGGGAATTCCAGTGGGTCTTTGCCAAGAGATACATAAAGAAGCAGCCATAGGAATAGTAGTTTGTGTTGTGGGAGGTCTAAATATGGGAGGAGTAGAGTTGATATAAGGAGAAAGGTTTTTTAAGTAAGTGCAGAGGAGGGCAGCAGCTTGCTGATGTGAAATGTCTGGGGAGGTCTTGCTGGACCTGTCTAGAAAGTAAATGAGTTCTTCAGGAGGGTAAAGGTGAGGGCTGTTAAAGGAAGTTTGGAGGTGTACGGAGACAGAAGGTGTTGCCTAGTCTGCATGTAAGGTGGGGACAGCTGTGTAGGCGCTGGAAGAAAGAGAAATGCAAAGCCAGCAGTTGTTCACTAAGGAGGGATTAGAAACGTCTAGGAGAGAATGAGTAAGGTTGATAGTGTGGTAGAGATAGCTGGGGAGAGGTAGAGGGTGGCATAAAAATGGGAATGAGAATAAGAGTGAGTATAAAAGTAAAGAGTAGAACTTCATCAGGGTGAAAGAATTGGAGGGTCCCCTGCCAGCAAAGATCATCTATGCACTCTAAGAGGGAGTTAAGAGTTGCCAGTCCTGTGTGGGGGCAAATCCTCGAGCTTGATGTGTAGGGAAGGGAGAGGGGTTGAATAATCCCTGAGGAGTAGTAGAATAGCAGATGGAACACTAAGAAGTGATTTCCTTGAGGATAGATTTCCGTGATGGAAAGGAAATTAGAGGTTTTAAGAGACAGGCTAGTGGCTTGTAACCTACATGGAAGAGGTTATGAAATGACAACAGAGTAGAATGGGACTGTGAGGCTGAAAGGAGATATTTTCCTTGGTCTAAGAACCATTTGCCTTGTGTGAGAAGAGATTGATAGGTGGAAGTTTTAGCAAGGGATTAGGTGGGAGTGGCCAGATGAGAAGGAGAAAAACTGAAAGTGAGGGATAGAAGTTGGAACCCTAGCTGTTTTTTGCTATCTTATCAGCATAAGCATTGTCCTGAGGGATGGGATCTGATGCCCTTTGATGGCCTTTGCAGTGAATGACTCTAGCTTCCTTTGGAAGTAAAGGAGCTTTGAGAAGCGTTTTTATTAAAGAAGCATTAATGATAGAGGACCCTTGTGCAGTGAGGAAACCTCTTGCATGGTGGTGCAGGATATGGAAGGCATATTTAGAGTCTGTATAAATATTGACATTTAGTCCTTTTGCAAGAGTGAGGGTTTGACTTAAGACAATGAGTTCGGCTTGCTGAGAGGTAATGGAGGGGGGCAGAGTGGTAGCCTCAATGATAGATGTGGAAGATACTATAGCATAGCCTGCCTTTGCTGGTGAGTGGCGATTAGGCTTGGTGGAACTGCCATCAATAAACCAAGTGTGTTCAGGGTGAGGAACACGAAAGAATATGGGGAAATGGAGTGAATTTGAGGTGGATCAGAGATACAGTCATGGGGGTCAGGTGTGGTATCAGGAATAATGTGGGAGGCCAAATTGAAGTCCAGGCCAGGAACAATGGTAACTGTGGGAGACTCAACAAAGAGTGAGTACAGCTGAAGGAGCCAGGGAGCAGAAAGTATATGTATCAGGTGTGAGGAAGAAAATAGATTTTGGAAGTTATGAGAACTGTAGAGAGTGAGTTGAGCATAGTTTGTGATTTTAAGGGCCTCTAAAAGTATTAGGGTGGTGGTGGCCGCCACATGCAGACTTGAGGGCTAGGCAAAACAGTAAGGTCAAGTTGTTTGGATAAAAAGGCTACAGGGTGTGGTCCTGGTCCTGTGTAAGAATTCTGACTGCACAGCTCTGCACTTCAGCTGTGAGTAATGAAAAGGGTTGGGATGAGTCAGGGAGAGCTAGTGTGGCAGCAGTCTCTAAAGCTGTCTTCAAGGAATGGAAAGAGGAGTGGGGAAAGGATTTAGGATCTATGGGGTCAGCTAGGTTTCCTTTTGTGAGTTTAAATAATGGTTTTGTTAGTATGGCAAAACCAGGTATCTAAAGTCAAAAGTACCTAACCATGCCTAGGAAGGAAGGGTGTTGTTTTGTGGAAAGTGCTGGGGTTTGAGAGATCAGTCAGACACGATGGGCAGGGAGAGCATGTGTGTTTTCATGAAAATTATGCCAAGATAGGTAACAGATGAGGAAGAAATTTGGACTTGACTGAAGTAATGGGGGCTGTCTGTGAAGCCTTGTGGCAGTACAGCCCAGGTAATTTGCTGAGCCTGATGGGTGTCAGGGTCAGTCCAAGTGAAAGCGAAGAGAGGCTGGGACGAAGGGTGCAAACGAATAGTAAAGAAAGCATGTTTGAGATCCAGAACAGAATAATGGGTTGTGGAGGGAGGTATTGAGGATAGGAAACTATACGGGTTTGGCACCATGGGGCGGATAGGCAAAATAATTTGGTTGATAGGGCGCAGACCCTGAACTAACCTGTAAGCCTTGTCTGGTTTTAGGACAGGTAAAATGGGGGAATTGTAAGGGGAGTTTATAGGCTTTAAAAGGCCATGCTGTAGCAGGCGAGTGATAACAGACTTTAATCCTTTTAAAGCATGCTGTGGGATGGGATATTGGCATTAAGCAGGGTAAGAGTGATTAGGTTTTAATGGGATGGTAAGGGGTGCATGATCAGTCGCTAAGGAGGGAGTAGAGGTGTCCTATACTTGTGGGTTAAGGTGGGGAGATACAAGGGGAGGATGTGAAGGAGGCTTTGAACTGGGGAAAAAGGCAGCTATGAGGTGTGGCTGTAGCCCAGGAATAGTCAGGGAAGCAGATAATTTAGTTAAAGTGTCTCAGCCTAATAAGGGAGCTGGGCAGGTGGGGATAACTAAAAAGGAGTGCTTAAAAGAGTATTGTCTAAGTTGGCACCAGAATTGGGGAGTTTTAAGAGGTTTAGAAGTCTGGCCATCGGTACCCACAAGAGTTATGGAGGCAAGGGAAACAGGCCCTTGAAAAGAAGGTAATGTGGAGTGGGTAGCCTCTGTATTGATTAAGAAGGGGACAGAATTACCTTCCACTGTGAGAGTTACCCAGAAGCTTGGCATCTGTGATGGTCTAGGGGGCTTCTGAGGTGATCAGGCAGTGTCAGTCTTCAGCTGCTAAGCAGAGAAGATCTGGGAAGGAGTCAGTCAGAAAGACTTGGGCCAGAGTTCCAGGGGCTCTAGGAGTGGCTGCCGGGCGAGTTGGACAGTCCAATTTCCAGTGGGGTCCCACAGAGATGGGACAAGGCTTAGGAGGAATCCCAGGCTGCAGGCATTCCTTGGCCCAATGGCCAGATTTCTGGCACTTGTAGGAAGCTCCTGGGGGAGGCAGGCCTGGAGGAATGCCTGGCCACTGAGGTTTAGGTGTTTGGAAGTTCTTGTGTGTTGGAGATGTGGCTGGGGTTTGTCTCACAGTGGAGGCAAGGAATTGCAACTCAGAAATATGTTGCTACTTGGCTGCCTCTACTTTATTATTGTACACCTTGAAGGTGAGGTTAATTAAGTCCTGTTGTGGGGTTTGAGGGCTGGAATTTAATTTTTGGAGTTTTATTTAATGTCGGGAGCAGATTGGGTAATAAAATGTATATTGAGAATAAGATGGCCTTTAGACCTTTTAGGGTCTAGGGCTGTAAAACATCTCAGGGTTGCTGCCAAATGAGCCATGAACTGGGCTGGTTTTTTATATTTGATGAAAAAGAGCCTAAATACTATCTGATTTGGGATAAAGAAAAAGGAGCATTAACCTTGACTATGCCTTTAGCTCCAGGCACCTTTTTAAGAGGAAATTCCTGGGCAAGTGGGGGAGGGCTAGTCACTGAATGAAACTGTAAGCCAGACCAGGTGTGAGGAGGGGAGGTGATAAAAGGATTATAGGGTGGAGGATTGGAGGCTGAGGAAGAATTGGGACCTAGCTTGGCCTGGCAAGGAGGGGAGAGGTCAGATGGGTCTGTAGAAAAGGAAGATTAGAAAGAGTCAGCGATGCTTGGTGTTGGGACTGAGGGGACAGGCAGGAGGGAAAGAAGGAAGATTTGGGACGAGTTGCGTAGGGAACAGAGACTAGGGAGGGACCGATGTGTAAAAGAATACCTGGAGGTCAGGCACCTCAGACCTTGTGCCCCTTTTACAACAAGATTTAGATCTTGTAGGATGGAAAAATTGAAAGTGCCATTTTCTGGCTATTTGGAACCACTGTTGAGTTTGTATTGGGGTCAAGCGGCATTGCAGAAGAAAACAAGGCATTTAGGTTTTAGGTCAGGTGTGAGTTGAAGAGGTTTTAGGTTTTTAAGAACACAGGCTAAGGGCAAACAGGGGGAATGGAGGGTGGAAGCTTGCCCATAGTGAAGGAGGCAAGCCCAGAGAAAAGAGAGTAGAGACACAGAGAGAAGGGGTGGGGGGTTCTTGCTCCCCAGAAAAGCAGAGAAGGGTTAGAGACATGAAGATAAGGGGTCAGGGGGTTCTTGCCCCCTAGAAAAGTGGTACTTGCTGCTATGGGTGAAGGAGAAGGGGTTGGGGGGTTCTTGCCCCCCAGAAAAGCAAAGAAGAGGTAGAGACACAGAGAAGGGGCTGGGGGGGTTCTTGCCCCCCAGAAAAGCAGTGCTTGCCTATAAGGGTGAAGGAGAAGGGGTTGGGGGGTTCTTGCCCCCCAGAAAAGTGGAGAAGAGGTAGAGACATGGAGAGAAGGGGTTGGGGGGTTTTTGCCCCCCAGAAAAGTGGTACTTGCCACTAAGGGTGAAGGGGAAGGGGTTGGGGGGTTCTTGCCCCCAAGAAAAGCAGAGAAGGGGCAGGGACACAGAGGGTTGGGGAGTTCTTACCCCCCAGAAAAGTGGTACTTGCTGCTAAGGGTGAAGGAGAAGGGGTTGGGGGGGTTCTTGCCCCCCAGAAAAGCAAAGAAGGGATAGAGACACGGAGAGAAGGGGTTGGGGGATTCTTGCCCCCCAGAAAAGCAGTACTTGCCTCTAAGGGTGAAGGAGAAGGGGTTGGGGGGTTCTTGCCCCCCAGAAAAGCAAAGAAGGGGTAGAGACATGGAGAGAAGGGGTTGGGGGGTTCTTGCCCCCCAAAAAAGCAGTACTTGCCACTAAGGGTGAAGGACTAAGGCAGGTATCCCTGCGTGGTCAGACACCTCTGAAACGTGGGTGAATAATCAGGCAGGCGTGACTCAGATCAGAGGACCTCCCGTGGGAGATCAATCCCCTGTCCTGCTCTTTGTTCTGTGAGAAAGATCCACCTACGACCTCTGGTCCTCAGACCAACCAGCCCAAAGAACATCTCACCAATTTTAAATCCGAGTCACAGCACCAAATTTCAGTCGTGTCCGTGTGAAGAGACCACCAAACAGGCTTTGTGTGAGCAACAAGGCTGTTTATTTCACCTGGGTCCAGGTGGGCTGAGTCCGAAAAGAGAGGCAGCAAAGGGAGATAGGGGTGGGGCAATTTATAAGATTTGGGTAGGTAAAGGAAAATTACAGTCAAAGTGGGGTGGTTCTCTGGCAGGCAGGTGTGGGGGTCATAAGGTGCTCAGTAGGGGAGCTTTTGAGCCAGGATGAGCCAGGAGAAGGAATTTCACAAGATAATGTCATTAGTTAAGGCAGGAACAGGCCATTTTCACTTCTTTTGTGGTGGAATGTCATCAGTTAAGGCAGGAACTGGCCATCTGGATGTGTACGTGCAGGTCACAGGGGATGTGATGGCTTATCTTGGGCTCAGAAGCCTGACATTCATCACCTGGGGATTTGTTAGAAATGTGAATTTGGGGCCTCATCCCAGACCTACCAAAATCAGTTAGTACTGGAGTAGAACCCAGGTGAATCTGATGTGAACTAATGTTTGAGAACCACTGAAGTAGATAATACCTCTATTCTTTAGAAATATACTAATAAGGTCACCACAAGCCTTACTTTGTGAAATGCACGTGCAGTTTAAGGTGAGCACCACATTTTAGGCATAGGGTTGCAAGGCTAGCATTTTAGAAGCAGCCTAATTTCTCCCAGGCCATGTGCATTGATTTAGAAAGCCTTGACTGAAAAAAATGTCCCTGCTCTGACACAGGGTTCTCTCTAGTCATGGACAACTGTGAAGAGAATATGCATATGATTGAACATTTCCCCTCAAAATATGCCTCTTTATTGTGATATCATAAATATTTATGCACTTCTAATTATTAAAGTGTGCAAAATTACTGTGAAGAAAGGGACTTCATCTAACCCCAGGCTTTTCTTATTATTCTCAAAGCAGAGCCATTAACTTTCTCTAACTTTTGCTTCAGGTGTTGAAAAGCTAATTCACAGCTCCCCAGCTGCCTACTTGTGGGGACAGCTTTCTTCGGCTGCAGGCAGTAATTGCTTTACTGCTATCCTAAATTGCCCTGGAGAAGAAAGCAAAGCTTTGCTTGCTTTATCCTGTGGATTTAAAGCAGTGCCTATACTTGCTCTGCATAGAAGAGAACTTCTCCTACAGATATTTTTATTCTAATCCACGCAACACATTCCAGTTGAAACAAGATTTTGAAGACACGCCCTAGTGTACATTTTATCTGCACTGGTAATGTATTGAAGACAAATCAAGGTTTCAGGGGAAGGGTTGGGAGGGGGCAGGAACTACCTTCATTGGTTCAGGTTAGTGGAGATTAGCTTAATAGGTGTGTGGATAAAAATTCAAATTGAATTGGATGGATCAATCAAAAATATCTAAATGGATAAGAAGTATTTGATTTGGTCAAACAGGCCAGATGTAAAACCAGAAAATTTAAGTGTAACCTCTTTCCAGAACAAATCATTCTGTAGGTAAAACTAGGCACATAGAAAGATTAATAAATAGTATTTCACTAGTTCTTCTCCACTACACAGGAATGGTGTCAAATCAGACTCACAAATCTTACCAAATAGCAAGCTTTACTATTAATTTCAAGGATACAGGCAATCAAGAGGCATCTGCTTTCTCCGAAAGCAGAGAAAGCCTGAGGTATTGAGAGTAGCTACCCAGGTCCTTTACACATCAAACTTCTACCTCTGCTTTAGAATATTAAGTGATGCCTCTAAGTGAGATTTACAGGGTAAACTCTTGCAGCAGGGTGTATTTCAATGATGAAAACTCTCAAATTGTATAACCCAGTGTGGCAGAGCTTATGTAAAGTTCCCTAGGAAGCCATGCCTTACAATCCAGAGATTCCGGGTTTATTTATCAGAGGTAAAACTTTGGCCAGAAAAATCCTTTTAAGGACATTCTGAAGCTAATATCTCTTCCTTGTAGCATGGATTATTATAGTCTGTATACTTGCAGATTCAGTGGGGAAGGTGATTAGATTGGGTGACATGACTTCTTTTCTGAGAGCATACCTGATATGGTTTGGCTGTGTTCCCACCCAAATCTCATCTTGAATTCCCATGTGTTGTGGGAGGGACCCAGTGGGAGGTAATTGAATCATGGGGGCAGGTCTTTCCCATGCTGTTCTCGTGATAGTGAATAAGTCTTACGAGAGCTGATGGTTTTAAAAAGGGGAGTTTCCCTGCACAAACTCTCTTCTCTTGTCTGCCATCTTGTGAGACATGCCTTTCACCTTCCGCCATGATTGTGAGGCCTCCCCAGCCACATGGAACTAAGTCCAATAAACCTCTTTCTTTTGTAAATTGCCCCGTCTCGGGTATGTCTTTATCAGCAGCGTGAAAACAGACTAATACAGGGAGTAAGTGAATATAAGGCTAGCTGCCATAATCCTCTTCTCCCCACACCACATCCATACACACACTTGACACACACCACATCCATATACACCTTTACCAGTTCTTCCAGATAGACTTAGACATCCACAGTAGTTTTTGTTCCTCTGTGGGATTTACAACTTTTTTTCTACTCTGGTTTTCAGCAGTGATATCTGCGGCTGACCCTTGACAAGGCCAGGGCACTCATATCTATATCCACAGCAGAGGTTTTGCTTAGTGGTATCTGAGGCTTAACGGTGTTGGTGCCCATATGAAGGTGCCCCTGCCACTGCCACTGCCATTCTAAGGCAGTGACAAATTAGTTCACCCTATTGGTTTTCTTGGCCTGGGTTATAGTCAGTTTATTTGCTGGCCTCCTTCTAGTCCAAGCCCCAAGTTCTATCCCCTGCAATCTATCAACCACATTGCATTCCAAATCTTCTTCCTAAATTGCAAATGTGATTGTTCCTTTCCCAGGATTAGAAACTTATACAGGATCCCCAGTGCTGTCAGTATAAAAACTCAGACATCTTAGTCTGCATGCCGTATTTCAGAATCTGATTATGACATCCTTGTCCTGCATCACATTTTTCCACTCCACAGCAACTCCTCAGCTTTAGATCAACTGTCCCTTGTTTTCATAACTCTGTGCCATTGTAATTGCTGCTCACCCTACTGGGGATGATCTTATCTCCCTTTTTCATCCAGCCTATTCCTTTCTTATCCTACATGGTTTGGCTCAGGTATCATCTTCTCTGGAATGATTTTTTAGCCCCAGCACTCTAGAGTAGATATTCGTGTAGCAAAAAAAAGCAAAATGACATATGCTGTGTGAGATGCGTCTGTTCTCTTGTCTCTCTTACTACCCTTTGAGCAGGCATTCTATATTTTTTTTGTCTAAAATGTTGGTGTCTGGCATAGAGAAGGAATGCAAGAATGGGCGCAATGAGGAGCATAGATGGAGCTTTCCTGTGAAAGAGGAGTGTGCCATCTTTTCCTCAGAGACTGTAGGAGAAGTGTAGCTATGGATTTGTTTGGCAATTGGAAAGGAAATTTGAGGTAGCTCATGCCTGGTATTGATACTGAGGTAGTGGGCTATTTTTTGAGAGTGAATATTGGGATAAGGACTTGAAGATAACATTTTGAGTATGCAATAAGGATGGAATAAGTTGCTGATCAAAGATAAATAAAAGCATTTATGAGAAGCAAGATTCTCCAAGGTAGATTGCAGATGGTAACTTTGGGAAGCAACAGAGGTGATAAGAAAATTTCTCTTGTGATATTTAGTTGAACTTGTATAGAAGCAGCTGACTGATCTGGGACTGGAGCAGGGTACGGCTTTGTGGAGTTTGTATAGTGGGAGCACAAAGGACTGAGGGAATTATGGAGATGGGTAGGAGAATGGTTGAAATCCTAGCACAGGGAGCTTAGCCTGGAGTAGGAAGGATCAGAGGCCAACAGAAGGCTTATAAATTGTGAGAAAAGTGTGGAGTCACTTTACATCCTTGGCTTTTACTGTGGTTAAACAACATAAACTCTCATTGCCAAGAAAAGTCATAAGATTTCCCCAATATGGAAACTGTGTCATCCACATCGATGTCAGAGATCTACTTTGAATATTATGAAATCTTTAATGTAAAAGAAGAATAACAAGACTTTCATTCCATGGGTAGGAGTATAGGGGGAGCTGGAACTAAAATTAGTTCTCACTAAAAAGATTGTTAACATCCTTTAAATCTAGTTGTTCTTTTAGCTATCTGGGCGTTATCAGGAACAGAGAGCTACAAAAATGATAAATCTTTCTCCCATTCAATATTATTTTCTTTGATTTCTGGTATTCCAGTTCTCTTGTCTCTTGTGCTCATTCTCATTGTAGACCAAGGGCTCTGGCTGCTAAATTGCTTGCCCAACACACTGTGTAGCAAAAGATTAAAAGGTAATTGGATCAAAAATTTCACAGGAAAAACACCAAAATGAAACATCTCTCTGTTAGGCCTACCCCCAGGAGGAAGACTGGGATTAAGTGAGCCACAAATAGTACATGACGACCTCACCAAATGCTGCATTACTGATCCTGACTAAGACGGTTATATAATAAGGAGAAGCTGCTTTACTTGTGATGAAAGGAAAAAAAGGAACTGTTCACACTCTCCCATCTCATATGCCAGACTTAATCAGAGAGTTGTTTTGATCCTCATAAACAGGGTTGATTTTTAATCTGGTACTTGGGGACTTTTTAGGATCTTTATAGGCCCAAAATATTCTTATTTTTGAAAACCTCCCATTCATATTATATCAACTAAAATGCATGAAAGTCCCAGATTATGTCAAATTTGCATATTTATTTATATAATAATTATTGCAGTTGTTTAATATGTTATATATATATTTTTTTCTTGAGACAGAGTCTTGCTCTGTCACCCAGGATGGTGAGATCTTGGCTCACTGCAACCTCCGCCTCCCAGGTTCAAGCGATTCTCCTGCCTCAGCCTCCTGAGTAGCTGGGACAACAGGCACATGCCACTGTGCCTAGCTAATTTTTGTATTTTTAGTAGAAATGGGGTTTTATCATGTTGGCCAGGCTGGTCTGAAACTCCTGACTTCAAGTGATCTGCCCGCCTCAGCCTCCCAAACTGCTGTGATTATAGGTGTGAGCCACCGCTCCCAGCCATATTTTATCATTATTTAATTAAAATACTTATTACCTTTAGTTTTGCAACATTTTACTATTTGTAACTAGTAATATATTTTCAGGTCTTAAATTTTTTTTGACTCTTAAAAAGTTCATAGATCATGGGCATTGTGCCTGATGAAAACAATAGATGAAGGGGCCTGATCACACAGTGAAAATTTGACTCTTGGAGAAGATACCATAAGAGGAAGTCATAGCCTCCCAGAATTAGTTCAGGTCCAAACTTTGCACCTAACCCCTGTGACCCAGGCAGGACTCTGTATCTCTCTCAGTCTCACTCATCAGTGCCTCCACCAAGCTGCTTTTCTCCGCATTTGCATTTGGTAGAACAGATAATCAGGCAAATACAATAAAGCGATAACACTTATGAAAGGCATAATAGGTTGCTATGGAAACAAATAGACGGGGCAGGAAGTTCAAGGAAGTCATTCTTTTCCCTTTGCAAAAAAAGATAATATTCAGTCTTCCTTTTTTTTTTTCCACAGGCCTCATGAGGAAAATCAAATAAGATTATCTTACATTACAAAATTTTCTTGCATACTTTATGCAACAGTGGAAACAACACAGGATTGGAATTAGAAGACCTGGTTTTAAATACCAAATTGTTCCCCAGAATGATCTGATCCTACTGCTTAGCCTATCTGGATGTCAGTTTCTACATCTCTAAAAGGAAGGTGTGCTGGGTTGAATAGTGTACAAATTCATATCTGTCTACAATCTGTGGGTGTGACCTTATTGGGAAATGGGATCTTTTCAGAAGTAATCAAATTAAGATGAGATCATACTGGCTTAGAGTATGCCCTCATCTAATAACTGGTGTCATTACATTTGGATACAGACACACAGAGGAGAATGCTATCTGAAGATGGAGGCAGAGATTGAAGTGATGCATCTACAGGGATTGCTGGCCGCCACCACAAGCTAGAAGAAGCAAGGGAGGATTATTCCCTAGAGCCTTTGGATGGAGCAAGGCTAGTCTACACCTTGATTTTAGACTTCTAGCCACTAAAACAATGGGAAGATAAATTTCTGTTGTTTGAGGCTACCCAGTTTCTGGCAATATGTTATGGCAGCTCCAGGAAACTAACATAGGGTGTTAACAATAGAACTTACCTGACAGTGGTTTGACATCAAGTCTAGTGAGGCCTGGCCTGGTAAGGTGGGAATTAGCAGAAGTGCATTGTTCCAGAATCCTGAGATTCTGGGACATTCATTGTGAACCAGCCATATATATTATATACCTCTGTCTGCCTTATTCATCATATCCTCTCACTTCCAATGTTTCTCTATCAGCTTCCAATCACCATGTTATTCATTGATTTGTCATTTATAGCTTCCATTCTTAAGAATCAGTGATTTGATTTTTTTTTTTTTGGATTGGCCATCAGAGTCTTTGTCACAGTGCATTGTCCCAGTTGGCCAGGATAGGCATCCTAGCGTTTAAAAAAAAAAAAAAAAAAGTACTTTGGATATTGTAAATCTCCAGGTAAATGTTAGTTATTTGGATTAAAAAGTTACTTATATACAAAGTAGAAAATGGAAGTAATATGTGCATCCAAGCAGAGACACAGTGGAAAATGTATTGGCTTTTGGTCCCAACACTGCAACTGGCTAACACAACCACGTCATGTGACCAGTTGGTGCTTGCCCTTCCTGGTGTATAGAATGAAGGAAAAGAGGTGGGATACATCGAGGTCACCTCTAGCTCCAATATCACCTGAACTCTGTTAATCTGAATTTTGGGAGGTATGGTTTTTATGAGTATTCACAGAACTCTATTTTAAATGTTGCCTTTTCTAATACAAAATTCACTTTTAAGGTAATTTAGAAAAGTGATTAAAAACCAGAACTTTGAAGTTATAAAGTCCAAGTCTTGAGTCCAAGATTCTTTACTTCAAGATGCATGATGCTACAAAGTGTGGCCAATTCTAAATCATGGCCTCTAAGTGTTTTTACGCTTCTCTCATCATGTGGTGGGGTCTTTGTCTCCTATTGAATCTGGGCTCTGTGACTAATAGAATGCTATGCAAATGACACTATGCCGGTTACAAGACCCAGGCTTTAAAAAACTGGTATCACTCACTTCTTGTCTCTTCGAATGCTCACTCTTGGTATCCAGCTGCCATGATCTGAGAAAACCAAGCAACCCATTGAGAAGTTGCATATAGTCATTTGATCCAAGAGCCCCACTTGAGGATCACATGCCAGTATCAGCCATCGGGCATGTGAGTGTGTGAGCATTCAGATGATTCTAGCTTCCAGCCATCACGTTCCCCCGATCTTTGAGTCATCCATCCTAGTTGACACTGCTTGGAGCATATGTGGGCTGTCCCTACCAAACACTGCCCAAATGGTACATTTTTGAGCAAACTAATTGTTCTTTTTTACACTAAGTTCAGGGTGGTTTGTTACACAGCAATATATAACTGGAATTGTAAATTATTTCTTTAAGCTCCAGAGTCTTCATCTGTAAAATAAAAAAAAAGATCTTTATCATGGAGTTATGCAGATTAAATGAAATGATGCACTCAAAGCACAGAATATCTAACATTTTTAGATCCAATTGATGTTAGCCACTTAATGGCTTACATCTTATACTTGATGTTTTAATTTTTTTTGACTGATATCATGGGCTTTCAAAAGCCTGATAACGCTGGCTGACTAAAATAGAACCCAGACAAGAAAAGTAGATGTGATAGCAATGAGGAGTAGAAAATTGATAGCTAAGCCAGTCATTCTATCCTTCTCTCCCTTTTTTCTGTTTTCAGTAGAATCCAAGAAGACTCTAAAACCTCCAGTACTCATGAAGAGATGAGTTTGCTCATTATCAATCTCATTGATCCTTAGCATCGGAGCTGAGAGGGAGCCAGGATGTTCATCACACTGTGTAAATGGCCTCTGTGAAGAACTTCCTGGGGTATGGTCCAGCTTCCTGGAATGGTACTTTCCTCAAAAATGTGTCTGATTCTGTTTTCTGGGGCATACAGCTGGAAAGCAGGCCTTGATGGGAGATGAACCTGGGTGGTCAGTTTGGCTGGAGAATCAGTACTCTTAACCTAGGGTTAGAGAACCTAGTAAGCTAGAGCTGTGAAAGTGAAATATCCCTTAGATACAGTTTCACATACCATGTGTGTTAAGAAAATATATCCTGTTAAGGAACTAAAATAGTGAACCACAGAGGAGGTTATTTCAAAATGGAAGGAAGAACCCCTGAAGCAGTATTGCCACTTAGTCTAAAAGTGTAAATTGTCATCTTGAAGCAAGTGGTTCCTGAATTATTATTTCTATAAACCTACAGAATGAAATGGGTATATCCATTGTCAGAGGAGTGAGGGAAAGGACCCCCATGTCAGAAAGGGCTCATCTGGACTGGGCACGGTGGCTCACGCCTGTAATCCCAGCACTTTGGGAGGCCAAGGCGGGCAGATCACAAGGTCACGAGGTCAGGAGATTGAGACCATCCTGGCTAACACGGTGAAACCCCGTCTCTACTAAAAATACAAAAAAAAAAAAAAAAAAAGCCAGGCGTGGTGGCAGGCGCTTGTACTGCCAGCTACTCGGGAGGCTGAGGCAGAGAATTGCTTGAACCTGGGAGGCGGAGGTTGCAGTTGAGCTGAGATCATGCCACTGCACTCCAGCCTGGGCAACAGAGTGAGACTCCATCTCAAAAAAAAAAAAAAAAACAAAGGGCTCATCTGGACCTAAATCAAGACTGTAACCTAAATTCTCTGCAACTTGAAGGGAGCAGATATATGACAGGGATAACAGTTTAAATTTTGAAAGGAAGTCTCAATAGTTACAAGTTCCTTACTTGCTGCCCTCTATTTTCCCATAGGAAAATTCTTCAAATCAAAGGCAGAGGGTAAGGAAGAAAATGAGAACTGAAACTGCTCCAATCCCAGCTAGGAGAGAGGAAGAACTGTAAAGAAACCCCCCAAATTACATTGTAGAATTATTTTTCCCTATGGTATTAGGTTGATCCCCCTTTCCTGGCCACCAGCAGCCCCTTTCCACACTTCTAGGAGCACCAGGATCAATTACCATTCATTGTTATTTCATGTGCATAGACAACAGAACTTGCTGCTGTCATAAAAGTAAAGGAACAGATTTCTTAAATTGCTACTTGAAGGAGCTCTTCTATATCAGTGCCATTAAATTAAATTTCTGCTCTGTATAATGCATAAAAATGGCTTGTGAATTTTTTTTCCTTGGGTGACTCATTTTGTTTGAACTCCAAAGCAATTCCTCAGAAACGGAAAGAGGCTATTTAAAAATGAGCTGTGAGATTGTCATTAAAAATCATTTTTTTTAAAGCAAAGGAGGTCTCTCCTAGCACCAAATGATAAAATACAAATTTGAGAATCCTGAACTCAGTTCTCAAAGGTATCACCTTTGAAAAGGAAGTTTAAAAAATATTAAGTAACCTTTTAAAAAGTAATTTTAAGGAAGTGAAGAAATAAGAATAAAATCTTAATTTTTAAGTGAAAAACTTTACTTTTTCTTAAGAGAAGAGTTTCTTGGTACCTCTTTCTGTCTTTTGTTTTTGTTTTTGTTTTTGAGACGGAGTCTCGCTCTGTCGCCCAGGCTGGAGTGCAGTGGCGCCATCTCCACTCACTGCAAGCTCCGCCTCCTAGGTTCAGGCCATTCTCCTGCCTCAGCCTCCCGAGTAGCTGGGACTACAGGCGCCCACCACCACGCCCAGCTAAATTTTTCTATTTTTAGTAGAGAGGGGGTTTCACTGTGTTAGCCAGGATGGTCTCCATCTCCTGACCTCGTGATCCACCCGCCTCGGCCTCCCAAAGTGCTGGGATTACAGGCCTGTGAGCCACCACACCCGGTACCTCTTTCTTATATTCCATTTAAGAAATTATTAGCATTGCACAGCAAAATGTAATGCCTCTTATTTTAAAGAAAAAAACCTCAGTGTAAACTATGCTTTTTCTGTCTTTGTGGTCGGTATTTAAATATTTTAATCTTTTTATTAGGCTTTAAGGTCTTTGAGATATTCTGATGGCAGAGTACAAAGTTAAAGGTTACCAATAGAATTCAAATTGTGTAGTTTTTCTCAATAAAAATCTATTCTCTCTTTCTTCAAAATATCATTAGAAAATGTCACCTGGAGGGAAGGTCTTGGACTATTAGAGAGAACTTCAAATTCTAGGCTTTATACTATGAATTCCTTCCCTAGTTTACTATCTTCAGGCACCAACCCATTCCCGCTTCTTCAACTTCCTCCAACTCTCTAGAAAGACTTTCTCATGAAATTATTCCATAAGGCCTCAATCATTTTATTCACTTTTTATTTTAAATAGAAATACCTCTGTAAAGAGTGAGACTTTAGGTGAATGACTTTCCAGCATAATTTTTTTCTCAGCTGCATTAAAAGGTAAAAGGAAATCTTTTCTGGAATTGTAACTAGGAGAAGCAGATCAGATGAGAACTGTTTGGGGAGATGCAGGAGGGAGGAGGGAGATGTCAGGTCACTTGCTGTCTACCTCACATCACACAGCCCCAGGGAAGGGCCTGCTAGCCCAGATTAAATCCTAGAGTCTGCAGAGATGAAAATAACATTGACTCAAATCCTTTTGTTTGTAATAGAAATCCTTCTTTCCAATCATTCTGGAAATGCTCGAGGAGGTGAGGTATATTCATGTGTTTCTTAGTCACTTCTAGTTTAAAAGTCTGTTTCCTTTGGATCAATTCAATTCATGGATCATCTCACCTTTGCCCACCAGCTATTTGTGTTCTGCCTACTGTAGGTTTGCCTAGCCATTTTCTTCATTTCCACACACGATAAAAACATAAAAAGCCTTGGTGTGCTGGTTTTATAACACAATAATGTGAACAGCTTAAGAATGAATATTAGCTGTCTCAGTTTTTTAAAAGTATCTGTTTTTTCTGCCAACTTGGATACTGGCTTTTCTCCAGTCTGTTTTCCTCTTCTCCTGCCTCCTGAATTTCTCCGTCACCTCAGCACCTCATTTTTTTTGAAGAATAGTTTAGTTGTATCCTTCCTATTCTTTCTGGCCTCACATTTCTTTCTCAAACACTGAGCCATATGTATTCTTTTCTCAGAATAAACTCTGGTGCCAGCTTATAAAATAATACCCTTTTCAATTTATGAAATTATTTCTGTCTCAGCACAAATCATCCGAGGAAAGGTTTTAAGCTTAGGGTGGCAAGGAGAAAGATATAACGTCCATATTAGAATGACGTGTGTGGCAAGTAGAGGGTAAACAGAGTAGGAAGGGGTTTCAGTGTCCCTAGAATATGCATGTTACACAGCACAACACAGCTTAGACTTGTCCCTGCTCTCTGCAACCATTCTCTATTTTCCATGTCTCCATGAACACAAGTTCTTGATTCCAAGTGTTTTTTTTTTTAAACCAAAATTTTGGCCTTGCACATTCTATTTTATTGCTGTTTCCAGATTCCCAAATTATGCCTTTCAGAATTACTTTTGTCACCACTTCTCTACCAGCTAATAATATTTTCTCTATATAAATTATTGAATTAATGACTCAGGATTATAATCGCCTGTGAATTGTATGGTATTTAATTTCTTTTCCAGCAGGTAAGAGTAGAATAAAGAGAATGTAATAAGTTACATGCAGTCACAAAATGAGTCATTAGAATCAGAGACAGAATTTGGACACTGAAGACACAAGTCCTGCTTCTCAGTAGTCCTGTTGGCTGCATAATAATTTAACCTTCATGCAAAACAGCTGAATCATACTGTTCTCTTCTGTGTCATGCGTCCCATTTAGACAGGCTTCCCTGCCTTGCCTTCTTCTTTGTAATTCTTTTATCTTTCTGTCTCTTTGTCTGTCTGGTTTATGTATTTATCTAAATAATTTTTTTAAGTTTACAAATATTTCAGGAACTCTCTTACATGGTGGTTGAATGCTGATCGTTTCAAAGGAGTTGAAATGATCCCACCCTAAATAGCAAAGTACTACAATATTATTCTTGCCTAGAAGCTGCCCATGTGTATTAATTTAACTTAAGGTCATTGTGGGTGCTTTTTAACTTTAGGTTACTTGAGCTAAAGAGACTTTTCTTGAAAGAAAGTTTGGCAAGAGGAATTGGAGTAATACTTATTGGAACCTTCAGTAATTGGGGAAAGGTAGGGAAGGAAGAACTGAATTAGAAAAAAACCCACACTCAAAATGTGCCAAACCAAGATTTGATTAATTCAAAAGTTTACTTGGAGGTATATTTATTTCTGAATCTCAATTTCTATTTGTTATAGTTCCATGAAAAGTATTATCTATCAATATATGCCCTTATTACTCAGGAAGCAAATGGAATGACTGGCTTTCAGAAGGTGAGATCAGAGAGAACATTCAAGGTAAGAGTCAATAAATAAAATGCATTAGCATACAGCTAACGAAATGATGTGAAATAGGACATCTAGGAAGAGAGGTGGTCAGCTGTGAAGAGGGTGGATTGGAAGTCAGAGGGCCTCATTGTTCTCATGATAATGAACACATGGTGGTCATGGATACCAGGTCAGGTCAGGCTTCATTGTGAAGCTCTAATTAGATGACGGATGGGAAAGAATCATAAGCCCTATGTGTATATGGCATTTCTTCCCCCTCAAATATTACCTTGTACTGGTGTATTACCAATCAATGTCTTGTAAGTTAGGCAAGTTGGCCACTGCCATAGGTTCTCACCAGGTTGAGTTACCAGGCAGAATATAGGAAGCCCAGTTAAGTTTGAATTTTAGACAAGTAACGAATACTTTTTTAGTCTAACTATGCTCTAAATTATTCATTGTTTATCTGGAATTCAAATGTAACCAGACATTCTAAATTTTATTTGCTGTCTGGCGTTCTTACCACCAGAGAAAATATATTTGGTTAAGAGCTAACTGTCAGCATTGCATCTCGGAAACCTGATGTGGGCAGAGACAGTTAGCCAAGTCATTCATTATTTGTTAGAAATAGAGCTGTCAAGAGAGCCAGATATCCATATCATGTTATCTGTTAAATATGAAGCCATTTTAAACACCCAGTGGTTTCTTGACAAGCAACTTCTTCCCTACTATAGGCATGCCAAGCCAAGGAATTGGCAGTGTTTAGCTGCCTGGGACAGGCACTGCCAACATTTGCTTCTATAATTCTTCTTTTTCTCAGTCTTCGTGGATGATTAACCCACCAACCGTCTTCTGACTTATACATCATATTTTAGATTTAAAATTGCCATGTAATTCAGTACAATACATTTTTGCCCACCTTAAAACAACCCTGTCTCTTAAATTTGATCCTACATATCCCTGTTATATCCTAACTTTAAAGTTTAACCTTTTATTTTAATCTTATTTTGTATTATTTAATTTCCATGAAAGCAATCTTCCCATGGTGCATATACTAGAAACAGGTGCCAGTTATATGAAGAAAAGACACACCAAAACAGAAGGAAACTTTTTCAGAGGTTCAAGTAAAATATAAGTAAAAAAAAAAAGGCATTTTGAGAATTTAAGATCAATTTTTTTCTGCCCTACTTACTTCAAAGGAGTAAAGGAAGACACAATTCTACTCCTTTAATAAATAGTCTGCATCAGAAACCCTACAACCTGATCTGAAACTCAGGAAACAGGTAAAGCCATAAGCAGGAAGATGATTAAGAGTTTCTTTAGAAGTCCTGCCAAGACAAATCTCTGCAGTCAAAGTGGAATCATTAGTGGCCTCCTCGACCTCAAAGTCTTCAGAGAAAGTAGGAACAGTGGGTTTATTAGGTAATTCTCTCTATAGAAGGGAAGGTGTTTTTTTTTTTCTCTATATTCTTGACAGGCAATTGTACTTAATGGACAAATTTATCCAATAGACAAAACCTATCTCATTGTAAACTCTGAGTGTGCCTCATGGGCTAGTTCAGCCAAGTTTAGGAGATTACCAAAAGCTTAGCCATCCACATAGCACAGCAGATTTTCACAATTGAGACTGGGATTTTTAATCAAAGTAAGATCCTTTTCATTGAAAACTCCTATATAACTTTTGGAAATCTACACAAATAGTGCAATAATTAGAAAATAATAATGTTATGACAGAAATTATAATCATATATGGCTGTGTTTCTACTTTTACATTATTTCTGCATCCCCAATTCTTTGTTTTTAAAAAATGTTTCTAAATTGTTCTCAAATGATAGCACAAATTCACAAAATGTTGTGAGAAAATGAAAAATAAGAACTACTTAGAAAAGATTTTAATTCAAAAGAAATAATAGTTGAAAATAAATCCATTTTAAATTATAAGGCTTCTTAAAATGTATTCTCAGTGGACTAAAGCAATAGATATCAGCTATATAAAGGCCACACTTTCCTCTTAACGGTTTAGACAACTCAGAAGTTCACATAAAAACCATTTCTTAGTGTCACTAATATTTTATTTAATTTCCTATAGCAGAAAAAAAAAGCAGAGGAAATTATTCTGATGAAAACCAAAGACTTCCGACACTTTTATAGCATTAAAATTTATGGACACTAGAAATCTTTAATTTTACATGATTTCTTTTTTCTTTCCTCCCTCGTTTCCTTCTTCTCCACCCCTCCACTTTCTCTCAATCTCTTTTTTTCTTTTTTTTATGGTTAGAATTTTATGTCTTTGACAAAAATTTTATGACTTTTAAGAAGTCTTTGATACCCTAAAGAAATGAAGACATTCTCCTATATTTTCTAAACACTTTATGGTTTTACCTCTCACATTTTGGTCTTTAATTCAGCTGGAATTGATTTGCATGTGTGGTGGGAGGTAGAAGCCCAATTTTATTTCTTCTACATGGACACCCAATTTTCAGAAATGTTTCTTTTGATCTGCGGTGCCACCTTAGTGTTTTCATATATGATATACATTTCATATATTAAGTGTCCATGCTTATGTGGGTCTGTTTTATCACTGTTATGCTCCTCAGGTCTATCTGATTATCTTTATCTTAGTTACAGTGGTTTTAAGATCATTTTTCATATCCAAAAAGCCTGTTTTCCCAATTTGTTATTTAACAGTAGTTTAGCTGTTTTCATCTCTGTCTTTCTGCCTCTCTCTCTCTCTCTCCATCTCTGTGTGTGTATTTATTTACTTATATCTTAGTTGGTCAAACTTAAAAAATCAAACTTAGGGATTTTATTGGGATTGGAATAAATCTATATATACATTTGTGTAAAATTGACATATTTACACGTATCTTCCAATTCATGAATATGGTATATCTCTTCATTTATTTAGGTCATTTAAAATGTCACTCTATAAAATATATAATTTTTTTCATAAGGGTTAGATGTTTTCTGGTGCATTATGTTTTAAAAATGTCTTCCTAACTGAAATATTTTTGTTTGAGTTTTTATTTTTTAAATCTTGTACCTATGTATAAACAATTTGCTTTTGTATATTATTTGTGAAGCAACATTTTTATCTTCCCTTCTTCTAATTTATCTATCTACTTAATTTATATCTGCAAACTATTGCCTTCAAATAATTAAAATTTTGTTGCTTTCTCTCCCCACCCCAACCACTATAGCTTATAGTTCTTTTTATTTCTCTACTACACTGTTTAGGTTCTCCAATAAAATGATGAGTAGCATTAGTCATAGTAGAAACCCTTTTATATTTTTGATCTAAAAAAGAAAGCTATTATTATCTCTCTAAGTACATTGTTGCTATAGGTTTTTAAGATATTCTTTATCAAATTGAGGACATTTTTTCTCTTCTATTTGCTAAGATATTTTAAATCCATGAATACATATTAAATTTTTAAAGTTTTTTTCTTCATTTTGTAATTAATAATATAATTGTGGCATTATATATTCTTATATATAACTATATATTTCTAAATAAACAATTATAGTGTATAATTATTTTCCTTAATATTTTAATATAGCAAATAACATTAATTGCTATTCATGTGTTAAGTCTACCTTGTAGTCCTGAGATACAAAACTTGATGATTTTGTGTTATCCTCTCTACATGTTGCTGAATTTTTCTTGCTAAGTTTTTGCTCAGAATTTTAACATCTATGTATATGAGTGACTAAACCATGATTTTCTTATCATGACTTTGTAAAGGTTGAGATTAAACTATTGCTCATCTCATAACAAAAATAGGGAGTTGTTTTTGTGTATTTCTCCCAGAAGCGGTCTCTGAGACTTGAATTCAAATGCAAAAATGTGATTTGAGAGGAGCAGAGGAAATACTGGCAGGGAAATGGGCAAGAAATATAGGTAAGACGAAACAGTCCGTAAAGGGCAATGTTATTAAGGCAGCTTTCACAATGGGCAACTAAAATTTAATTCTGCACCAAAAATCTAGGAAACAGTTTTATATACAAATCAGAATTATACAACTCCAGGTCCAGGGAGTTGTATAAATATAAATATTACTTGTTTAAATATTCCCATCAGTCATTGCTTGAGGGCTGCCGGGGAAATGGGGTGTGGTGGAGGTGGAGGATGTTAATTCCCTGACATTTCTGGATGATCAGACACCTGGGGAAAATCTTCTAGAAGAGGCCCCAAGCACAGAGATAAATGTACTCAGTTGGAAGTGGTTCAGGGCACTCTGACCTGATAAAGTTTTTGGAATATTGGTGAGACTCTAACTGCTTCTCCTAGGAGATTGCTTTTTATTGTTGTTTTTGTTTGTTTGTTTGTTTTTTCCAACATTACAGAAGAGTTTTAGAGGTTTTTAAGAGAATTTTGGGTAGAACTTTCCAGGAAAGTCATCTAGGTATAGAGTTTTCTTTGTGAATTCTTTACAGTTATGAATTCAACTCTTTAATAGTTATAAGATTAAGTAAATTTTTTCTTAACTCTTAAGTCAATTTTGGTAAATTATATTTTTCTAGACCAGTTCATCCACATTTTAGATTCTACTAGCATAAATTTATTATTAATATGCCTTTATTATTTTTATGTCTACAATATCTATAGTGATGTCATATTTACATTTCTGATATTGGTTACTTTTGCCTTTCTTTTCTTCCTTTTCCTTCTTCTCTTCATAATTCTTTTTAGATATTTGTTAATGAGTCCTTTCAAAGAATTAACACTTAGCTTTATTAATTTTTTATACTGTATGCTTGTTTTCTTCCTTATAAATTTCTGCTATTTTATTATTTACTGCCTTCTCTTCACTGCATTTATTGTCATTTTTTCTAACTCCTTGATATATGTGTTAGTAATTTCAGACTACATTCTTCATCAATGTACACAATCTTACTACAGTTTTTTAAAATACTTTGGCTATACACTCCATGTTTTAAAAAAGATTTTTTATTATCATTAAGTTGAAAATATGGCCTAAAGGTATTTTAAAATTCCCAAACATGTGAATTCTAGCAAATCTTTTAACTATTGAGTTCTGGCTTAATTGTATTGCACACCATGTGGTGGGGTGTGCTCTGCATGCCAGCAATTAGAGTCATTTTTTTCTTAGCTCCAAACTTATCTTTGTATATTCTGCTTTGTAATGTTGTATTTCTTCTTTGTTTTCTCTTGGGTTAAGGTTGTATTTCTTCTCTTGTTTTCTGTTAGGTTTCTTTGTTTCTGGTAAGTCCCACCAATAGGAGGCATAGAAGGGAGACTGCTTGAGAATGAGGTCAAGGATTTATTCTTCCTTGTTGGCTGGCTGTTTCTGTCCTTTTCCCTCAACCACACCCAATCACCACAATCCAATAGCTGGTTCCAGTCCCCGGCTTTTTTTTTTTTGTACTCTCAAAGCCACTCTTACCATGACTTTCACGAGGCACCAGTCCGGCAACACTTCTTTAGAAATCTGAGACCTAGCTCCAGGTCTCTCCCTTTCTTCCCCAGACTAGGTGGTATTTTTGCTTTCTTATTTCTCTAACACCCATTTAACCAACAGCTCTCTGTTGGTTACCTAGTATGATTTCTACTTTCCTGACTAGATCTTGCTGGCTACACTCTGTATTATTTCAGACCCCTTTAGAATTTGTCAAGAAATGCTTTATGGCTCAATTATGGTTTATTCTTATAGATGTTTAACAGGTTCTTAAATTACATTTGTTCAATTTAGTTAATTGTGTTATTAAAATATTTTCTATCCTTACTAACATTTTTGGTTCCTTGTGCTGTCCGTTATAGAGATGAGTTTTGTAACTATTTCTTGCTGTTTGTACATTTGATTTTTTTTCTATAATCTTATTCATTCTTGCTTTATATGTACTTAGACTATGTTATTAGGTACATACAAATTAAATATTTTTATAACTTCTAAGTTGAAATGAAACTTTCGTTATTACAAAGTTATTCTCTTTATCTCAGGTAATTTTTTTTTGCCTAACTCTATTTTTCATAATAGATTAAATAATGATGATAGCACATTTAAAATCAGATAGCCTGAATTTGTAAGCAGTAAATTTATGATCGCCTCAAAAAATGTTAAGAGGCCCAAGAGAGGGAATGGAAAAAAGCAAAAGTCAAGGGTGACTTGATAAATGATATAAATTTATGCTGCCTGTTTTAAATACCTCTTATGAAATCATCCTCTGACTATTCCTATGTATCTTAGTTTAGTTCAAAACTACGCTAAATGTAGTTGAGGCTTATTTACTTTTATTACTGTATAATATTTCACTGGTTACAACTTAGTAGTGCAATCTATGATGGCAGTTTCTGACAGTTCTTTTTTTGTGCTACTACTAACAAAACCATAGTTGAATACGTATTTTGGCTTAATGTGCAGGAATATTTTGAGGGCAAGTATGTAGGAGTAGAATTTTAGGGTCTTAGAATATGCACGAAGACATCACTAGACAATACCAAACCATACTGTACCAATTTATACTCCCATCACAAGTATATGATAGCTCTCACTGTTTCATACACTCACCGATATTTTTTCAGTCATTTTCTGTCCATTATTTAAAATCCTAGTGAATACCTTACCATATTTATTTATCTGCTTAATCCCTGAAATCTTCCTTAGGGATTTTAGCATGCATGTTAATATTTTTCTCTATATATTATTATTTCAGAGGTTCTTGGCTTCCTCATATTTAGTGATTTTTCTCTCTGTCACAAGACAGCCATTTATTGGCCACACCCTGAATATTATCACTGCTCCCAATTTCTTCAGCTCAAAGTTCTCAAACACTCAAAAGCTTTGTTCCCCATTGCTGTTGGGATTTGGGGAGATAATAGTTATTATCTGTAATTATATTCTGTGTCTATCCAACTTCAGGATCTTTTGAAAAATACATAAAGGTATCAGACAGATAAAGCTTTATTATTTTTGGTGCTAGTTTGAAGAGTGTAGCTTGGGCTTAGGTATAATGGGATTCCTACTGCTTTTCCTTGTGTATGAAAATCCACTTACAGAAATGAAGGCCTCCCACATTAGAGAAAAGAAGGATGTCTGCTTCCTGTTGACAGACTGAAGTAGATCCCCCTAGAAGGGGCTGAGCCACAGAAGTTTCTTTCCTGATATTGCCTCTAAGTAAGCTGCAAGGCACCTTCAAGAGAGGAAAGCAAATTGTACCTTCTACAATTTTCTCTTCTGTGAAGTGAATTTCCTTTGTTGCTGGGAAACCTGAGGTATAAGCATGCCTTTACAATGATAACTTTTTTACCTTTTAGTTCATCACTCTGTCACCATTGTAGAACCTGCTCTTTATCTTCCTATAATCACAATCCTTTGCCCACTCCATTTTTCCCCCCAAGTTATCACATCTCTTCTCGCTTCATTTGTTCTTCAGGCTGTACCTCATAACTACTCACCTCCACCATCACCTGATACTCCCCAAGAAATTTTGTTCCTTAAATTACTTCCATTCCTGCTTTGCCAATCCCCACCCTAAATCACCCTTAACTTTTGCTTTTCACATTCTCACTCCTGAGTTTCTGAATATTTTTGAGATAGTCATAAGTTTACTGATTATAAATTCAGGCTATTTGATTTTAAAGGTGCTCTCATAATTTTTAACAACATTTAATCCAAATTACTCTCCTACAGATCTATCATATTGTTTAAAAGCTGTTGTCTTCATATTCCGTTTCAATCCACCACTACCACCCAACAGATGGCCTCTCTGTCACATAAATATCTACAGCATTGAAATTACTCTCTTTTGTGATTTTTGCCTTCTATCATAGTTATTTGTAGTCTTGTCTCTTCTATTAGGTTATAAATCCCTTATGTATACAAACTTTGCTGTCTCCATTCTTGTGTTCCCTATGCCTAACATGGAACTTGGCCTATAAATTGATGTTTAATTTTTGAATAACAGATTGAGTTATGGAAGCAGTATCTGAACCACTGAGGTCTACAGATACTGTGTTAGATCAGAATCTAACTACTCCTGATGTATATATGAAGCAGATCCCAAAATAAGTTTCACCACATGTATTTTAGCTACAGTTTTCTATATTTTTACAAGCAGTATATAACCAGCTTAATAAAAATATTAGTTTCTTTGTCCCAATTTCAATCCTCATTCCCTCAACATGTGTAGAGTAGAAAGTCTTGCTTGATGTCTATGGAGCTTACTGATGCTATATTCTGTTTATTGTTTTGTTGTGAAAAATAATTTACTGAACTTTAAATGATTTCCTTTTCTTTGCTGGGGGAATATATGAAGGTATAATTCAGATACCTGGTCACCTACTAGGAAACTTTGAATGATTGATACAATTCACATATAATTAGGAAACCACTTTTTCTTAACAGGAAACAATAACTTTATTAAACCAAGAAAGACCTCAATTTAAGTCAACAAATGATTACAACTGAAATTAGAAAATATAAGTCAAATCAGCTTACTAAGAGTAACTTCTTATCTGTAAACAAATGAAAACATTTGTATCTTGATTGAAGTTTAAAATTGGTACCTAGCTATTACGCAACATTATGTAGACATTTTCTTTTTGTTTTGTTTTGGGTTTTTATTGTTTTTTGTTTGTTTTTTTGTTTGCGTGGTTTCAAGGTACTTTAATTTTTTTTATTTTATTTTAAGTTCCAGGATACATGTCCAGGACGTGCAGGTTTGTTACATAGGTAAATGTGTGCCATGATGGTTTGCTGCACCCATCAACGCATCACCTAGGTATTAAGCCCAGCATGCATTAGCTATTTATTCTGATGTTCTCCTCCCCACCACAACAGAGGCTCCAGTGCGTGTTGTTCCCGTCCCTGTGTCCATATGTTCTCATTGTTCCACTCCCACTTATAAGGGAGAACATGTGGTGTTTGCTTTTCTGTTCCTGTTAGTTTGCTGACGATAATGGCTTCCGGCTCCATCCATGTCCTTGTAAAGGAAATTATCTCATTCCTTTTTATGGCTGCATAGTATTCCATGGTATAAATTTATCACCTTTTCTTTATTCAGTTTATCACTGATGGGCATTTGGGTTGATTCCATGTCTTTGCTATTGTGAATAGTGCTGCAATGAACATATGTGTGCACATATCTTTATAATAAAATGATTTATACTCCTTTGAGTATATACCCAGTAACAGGATTGCTGGGTAAAATGGTATTTCTGGTTCTAGGTCTTTGAGGAATCGCTGTACTGTCTTCCACAGTGGTTGAACTAATTTACATTCCTACCAACAATGTAAAAGTGTTTCTATTTCTCCACAGCCTTGTCAGCATCTGTTGTTTCTTGAGTTTTTAGTAAGCGCCATTCTGACTGGCATGTGATGGTATCTCATCATGGTTTTTAATTGCATTTCTCTAATGATCAGTGATGTTGAGCTTTTTTTTCATGTTTATTGGCCTCATGAATATCTTGATAAGTGTCTGTACATGTCCTTTGTCCACATTTTAATGGTTTTTTTTTCTTGTAAATTTGTTTAAGTTCCTTGTAGATTCTGGATATTAGACCTCTGTCAGATGGATGGATTGCAAAAATTTTCTCTCATTCTGTAGGTTGTTCACACTGATGAGGTTCTTCTGCTGTGCAGAATCTCTTTAGTTTAATTAGATCCCATTTGTCAATTTTTGCTTTTGTTGCAATTGCTTTTGATGTTTTCATCATGAAAATTTTGCCCTTGCCTATACAAGATACAGATTACTATTACTATTCAGGAATAGTATTCCCTAGATTTTCTTCTAGGGTTTTTATAGTTTTGGTGCTGGGAAAACTGGCTAGCCATATGCAGAAAATTGAAACTGGACCCCTTCCTTATACCTTATACAAAAATTAACTCAAGATGGATTAAAGACTTAAATGTAGACATTTTCTATGATCATTGCCTCCTCAATCATTCTTGCTTCCATTATTTTGTATAAAGTGAGTTGTGTTGCCAATCATTTCTGAATGTTAATCTTACCTCTGCTATAAACTGGTTTTATTGTTTAATGTTATATATTTTACCTTCTCTGTTCTTTTGACTCCTTAAAAAAGGCATAAACAATTAAAAAATTTATTACCATATCCTCACTGAAAATGATACAGAGAAAGGTAGAAGACTGAAAATTATATTGTGCTATTTTGTTTCTTGGCAATAGGGGCTACATAGATGCAAGATAGTATATTTGCAATTGGAAGAAATAGAAATCTGTGTTTCCAAGACTTTATCTAGAGTTTTAGATAAATTACAAATCTCCTCACACCCTTTCTAAAGGGTTAGTGCTTTTTTCACAGCAACATTTGACAAATTGGGATCAACAAGATGGACCTGCAGCTACTATTCAGAGGGCTATTTACTCTGGGATGTTAAATCTGACAAGTGATGGAGAGCACTACAGAGGCTCAGCTGCTCAGTGCAAAGAGCATTACCATTCCAAAGGAGAAGTTGTTCTCACTGTACATAAATATTAGTCTTGTATTATGTTCATATAAAATACAGTCTTAATTTCAAATCTACCTCCTATTAGTATCCCGTAAACATTAAAAGAACTGTGGGTGATTCGTCCTTTGAGAAGCTTCCTTAAATACAATACTTAGCCAATTCAGCATTAAAAAAGATATTTATTGCCAAATATCAAATTCAACTCAAATGTCATAAAAAAAAGGATTTCATAGGAAACTCACTAAATAGGTCATTTTAGTTGCAAATTCTTACTTTTATACTAGCGAGAAAGTGTACATTCTCTGTAGTTTATTTTCTTCTCTTCTCTGTGCCTTCTTTATCTCTTATTCACCAAAAATAAGTTGTAGATTTTCTGTCTTGGGAAACTCAGCCATTATACACCAAAAAATTCAACTCAAGCAGGCTACGTTTCAGCTAGTTTCTGTCTCTGTTCCAGAGGAAGAGAATACAAAATGTAGGGAAGGAAATCTAACGTTTCTGCCATTTTCCTATAGGTTTCATGCAAAAATTAGCCATGTGACATTAGAAAACATTTTATCACTGTAAACCTCTGTTTTCCTGTCTATAGAGTTAAGCTAAAATACCTACCTTGCAGTGTGATTGTGATGATTAATTAGGTACTATAGGTAAAGGTTTTAGCAGAGTCTAAGTGTTCAAAATAATTGAAAATATGCTGTTATTGCTGGAATAGCATGCTGTGACTCAAATGGCTGGGAAGCAAGAAGGCAGGAGTGAATAATGAATGTTCAGGATTAGGAGGGAAGAGGGATAAGGCTGTTATGACGGCTCTGAGGGTAGGGGTGTGAAAGAGGAGAAAGGGCACATAATTTTCAGGACTCAGTGAAAAGCGAAAATATGCACTCCTTCTTCAAAAGGTGGGGAAAAAGTACCATTAAAGTTATGAAGATACTTTATATAAAAAACTTTGGGCTGGGTGTGGTGGCTTACGCCTCTAATCCCAGCACTTTGGGAGGCCAAGGCGGGTGGATCTCTTGAAGTTGGGAGTTTGAGACCAGCCTGGACAACACGGTGAAACCCCATCTCTACTAAAAATACAAAATAGCCAGGCATGGTGGCGCATACCTGTAATCCCAGCTACTAGGGAGGCTGAGGCAGGAGAATCACTTGAATCCAGGAGGCGGAGGTTGCAGTGAGCTGAGATTGAGCCACTGCACTCTAGCCTGGGCAACAGAGTGAGACTATATCTCAAAAAAAAAAAAAAAAGAAAGAAAGAAAGAAAGAAAAAGAAAAAGAAAACTTTGTAAAGTATTTCTTTTAAAAATATTTTATTGTTTATGTAACATCAGGGGGTAATAGTGATGCATGCATAACAACATAAACATACAATAAAAAAGTATTTTCGTTTCATAATTTTATATAATACAATAAATCATAAGATTTAAACTATCGTAACTTCATTTATTATAAGGATTTTCTGGCCTGCTTTTCTGCAAATTCTTTTAATAAGCTACCAAAATATTACCAACTTCCTTTTCAAATAATGTAATTGAAAACTACATCAATGCTCTTGGCAAATGCATAATCACAAAACAAATTGGTAATTTTTAATTTTGAGAGAATTACTTTGGCTGATGCAGCCATTATTGGTGCTGTTAAGACTATATAGGTTGTGACAACTTTGGGATAAATCTTTGATAAATTATCTTGAAATGTGAATTTTACCAGATAAAGAGCTAATGATTCTTTTGGGACAATTGTTCTAAAAAGAACTCTTCATACGATCACTTTGTGTAAATCTGAATTTAATTTGATATGTAAATCTATATAATGGCATTGTAACATTTTCTCTGACATTTCTTGTAACTCAGTATATAAGAAACCAAAAGCAGCTTTACTATTTCCAGGTAATTTAAAACATCTATCTATTATTCTATTGTAGCATTCAAAAAAAAAAAAAAAGGAAAGTATTCTTTTCTTTCAAATGTAACAGTCTTCACACTGAATCTTTCTTCCTAAGACTGTGCATATTTCCTTTGCAGTGTTGCTGCTGTTTTGAAAACCAGAGATTCTAAACTCTTTGATGAATTCTAATAACTCCCTGAGTTATTTACTTCCTGAGTAATTGAGATATGCAACACCAATGCATATGCTTTTATTTTGTAACAAAGTTTATTGTTTAAACATTAGCAGTTCTTCTGACTGCATTTAGACTGGAAAGTTAATATTTTTACAGATGCTACAGGGACAGACTCCAGGGCCAACCTCCCACTGTAAGTCCCAGTGCTGTCCCGAAGCAGAATCCCTTCTCTTTCCCAAGGCCGTGGCTGCTGTAACACTTCTACTGCTGCTGCCGTTTTTGCTTCTGTGGCCACTGCCAGTGCCATCAATCTGGCCTCCCCAGTTTCCCCAGACTGCCCCAGATATGTGCATATGTGCTGGGCAACATGCCAGTTGCTTGGTGCCTGACACTGCCTGCTGTGCCCCCAGGTCTGAGCCCGCATGTGTTCACACTGCTGCCTGCTCATGTTGATGCTCCACTGCCCTATCAGACTTCACTTATGAAACACAAGTTCAAAGATACAATGATTAAAATTTCAGTACGCTGGTAGCAGAGTGTTAAACCAAATGTGGGGCCCTGTGGGACTGCACTAGGTCATAGCCCATGAAGCTGGTATTGTCCAAAGGGAGATGGAAACCTACATCCATAACAAAGGGATGCAAGTCTGCAAAAGAGACACACACTAAATACAGAATGCAGATTTTGAAAATTGTATGAAGGAAAGAAAAGGGTACAATGAAAGAAGGCATTTCTGGGTTGCCGTCCTATCTATCAGTTAAATTTGGCAATGATCTCATTTTCCTGAACCAGGTATGTATTCACGGGGCCAGGCTTCTGCAACCTAGTTGAGTTGCAGCCCCCTTCCCCAGGCAGCACTAATCTTCATACAGAAAGGCAACTTGTACTTCTCCCATTTAGGCATTGGCAGCATCAGGGTTACTAGAACATCTGCCAGATTTTAAGCAGTCTCAGCAAGCGGATCCAAGCTCTGGAGAGGAGGCATAAAGGTAAGAGAAGCTGTTAGAACTCCATCCAGTTAGGTGCACGTCAGGACAAGCTTTGAGCCTTGGAGGAACAGAAATACAAATCAGGCATTTGAACAGAAGCACAGACAAGAGAGCTGGGGACATACTGTGGAGATCTTTAACTCTTGAAAATTTTTCTAAGTCAGATTATTGAGGCCTTTGTCACAATACCTCAAAGTATTTCTCATAGATCTATTTTTATTGTATAAGCAGTGATTTTAAAAAATTATCTACCTAAACTAAGAAAATTTTATTATTTTATTTGAAAATGCATTTGTGAAGGTTGGGACTTACACGTATTCAAAAACATTGACATACTTCTATGGCATCATTCCAAGAAGACTGTTTGGTCCTACACAATTTCTTGGCTTCTCATTCTCTTTATATAACTCAAGCTTTATGAAAATCTCTTCAGTCATCTTTGTGAACCCTCAAAACTTTTAAATAGGGTCACTATAGTATAATATATGTATGCAAATTATATACGAATGGTGATCCTAGATTATTTTCTCCAAGTATATGAAACACAAATATCTTTTTAGGTTACTAAAGGAAACTATTTTAGCAGAGGTTAAAAAAAATTGATATACTTTTGAATTATTGACATGTTTTACCAACTCAGCACATTTTATGAAAATATGTTACTCAAAAATGCCTTTAGATGTTATTGAATTCAAACCTTAATTTAAAATGGCAGTTTCTGGTAGGTTGGAAAAAAGTGGTTTAAATGGAACTGTGCAGTAATTTCATTGCTGTGTATATAAATGATCCATCAATGCTTACTTGAAAAAAATGTTCCCTTTGAAATGTCACATGCAAAAAGAATTGCTATAATGCTATTATTAGCATTTAAAATATACCGCTCTTCAAAACATTACATCTGAAAAAGAGTCTGAGTCAGGTTTTCTGTAGAAAGCATAACCAAATCATTCCATATTTAAATTGCTGTTTGAACGTAATAAAAAGTGGATTTGCACCCTGGTGTCATATATTGAGAGATGCTGTCAGCAATTCCTATTGGTTTGGGGGAGTGAGAAAAACATACGCATAATGGATACTCTTCCTTGCCTACTCAATATTCACTCCTGGTTTCTCAACAAAAGAACCCCAGTTTTGTTTAGAATGCATTGAGCTCAACAAAGTAACACCTTTCTTCACCGCCTTACAGTTAAGGAGTGGGGCAGGAGACACAAGCAGAAGATGGTGAATCTCTAAGAAAATGTTTGCTTTCCTAATTTATGGCTTCTGCTATACTTCTTCATTCTTTATCTTTCCTCCTGCCAAGAGCATGAATGTGAGACTGGATACTGAGGATTCAAGCATGAGGATAAAGAATGCTAAGGATGGTACAGTAGAAAGCTAGAAAGAAAATAGGACAATTATAATTTCAGGTGAAGCTTCTGACACAGCCCTTGATAGTCTAGCTTGGTCTGGACTTCTTGTTATGTGAGAAAAATAATAACCTATTTACTTCAGGCACTGTGGGTAGGTTTCTTTAACATGAAGTTAAAAATCATCCTATCTGATTTAGATTTTGCATACAGCTGAACTTATTCCTAACATATATGTTGGGAAAACAAACTCTATAAACACTTAATATTTAGTAAATTTTTTTACCAATTCAAGCTGTATTAAAACTGTATGTTTCAATATATATTAATATAAATGTAAATCTGAAGTTCTAAGCTAGTCTGGCTAGTCTGCCCTACCTTGATGCAAATGGAAACATTTACCAAGAAGAGTATGGACTTCAACTTCCAATTCTTAAAATAAACCAAAATTTTCAATGTGTATGTTAATTAGAGCTCCAATTCATAATGGACTAGTTCCATGAATAGGCAGAATAAACAGTTCTATTTTAACACGAAGTCACATGGGAACATTCCCTGATTCTTCCACTTTTAATAAGCATTTTTTTGTTAATGTATGAGGGGTGTTGTGTGTGAGTCTACAAATCAACTGTACACAGCTTGATGCATTTTTTTCAGGGTAAATCTACCTATATAACCTTCACCCTGATCAAGAATGACAAAACTAACAGTAAAGCAAGTTCCCTTGTGTCCTCCCTACTGTCATGAAAAGACACCTGGTATCTTGACTTCCAACTCTATCGTTTACCTGTTTTTCAACCTTGTATAAATATAATTATTATAACAGTGTATACTATTTGTGTCTGGCTTCTTCTGTCCAACTGTTTTTTAATTCATCTATTATAATTGCATAGAGCAGTAGCTTATGTATTTTCACTGGTGTATATTATTCCATTGTTTGAATATATCACAAAAATAAAATTTTTCTATTCTACTATTGATTTACATGTGGGTTGCTTACTACATGAGGCAGTTACGATCAGTGCTTCTATGCACAGTTTTGTTCATGTGTTTTAGGAGAAATGTACAAATTTCTTGTGGCTGTATACCTAGTAATGGAATTACAAAGTGATAAATTATGTATGTGTTCAGCTTTCACAGATACAGCCAAACAGTTTTCCAAAGTGGCTTAACCAATTTACAATCTTCACTGCACTGGATAAGAGTTCCAATTATGCCACATCCATTTTCATTAACACACTTTTCCTTTAAAAAATTTATGGTTTTGGCTAGGGTTTGTGGTGGTATTTTCTTTAGCTTTAATTGACATGCCCCTGATGATAAATGGTATTGAGTACTTTTCATAGGTCTACTGACCAATTGGATATCTTTATTCATAAAGTGGATGTCCAGAACTTCTGCTGTTACTTCTATTTGGCCATTGTTTTCTTATTAGTTTTTATGGATCTTATGTATTTTGAGTATGAGTGTTTTGTTATATGAACAAATTGCAAATATCTTCTCCACTCTGTGGTTGCCTATTTATTCTCTAAATTTTTATTTTAATAAATAGATTTTAATTTTAATATATTCAATTTATAAACATTTTCTCTTTTTTTTCAGCTTTTATTTTAGGTTCGGGGGTACACGTGCAGGTTTGTTACATGGGTAAATTGTGAGTAGCGGAGGTTTGGTATACAAATGATCCTGTCACTCAGGTTGTGAGCACACTACCTAATAGGTAGTTTTTCAATCCTTGCTCTCCTCCCACCCTTCTCCATCTAATAGTCCTCAATATCTATTGTTCCCATATTTATGTCCATGTATACTCAATGTTTAGCTCCCACTTACAAGTGAGATCATGCAGTATTTATTTTTCTGTTATGTGTTAATTTGCTTAGGTTAATGGTGTCCAGCTGCATCCATGTTGCTGCCAAGAACATGATCTTATTCTTTATTATTGCTATGTAGTATTCCATGGTATATATGTACCACATTTTCTTTATCTAGTCTACCATTGATGGGCATCTAGGTTGATTCCATGTCGTTGCTATTGTGAATAGTGCTGTGATGTACATAGGAGTGCATGTGTCTTTTTGGTAGAAAAATTTATATCATCTTCTTTCATGGTTAGTGCTTTGATGTCCTATTTAATAAATCTCTGTCTACCCCAGGGACATTCTTTTATGATATCCATCATTCTTCTATGATAGCTATTATGTTTGTATGTATCAGCTGGGCACTTTATTTTTCACCTTTATTATTTAGATCACCAAGCCTTCTAATATTTATTTTGGGATTTAGTGTGAGGCACAGATAATTTTTATATGGATATTCCATTGATCCAGGGTTATTTATTGATAAAAATACACAAAGTTATAATCTGCATTGTTAACGAGGTCACCACTGTCATAAATCATGTATTCACATCTGTGTGGGTAATTTTTTGGACTCTATTCTTTGTTATTGTTCTTCATTACTTATGCCAGGTTATTGTTTACTACTGTGACTTTATATGTCTTGAAACCTGGCAATGTACATTCTACATTATTCTTTCATATTTTACTGACTGTTCTAAACCTTTTATGTCTTCAAATAAATTTTAGAATTTATTCAAAATTTGAATTTGAAGCTTGATGAATTTCACTAATCAAGCCTGATTAAGGTTTTGATTTGAAGCTGAATTTGAAGTTGATTCCATCAAATTTTGACGGAATTTGAGAAGTTGTTGTTCAGATTCTATTCAGATTTTCATTCAGATTATATCGCATCAATTGATCAGTTTATGGAGATTTGGAACATAGCAGACGTTCTAATTCTATTTATTTAGGCTTTCTTTAATGTCTCTTAGGAATGTTTTAAGTATATTATTAGGGTAAGGGTTGTTCAAATATTTTGTTAAGGTTGTTCTTAGGTATTTAATTATTTGATACTATTATACATTTTTTTCAAATTTCATTTTTTTGTTCCTGGTATTCAAAAATACAATTTATTTCTGTATATTGATTTTATATACAACAAAATTTACTTAATTTTAATTTTAATTGTTTATAGCTCTATAGATGCTTTTGTGTTTTCCTTGCACAAAATCATATCGTCTGTGAATGTCATTTGTGAATCAGTTTCATTTCTTCCTATCCAAGACTTATAATTTTTGTTTCTTCTTCTTGTCTAATTGAACTAGTTACAAATTCTAGTGCAATGTGGAATGTAAGTGGAGACAGTGGACATCTTCACTCCTCTGATCTTTCTCTGGATAGAACATTCAGTATTTCATGGTTAAATATGATATTTAACCTTTTTTTGTATATATACTTAACTATGTTAGGGACATTTATTTATATTCTTTCTTTCCTAAGAATTTTATCTTAAATGGGTATTGATTATGTCAAATGATTTTTTGTAAGTATTCAGATGATCACATGATTACCCTCCATTATTTAGTTGATGTTGGGGAATTATAGTAATGATACATGCATTCTTTCATTGCTCCACCAAATTTTTATTTCTACAATAAATCTCAGTGATTGTGATTTCATATATATAAATATATATATGTGAACAGTGTACATATATGTGTATAGATATATAAAACAGTTATAGATATATAAAAAACTGGGGATGATGTATGTATGTATAGATCCCATATATATTATATATTAAGTTTGATATTTGTATAGGCACACACATACATACTACAGACACATTTATATAGGTATGTATGTGCATATCATATATATGTAATATATCACATATGTAATATATCATGTATTATGGATATATTATGTGTATGCATCATAGATATGTATTTATTATGTATAATGGATTACACATATATATATTGAATGTAATTATTTGATTAGCAAAATGTAAAATTATTTTTGCACTTCTTTAGGAGAGAGATGTGTGTGCTATAAATTTTCTAAATTTTATAATTCTCTATATTTATAATAATCTTTATTGTATTTTTACTATCTATAGAACCTATAGGGATAATTCTTTTTTCATGTTGATATTGGTAAATTTGTGCTCTTTTTTAAATCAGTGTTGATAAGAGTTTATCACTTTTATTAGATTTGTCTTTAAAAACTGACTTTAGACTTTACTGAATTCCTCCAAAATTCCATTATATTCCCTAACATGAACTTCATCTTTTGTCTTTCTTATTTTTTCCTTCAATTTTTGGGGGATTTAACTACTTTTTTTTTTTTTTAACTTCTGAAGAATGTAGAATATCAAAACCAACTATATATAAAGCAAGTCAACAAATTTTAAGAAAAAGTCTAATAATCAGTGATCTAAGTATCCATGTGAAAAAGTTAAAAAAAAGCAAAGCAAATTTTACTGTCTTATTTTTATTATAATTCAGCTGAAAATATTTTGAACGTTTATGATTTTTTTCTCTTTTCATGAGATTTTTATAAATGAACTACTTAAATTTCCAACACTTCGTGACTTTCTTTTCTTTTTTTCATTTCGAGATTATGGGTTTGTCTCTTTCAACTTTATTTCTGGCAATTACTATCATATTTTGAAGCAATGCTATTAGATATATACATATTTAGAAATTTAGTATCTTCTTCAATGGTGTTTAAAATTATGAGTCTCCCTCTTTATCTCTAGTAATACTTCTTGTTTACAGTGTGCTCCATATATCCGTACAAGCTTTTTGTTGCTTAGTTTTTGCAAGGTATAACTTTTCCCACTCTTTTCCAACTTTTTATATCCTTATATTTAAGTTGATTCTCTTATATGCAGAATTCAGAATTTGAAAAATCTAAACTGATAATTTGTATTGTTAAGTGAAATAGTTCAATTATATTTATTTATCTATATTTTTAATTATCATATTTTATTTTTATACTTATTTTTAATAAAATGGTTAGGAATGCACAGGATAATAATTAATTTCAACTGAAGTTGGAGAATTCTCTTCAAAGATGGAGGACTACCAGTTTAAACTACCTTTTCAATAGTCAATAAGGCTAACTATTTGGCTGGAGATCAACTGAAGCTGCTTGGCATTGTGGGAAAAGTCTGGACTTTAAATTCAGACTTGAGTTCCAAGCTTGCGTCTGACAGTTTTTAGTCATTAAACGTTAAGCAAGTTACTAGTTTCTTGATCCGTTAGTTTGGTGCAAACAAGAATGCGGTTTTTGCCGTTACTTTCAATGGCAAAAACTGCAATTACGTTTGCATCGACCTAATATAATTTCCTCATCTATCAAATGATGAAAATATACAATAACTCAACTACAGAGATGATGTATAATTAAATACAGTTTATGCAAAACAACTAACAGGTTCTGCCAATATAACAGAGCCTGAACAAGGGTAACTGTCTTTGGAATTACAAGTAAAATCCCCTTGGAGTTATTTCTCATTCTCGCAATTAACATAGTTTGTGATGAGAAATTAGTTTTAACAAATAATGTTCTTTGTGTTTCATGAAAGTCATTTTATGTTGTCTACATAGCAGTCTGGTGACTAGACAAAGTAGAGTGTTTTGTTATTTTACAGAAGAAGAAACTTTGATCCAGAAACAACGTTGAGTGAAGGTTAGTCATTACAATTGTCAGGATAATTGTGAGTAGAATTCCTTGAAATCATTGTTCTTTGCCAAAGGACAGAGGGAGCTAGTAGATTAGAACACACTATCTCTGATATTATAACCTTTGCTTAGGGAACTACCTACAATTCAAACTTTATTTTTACTTTCAAGTTCCTTCTATAACTCCTAATATCCAAGAATTGTCTTTGTTTGTTTTGATTATTTCCTGTAACTGACTAATTACCCTCACCATTTGCTATTGCCTACTGGATATAAACACATAAGCCCATGGTTAGGATAAATCATTAAAAGTCACAGAAACTGCCTTTCTTTGGTCTGGGTTTATATTCACTTGTAGATAAAACGAGGAGGCTTAAGTACATTTTCAAGGTCCTTTCTAGATCTGCAAATTCATGATGATATGGAACCAATGCCTCTAATGCTAACAATAAATTCATGGAAGTGTTCTGTCATAAATTCCTTTTTAGTGCTATTGGATTTATTGTTAGGTAACTCATATTCAGCATGAATAAGGACACCCTGCCTTGAGACCTCTGTAAATAACTCATCCAACCACTGCAGGGTTCATCCAACTTTACAGGATGTTTTCTGCAGGAATGTTCAATAAATAGTTACTGATATATCCTTGAGTACATGAATGTTTTTGAAACCCCGATGCTTCTTTCTATTTCACAGTGGGAACAATCAGGATGGACTCTTGAAATTGCTTTTACAGTTTTATGACTTGTTTGGAACTCTTCATTCCACTCTCAAAGAAAAATGGGCATATTCAAGTTCACCTAAGATGAACTCCTGTAAAGCTTTCCACTCAAATGATTGAGTGATGTTAAGCAGTATCATGCACAAGAAATGGACTTTGGCAAGATATTTGTATTGATTGCCCTTGGAGTGTAGAAAAGGGTTAAGGCAATGAGAGAATAAAGAAGAGTTGGATTACTTGGTCACTGATAATTGCTCCAGCCCACAGAGCAAGGCTGATGCAGCAAATACAACAGACAGTATTAACCAGTTGTGAAACCAAGATAGGGATAATTTATATATTTTATTTAGTTTTGCACAGGACAGTAAAAGACTAATGTGCAGTAAAGCTGATCTGAATAATGGTACATATTAGATATTTTTTTAAAAGGTATTACTTTATTTCTTTAGGCTTAAACAGTAACTGAAATAATAAGAAGACATAATAATTTACAATTATACAAATGTTTCTAAAAACTAGTATGTCACAACAAGAGAGGATTTTGATAATTTTAGCTTAAATAAGAGCTAATGTCAGAGTACACTTCTGATAGAAAGATGTAAAGAATCAAAGATCCAAACAGTAATTGATGATCCCCTAAGATTAGTATAAAGATGCTGCAGTGGACATTACTAACAAGGAATTCTAGTTCTGAATAGGTTGCTAACTATGTGAACTTAGGAAATTCTTATAACTTCTGTGCATCTCAGTTCTTCTAAAAAGAGTAATAGAAATTGGACTAGACCAATGGATTTCAAACTGTAGTCCATAAATTCCTTGGAGATCCTGGAGCTATCATAAAGTGACTGTGAATTTACCAAAATACTGAGCATTGCACATTGTACTGAGCATTGTAAAGAAATAGAATATTTAAATGCCTATGAACTACAATGTATCAAACGCACCTACTTACTATTGTAATGAATAAAATATGTAACAATTCCTTATTAGCTAGATGACAGTGAAAAAAGTTAATCATTCTGTGTTTCAGTTTCCTCATCTGTAAAATGAAGATGTAATTAACAATACCTTCTTCATCACAGTGTTATGACTATTAAATAGTATAATTAAGGAAAGCTTTTGGAAGAGCACTTTGGACACAAACAACATTGAAAAAGATTAGACATTACAATTTTCATGATTACTATTATTAGAATTCTTTTTTTTTTAAAGACAGAGTCTCCCTCTGTCACCCAGTCTGGAGTGCGGTGGCATGATATCGGCTCACTGCTACCTCCGCCTCCCAGGTTCAAGCAATTCTCCTGCCTCAGCCTCCTCAGTAGCTGGGACTACAGGCACCCACCACCAGCCCCGGCTAATTTTTGTATTTTTAGTAGAGATGGGCTTTCACCATATTGGCCAGGCTGGTCTCAAACTCCTGACCTTGTGATCCGCCCACCTCAGCCTCCCAGTGCTGGGACTACAGGCGTGAGCCACCACACCCGGCCTAGAATTCTTAAAAGCACTGATGAATAATAGCATCTTACCACTATGCACTTTTTCAGTGAATGAATATTATAATGATTATGAGTGCCCATAAGGCATATTTGAACATAGAAAGATCATTGTTCTGGTTATTTACTGCTGAAAAACAAACTACTCCAAAATTTATCAGCTTAAAACAATTCTCTTATATTGCTCATGATTTTGTTGGATTGAGTATTCAGGAAGACCTCAGCTGGGTGGTATATCTGATCCATGGACCATCCACTGGAACAGCTAGGGCTGGAAGCTCAGCATCCAATTCATGGAAGGGGCTACACAAGGATGTGAATTCCAGGAGGCATGGTTTGTTGAAGCGGGAACATTTGTGGAAACTAGCTCTCACAGTCATTATTTGCGTGGAAGTTGAGGATGACTAGTGAGTTAATTCCTTATACCCCTTTCAGCTCTTGGATTCCATATATCTAATTGGTACTTGCTTAATGAGGAGGAGAATGCTTTTGTTAATACCACTGCCTCTACCACCAGGCATTTTCAATGCTATTTCTGTTGGCACATTTTTATTTCATTCCCAGGAGAGGAAAGCAGCATGCTCTGCCCACTGCAGACACATTTGCCATTTACAAGCCTGTAAGTGTTATTTCACCACTTATTTCTCTCTGTGTATTAGAGTGTGAGTTCTTTCCCTATTTAAAATCAAATACTGTCCTGGATTGCTCCTCCAATATGTCAAATTTTAAAGATGAAAGTCAACTAAGATTTTTGCTATTTGAGTATGTGGCAATAGACATCAGAAACAGATTATGTAGGGAGATGAATGTAATTTTTTTCTTTTTTTTTTTTTTTTTACAAAAAGCTTGAAGGGCTATACTGAAGTGCTCATTATCTAAACATATTGTTAGAGATCAAGTGGTTTCTGTCACAGGGCTTAAACTTCTTTAAATTGCAACCTAATCTGCATAGAAAAAGAAGGTGACTTTTTGTATGACATTGGACTTCAGACCTTGGTCTTTCTGTTTAAGTATACACAAAATTTAAGATTAATCACTTTTTTGCATGGCTTTTCAAATGTGAGAACTCAACTCCCAACTTTCAGACTAAGGAATTTTCAAATTTTGCTCCAGGTATAATAAGTTCTTCTAGCATCCTCCAGGTTCTCAGTTGACTGTTCCAGGTTCTTGATTGTAATATGACAGTGTTTCTCCTTTCGCTTAATGCTTGAGTTGTGTGCTTATGCAGTTTCATATATTTCAGGCATCATCTATTTGTGTTCTTGACCATTGATAATTATCTTATTAATTCTGGTTAGATGTCTTATTTTGGCTAGGGCTGGTGGACAGCCTGTCATATGGCCTCACGGAATATATTCACCACAGCTTCATAACCGTGAATATTCATCATAGCACACATATTTGTGACATTTGAAACTTTTAAGTAAGACACAGATGTTTGAGCAGATTTCTTGATTTATACTCAGCTCACAATTATTGAGTTTAAACATAGTAAATGGTTAACCTCATAGAGTGTCCCCTCCCTGCCCCTGGGAATTCTGAGTAATTCTAGCCAATGCATTTTTTTGAAATTTAATTCAATTCCCATGATAAGTTTAATATCTTGCCTGTGCTGCCACTGAAGATAAAAACTCTTGTCATGCATATATGCATCATATATACCATTTTGGCCTATTTATATTATTTTAGATTTAATTTTTACTACCTTACTGTGATTATGAAGGACAATTAAAGCACCAAATGCGCCCTGTTGGCCCACTTACTTGGTATAATGAAACAAGTATTTATATTTCCCTCCGAAGTGTTTGGATCTACTTTAGAACCACCAGAAATCTTGCTAATTCATGTAGTAGAAAGAGAGGTTGAATGAGTCATGTCAAGTGATCCATGAGATTAATATAGACAAATATGTCATATCCTCATGCATGCAGCTGTGAATGACATATCTACTTTGCCATCTGTAAACTTAATGGACAAAATGTCCCAGTGACTTCTTTAGAGTTCAGAGTAATTCAGTTATCAGCAGGCACATTTCCTGTTGCCTAATACCCAAATCTAATTCCATGGGGAAGCTTTAGTCTGGCTCTTGGAGTAGGTAGAAAAATCTGCTAACCACATTATGCTCTTTCATAACCACATTGAATTGTACTGTTAGCTAACACTGAGTAAATGCAAATGTCGTATACTTTGAGACAATATATGCTTTATATGAATCGATGTTCATTCTTGCTACATTTATATTTTAACTCAGTAGTGAAATTTAACAATGCACAGTAATATAAAAACTATCATTTATTTCTGTGCTTAATAAGATCTGAAATAAACCTTTCTGTAAAGTAACTATATAGCATCTTTAATTTACATTTTATTTATGTTATGTAACATTTGCTATTTTTATAATGAATGTCATATTATTTGCTCCACATTGAAAAATATGTAGCATTTCTTCCAGGAATATCTATTACCTTTCTTACTATCTGTCAAATCAAAATCTTAATTTTTCTGTTGCTTCTTATGTAATTATTTCAATTTACAGAATAAAATTTCTAATTTTTAATACACTTAATTTATATAAGAATTTCAGCTTTACAGAAAAATTGAGAAGATAATACAACAAATAATTTACCTAAACACACACACACAGATACACACTGTACATACACTTTTCTCCTATTATTAATATCTTACATTAGTGTGGGTCATTTGTTATAATTAGTGAACCAATACTGGTATATTATTGTGAATTAAAGTTCATATTTCACATTAAGTCTCCTCTTTGTGTTGTACAATTCTCTGGGTTTTGACTAATGTATAATCTAATTTATCAATAATTGCAGTTATCACCCTGGACTTGTAAGAGCTATTGATCTTGTTATTATCTCTGCAGTTTTAATTTTTCCAGATATTTATATGGTAGTAATCATACAGTGTATAGACTTTCAACAGTTCCTTCTCTTATTTAGCAATAAATATTTAAGGTTTTTCTATTTTTTTTGAGCTTTATACCTCAAAGCTTTTTATTGTTGGATAATATTACATCATATGATGTACCATAATTTGTTTATATTCATTCACATATTAAAATCAACTTGGTTTCTACGAAGTTTTGGCAATTATGAGTAAAGCTGTCATAAACATTCATGTACATATGTTTTCTATTAATTTTGGTATATACCAAGAATATGACTGCAGCCTCATATGATAAGCACATTTAGCTTTGTAAGAAGCTGCCAAACCATCTTCCAAAGTGCCTATGGGATTTTGCGATCCTATCAACAATGAAGAAAAGTTCATGTAGTTCCACATCCTTACTAGTATTACTAGTTAATGTAGCTCCATATTTTTACTAGTACTTGGTGTGCTCAGTGTTTTGGATTTTAGCCATTCTAATAGGTGAGCAGTAGTAACTTGTTTTAATTTACAATTCCCTAATGACATATAGTGTGGAACATCTTTTCATATGTTTATTTGACATGAGCATATATTTGGTGAGGTGTCTATTCAGATGTGTTACCCATTTTTTAATCACCTCATTTCTTTTCTTGCTGTGTTCTTTTTCAATTGTTAATTCTTATGGATACATAGTGGGTGAATGCATTTATGGGGTACATGAGATATTTTGACACAGGCATACAATGTGTAATAATCACCTCAGTGTAAATGAGGTATCCATCACCTCAAGCATTTATCATTCCTTTATGTTACAAACAATCCAGTTGTACTCTTTTCGTTATTTTTAAATGTAAAATAAATTGTTGTGGACTGTAGTCACCCTGTTGTGCTACCACATACTAGATCTTATTTATTTGATCTCATATACTTTTGTATTCATTAACCATCCCCATTTCCCATCCAACCACCCACTACCCTTCTAGCCTCTGGTAACCATCATTGTATTCCTTCCATGAATTCAATTGTTTCAATTTTTAGCTCCCACAAGTAATTGAGAACATGCAAAGTTTGTCTTTCTGTGCCTGGCTTATTTCACTTAACATAATATCCTCCAGTTGCTTCCATGTTGCTGCAAATGACAGGATCTCATTTTTTATGTAACGGAATAGTACTCCATTGTGTATATGTACCACATTTTCTTTATCTATTCATCTGTTGATAAACACTTAAGTTGCTTCCAAATCTTGTTTTTTGTGAGTAGCACTACAATAACCTGAGAGTATGGATTTCAGATTATCTCTTTGATATACTGACTTCGTTCTTTTGAGAATCCTAGCAGTAGGATTGCTGGGACATACAGTACTTCTATTTTTAATTTTTTGTGGAACCTCCATACTGTTATCCATAGTGGTTGTACTAATTTACATTCCCACCAACAGTGTATGAGGATTTTATTTTCTCCACATCCTCACCAGCATTTGTTATTGCCTGTCTTTTGGATAAAAGCCATATTAACTGGGGTGAGATGATATCTCATTGTGGTTTTGATTTGCATTTCTCTAATGATTAATAATGTTGAGCAACTTTTCATATACCTGTTTGCCATTTATATGTCTTCCTTTGAGAAATGTCTTTTCAGATCTTTTGTGCATTTTTAATGAGATTATTGGTTTTTTTTTCCTGTTGAGCAGTTTGAGCTCTTTATTTATTCTGGTTATTAATCCTTTGTCAGATGGATGTTTTACAAATGTATTCTCACATTCTATGGGTTGTCTGTTTATGTTGTTGATTGTTTCCTTTGCTTTGTGGAAGCATTTTAAGTTGATGTGATCCTACTTGTCCATTTTTGCTTTGGTTGTCCACACTTGTGGTGTATTACTGAAGAAATCTTTGCCCAGTCCAAAATCCTGGAGAGTTTCCCAGTGTTTTCTTTTAGTTTTAGTAGTTTCATAGTTTGAAGTCTCATATTTAAGTCTTTAATCTATTTTGATTTGATTTTTGTACAGGATGAAAGATGGGTCTAGCTTCATACTTCTGCATATGGACATCCAGTTTTCTAGCACCATTTATTGAAGAGACTGTCCTTTCTTCAGTGTATGTTCTTGGCACCTTTAGAAAAAATGAGTTCACTATCAAAGTATGGTTTTATTTTTGGGCTGTCTATTCTGTTTCACTGGTCTGTGTTTCTGTTTTTATGCTGGTACAATGCTGTTTATAGCTCTGTAGTATAATTTGAAGTCAGGCAATATGACTCTTCCAGTTTTGTTCTTTTTGTTCTTTTTGCTTGGGATAACTTTGGCTATTCTGGGTCTTTTGTGTTCCCATGTAAATTTTAGGATTTTTTTTTTCTATTTCTGTGAAGAATGTCATTGGTATTTTGATAGGGATTACATTGAATCTGTAGACTGCTTTGGGTAGTATATAGACATTTAAACAATACTGATTCTTCCAATCCATGAATATGAAATTTCTTTCCATTTTTTGTGTCATCTTCAATTTCTTACATCAGTGTTTTATAGTTTTTATTGTAGAGATCTTTCACTTCTTTGGTTGAGTTTATTCCTAAATATTTAGTTTTATTTTTAGCTATTGTAAATAGGATTACTTTCTTGATTTCTTTTTTAGATTGTTTGCTTTGACATATAGAAATGCCACTGATTTTTGCATCTTGATTTTGTATCCTGCAATTTTACTGAATTTATTTATCAGTTCTAATAGTTTCTTGTTGGAGTCTTTAGGTTTTACCAAATATAAGATTATATCATCTGCAAACAATAATAATTTTATTTCTTCTTTTCTAATTTGGATGCCTTTATTTGTTTCTCTTGTCTGATTGCTCTAGCTAGGATTTCCAGTACGATATTGAATAATAGTGGTGAAAGTGAGCATTCTTGTCTTGCTTCCAGTCTTAGAGGAAAGGCTTTTATTTTTTTCTTCATTCAGTATGATACTAGCTGTGGGCTTGTCATATATGGCCTCTATTATGTTGAGGTATTTTTCTCATATACACAGTTTTTTTAGGGCTTTTTATCCTGAAGGGTGTTGGATTTTATCAAATGCTTTTTCAGCATCAATTGAAATGATCATATGGTTTTTGTCCTTCATTCTGTTGGCATGATGTATCACATTGACTAATTTGCATGTGCTAAACCATCCTTGCATCCCTGAGATAAAACCCACTTGGACATAATGAACGATCATTTTAATGTGTTGTTAAATTTGGTTTGCTAGTTATTTTGTTGAGGATTTTTGCATAAATGTTCATTAGGAATATTGGCCTGTAGTTTTCTTTTTTGATGTGTCTTTGTCTGGTTTTGGCTTCAGAATAATACTGGCCTGTTTGAATGAGTTTGGAAGTATTTCTTCCTCCTCTTTTTTTTTGGAATAGTTTGAGTAGGATCAGTATTATTTCTTCTTTAAACATTTGGTAAATTCAGCAGTGAAGCCACTGGGTCCTGAAGTATTCTTTGCTGGGAAACTTTGTTATGGCTTCAATCTCATTACTTGTTATAGATCTATTCAGGTTTTAGATTTTGTTATGGTTCAATGTTGGTAGGTTTAGGAACTTATCTATTTCTTCTAGGTTTTCCAATTTATTGGCATATAGTTGCTCATAGTAGTCTCAAATGATTCTTTTAATTTCTGTGGTATTAGTTGTAATATTTCCTTTTTTGTCTCTGATTTTATTTATTTGAATCTTTCTTTTTTCTTCATCTTGCTAAAGGTTGGTTGATTTTATTCATCTTTTCAAAAACAACTTTTCATTTTATTTATCTTTGGTATCTTTCTAAATTTCAATTTCATTTATTTCTGCTCTGATCTTTATTATTTATTCTCTGATCTTTATTATTAATTTTAGGTTTGGTTTGCTCTTGCTTTTTTCATTCTTTAAGATGCATAATTAGGTTATTCATTTATGTTTTTCTACTTTTGCGATGTAGGTGCTTATTGCTATAAACTTTCCTTTTATTACTGCTTTTGCTGTATCCCATAGGTTTTAGTATGCTGTGTTATCATTTTCATTTGTATGAAGGCATATTTAAATTTTCTTCTTAATTTCTTCATTGGCCCACTGGACATTCAGGGGCATGTTTTTTGATTTCCATGTGTTTGTATAGCTTTCAAAGTTCCTTTTGTTATTAATTTTTAGTTTTATCCCACTGTGGTCAGAGAATATACTTGGTATGATTTTAATTTTTAAAAAAATTTTTTAAAGACTTATTTTGTGGCCTAACATATGGTCTGTCACATGGTGAATGATCCATGTGTGGAGGAGAAGAATGTATATTCTGCAGTTGTTGGATTAAATACTCTGTAAATATCTGTTAAGTACATTTGGTCTATAATGCAGAGTAAGTCTATTGTTTCTTTGTTGATTGTCTGCATTATCTGTTCAATGCTGCAAGTGGGGTAGTCAAGTCATCAGCTATTACTGTATTGGGATCTGTTTCTGTATTTAGCTCTAATAATATTTGCTTTATATATCTGAGGGTTTCAGTGTCGGGTACATATATATTTACAGTTGTTCTATCCTCTTGCTCGATTGACCTCTTTATCATTATGTAATGACCTCTTTTTTTGTCTCTTTGTAGTTTTCATCTTGAAATTTATTTTGTCTAAGTATAACTACTCCTGCTCTTTTTTTGCTTTCCATTGGCATGATATATCTTTTTCCATCCCTTTATTTTCAGTCTACGTGTATTTTTATATGATCTTTATATCTTTATATGATGAAATGTTCTTGTTGAATTTTAAGAGTTCTTTGTACAATTTTGGTAACAGCTCTTTCTCAAATATGTGATTTGCAAATATTTTCTCCCAATCTGTGACTTGCCTTTTAACTCTCATAACAGTGTCTTTTACAGAGAATATTTTACTTTTAATAAAGTCCAACTTGTCATTATTTTCTTTTATGGATCATGTTTTTGATGTTATATCTAATAACCCATCACCAAAATGTAGATCCCTATTATTTCTCCTTTGTTATTGTTCAAAATTTATAGTTTTTTTATTTTACATTTAGGTCTGTGATTCATTCCCCTTTTATTGTTCCAGCACCATTTTTTTTTTAAAAAAGATCATCCTTTCTCCATTAAATTGCTTTGTTTCTTTGTTAAAGATCAGTTCACTATGTTTGTGTTGGTCTATTTTAGAGCACTCTATTCTGTTCTATTAATCTATTTGACCATTCTTTCATCAATATCATGCTTTCTTGGTTACTATAGCATGATAATAAGTATTGAAATGAGGTATTCTTCCTATTTTATTCTCCTTCTACAGTGTATTGCATATTCTAGGTCTTCTACGTTTCCACATTAAATTTAGAATTAGTTTGTCTGTATCCACAAAGTAACTTACTTAGATTGTGTTGAATCTATAGATAAAATTTGGAAGAATTGATATCTTAATAGTATGTACAATATGAACACATTGGAGAATTCATATTTAATCCATGAACATGAAATCTCTCCATTTCTTTAGATCTTTTAAATTTCTTTCATCAGAGTTTTCAAATTTTTGTCTTATAAATTATGTACATGTTTTATCAGATTTAGACCTAGGTATATTATTTTTTGGTGCCAGTGTAAGTGATATATTTTTAATTCCCCAAATTTTATTGCTAGTATACCTGAAAGTAATGGATTTTTATATATTAATCATGCATTCTGCAACCTGGTATGATCACTCATTAGTTGGAGGAGTTTTTGTTGGTGGTGGTAATTCTTTTTTATTTTTTACAATTATGACCTCTGGAAACAACAGACCGTATATGTCTTCTTTCTCAATCTTTATACGTTTTATTCCTTTTCTTGTCTTATTTCCTCAGCTGGATCTTCTGTTACAAGATTGAATAAAAGTGGTAAGAGGGGCTATCCTTGCTTTGTGCCCCGTCATAGAAGAAATGCATCTATTTTCTCATCATTTAATGTGATGTAGCTGTGGACTTTTGGAAGGTTTTTTTTTTTTTTTTTTAAATCAAGTTGAAGTAGTTCTACCCTATTCCCAATTTGCTGAGAGTTTTTATCATGAATGAATGTTGCATTTTTGCAAATGCTTTTTCTGAATCTATTGACTTCTGATTGTATAATTTGTCTTTGTCATATGATCATTTGGTTTTTCTCCTTTATCCTGTTGATGTGATTGATTATATTAATGTATTTTTGTGATTGATTATATTAATGTATTTTTGAATGTTGAATCAATCTTGCATACCTGAATAAATTTCACTTGGTTGTGGCATATAATCCTTTTTATATGTTATTGAATCTGATTTGATAATATTTGTTGAGGAGGTTTTCGTAACATCTATGTTCATAAGAGATATTGGTCTGTAGTTTTCCTTTCTTATAATGAATGTCTTTATCTGTTTTGGTATTAGTGAAATATTGGCCTTATAAAGTGAGTAAAGAAGTGTTTTCTCTACTTCTAATTTCTGAAAGAAATTGTAGAGAATTGACAACATTTCTTCACTAAATGTTTAATAAAATTCAACTATGAAGCCATCTAAGCCTGTGCTTTCTTTTTACAAAGATTATTAATTATTGATTCAGTTTCTGTGCTTTCTTTTTACAAAGATTATTAATTATTGATTCAGTTTCTTTAATAGATACAGACTCATGGAGGTTATCTATTTGGTATTATGTATCTTTCAAGGATTTGGCCCACTTCATCTTGGTTACCAAATTTGTAAGCATAGAATTGTTCAAAATATTCTTTTATTACTCTTTTTAATGTCCATAAGAGAAGTAGTGATGTTCCTCTATCATTTCTAATATTATTAATTTATGTCTTTCTTCTTGGTTAGCCTGGTTAATGAACCAGCTTCTTATTTTGTTGATTTTCCCTTTTTTATGTATATTTTACTTATTTCTGATCTAATTATTATTATTTCTTTTTTTCTGTTTGTTTTAGGCCTACATTGCTATTCTTTCTTCAGTTTTCTATGGTGAGAGCTTAAGTAGTTGATTTTAGATCTTTTTATCTTTTCTATATACGTTCAACGCTATAAATCTCCCTGTAAGTACTGATCTTGCTGAATTCCACAAATACTGATAAATTGTATGAAATGCTTTATTTTCATATAGTTCAACATATTTTTCATTTATTTTGATACTTCTAATTTTATCCACGTGTTATCTGAAAGTGTGTTTAATCTCTAATATTTTTGGAGTTTCTAGCTATCTTTCTATTATTGATTTCTACTTTATTTTCATTGTGGTCTGACAGAATACTTTGTATAGTTTCTATTCCTTTAAGTTTGTTGAAACTTAAAAGAATGTTTTTATGGCCCAGAATGTCATCTCTCTTGGTGAATGTATCATGTGAGCTTGAAAAGAACATGCATTTTCTTGTGATTGGATGCAGCATTCTACATAAATGTTAGTTAAATCTAGTTTATTAATGATGCTGTTTAGTTCAACTGTGTCCTCACTGATTTTCTGCCTGCTGGATCAATCAATTAGTGATAGATTAGTGTTCAATTCTTCAACTAGAGGAGTTCATTTTTCTCTTTCTCTTTGCAGTTATATTATTTTGCCACATTTATTTTGATGCTCTATTTTTACGTGCATAAACATTAAAGATTATTGGGTCTTTTTGGAGAATTAACACTTTTATCATTATATAATGCTCCTATTTATCCCCAATAATTTTCTTCATTCCAAAGTCCACCCTACTAGAGATTAATATAGCTCCTCTAACTTTCTTTTGATTAGTGTTAATGTGGCATATCTTTCTTCATCCTTTTACTTTAAACCTACATGTGTCTTTATGTTCAGTGTGTTTTTGTTGATCACCTGTAGCTGGGTCTTGTTTCTTGATCCTCTTTGGCAATCTCTGTCTTTAAATTCTGTCTTTAAATTAAATTGTATTTATACTGTGCATATTTAAAGTGATTATTGATATGGTTAGTGTAATCTTGATCACGTTTTAACTGTTTTCTGTTCCCTACACTTGTTCTTTGTTTATACATTCTCTGATTTTAGTTGATAGTCTTATGATGCGATTCTCTCACTTATCTTAGTATATCAATTATACTTCATTTTTAATTTTTTCAGTGATTGCTCTATAGTTTTCAACATAAACCTACAATTAATATGTGCTCACTTTCCAATAACACTACGCTCCTTCATGGGTAGTGCAGGGGCCTTATGACCAAGTATGTACTCTCAATTCCTCCCTCCCATCCCTTATGTGATTGCTGTCATTCCTGTCACTTATCTATATAATTTCCTGGTACATTACTACTATTATTACAATGAACACATAGTTATCCATCAGTTTAATTAAAAATAAAAATTAAATATTATATTTTACTTTCATTTATTTCTTCTCTGATGCCTTTTCTTTCTTTGTGTACATCCGTATTTCTGACCTATATCATTTTCTTTCTCTCTGAAGAACTTCTTATAACATTTATTGCAAAACATATCAACTGGCAACAACTCAAACAGTTCTTGTTTGTTTGAGAAGATATTTATTTCTTCCTTACATTTGTTAGACACAGAATTCTAGGTTGGTGTTTTATTATTTCAACACTAAATATTTCACTTCACTTTATTCTTGCTTCCATAGTTTCTGGTGACAAGTGCAATGTATTTCTTATCCTTTTTCTTCTATAGTTTTGACTTCTTTTTCCCCTTCTGGCTTTCTGCAAGATTTTGTGTTTTTTTTTGTCCTTAGTTTTCTACAGTTTGAATATGGTATGCCTAGATATAGAAATTTTTGTATTTATCCTGCTGTGTGTTCTCTAAGCTCCCTAGATTTGTGGTTCAGTGTCTGCCATTAATTTGAAAAATTATCAGCCATTATTAATTCAAATATGACTTCTATTTTTCCTTTTTCTTTTCTACACAGTATTCCCATTACACGTATTTTACAACTTTTATAATTATTCCACAGTCCTTAGGTATTTTATTTATTTATTTATTTATTTATTTATTTGAGATGGAGTCTTGCTCTGTCACCAGGCTGGACTGCAGTGGCACGCTCTCGGCTGACTGCAACCTCCGCTTCCTGAGTTCAAGCAATTCTCCTGCCTCAGCATCCCGAGTAGCTGGGATTACAGGCAAAATGCCACCATGCCCAGCTATTTTTTGTATTTTTAGTAGAGACAAGGTTTCACCATGTTGGCCAGGATGGTCTCAATCTCCTGACCTTGTGATCTGTCCTCCTCAGCCTCCCAAAGTGCTGGGATTACAGGCACAAGCCACCATGCCCGGCCTATTTTATTTCTTTTTCCATTCCTTTTTCTTTTTGCATTTCAGTTTGGGAAGTTCTATTGGCATACCTTGAAGCTCACTGCATCTTTCTTTGACTGTGTCAGTCTACTGATGAGCCCATCAATGGTATGCTTCATTCAGTTACCGTGTTTTTTATTTCCAGCATTTCCTTTAGATCCTTTCTTAGATCTTCTCTCTGCTTACATCACCCAGTAGATTCTTGCATGTCATCTACTGTTCTACTAAGTCCCTTAACATATTAATATTAGTTATTTAAAATCCTTTATATGATAATTCGAAAATCTTTTTCATACTTGAGACTTTCTGATTCCTGTTATGCTTCCTCAGGCTATGTTCTCTCTTGCCTTTTATATTGCCTTTTAATTTTTTAATGAGTACTGGACATGATATATTGGGAAATAAGAACTAAGGTAATTAGGTAAGGTGTGTGGTTTATGCTAATCTAGCTAGGAGCTGAGCTATTTTTAATAAGTGTTGTAGCCGTGGGTGCTAGAGGCTTTAGTTTCCTCCAGTGTTCTTGCAGATTTTTTTCTTCCCTGTTGTCTTTGGCTTTTCCTAAGAACTCCTTCTTAAACTGTCTCTCTGTGTCTTGCAGTTCTCTCAGTTGTAATCCACTGTTACTAAACTGAAGCCCCATTAGTGTGCTGGTAAGGTGTTGGGGAAGGGAAACATTCTATAATCTTATAATGAAATCTCTTTCTTAGTGGGCATGAATCCCTCAGCTGTGAACTTCTATAGCATTTCTTAGCCTTTTATTTTTCCTTCCTTTATATTAGACAGGAAATCTGTAGGGGGTGGGAGTTGACTAATTGCCCTTCCTCCAGGTCAGATAAGGCTCCGGTAGTTTCCTCTGGAGAGCTGGCCTTTGTTATGGAGAACACAAGAGACATATTTTAAATGGTTACTTTTCCCTACCACCTGCCAAAAAACAGGAGGGAATTTTTTATTGTACATTTCATTAGTGAGTAGATTTAACTGAATCCCAAAACATTTTGATAGGTCATTTTGATTATATTTTATCATTTATTATAATTTCTTCCTTCATCCATGGGTTATTAAAAAAGGTACTGCTTAATTTCCACATTTGGGGGTTTCAGCTGTCATTGCCAAAGACCACCAGGCATACATCTGTGGCTGAACAAGTTGGTTTTATTTTACAAAACAGCAAAGGGATAACTTACACTATGAGGAACTGTGAGGCATAGTGGGAAGGTGTTATAAATTGTGGAAATTTTGTTTGATTGAGTAATTTTGGGGATGATTAAAGGATGTAGAAGTTTACTCTAGATTAGGCATTATCAGAAAGCAGGGACCATTTTATGATTGGCTATCTTACTAAATCTCATCTCTAGGTAGGTGACACTAAAGAGGGCTTGCAGCTATAGCTGATCAAGAGGGAGCAATTACTCATATTTCCCAGAAGTGGAGGATGTTTGGTGTTTTGTTGTTTGCATAAACATTGATCTTGTTTTCAACAGTGTTTTAAACTGAATTATGAAGTGGTTTTAATTTTTCTCATTCTATCACGGTCTCAGAGTGACCTTGTCTAACGTTGCTGTTTTGTGGGATTGTTTATACCCACCTGGAGAAGAACATGGTGTAACTGTGAGCACCAGGCCTGCTCTCACACTAAAGCCTAGCTATGAGCATCAGATCAGTTCTTCGATGTCATGGGCTGCTTTTTGGCTTTCTCACAAGCTATCTTTCAGTTATTGATTTCTAGTTTATTTTCATTGTGGTCAGGGAATACACTCTGTATGATCTCAGCCATTCATATTTCTTGAGACTTACTTTAAGACACAGCATATGGTGGATTCTGGTAAACATTTCATTTATACCTGAGTAGAATTTTTATCCTGCACATGTTAGATAAAATGATCTGCATTCATATCAAGTTTGTTAATAGTTTTGTCTATATATTCTATATTCTTCTGATGATTATCTTTACCTCTTTATTCTATTAGTTACAGAAAAGTGTGTTAAAATCTTTCAATAGAATTATGGAAATGTGTATTCTTCCTTTTGGTTCTGTCAAGTATTGTCATATAATACCTATAAGAATGTTATATTTAAATTGGCTGGGTATGGTGGCACATGCTTGTAGTCCCAGCTAGTTGGGAAGCTGAGTCAGGAGGACTGCCTGAGCCCAAGAGATTGAGGCTGTAGTGAGCTGAGATTGTACCACTGCACTCCATCCTGGGTAACAGAATGAGATGCTGTCTTAAGAAAAAGAAAAAAAGTTATATCTTTCTATTCAGGGTACTTTATTACTATTGTGAAATGTACCTTTTTATCTCTAGTAATATTTTTGTATCAAAGACATTTGTCCGATATTAATATAGCCAGAGATCTACCTTTTGGTTAGTACTTGCAAGGTATATATTTTTTAATGATTGTACTTTCAACCTATCTGTGCTGTATTTCAAATGTGGCTCTTATAATAGCACATGGTTGTGTTTTGTTTTTATCTGTTGACAATCCTTGTTTATAAATTGGAATTTTATTCCATTACATTTGATGTAACTACCATTATGTTTGGATTTAAGCCTACTATGTTGCCAGTTGTATCCTACTGTGCTAGTATCTCCTTTGTTTATTAATCCTTTCTTAACCTTTGAATTAATCAGGGATTTTAAAAATTCTACTTTGTTTCTTTTGTTAGCATCATACTTACAGCTTCTTTTAACATTACCTGAGAAATTTTTCTGGGGCTTATAATATTCTCCCTTCACATGTTAGAGTTTGCTTTAAATTAGTACATTTATTACTGCCTAAACAATACAAGAACTTTCTCACAGTTTAACTCCTAATTTCTCCTGCTTTTTGAGCTATTATTTTTGTTATCTATTTTACATCTAATTAACTTTTTAAAAATCAGTGTCATTTTATTAGTGCTTTTAAACAATTCATGTAAACATATATTTACCCACATATTTTTCCATTTTTGTTACCCCTCATTCCTTCCTGCAGTTACATGCCTTCATGTGAGGTAACCTTTATTCTTCCCAAATAACTCCCTTTAATATTTATTTATTTAATATTTATCATAGTGCAGGTATATTAGCAACAAATTCTCTATAAAGATGTCTTTATTTTGCCTTCATTTTTAATATTCTTTGATCTTTGAATAACTAGATTGACAGTTTTTTTATTTTTTGGTTTTTTACCACTTGAAAGATATTCTTGTATTGTGTTCTGGCTTCCATAGTCCTTGTTGAAAAGTTAGCTTTCAGTTTTATTATTGATCCTCTGAGGTAATAAGTGCTGTTCTCTTTCTTTGCTTGTTTTTTTTATTTAGTAGTTTGACTAGGATGTTCCTGTTTGGTTTTATTTGCATTTATTTGCTTTAATAAGGGTTCTTGAATCTGTAGTTTAATGTGTTTGTTTAAAGCTGAATATTTCTACCCAGTATTTTTTTTAATATTGCTTATTTTTCATTATCTTTCTCTTCTCTTTCTGAGCTCAGAAAGCGCTTTTGCTTCAGCCTAGAGGGGCTGCTGCTTTCTGCCTGGGTCCCATTCCTTAATGATACTATTTGGAGTAGAATATGCCCAGAGGGCAAAAGGCAGGGTGAATGCATATTATTTATGCTTTTCAATCCAATACAGTCAACTGCATCATGACCAGAACTGGAAGTCAACGATTTTATATTAAAATGATAATATTTGTAAAAAACAGTGACTGTATTCTTTGTAACTCTAAATTTATAAGGAAAATGATTAGATGTCATTCAAAATTATCTGAGAGGATGCCCTTGTTAGGGGAATTCTCTCAGGATTTGCATGAACAATAATATCTGAAGATCATTAGTATGAAGAGGGGATTGGTATCACTGGGCGGGGGGCTGACCTATCTACTGTGATAACTGCTTCTAATACAGCTGCTCAGGAGGAGAAAAATTTGCTTTTCTTTTGTCAAGAGAAGTAACAGCACCACATAACAGTTTGAAGAGGTGTTTTTACTGTCCAGAAAGTCAATCATGGCCTATGTGAAGGCTGTAAATCTAGAGAAGTTCAGCAACAGCACAGGAAGTGGTATGTGGAGGACACTGAAATTGATGGTCCAGGGTCATTTAATAAGGGTGGGTGTTTTATTACCTGAATGTCACAGCAATGGTGCCCAACAGAGCAAAGAGTTGGTTGGAAGAGAAGGGACTAGAGCACAAAGACCGGTGAGCAACAGGCAGCAGCTCTTATTATATATGCAATGGCCCTTCCCTACCACTTCACACGAAAAGAAACTAAAAACAGTATTATCTAGAATCAATCAAAAGGGGAACTGTATGGGCATTTGGCTAATGCGTATAAATAGCAATAGGAATTCATGGTTATATTTGGGGAAAGGGAATTTGGAGGAACAGACTGGATTTCCTACTAAGCGCTCTGTGGCTCTGGAACATAAAGATTTGTATGATTACTATAACATGACAAGGAAGGTGACATCTGGAATATGCTAGTTACACTATTATTTCTGTGCCTTATTCTGCCCTGTGTCATAATTATATGTGTAAATGTCTATGTTTCAAAGTTCTTTGAGTATAAGGACTAAATTTAATTTGCTTTTATAACCCTCTGTAGTGCTTGGTATAGGAAAACTATCAGATTGACTTTTTAAATGAACGAAAAAATTAATCAATCAATTAAAAATGGCAAAATATAGAATCTTAGCATCCTCTCTAGTTTTTTATTGCCCCCTCCCAGCTCTGATCCCTTCTCTGCATGTCTGTACCCTGTTCTCTGTTCTATATCTGCTGACCCTCCCCACAGCTTAACCATCAGGATCGCACTGACTGTTTTCCACTCTGGCTAAGGGAAGGACCTAGAGATAAGGGGAGAGAGAGATTGAGGTATTTCTTCCCCTCCGCTTTCTCCCTTCAGTGTCATTGCTGTGCTCCAGTGACTTCTACCTGAAAGCCAACCCTTCTTCCAAAGCTGGCACTCTCACTGGATTCCACTTGTACAGTTTTCTCCTCCTGCCTATTCAGGCCTAGAGATGGCAGTGGCTTCCCACCTTTGCTAGGCCAAGTGGGCCTTCACATTCCTCATTGGTTCCTCCAATCCTTCACAGGTTTCTATAAGTTCTCATTAAATTTTCTTTAAAAATCCCTTCTATGTGTGCCTTTGATTCTGTCAAGACCCTGACTGACCCACTTAGAAAGATCAAAATTAAAGTCAGGTGCAGTGGTCATGCCTGTAATCCCAGCATTTTGGGAGGCTGAGGCAGGTGGATCACCTGAGGTCAGGAGTTCGAGACCAGCTGGGCTAATATAGCAAAACTCCATCTCTACTAAATTACAAAAATTAGCCAGGCGTAGTGGTGGGCACCTCTAATCCCAGCTACTCGGGAGGCTAAGGCAGGAGAATCGCTTGAACCCGTGAGGTGGAGGTTGCAGTGAGGTGAGCTGAGATCGTGCCACTGCACTCCAGCCTGGGAGACAGAATGAGATTCCATCTCAAAAAAAAAAAAAAAGAAAAGAAAACAAGAAAAGAAAGATAAAAGTTAGTACTACTTGGTGGTAAGTGAGTTACTTTATTTTTCATACATTCATTTTGAAATATTACTGCTTTTGAACAATGTAATCCTATTTTAGGCAAACTATTTGTTCACAACATGACTGTGGAGTGATAGAATTGATTTTAGAATATTAGAATGTTTGGACCTTGATCTAAATAGTCACCTCAGGAGGTTTCTATGGGACTGTACTTATAAATCGTTTAGAAGATTGCTGTCCTCAGAACAATATTTATGTATTATATTTTATATTTTTTCTGAATATTCCTAGTGGTGGCAAAAGCTTCCTTTGTATTTGATTTTGGTACCAATCTTTAGTCTTTCAGACAAAAATTTGGAAATTGAACCAGATGACAAAAATGGATGGTAAGGATATGTCCCCTCCCCTAAAATGGATGAGTAGTACCCTAGCAGTACAAATACATTTGTACATGCTTATTTAGATGCATAAATTCTAGTATGTTTGTCAAAAACATTGTCTTTTTATATAAAAAACCACACCTTGTACATGACCATTGATTGTCTTCAAAGTACATGTGTCACTAAAATAAATAATACTATAATTTTATCTTGACCTTAAACTTACAGGTATTTCATAATTGGGCACTTAACAAATGTTTCTTATCAATAAATAGTATTTATTGAATGTCTGGGTGTTTGTAATATCATTGTTTATTACACAACTCAGCCTAGGAGTGATTATTCTTAACCTCTTAAAACAATATTTTTCCCTCTTAATCTGAAGAGTCAATATTTTCCCCTCTTTTAAAAACTGTATTTCTTCCTTGAAGTTTGTCAGTGATGGAGTAATTTTTCTCTTGAGATAATATTAGTGAGAAAATAGTGTGTGTGTGTGTGTGTGTGTCTGTGTGTGTATTCATCTTACATCCTCATTTATCTTTAAGTAAATAGCTATTTTCCAATGAAGATTTGTATTTAAAATTATTTATTACTCCCCTAAAATTCTTAGGGTAAGAACATAACCATTTGTATATTTATGTGAAACCATGAGAACACTATAGGTTCTTATGAAGAAATGCATAATGAATAAAAAACATGAACATCTATATAAGTACCTGAACCAAATAGAAATAGATATTTTTGATTGTTTTAAATTATAATGGCTTTAAGATTTATCTCATTTTAAAAAATAAGGGAATTTATTTTTCTCCCTTTTCCACCTTCAAGACTTCAGGATGATAAAGAGAAATGCCTGTCTCCCTTGGAATTACTAAGGAGAAATTATCTATTCTTCTTTCCCCTTCTCATTGGCTCCTTTCCACAGGAGGAAAACATTTTTATCTAATTGGCAATATGATGAGAACTTGATAGTCATTTATGCAGTTTTTTTTCTGTTTGGCACAGTTAAGATGCTAAACATTGTAATGACTTAATAACAACAGACCAAATCATAGATCTTTCTAGCTGAAAAGGGCTTTAAAAAATCATCCAGTTCCATCTTCAACTTTGAAATTGAAAGGAGCAGTGCCCAGAGAGATTCCTTTGTCTATGGTCAAACATAGATAAAATGTTTTTGTATTAGATTAAATAGTTGTTTGCATCTCTTATTTTTTCTTTTAAAACAAATGGCCATTATTTTATTTTTTTATGGGTAAGTAGTATTCCATCATGCATAGAAGTCACATGTTCTGTATCCAGTCATCCATGGATGGACACTTAGGTTGATTCTATACCTTTGCTATTGTGAAAGTGCTGAGATGAACATATGAGTGCAGGAATCTTTTCGGTGTAATGATTTCTTTAGCTTTGGTTAGATACCCAGTATTGGGATAGCTGGTTAGAATGGTAGTCCTGTTTTCAGTTCCTTGAGAAATCTCCACACTGTTTCCCATAGAGGTTGTACTAATTTACAGTCCCACCAACAGTGTACAAGCATTCCCTTGGGTGGAACTGGAGGCCATTATCTTAAGTTAAATAACTCAGAAACAGAAAGTCAAATACTGCAGATTCTCACTTTCAAGTGGGAGCTAAGTAATGTGTATACATGGACATGGAGTGTGGAATTGCAGACATTACAGGTTTAGAAGGGTGAGGGGGAGGGTGATGAGAAATTGCTTAATGGGTACAATGTACATTATTCAGGTGATGAATACACTAAAAGCCAAGAATTCACCAATATATAATATATCTATGTAACAACTGCACTTGTACCCCTTAATTGTATACAAATAAAAATTTAAAAGCAAATTTAAAAAAACCAATGACCATTTTCTGTGTCTTTCTTCTACAAATACAACTAGAAATAAGGTACAGAACAACTCTTGGCCAGGCGCGGTGGCTCTCAACTGTAATTCCAGCACTTTGGGAGGCTGAGGCAGGCGGATCACTTGAGGTCAGGAGTTCGAGGCCAGGCTGGCCTACATGTCAAAACCCCATCTCTACTATAAAAATCTATGGCAATCTATGGCATGGTGGCGCACCTGTAATCCCAGCTACTGGGGATGCTGAGGCAGGAGAATCTTTTCAGCCCAGGAGGCGGAGATTGCAGTGAGCCAAGATCACGCCCCTGAACTCCAGCTTGGGCAACAGAGCAGCCCTGTCTGAAGGAAAAAAAAAGGTGGGGGGAGGGGCAGACTTGCCTGCCAGTGCATCCATAACTGCCGTGATCACTAGTGGCGGTCACCCATATACCTCATAGAATTATTCCTTTGGATTTTTAAAGATTTCTGTAGGAGTTTTGTCTCCAAGAATATTTAAGCTCTTCTCTGTCTTGTGGAAAATGATTTTTTCCTGACATTTCAGTGATCACAAGGCAGCTGGTCTCATCTAAAAACAACAACAAAAAGCAAGTGACAGGATGACTGGGGGAAATGCTAGTCTATGTTTGAGAGGGCCGCAGATTGTCAGCATTTTTAAAAAGCTTGCAAAAGCTAAAGTGATGGACGTCAGTGACTGTAATGATTTCTTTTTTGTAGTTATTGCTATCAAAAGATGGCGCTGTACATATTTTAATGTGACTACCACCCAACTCAAAGGGTTGCCTAGGAAAAAAGTTGAAATTCTGACATTACTTAGATGAGCTGAAAATACTTATGTGATCCTCTTGTTATAATAAAATCTACCAGTGTTGAAAAAAATAGAAATAATCAATGCATGGCTTTAAAAATTCAGTCTCACACATTTAGGAAAAGATTCTACTGCACTCCTAAGGCAACTGCCTGACGGGTTCTGGGAAATAAGAAGGGAGTAAAAAAATATTATCTAGTTTTAGTAGATAGAAAAGCTCATTACAAATGGCATAGCTTAGCAGGAGAGATGAGAGTTGATTAGAGAAAAACACTGTTGGCTGGTCAAAATATCTGACAATGGAAAAATTAGTCAACTACACATTTTAGATAGTTCACAATTAACAAATGGCCCAATATTCTACACAGCATGACATCTGTTAGAAAATTTATTAAAATCACTGAAGCTACACCAAATATTTCAGTAGAAATATTTTGACTACAGAATCTAGTGGGATAGCCTCAATTGTGAGCCACAAAGTTGCAAAGTAACTAGTATCTGCCTCATCTCAGCCGTTCATAATAAGTATCCAACTAGCTTCAGGGTAGAGGTCTCTTTCTCTCTACTAGAAGCAAGGGAAAACAGGGAAATACATAATAACTGGTTCCCTGAAAACCAATGGGTGTTAGCCCTATGTCCAAGAACAGCAAAGCCAGGCTTTTTTGATCCATGAGATGCCCTTCTCCAATGCTCCCTTGAAGGCAGGCTATCTTTGAGTTTTCTTTCTGTCTAGTCTTTTTGGTACTTCTCAAGAAGTACCAAAAAAAAGACACAAATTCAAGACTTAGAAAGGCCTAATATTGATCAATGTATTGAGACCTATCCCCAGTTTATTTCTTAGAAACATCAGAATTCTGTACCTGACATCCTTGTTATCATTGTTCTGTACTGATAAGGTTCTCCATTCTCCATGAATCAGATTCAGATTCAGCCTTTCTCTCTACTTCTTTTTTTTTATTTTATTTTTTTTTTTAGACAAAGTTTCATTCTTGTTTCCCAGACTGGAGTGAAATGGTGTGATCTCGGCTCACTGCAACCTCGGCTTCCCAGGTCTCTACCTTTTTTAAAAAATGTAATCACCAAGTAAATTTAAGGTTCTAGCATTTACAAGGAATTCTTCTAGACACTACAGATTCTGACTAAAATGATTAAGGCCTACACATTTCTTGTTCTTGTGGAGTATACATTGTCCTTGAAAATTCTCCTTGAAAAGATAATAAACACAACTGGGTTAAGTTTATATTATAATAAATTTTACAAAAAGCAAGGTAATTTGATACCAAGCGACTAGAGGGAAAACATCTTTACAGGATGGTTGTTGTAGAGGACCTGATATTTCTGCTGATGAAAAAGAGTCAGCTAAGGAGAGATCAGGAGCTACAGCATATAGGAAAGGGGACCAGCAATGCAAAGAGCAGGAATAAACTTAACAAACTTTTGGAGCAAAAAGGATGGTGAAGCTAGATAAGACAGAGAACCCTGGTGTTGACAATTTAAGCTAAAAAGGTAGGTGGGAATCAGTTTGTAGGTTCTTGTACACCATAGCATGGAGATTGTATTTCATTCTAAAGGCAATGTGAAGCCATTAGAAAGTTTTAGACAGACTACTCGATTAATATTTTTAGATGATCACCCGGGCTTCTATGTGGGGAATGAATCACAGATGTGGTACTGGGGCAAATGTGGAATGAGATCTTTTAGATCATTCGCAGGAACCAGCTGATGTCAGCCTACAGATGATGGCAATACAAGCAAAGTTAGGAATATTCAGATGAAGAAAAATGGAAGATTTGTGATGTAGTCTGTAGATATAGTCCACAAGACTTTCTGATAAACAGATCACAGTGGTGAGAGAAAGAGAGGAATCAAGATAATTCATTTATTGGGCCAGGCATCGTGGCTTACGCCTGTAATCCCAGAACTTTGGAAGGCTGAGGTGGGCGGATCATCTGAGGTCAGGAGTTTGAGACTAGCCTGACCAACATGGTGAAACCCCGTCTCTACTAAAAATACAAAATTAGCTGGACATGGTGGCATGCTCCTATCTCAGCTACTCAGGAGGCTGAGTCAGGAGAATTGCTTGAACCCAGGAGGCAGAGGTTGCACTGAGCTGCGATCGCACCACTGTACTCCAGCCTGGGTGACAGAGTGAGACCCCATCTCAAAGAAAAAAAAAAAAAGATGATTCATGTATTGAAATGGAAACTCTGAGAAACAGGCTTTCTCTTTCTAATGTAGATTACCCTTATCCATGTTAGGATTTCATTTCTGATACTTGGCCTCATTTTGCTAATATGCAGCTAACTCCAGTATCCCATGGTACACTCCCTATATTTTTAATAGTGGGAGCCTCCTGGCAGCACATCCTAAACTGTCCAGGGACAGATTCTCTATGAAGTTTAATGAGGGCTAACATTCAGAGCCCCTCAAATGCACATGACCTTTCTAAAGTCCTAACAAGAGTCCTAGCACTGTGGTCATATAGTTTTGTAAAGTTTGCAAGAGTAAGGTAGCTCTACCATATTGATTAAGATTGTCTAATAACTTCTTTAAGCTTCCTTTAAGTGCACGGTCTTAGAAGGCCCATGGACAAAGCTACAGACAAGTTAAGTTGGGGATATATTTAACTTAGGTTTGGGGGACATAGTGGTGATTTCCATGAAAAGTTCTGGTGGAGGGATAACTTTGGTGACTATTGCTACTCACTGTACCACACTATAAAAGTGCAGGGTCAGTGGGTGCATTACACCATGAAAGATATTTACCAACTTCTGGCACCAGATGATGACACTGGAGGGGAATCAAAGTATGAAATACATGGAAACAGAGATAAGTCTGCGGAAAATTCTTCCAGTATTTAGATGAGTTAAAATGATTCCTATCAATGCTTAGAAAAAACAGAAGTTCCTTTTTAGTAGAAGGATGTTTGATAATGCAACATAGACAAATCTAAATGCACCATACAATTGCTTTTCCTTTTTTGATAGAAATTAAGCACAATAGAATTTGTCAAAATCTCTTTGTTTGTGAGGCATAAGTCTGTAACTGTACCACAAACAGGGAGGACATCTGTGTGTGAAGTCATGTTTTATGCATCTCAATTATCTACGATAAAACCAAAATTTGATCAACCTTGTCAAAAAGACTGAGTTATCTTTATCTTCTCTCTATAAAAATTACTACAAAATTATTGTCCTATAAAGAGTCAGTGTACAGAAATACAGACAAAAGTATTATAGAAGTATTTCAAGCAATTAGCTAGTGAAAACATATATTTTTCTAATTTTGTGAGATTTAAGGGATTTTTCAGCATTTAAAAATTGTAATTATTATTTCTCTTTTCAGTCTAAATATTCACTCTTGAACCTAATTTTGTTTTGTAACTGTGCAATTTTTTAAAAAATAGCCCCTCTCTTCCAAAGCGTTAAACGTTAGGCTTATGAAACCTAAATCCACTCACGCTTCTGTTTGAAGACAGAGATAACAAAGATGAAATTCAAGGACATTATGTCTTTCTGAGAACCACATATATTTGGATATATTAAATAAGCACATGCCAGACACTATAGAAAGGTAATTGTCAGGTAGACAAAGGGGTAATCCCTTCACTTTCCATCTTCTTCACATGGACTGGTGTAGATAACCTCTAGACCTTCTGGTCTACTTTTCCCTTACAGACTTTCCTTAGCTCTTATGTAAATTTCTCATGTTCAGATTAGCCACTGTTGTTGTGACCCAGAAAATTATCATAGCCATGTCACAATATTTAAAATGTTCTCGCTATTTCAAGTGAGGCATACTTAACATACATTGTGGGTTTTGTTTTATTTATTTATTTATTTATTTTTGTTTGGAAAGAATCTTTTAAAGCATCCTTGGTTATAAGTTAGCCAAAGCCTTATTTGCCACTTCATATCTCACAAATGCACCAAAATTTTTTGTCTTTCAAATTCTATTCTTAAAAGTGTGATGAAAGTCTGTGAAGAAAATGGCTGTAAAATGGTGCATATTGCTACTCCTGATGAGATTTTAAAGCCTAGTTTCTTCTCAAAGAAGATCTTAAAGTCAATACTGAAATGGAAAATCTAAACCAGATGCTATTCTGCCTATGTTCTATCAGGGAAATTGGCAAATTATGATTGTCAAATTCTTATTACTGGAAGTGCTAAAAAGAACATAATTTAATGTTCAGATCCCTTGATGCAATTTGAGAAAGGTTCTATGGACATTACAACAATTGGATCCAAGAATATTAACCTTAAAACACCTGGGTGTTGGTTCATTTTCTAAGTGCCACTAGGTATCTATACAAAATATTGTTATGTTTTCAAATTATTAACTGTGTTTCGAAAGACTGTGTGTGTATACACACACACATATACATATACACCCACAATTTGTGTATATATACATATACTATATATACACACTTATGTATGTATACATATGTGTGAAACAATATACACAACTTATATGTGTGTGTATATATACATACTTGTGTGTGTGTATATATATATACACATTGAAACAATAATATAAATTGTGAATTGATAATACTGTAAGGAGTGCTGTACACTTAAACAATGAGAAACAAAAGTCTCAGCATCTAGGGACAGAAAGGTAAAGTTCTTAAAGAATGTGAGTTTTGTTTTGTGCTGGATCTCATGAGACATGATGGGCAATGATTATTCAGAGAGCATAATTTCAAAGATTAAAGTAGTACAAATAAACAAATTTTATTAATTTTTTTAAAAATTTATTATCTGGGGAGGGATTGTAAAATGGAAATGCCAAAAACAGATGCAAAGAACTGTTCAAGGATAAGTCAATTTGGCCTCCTTATATGTTAATCCAGGTTTGTGTCATGGCTTCCCAATGATGTGCTGGTAAACATTTAGCAAGCAGCTCTCTGGGGAAGAAAAAACTAAATAAAACAAACAAACAAAAACCCCTTCTTTGTAGTGTTGCCAATTCCCTTGGTATAAATACAACCACATAACTGATGTCAAGATACCAGCTTATACAGAGTTGGGGAGATCTGTGCAGCTGCAGATGATTGTATAGAATTTCCACCATACAAATACAATAAATGTAAATAATCTCAAGAACAAAAAGTAAAATGTAAAATAAGTAGGAATTACTGAGTTTTGACTATTATCTATCTTTTTTATATGATTTATCTAATTGTATGGCTATATAATTTAATTTTAATAATGATTGTGTTTGACAATCAGCTCACAAAATTTAAAGCTGGTTTTTACGGGCCAGTATAAGCCAGTTCCAACACCACTCTCCTTCAGGCCACATTAAGGATTAAGCTTTATCCTAAATGCAGTGTGGAAAGCCATTAGGAGGCTTTAAGGAGAGGAGAGAATGTATTCTATTTTCATTTTTAAAGGCTCATTCATGCAGCTGTGTGGAAACAGGTTGGAAAGGGATGAGAGAGGGAATGCAGAGCCAATTAGAAGATTATTGGTGTCTGCTCTCCTAGAGGCACTCTGATCTCTGACATAACATGGGCTACAAAGGATATAAAGCTATTTTTCTCTTACTCTAGTGAAAGCACACTTAGACATTTTTACAAGAAAACCACAAGAGAAACATGAAACAAAAAAGGAAATGCAAAAAAAAGCATGGAATCTAAATGAACTTCCAGAGCAGATTCTATCTCCTACCTATAAATTACCTTGAGCCAGACTGGCTCAGCTTGTCAGATCAGGTTCCAGAAAACACAAGCCTAATCCTTTAAAAAAAAAAAAAGAAAGAAAGAAAGAAAGAAAAAAACACAAAACTTTAATTCTTCCTTATTTAGTTTTCCAAATGTGTATTTACTTCCTGCTTCTGCAAATATTCTCCTCCACTAATATTTGTTTTGTTTTGTTTTGTTTTTTTGTTTTTGAGACAGAGTTTCACTCTTGTTGCCCAGGCTGGAGTGCAATGGTGCGATCTCAGCTCACTACAACCTCAGACTCTCCCAGATTCAAGCAATTCTCCTGCCTCAGCCTCCCAAGTAGCTGGGATTACAGGCATGCGCCACAACACCCGGCTAATTTTGTATTTTTTTTTTTTAGGAGAGTCAGGGTTTCTCCATGTTGGTCAGGCTGGTCTCAAACTCCTGACCTTAGGTGATCCGCCCACCTCGGCCTCCCAAAGTGCTGAGATTACAGGCGTGAACCACTGCACCCAGCCCTCCTCCACTAATATCTCTTTCCTTGGATATTTTAGCTGCTAAATGGCTTCCCCGACCTCAGCACATTGCAGTGGGTCCTTCCAAGGCATCACCATTTCTTCTCTTTCACAAGGAGGCCAATTCTTGCATGTCGTAACATTTTTAAGGTGCATTACAGTTGACATAACACTCCCACCTACTTTGTCTCATTTAAATCTCATTAACCTTTTATGGTGGGGCAGAGAGTACTTATATTTACTAGGTATACTTCCTAACATTTGTGGGGATTTTGAAGTTTAGAATCCCAAATAGCATAACATTTGAGTCATAAAATGCAAAATACTGAAATTTTAAAAGCAATTTCATAGGTACAGGATGAGTGTTAAATATAAAGTCATTAAAATATAATGGCTATCAATATTTAATTTCTACTGGAGGTCTCCAGACTGGTGTGTGGAGGCTTCCCAAGGAGTGCGTAGGTACTTGCATAGTTTCAGAAAGGACTTCTGAGATCCTTAATTTTTATATGTGCTGTTCCCTAAAAGTGATTTATCTAAGAACTTACTTCCCAAACAGGTCTTCTTTCCAGCTTCCTCTTTCATAACTATTCTACTTTTACCTTATAAAATACAAATGTCACTTTTATCTATTTCTAACGTCATCAAAGTACACTTTCCTGGGCTCAAAAAGTCCCTTTGTGTCTAATATTTGGACTATTTGAAATATTGTTGTAGGTGTCAGGAAAGTGAACGATCTCAATTACTGGGCAATAAAATTTTTTGCAAGTCCTGTATTTTCCAATTATTGTCTTTCAACAGAATTGAAGAAGATCTTGATTAAGTTGTTGGCTAATATATCTTTGAAATAATTTTATATGATAAATCACTAGGGCATGTAACTTGGAAAGTGTTCAACGAATTGTGTGTCATTACTATAATAAAACTACTTCCATTTCTATCTGTATTTTTATGTGGACAACAGTTTTTTAGCACTTCCATCTATAAAAAAAATAGGAACAGAATCGATGATGAATCCTGGTTCACCTAGCAGCGAGTCATATTCATCTACAGATAGAAGCTTCATATATCTTAAGAAATACATTTCCAATATTTTTTCCTTTATGTTAATAATAATTCATCAAAGTTTGTTATACAGTTATGCTGTTACTATTGCATACTACTATAAATTATAATGATCACTCAACTCAAAATACTTTTTAAACAGAACTATATGGTCCCAGGAAATTCACACAAAAGATTTAGAGGCATACATTTTTATTGCAGAAAAATATAATAGGGTAATCAATAACAGACTTTCCACCATAAAACATACGTTAGCAAGATAAAATTCTGTAGGGTAAAGGGAATGGAAGTAGGAGTTTAAGAAGGCAAAATTGATGTTTCTCCTAAAAAGTGCTTGTTCATGTATTTTTTTAATGGATAATGGTGGCTCTCAAATCACTACGATATATGGATTCTTTGGAACCAATTTAAGAATGATGTAAAAATTTTATTTTAAATTGCCAATATTTATGTCATGCCAGAAATTATATCATTTATAAGTAGTTAAAATTAAGACAAAAGATTTTAGATGTCAACTTAAACATTTGTGAAAGGGCACATAATTTGTAAATGTTCTTTTAGGGCATACATGGGGAAAAATTGTTGAAGACTTCTGTCTTTCACTGTAAGATATTAGATTGAACATCTCCATGTATGTTTATTATTTCTATCCCTGCGACACCAGCAGCTTTTTTCTTCTACTCGCAAGCCACCCTTCTTTTTTAATTGCTCCATGAGGGTTATTGTGTATGCAGGTCCAGAAGAAAACAACAAACCATGTGGTGCCTGCCCGGCAGTTAACAAGGCTCATGCCCCAGCACACTGGCTCATTTCTGTACAACAGCCCCTTACTACATGAACCTCAATTTCATGCCTGAGTAAAATTACAAATCACCACATGTCATGGTCCTTCATGGTCACTTGCACAGAGTTGACATCGTGAACATAAAACTTGTAAATACTATGAATCTACTAAAATTCCCCATTTACAGATGAAGAAATTGATGTTCCAAGAGACAAAATGACTTGCCCAAATTTATACTGCTGGTAGAAGGCAGATCCAGGTAGGTCTCAAAACTGTAAATCTGAATTTACATTATATATATATAATATATATGTATGTGTACACACATACACACACATATACATACCTGTGTGTATGCATATGTTTATATTTATATATCAGTGTTTGCATGTGTAAATTAGCTGAAACTAATATTAGACTAGTGGAACTATTGTGCCTCAACCTCAGAGACTGTACATATGATGCATAGAGAAGAGGTCCTATGAGGTGGACTCTTTTGTTCTGCAGAAAGAGAAAGAAGTGGGGAACTGGAGGACGACATCCTATGTGATCCCTGTCAGCCACTAAACTTTTTTTTTAATCTTATAGGTAGAAAAAAAAGTGTATATGCAGAAGACTGAGGAGCTTCTTTTCAGGTGGGACTTTGTGTGACATCAGGGCAGAGATTAGGTTTTCTAGAAGCTCATATTTGAACCAAGGAAGAAGAGGGTCATCTTCTCTATCTCTGCACAAAACACAGCACTTCTCTGGCATTAGAAAAGGAATGTGAGAAGGGGTCTGGCTGCTTTAGGAGCATCAGGAAAGGGCACCTGGACCTGGATAGCAATCATTCTAATGGAACACAGGAGGAAGGATGGTACCAGTCAGGTCATTTTCAGAGGGGTCCTTTAAGTGCTGGCATAGCGATGGTAGGCTACGAGCAGAAAGGGAGCACGCAGCAGACAAACACACTCATTCACAGAATGGTTCAAGACAATATGTAAAACTTCAAAATGCTTTCGGGAATTTTTCAAGGACCTAGTCTACCTGAAAGTTTGTTGGTTAATAACCAAACAAAAATAAAGACAAAAGCAAAATTAGAAACTGGATATTAGTCCTGTTGTGATCCCATTTGTGCCTCTAGGCTAGTAAGGCCTAGGTATTTGAGACAATGTATGCATTCATATATTGTAATGCATCTATATTATATGTAAAAATGTATTTTGATAAATTCATAAATGTTTCTCACATTCTTTGGTTTTACCTTATCAGCCAGATGTTCATTTGTTGAATAGATATTCACTGAATATCTGTTGGGCTGGGAGAAAATGATGAACAAGACATACAAAGTCCTTGGGTTTTTTTGTTTGTTTGTTTGTTTTGTTTTTTTTCAGACAGAGGTTCACTCTTGTTGCCCAGGGTGGAGTGCAGTGGCGTGATCTTGGCTTACTGCAACTTCTGCTTCCTGGGTTCAAGTGCTTCTCCTGTCACAGCTTCCCTAGTAGCTGGTATTACAGGCATCCACCACCACGCCTGGTTAATTTTTTTGTAGTTTTTTTTAGTAGAGACAGTGTTTCATCATGTTGGCCAGGCTGGTCTCAAACTCCCGACCTCAGGTGATCCACCTGCCTTGGCCTCCCAAAGTGCTGGGATTACAGGGTTGAGCCACTGCACCCAGCCAGTCCCTGCTTTTATGGAGCTAATAATCTAGTGAGAGAAATGGTTGGTAAACAAACAAACAAAAATGGTGTGATTTCTAATAGTGATAATATCATGAGGCTTCTTTACATGGACGTAAGAAAGGTCTCCATGGGAAGTCATCTGAGTAGAGACCTAATCCCCATCATTTGAAAATATAGTGTAGTAGTTCTCAACCCTGAGTGTACATAAGCATTACCTGGGAGACTTTTTTAAAAACTAGTGCATAGGCCCCTTTAAAAACCATTTAAATAAAAATGTCTAGAAATGGGGCTTGGGCATTTGTATTGTTAATAGTTCCCCGGGTGATTCTAACGTTCAGTCATTGTTGGCAACTTCTTACTCAGGTAAAAGTGGGGCAAGCAGAGATAATGGTATATTCACACTTATGTGTCCACAGATATATGCTTGGCAGGCAGAAGGAACAGAAAAGAAGGGAAGAAAAAAAGAGTTGAGATCAGAAAGAAAAGTATGGCCAGATCATGTAGGCCTTGTGAGGTCATGGTAATAGGTTTATACTTTATTTTAAACATGAGAAGTCATTATATTATACCTACTAGGTCATGTTGATAAAAGGGGAGAAAGAGAAAAGAAACAGAAAATTCCCACTTTTCCAAGCTTCTCAATGTAAAAACACAAAGATACATTCTTTTTAATCACGAGGTCATGTTAATCATCCAATCTCTGGCAAATGAATGAGTTTTCCCTACCAATAGAATTTAGAGAGAAATGAAATGTTAATCTGTTGAAGATGAGCCACCGTCACCCTGAAAAGAAAAATAAGTGGAAGGACACTGTACCACTGGATGATGTCATGGAAGGAAGGAAGGAAGGAAGGAAAGAAGGGAGGGAGGGAGGGAAGAAGGAAGGAAGGAAGGAAGGGAGGGAAGAAGGGAGGGAGGGAAGAAGGAAGGAAGGGAGGGAGGAAGGAAGGGAGGGAGGGAGGGAAGAAGGAAGGAAGGAAGGGAGGAAGGAAGGGAGGGAGGGAGGGAAGAAGGAAGGAAGGAAGGGAGGGAGGGAGGGAGGGAAGAAGGAAGGAAGGAAGGAAGGGAGGGAAGAAGGAAGGGAGGGAGGGAGGGAGGGAAGGAAGGAAAAAGGTACGTATGGAGGGTGGAAGGAAGGAAGGGAGGGAGGGAGGGAGGGAAGAAGGAAGGAAGGAAGGGAGGGAGGGAGGGAGGGAGGGAGGGAGGGAAGGAAGGAAAAAGGTACGTATGGAGGGTGGAAGGAAGGAAGGAGGGAGGGAGGAAGGAAGGAGGGAGGGAGGAAGGAAAAATAGTCACTATGTATAAATACACACAATTGCAAGGAGTATAGGCACACATATTTAGAAATCTGTGTTCAGGATTTATTGTTGCTGAAATGCAAAGAAATGCCATCTCAGCTAAGAGCTACTTTTAAATTGTTGTTATTTGACATATTTTTAATGATCTAATTTTTCTATCTCAGTGTATGTTCTTTCCCTGCTGTGGTTTTCTGTTTAGCCCTATCTGTTGGAAAGAGACAAGTAAAGAACTGTTTATCCTCAAGATGAAATATTTCGACAATTAAGGCCAAGATTTCTGAAAATACATAAATTGAAATTTATGCTTTTTTAGAGCACTTAAGAAAGAATAGCTTACTAATCTATCACAAATATAGAAATGCAGATATAGAGTTTGCTATGTTTTCTTATTTTATTTTATTGTACTGATTGTGAAATGTTACGAAGCAAGAAGGATTTTGTTTCCCCTAGAATGAAAAGAGAACAGTCATAAAGTCCAGTCATTCCATTGAGCTTCATGTAGCACATTGGAAGAGTTGTTATAATTCCCACTATTATTCAAGTGTGTAATTGTGTTTTCCTGTGGAAACTAGATAAATATTTACCCATTCCCCATAAGCAAGTGACTCAGAGCTTCCTATACTACGTGAAACTGCACAAGTGCTATTAAGAAGAATATTCCCCTGGTTATAGTTTATTAGCCACTAGAGACAATGGGGCCACCAACCAGGGTATTGAGATCCTGTCCCCCAAATGATCTTCACGGCGTTGTTACACTTTCTCTCAACTTCTTTAGAGGAAAACCTGACCCATGATATGGAACACAGTCTTCATAGGGAGATGAATCTGAATTTGAGCCTTGGCTTAGCTACATGCCAGCTAACTGACAATGAATGGATGTGCTACTGACTTCTCTGACCCTCTGGGTTCCCTCCGCTGCTCAACATAATTAACAATACTTGTCCTAGTGTGGTTGTTATGGCACTAGGTGATTAGAAACAAACAAACAAAAAAAACTTTGTTTTGAACCTCACACCTAGTATATAGCACATTTTCTTTTTAGTTTAGCACAATATGTTTGGTCATTTGACATATTTTAGATACAAATTACACAAACTATCAACTCAAATTTCTACAATGGCTTCCTATTTCAAAGCTGTGTTAATGAGTGTATTCTCTCTAGGTAAACTCATTAACACAGGATTGAAAGATTGCTACCATTGGGGCTTAACCTATGCTGATTAATAGAGAACCTATTTCTGACTACACATCCCACCTTCTATTCTGATACATCTACATAGTATTACTCTACTAATGTTTTTTGTTAGAATATACCAAAGATTTTTCGTGTCTATGTCTTTGATCATACTATTTTTCCCTACCTAGATTTCTTCCACATAATAATCAAATCTATGAAAATTCTACTCATCTTTCAAAGTCCAGAGCAAATGGCTACTCAATTAAGTTTTCCTTAATTCCTGTAGTGAGATTTAATTCTATGTTCCTCATTCCTCTGTTATAGCATGTAATGAAGCCATTATATTATAGTTATTTGTATAATGCTGTTTTGTACATCATTTTGTGAATTACATGAAAAAGGAAATTTGGCATAGGTCACTTTGCATCAATACTTTTTATGGATTGAATTTATATAAAAAGACTTAAGTTATCAATGTTATTAAAGGTTTAAATAGAAATCAGGTTTTACATTCATTGCTAGTTTTTTCTTCACTCTATTTTCTTTATTAGCACAAGGACAGTAATATTCTACCCAACTCTTTTAGCAAGGTTCTTTCCATTTGGATATCCAGATAACATTTTCAGTCTGAAGTCCAGCTGTTTGCAATTTTACTGCTTGTACTCCAACTCAGGCCTCACTTAAATTTCTTTTAATGGACCATCTGTTCAACTTGTGAGTGTTAGTGGTACTAAAGTGTCCTTCTTGAAAATTTTGAAACTTTTATTTCTTTGAATCCTTAAGTGTCTGTACTTCTCTATATTTCTCCACTCTGTGGGAGTGGCTGAAGGTTTAAGCTCCAGGCCTTGTTCCTTCACCAGCAAGCATGACCATATCTTCAAATCAATTGTGTTCAAGTTATTTTGCTCCTATTAAGACCAAACTTACTTTAAATGTACAAGTGTTTTGTAAGAAGGGAAAGTTTTATCATTATGTTATCCCCTTCATAATGGTTCATCTTTGTTAGAAAGTCAATGTTAGAGAAAGGTACATGGCTTTTTGATTAAGACAATTTCATGTCTCTTCTGAGCTAAAAAATATTGACAGGCAACATCTTGGTAGTATGAGATGCAAAATACAACCATACATTTTAAGGACTTATGCTTACCAATGGAGCTCCGTAGCGTGTTGCCTGAATCAACTTCAGTAACTGACAATTCCATCTGTGCCCTTTTCAGGAACATCTATTCAAGATATTTACAGCTCAGATATGCAGGTTGGTTCTGGTATTATATGCTCCATATATTCTTTTCAATCTTTTCTCTCCCATGTAAAAGTGTAAAAATAGACTTTTATTGAGGTTTCAGGGCATCTTTGGTGCCACAGTAGCTCAAGAAGAGCCTTTTATTTTTTTAAAATAAAATTGTAAGTGTCCTAGGACTGTCATATACAGGAGACTAAGCTCTTTTGCTATTTAAAAATTTTATGTGATCATAAATCTGTTCCATAGTCAAGTTACAGTTTTATAATACATTGTAACCTTTTCCTTTTTCACGTCCTCCATTTTTTCCAAGGGATACATGTGCATTTTATTAGTTTTATTTCATTTAGAAAAATCATGGTATTTTTAATTTGCAAAATACCCTGCATTGATTGCATTCATTAATGACAGTTGCACGAATTAAGAGAACAGCATATTTGTAGATGACAAGTCATCAAAATTAGAATTGGAATTCAAGAACACAATAATTGCATGGAAAGAGAAGCACTGCCAAGTAGCCTTGTTTTGTGAGATGCCCCCTCATGTAGTACATGAGCCCAATAACATATCACTACTAATTTCTCTGAGGTTTACTTTTGGTTTCAAATGAAGTTTTTCATGCATTTCCACACATCTGGATTTTATAGCACCCTCTTTTACTCTCCTAAGCAAGTTTCATCTGTCTTGATGAAAAACATTTTTAAGTCGGAAACTCTAAAACATTTACAGAATAGCTTCTGTGCGTCAGAACTATAATATGAGAACACTTTTCATCTGCCTTAGAGCATTTTTCTTTAAAGAATTTTTGAGTGCTTAAAGTCATTGTTGCTACAAATCTATTTAGCCTCCCTGGGAGGGAGTGACCAGTAATAAGGTACTTATTTTATAATTGAGGATGCACACAAATCGAGTGAGATAATTTGCTAAAGGACATATGATATATGCTAAAAGAATGTCTATTTGCTTGTATATCTATGTTGGAAGATGGAAGAGAATAAGTTTCTTGAATATTAAGCTCCAGGTGCTTAATTACTACAAAAACAAAAGGATTTTTATCAGATGTACAAATTTACTCTTTGGTTCTGTAAGGGACAATTTTTGTTGTTTTCTGGCTCCCAAAGACCTACTGTTTGGTTCTTATTAGGAACAGTGCTCCATCATACTGGGGAAGTCAGTGAGGGTAGATATTCTGTCTTAGTAAGACAAATGACTTAGAGTTACACAAACGATTTCTTTGTGGGACTCATCTGAGACTCAGAACCTTGAAAGAGAGCTGCAGAGATTTAGGGAGACTTAGAGATTATTCTTGGTGCTAACAATGGAGAATAGAGAACAGTGATGAGAGCAGGAAGTGCCCCATGGCCGTGCTGTCCCAGCGCATCCTAGCCAGTTTCTGAGGCATGACTATGGCTTGATTCTTGACTCATTAGACTACAGTGCTTCCTGGCTGATTCGAGTCTAGTTCTTAATCCTCCCCAAATGTTTGTATCTTTTCAAAACATTCTTCTTCTGCTTAAATTAGAGTTTGGTTCTGTTATTTAAAACCCATAACCTTGTCTGGAACTTCTTATTCAGTAAGAAGATCAGTACCAGCAGCATGGCCTCAGTAATTACATGTATGCTTCTTATAGAGACCTTCTTACAGGAACCAACTGGAAGGAGTTCTAAATATAATTTAAAGCATTCCAGAAGTGGAATAGACTGCATTTTCATTCCAAGTCAAAGATACAGGAGTGGAGATATAAAAAATAAATCTGAAAGCAGACATCATTACAAGAAGCCATATTTGGGAAATGTGGTGTGAAAGGAACCCTGGGATGAGAGCCAGGGAATCTTCCACCACCTCTTACTTACCCATTTACTTAGCCTGGTGACCTCAGGTGAAGTGTTTTCTATCTCTAAGCAATCGTTCGTTCATCTGTACAAGATAGATAATACCAGCTGCAAAGCCTATTTCACAGGGCTGTTAGGAGTAATAAAACATAAATATCAGGTAAGCAAATAAAAGTATGCTCTAAATAACCTTTTTGTTATTATTATATTTATATTGTACAAAAGATGAGCATCAGGCACATGACCTTGTTTCCATTTTATAATGATGTTTCAGAGTAATTTATAGAAGTCTTAATCCTTTACTACAGGTTCTAAGTTTGGCACAGTGGATAAAGGGCATCATTTACAGTCAGAAGGGACTGAATATGAATCTTTATTTTTCACAACAGTTTATTACCTGTGTGACCCATGACAAGTGACTCAAACTCTCTGAGGACAAGCATTCTATAAAACAGAACAATATAAAATAGACATACTAACACTAATTTCAAGAATGCTATAAGGTTAGCAATATATATATTTTATAAATACTTATCTATGGATATTTACATAATGACAGATAAGTGAGATTATGCATGTCAGGCCTGCCATTTATTAGTTACATAGCAAGGAAAAGTTATGTACCTCTGAATTCCAATTTCCCATGCAAAATGGGAGTCATTATAACAACTATCTCACAGATTTTTTTTTAGAGCTTAAATGACAACACCGTAAAAGCATTTAGGACATTCAGCCTGGCACATAGTAAGCTGTCATAACAATTAGCTATTATTATTATTTTTAAACAAAGGATTTTACCCAGTAGACATGCAGTAAATGAGTATGTTCATTACAGTTTTTGCTTTCTAACAGGTAAATAATCACAGTATCTAATCAGATATATTCCTTCAGATCAAGGAGATAAAGTAGAATATGTGCACTCATACTTCATCTTGTCCTCTATCTGCTTAAATGAACAGAATTTTTAGGTTCTTACCACCTGTCAAGCAATTATTTGCCATCAACCAAGATCAATTTTGAACTCCAGGGAATGCCATAGGAACCAGATATTTGTAATTGGAGCTGCTTGACCATTGGCAGTGGAATTATTCCTTCTATCCTGCACACGCCTCCCCATACATCAGTTTTCCAGTTTCATTTTTATTCACTCCTTATCTTAGGCATAGAGACCTGTCTAAAGTTTGTCTACTCCTGTCTATTTCAGAATCCTCAAGGGCTGCTGCTGCTAGTAATTAACACTATGTCTACCTGCAAGATAGTGTCCTGAATCATCATAGGCAGCCATACTTTTTAAAAATATTTATTTATTTTCAATCAATTTAGAGGTTTATTTTTAATTTTTAATTTAATTTAATTTTAAGTTCCAGGATACATGTGCAGGATGTGCAGGTTTGTTACATAGGTAAACGTGTGCCATAGTGGTTTGCTGCTCCTATCAGCCCCTCACCTAGGTATTAAGCCCCGCATGCATTATCTATTTATCCTGATGCTCTCCCTCTTCCCACCCCCAAACAGGCCTCAGTGTGTGTTGTTCCCCTCCCTGTGTCCGTGTGTTCTCATTGTTCAGCTGCCATTTATATGTGAGAACATGTGGTGTTTGGTTTTCTCTTCCTGTGTTAGTTTTCTGAGGATGATGGCTTCCAGCTCCATCCATGTTGCTGCAAAGGACATAATCTCATTCTTTTTTATGGCTGCATCATATTCCATGGTGTAGATGTACCACATTTTCTTTAGCCAGTCTATCATTCGTGGGCATTTGGATTGATTCCATGTCTTTGCTATTGTGAATAGTGGACAGCCCTACTTTTAAACCATTGAGTGCAAGAGCCCGCTTGTGCTCTATTGAGAAAGAGATCAAATACTGCCAGGTTGAGTTAAGAGAAAGAACCAATGGGAGATTGTCCAGGATGCCAATCTAGCAAGGCCTCTGTAATGGTTTGGCTCTGTGTCCCACCCAAACCTCATCTTGATTTATAGTCCCCACATGTTGAGAGAGGGACGTGTAACCCCCACATGTCAAGAGAGGAAGGTGATTCGATCATGGGGGCAGTTTCCCACTGTTCTTATGGTGAGTAAGTTTTCATGAGATCTGATGGTTTTATAAGTGTTTGGAAGTTCCTCCTTCATTCTTCTATCTTCTGCCACCCTGTGAAGAAGGTACTTGTTCCCCTTTGCCTTCCACCATGATTGTAAGTTTCCTGAGGCCTCCCCAGCCATGTGGAACTGTGAGTCACTTAAACCTCTTTCCTTTATAAATTACCCAGTCTTGGGTATTTCTTTATAGCAGTGTGAAAATGAACTACTACAGCCGCTAAAACATTCATAGAGATAGGATGAGATGGAGCAAAATGCAGAAGAAATTTTTCCAGGAATAGCTTTAAATCATTACCTGTGTGTGTTTTGAAGCCATAGTATGATAAAGAAGCAATAATCAAAATATTTAACAATAGGTACGCCCACAATATCAACCAATCAGAAGTGAACATAGAGCAATCAAATGGACACTGGCAATAAACAAGGCATTTGGCTAAAGTGACATGAAACAAGTGAATAATACATTTGTTAAGATAATGCACTTGTGTTAAAAGAAAGACACCCTCCTCAAGGAACATAAATTACGATATTTTGGTACCATATTGCCTTCTAAAAGACACAGTTTTGAATAATTGCATCGGTCTTATTTGCTGAATGGAATATGCCAGCTTGAGGCCACAGCTAAACTGCAGTGATGTACACATTTCACTGGGCCTTGGTTAGAGGGGTGCCTTATAGGTTTACAAGATATAAGTTATACAGTTTTCTACTGGTAAGAATCTTACACCCAAGTTGAATAAAAAATATAAACATATGAAAATATGATTAAAAACAAAACTAATGCAAAGAAGTGTGCAATGAAAAATGGTAGAGAAAATTTATATGCATAGTAAATGTCAAACCAAATGTCAGATTCTGTTTTGTTTTTTGTTTTTTTTTTTCAGAAATTTATGGGGTCTTTATTTTTTATAATAGATAAAAATAGCTTGCATTCCATTCCATATGCATTTGAAAACCATGTGGGATGGGAGTTTTCACCTCCCCTCTCCTATCACCAATGACCCCTGGTAATCTCTGGTTCTGGTCTCCTACCGCCAATGGATGTGCCGGCTCACTCAGGCCTCACCTCCGTGACTGGTTTCCTTTCTCTGCTCTGGGCCACCACAAGAGCAGAACATGGTCCCTTCAACTGTTATGATCTTATTTCACTTTGTCCACTATAACAGTTGAAAAGCAATGTCTTATTTCAATTTAAATTTATATTAATATTGGGAATCATTTTTTCAGCATTATTTTCTACTTGTGTAAATTGTTTGATCTTTGCCTATTTTAAAGAAATATCTTACTCTTGAAGTATTATCTTATATATTATTATGAGTTTCTTACAAATTAAATATATTACTAACATTTTGTCAGTATGAGTGCAATTTGCCTTTAATGTTGTTTATGGTATATATGACATATAAAAAGTTTAATTTTTCATGAGTTAAATGTATTAATCTTTTCATCTCTGAGTTATTCCTGTACTTTAAAAATCTTATCCATCTGAAAATCAGATAAAATGTTCATAATTTTTTGTTTTCATTATAAAAATATAGATTCTCATTATAGAAAAAATGGGTAAGGTAAAAAGAAACAAAATGGCCAGGCAGGGTGGCTCACGCCTGTAATCCCAGCACTTTGGGAGGCCGAGGTGGGTGGATCACCTGTAGTCAGGATTTGAGACCAGCCTGGTCTACTAGGGGAACCCCATCTCTACTAAAAATACAAAAACTAGCAGGGAATGGTGGCGGGCACCTGTAGTCCCAGCTACTCGGGAGGCTGAGGCAGGAGAATTGCTTGAACCTGGGAGGTGGAGGTTGCAGCGATCTGAGATCATGCCACTGAACTGCAGCCTGGGCAACAAGAGTGAAACTTAGTCTCAAAAAAAAAAAAAATACACAAAATGGAAAATAAAAATCATATGAAGTGTTTCCTCTCAGAGATAGTCAGTGTGTTTTATGTACACATTTAACATTTGTAAAATAAAAATTGAATTATAACTACTATGTAATTGTATATTCTTCTTGGTCTATTTAATACAATGTTACAAGCATTTTCTTTGAATATATTCTCTGACCGCTTGACAATAGGTTTACTTTCATAGGATAGATGTTATTTTGATTTTATCAACTGTTCTTCCCAGTGGATCTCAGTACTATTATAAATGCTTTTAAATAAAATTATTGCTGTTATCTAACGTTTAGCTGCTGCACAGTGCTGTCCATGTGAGAAGCAATCTGTCAATAATCAACGAAATCAATAATTTAAAGCATTAGCCCTTATGATTCATGATTTGATGCTGGTACAGGCATCCTTTGTTCTTTAAATTCAATCATTTTTGAAAATGTATTTGATAGCAAATTTGAGGATAAGAGCTTATATTCTACATTGTAAATGGAAAGAATAAAAATGCATTTCAAACCCATCCAAAAATCCCAAAAGAATTTTCTGAAATATGCTCAAATACTTTTAAATACTAAAAGTATTTAAATAATTTACCAAGAACTTCTGCATAATATAAATTATACAAAATGTCAACTGTCTAATTCCTTAGTATTTAATGAACTCAGTAGAGTGTAGTACATGGTATCAGCTTCAAATTATATTTCTCTCCTGTAACACAGCAAATATGAACTTCATGTAAACGTATTAAAATAATAAAGATGTATATCAAATCCAAATAAAGTATCAAATAAAATAAAATGATTAGGCAATAAAAAATAGTTACCATTGGAAGGGTTACAAGTGAAGTTTGATGGCAGCAGAAACAAGGTGATGTCAACCACTTGGTGTCAAAAATAAAAGAAAAACCAAATGGAAAAAGTGGCCAGCTAATCACCGTCATTATTCTGGAATGGATAAAGGGAGAATGTCAGTGAGGTGAGGAAAGACTGAGTCATGCATGTCCAAATTCAAGGAACTTGTGGACTTGTCTTCTCCTCAGAAATAGAAAATCAGAAACTGAATGCTAAAAGCCATCCTTTAAAGCTATAGCTGAATCTATGAAACAAGAAATTACTCAAATAGGAAACTTTTGCTTCTGATCATATTGGAATAAGGAGTCCAGATTTACCCCCCCACACACCTATAAATATACATATTGGAATAGCGTGTTTTAAGTATTTCTCGTTGTATGTGTATATATATATTTGTTATAGTCAGTTTTTCTTCAAATAATGATTTTTTTTGGTAAAAGTAACTGCAAATCCTAATAGCAAATATTTGGATAGTGAGAACTCTGATAGCAAAGGATACCTTTGTTCTGAAGTTTTGTTTATTTCTCTATTCAGCACATACTATATATAGCCATCTGCTCTGCTCCAAATGGGACATTTTAGGTCTTACTGTATCTTAATTTCTCTTTGGAGGAGTATCTATTTGTGGTGTTCTCTCATTTCCAAACTCCTCACATGCATGCCATGTGACCTATATTGTAAAACAAACTGTCCCAGACATACCCCCAGAAGTTAGTGACAATCTGTCCCTTGTCAATGTCTGCTACTCTGAAGAATCACTGACTGTATCTTTTAGATATTTAAAAGATAGAATATTATTTAAAAGAATTTTCTTTAGGACGTGAATTCAGGCAGATCAGTAGTCTTTAAACTAGGGTCTACATATGCATGGATATTGCTGTGGTCTGAATGTGTCTCTCAAAAATCACCTGTTGCAACTTAATCCCCATTGTGATGCTGGTAAGAGGTGAGGCTTTTTGGGAAGAAATTAAGACATGAGGACTCATGAATGGATTAATGCCATATAAAAGGGCTGGAGAGAACTAGCTTAGGTTCTTTTGCCCTTCCTCCTTCCATCCTACGAGGATCCAGTGTTCATTCCCTGCAGAGAATGCAACAACAAGGCACCATCTTGTAAGCTGGGAATGTGGCCTTCACCAGACACTGAACCTGCTGGTGCCTCAATCTGGGACTTTCCAGCCTTCAGAATGTGATACATACATTTGTGTTCCTTATAAATTACCAAATCTCAGGTATTTTATGATAGCAGCATAAATGGACTAAGAAAAACATACACAAAGGCTTTCCAAAGGCACAAATATTTGTAAGAAAATCTACTTTCAGATCCTTAAACTACACCCAAGGGGGAGGTGCTTCATTCCATTTCTCCATCACCAGCTACCCATTTACAGTAGCCCTTCTCCTTAGTACAGAAGGACATACCTATTACACATCCAATATTGTAACATATTGGGATGTTGGGAACAGGCCTCCCAAAATCTAGCCATAAACTGGCCCCAAAACTGGCCATAAACAAAATCTCTGCAGCACTGTGACATGTTCGTGATGGCCATGATGCCCATGCTGAAGGTTGTGGGTTTACAGGAATGAAGGCAAGGAACACCTGGCCCTGCCCAGGGCAGAAAACTGCTTAAGGGCATTCTTTAGCCACAAACAATAGCATGAGTGATCTGTGCCTTAAGGACATGCTCCTGCTGCAGCTAACTAGCCAGACCCATCCCTTTGTTTCCGCCCATCCCTTTGTTTCCCATAAGGAATACTTTTAATCTATAATCTATAGAAACAATGCTTATCACTGGCTTGCTGTCAATAAATACATGGGTAAATCTCTGTTCAAGGTTCTCAGCTCTGAAGGCTGTGAGACCCCTGATTTCCCACTCTGCACCTCTGTATTTCTGTGTGTGTGTCTTTAATTCCTCTAGCGCCACTGGTTAAGGTCTCCCCGACCGAGCTGGTCTCCGCAACATGATGCAGTTTTCAGGAGTTTAAAAACATTCAAGACACAAATCAAGAGACAGTTTGAAATACTGGTGTCTGTAAAACCTTTTGTAAGCAAAATATTGTGTCCGGAGTTGTTTCCTTCCGGTGGGTTCTTGGTCTCGCTGACTTCAAGAATGAAGCCGCGGACCTTCGCGGTGAGTGTTACAGCTCTTAAAGATGGTGTGTCTATAGGCCTTAGTGCCATCCCCCATTTTATACACATTTCTGTTATAGGCAAAATATGACATCAGAAATGTGTTATTTTGTCCCGTGCTACTTTGGTTATGAATTCAGACAGATAATTAAATTTTATCAGTTTTATTTAATAACCTCTTATCTCACTGACTTTCTGATTTTTTTCAAGAAATGAATCTTACCCAAGGGAGAATCTCTTGATATACTTTCCAGATAAGAATTTGAAACAGTATCTCTTGCTATTCATTTGCTTACAAAACATCCAGACTCTAAAGTTTTCATTGTTTATGAGAAAATGTAAAGTGCTAGTAAATATGTATATAAGCTTAATAGTTTTACACAATTATTTTGAAGTTGGCTTTGAAAACTTCATACAAGTCTCAATGCAAAGGTCAGGACATTTCATATAACTTATAAAAAGTTTGTTATACCTGGTGCACTTTTAACAGATAAAAAGATGTGACATGTCAAGCCTATGTTTGAGATTAAACACATTTTCTAGTTAGATGCCCATGTGATTTGTGGAATGAGAAAATTGGCACAACATAGGAAATGTCTCTTTGCAAGTTGTGATGAATAAGAGCTATGACCTACAGACTGGTGAAACCTTGGAGGTTTCCAGTCATTCCATGCCAGTAATTTATATCTGCCTCTACAGCAATGAAAAAAGCATTACTGATGAGATTATAGCATTCAAAGACTTGTACATGATTCAACTATGGTTGTTATTTTAAAAACTGTGGAATCGCTTTATTCAAGTTCATGTAGAGTCACAGAAAAAAAGGTATGTATTCATTCAAACATAGTTGCTATAACAAGGGGTCTTACTCAAATTTCTGCTTTAGTCTCCAATTTAGAAACATTGTTTAAAACAAACAAAAACACAAGTTTTTGTGGCCAAAATACTGAGTACTCATTTGCACACAGCATTGGCTATTGACATTAGAACAATTAGTATAATGAATTGCAGGGTATCCAGCCAGTGCTTTAAAAAATTGATATGTGAATTAATGAGATAAACTCATCCCCAGCTATTCCGGTGTTTGGAAGTAAGATGGTTATAAAAGGGAAACATTAATATGCACATTTAATTTAATTTTAAAAAGAGGGCAGTTTTTATAGCAGAAACAATCAGGACTGGCTTTACCAATAAAGTTATATAGCAGATATTTTCCATGAATTATATGAACTGAATCTGGAGCTTCAAAATTTTTTTTAACAGTTTGATTGAGAGATAATTCACAAACCATAAAATTTACCCATTCAATGTGCTTAGTCCAGTGGTTTTTAGTATATTCAGAGTTGTGTAGCCACCAATACAATCTAATTTTAGAATATTTTTTAATCACCCCAAAACCAACCCTGTACCTGTTAGCAGTCATTTCCCATTCCTGCTCCTCTTACTTTCTGTTTCTATGGATTTGTCACTTCTGGACATTTCATATAAATGGAATCATGCCATGTGCAATTTTTCTTTTGGAGCTGAATTCTTTCATATAATGTATTTTTAGGTTCATCCATGTGTAGCATGTATTAGTACTTTATTCTTTTTTATTGTTGGATAATATTTCAATGAGTGCATATTTATTTTACTTTTACCATTGTATGGTATTATTATAATACCACATTTGTTGATCCATTTATCAGTAGTTGATGGAGCTCCAGAGTTTTTATGAAAATATGTCGTGCATGTGTTTAAATAGCCATTTCATTTTTAAAAGTCAGCAAGGCATTAAGATTACCAAAATTTAATTTTCTCTAACCATTTTTTTAAATGTTAGGCTTCATAAGGTGACTCTAAGTGAAAGGGTGCCACTATAATTAATAATAAATTGATAAGTTTTTATAAAATGTATTTGGTGTACTTCCCAGATACTAAGAAAGTTAATAACTACTGATTGGGTAACCAATGTCTTTACAAGTCAGGTAGTTTCTATATTTTACTTCAACAAACTTGAAGGAGAACATAATTTATCAACTTATAGATTATTAAGTATAATTTTGATGATAGATCGCTTTGTATTTTTTGTCATATCATTCTGAATAAGTTTAAATACTTAAATAACACTGAATAATAAAACTCTTTCCCATCCCATCTACTTACTTATCTACTTATTTACTTGGACAACGGTTTTTAATGTCTGCATTTATTTTAAAAATGTGGCATAGGATTATTATTGTTCCAAAAGTGGTCTTATTACAACATTCATCAATTACAAGAAGTAATATTCACAATATAATATTGAAGCAGAATATTTCCCTGACCCCTTCACGGGTGGAAACTGGAGTCACAGGGGCTCGACCTAGCTGGCCACTTCGGCGAATTCCACTCACTGGAACTTGCTGTGTTCCACTCCTCACGGGAAGGGCAGCGCAGGTAAGCGGGTGCAGGAGCCAAGGTGAGCGCTTTTGGGTACTGGCAGGAGCAAAACTGTGCAGGCCCCGCAGTAGCGTCTGGAGAATTAGAGGGCTCGTGACCTCTGAAGCCCCAGAAGGAGTGTTACAGTGGTGCCCTTTTAGCTTTGCCATCCGCAGACTGCTTCAGTGTTTACAGCCCAGTAGAGGGCCAGTGTGACAGCTTTATCAATTTGATAATTCAAATGCTTTATCAATTTGATAATTCAAATGCTTTATCAATTTGATAATTCAAATGCTTTATCAATTTGATAATTAACTTTTCTGATTATAATAGAAATGCATTGCCATTGAAGAAAATTTAAAATTATTAAAAAGAAAAAACAAGAAAATAATCCCCAATTTCATAATCAGCAAATGGACACTTGTGTGTTTGTGTGACAGTGTGTGTATGTGTAGTGTGTTTGTAACTATACTTCTTACTATATATGATCTCTTGTTTTCTGGTTTTGTCCCTAATATCATATCATAAACTTTTTTATATTATTAAATATTCCACAAAACAACTTTAAATTTATATTCAATTTTAAAAGTTAATTATAAGAAAGTTATTGTTATAAAACTTCTCTGAAATAGGGTTATTCTAGCATTAGTTATTCTAGAAAAGCAGTGTCATCAAAATTGCCAGTAAAAGAATGTTTAAATTATGTAATATTCTATTATTAAAAATTTGTGGTTACCTCTGTTTTACAAAATAAATATTTAAACGTTACTTATTTTTAGACTTCAGAATAAAATTATTCTTTGGCTTCAGTGCAGATAAGCAATTTAAAATATATTTATTAATCTCCTCTAAGTTTTTCAATAAAGTCATGTAGGTTGCGCTGATTTTTTCTGTTGCCTTGACCGCAAAAATCATATATGCTTAAAGTAAAATACTTGACTTGCAACCTTTGTCAATCAAATTCTGATTTTACAGGACATTCTCTCAACAATAGTAGTTAGACATATAAAGAAAATCATCTACTGTAGGTAAGCATTTTTTTATTGCTGTTGGTAGTAACTTTTTCTGTTTGTTCTAAATATTGTAGAATTTTATCTTCAATTGTATTATGCAAAAATTTGACAGGAAATGTCTAGATGTGGTACTCTTGTCATAAAAATTGCTTGCTCTCTTCCTTCCTCCCTCACTCTCTCTTTCCCTACCTCTCCTTCTCCACTCCTCCCTTACCTCCCTCCCTTCCTCCTTCCTTCCCTCCCTTTTTTCCCTCTTTCCTTTCTTTCCTTCTTTCTTTCTTCCTTCCTTTATATTTCTAATAATTATTCATTTCAGTTGCAGAAAGTTTTTTTAACTTACTTTTGTCGTTATTGGCTTTTGCATTATTTCATCTGTGGCTTAGGAACACCTACAATGTTTAAACTCCAAATCTTTTTATTCCTTTAATTTTCTCTGTTATAATTTTATCCACTTTTTCTTTATTATTTTAAGAGAACGTGCAAGTTAGAGTTTGACATTATTGATTTTTTTATGCAGAATGTGATTCCCCTGCTGAAATTTTGGAGCTGATCTTTCTTAGTTTAGCCTTTTCCCCTTCTTTTTGTTAATTTAAATCTCAGTTTATTTGCTTTGCACCTCTTCGTACTGACTTTTTCTTAACCTGATCTCTTTTTATAACTGCATCACCCCATTCTATTTACCATGTCTTTACTTATCCTATTGCGGACACCCAGGTTTTTCTTCCTGTTTTTTTGTTGACCAGCTTTAAGTAACTGTTTTTCTAATTCTTCAGAATAATTTTTCTTCTCATTCCATTTGTATTATTTTCTAACAAATCTTATTTTTATCATTTCACTCATCTTTAAAAAGGAAAAAGTTCATTGAAACATGAATTTTGCCAATGGACTGGTGGTGGGGATTTTCATGGGCTCCCCTCAGTAAGGACCACTTTACTTACAAAGTCTCTACTTGGAAGCAGACCACAGGAACTGTGACAGGCAGATGGTTAAACCCAGACAAATACATGGTGTCTGCCCTACACTCATCTCACTCATCTGGTCATTCCCAACTCTATTCCTCCCTTCCTAGGTGCTCTAAAATTAGAAAAGAGATATATATATACATATATATATGTATATATATGTATATATATATATGTATATTAAACTAAAGACTGGAATCTTTGTGCATATCTCATCGTTTAGCCTTTACCACCCATATACAACATTTTGCTGGCTTTTGATAAGATGAAGCATCCCATCATCAATTCTCTCTTGCTCTCTCTCTCTCTCCTGGTCATATTTTCTTAGCATTATGATAGCCAAAAAGCAGCACCTGCACAGTAGGAAAATGGTTAGCATGTTTTATTGTTGATTTGGAAGCCCATTTAAATAATATTATATTTTTAAATAAAAGATAATAAAATAAAATATAAGATTGAGAATTACTATACCTCTATTCCATAAATAAGAACTAAGCATTCTCAAATATTTTGAAATTTAGGTTATTTCCAAAGTTTATTTTTGTCAGTCACCATTCCTGTTAATCCTGTAGTAAATATCTTCAAGCCTAATTGTGATCTTCTTTGAATGATTTTCTTTACAAGGTCTCAATAGAGTGAAAGGTAAGGTACACTTTGGGAATCTGCTTATATTGTCATATTGCTTTCAAAACAACTCTCCAGGGTTTTAAAGGCATCAGCAAAAAAATGAGCTGTCTTGCTTTATTGCAAAGTTACTACACTTAAAAATGCAATTCCAAATGTCTTTTCTTCTCTTTCCCCATGAGAGCCTCAAGGACCCATCATTGTGCTTTCTAGCCCTCTTTTAGGAGAAATATTGCTAGAGCAAACAAACATTAATGCATTTACCAATTCTGGTAAAATCCTTTCTTGCTATTGGTTTCCTATAGTTTAGATAAACTTCACAGAAATTTCAGTGTGTCAGTAAAAATTACGACCTTGGTGAGAATAGCATAGTGCTGAATGGTTTTAAAACAAGAGAACAGCATTTGAAGGAATGTCATTTTTACTTTGGATCTGAGAAAAATAAATGCAAACACCTGTCTTTTTTTTTTTTCTTTTTTGAGGCAGAGTCTCACTCTGTTGCCAGGCTGGAGTGCAGTGGCATGATCTCAGCTCACTGCAAATTCTGCCTCCCATGTTCAAGCAATTCTCCTGCCTCAGCCTCCCGAGTAGCTGGGATTACAGGTGCACGCCACCAAGCCTGGCTAATTTTTGTATTTTTAGTAGAGACGGGGTTTCACCATGTTGGCCAGGATGGTCTCCATCTCTTGATCTCATGATCAGCCTGCCTCAGCCTCCCTAAGTGCTGGGATTACAGGCGTGAGCCACCATGCACGGCCAAACACACAAGTCTTATAGTATAAAGGGGAGAATCGGAGGTCCACTTCCTAGTCACCCACCAACCTCATTAATATCTTTCTGTTATCTGGTATCTCACCTTTCCAAGATATGTTTATTCCCTTCATCTGGTTATCAGTAAATCTAGATCAATAATTAATTGGCAATTAATTGATTCCAAAATAGAAAAATTATAGCAAAAGTAATGAAAGCTATTTTTGAACATGAGGCCTCTTTGCTCCTCAGCACCATCCTCTAGCTCTCATGAAGCATGTCATGTTGCTTGGGATATGAATGAGTTTATAACAGTGTTAAGTTGTATATTTCAGTTGACCAGATAACTCAGAAATCCAGGGGAATATATACTAATTTTTAAATCAATTCTGTTAAAAATTGCTTTTTTCTGCTTGCATTTTGGCTGAACAGCTTTAAGAATTAAGTTGATTCTTGCTTGAAAGAAATGAATACATTCTTGAAAGAAGACAAAAATAATTGACTCCATTTTTTTACAGATAAAACCCAGAGTCCCAGAGGATTTGTAAGTTCCTTCATTAACATTGCTTGTAATGTAAAATAGCAGATTGAAAATCTAGATCTCTTGAATTGAACTGATTTTTTATTTTCAGCATAGTATTTTCCAGGTAACTGTCACAGACTCTGAGACAATTATACATCTTCTTGAGTACCAGAGTTAAACAGAATAAATGAAATAAAGTTTTGTGTACTCTTTTCTTAAGTTAAAATTCAGGTGACAGCAATGTGTTCAGCTTCTCTCTTTGGAGAAGAAACCTAAATTGAGATTCTTAGCTGGTTAAAGCCCTCATTTGATCCTTTTTATGGATGTTGGCTTGGTGAAAGATCTGGGCCTTTGCTTCCTTTGGGGAAAAAGCAATATGTCTTTGTCTTGTCAACACCTGCTGTTTGCACTATTTCAAACATAGGAGGTAATTTTGTTGCTAGTAGAGTTTGTAGTTTGTCCTGGTTGTCTGGAACAGAAAGTAACAAATTCCTTAATATAAAAAGTGGGCCCCAGATTCCACTCAGTTCTAGTGTTTGTATAAATTCAAGCTGCTGGTGGAGCAAAGATGTTTCTGATACATGATTTTTCTCCCAAATTTGTCCTTTAATTTAGAACCTAACTCAAGTACTTTATGTTGGATATTAATGAGTGTCTACCTGTGATTCATTATTTAAGCATAGAAGGAAAATGATACTTTATATTTAGGTAAGGATATAAAGAACAACTACTTTGATATGATACAAGAATGTCTCATTTATAAATTGTGAGTTTCAAAGGAGTCTAATGTGATAACTTTAAGAATAACGAGCTTTTAGGTTTTCACTTAGAAACTCGGATCAAATGTTCAGAACTAGTACATTGATGCAAAATAAATAAATAAAAATGGATGTTCTTTGTCACCATTTTGCCTATTAGGATGTCTCTGGCTCTTCATGTGATCTACTGTTTAAAACCCTTCACAAGTTCTCTATTGCTATATGAAAAAATCCAAACTGCGTAGTACCACACATGGAGTCCTTCATAATTCAGCTTTTCCCACCAACACAGCTTTCTGTTCCATCACTTCTTCACACAGTACAGCAAATTGTTTGTTTCCAGAATACCTGTGCTGCTTCTGTCTATCTTCTGTCCTCTTCCATCTTCATAACTGATGTGCAGAGGGCCAAGTTACAGGGGCTTACAGGCATTGTGTGAACCATCAATAAGGTAGGATACCTTACTTAGCTTTGAAATATTTTGGAGAAACCAGATCTGTTCAACCAGGCAATGTCAATCCCTATTGTCCAGGACTAGTTATAAGCAATACACTCTTTCACAGTTTACCTTGACTTTTTGATTTTAAAAAATATATGGGTTTAATTGATCAAGGGAAGGGTAAGGCAAATACAACTAGTTGCCCCATCAAATTTTATTCTCTTCTTGCTAATTAACAGTGTTTCAATTTTATTTAGGATAGTCACAGATTCAACCTGTAGGTCTTTCTCATTTTTTCTTCTCGGAATGCAGACATGAGCCTGGTGGTACAGCAGCCATTTTGCCACCATGAGTTGACCAGCATGAGGCAAAGGTCTACACTGTGAGGATGACAGAGGAAAGACAGGAAGAGCTTGGATCCCAGATGTCATCACTAAACTGTCATTAACCCTGGATTGTCCACACTGGAATTTTTGTTTATAGAGATAAATGAAATATTGTTTGAGAGTTTCAATTGTGCCGCTGAATACATTGCTAACTGATATAAAGGACTGACAAGGAATTTGCATATTATAATTTTATGAAACTGTCAATGACTTTCCCACCTGATACATTAATTGATAGTTATAATCTGTGCAGAAAGGACAAAAATGGGGTTTCTCAATGTCTACCCTCATTAGTAACGGGGCAGAGGGGAAAGCCAGCAGCCTACGTCCCAATTGTTTCCATTCTGGTTTCACTCTTCTGCTACTCGTTATGTCTCTCCACCTCTCAAACACTAGCAAACAATGTCAGAAGACCCATGTGAAGGTAAGCTTTTGTATATACTTGTGATGGTTAATATTGAGTGTCGACTTGATTGGATTGAAGGATGCAAAGTATTGTTCCTGGGTGGGTTTGTGAGGGTGTTGCCTAAAAAGATTAACATCTGAGTCAGTGGACTGGGAGAGGCAGACCCACCCTCAATCTGGGTGGGCACCATCTAATCAGCTGCAAGCATGGCTAGGATAAAGCAGGCAGAGAACGTGGAATGAGCAGACTCCCTGAGTCTTTTGGCTTCATCTTTCTTTCCATACTGGGTGCTTCCTGCCCTCGAACATCAGACTCCAAGTTCTTCAGCTTTCGGACTCTTGGACTTACACCAGTGATTTGCCACAGGCTCTCGGGTCCAAATACTGAAGGCTGCACTGTTGGCTTCCGTACTTTTGAGGTTTTGGGACTCCGACTGGCTTCCTTGCTCCTCAGCTTGCAGATGGCCTAGTGTGGGACTTCACTTTGTGATCATGTGAGTCAATACTCCTTAATAAACTGCCCTTTGTATATTCATCTTTCCTATTCTGTACCTTTAGAGAACTCTGACTAACACAATACTGTTCCAGACCTTTTAAAAAATATGCTGACTAACCAAAGCAAGACTGTTCTAGCTGAGTAAATAAACAATATAAGCAATCTTGGTTTGTCTACAGACAACCACCCACTTATCTGTTACGCTGCCTCTCATCCTCTAGTCTCCTTCTTACCTAACGCCCTGTGTTAGGCAGTTCTTGAATTGCTACAGAGAAATACCTGAGACTGGGTAATTTATAAAGAAAAGAAGTTTAATTGGCTCACGGTTCCACAGGCTATACAGGAAGCATGATGCTGGCATCTGCTTTGCTTCTGGGGAAGCCTCAGGAAACTTACAATCATGGTGGAAGGCAAAGTGAAAGCAGACAGTTCACATGGTTGGAGCAGGAGCAATATAGAGAGGGGAGAGGTGCTATACACTTTTATATAAACAGATCTCACAAAAACTCACTATCATGATGACAGCACCAAGGCGGGGAGGGTATTAAACCATGAGAAACCACCCTCATGATTCAGTCACCTCCCACCAGGCCACACCTCCAACACTGGGGATTACAATTGAACATGAGATTTGGGTAGGGACACAGATAGAAACATATCACTCCCCTTCCCTCCCAGTCCACTCAGCTGTCAATGCTGGATCCTGTCTAGGTTCTAGTCCTTTACCTAATACCAGTTGAGTCTTGCTTTCCTTCCTTTGATTTCATTCAGTTCCGGAAAAGAACTTCCTGGGTGTGCTATCAGTCTCTTCCCTCATACTTCTACCTTATGTAGGAAGAAGCTGCCCCTTCCTCTGACACATGACCCCTTTGATCACCTCACTTGATTGTCTTCTGGTCAAAGAAGGGAATCCAACAGATTTAGGGGAAAAAAAAATGATTTCTAAGCTTGTTGTCAAACCAACTGAGATGTAATGGCCAAAAGTTGCATTTAAAGTAGGATGATTCATCTTTCTTTTCACACTCATGAAATGCTGTGTTGAATCAGTTGCTCTCTAGCCTGTGGAAGAAAAATGTGTCTTTACACTTACTGGATGACTCTACCTTCATCTTAAGATGAAGAACTATTTCATAAACTGGTTCAGTTTCAAAAGTGTTCTTTTGCTGATCTCAAAGATAAATAGCCTCAAGGAGTCAAAATGATTTCATAAATTTTCATCAAAAACTATAACTCTGACTTGAATCCTATTTGGAACAAAATGCAAATACACAGTACTTAAAATATTTTTGAAGAACTAGCAGCTGTACAAAACTACTTTCTTTTTTTTTTTTTTTTTTTTTTGAGATGGTGTCTCGCTCTGTCACCAGGCTGGAATGCAGTGGTGCAATCTCGGCTCACCGCAACCTCTGCCTCCAGGGTTCAAGCAATTCTCCTGCCTCAGCCTCTTGAGTAGCTGGGACTAAAGGCACACGCCACCAAACCCAGCTAATTTGTGTATTTTTTAGTAGAGACGGAGTTTCACCATGTTGGCCAGGATGGTCTTGATCTTTTGACCTCATGATCCACCTGCCTTGACCTCGCAAAGTGCTGGGATTACAGGTGTGAGCCACTGTGCCCGGCCTAAAACTAGAGAATAATTTTTTATAATCTGAAGATTACTTCAGAAGTCAAACCACTGGCAAGGGCACCTACTGGGTAGCCTGTGCCACTCACACACTTTTTTGGAGAAGCTACTGTTACCAAAGGATGCCAGTGATTATAGACATCCCTGCGTGCAACAGGAAGCCTTGGTGCATACCATAGTCATGTCCATTTTGAAGAAACACTAGTGTATCCAAAAATGTCTGATAGTATAATTTTGCTCTCTATTCAAGGGTGGCAAGCTGAAAGATGGGCAGTTGATTCCTGCCAGGTACATTAGGGTCCTTGTTTGAGAATGTGGAATAGTAACTTAGAGATTTGAGTTGCAGTCTAGATATTCTTTAATAGAAAAAGTGAAAATTCAAAAGTTGTTGCAATCAAGATCTGTAATATGGGTTGAAAAGCGAAAAATTTAGTTTTCAGAGACAGGGAGAGAGAGAGAAAGATCAAACAACATCAGACACTCAGAAATAATCACAAATGAGGGATGGAGAGACATGATGTCCCAGTCTTCCCATAGTGTACCAGCCTTTGATTACACTCCATCCGTGAAACCCTGCTAATTCCCAGACCTTACATTCTTGAGATGTCCTTATACCTTTATAATAAATATAGCAGCTGTATAAAACTAGATTTTTTTTTTTTGAAATGGAGTCTCGTTCTGTCGCCAGGCTGGAGTGCAGTGGTGTGATCTCGGCTCACCACAACCTCTTTATAATAAAATAATCTTTTTTCACCTAAATTTTGTTCTACTAGGGTTCTTTTTTAGAAATAATAAATTTCTATTTTCTGCAGCAAATACTCTTCCAGCAAGATTCATGGAAATAAAGTTTTGTTTAAATAATACAAAACTACTTCATTTCACTCACATATTGAAGAACTTGTTTTCTACAAACCATTGTGCTTTTCTTTTAGAAATTTGCAGATGAATTACATATGGGTCCTGCAAAGAGTACATGAGGAGAAAAAGACATGTATGTAAGTTGGTAGCATGCATGGTAGAAAGGTGTGATGGCCACAAGAGGCACAGAGCCCACACACTATGGAAATAGATGATTTCCCGCAATGACCCAATACAACTTTAGAAAGAAGTGGAACTTGAGTTTGTATGTGGCAAATGGGTATTATTTGGACATGTGGGATTAGGATGAAAATCATTCTCAGTAGACAGAATGTGAACATGTCTAGGAAGAACAGAGAGAGATGTATAAGCAACAGTTCAGTTTCACTAAAATAAAAGGTTTGCAGACAGATGTAGTGATTAAGATTAGAAAGATAGATTTGGGCCAGATTAACAGAGGTCTTTAAAGCCCATGAAGTAAGCTTAGACTTTGTCATAACAAATCTTTGGCCCCAAATAGTCAATAAGAATTTTTTTTTTCTTTTTTTTGAGACAGAGTCTTGCTCTGTGTTGCCCAGGCTGGAGTGCAGTGGTGTGATCTCAGCTCACTGCAACCTCTGCCTCCCAGGTTCAAGTGATTCTCCTGCCTCAACGTCCTGAGTAGCTGGGACTACAGGCGCCTGCCACCATGCCCGGCTAATTTTTGCATTTTTAGTACAGATGGGGTTTCACCATGTTGGCCAGGTTGGTCAAACTCCTGACCTCTGGTGATCCACCCACCTCAGCCTCCCAAAGTGCTGGGATTATAGGCATGAGCCACCGTGCCCAGCCAACAAGGATTTTTAAACCAGGAAATGATATCAGCAGTGACTCAGGAGGCTGGACCAAGTGGTAGTACAAATGATGGGCTGTGGGAGAACAGAGGACACCAGTGAGAAAGCTGGTTCTGGGGTTCATTAAGTGGTAATAAGGGTTGGAGAAGAAAGAATTTTCTTCAGCAGGTTTTTGAGGATTTCAGTGTGATTAAGGAAGAGCAAGGTTTCCATCAAAGTGAGGCAGCTAAAGTGCTTCAGGAAGAGGCTGAAAAAATAGGTTGGTTTGCTCTGAGTGGCGGGAGTCACTGGACCCCACTGTTAAGGAGCTGGGAGCCTAGCTGACAGAGTAAAAATGTAGATGGCCGGTCTGGATAGGAAATTAATGAGAACATGGAGGGACACAACAGAGAAAGAGATTTTTATCTAACAAAGCAATTGTGAATTAAAAGGATTAAGAAAAGGAAAGTAGGAGTTAGACGGAAGGCATAGGATGCAAATCCATATCCAATTAATATTAATTGCCTAGAGGGTTCCAGGTATATTTATAAATTGAATTACATTTAAATAGTTTCTCTGTTTTACAGATCTACATAAGCTGAGAAACTTGCTTAAGATACGCCTATTTTAAGTGGTACAACTGAAATCTGAACCCAGGTTTTCTGGTGTCTTGACTCTTCGATTTTAATTCTTTGTATTGTATCACATTATCTCTCATCAAGATTAGTAGAGGTGAAGGGAAATAAACACAGAGCCAGACTATGTTTCAGTAGCAATGTTGGTTTCACTGAGTACACAGCCTTCATAAACCAGCTTCCTCAAGTGCTCAACCTAGATCAAAGTAATTCCCAGTTAGGCCACTGGCTGTTAATAAATAATTCATTACATAAAATTACTAAATAAGTGCCAGAGGTAAGAAATTATATATTTTGATATTGTGACAAAAATCAATAAAATTCAACTATCAGGTTTTTTTTTTCTGGTTTCATAGCTTGTTAATTTTGTGACTATTCATTTGAGTAACTACATCTGAAATACGAGAGTAAAAAGCTAGTGGCCATTTATTCATGTATTATAGATGCCAAATTCCAGAAGTGTGTGACATTTACATGAATATAAAACAAATTTATTGTAATTAATGTTATTACCATGAATAAGAATAAATTCATAACATCCAATATGTAAATACTAAGCAAAGCATGTAATTTGTCTCTTTTTGAAATTAATCTCACATTCACATTAATATGATTTATGTTATTGTAATACACACTATGCCTCTGGAATAAGAGTAGAAATGATTAGTTCTTTATGTGACCTTAATAACAAATAATGTGCTAACAGAATCATAAATATCAACTAAAATTAATTAAATTTTCCCATATTTTTAAAATAGCTTCCTGAATTGGATCTTTGCATAGTAATAGAATGAATGAAAATAAGTGTAAGTGCCTCGGCATATTGAAATGTCAAAAGAGAGGACACCTGCAGTCATAGTTCAAGGCATGGATCATAGATTGTAAAAAGTTAGAGGCAGGAAGGGTCTCAGAGGTCATGCAGTTCAATGACTTCATTTTGCAGATGAGGGAGAGGAAGGCCAGAGATGCTGGGACTTTTCCAGGGTTCAATACACAGTTACGAAGTGGCAATGCCAAGAACACAGAACAGACCTCCTGACTTCAGTCCATTGTTCTTTTTGCTATATCATGCTGCCTGAAGAATCATTTTTCATCATCTTAAAATGCTGCTTTATTATTGCATTAGCAAGTGAAAAATTAATGGGTATATATTCTTTTGCTTTATAAATGAAAAAAAAACACTTCCATTAATAGCAGCAAAATGATATTTACCATAAAGTGAGCTCAGAGGACAGATTTGTTTCCCACATATCCTATAGCAAATCAGCTTTCTAGATTTAAGGACATATTGTCACATTCAAGTGTTTTTAAATGAGCGGCATTTTTATTAAATCATTTGACTCGTGATTATTAATTGTCATGATATGAGGAAATTATTACAGGATTGGTATTGTAGCAAATTTGAAAATTAAAGTAACACTTATTTTTTTCCATTGAGATACAATTCACAAAAAGAGAGACACCGGATCTTAAGTGCACCATTTGATAAGTTCTGACAAGAGCATACCCCACCGTGGTCTACACCTAGATCAAGATACAGCACACTTTAATACCCTAGAGAAATTCTGCTGTCCTCTCCCAGTCAATAAATTCACTATCCTTTCCTGAAGGGAACCACAAATGTGTTGCTCATGTTTTGACATGACTAGTTGTCTTTATGTTTATTAAGTTGTAGAAGTTTTTGTTGTATTTTGGATATAAGTCCTTTGTCAGATATATGCATTACAATGCATTACAATATTATCTTTCAATCTGTGGCTTATCTAATTATGGAACAGGGTCTTTTAATTAGCATACAAATTTAATTTTGATCATGTAACAATTTTTCTTTCATGGTTTTCCTTTTTTTTTTTTTTTTTTTTTTGAGACGGAGTCTGGCTGTCTGTTGCCAGGCGGAGTACAGTGGCATGATCTCTGCTCACTGCAACCTCCAACTCCCTGGTTCAAGCGATTCTCCTGCCTCAGCCTCCTGAGTAGCTGGGATTACAGGCACGTGCCACCACGCCTAGCTAATTTTGTATTTTTTTTTTTTTTTTTTTTTTTGAGACGGAGTCTCGTTCTGTCACCCAGGCTGGAGTGCCTTGGCGCGATCTCGGCTCACTGCAAGCTCCGCCTCCCGGGTTCACGCCATTCTCCTGCCTCAGCCTCCCGAGTAGCTGGGACTACAGGCGCCCGCTACCACGCCCGGCTAATTTTTTGTATTTTTAGTAGAGACGGGGTTTCACCGTGTTAGCCAGGATGGTCTCGATCTCCTGACCTCGTGATCCGCCCGCCTCGGCCTCCCAAAGTGCTGGGATTACAGGCGTGAGCCACCGCGCCCGGCCGCTAATTTTGTATTTTTAGTGGAGACGGGGTTTCACCATATTGGCCAGGATGGTCTCAATCTCCTGACCTCGTGATCCGCCCTCCTCGGCCTCCCAAAGTGTTGACATTACAGCCGTGAGTCACTGTGCCCAGCTGGATTTTGCTTTTTATATCCTAAGAAATATTTGTGTATCTCAAGGTATTGAAGATATTCAATTTTTTTCTTCTGGAAGCTATATAGTTTTAGCTTTTATTTTTAGTTCTGAGATCCATCTTAAGTTAAATTATGTATATGGGGAGAGAGATGAGGCAAGGTTTCTCCCCCATGTGGCTATCCAGTTGTCCCACCACCATTTGTTGAAAGATGCTCCTTTTTCCCATCATTTCAATTTGGAGGCTTAGTTGAAACTTATTTCATGAAAAACGTTAAGTTTTTTTCTGAAACGTCCATTTTACTCCATTGCTTTAATTATATTTTAGGTACTGTTTTTAATTACTAGTTATATTTCGTTAGTAGATATTTGGCAATTTAAATTTTCTATTTTGAAAAATCAGTTTTTTATTTTTCTCCCAAGGAATTTGTTCATCAAAATTGTTGAACTTACTGGCTCAAATCATCTCTAATATTTCTTTTTATCATTATAATACTTGTAAGATCTACACTAGCATCCGCACTTTCATTCCTGATATTGATAATCAATATACTGAGAGAGTTAATCAATTTTAATGTAATCTTTTCAAAGAGCCACATTGGGTTTCTTTCTCTGAAATTTATTTCATTAATTTATGCTCCTATCTTTATTTTTTTCATTGTTCTACTTTCCTTGGCTTGAATCTGATTTTTTTTTCAACTTTTTAGGTTAGAAAGTTAGATCATCGATTTTAACCCTGCTTCTTTTCTAAAATAAGCACATAGAGCTATAAACTCCCTGCGAAGCACTATTTTAACTGCATTTCACAAATCACAATTTTTCATCATTTCTTTCATATTAAAATATTTTGTAGTTTTCTTTGTAATTTCTTCTTTAACCCATAGATTGCTTAGACCTGGGTTACTTAATTTTCAAATATTTGAGGCTTTTCTATTTTTCTGTTTTATCGATTCTTTAATTCTACAGTGATATGAGAACATGCTCAGTATAATATCAACCTTTGGAATTCAAACCTTTTAAATGACCCAGGATATGTCCTGTCCTAGAGAATGTCTTGTGTGAATTTGAAAGGAATTCAAATTCTGCAGGCCGTTAGCTGCAGTGCTCCATAAATATCAATTCGACCAAGTTGGTTGATACAGTTTTCAAGTTGTTTATATCCTTACTGATTTTCTCTCAGGTTGGTCTGTCATTTACCGAGAGATTAGTTTTAGAATCTCCTACTGTAACTATAGATTTGTCTGTTTCTCTACTGTCTGTCAATATTTGCTTCAATTATTTTGAAACTATACTATTAGGTATATATGCATGTATTATTGTTAGGACTTCTTTATGAACCATTTTTTAAATTATTATTAAATATTCCTCTTTATTTCTGATAATACTCATTTCCCAGAAATCTTCATTCCATGATATATTAATATAGCCACTCTACCTTTCTTATAATTGGTATTTGCATGGTACTTTTAAATTTTTATTTTAAATATTTATTAAATTAAATTTTTTTATTTAAAATTAAATAAAAAATAAATTTTTATTAATTTTATTTAAAATTAAATAAAAAATAAATTTTTATTAATTTTATTTAAAATAAAAATAAATTTTTTATTTAATTTTATTTAAAAATTTATTTAAAAAAATAAATTTTTATTTAATTTTATTTAAAAATTTTTTATTTATTTGTTTTCAATTGATAAATAATTGTATACATTTATAAGGCACAATATGATGTTTATATATTATCTATTGCCATATATACAGTGGAATGATTAAATCAAGCTGATTAACATATATCCATCACTGTGTTAGTTTTGCATTGCTATAAGGAATATCTGAGGCAGAGTAATTTATAAAGAAAAGAGATGGCCAGGAGCAGAGTGGTGACTCATGCCTATAATCCCAGCACTTTGGGAGGCCAAGGCAGTCAGATCCCTTGAACCCAGTTCATGACCAGCCTAGCCAACATGGCAAATCCCTGCCTCTACAGAAAATAGAAAAATTAGCCAAGCATGATGGTGCACACCTGTAGTCCCAGCTACTCAGGAGGCTGAAGCAGGAGAATTGCTTGAGCCCAGGAGGTGGAGGTTGCAGTAAGCCAAGATCATGCCACTGCACTCCAGCCTGGTTGACAGAGCAAGACCTTGTCTCAAACAAAAAAAAAAAAAAAAAAAAGAAAAGAAAAAGAAAGAAAAGATATTTATTTGGCCCATAGCTCTGCAGGCTGTACAGGAAGCCTGGGTTGGCGTCTGCTCCTGGTGAAGCCTCAGGAAGCTTTCGATCATGGTGGATGGCAAAGGGAGAGTCCAAGTATCACATGGCAAGAGAGGGAGCAAGACGGTGGAGGAGACGACCGGCTGTTTTAAACAAACAGATCTCGAAAAAACTAGTAGAAAGAGAACTCACTCATTACCCCAGGAGGACACCAAGCCACTCCTGAGAGACCTGCCCTGATGACTCAAACACCTCCTACCAGGCTCCGCCTCCAACACTGGGATCAAATTTCAACATGAGATTTGGAGGGGACAAATATCCAAACCATGTCAATCAACTCACATACTTATTATGTTTTTGTGGTGAGGACATTTTAGAAATACTTTCTTAGCAGTTTTCAGTATAAAATACTTTATTATTAACTATGGCCACAATTTCGTACAACAGATCTGCAGAATTTATTCCTCCTAACTAATATTATATATATATAATATTATTATTATGTATAATAGTATTATATTTATTATATATATTATTATATAGAATAATATATTATTATATATAATTATATAGAATAATATATTTATTATATATAATTATATAGAATAATATATTATTATATATAATTATATAGAATATTATATTTATTATATATAATTATATAGAATATTATATATAATAATTATATTATATATAAAATATAATATATTATATTATACTATATATGTTTACCATATATAATATACTATATGTTTAATATATAATATAATATATGATTTATATATAATATACAATTAATACAATATATAATAGAATAATATATAATATATTATTATTATATAACATATAAATATATATACATATGTGTGTTTATTTTATATATATGTATATATTTTTTTGAGGCAGAGTCGCACTCTGTCCCCTAGGCTAGAGTGCAGTGGCGTGATCTCGGCTCACTGCAATGTCCGCCTCCCAGGTTCAAGCAATTCTCCTGCCTCAGCCTCCCGAGTAGCTGGGATTACTGGCACGTGCCACCACACCCGGCTAATTTTGTATTTTTAATAGCGATGGATTTTGCCATATTGGCTAGCCCGGTCTCAAATTCCTGATCTCAGGTGATCCACCCACCTCGACCCCCCAAGTGCTGGGATTACAAACGTAAGCCACTGCACCCAGCTAACTATTTATATTTACGTGTAACTCACACACTGAAAAATTTTGTGTTTACCATCTTTATTTCACCTGACAATCTGTCCTGTAAGTAGAGTATATAGCCTATTTATATTTTGGAAAGTAATTTTAATTACCTATTGCCTTTTTAGCTATAACTCTTTTTATTAATTTTATTGGATGTTCTAGGAATTTCAGGATGTATCCTTGGCTTTTCAAAGTTTACCTAGAGTAAATATTGTACTAGTTCTTGAAAAATCTATACACCTTGCAACATTATAGATTCATTTACCTCTCCCAATTCCCTTACACTGTAGTTGTCTTACGCATTCCATCTAAATCCATTACATACACTAGAATGTTATAATTTTTGCTTTAGTCAGTCCTAGGTATTGTTTAAAATTAAGATAAAAATAGTCTTTTTTATTTATCCATATGTTTAACATTTTTATAATCATAATTCTTCTCTGAAAACCTGAGTTTTCCTTTTGTATTATTTTACTTCTTCATGAAGAGCTTCGTTTAGTATGTCTTATAGTGCAGCTATACTGAGGGTAAGTTCTATTTCCCCTCGATGAACATATGTTTTTTTAATTGTTTCTTGAAAAGCATTTTGTTGGACATAGAATTTGTGGCTGGCTATGGTGGCACACACCTGTAGTCCCCGCTACTGGAGAGGCTGAGGCAGGAGGATGATTTGAGCCCAAGAATTCATAACCAGCCTTGGCAACATAAGGTGACCCCGTCTCTAAAAAAAAATTTTAAATTGGGGATAGACTTTTTTTTAAGTATTTTGAAGATGTTTTCCTACTGCCTCTTGCCTTCATTTTTTTTTTAACTTATTGTTTGCTCTATAAGGTGTCATTTTTCTTTGGCTGCTTCAAGATTTTTCCTTTTATCTCAGGTTTTTAGAAGTTTGACTCTATTATAGTCTCTTGTCATTATATTTTGTACTTTTCCTGCTTTGTACATTATATTTTGTAGTTTGTACTTTGTACTTTTCATGCTCCAAAAGCTTGATACGTTTTTGGATCTGTAAATTATTTTCTTTTACAAAATTTGGGGTATTTTCAGCCATTATTTCCTCAAATATTTTCTCTGTCCTCTTCTCACTCTCTCTTACTTCTGACAGTCTTTTCCCCCCCCGCCGCCCCATAGTCTGAGAAGGTCTGTTCTTTACATTTTTTTTTTTTTAGGCTTCAAAATGTATAAGTCTGTTGATCTCTTTTCAAATTTAGTGCCTCTTTTCTCTGTCATTTCCTTCTTACTGATCATCTCACTCAGTGAAATTGTTTTAATGTATTATATTTTTCGGCTTTACAATTCCCATTTGGTTGTTTTTTACATTTTTTTCCTCTGATGAGCTGTCGTTTCTTTTGAGTTATTGTGGGCATACATTATTTCATCCTTGAGGTTAATTATTATAATACTGCTTTGAAATCCATGCACATTAATCCTAAGAACTGGATCATCTCAGTGTTGGTCTTCTTTGATTGCTATTTTATTACACTAATGAGTACCTTTTCCAGCACCTCATAAATTGAGTAATTTATATCTCGGACATTTGAATGTTATGTTGTGGAGACTCTGGATTCTGGAAATTCCTAGTTGGTCTTAAACTGCAAACTCTTTTTCCTGTTAGCAGCTCAACTCTTAGCACAGTTTTTTATCCTTAGCTGTAGTCTGTCCCACACATGTATGTTTCAAAGATAAGTCAGACATTTGGGTTGAGTTTACACAAAGGAATCAGGGCTCTCATCCCTTCCTCGCCTAATCAGTATACACACTTCTTTTATGCAGCTGTGATTTCCAAAAACTCTGACCTATAGTTCTTCAGATTAGAAAGACTATAAACTTTTCAATTAAAAATTTAATCCCCACATGTTGCCAAATTTCACTAGCCCTCAGAATAAAAGGTGTAAGACCTGGTAACTCATCTTGTGCTGTTGCCTTTTTCCAAGAGTCTGCTTCCCTCCAGAATCTGGCTACGTTTGTTGTTAGCTCTTTGTTGCCATCAATCACTGCTTGTTGATTGTTTATTTGTTTGGTTTGCATTGTGTCTAGAACTTATATTTGTTATCTGTGACAGGGCATCATCCTCTGTGCACTACTCAGTCATTACAGAAGAGGCCCTAGTTTATTTACATTTAATGCAATTGTTGGTCTGATTGGTTTAAGCCTGCCATTTTGCTACTGGTTTTCTATGTATGCATATGTTCTTTGATATCTCCCTTCTTTTACAGCTTTATTTTGTGTTAATTGAATATTTTTCAGTATTCTCCTCCACTTTTTCATTTGTATATTAGTCACAACTCTTTGTTTTGCTTTGCTTGTTGTGTGTATATGTGTTTTCTCTACAATTTATATGTATCTTTATCACATTATATCTTAAAATAATATGGTGCCACTTCAAATATAATATATAAACTTTACAACAATATGGTTTCATTACCTATCCCGCCTTTTCTGTGCTTTCATTGCACACAATTTACTTTCATATGTATTTAAAGCCACAATATATTGTTATTTTTGTTTTAAGAAGTTAAATTATCTTTTTTAAAAGTTAAAAAATTTTTAAAAACTGTATTTATTCACACACTTATCATTTGCAGATCTCAGTAGTTCTTTGTGTAGATCCAAATTTGCATCTACTATATCTATTCTTCTCCCCACAAAATGTTCTTTAACATTTCTTTTAATATTCACCTACTATCAACAGATCTCTCATCCTTTATTTGTCTGAAAATGACTTTGTTTTGCCTTCAGATCTGAGAAATATTTTCATTACATATAAAATTATAGGTTGACAGTTTTTCTTTTAGCACTTTAAAAATGTCATCCCCTTGTCTCCTGACCTCCATGGTTTCACATAAAAATTTAGCCCTTATTTGAATCATTGGACCCTTATGTTTAATGTTTTTTTCCCTAGGTTATTTAAGATTTTCTGTTATATCATTGCATTTCAGAAATTTGATTATGACATGCCTTGACGTGCTTTACTTTGAGCTATCTTAAATGAGTTTTTGTTTAACTTCTTAAACTCATGTTAGCATTTTTCATCAAATGTGAAAAATTGTGTCTATAATAGCTGAATCAGTGCTTCAAATTCAACATACAGAATCTTTGTTAAACTGAACTGACATATATAACTTAAAGCAAAATTACTGATTCCTTCTTCTATTTGCAGTGACTCTGTCTGCAGAGTAGACCAAAGCTTAAGTCATCACTTATTTGTTAGCATGGAAGAGGTAACATAAGAACAGAGATACCTGGCCAGACCTACCTCAAATCCATGCCCTGTTTGGGGGTATACTTATCACGTGGGAGAAATGAGTACAAAAAGAAATACCTCTTATACATACTAATCTTTAGAACAGAATAACCATGCTCATCATAAATGTGGTTAAGCTCTGACTAATCACATTAGCAATTTCTCCCTCAAATGATGAGCAGAATAATTAGAAGAGGTAGCCAGACAGGTAGCTTCTCGGTCAGAAGGGATAGAAGATTCCATATCAAATAACATAGGCAGAGGGACTTTGTCAATACTTTTGAGTCATGATGAGCAAACCACTGACAGAATTCACAGCAAGATATTAGATTCAATCAGAAAAAGGTATGAGGGACAATGTATATGGACGTGTAGGAGGGACTGGGGCTTAAGTCTAATCCTGGTAGGAAAACTAATTTCAAAAATTTCCTTGATAATCTGAGAGAATAATGGTGCCACTTTTAGAAGTAGAAAACTTATTGTGAAGGGAAGTCTATATTGGAGGTAGAAACAAAATGGGTTAGTTTCATTTGTTCAGACAGACATTCACTCAGTTAAAAGAAACTAGTTGATGATGACCTGAACTGAGGTGAGGTTTCCTTTATGCAAAATTGAGTATCTGGGCACATATTATACAGTAATTCATCACTTTTATTCAAAATTGAGTATCTGGGTATATATTATACAGCGATCCACCCATGGTGATTCAAAATACCAAACAAAAACAGGAGAAAACTATATTTGAGAAAAGGAAATGAGTTTAGCTCTGGGCATGATTATTTCAAAACCATGCCAATCCACCATGTAGAAATATCCAGAAAGCTATTAGATATTCGGTTTGAGAAAATGGCTTGAGATATAGTATTATTGAGGCTCTGTGAGAAAATGAATGAATGAATGAATGATGGACCTAATGAATGAATGATGGACCTAATGAATGAATGATGGACCTAAGTTTGCTTTGGAGTTAGGTAAAGTTAGGTAAATTGTAGTTGTTGGTATATATTCTTTAAACATTTCCACAGGATTCTTCTTGTTGCTCAAAACAGTAATGGTGAAAAGAGAAATTATGCTTTAAAAATTAATCAGATGTCACTTATTGGTGCCATTCTTTGAAAATAGCATATCCAAGTGGCAAGATCAGTGTCTAAAAAGATCAATTTGTCCATAAAGTCTCCTATGTTTTTGGAAGCATGGGGTAAGAAATTGTAACAGCTGTTTATCTGATGGTGAACAAAATCACAGTTAGGTTTTCACCATTTTCTCCTGAGTATTGACTGGTTTGTGATTACATATTCCATTCTGCCTATGTTTGTGTTTTAGGAACATGCAGATACTCAGAAAACATGTATGTGCACTTGCGATACATCCCACTCAACCATATGGAGTAGTGAAAAGAGTTCTGGACAACATGAAAAACAAATTGTATTCTCTTTCTGGCTCTGCCTCTTCCTGGCTTTGTGATTTGGGGCAAGTTATCCCTCTGGGTCTTAGTTGTCCTCATGTGTAAACTCAAGGGTTTGGATTTGTAGAACTGTTCAGTTTTGGAAATATAAAAACATACAAGAAAACAATCTCTTCTTAAGAATGCCACAGTTTAATGAAAAGACATACCAATAAATAGTTACAAAATAATAGGATAATTGACATAATTAGATCTATAATGAGCACTTAGAAATAGAAAAGAGAACCTAAATATGTCTAGGGGATATAAATAGTTTCTCAGAAGAGGGGACACATGAACTGAGTCCAAAGAAAGTTTAATAGTTTATAAGACAAATGCAGCAGTAGAAGTTTGGGGGTAGAATTATGGGCAGAGTGAAATGCTAGCAAATGCAAAAATGTTCACGAATCTGTTGGATTCCAAGAGCCACAAACACTTTTGAATGGTAAGTGCTTGGTATGTGTGGTGGCATGGCAGCCCAGGAGACTAGGGAACCAGGCAAGGGTCAGCTCATGAGGGTCCCTCACACTTAGGAGTTTAGACTTTGTCATAGAGACTGCTAGTCTCCAAACTTTGGGGACATGCTACTTATTCATAAAATTATTGAGCACAGATTAAACTTTTTTTGAAAACCTTTGGAGCCTGTTACATGTATTTCTATAAAATATGTTGTAATAGTCAGGGTTCTCCGGAAAAATAGAACCAATAGAATGAACATATATTCAAGAAAGTAAGAAAGAGAGCGAATGAGATTTATTTTGACATGCTACCCATTCATAAAATTATTGAGCAGAGATTAAAATTTTTTTGAAAATCTTTTGAGCATGTTACATGTGTTTCTGTAAAATATGTTGTAATACTCCAGGGTTCTCCAGAAAAATAGAACCAATAGAATGAACATATATTCAAGAAAGTGAGAAAGAGAGCAAGTTAGATTTATTTTAGGGAATTGGCTCACATGATTGTGGAGGCTAGCAAGTCTGAAATTACAGGACAGCCCAGAAGCCTGGAGACTGAGGGAAGAGTTGATTTTACATCAGGACTGTGAAGGCAGTCTGCTCAAAGAGTTCTCTGTCCCGGAGGAAGTCAGTCTTTTTCTCATGCACTTCAACTGATTAGATGAGGCCTACCCACGTTATTGAGGGTAATCTGCTTTAATGCAAGTCTATGAATTTCAAGTTAATCTCATCTAAAAAATACCTTCACAGTAACATCCAGATGCATTTGACCAAATATTTGGGTACTGTAGCCTAGGCAAATTTAACACATAAAATTAACTACCACATATGTATCTATTTTACTACTATATCAGGTACATTATAAAACATATGCATTACAGACATATATGAAAATATTTTAGAAATAATAAAATTATGAAACAAAAAGAAAATTCTAATGCTTTTTTCTTAACTTCCAGTGAGTTCTTTTGTGCATTCCATGAAATGTGTGCAGTCCACAGGAGTCCCTGCTAGATAGACTAGAGAGCCATTATAAGAAGGAGTGATAGAATTAAATACATACAATTGTTCTCTGTCTCCTGGCAGAGCTGGGATTAGAGGCAGGATTACAAGTCAAGAGGAAAGAATAGAGCAGAGAAAAGAAGTCTGGTGTCTGACCCAAAGTTGTAGCAATGGTATAAAGTAAGCATTGGGAGATAGAATGAATAGGGTAACTGCTCATGAGTGGGGTTTAAAGATAGTGAGGAGTCTTAAGTGACTGCTAGGACTTGTGCCCTTAGTGGGTGGACTGTGGGTGTCATTGATTCCGATTTACTGGGATTAGTTCTGCACATCTTAAATGTGCATGGCTTGTTCCAGCCACTTGGAGCTAACCTCTTGGCATTGAGAAATGAAGGCTTGGAATACAGATATGAGTTCCAGCCTAGGCATGGGAGTCAAATTAAATGTGATGACAATAGAAATAGGGTGTTATTGGAGTTATAACACACAGCAATATTTAAATTATATGGTATTAACAAAACTGGCTACCATTTATCCAGGGTTTATTACGTACAAGGCACTATGCTAAATGCTTTGCATACATTATCTCAACTAACCTTGAAAACAACCATAGAAGATAAGAATTGTCATCTTCCTTTTTATGGACCAAAAAATTAATGCTTAGGGTGGGGCATGGTGGCTCACACCTGTAATCCCAGTACTTTGGGAGGCTGAGACAGGAGGACTTCTTGAGGCCAGGAGTTTGAGACTAACGGGCAATATAGTGAGACACCATCTCTACAAAAAACAAAAAAAAGTAGCTGGATATGGTGTCAGGTGCCTGTAGTTGTAGCTAATGAGCTGTGATTGCACCACTGCCTCCCAGCCTGGGCGACAAAATGAGACCCTGTCTCAAAAATAAATAAATAATAAATAAATAAATAAATGTAGCTGATACTCAGAAAAATTAAGTAACTTGCCGTAGGTCAAAGTCTGTAAGAGGAGGAGATGGAATTAAAACTCAGGCTTAAATAAACTCCAAGCACCATGATCTTAATCACCTTATGGTATTGTTACCTATTTAAGTAGCAAATTGAAAAAGAAAGTACAAATGTTAAACCTGTTACCAGACGTGGAGAGAGCTGAGGGAGGAAGAGATGGAATGACTTGGATATTTAGCAGAATATTTCTTTGTATAAAATCTCATGCAGTAAATTGTTTAAAAGCTCAGGATTTGGAGCCAGGCAGACTATAATTCAAACATTTCCTTAAGACTCAGTTTGTTGGCCTACAATAAAAGGATAAAAGGAGTGTTATATGCTTATTATTAGAATTAAATTAAGTAATGTATATATAGTGTCTGCTAAATAAATCTTAACAATTCTTATTATATTTCTTCATTTTAGTCTAATTGTGTAAAAGAAAGAAAATGTCCTTCACGGTTGGGCAGAGAATTGTTAAGATTACAATGGATTCTGCATTGCCTCAAAGATATTATTCCAAGGAGTTTTATTTAAACATTAAAAAATAACTTTTATTTAATGATGCCTCTTCCAACAAGCACTTTTAGTTTGTGGTTTTAATAACATATACGTTGGCAGTGAGTAGCTCAATAGTCCCTATACACTTGATTAAATTCCAAACTAGATTTTTCACCTTCTGAACTAATTGAAAACAAATTCTGAACCATTACAAACAAAGGCAAATGGGACTGAAAAATTTGGAAGTATTTAAGTAGGCTCTTAGGACACCTGAGTAATATTTAAATATACCCCAGAAGAAATCAAAATATTATGATTGCTTGACCTTGCTGTGTATGTAAATATAGAATTGGTTCCAAAGGACTGGATAGGTAACAAGTCTTTCTTATTTCCATGTCTGCTGGCTCTGACCCTGGAAATGCCCAGCTGGGGAACTGGTGTGTGTCCGTGATGTCTGAGTGGACCAGCTGGGTAACATCACCGTGCCTGTGCATAGAGAAGGAATGTTTCTCCCTCATCCCTCTCACTCTATCCAAAGTCTGCTACTGAGGTCCAGAGGACTGACTTTGTAGAGCCTATTTTTCCTGTGTAGGAGGGACATATGGTACAATTATAAGTTACCCATATCCAAGCCAAATAGAAACACATACCAAAAAAAGATTAAATGCAAGCAGTTAAACAAACAAACATGTGAATTATAGCAGACATCAAAGTACCTGTTTTTCAGGATTACTATTCTGGAATGCCATCCAGCCTATTAGATGTTTCTTGAATAAACTTAGACAAGTGTTAACTAACAAAATACTTATCTACATGAATTAGATGGTAGCCCAATGTACAACTTTCTATTAAGTAGTGAATTGTCTTCTTTTAGATATTTTGAAATTAGTGTCCTTTTTATCATTTGCCAAATCTGTGTGTTTTTTGTTTAAACACAATGGAACAATTCAGCAAGGTATTATAAGATTTCTTCTAGTGAGGATAAAAGCTAATGCTGTCTAGAAAGCATGGCTTAAAATTTCTCAAAGCTGTGTTTACCGTCCTGCCTAAATTATGCAGACAGAGCTTATATATTTGGGCCTCTGGATCTTTAGATTGGGAACATTTTCAGATTTAGAAAAGCTTCATTGCTTAGTTTGAACTTTTCCATTTAAATTAATTAGGGTAGAATGGTAAACATAATCCTCTTACTAATGTGTTTTTTCATCAGTGAAGGCTGAGAAACAGCATAAAGATGCAATCTGGAAAAAAGAAGAAATAAAAAAAGAAAAGAACTTTCTCCCTTTCACTTAATTCCTAATAAAAAAATCACAAAATATAAAGTCTAACGTTTAGTGTCATCTCTTATTGGAATATGTCAGCTTCCCCAGAGACAATGCATTGCCGCAAGTAACTATTTGAAACAAATCCTTCTGTGATATCTGAAGACACTCTTCTGAAAGGCTTTCTCTTCAAGAGTTGCAAAGCAGCACTTTCCCACCCCTCTCTGCATCCAGCCAAACAAAGCAAGCAAAGGACTGTTTCTCTTTGACTTATATTTTACTTGTTAGTCATTTTATATCATTATAATTCTGAAATAAAATAAGCCTTAAGAGAAAAAAATCCACCACACATTTTATATTAAATGTTCATTCCTGAGCTAACCTTAACTAGCTGTTCCTTTGAAACCACAATGCAGTCTTAAAATCATTTAAAGTGTTATTAATTTAGTAGTTGTACAGTGATGGATTTTTCAGGTTGCTTACATATACATCTTTTAAGACTGAAGATATGCAGATATCCATAGTTTCGCTTCTTCAGCTCTCAGTATTTTGCCCTTATTTCTATAAGGCAAGATATTCTACAGAAAAATTACTGATACCTACATGAACTGCCATTGTTGAGTTAGTCCATTATTTGGGCTTTGTGGAAAGCTGATTTAAATACTTCTTATTTGGAAGTATTACAAAATTATTTTTGGAATGAAGACTTGGGTCTCTGTGTCTTAACCACCACCAACCAAGGATAAATTCATTACAGACTTACAAGGTCATATGTGGTTAGTATTCCCCACTACATGAAAATAAGTTTGAAAATTTAGTGAGAGTCATAATTATGCTTAATTCCATTAATATACTTCCAAAATAAAGCAGCTTCAGATTGTTATAAATACCTCTACCCTTCATTTCCACACAGCAGCCCACATAAAAACTGAACTAAAAAAATCCATTCATTACCCACTGCACTCTGAATTAATTTCAAGTCATCATTTTTATTATTAGAAAATGTGATGGCCATTTTACCTTGTAAGGACAATCAACAGCAATTACTGTACGTTCAAATGCCATGGGGATTTCTGTGAATCTCAGTTTTGCTCAAGGAAGCATTGGCTAGGAATGAGAGAAGATAAAACAAATGGACCTTTCTTACTTAAATTCCCCACTGAGTAAATACTACCACATTACCAGCTCTGAATAATTAACTTCCATCCACTGTGCCAAAAATGATGCATTGTATTTCAAATGCATCTTTTCAATAAATACTCCTTGAGAGAAAGCACCACAGAAATCATGACAGCTGTCATTGCACTAAACTTTTACTTACTCAAATCATTTTCTGAAAGCCATCATTAGAATCAAATTAAAATAAAGCTGAGGTTTTCTAAATAAAACTGTCAAAGAAGATAAAAGTTTTTACATTGACAGTGAAGCAAATGATTTTTCCCACTCTGTTGAGGTTGCATAATAGTGTAGTATATCTGAATTACTTATGGTCCCTTAATGACAGATTAACAGCTGGAGGAGGGGAGATCTTTCCAAGAATAGTTTTCAAATGAATGAAACTTCAGGCCCAGAGGCAATAGGAAATGCAAAGTGTGGGGAACTGGGGGAAGATATGGGTGGAAGAGTCTTATAAGACTTTTGTAATTTATTAAAATCACTGAAAATGACAGTGGGAACTGAAGTGGATTTTCCATATTTACAGGAGAAAGAGGTCATAGTAAATACTAAGTCCTTGAAGATGACTGCATGAAGTGAAGAGCCATAAAAGTGTATTTGTGCAGCATACCTGAAAGAAATCAGCCTTGCTAAGACAGAGTTTGGTGAGGTATTCCATGTACATGATTTTGCTCACCAGAACACTTTTGAAACAATGAAATACAAAACACTTTTGGCAGCTAGATGGGATAGGGTGAGGTTGATACTAAAAAAGTATGTTATATATGACTGATTTGTTTAGAAAGATTAGTCCTACAATCCGGAATGAGAATTATACTACATCTATATACTTCAGTAAAATTACATAAATTCTAAAAAATAGAACTGATATCAACTTTTTTTAAGTTTACTTTTTGTGTAGCCAAAATTTAATTTTTATCACAAAAGTAATTCATGCTTTTATAAATATTACAGAAAACTGGTAAAACAAATGTAGAAGAAAGTAAAAGTCACTTCCCGGTAAAGTCCATATTTAAATTTTAGCGCATTTCCTTCCATTATGTAATGTATTCATTCACATTTTTTAAACATAAAAGTAGAATTACATTGAATAACTGTGACATTATGCCATGAATATAGGAGCCACTTAACCTTGCATTTGAAGTCAGTGGTCTAAAGTTTAAGGTATATCCAGCAGCCTTGGCAATCCAGACTACAACATATTTATCTTTGTATCTGGCCAGCACTAGATTTGTGTGCACAGTACTCATTAAAGATATTATCAGTAAAAGTTATAGTAACATATATTTTAGTGCTTAAATATCTTGGGTTGGCCGTAAGGGCCTACTCATTATAGCCACACAGGGACTCAGAGTGATGAATCAGCCAGTATTGAAAACGTTATTGCCAGTCCTTTGCTAGAGTAAAATGTGAGCTTTGCAAGTTCAGTCATACTCAATTAAATGCTCAGCCCCCAAATAACACAGATCACTTCTGAGCAGATTTCATTGGTGCAATTTAGTTACCTGGATCTACCCAACTACACAAGAATGAAAGTACAATCTTGTCACATATCAAGTGGGTAGAGAACTGACAATATTTGGCAAACATCATTCTCTATTTTCACGAGAAAAGGTAAACTCCATTTTCTAAAATTTTCCATTTTATGTAAAAAAGATGTTTTAGGGTACGGAGTTGCTTACAGTTACCTCCATTCTTTTGCTTTCTATTTTGTGTATAAAGTGGATTTTTTTGTTTTGCGTGTTCATTTATTTGTTTGTTTGTGGATAGCTTTATACTTCCTGTTAACTTACACTTCCATGTGATTAATTCACTGCTCCTTCAAAAGCAGACCAGATGGAGAATTACTTTAAAACATAGTCCCAGCAATCTGACTATTTTCTGGCTGAGTAAGCTTCTTTGATCTTGGGTTGGAAATTAGGATGTAAAAAAAATTTCCGAGGCTCGTTTCTTCATATCCTCAAAGCTTATTTAATAATTCAGTGTCAGAATTAGTTGTGATGAAGAGGTAAGGTGTAAAAAAAAAATTTCTGCAATTCAAGCGGCTCATTTTGTACTCTCATTGTCCTTCCTGGATCTAGAGTTAAGACACAGCTCACATGGAGGATTTATATCTGTCTTAATCAATGCAGGGGCCAAGATGATGACATACAGAAGTACTTAACTCAGGGACTAAAGATCAATTCAACTGAGTTTCTCAATGATGGCAGAAAAAAAGCTATTTGAATCCTGCATTAGAAACTAGCGTAAACTGTAATCACTGTCCATCACTAGGCAGGCTCTATGAATTCCTTTTAGTCTCTGTAAGATGTCAATGTGTTATGATTACTTACAATGATGACCTTTATTTTGGCAATTCAAAAGAGTTCATAATGAGATTTAGAGAGAGGTGTTTTCTCCTTATTCAGATATGTAACTGACATTTTTATTATTTTACCTTAAATTGCTTGAATTTTAATTATACCTTGTTATTACAAAGGGAGTAGAGTGTAGTGTTAAGGATTGGGGTCCCGAGCCATGCAAACCTAGGTTCAAATCTTGGCTCTGTTACTATCTGTGTGACCTTCTGTAAGTAATTTGAGAACGACTCAAATTACTTACATGAAACATGGTATGTGTTCTAGGTCAATTGATATTTGGGAGCAAGGTTACCACACATAAGTGTGCAAGTTGTTCACTGAACAAGGATGCCAGACCAAAGGGGCAAGTGGAGCTGAAAGCCAGCCCTTATTCTGCTTGCACAGCCATGCTCCATAGCGGAGGCTCAACTGTCCAGAGGAAGCAGGGTGTTTTTCTTTACATACTAGATGAGCTAGGGCTGACCCCAAGTAAGTAGAAATCATAAGAGACTTGATTAATAATGTATCTTAATCCCAAACGGGAATCCTAACCAAGAAGAGTGGCAGAGGTGAATCACCATATATATACCTGGATTATCTCCATTTCTTAAGTAGATCTCTGAACCATTTTCATTTGTTGGTTTTTTAAAACCCAAATAAAACTTCGGGAGGCCGAGGCAGGTGGATCACGAGGTCAGGAGATCGAGACCATCCTGGCTAACATGGCGAAACCCCGTCTCTACTAAAAATACAAAAAAATTAGCTGGGCATGGTGGCACACGCCTGTAGTCCCAGCTACTCTGGAGGCTGAGGCAGGAGAACGGCGTGAACCCAGGAGGCGGAGCTTGCAGTGAGCCGAGATCCTGCCACTGCACTCCAGCCTGGGTGACAGAGCGAGACCTTGTCTCAAAAAAAACAAAAAACAAAACAAAAAAACCCAAAGAAACACACCTACTTGTCCCCGGTATATTAAATAGGTCTTGACATTTCAACCATTTTTCCTTTCCTCCACTAAAATTCCAGCCTTTCTTCTGAGTCACATGACAATAGTTTTCTGGAGGTGGGATACCCCTGACTCTTCACTTTGCTGTCAGTTGTGCTGCATTTGCTTCTCCTGCCAGGACTGCCTCAAAGATTGAAAGGGATTTTACACAGTTTGATCTTGATGGTTTGGCTGAGACTCATTGCACCACCAGCTGCCTGAAATCACAGCCTCTCTCCTTTCATGCCAAGTTCATCTCCAAAGGGAAGTGGGGAAAGAAGGCAGAAAGCGATATGAGGAGGAGGAATGGAATTGTGCAATGGGATGTTGAAATCTGCCTCTAGGAAGCATCCTAGACTATCTAATGTCTGTAGACATCCTTTCATTACTTCTTCCATCTGCTGCTTTTTAGGCTGCAGTTTTCTCAGAACAAATACCCTGAAAGCTTTTACACATTCTCTATTACATGCAGTACATATAGAGAGCTACCAGAGAAGGCTTTGTAGCTACAAGAAGAATGAAATAGCATCTATTCTATTACTGCCTTTTAGTCTTCTTTCCAGTTCTCTAATTTCTTTTTTAACTGGGGAGATGGGAAGGAGGAGTAGAAGTTGTATCAGTAATAAAGGATTCTAATAAGAATCCATTTCATTGATCCATAAAGTAAAACCAAGATTATCTCATCTATCTTCTTCATATAACAATTGCACTTTATTAAGTTTTGAATATATTCCAGGTGCTTTACATACATTATCTTTAATCCTTATAACAACATGGTAAGGTACCTATTTTAATCTCTGTCCTATAGATAAGAAAACTTTGGCGGGAAAACTTAATTAACTTATTCAAATATACAGAGCTAATAAGTAATAGGGTTAGTATAAATCCCAGTGTTATCTGACTCTGTAACCCACATTTTTTTCCTTTATTTCTTTCCCTTCCTTCCTTCCTCTCTCCCTCCCTTCCTTCCTTTCTCCTTCCCTTCCTTCCTTCCTCTCTCCTTCCCTTCATTCCTCTCTCCCTCCCCCCTTCTTTCCTTCCTTCCTTCCTCTTTTACTTTATTTTTCTTTCTTTATGTGTCTAAAATTATTTTCAAATGTCACAATATTACACAATGTGATGAATGCATATATTCTTATTGGGTATAATTCATACTATGCAAATTATGAATTGTAAATGTGGAAATCCATTTTACATAAATTCCTTTACTCAAATATCCAATCCTAATAGCTTCCCCAGTAGGGACCAGTTTCCTTTCTTTGTTTAATCTTTATTTTAAGTTTAGGGATACAAGTGTAGGTTTGTTACATAGATAAACTTGTGTCATGGAGGTTTGTTGTACAGATTGTTTCATCATCTAGGTACTAAGTCTAGTACCCATTAAGTATTTCTCCTGATCCTATCCCTCCTCCCACCCTCCACCCTCCAAAAGTCCCCAGTGTGTGTTGTTCCCCTCTGTGTGTCCATTTGTTCTCATCATTTAGCTCCCACTTTCAAGTGAGAACGTGCAGTATTTGGTTTTCTGTTTCTGTGTTAGTTTGTGTATTAGTTTGTTTTCATACTGCTGATAAAGACATACCCGAGACTGGGCAATTTACAAAAGAAATAAGTTTATTGGACTCACAGCTCCATGTGGCTGGGGAGGCCTCACAATCATGGCTGAAGGCAAAAGGTACTTCTTACATGGCAGCCACAAGGAACAGAAGCTTGTGCAGGGAAACTCCCATTTTTAAAACCATCAGATCTCATGAGACCCATTCACTATCACAGCACAGGAAAGACCCGCCCCCGGAATTCAATAATTCAATCATCTCCCACCAGTTCCCTCCCATAACACATGGAAATTACAAGATGAGATTTGGTTGGGGACACAGAGCCAAACTATATCAGTTTGCTAAGAATAATGGCTTTTAGCTCCATCCATGTCCTTGCAAAGGACATGATTTAGTTCTTTTTTTGCCTACATAGTATTCCATGGTGTGTATATACCACATTTTCTTTATCCAGTCTATCATTGATGGACTTTTAGATTGATTGCATGCCTTTGCTATTGTGGATAGTGCTGCAATGAACATATGTGTGCATGTGTCTTTATAATAGAATGATTAATATTTATTTTGGTATATACCCAGTAATTTCTGGGTCAAATGGTATTTCTGTCTTTAGGTCTTTGAGGAATTGCCATGCTATCTTCCACAATGGCTGAACTAATTTACACTCCCAACAACAGTGTATAACTGTTCCTTTTTCTCTACAACCTGACCACCATCTGTTATTTTTTGACGTTTTAACAGTAACCATTCTGACTGGTGTTAGAAGTGTCTCATTGCGGTTTTGATTTGCATTTCTCTAATGGTCAGTGATGATAAGCTTTTTTTCACATGATTGTTGACTGCTTGCATGTATGTCTTCTTTTGAAAGTGTCTATTTATGTCCTTTGCCACTTTTTTATGGGGTTTGTTTTCATGCATATTTATTTAAGAGCCTTATAGATGCTGGATATTAGACCTTTGTCAGATGTATAGGTTGCAAAACTTTTCTCCCACTCTTTAGGTTGTCTTTTACTCTGTAGATAGCTTCTTCTACTGTGAAGAAACTCATTTAATTAGATCCCATTTATCAATTTTTGCTTTTGTTGCAATTGCTTTTGGTGGCTTTCTCATGAAATCTTTGCCTGTACCTATGTCCTGAATGGTATTGCTTTGGTTGTCTTCCAGGGTTTTTATAGTTTTGGGTTTTACATTTAATTCTTAACCCATCTTGAATTCATTTTTGCATATGATTTAAGGAAGGGGTCCAGTTTTAGTCTTCTGCATATGGCTAGCCAGTTATCCAAGTACCATTTATTGAATAGAAAATCCTTTCCTCATTGCTTGTTTTTGTCAGGTCTGTCAAAGGTCAGATAGTTGTAGGTGTGCAATCTTACTTCTGGGTTCTCTATGCTGTTCCATTGGTCCACGTATCTGTTCTTGTACCAATACCATGCTGTTTTGGTTACCATAACAGTGTAGTATAGTTTGAAGTCAGAGCATGATGCCTCAACCTTTGTTTTTTTGCTTAGCATTGCCTTGGCCATTCAGGCTCATTTTTTGTTCCATACACTTTTTAAAATAGTTATTTTTCTAGTCCTGTGAGAATGACAATGGTGGTTTAATGGGAATAGCATTGAATCTGTAAGTTGCTTTGGGCAGTATGGCCATTTTAACAATATTGATTCTTCCTGTTCATGAGCATGGAATGTTTTTCCACTTGTTTGTGTCATGTCTGCTTTCTTTGAGCAGTGGTTTGTAGTTCTCCTTGTAGAGATCTTTCACCTCCCTAGTTAGCTATATTCCTATGTATTTTATGCTTTTTGTTGCAATTCTGAATGGGAGTTTGTTCATGATTTGGCTCTTGGCTTGACTCTTTTTAGTGTATAGAAATGCTAGTGATTTTGGCAGGTCGATTTTGTATGCTGAGACTGCTGAAGTTGTCTGTCAGCTTAAAATGCTTTGGGGCTGAGACAATGGGGTTTTCTGGATATAGGATCATATCACCTGCAAACAGGATAGTTTGGCTTCCTCTTTTCCTATTTGAATGCCTTTATTTCTTTGTCTTGCCTGATTTCTTTGACCAGAGCTTCCAATACTATGTTGAATAGGAGTGGTGAAAGAGGGCTTCCTTGTATTGTGCCAGTTTTCAGGGGGAATGCTTCCAGCTTTTGACTATTCATTATGATGTTGGCTATGGGTTTGTAATGTATGGGTCTTACTATTTTGAGATATGTTCCTTCAGTACCTAGCTTATTAAGAGTTTTTAACATGAAGTGATGTTGAATTTTATCAAAGGCCTTTTATGCCTCTATTAGGATAATCATATGGTTTTTGTCTTTAGTTCTGCTTATGTGATGAATCACATTTATTGATTTGCATACATTGAACCATCCTTGCATCTGGGGATGAAGCCTACTTGAATGCAGTGTATAAGCTTTTTGATGTGCTGCTGGAGTTGGTTTGCCAGTATTTTGTTGAGCATTTTTGCATCAATGTTCATCAAGGATATTGGCCGGAAGTTTTCTCCTTTCATTTTCTCTTTACCAGGGTTTGGTATCAGGATGATGCTGGCTCCATAGAGTAAGTTAGGAAGAAGTCCCTCCTTTAAAAAAGATTTTTTTTAAATCATTTCAGTAGGAATGGTACCAGCTTTTTCCTTGTACAACTTGTAGAATTCAGCTGTGAATCCATCTGGTCCAGGGCTTTTTTTGGTTGGTAGGCTATTTATTACTGCCTCAATTTCAGAACTCATTATTGGTCTGTTCAGGGATTCAATTTCTTCCTGGTTCAGTCTCGGGAGAGTGTATGTGTCCAGGAATTTATCCATATCTTCTACATTTTCTAGTTTATGTTCATAAAGTTGTTTATAATATTATCTGATAGTTGTTTATATTTCTGTGAGATCAGTGGTAATATTCCCCTTATTTTTCTGATTGTGTTTATTTGAATCTTCTATCTTTTCTTCTTTATTAGTCTAGCTGGCTGTCTATTTTATTAAATTTTTTCAAAAAACCAACTCCTCGATTTATTGATCTTTTAATGGTTTTTAGTGTCTCTTTCTCCTGCAGTTTAGCTCTGATTTTGGTTATTACTTGTCTTCTGCTATCTTTGGGATTTGTTTGTTCTTGCTTCTGTAGTTCTTTTAGTTTTGATGTTAGGTTGTTAACTTGAGATCTTTCTACCTTTTCAATGTGGGCAGTTAGTGCTATAAATTTCCCTCTTAACACTACCTTAGCTGTGTTCCAGAGATTCTAGTACATTGTATTTTTGTTCTTATTAGATTCAAATAACTCCTTGATTTCTGCCTTAATTTTGTTATTTACCCAAAAGTCATTCAGGTGTAGGTTATTCAATTTTTATGTAATTTTATATGGTTTTGAAGTGAATTTCTTAGTCTTGAGTTCTAATTTGATTGTGCTGTGGTCTGAGAGATTATTATGATTATAGTTATTTTGCATTTGCCTAGGAGTGTTTTACTTCCATTTTTGTAATCAATTTCAGAGTAAATGCCATGTGGCAATGAGAAGAATGTATATTCTGCTCTTTTTGGATGGATAGTTCTGCAAATATCTATCAGGTCCATTTGATCAAGTGCTGAGTTCAGGTTCTGAATATCTTTATTAATTTTCTGTCTTGATGATCACCCTAATATTTTCAGTGAAGTGCTGAAGTATCTCACTATTATTGTGTGTGAGTCTGTCTTTTTGAAGGTCTCTAAGAGCTTGCTTTATCAATCTAGGTGCTCCTGTGTTGGGTGCATGTATATTTAGGATAGACAGATATTTTTATTGAATTGAACCCTTTGCCATTATGTAATGCCCTTCTTTGTCTTTGTCGGTTTAAAGTCTGTTTTGTCGGAAACTAAGATTGCAACCTCTACTTTTTTCTGTTTTCCATTTTCTTGGTAGATTTTTCTCCATCCCTTTATTTTGAGCCTACATGTGTCATTGCATGTGAGATGGGGCACTTGAAGACAGCATACCAATGGGTCTTGGTTCTTTATCCAGTTTGCCACTCTGTGTCTTTTAATTGGAGCACTTAGCCCATTTACATTTAAGGTTAGTATTGATATGTGTGGATTTGATCCTATCATCATGATGTTAGCTGGTTATTCTGCAGACTTCTTTATGTGGTTGCTTTATAGTATCACTGGTCTGCCTCCTTAAACATGCTTTTGTAGAGGCTGGTAATGGCCTTTACTTTCTATATTTAAAGCTTCCTTTATGAGCTCTTGTAAGGCAGGTCTGGAGGTAATGAATTCCCTCAGCATTTGCTTGTCTGAAAAGGATCATATTTCTCCTTGGCTTATGAAGCTTAATTTGGCCAGATATAAAATTCTGGATTGGAATTTCTTTTTCTTAAGAATGTTGAATATTGCCTCTCAATCTCTTCTGGCTTGTAGGGTTTCTGCTGAGAGGTCCATTGTTAGTCTGATGTGTTTCCCTTTGTAGGTGACCTGGCCTTTCTCTCTAGCTGCCCTTAACATTTTTTCTTTCATTTTTACCTTGGGGAATCTGATGATTATGTGTCTCAAGGATGATATTCTCATAGAGTATCTTACTGAGGTTGTCTGCATTTCCTGAATTGAATGTTGGCCTGTCTAGCTTGGTTGAGATAGCTCTCATGGATGATATCTTGAAATATGTTTTACAAATTGGTTCCATTCTCTGCCAATCAGTCATAAATTCAGTTTCTTTACATAATCCCATATTTCTTGGAGGTTTTGTTCATTCTTTTTGATTCTTTTTTCTGTATTCTTATATATCTGTCTTATTTTACAAAGTTAGTCTTCAAGCTCTGAGATTCTTTCATCCACTTGGTCTATTCTGCTATTAATACTTGTAATCACATTATTAAGTTCTTGTAGTGTGTTTTTCAGCTCTGTCAGGTTGGTTGTGTTCTTCTTCAGGCTGGCTATTTTGTCTGTCAGCTCCCACAATGTTTTATGATTTTTACCTTCCTTGTATTGGGTTACAACATGATCCTTTAGCTCAGTGAAGTTCGATTTTATCTATATTCTGAATTCTACTTATGTCATTTCAGCCATCTCAGCCTCAGCCCAGTTCTGAACCCAAATGACTGATGCAGTCATTTGGAGGAAAGCGAGCACTCTGGCTTTTGAGTTTTCAGCATTCTTGCATTGATTCTTTCTCATCTTTGTAGGCTTATCTACCTTCAATCTTTGAGATTGCTTACCTTTCGATTTTTATTTTTTCTTTTACGGTCTGGCCACTTTTCCACAGGGCTGCTGTGGTTTGCTGGAGGTCCACTCCAGTCCCTAGTCACCTCAGATTTTCCAGTACCTGGAGGGATCACCAGTGAAGGCTGTGAGACAGCAAAGATGGCAGCCTGCCCCTTTCTCTGGGAGCTCCATCCTAGGGAGCTATGGACCTGTTGCCAGCCTGAACACACCTGTAGGAGGTGGCTGGAGACCTTAGTTAGGTGATCTCACTCAGTCAGCCAGAATGGGATTGGGAACCTGCTTAAAGAAGCAGTCTGGGCACACTTTCACAGAGTAGCTGTGCTGTACTGGAGTACAACTTCCACCCCCAGTCAGCTTGGGCTCTCCAAAGCCTGGAGGCTGGAATGGCTAAGTCACCCAAACAGGAAAGATTGTGACCCATTCATCCCTCTGAGAACTCTGTCCTAGGAAGTTTTCAAATCTCTTTTGGCCAGAGAACATCAGCAGGGGTGGCTAAGGGGTCCTAGTTCAGGGTGGGGGTCCCACTCAGTGAGGAGAAACATATTGGGGAACTACTTAAAGAAGCAGTTTGGCTACATTTTGGTAGAGCAGCTGTGCTATGTTGGGAGATCCCTTCCACCCACAGGCTGGAATGGCTGAGTTTTCCAAATAGTTAAGATGGCGTCCTGCTCCTCCCCACCCCTTGATTTCTTCCCCAAGTAGGTGCAACACTGCTCCTGGTAGCTGGCTGGAATTCCAAGACTGTGGGCTTTATCTTGTGAGATGTTGTGGAAATGAGGCCCGCAGATCATCACTGCTCAGCCCACTGAATTCAGCCTCTTTCGTAGTGGTACGTACAGAGGTCTAACCTCCCACTTTGCTGGAGTTGCTGTTACTTTTGCTGGGAAGCCCAGAGCAGGAATATGTAAAGCACCTAGGTCTCTCTGTGTGCACAAATGGCTGATCTGCCAAGACTCCACCTAGCTGTGTATATCATACTGAAGGCCCTGGTGGAGTGAGTTCACAAGAGGATCTCCTGACCCAAGGGTTGCAAGCGTCCATGGGAGAAGTGTGGTTTTCCAGGATCACATGTTCACTTACCACTTCCCTGGCAGGGGAGGTTCCCTTGGCTCCATGTCACTCCTGGGTGGGCCATCCTTTTGCCTTGCCTTTCTGTTCTCTGTGGGTCAAGTTGTTTCCTTGATTAGTCCCAATACAAGTACCTGGATGTTTCAGTTGAAGGTGCTGTATTTACTCCACCCTCTCATTCCTCTCTGTGAGAGCCACATACCCTAGCTGCTTGTAGTCAGCCATCTTGGCCACTGAGGGACAAGTTTCTAGAATTTTTAAAAACACATTTTGAAACACACACACACACTTCTGTTTGCTACATTGATGACTTGGGTATCAGTTTTTCTGTTTGGTTGAATATGGTGCTTTTTTATTATATGGATTTCCCCAAATGCTTGCTTCTTCTTGACTGACTATTGGATGTTTTGACCTAACCCTCATTATTCCTTTACAGCACAATGCTGCAGTTCATTTCACAGCTGAGAAAACCAGGAGCCAGACAGAATAAGGGACAGCCAAATTTATTGAGGTATTTAGTGCTAAAACAGTTAATAAATTCCATGTATCTGCTGATTCCTTGCCTAGTGCCTTTTCTAAAATGTAGCATGTTATTAATGGGAAGTCTTAGAAAATGTTTTAGCTTATTTTTAAATCTGACCTCTTTTAACATATCATATCCTATTTCTAGTCACATTTCTTTAGCTGAAAGACTTTGACATGCCTTGTGTCCTTGGCAGAAAACTCAGAAAAGCCCACTTATTCTTGTATTTTATTTGGAATAACTTCTAAAAGAATCCAGTACCTGGACATGTTCAACAAATAAAAATCTAGAACATTATAAAACTTTAGAAAAAAATCAAACCCAATTTCTTATTTTGTCAATTCAACAGGCAATGTGTGTGTGCTTACTAAATATTCATAAATGCTGAGATGTATTAAAAGTACATTTATACAAAACATCTAGGAAAATGAAGCCAAAACAGACTAATTCACTGGAAAAACCTCATGGGCCTACTCAACAGTGATATCAGGACTAGAGCTCATGTTTCCTGACTCAAAGTCCAATGTTCAACATCCATTTGATTTACAAGGGTGCTATTCTGCACAGCCTATAAAATATAGGCTGGACCAGCCTACTCACAGTATGTGCTCAACTGCATTCATTATCTTCCTTTGTAGTTTATAGAAAAAAGACAGTGCTAGTCATGAAATGTATAATGCACTTGTACCTTTTAAAGCTGAAGACGTTTATTTAGTTTGCTTTAAATTTGTAATCACAAAATAAATAGCAACATATTGAGGCAATGAGCTAGCTCCAGTGGCCTTGACTGATTTGCAACTCTCTCTCTTCCTCTTATAGAAAAAAATTCTGTGTTCCTGAAACTAGCATTTGTATGCAAGTTCAGTAAATCATACTGTCAACATTTTGTGACCATTCTTACTGAATTATATTAAATGCTTGACATTGTTTTGTAAACATGAACATACAAAAGTGTTCTAACTGGGCTGTTTAAGGATATGATTATCCCAGATTAAATGGGTAGAACACCTTTAATGCATTACTAGACATCTTGATCTCCTGATCAGAAACAGTATTTACTGATAATGCATCTTCATTAGCATAGAGATATGAATAAATATAATTGAAAAGGGGTTGGATTTGCCGTCAGACACCTTGGGTTTGAAAGAACCTTAGCCTTCACAAAGTCTTGGCTTACATATCTTAAAAATGGGGAAATGATATCCATTTCCTCTGAGTTTTTTAAGATTTAATTGAAATAATGCATGTGAAATTATCCTGACACATATAAGGAGTTTAACAAAGCTTAGTTTTATTTCCAGTTTGCTTAATGTTTGCTATTTTCAAAACCATTTTTTCCTAATAATGTAATAACTAGCTTTGACAGCACTGACAAAGCCATACACAACTCATGCATGCCCTTTCCCTGAAGACCAGCTTTCTCCATTAGCATCCGAACATGGCAAATCCAAATCTCTCCTAAAATCTTCTAAGTGATTTCAAAAGTCCTGTGTGCATTAGTCTGGATTGCTTGAGTATATATTGCACACTTAATTAAACCTGTTATTTCTGGAAACAAAAGCAAAACATTTAGGAAGAAATGGCTGAGAGAAACCATTGCTTTTCCAATAATGTGACATGTGAATAATTTAAGAAATCGTTTAAAGCCATGCTTTATTTCAATTGGTTTCTGAACCCCTTCATTTTCAGACTGTGCTTTTATTTTCTTCATCTACCATTTCTTTGTGCCACTTCTCTTTGAAGTTATCTGTTATCCTTAAAAAGGAACTGGATGGGAATTAACTTGCTTCTGACTATATCCATTTATCTACTTGAAGATCACTGTGGCAAACTATGAAAAATGTACTAGTTTTGAAAAATGACAAAGCTCCCAGGATCGAAAAGGTGCTTATCCTCTCACAGGAATCTATTTGTTCTGTTATTTTGCTTTCCTTGGCAGCTAGGGCTAGATTCTTCAAAGGGAGATGCAGATTCTATTTTTCTTTATCTTTCCTACCATGAAAATAATGCCTTGCTTCTGCATTGACAAGGTTTTGCATCAAAAGTCCTTTCCTATTTGCACTGCAAATAAAAATCACAACCCCATTGTAAATTGCTTTAACACCTTTTCAACAATCCAAACCTTATGAGGAAAGATATGCTGGCTATTGTGTGTACATTATAAATGCTGCACAGAGGTGTGTTTATAAGGAGGTTGTGTGTTTGATCTTCCATTCCTCAGTCCTTCCCTAGGTGTTATCAGCATGTAGAAAATGGAATCTATCTAATCTATTCTGACTGAATTAAATACACCAGATGTATTTCACTTTGAATTTCAATTGGTCCAGAACCTTTGTCTTAGCCACAGAAAGTCAGTAACTTAGCTGTTTTCTTTCCTCTTGTGTTATTTTCTTCGTGGTCCAAGACTCTGGACAAATATGATGCCAAATGCAGCTGCTCTTGGAACTCACGGCTTCCCAAACCTCAGGAGACACAGGTCAGTTTTCCCCAGAATTCTCTCATGTCCCATTCCCACAATGACATAAATCCCATGGAATCCTTCTACCTGGCTTGAGATAGAGAAGAATGAGTAAATGAAAGGATAACGCTAGAGCTTTCACATTAGATGGTCACATAACAAGAGACAAAAAATGGTCTTTCATTATCTGAGAAGTCTCTTGTATCTAGGCACAGGGTCACAATATTGGATGTTGACCACCTCTTTAAAAGTCCTGTATAGATGGTTTATCTTTTCCCATTAGAATGTTGGTGTCCTATCATTTATCATCTATCAACATTGAGATCTAAAAGGAAACTAACAAAAGTCTCATTAATATCTTGTAAATCATGCATAACTTTGATAAAATAAAAACTAAATTACGATAGATAAATGTTTAAAGAGTGAAAAACGAAGAATGATTGTAGACTTTGGTAGAAATTCCTATTGTGGCACAACTATGGGACTCTAGAAGATTTTTTCCTCTTGCTTTGATTAAAAGTGAAGTTTCGCATGAAATAGTGTGATATTTCATCTCTAGCTCCAAGGGAGGCTCTGTGGAGACTGTCGTTAACCAGTGTGGTCAGGCAAACCAGCAGCTTCCCTGATTAGTTCCTCCTGCTGTTCAGTATAGACAAAACTTCAATCACAGGATGTTCTGGAGAGCTTGAGTGTCCGTATTCCAACTGTGCTACCTAGAAAACTGTCAAGTGTCTGTAAATATTTTGCAGTTCCTTAGGAAAAAGTGTTAGCCTTCTAAAAAACAGCAGAGTGTGATTGGTCCTGCACCTAGCCCTGGTTCTTGGTGGACTTGGTTTGCTTGCTTATTCTTATCATTCCATCTGTCTGCTTAATCCCCTATCTGTCTCTGCTTCTCTCTTTATGTGGTATATGCCAAAGAGTACTGTTCTTCTGACACATTATCTTCCTCCTAGAATCTGCAAAAAATCACTGATTATCCTTGATTGACTCATTCATGACCTTAGAAGGGACTGGAAAGTCAGTCTCTGCACAGAAGAAATATGCCTGGATATGCAGCGGGGATGGAAACGGGATTCCCATATGTTATTCCTCAAAATTCTCAGAGTTGATCATCCTAATTTAACATTCCCTTTTTCTCACTCCCATTGCTGAGGTGAAAAAAGAAACTTAGTCATCATTACATTAATTCCAAGTGCTTTCTGATCATCTTGCCATTTTAACATGCTTTGTCCCATTTTCTCTCCCACATGGTGAGTTTGAGTCTTCTGAGAGAACTAACAACTTCAGAGCCTTGAAATGTGCATCCACCACACAAAACTATCTGTAAATACATTGTTTGTTTTGAACAAACCTTCTGTTCTTTTTCTATTTGATTAGTAAGAATAATCAAACATCTAAATAAAAATCATTGTCTGTTACCACTGGAGAGTGTCCAATCCAGTCACAGACAGCTTGGAAGGCTGGCAAAAGGCACCATGCATTGTGCTGGGGGACATCCAAGCCGGCATGGAGGGACCTGTGTGCCATCTGCCCTCACCACTTCTGCTCGGATCCCAGTCCTATCATTTTAATCTCATTAGAACAAGATTCTTGTAAAGCCAAGAGATGAGATTTAGCTGCAGCTCCCAATTTCACAAACTAAAGAAAGCCTCACAATGAGGAGACCAGCTTCTTGAAATAGCTTGAACAACCTCTCAGCTCTCAGGTACAAAGCTGTGTCTCAGTACTGCATGTTCAATAAAGGGTGGAGTACCTTTTCTCTGTGATTTACTTTTCCACACCATGAGATTTGGGAGGAGTTGAAACCTTTCAGGTTATAACTGTATGTTCTCCATGCACGGTGCTGGAAGATGTTATGTGTTAATTGTTTGTTGTTTTAGAGCAAAGCAGGCCCACTGAGAAGCTGTCCCTTTAATATTTGTACAGCTGCATTTACCAGGAAGCAAAGTTCATGAGAAAAAAAAAAAAGCTGAAACCCTTTCTTCACAAAATAAAAACACATTATTGACACCCTATTTAATGACAACATTCAACTGTTTTTTTTCCATCTTTATTTCCCCTCTAAGGCCCAGCTTATTGGCTCATTATGTGCCTGGAACATGAAGGATGACAAGGAGATGGAATTCTGGCTCAGCAGTTTGAGAGCCCAGCCCCCAACTTGCTCAGCCCTCCCCCCTCCTCCTCTCTTGCTTTTCTCTTCTCTCTTCCCCCGCTCTCCCGCCTCCTGCTGCAGATCTCTTTCTGCTGCCTGGCAACCGCACCACAGGCAATGTCACACAGGATTGCTTATTACAGCTTCAGAAAAATAAACAGGAGGAGGAAATTTCTTGCTGTTACATTAGAACTATTATGTACAATGTTCCAAAGCCAGGTAATTCCAAGAGTGATATTATAGTAGAATTTTGCACCATGGTGCCTAGGTCTTTCTTGCATAGATAGAGAGAAGGGTGAAGGAAAAATGAAAAGAGAGTTTTTCGATGGCTTTTAGCCAGCAATGTATTTAATACATCCATTTGGTTGGCACAGACTTCGAATATAACTATTTCTGAGCTTTGAGGACTTGAGCAAGAAATGTTACAGTTGTTATTTGAAAAGTGCAATGTGAATATGAAGAGTAAGCTTCTACTGCTTACCATTATTATCTTCACTCATAATTATCGTGTAGATGGTTTTCACTAGACTTAAGGGCATCACGTCTCATATCTGGTAAGGCAGACAAGACCTATCTTTCCTTTAGTATCATTTATTTGCTTACATGAGGGTCTTTTTCTTTCTTTAGACATTCCCTAAATTTATTGCTTCCAGCAGCTGACAATGATTGAGCACATTTTTGTGTCCCCCTACTGGATAAAATGAGCACAAGAGACCTGGTGGCCCTTCCAGGGATCACACTATCACAGAGAAGATTAACAACTAAACAAATCACTAAAATAAACTCTGCTAATGCATAAAATGGAAAAATCTTTTTCCATTTTCTACTCAGGATTCTATGCCTCTCTGCAACAGGAATGGTTCTATATCAGGATTTTTTTTTGTGTCCCATCTGTTTAGCCAGGCAGTGGAAGGAAGCAGGTTTCTTCCTAATTCAGTTTCCTGAGTGTGATATCCAGGGAGCATAAACACTATTTGAAGTGTATCCCTCCAGAAATCTAAACTCATCTTTAACCTGATTGTAAAATACTTCCGAGTTCCAGATCCCTATCCTTGTTGACCTGAGTCGTTGAAAACAGACTGGCCTATTTACTAGGGTAAGTTAACTACAAATCATAACAAAGACTCCATCCTTGACCTCTTCTTGCACATGAGTCAGCTTGAAAGGCATGGGTCCCCAGTGCAAAATCACAGTATGTGAATGTAGGGAATCCTAGGCATAATGGGTGATTGATGTACGTACCCTGACAGGGCAGGGCAGGGCAGGGCAGGGGTGGTGCCAGGGTGTCTAACAGGACTAATTATCGGCAAACAGTAGGTGTTCAAGGTATGGATGAGAGAAGTCAGTGTAGAATCATTTGGTATGACATTGGAATCAGTGACTGTCACCAAGGAAAATTATTGTAAAGAACTACACAACAGTCTCAGATAGCCAAGGTTCCCTGCCCAGAGTTCTGGTTAAGGCTCAATTTTTAGAGTGGAATAAAAAAGAAAGAAGTAATCAGATACCCAGGCAGGCAGACTGGGCCAAACACAGATGGGCTAGATGGGAGGGCCTCAGCCTGATGCCCCTTTCACCAGCCAGGCCAGAATATTCACCTTCAGGACCAAGAAGCACAATCTCACTATCTCTGGCCATGAATGCCCCTGCTCACTCCGAGAATTCAATAGTTTGGAGACTAGATGAGACTTCTGGAAGGCACCCCTTGCTTGTGGTGTACAGGGCATACCAGGCAGATGTTAGAGAGGAGAAGCAAGGCAGGACTACTAGCACTGAGGTCAGGAAGCTCATCCAGGGCACAGGTTTTCATCAGACCCAGATCTGAATCTCAGTTCTGATACTTCATGATTATATGAACTTGGGGAAAATTACTCAAGCTCTCAGAACCTCAGTTTTTTCATCTATAGGCTTTCAATGAATGTCAGTAATAACTGTTTGATTAAAATTACTATTATACTTTAAAGGACCAAAAACCAATTGCAGGGAATCTTTATAATATGAAAGCAAAAATAGGAAGCAATTAAATTGTTCTATCTACATTTATGGGATTGAAACATGATGATAAGTAGAATTAATAACATTAAATGGCATGCTTTCAAGAATTGAAATTGTAGAATATATGTCAAACTCAAAGAATTTTCTTTCTCTATGCCTTCCTTTACCCCAAGCTTGCCTCCCATATCACAATATGTGCACCTGCTGCAAATATTAAGGACTTTGTCTTACAGGCTAAAACTCTTAGGCCAATAATCACACTACGTGACCTGGTAATTGAAAGTTGTGTGGAGCACACACAGAAAGTTTCTATGAGTTAACCATCATAGAAAGCTTTGCTGTATACTGTTATGGTACATTTTTCATACACCTCTAGGAGGTGAAAAACTCTGTGTGTTCCCTCTGTGACCAGCCAGGCAAGTTTAACCTGTCCGTAAACTTTCAAACAGGCAGTTTGCGAAGAATTCCAATTCCATTTAGGGAAATCTCTACTTTCATTCTAAGCCTCATTCGTCCCCCTCTTATTGTCTTCCTGGGCTTCTGGCCTGCTGGACTCTGTCTCTGCTTTCTTGCCTATGCTTTCCACTTGGTTCCAACAATAGAATGTGTTAGGAAGATTCCACTTTCAATTTAAACTCATCCCTACCTTCTCCATGGTTGACAGATTATCTCACATGACTGAGCTGTGGTCTTCAGGAACTTAGCATCAGGCACCTAAGCACCTAAATCTGATTTTCCATTAGTGGTAAATCAGGCAGGCATGTATCTATTTTTCTCAAAGTTATGAAAGAAATTACAAAACCCCATAGCCCAGTATTTTTCAGAGGAGTTGAAGGAGCAGCTGCATCAAAGTCACCTAGGGGCTTATTAACAAATCAGGATTTAGAACCCAATCCTGGCTTTACTAGCCAGCTCCCCCAGGCAATTGTTATAAACATTAAAGTTTGAAGCTCATTGCCATAATCTCTTGAAGATTTGGACCAAAAAAACCCTTAAAAGTGAATAAGTGACAATATAAATCCAGTTTTTCAGTAACAGTTTTTTTTTTTGTTGTTTTAATCCCATCTAGCCAGACTTTTAGGAAGGGTTTCTGTGTAAGAATATAGATCTATCCTTTTTAAAGTTAGCAGACCATTGACATAAAAACAAAATAAAGCAAAACAAAGAGATTCATGAAGGGTAACAAACAAGACACATAATATATTAAATTATCCTATTTACTAAGGACTCCTAACCAGTCATCCATTTATTCAACAAATACTATTAAGCGGCTATTTTATGTCCTAGGTGCTGAAAGCATCGGACCTTAGTCTAAGCAAAACAAAGTCAGCCTTCTCACTGAGGTTCCATTCTGGTGGGGGAGGCAGGCAATGGATAACTTAAAAAATAAGTATTTTCAGGTAGTAATAAGTGCCTTGAAAAAGAGTGAAGCAGCACTGGAGATAAGGCAGGAAAAGCTGTTTTGGAGGGAGAAAGGGATGGGGAAAATCCTCTGAAAGATGTGAAAGAGGATCCGTACGGAGATAAGAGGAAAGAGTATTCCAGGCAAAGAAAGCAATGAGTGACAGGCCATGAGGCCGAGACTGCACTGGTGTGTTTTAAGAAAAGCAGGTAGGCCAGGGTGGCTGCATTGAAGAGCAAGGGCAAATGGTGGGAGATCAGGGCACGGAAGGGTGCAGGGCTTTGTAGGTTACAGTAAGGAGGGCATATTTTACTTAACTCATAATGAGAAGATACTGCAGTTTTGAACAGGGAAGTTACATTACCACATGTACATTTAAAAAAAGTCACTCTGTTGTGCAAAGTATAGACTATAGAGGAGAAAAATTGGAAGCTGGAAACCATCCTGGAGTTATCTCAGTAGTCAATAGAAAATAAAAATGGTAGTGTGGGTGAGAGTCATATCAGTGTAGAGGAGGACAACTTCAGGATATATTTTGGAAGTAGAACTGGCAAGACTTGTGTATGGAAAATGAAGGAAATAGAGAAATCAAGGATGCCCCATATGATTTTGGCCTGGCCAACTGATTGAATAGTAGCACATTTTATTAAAATGGGGAGTCTGGAGGAAGAGCACATTTGGAGAACATATGGAATTCTCGTATCATGATAAGTTTGTAAAACCACACAGATATCAGAGTCAAGATGTTAAATGTGGAGTTGGGTATAATAATCTGCAGCTTGGAGCTGTAAACTGGACATAAAAACTTGAGAATCATCAGTGTTTAGATATCTAATGCCAAAGAAATGGAGAAGCTCTCCCAGGCAGTGAACATCCACAGAGAAGAGAAGGTGGAGAATGGAATCCTAAACTACCCTAATACTGATGTTTGGAGGACAGAGGAGTAGGAGCCAGTTGAGGAGGCTGAAAAAGAACAGCCAGTGAGGTAGTAGGAAAATGAGTGTGGCATCCTGGAAGCCAAGTGAATGTTTTGGGCATAGGACCATGTCCTGCTGTATAGTGACAGAGATGGTTATTCGGTAGCATGAAAGAAGGTTCATAACCAAGAGTAATAATAAGTATTTGGGTGTTAGTTACTCTCACTTACTTTGTATTTTAATAAATGAAGGACATGAGAAAGGTCCAAGTGAACTCTCCCAAAGGACCTCCAAAATGGAGAAAGCAACACTGAAAACGCCCTGACAAGCAGTGACATAAAATGCCATTTTCCCTAAGGAACAGAGACATGAGCAAAAGATAGTGAAGGTTTTTTTTAGACTTCTTCCAACAGTAAATCAACATCACTAAACAGCTTATTGAAAAGGGCAAAATAAAATATGCTGATTAGACTTGCTATATCTTCTTGGCATTTGGGAGAGGAAAGGTTAAGGTTGAAGAAGTGGTAACTGAGAGCTAATATTCTTAGGTTTCCAGTAGGTCACACAGCAATTTAAGCCACATGAAAAGGAGAAGGTGGGAGGGCAAAGGCATATTTCAGGTTGTGGTGGATTGTGTTTTTCTATGTGCTCACTAGCTCAGAGACTTTACAGAAATAATGACACCCTGACTAGACAGGAAACGAAATTGCTGCCCCTGTTTAGTATTTATTGAGTGCCCAGAATGAGAGGCATTTAGGACACTTACATATTGGGTGGCTAGAAAGTTGTGGGACTGATTCCACATTTCATTACTTTGTGTGCAAACCTGGTATGATCTCTTTTCCACAGGTTTAGTTTATAAGGCATCTAGAAATACAGATCTCATACACAGTGTTTTTAAATCTATAACAAGTCTTTCTCTCTCACACATAGTATTGAACCTTTTCATGATTAATTTTGACTTTTTGTTGACATATAATTTAGTTTTTTTTTTTTTTTTTTTAATGTGTTAGCAGATTTGAAGTTAATCCCACAAAGGAGACCAACTGCGAGCCAGATATTTTTCTGGGGGCTATTTTTTAAATCTGTCTATTCAGATTTTTAGGAAGGATTTTCTCTCTAAGAGGGTGGACATATCTATTTTATGTGAACAGACCACTGATTTACAGACTCAATAGAAATATCACTTCATGGGAAATGAAATCACAAAAATAAAAGATAATCTCCACTGCCAGGTTGAAAGAACAAACCAAACTAAACTCTGACGCTGTAATAGGATCAGATGTTTAGTAAAGTTGATCTCTTCCTTTCCCTGATCTATCCTCTGAATAATTCAGGATACATTGCAGGAATATGGCTGCACTGGATTAATCCGCATTCTATGAAGTTACAGAAAAAATGTGATTATTCTCACTAACAGAAGGGAACAAAAGCATAGGCAATCCAAAATGGTGGCAAACTCCCTGAATCATGTCCATTTGGCTTTGAGATGTGTTTTCTATTTAAGCTTAATATGGATGCATCTGATTTTTCTGGGAATTTACTTCAAAGAGAATAATGAAATGACACAGTGAAACTTGGCTCCCTTTGAGCTGGGAAAGGCTCCAGTTTTCCATCCTAATCCTGTTCATTCAGGAAACAGACATGACCTTGCTGAAAGTTCTGTCTGAACAGAAAAACTGTACACTAATTCTTTGGATTTCAAAGGGCTTCCTCACAGAGATCTAAGTTCCCTTAAGGCCAGAGCAATAAGTAAGCAGAATGCTAGACAGTGCTTCAGCTGGGAAGGTCGAGCATGCAGACAGAAATGAACCTGGCTGCTAGGTGAGGCTGAGGAAGCATTGCAAGGGAGTAAATAAGCTCTCCTCGAGCACCCACCCAGCTTTGTCATGCAAAGCAGTGTAGTATATGTGATAAGCCCTCCAGTTTATCTATAGATTGTTTCTCTTAATAACTTTGAAATCTTTAAATACTTAATTTGGCTAGCCTCTTACTCTGAAAAATAATACACCATGATTTTGTTGTGAAAAATGAGCTAATACTCAGTGCTCAGCTCCATATAAGGTGCAAAATCAATGATCAAAATCATGAGCTATAATTAGAGTCTATGGACTGAACTTAAAATTGCCTCTCACATGGAAATGTATTGTTTTTCCAATATATTTAGTTAGAATTGTGCTTAGTAAAATGCACTGTCACTTAAAAACATAACTAAATTCATGTATTCAGCAAGGAAATGTTAAACAACTACCGTGTACTAGGTATGTTTATTCACTCAAAGATTTATTTTTGCCATATATTTTCACAATCAAGTGGTCCTAAATAGAAAAACTACCATAATATGAAAACCCAAATAATTTATGACACTACAGGTTGTCTTGAATAATAGTTATATGTAATGCAAGAAATATGATTGAATCATAGATGAGGGTGGAAAAAGAAACTATAAAATCCAATTTTGAGACAAATGGGGACATTTGAATATGACTTAGATAAGAGAAGCTATCAGGTAAATATTGTTGTTTTATTTGTGATAGAGGTATTATGGTTATGTCAGAGAATATCATCATTCTTAGGAGATTCATGCCAAAATATTTAAGAGTAGTAAGATATCTGCGAATTACTTTCAACTGGGTCATAAAAAATAAAAAGAATATGGAAAAATGTTAAGTTTATAACCTAAGTTAGTAGTATAAAACTGAGCATTCTACTATTCTTTTATCTATTTCTATATACAAAGATTTTCTTAGTAAAATTGGGAAAAAGGAAAGACAAAAACATGGCCCACATACACATACACTTTTTAAAATTCTAAATGAAAAGGCTGGGAGTGAAGGCTCATGCCCATAATCCCAGCACTTTGGGAAGCTGAGGCTAGTGCATAGCTTGAGCTCAGGAGTTTGAGACCAGCCTGGCCAATGTGGTGAAACTCTGTCTTTATGCAAAACGCAAAAAGTAGACAGGCAGAGGAGAAAACTGAGGGCCAACAGGTTAAGTAATCTACCCAAATAACCAGATAATGCTGGAGTCTGATCGCTTTCCACCAGAGAACATGGCAGTACTCATCTATCTAAACTGCTCCTTTTACTCTGGTCAAAGATTCAGAAATGGTGCCTTCAATCACAAGGGAGACAAATCAGAGAATGAAAATGATCAATGTGAAACCATTCACACTAATGGAGAAACAAGCATCCTCGTGTGATGAGAAAGTCATAGCATCATCCTCTCCTAATATAAAGGTCAGAAGAATTTTCTTCATGATAGAGGAACCAAGATAGCAGGTCTTAAGTTCTGAAAAAGTAAATGAATTTCAGAGAAACATGCCTTCAAACATTCTAACATTGTCAAAATAAAGATTAATGAAATATATTCATTTTATGTTATGTAGCAAAATATCCAGCTATGTTTGTAACTGATGTCACAGGTAAAGAAATAAGCTTGTGTGGTTGATATCTAAATAGCTATTATTACAATTAGTAATATAATATATTTTCTACAAGATACTCAGTGAATTTCAAAACAGCAATGGGTGCTTAGTACCATTAATGTTTATTAACTTTTTAATATATTTATGTTTATGAACTTTTTAATAAGTATAATTATAGAAATGCATCAATTGTCTATAATTCAACTAAAAGGAACCTTCAATAAACCATATTGGAATAGTGGACACATTCATTTTTTAGTGTAGGAAAGGTAAATTATAATACTGGTATTTTGTAAAAGCAAGCATAGTACTATCAGGTTAGCATTCACTTTATGTAATCTCCCACAATGTTAAGTACAGAGAGCAATATTTTTTAGCTACTCAGACAGTTTTACAACATTGAATATCCCTTTTCATTCTATCTCACTCAACAGCAACAGTTGTAGTTTGGCCTGTTTCCTCATCTTGCTTTCACTTCCGTGGTCTGCAGGGTAGTTTAAAAAGAGAAACTTAGATCTAGGCTACTGGACACAGTTATTATTCCAAAGAAATTCAAATTCTAAAATCATCAAAGATACAGATATAGTTGTATGCAATAAGGCAGCAAAGAAACCAATATGTTGTGTCTTACTATGTGAGGGGAAAGAGGATGCTAAGTCATGGTCCTTGGCTCCTTGCTAACAGAAAGGTCAATGCAATTCTCACTAACAATTTGACGACTTAAAATTTTGATTAAGAAAAACACACCACCACCTCCCTGAAGATTCCATTTAATTAAGGCTCTAGGACATCATGTATAAACATATATATATATATATATATATATATATATATATATATACACACACACACATATATGTATATATATATTTGTATTTCCAGCATTTCAAAATGCACTCATATTTTTGTGTCTATGTGGCAATGAAAAAGAAATGCCTTTTTCTCTTTTTATAGTAAACTATGTCCACCCTGCCGCAACGTTCGTGTGAATGGCCTCATATTATAGGCAGACCTTGCCTGGTTTGTGTTACTGCATTGAATATGAGTGTGTATGAAATTAATTACATATCTTGAAATTTGCTTATTTATTTGATTCTGTCATATGGCAAAATAGAAGCTGCTTCTTGGACTCCATTCTTTTTTTTTTTTTTTTTGAGAAGGAGTTTCGCTCTGTCGCCCAGGCTGGAGTGCAGTGGCAGGATCTCGGCTTACTGCAAGCTCCGCCTCTCGAGGTCACGCCATTCTCCTGCCTCATCCTCCCGAGTAGCTGGGACTACAGGCGTCCGCCACCACACCCGGCTGATTTTTTGTATTTTTGGTAGAGAAGGGGTTTCACCATGTTAGCCAGCAGACTCCATTCTTTATTGATTAATCAGTGGCATTTTAGTAGGATACATTTTGTTTTTCCTGGAAAATTTTAATTGTATGTAAGTTTGCATCCCAAACAATTCTGATAAAAATATTAAAGTGTTCTCTCATTTTTTGTCTCACGTTGTCTACTATTTCAATTTAACATTTTACATTGTAGAAATAAAAAGCAGATTTTCAAATATGTTTCATGAAAAAGTGTGTCTATGGAGTGATAGGATTAAAATTAAATATGTAATATACCATTTCCTGTTCTACTGAACAAAGCAGACAACTTTCCATTTTTAATCACTCACTATAGAATATTTATTATACACAAATATGGGGGCAATGGCATGCTTTCTGCAAAGAGCTCTGAGCTAAACGGGTATTTTGGCTACTAGCACAATCCTGCATAATACAGCACTCTGCACTGTGTCAGCAGTTCAAAGCAATACTTTATTCTTTGGATCACTTATTCATTATTACTTCAGACAATGAGTATCGGATACAAAATAAAAGTGATGGATGCCAAGTGAACTGGTGAATGTGTTCTGAGTAAGAACACACGGAAAAGACACCGTGGTTCATTGCCTGATGAAATTACTTTCGGGTATTTAAATACACCTTACATTATGTTATGCATGAGCTGTTGAATGTGAACTCTGGAAGTCAGCACTGAAAAATTAACTGCCTCAACCGCACAAAATGTATTATTTAAATCTCCTAAATTGTATATTAGAAATATTATTAAATACATCCCTTATATGTACACTTGAGGCAACAATATTTTAGAATCAATATTTTAAACTCCATCTGGTACTCACTGCAATTATTCTCTCTGAGTAAAAAAGGGAAAGAGAACAAGAATGGAAAGTGTAGATATGTCTTCCAAAATACTGTGTAATAAATATGCCTATTTGAATTTAAAATGGTGAGTTCAGGATAGGAAAATGACTCATAATTTCTGGGAAAAACAACTATTTTGTGGGCCTATACTCTTCTTGACATTTGGGTACATAAAAATACCTGGCTCTTGCAGTTAAGATCATGCAGCGAACTGACTTACATAGCGTTCTTGTCTATGGGTCCATGTCGTTAAGTTTGCGAAGTCCTCTGTAGCAGTCTCCCCTGAAGTTCGATAATCCCACTTCCCTACTCAATAATTCTCTCCTAATATAAAGTGTTCATCTCCCACATGCACAATTTTTACAGAATGATGATCCGCTCCTTAGTTTTGTACTGAAAGTTGACCATTATGAAGCTCTGTGTGAAGACCTAGCTTGTGAGAAAAAAGTAATTTGCATCTAGATCAACTGAATCTTGAAATTAGTTCTCAATCATACCGTTATTCTAGACAGTTATAGACTCATTAGAAATTTTAAAAATTGAATGTTTGTAAATAAGTGGTGGCCTGAAAGCTGGATTTTGAGAGAATGTTCAGTAATTTATCTACCAAAATATCAAGGCCTTTTCAGAAATCCCCACATTCTTAGAGGAACAGGATAGGAAATTAGGGTTCCTCTAAAATATACCCCAGCTACAAAAGGCAGAGTAGAATTCCTCTGAGATATATTCAGTTTTAGGACTGACTCTCTTATAAAGATATGGATCACCTTTAGAACTCACTTTAGAGTGTGACATCATCTGTAAAATCTACAGGTAAAAAGATATTTTAATAAGCCTCACACATTTGCGATAGTAGTCCCTTGAAACTTATTCTGAAAGAAAAAATAGATTCTTAAGTCAATAATTTTCAAAAATGAAAAGACAAAGTTCTACCTTCTGTTTATCTAATGAATTTCATAAAGGGGGAAATTTACTAAAATTTTCACCAAAAATATTAATAACAATGATCATAAAGAATCACTTCTAGGATTACTAATTAGAACAGTAAGAGGTAACCTTAATTCAGAAACTAACCTGACAAGGGAATCAATATAGGATGAATGTATTTCTCCTTGCCAATTCAAAATAAATTTCCTCAAACAGACTGAAATTCTCAAATGTCAGATGTAAGTACATTCATCTCAAGAGATAAATAGAATTAAAGTATTATTAAATGTCTGCCTTGTCTAGCTTGCTATTTAGAATGAAATATTTTGACGCTAACAAGGAAAGTCTAGAGAAGTTTTGATAAATTTGTGTTTTGAGGATTTTAATGTGTTATAGTTGAATTTCATAGAATTTATCTATCAAGACCTCAAAGCTCATACTTCTGGGCTATAGAAAATAAAGATTTACGTGTTGGGTAGTAGAAAAGGAGACACCATTTATGAGCCTAAATCTATGTAAGCAGGGGGATTCTGGAGGAATGAGAAAGAAATGAACAAATTGGAGCTCTATAGAGAAACAGTGAGGAAGATGAAACTCCCAGTGGGTGATCCTGCACAGGAGAGACTGGGGGAGCGTGAGTTATGGAGATAGTCCAAGCCATATGTTGCAGTATCCTTTCCTGACAACCAAAATCTTATGTTTGGCGTGATTATATTCGTGGAGGATGGTGACATGGTATAGAACTACACATAGATTGCTATTGAGAAGAAATACCTGGCATGGCAGTATTGATTGCCCATCTTTTCTACTTGACCAATGGCTATCTGTGTTTAGGAAATATATATTTTTTCTTTATATCCATAGTCCTTCTTATATAGTCTAATAGACTACATAAGAAGCTCAATAAGCATTAGTCAAATTGAACTAAATACATAAGTAAATACGAGAGAGTGGCATCCTGCAGCCTGTTTTCATTTTCTATTTTTGCTGAATGGGAGGTTCCTACTTACAGACATCAAGGAACGCCCTTATGTAGCAAATTTGAATGGTGTCAGCTAAAATATGCAGTGAATATATCTTTCCCAGATCCAATTTCCTGCCAGCTTTTTAAAACACACAGATTGTCTTTCTCATTCAGGACGTGAAGTAGAGGGAGATGGGGGAACAGACTTCACCCTGTCTGAACTGTTCACCTTGTTGAACATTTGAGAACCACTGGATGACTTGAGCAATGCCACGAGAATCAGTGCTGGTCCTGTCTAGTTGCTATAAAAGAAAAAATATATATATTTTGCTGTGCTCTCTTGTCAAGTGTGAGGACTAACATCTGGCACCAGCTAACCTACATAAAGATAATAGAATGTGTTTGGGGACCTGTAGGCCCAGAGATGAGGATAATTTGCAGACCCAATTTCTAATAGTTCAGGAGGAAATGCTTTCATCTGAATCACTGATGTGATCCAATAAATATGAGTGAATACTCGCCAATTGCTAAAGCAATTTATCTCTCCAAATGTATTCGAAATGTTAATTTTATCAGGGTGCAAGCTGCTAAAATGCAGCTAGTAGATCATTAAATTTCAATAGGGAATAGACTTCATATTTAACATAAACAGTCAAGTCATTTTGGCTGCCTGCATCTTGTGCCACATTTAGAAAACCTTCTGTGTAACCATAGGAACGGTTTTGCTTAAGCACTGTTGCTTGTGTAAATTCAATTCATTCTGAATTAGCTGGAAAAAAAAAGAAAGGGAGGGTTGCTTGATTTGTTTCTGTCCATTGCTTCCCAACTAGTGTCTTAGAAAATGTGAAGAGAAAATGAAAAATAAGTTTTTTTCTTTCCTTTCTTTGGGGGTGGGGTATGGATAAGATTGGGAGGCAGAATCCTTTTCTCCTAACAACACTGGCATCATGGAGAATGGAAAGAGTGGTTGTCTATAGCTCAAAATCTTTGCTGCCTAGTTAGGCATTTTTATCATTTGAAAAATATTTTCTATGCTTATCATTTTCTTAATGTTCCTTAATATGCGTGATTTTAGAAACACACTCTTCCTGCATATAATTTTATACATGGCGTACAATCCCAGTAGAGATTTATTTATGGTAAGGAACTCTTCTTTTTGTTCTAGGAGATTTTAGGAGTTATCAGCCACACACACCATATAGTGAGTTAGATTAATCACATGCTTTTCCTTTTAGCACCTAGTTTAAAGCCGCTAATTGGTAGGAGATTGAGAGAAGAGGACACTTTGCCATATGAGGCATTGAGGAAAGAGCAGGTTTGGGTGGGCTGCCTGGGACAGAGCCGGGGGAGTGTACAGTGCAGCAAAGGGAGGTGGAAGGTACTGGTTTTTCGGAGAAACAAGGGAGAGCTCTCCTCTGTGTCCTTCTCCTGTCTGGAAATTTCTTCCAACATCATTAACCCATTGACATTCTTATCTTCAAGGTTTGGTTCAAATGTTATTGGCTCCAAGATTTCACTAGCTCCTACCTCTCAATAATAATTACTAATTCCTTTTTTAACCTGCGGTGCATTACAGATGTGTCTCTGTAAATTGTATATTGTTCTTCCTTATATTGCAACTGGTTGTTTAACTGTTCATCTCCCACACCAGAATGGAAGCTACGTGTGAATAGGAAAGGTTTCTTTTTCTTTTTTCAACTGCCCAGAGTCTGTTTTAGACTAGATAATGGAGGTACAAACTGAAAGGCAGCAATGATGCTAAGGGCAGGCATAGCCTGTTTCATAATATTAGGGGTGGGAGTTAGTGCTACAGGGGAACATTACGGAGGTTTGGAGGAAGAGAAGGGAAAGACAAAAAAGAGGAACGTTACTGAATTCATTAAACATACCAGTCACTGTAACATCGATCCTAAGAGGACACCTATGATAGCCTGAAAAATGCCCTCACCAATATGTATGTATTTGAATCCCTGGAATCTGTAAACGTTACCTTGCTTGGAAAAAGAGTCTTTGTGAATGTGCCTAAGTTAAGGATCTTGAGATGATGAGATAATTCTTGATTATCATCTGAGTGGGTCCTAAATGTTATTACAAATGTCCATATAAAAGGAAGACAGAGAGATTTCACAGGCAGAAAGGAGAAGGCAATGTAAAGACAGAAGCAGAGGTTAGAGGGAGGTGACCACAATCCAAGGATCGCCTGCAGCCGCAATAAGCTGGAAGAGTCAAGAAACGATCCTACCCCAAAGTCTCTGGAGGCTGTGTAGTCCTGTTAACATCTTGATTACAGCCTAGTGATACTGACTTCGGACTTCTGGCCTCCAGAACTGAGAGCATAAATTTCTGGGTTTTTTTAAGGTTGCAAGTTTGTAGTAATTTGTTACAGCAGCCACAGGAAACTACCACAACATCTAACATAGCCCCATTTATTAAGGAAGAAAAAAATGGAAGTTAAGAAAGAGTCAGCAAATTAGCCAAGTTCACATAGATAATTACTGGCAGAGGTGGGAATCAAATCCAAGTCTGAAAAACTTCAAAGTTGCTTAAAGCTGCTTAGTTTTTCTCATCCAGCATAAACAGGGGTTGGGGGAGGGGGGAACAAATCCCTCTTTAAGCCAAATTCTGTTTTGTTGTACCAATGTTGGCACTGTTCTGTGGGCTGAGACACTATAACTGGATTGTCTCCTGCAGCAAAATAAGAATAGAAATTTCAATTAGTTGACTGAGTAACTTAAGTAGACCTGTAGGCCTCTCTCATGATTACACCCCAAAGTAGGAAACTGCATAAATAACCTTTAAAAAAAAACATTTTAATTGTAGATATCCAACCAATGACCTTGCCAATTCTGCTTCCCCCATTTTGTAGTTCTTTATAAATGTCAAGTGAGAAATGACTAATTTTCTTTCAGCTTCTTAAAGCATGACTTGTCCATCTATTAAGCATTCACCAATAGTACATAGTACTGAGACCATAGTATATGCCAGGACATGTTTTATATGCTTTTATTTTTTATTTTTGTGGGTACATAGTAGGTGTATATATTTATGGGGTATATGAGATGTTTTAATTCAGACATGCAATGTGAAATAAGCATATCGTTGAGAATGGGGTATCCATCCCTCAAGCATTTATCCTTTGAATTACAAATAATCCAATTACACTCTTTGAGTTATTTTAAAATGTAAAATTAAGGTATCATTGATTATAGTCACCGTGTTGTGCTATCAAATAGTAGGACTTATTCCTTCTTTGTATTTTTTGTACCTATTAACCATCCCCACTTCCCCCAAAGCCTCCCAACACCCTTCCCAGCCCCTGGTAAACATCCTTCTACTCCCTATGTCATTAAGTTTAGTTGTTGTGATTTTTAGATCCCACAAATAAATGAGAACATGCAATGTTTGTCTTTCTATTCCTGGCTTATTTTATGTAACATAATGATCTCTAGCTCCATCCATGTTGTTGCAAATGACAGGATCTCATTCTTTTTTATGGCTGAATAGTACTCCATTGTGTGTATGTACCATATACATATTTTACTTAAACCCAAACATTCCTGCACTTCTTGGATTTACACTTTAGTAGGGAATTTTAAAAAGCAAAAGAAAACAATAAAAAACAAGAAATATTTAAGATATTTAGCATTATATTTTGAAAAAAAATGCTAAGGAGAAAAATAAAGCCAAGGGAGATGAGAAATTGTAGACGTAAAGATAGAGGGTGGTTGTGTAAAGCATCCAAGGAAGGTCTCTGTGAGAGAAGGGCTTGAAGGAGGTGAGAGAATGAGCCACAGGACATTTGGGGAAAACACAGTCCAGGCAGATGAATGAGAGAACTTGACGATGCAGAGAAGAGAAAAGTGGAGCAGAAGACATGAGATCAGAAAGGTAATTGGAGGTCAGTCTATGTAAAGGACCTTGGAAGGCCAATGGGGGGACTTTGGATTTTATCCTGAGTGAGATGGAAAGCCACTAAAGGGTTTTAAGCTGACATAATCTGGTTTACCTTTAAAAAGATGACTCAGGGGATCTGGTAAAGAATAGTAGGATATTCGGAAGTTCATAATTGTACATGGTTAGAGAAAAAAAGGCAAATTATTCTCTTTCCTCTTTATCTTGAAGTTGTCTCACCACTGAGTCTCAGAGACACTGATGATTCCATGTACTACACTCTACCTTACTTTTGCCCTTTTTGATATTCATAATGAAGCTCAAAACACAAATTACTTACTTTACTTTTGCCCTTTTTGATTTTTATAATGAAACACAAAATGAAATACATTTTTGATTTTTATAATAAAACACAAATGACCTACACAGTTAAATGTCTTGCTGCAATATTGCATATCTTTATCTGAGGAGAAGCAAAACAGAAAGAAAATTAATTTTTTTAGCCTTTTCTGAATGCCCTAAATTTTATATAACCTGAGCCAACAAGAACAGCTTTGATTTTGCTTTCTTTAATGTTCTGAGAATCCTTTAAAAAGTATAAATACAGTGTTCACTCTATCTTTCTACTTCACCAAGGACCCTTACACCAAATAAATTTGTAGCTTACAATTTCCCTTAGGTATAAATATGTGTAAATCCAGAGTTTCATTGAGTATTAGTATTATTATTTGGGGAGGTTTTTTTTTGGTAGAGATAGGGTCTCACCATCTTGCTCAGGCTGGTCTCAGACTCCTGGCCTCAAGTGATCCTCCCACCTCAGCCTCTCAAAGCAGTGGGACTGCAGAGAACCACCAACTGTTAGTATCATTTTAATACATGATATGAACTCTCCACAAATGGAAAGTGAAATGGGGAACAAAGAAGAACAGAAGAAAGGCCAAGAGTGTTGAGGAGCAGGGAATGGGAGAGGAAGGGCAGGTGCATACCAAGATTCCAAAGTGCTGTATTTTATGTCACTTATCTATGTGGTTTATGTTCCATAATGCTTTCATCTCTACCTGCTAGCAGCTTCATCAGTGGTAGACATTGTACCCAGCAATTGTTAACCAATCTCCTGGATGTCTATCATCTACAATTTCTCCAGCTTTAGTGATGAAAACATCTCAGAAGATTTGGAAATCTAGTTTGGAGATATATTTGAAAATCAGGATGACAATTTTAAACTATCTTGGGACTTTTGGATTATACCGAGTAGCTCTCATATTGGAACTTCAAACCATTCAGACTAGATTTTATCCCTTCTTCTTCTTCTCAATAAGGCAAACTACTACAAGTACCATTTTTAGGACAGTGCTTTTTACTTAAGAGAAGAACATGACAAGTTGCTTCATGCATAGATAAACACAATAAAAAAGGATTGTTCAAACTCAGTTTAACAGCGTTCCTGTAACCCAAGTCAGTTTGATATTGCATGTGAGAAGGAATTTCTGGCTCTTTTATCTTTCATCTGTGTCAGATTTTGCAACTTCAGAAATGCTTTTGTAAATGAAGATTCCAAAATGCCCTTACAGTAAAAGATGATTTTTCTTTGTTTTTTTTTTTCATTTTTACTGAGTAGAAATTTTTTAATAATCTATTGTTGGCTCATATTTTAATATCCCATTTTCTGCCTGCATATGAAAGAAAATATTTACATGTTGGAAATTTTGCATCGCCACTTTTTTTCAATTTTTCTCTGACAGCACAGCTAGCGTTGTTTCCTTCCATAGTGCCTTCATTTATCATGAATACTTGCTGTGTTTACTCTAAGAAACCAGGAAACAAACTGAAAGAACAAATCAAAAAGGAAATAGGAGTTGATTTTAGTAAACAATCCTAAGCTGTATTAGTACCTAATAACAATAGCACTGGGATTCCCCAGTGGATTTGTGTGTACGTGTGTGTGTGTGTGTGTGTGTGTGTGTGCGTGTGTTTAGACCCTATGAAATAGAGTTGGTTTGCAAGTAACAGAAAGATTGTCAAGGTATCAAAACTGTGCGCTTCAGCTTGTGAAACAGACTCCAAATTTGGAAATATAATTTTATGCTTTTTGACTCTTAAATTGTATTTTCATGGACATGAGGGTTTTGATATGAATAAAACATCAAACACATGAAACTTAAAAAAAGGGATGTGAGGAGAGAGTCTTTTATTATTACGTTAGTTGAAATGCCTTGTGATAACAGTGAGAAAAACAGCAAAATGTTCAGTATTTTGCTAAATATCTGGCGCACTGTAAATAATGCAGCATTCATGAAGGTTAACAGCACAGTCTTTAGGGGAATATCGCTTGGGTCCGAATCCCAGCTTTCCAACTCACTAGCTTTGTGACTTTGAGCAAATCATTTAACCTGGCTAAATTTTAGTTTCATTATCTGTGAGATGGAAACAATAATACTTACTTCAAGGAGTTATTAAGACAATTAAATGAGTAATGAGTCATTGAGGCAAGGAAATGGGTAAAGATATATAAGAAGCTTAGGATAGTGCTTTGGCACACAATTAGCACTCTCTAAACAAAAACTACTGCTTTTCTTAGATATAAGAAAATATAGATAAAGTTGTGTCTTCTTTGATGTTAAGAGTTATGGTCTTACAAAATTAATCAATGGAGAAAAGATGGTCTTTTCAGCAAATGGTACTGGAACAAGTAGACATCAACAGCAACAAAACAAACAACAATAACAAAAACAAATAAAAGAAAACACCTTGACCTAAGCCTCACACTTTATTACAAAAAATAACTCAAAATGAATTATGGAATTAAATGTAAAATGTTAAACTGTAAAACTTTTAGGAAAAAATTTGCAGGATCTAAGCATAGACAAAAGAATTCATAGACTTGAACCATAAAAGAAAAAAATTGGGCCAGGTGTAGTGGCTCATGCTTGTAATTCCAGCACTTTGGGAGGCTGAGACGGGTGGATCGCTTGAGGCCAGGAGTTCGAGACCAGGCTGGCCAATATGGCAAAACCCCGTCTCTACTAAAAATACAAAATTAGCCAGACATGGTGGCACACACCTGTAATCCCAGCTACTTGGGAGGCTGAAACATGAGAATCACTTGAATGCGGGAGGTGGAGGCTTCCGTGAGCCGAGATTATGCCACTGCACTCCCGCCTGTGAGACAGAGTAAGACTCTGTCTCAAAACGACAACAATAATAACAAAATAGAAAGAAAGAAAAAAAAATGATCACTTTAATCTCAATAAAGTTTCAAACCATTTGAATTCTGAAAAGCTCTTGAGAGGAAGAAAGCAGCCAGGTGCAGAGGCTTATGCCTGTAATTCCAGGATTTGGGCATCAGGAGGTCGAACCATGGAGTTTGAGATCAGCTTGGGCAACAGGGTGAGACCCGGTCTCTACAAAATATTTTTTTAAAAATTAGCTGGATGTGGTGTTAAATGCCTGTAGTTCCGGCTACTTGGGAGGCTGAGGTGGGAGGATTGCTTGAATTCACAAGGTTGAGAAGTTGAGACTGCAGTTAACCTCGATCCATAATTGCACCACTGCACTCCAGCCTAGGCGACAGAGCAACAGAGCAAGAAAAAAAAAAAATGAAAAGACAAGTTACCCACTGGGAGAAAATATTTTGAAATTACATACCTGAAAGAGGATTAGTAACTAGAATACATAAAGAACTCTCAAAACTCAACAGTTAAAAAACAACAACAATAAATATTCCAATTAGAAAATGGCCAGAAGACACATACAAACATTTAGCCAAAGGGACTAGAGAGATGGTATTCACATAAGCTGAAATTAGGTTCAATCTCATTAATCATCAGGGAAATGCAAAGTAACAGCCCACTATATACCTATCAGAATAGCTAAATTAAAAAAGAGTGACAGCAGCAAATGCTGGTGTATAGAAATGCAGAGAAACAGGATCACTCATATATGGCTGTGGGGGTGGGGGAGGATGTAAAATGGTACAGCCACTCTGGAAAACAGTTTGAAAGTTTTCTACTAAATGTGAAAATTCCGTATAACTCAACGGTTGCAATCCCAGACATTTAACCCAAACAAATGAAAACTTATTTTCACATAAAAACCTGTACATGAAAGTTTCTAACAGTTTTTTTCATAGTAACCAAGAACTGTAAACAACTCAGATTTCTTTCAATGAGTGAATGGTTAAACTGCAGTACATCCATACTAAAGAATACTACTCAGCAATAAAAATGAATAAACATTGGTATACACATCAACTTTGATGAATCTCCAGGGAATTATATTGAGTAAAAAATAAAAATAAAAACCAATACTGAAAGGTCACATACTGTATGATTCCATTTATAAGACACTTTTGAAATCACAAAACTTTAGAAATGAAGAACAAGTTAGTTGTTGCCAAGGGTCAGGAACAGGTAAGGAGGAATAAGGTCAGTATGACTATAAGGGTGCGAGAGGGACCGCCTGGTGGTGAGGAAACTGTTTTGTGTCTTGACTGTATCAACATCAAGATCCTGGTTGAGATATTGTAGTACAGTTTTGCAAAACGTTACCATTGGGAGTTATTGTGTAAAGTGTGGTACCTCTCTGCATTGTTTCCTACAACTGCATGTCAGTATAGTTATTTCATAACAAAAATGTTAATTTTAAGAAGATTTAGGGGGCTGAAAGATTTCTTTTAAAAAATCGTGGCTGGGCGCAGTGGCTCACACCTGTAATCCCAGCACTTTGGGAGGCCAAGGTGGGCGGATCACCTGAGGTCAGGAGTTCGAGACCAGCCTCAACATGGAGAAACCCCATCTCTACAAAATTAGCCAGGCATGGTGGTGCATGCCTGTAATCCCAGCTACTCGGGAGGCTGAGGCAGGAGAATTGCTTGAACCTGGGAGGCAGAGGTTGCGGGGAGGCAGAGGTTGCGGTGAGCCAAGATCATGCCATTGCACTCCAGCCTCAGCAACAAGAGTGAAATTCCGTCTCAAAAAAACAAAACAAAACAAAACAAAAAACTTCAACTCTACCTATCAGAACTGCAACTAGACCCATTCCAACAGAAAATATAGTCAATTTTTCAAGACTTTTCCCTTCAACCATTGGGCATTCTCTCCTCATCAAGAAAGTCTTCCTTATTCTAATCTAAGTTGCTTATGCTTTATCAGCTTATTTTTTCTGAATCCAGTCAGAGAGAAATTGTCACCATCTTCAGAATATCCTTCCTCCTATAGGAAATTATGTTTTAAAACAGAAATGACTTAATTATTACTTTTTAACTGATATTTTATGAGGTGAATCTCTGATTCATCTGCTCAACTGATAGCACTTCATAGCCTTTAGTTTCCTTGGTCCTAGAAGAAGAAAACAGATGAATCAAAAGCCTAGGTAACTACTTTTAGCTTTTCCTCTTTTAATGAAAGGTGTTGAGTCACCTTTTCTTTGCCAATATTTCTGCATTCTTACTAGGACTTTGGTGGTGGGCAATATTTTGGTACTAATTGTATTGATGGGACATTTTTTATTTTGGAGAACATTCACTGTTAAGCAAGTATATGCCTTAACTTTTTGATTTCCTTCCAAAACACTTTTTTTCCTAAGGTTTTATGAGTCAATTGCCATTTCAAAAGGGAAATGACCAGGCCTAGAGCCATCCTTAAAAGTAAGACTGCATTCTTATTAAGTGGGATATGGTTGCACTGTCAGTTCCTGGGGTGTGTGAAACTCAGGGGCCAGCTGGCTGAGGAGCTCATCTTGACTGTCTGTATTTAACGAGTTACATCATGCTTCCTTCTTGGGAGGAAGCTGGCACAGCTATTCTCAAGAAGGCAAACATTAATCTCCTATCACCCATTTGGGTCCTAATAAAATTCACTTAACTGATCCTTGAAGCCATGTGCCATTCTCTAAAACACAATCAACTTTTCCCATTAGAGGGAAACTGATTTGGGTGCTTTTATTACGGAAAAAAAGCACAAGCCATTTATGTGCAAAAGCTTTTTTCTGTTTGTCTGTTATTTGCCTTCTACTTTTCTTTTTTAAAAACAACACAACCGTAATAAAAAATATTCTGCCCTGTTTTCTTACATTTATTGATGATGGTTGGTTATAATACAGTGCAGGAATGGCCTGAGGTGCAGCATCATAATGGGCAGACAGCATCACAATAACAAGCTGTGATCGGGGCCAAGATGGCCAACTAGAAGCAGTGGTGGTCAGAGGCTCCCACTGAAAAGAACTAAAACAGCTTGCGAATCCTGCACCAGCAACTAAGGTATCCAGGTTCTGTCATCAGGACTGACTAGGCAGCTGGTGAGACCCACTAAGAGAAAGGAAGAGCAGTGTGGTGTGGCGGCCCACCTGAGAGCCACAAGGGGCAGGGGATCCCCCATCCCCCAGCTAAGGGAGGTGTTAAGCAAGCATGCTACCCATCCTAGGTAACCGTGCTTTTTCCATGGAACTGTGCAACCCATGAATTGGAAGTCATCATCCTCAGCAAACTAATGCAGGAACAGAAAACCAAACATCCTATGTTCTCACTCATAAGTGGGAATTGAACATTGAGAATACATGGACACAGGGAGGGGAACAACACAAACGGAGGCCTGTCAGGGGGTGGGGGTACGAGGGGAGTAGAGCATCAGGACAAACAACTAATGCATGCGGGGCTTAAAACCTAGATGATGGGTAGAGAGGAGCAGCAAACCGGTATGACACACATATACCTATGTAACAAACCTGCATGTTCTGCACATGTATCCCAGGACTTAAAGTAAAATAATAAAAAATAACATAAAATAAAAATTAAAAATTAAAGTTGTGACCTAGCATGAAATAATTGTTGTGATTTCAAGTGGCTGTTTTTTAAGGCAGGAGATAGTTTATTGTTTTCCTTAGGCTATGAGCTAAAAATGGAACTGGGGGCTGATTTATAAAGATATAGAAGTCTAGCCTAGGAAATGCATCTTTTAATATCTATAACCAAAGAATAGCATTTTCTCTATGTCATCAGCATGACCTTAATTTAGCATGGCCATTCAGTGGTTGCCTCTAATTCCCACAATCTGGATGCAAGAAATAACAAAGTGTGTTTGGTTTTCAGCATCAGCAGGATGCTGATTAGGATCTATCTTGAAAACTAAGTGAAACAATAAATGAGTGTGGAAGTGCTTTGTAAACTGTCAAGTGTTATCCATATAAAAATTGCTTTTGTGATAAGCCAAACAAAATAAATACTAAATATATAAGGGAGCAAAATTCTACGTTTTCTCTAATGGAAAATAAGTCTTTGAAAACACAGACTTCTGCCATTATGTTCATTTGTGTAATTTTCCTCTCCTGAAAACCATGTCTTCTAATCCCTCTCCAACTTAATGTTGTTCAATGTACAAATGATGTTCGTTGAATGACTGCTTGAATTAATTCTGGCAAATATGAAGGATGATGCACTGAACAACCATCATCAGCACAATTTGTGCTCTGTGGTACTTCTCCACCCTATTGTGATGAATTGGAACAGAATCATCAGAGTACTCTCACCTGGGAACCATGTGACAAATAATTCAACAGCATAGACACCTGGCCAGGGCTCAAGTTATTTTGTACAAATTGACCAACTGAGTTGGCCTTTGTTCTTTCCTCTCATTTCTTGGGCACTTTAAAATTGCAAACAAAAACACTAAAGTAGATGAAATAGAAGCAGAATATTCTAAATAAGATTGAGTTCAATTCCAGAATCTCTTTTTGGCCTGTCATTACGTTTTGGTAATAAAGCTGTGAGTAAGATATAGACATTGTCCCCTAGAAATCTGTGGAGAAGTGCAGAGAAGAGAATAATATCCATAAAGCATGGTGGGGACAGCATGGGAAAAAATGCTTAATATTTACTTTGGTGGGAGTGTAGTTCTGGAAGAGTTTACTTAGGGAAGATGGCATTTATCATGAGCCTGAAGAGATAGGTCAAATGTGAGAGGCAAAGATGATAGTCATTTACCACTGAAGAATGTTCATCCCCTATTCTCTTCTTTTCCATACGGGAGCAGAAGGGATTCAACAAGATGAGTCTTAGAATTCTCTGAATTCTAGAACAGGCATGTTATATTGATACAAGATATTAAAGCATTACCCAGAGAGATCCTACAAACAAATTTTAGGTTTCTTTTGCCCAATTATATTTTGAAGCAAAGCAAATATACTGTGGTAAAAGCATGGGATTTAGCATCAGACAAGATTAGGGTTCAAATCCTGGCTCTGCTACTTGAGCAGGTTATTTAACCTTTATAAACCTCAGTTTCTGTTTCATTAATATATGAATTACAGTGGTATTTAACTCATCAGAATTTTGTTAGGATTAAATGGTATAATGCATGGAAGGGGCTTAACCTAATGCTTTGCTCCCAGAAAGCACTTAATAAACATAAGCTATCACCATTACAAGGAATTTCACCCTCAATTACTGTATTTCTCATCACTGCATCCTCCATTGTTCAAGAAAACACAAATTATCTATGCTAAGGTAAATTTTTCATTTTAAAATATGAATTGCAAGGTGGTTTAAATGTATCTGACACCTCTATGAATGGAAACTTGCTGTAAGCTAAGTTGTATATATCGTGCCTCCCTCACTGTCACAGAGAAAGCCCAGTGTGGCTGCTTCTCCCTGTTTCCAGCAAAAATATTGTAGATAGGGTTGATTTATTGGGCCTCACATAGCATGGGCCATCTGGGATTACTGAGGAAATCATCAGCCTTGGGAGGGTCACTGTTTAGACTTGGGCAATCAGTGTAAGCTTGGACTCTGCACAAGAAATGTGGCTCATTATGCAGCTAGGCTATTAACTATCAACTTTCATTTAGAAATATAAATTCTGCTCTCTTGGCTGCCCCGCTGATCTGGTTATAATGTCCTGTGTGTAATGGAAAAGTACAAAGGCAAAAGATGGAAATTTAGACTTACTATAAGAGCAGTTGATGAAAATCCTGATTTCTGCATACAAATGAATTCCTTTTGCCAAACACATGTGTTCCAATTTACCCCATTGCCCCACTTTTAAATATCATGTTTAATTATGTAATGCTCCTGCTATTACTCACGCGATTTTGTTTTCTTATCCAGAAATTTATTCTTACTTGGGGTTTCTCTTATCTTTTTACTTGGTACTCTAATTTATTTTCCTTTTTCTTTTATTTATAGCTTTCCCATTTTAAATGTGTTGTTGCGGGGAGGGCAGCGGAGAGAACACAAAGAACATTTTAAAGGATATTACACTAAGATTTCAGTTGAGCATTAACAAGAAATCATTAAGCTGACCCATCATACGGCGCACACACATACAAATCATTGCCGAAACAAAACAAAACAAAAACTATGTGTCATGCATTGTACCAGGCATCAAGGAAGAAAAGAGAAACACAGTATGCTGCTCATCTTGATAGGATGGTCCTCAGTGACGGCACTTGTGCTTTCCAACCCCTTCCTATGAAAGCATTCTGAGGTTTTGCCTGCCACTTTGATTTTAATGGAAGTTACCCACTACTTTTTTCAGTGGTCAAGGCTTGCTGAGGGCTAATGCCACTAATGTTAACCATTTACTGTTGACCCTCTCCTAGAAAACTAGCAATTAAATGATGCGAATAATATCAGATTTAAGTAAGAGCAAGCAATATTTCCTTATTGTATAAAACTAAACTACCCCATGAGTTTAATAGCATTTATAGCCTCTGATAGAGCTGTGTGGACTTGCAGTGCAGCTTATTTTGTAATTGCTTTTTTTCAGTTTCTATTTCTTTATAAACCATGAGCCCTTCTATAGCCTCAGCTACTTACGCTGGTCTCTTTTTAGTTTGGCTTCTCTTTTTTCTCTTCCAGAACCGTTTTAGCACCCTCATCTGTAGGTTCCATTCCTTAGATTAACCATTCTTAATTCTAGCATGGCTCTGTCTTAAAGTACTCCCTGTGACAACACACTGATACCTAACTATATATGGATATGCCAGAGCCATATCACCTCTTGTTTGAAAAGCAAAGTATTCCTATTGCCCAGAGGCCCCATAGACACCCTATCTCTAAACAATCCCCTCTTTCCAAATTCAAAGAACTCTGACTCTGATTTTGGAAGACTGCCAAGAACTGTAGGAGAAACTCTATGTACTTTTCCAAAGCTACTTTCTATATACAGTTAGCAAAGTGTCCTAAATTTCTCTATGAGTCTCAATCTCATTGCTCTGTCTCCTTTTTAATATTACCCAATCTTATCATACTTCTATTTTTAAATTCACCTAGTAGACCCCTCTAAGGATGTTCTAAGCAAACCCAATCTAATTAAAAACCCAACTTTAAAATGTCTTATTCGAGCTTCCTTAGATCTACACCTTACCCATATGTTTGGGTTTTTGTTTTGTTTTGTTTTGTTAAGAGGTTACTTTATCTTCTGCATAGACCCAACAGATGTTTATATTTGTAGTTGGTGTGCCTATGGAGACGTCTCATCTCTACAGTTTGAATGAAGCCGTGTCAGCAATAATGTACTGGGGTCTATTCGGTCACGCTGATAGCCAGGGAGCAAGGTCATATGAGAGGCCATGAAAGAACTCTCTGTTAAGCTCCCCACTATTAGTCTTACTGTAAACATCACTGGTGACAAAAAGTGTTGTTTGGAAGGTATAAAGCCTAGCATCTTAAAAATCTGAAAGGCTGATGTAATTGTTCTGTTTGATAAGCTGCGGACAAGAAAAGACACGTACCTTAGAAAATAAAAAGATAAAACACTGTCTCTTTGTTTAGCCAAAGTAAGGACAATTTCTTTAAAGCTGATCCAAAACTTGTAACAAAGATGCACCTAAAGATATGTCAGCCTCATTACTTACCCTGGACCTTGTGTGATTTTTACCAATCACAGTATAAAGGATTAGGTAAACCAGCTGCAGTCCCTTGGATGTACTGCTAGTAATCTTACCTCTTATAACAGTCTCTTTATAGAAAAGACACTCAAAACATCATGGGAACTGGGATGATGCATAAGAGTATTTTTACTCACTTTCCATAAACAACTAATGATGGAAAATCCCTTCTCTGGCCTTATAGTCTCCTTCCTAGGTCTGTTCCTAAATAGTCCATCTGCTCCCTATGACCCACAGCTTTCTTGACTCGGCCCTGTATTACTTCCTGTGGTATTATTACATTTTCCTTTTTGCTGCCATATTACCTTTAAAATAGATTCCAGAAATGCCCTCAGAATCTTACGAATCAAATTGGCTTGAAGTGGAGAAGGGACCTTGGAGGAATCTTTAGTTCCTTCCGAAAGATAGCTAGGTAGGTAGACAGATAGAGAGAGAGAGAGAGAGAGAGAGAGAGAGAGAGAGAGATGATAGCTAGATAATAGATATAGACAGACACTCAAAATTATTCTTATTTTCATAATTTCTACTGATTAAGTCTAGTTCTGTTATCTAAGAAACCCCAATGGTGGCTGTAATGTTGAAAGGCAAATAAAAGTTAAAAGAAGTCATTCTTTAAAAAACAAAAAAATAATGCCCCCCATGTAATCAATAGTTCAATGTTTGTTATAAAAATTGACAATAACAACAATAAATAAAGTCAAAATCTCAATATTGACCCTCAACATGGTTCAATGTCAAATGTGCTCATTTACCAAGCTCTCTTATCTGATGGGCTCTCTCATTGGACATAAAAACCTTTTATGTAGCATTAAATATACAGAGGATTATGTAATTCTTCCATTTCATATGTGCCACCAACCCTCTTATTATTATGCTATTTTCTTCTCCAAGGAACAGCTACTCCTAATTACATTTAGTGTTTCTGAAGGACACTTTGTGTAATATGATGGTTATTCAGCATCTGTTTCTCAAGCAAGATGGGAAAGATGATCTGCTATCTCTAAAATTGTCTATTGTACTCCTATTAATGTGTTTTCTGCTTTGTGCATCAATTTCTGAAAGACTTTCAATGCGTTTTACCTGATACCTTAATTGTAGCACAAAATGTTATGGGAAAATGCTATGGCTATGAATTAACCATTTACTGCCCAGCATTTACAAAATAGTATATACAGCTAGGTAAGACATACTTTGAAATTGTCTTCAAAGCAATGCGATGGATCTGGATTTTTAACACTCCCCTCCCCTACATACTTACAAAAGAAGTTATAAATATAATAAACATTAGTTGTTTTGGCAGTGGTCATTGATTAAAGAGGGATTAAGTGATAAAAATTTCTCCCCTTCATTAATGAGTACTGCAATACATTTTCTGCAGCCTCAGCCAGTCTCACATGTTCTTTCCCAGAGTAGGGTTACAACATCAGAGAAAATATTAAAAACATTACAGTGAGATGAGTAAGTATTCTAAGAAACTGGCTTTGTGTACATTGCCTGAGCTCTCTACCCATCAAAGTGACCAGCAACTCTCATTACGATTAAAGGAATAAGAAAGAGCAAGATCCTTTCTAAATTAAATAGTTTAATGCCATATTTCATAAACTACAGTCTACAAATCACTTGCATTAAAAAAAACTTAAGTGTTTATAGAAAATTCAGATTCTTGGACATCATCATAAATCTAGTGAATACTAATTTCTGTTGGGTAGTCTCCTGGAACCTGCATTTTTAGTAGGCTTCTAAGGTAAGTTATAAACATAACTAAAGTTTATTCATTTATTTATTTTTATTTTTTTGAGACAGAGTCTCTTTCTGTCACCCAGGCTGGAGTGCAGTGGCGCGATCTTGGCTCACTGCAACCTCCGCCACCCGAGTTTAAGCGATTCTCCTGTCTCAGCCTCCCAAGTAGCTGGGACTACAGGTGCCCACCACCATGCCCGGCTAATTTTTGTATTTTTAGTAGAGACGAGGTTTCACTATATTGGTCAGGCTTGTCTCGAATTCCTGACCTCAGGTGATCCACCGGCTTTGACCTCCCAACGGACTGGGATTACAGGCGTGAGCCACCACGCCCACCCTCATAACTAAAATTTAGAATCACTCTATGTGTGTGGCCAGTGTACAACTTTTACAGGACAAGATTTACTGATGAAGGCTGGGCTTAGTATTTAGTTAATAGCACTAATAGGTATGAATAGGTAATAATATTTGCAAATAGTGTTAATTAAAAGATTATCGGATGCAGCTAGAGGAAGAAAAGTGATTATGCAAAGTGCTTCTCAAACTTTACAATGCATACAGATCAGCTGGGAACCTTATTAAAATGAAGATCCTGATTCAGTAGTTCCTGGGTGTGACTTGAGAGTCTGCATTTCTAATAAGTTCCCAGGGAATGCTGGAGCTGCTGGTCTACGAATCAAAGTCTGAGTAGCAAGGATTAAGAAGGTTTAAAAGGCATACTCTCAAGAACTCCTAGAATCACAATAGTCTCTCCTTATCCAAGGTTTCACTTTCTGAGGTTTTAGTTACCCACAGTCAACCTAGGTCTGAAAATAGGTGAGTGCAGTACAATAAGATATTTTAAGAGAGAAAGAGAGAGAGGCCACATTCACGTAATTTTTATTATAGTATGTTGTTATAATTTTTCTATTTTATTATTATTGTTGTTAATCTCTTACTTAGCCTAATTTATAAATTAAACTTTATAATAGGTATGTATGTATAGGAAAAAACATAGTTTATGTAGGGTTTGGCACTATCCACAGTTTCAGGAGTATCCTGGGGGTCTTAGAATGTATCCCCCATGGATAAGGGGGGACTACCATAGTGTCCATTTTACTGAGCAGACTCCAAAATTTCTAGCAAAGATCTAAGAAGTTATTGTTCAATTCCAGACCCAGGAAATATGAATACCTGTGGAATTTTTTCCTTAACCTACAGAGTATGCTTTCTGTTTGACTTTCTACATGACGTGATCTGGGTTCTGTGAGCTCTAACTAAATACAAGCTGTTTTTCCTTCCAGAAGGAAAATGAACCAGTTTGAAGAATATCTATATTAAGTTGTAACATCTTATGGAAATGAGTATGAGATAGTGTGTGAATTAATCCAGGAATAATACGATTTCAAGAAGACAGAAGGTAATTGGCATTGAGAAATTGATGAGTTGACCAATATGACCTAGAGTAACTACTAGGGAATTATACTTATGTGAGTGTCACTATGCCAAAGATCGCACAGGAATTCTAAATTTAATCTCCAAACAGCCTTATGAGTTAAGTATACTTTCCTACATTTTACTGCTTATGAAATAAGATTCTGAGATGTTTTCCCAAGATCACACAGCTGGTAATGGCAAAAACAGAACCCCCATCTCTCTGACTCCCAAGTCTCTAATCTTTTTATTATATCAAACTGCCTTTCCCCCAAAAGAAGAAAAAAGACAATATTATCTGAGCTTTTTTTTTCAGAAAGCATAAATCCTCTATGAAGATTAATATTGCCCCATGGGTAAAAAATGGTTCTTAGCAGAGGTAGGAAGGAGTGGTGAAATAAATAAAACTTATTTATTGCAATGGTTGGCAGACAACACTGCATAAACAGATATGTAGCGTATCTACGGTATTAAAATTTCGTGGGGGAGAAGGGAAGTGATTAGGGAATAAAAAGTTAAAAAGGCTTCTAGGGGTTTGAGTGGGCAGGAAGTAGAGCATGATAATGAAAGAAAGATTGAGAAACACATCATAGAGGGTGAAGTTCAGCCTCGGAAGAAACACTGACATCTTTCAGCATTGCCACAATAATAGTGATGACCCACAGATTCTAGCATATGGGAGTTATCCATCACCAACCAAGGAAAAAGCAACTCACAGGGTGGTAGACGACTCCATACTGAGGCAACCATGTTAACCATTCATATGGCTGACAAGGCTAATGTGGAATTCTGCTGCTTTCAACAAACTATTTATCCAAAGAAGAAAAATGTAAGGAAGGAGGAAAAGGAAGGAATGAGACAGGGAGTGAAGGAGGGAGGAATAAAAGGCTTATAGCATCATTCCTTAGGAGGCACTAGCTACCCGGTATAACAAGACTATTGTCCACAGTTGTCATTTAGAATGCATTTGAGCTAAAAACTATCCAAAACAATATGATAAATCACCCTTAAACTCAGTACTTTGCAAAAAAAAAAAGGAATTAATTAATTGGTAGCAACTGATTCCACATGATAGAATGAGGATTACATGCAGCTTTTTCAACGGTTTTGTTAAATATGAGCTAGAACAGCTGAGCATGAATGGAAGGAGAGTCGGGAAGCCCGTCGTGCTGAGGGGCTTTCTGGAAGAGCATTCCTATTGAAAGAGGGATTCAGACATGTGCATGTGGTCCATTTACCATGGGTGCATCCTAGAAGGGGATAATTTTGAGTATAGAACATTATCTATTCCTCAGTTTATTCTCCCAATAAGGATGCTTGAAAAAAAAAAAAAAAACAAAAACAAAAAAAACAGTGATCCAAAGATTCTGGTAAACAAGTTTTGCCTGGAGAGAAAGCTGCAAATCAGAAATAACTGTTTTCTTAAGAAACTGGTAGTGTAAAATAACACGGTTTTAGGACCCATATACAGAAATATAGCACATAGGTTAGGAAGAAGAGTTTAGCAGAAAATGCAAGCTGATCTTGCCACATCAGGAGAACGGATGTATCAGAGGCACAGCAATTTTTGGCAAAGCGGAGCAGCTAAAGAGCAGCACAGTATTGGCCCAGCATTGTTTAGACAAGCTGCAACGAAATGCGGTATGAATAATAATGGTAGAAGCAGTGGCCAGGCAATTTTAAAGGCAATAGATGTGACCTAAATATTTTAAATTTTGTGTATATTCCTTTCTCAGATAAATTTATCCAGTTACAGCATGTAGCACTAGCAATAGCACAGACTTTAAAAATTTAACCAATAATATAATTTTATTTTCTAGTATCTCATGACTGAGTTGAACTAAAGCAGAAAGTGAACAACAGTTGTATTAGGGATGTTGCCAAAGTCACCCACTAAGTAGACTAAAGGATCTGTTAGGTCAGGTTTTGTCAAGTTACCAGCAGAAGCTATTGATTGTAAAATTTTAATTATACTATTATCTTCCCACGTGAAAAAGGTAGGGATTAAGAGGAGTAAGAGTCTCATGATATGGAGTCTTGCTCAGATGGTTTTGGAAAAGCCATATCTATAGCATGAAACCATTAACTTCTCATCTTGTTTGGAGGTTGAATATCTCTGGTTATGGCATTGTGCGGTTTGGTGAACTTTTTGTGTGGCCCATACATCAAATGGAAGACTTATCCCTTAAAGTTTATCTAATTTTAGCTCCTAGAGCTTCAGGAATGGAGCAGTTTCCATTTTTGATAATTTTGTAGAAAAAAATGAATTTGAGGAATCTAGAAGAATTCAGAATCTAGTCTATTGATAGATAGCAAGAACTTGAAAACAATGTGTAGAGCTTTATTCTAATAACAATCTAATAACAGACATAATATAGCTTTTTTAAAAGAGATAACTTTTCCTTTACATTGATCACATAGGAATCTCAGATTTAAAAACCTCTTGAGGCTAGAGAGCCAAACCAAGGCTGACTTTAGATTTCATCTACAGTCTTAAAAGATTTCTGGATCTGTCAGAAAGTGACAATTTTTATTTTCTTACTATAAGGCTGAGAATCCTTGAAGTCGGGCATTTTATGTACATTTTGAAATATGATATTTCAGTCAAAACCCTGGTAATATAACCAATGTTTCCAATTGTATCCTGTTATAAAAAGACAATTGATTTTTATTGAACTTATGTAAATAACCATATTACCCTACGAATATTCAAAAATAGTTTCTGAATTTTAGAAGGATCAAGTAGGGAGAAAAAGTAAGTGTTCTTACCTTTGTTCACAAAAGTATGATTTACAAACTTGTCATAAACTCTGTTTTAAATGAAAGCCTTCATTTAAAAACATTAACCTCATCAGTTAAAATATCATCTAATTTTTGTTTTGCTTGATTTTGATTCAGTTTTATGAATGTATCAGTTATTTATTAGCGTTTAGAAAATTTTGTATTTAGTACATTGGTTTCAAAGTTATTAGAATCTATACTTAAGCATACTTGTTAGAGTCTTTTCCATGAATCTGACTGTAAATGCTTTTAGAGAAGAATTAAAACTAGATGACAGAGACTTAGAATAGCATCGTTAAAAATCTGATGGAAGTTCATTACAATCAGCAATTGACAAGGAAATTGGGTTATTTATGTGGCAATCAACATCATAACCAGAATTATGACTGATGACATGTTAGATTTTTAAGAGTTTTATATAATTTGGGGATGTTTATATTAAGAACATACTCATAAATGTAATCAAAAGAAAATATAGCATTACTTTTCATTTGAAAATGTTTTCCGTACAATTTGCCAAATAAACCTCTTCATTCAATATTTTTACAAGATGAGAAATATACCCTTTGAGGCTCTCCAGGGGCTCAACTGGAAAATCCCAAAGTTAATTTTAGATCAGAAAGACTTAACTTACAATTTTGATACTGAGGAAGTCTGTCAAAGATGCCAAAATATTTAAAACACCTGATCAAAATAGTATCACAAGTCACTATGAAGTAATAGCCATGTATTTAACCAGAGTGATAACCAAAGGCTTTAAATGTAACACAGACATTTCATGGATATATATTTTCAAATATCTTAACCCTTTCAAATCTCAGTTTTCCTAAGTAATCAATAAAGACAACATAGGAAATTATTCTGATAAAACATAAAAATCTGTTTTTTAGGCCAGTTACCAAAGAGGCTTCAGAAATACCTCCTGTAGTGTGATGCTTCTCTTTATGAGAAATTCATTTAGGCAATCTGGAAGTCAAACTTGATGAAAAGGTACTTGAATTTAATCAGACATAGGAAAGTTGTGTGTCCAAAGGTCATTAGTGTATCTCATATTATAGAAGAATGCAAACAAGAAAAGTAGTACCTTAAGTAGGGAAATACATGGCTTTTAGTAAAAGCATGGGAAATTTCCTGCTTACATAGAAAAATTTAGACACATCAAGAGAAGCCAAGAGTATAGAATCAAGAAAAACATTGCTGGTAACAGTAAATCCACAGTTTAGGAGATGGTTGAAAAGTTTATTTTTTAAAAAACAGACTTTAGAATTAAATCAAAACCTCTTGCAAGTTTTACTGAGTAGATTAACATTTTAGGAAAACCTTGCTATTCTAATATAGGAGACCAAATTTATACTTTTGTATTAGTGTATTTTTAATATCAAAGCTCAGTATTTAGAAAGACAAAAATAATTTACTTTTAATTGTAGGCAACTTGATCATGTACAAAATTTCCTCTATAAATTTGTCCTTTCCAAACCTTTTGTGACTTACTCAGACTTTTCATGACATGTTTATATTTTCTGCTTTTTCCTATACTTTAAAAAAAATTGACCAGTCGTTTTACATTAGGACAAAAATCTATCATATATTATTATTGTTTATTTAAAATGATTTTCTTTCTACAACTTTTTTGATACCCAAAATATATTTTCATACATGTAACATTTTTGTATCTTTTCCTCTTACTTAGTGATCTCTTAAATCTTGTTTTTGTTTTGTAAACCCATATTTTAAAAACAACCTTCAAATAACCTCTGAATTAGACAAAATTATTCCTTTTAAAAAATAAAGAACATACTTTTATATCTTTTTAAATAGTTTTTTAAGTCAAAACCACATTTTTTGGTACATTTTGTATACAGAATTCTATATTAATTTTAATATAGCAATTTTCAGTTAAAACTTAGGAAGCAAGAAATTTTGAATTGTCTGTCACATATCAGTGGTTTCTATGTGAGGGCTATTTTATAATTTTAGGAATATGTTTTTCCCATAACATAAATTTTACATGTATTAATAAAACCAAATATATTTAGTCTTTCTGTAAAATTTAAGAAGCCAAGAACAAACTTATAGTTATGTTTGGTAATTTATGTTTTAGTATTTTGTCTTATTTGAAAATGTCTCAGATATCTAATTAGTATTTATCATTTAATTCAGCATAACATAATTTTAAGGTTTTAAGTTACATAAAAAGTTTATTTATAAATATAATTATTCTATTTATATTTACCTAATTTATTTTGAACAATTATAGATTTATAAAACCTGAAGTACAGACAAAGTCACCATTTTAGTTATATTTCTGTTAACCACTCTGATAGAGTGTAACTATTTAGTTGTTTACCTAAGTAAGATCCTTAAAGTTAAATACATAGATATTTGGTTGCTAACTCTGAATACACAGCTGGAAAATACAAGAAAATTGTTCTCTTCTAGACCCTTCAGAAAGGGACATACCTCTGATGACATCTTGAGTTTAGTCCAGGGAGGTCTGGGTCAGACTTCTGACCTGCAGAACAGTAAGACAATAAATTTATGCTGTCTTAAGCCACTAAATTTGTGGTAGTATTTTTGTGGCAGCAATTAACAAACGAACAAACACCAACAACAGCAACAAAAAAACTGAAGGACTCGGCTGGGGAAACTTTAAACATTTAGAGGCCAATCCAAGGAAAAGTCAGCTAAGAAACCTGAAAAGAGCAACCAATATGAGAATAAGAAATTCAAAAGAGTGTGGCATCATAACAACCAAGAAGGAAAAAAGTGAATAACTACATCAAAGGTGCCTAAGAGATAAAATAGATAAGGACAGAAAAGTGACTGATGGATTTGGCAACATGGAAGGTATTGATGACACTCACTGTTATAGTTAGGTGATTGTCCAACTCTCACTGAGCAAAGAACAGTGTGTGAGAAGTGAAAATGGGTGTGATGATCACCAACTACTCTTTTCATGTGTTTCTCATGAAGATGGGCAGGGAAACGGAGCCAATATTTTTAGATGAGACAACCAGATAGTTGGAAAAAAGGAGCAGTTATGGAGGAGAGATTATGAGTTCAGTGGTGGAAGTGTTGCATTTGAGGTGCCTGCGGGAAGATACGGCCAGGAGTTACTTCCACTTGTTTATGTGCAGCTTGGGACTCCATGTGGACTCAGAAATAAGGATTTTGAAACCACACAAATATAAGTTTCCACTTAAACCTTAAGTGAGTGAATAAGGTCAGTCAGAGAGACTCCGAAATAAAGAAGAGCGGAAGTAGCATTGTACATAAACACAGTTTAACGTGGACTTAAATGACAATGTATAGAGTGGAAGAGTAGGATTTCGTTAAAAATAAAAGTATATATTTATCTATGCAGTTTTAGAAGGACACTTCAGAGCTATGGGATAAAAAGTAAATAATCAATAAAGCAGAAAACTGGTGCTGAAGCAAGTAGAAGCAGCTTCAACTATCAATATAGCTATTGGAAGGCTGATTCTGCTAAAGGTGGAGCATCAGAAAGTTCTTAACAAGCCCTGCTGAACTGATAGTTTCATTACTCACAAGGCAGAGGGTGGAGGCAGCAATGAGAGAAAACCCTGCTGGGACCTCATTCTGCTGCACAAGAACTGATGAAAGCGGTAGAAATGATGGGAACCTGGGGAGAAAAGAATGATGTCATCTTTGAGTTTATAACAAGTAGGGAGAGATAGATAATATCGTGTGGTTGTTAAGGGTATGCCTCTGAAGTCCAACTTCCCGGGTTCAAATTCTACCTCTGATGCTAGCTGAATGCCTGTTACTTACTCATTCAGTGCTTCAGTTTCTGTTTCTGAAAATAATCATAACTAGTTCATTGGGTTGTTCTTGGAATTGAATGAATTACTACTTGTAAAGCATTTTGGACAGCGGATAGCAAAAATATATGTAACCTAATAATAATATCAACTGATTTGTACCTTGGATTTCAGAAAAGTTGTTTTGGAAAAAATTGTAGAAAAGGTACATTCTCTAATATACACAGAATTGATTACTGAAGATTTTGGGCGGGATCTCCTTTCACTGGATGTTAGAGTATATTCACTTACGAAACCATCCCCGTCATCCAGTACTAGAATCAGGATTGGTGTAGTAACCTGCAGTAATCAAGAAAAGTGAGCACCCAGAGGTGATTTAAAGTCATGTCCCTAGAAAAGACCAAAGGTCAAAATGAGGGGACCAAATTCAGTTAACAAGATTCAGGTGCAAGGTTAGAGTCAAGATAAATGATAAAGAAATGAGTAGACATTAGAACAGAAGTGGCCGGGGCAGCAAGGGTGGGAGGGAAGATGAAGGGTCCATGACAACCTAGCACCTGAGAGTTCGTGTTTCCATAACCTGTTTTATGTCCTGAGCCATGTTGTGTGACTGAGGACCATGTATATGTGGATACTCAATAAAAGTAAGTTCTTGCTTTGTGATCATAAAGATATCAGGCCAGAAGATGCTGTTGGGAAACAAGCCAAATATCAATATCTATTTCCTTCACACACACACACACACACACAGATGAGCCTTGTGAGTTGGTGACACCAAGATGTTATGGAAGATACTTTAAGAAAGTTGAAATCCAAATGCCAGGACTAAGAGGGGATAGAGTAGGAAAATAAATTCATAGTAGGTATAAAAGGTTAAAACCTAGAGGTCTCAAACCAAATTTAGCACACAAAGTTTTGTTTTTGTAATTTCTGTGGATAGTTGACCTGAATAAATAAATAAATGTATTAACTACTTATATTCAAATTATAATGATCTCTCTTTTCTTTTTCTTTCCTTGTTTCCTTTTTTCCTCCTTCTTTCCTTCCTCCTTTCCTTTCTCCTTCTTTTCCTTTCGTTCTCTTTCTCTCTTCCCTGCAAACACGCAGTCACGCACACACACACACACACACACACACACTCAGATTTTCAGCATCTTTTTTAAAATCAGAGGATTTTACCACAGTGGACCATCAGTCCTGCATGGCAATCAGCCAGAGGTAGCTAAGTAATGACTGCCTTCCCTGTAGGTGTGCTTTGGGCTTTCCAGTTCTCCACCTTTTACCAGCTAGGCCTGTGAAGGTATGTATGTGAACCATGTACAAGCACCCAGAGTTTAGGAAAGTAACATAAGATACAAAGCAGTTAGCATAAAAGGAAATGACCAAAGAGAGAAAACAGTTGGTAAATATGGCCCAAAATTATAAACCAATGGTGAATGATTGGTAAATGGACTGATTTGGTTTAAAGGGCCACAGATTAAAAAAAAACTCATTGTAGTTGCAAAGGACACTCTTTGATGAGCTCAGATTTTAAATGAACACTGGAAAGGGATTCAGGGAGGAATTAGGAACATAAAACTAAGGATTAAATTAGAAGATTGGTTTGAATCTCTAAGAAGGAGGTTGAATATTCAAAGTGAGTTCAAGTTTGCAAAACTTTCTCGAGACAAAATAGTGGACCTTTTTCCTTTTTGCTAAATTCAGAGTCAGAAGAAGATGAGGGAAGGCAGGCTATGGTTGACACATGGTACAATAGTAACAGATGACAAAAAGGAAACAAAACCAATCGATGCCTATTTAGCTTCCACCTTCTCCAACCAGGAGAATGATCCCCAAAATGGCAAAAGGATAGCAAACGTCGTTAGGAGGAAAGTGAAAACAAGACAGGTTAGGAGATGCTGTGAAAATATAAAGCCTTTGTAATCCTCCAGTCTCAGAAAAATTACATCTCAGGGGAGCAAAAGAACTAGAGGTTCAATGACAAAACCACCACAATCTTTGAGGATGCCTAAAAATGGAAGAAATTGGAAATGGAAAAAAAGTAACTTTTTCTTTCATTTTAATTATTTATATCTTATATTCATTAAGATAATTCACATCAGAAGTAGGCAATTAGAGCATGTAGAAAGGTATTAAGAAGAAGGAAAGAAACTACTTTTACTTTTATCTTTCAGTGTCAACTGTGGTCACCACAGCATATTTTCTTCCTGACATTTTATATGTACTTTTACATAGTGATAGTATGATTATAAAATTATTCATCAGGATTAATCAACTTTGTCTTAAACCATAGCATTGTTCGATGCAATGATAACTATTCAAAAACATCTATTTAATAACTACATAACATCGCCTTTTGTATATGTTAAGTAATTTCTTTAACCCTTCTCTTCCAGTGATATTTGTCTCCAGTTTTGCACCGTTATAAACTGTGATGAACATCATTACACAGAAATATTTATTATTTTTTAGATGATGCCTTAGCATTCATTCCTTCATAATGATTTGAGATAGAATGACTCTATGTACATTATTCAACTGTTTTTCAGAGTTTCATTCAACGTACATGTACAACAATACCGTCCCAAGGGATCTTCAAATGAATGGAATCTCAAAATTACTTAAGATTTTGCAATTTAAGGGTGAAAATGATATATTGTTATTTTGATTTGTATTTGTTTGTATCTCAGTAAGGTAGAAGAGTTTTGTATGAGTCAGTGGTCATTTTATTGGTAAACATCTCTATATAATGCTTAACATTTTTATTCTGTTTTAAGGTATTAATAGAAAGAGTTATCAATGTAAAATAACCATCCAGTGTCCAGTAATGCTTTTTGATTTGAATATTTTTTTCTGATATCAACATTTAATTTTGTAGCTTTGCATTCAACTGAATAAGGATACAACTACAGTTGTTTGTATTTCATCCAATTATGTAGCTTTAAGTATAAAAAGATAATCAGTCCTTTTATATTACCAGATTACTATTCTTAGGTTCTTAAAGTGACCAAAGAATGTCTTTTTCTACAAGAATATGTAAGTCTCAAGTTTAATAGAGCTTTTCAAACCTAAGAAAATCCTTCTGTTGTCATTACATCAGAATGACATCTTAGATAAGTATGTGAATCTTGAGTCCTTACCATTTTACCTCGAAAAAAAAAAAATACCAGACTTTTCTCTATATTGAGTAATTAAGTTAAGTATATTTTTAGTTACAGAAAACAAAAATGAATAGTATATTTTCAAAAGCCATAAACACATAGTTGTTGTCTTGCTTTCAAACTAGATTGGTAATAATGCTGCACATAGAATTCTCAGGTCGCAATTTTTTCTCCTAAAATTTCTATAGGCATTGTTGTTCACAATTTAGTGTTGTACAATTCAAGTCTGAGGCCAGTGTAACTTTGCTCCTTTTTAGGTTATTTGTATGTCATTGCTCCTAACTAAATATATACAGAATTTGTGAGTGTCTTACTATTCATTTCATTTTTCCTGGAATATATGGGGCCACTTTCAATCTGCAGGCTCAAGTTAATTTTACCTTATAGAAATGGAAATATTTTTCTACTTTCTTTTTCTTTTCTTTCCCTTTCTTCTGCTTTTATTTTATTTTTATTTTTTGCAAATAAGCAACACTTGCTGTTTCCTTTTTTTGTTAAAAAAATTTAATTGGCAAGTAAAAAATGTGTTTTTCAAGGTGTACAACCTGATGATTTGATGTGCGTGTGTATATATATATAAAATGTGTGTATATATACAAATGTGTGTATATATACAAATGTGTGTACATATAAATGTACATACATTTATATGTATCAAATGTATATACACTTGTATATACATTTATATATCAAATGATAATATCAAATGTGTATCTATATAATGTTTATGTATATAATAATTACACTATATATAGTGTAATTACTACCACAATCAAATTAACATATCCAACACCAATCATAGTTACCAGGAGGCTTAAAATCTACTTTTATCAAATTTCAAGTAAACAATGAGTATTATTAATAATAGTTGCCATGCTGTAATTAGATCCCATAACTTAATCAACTCATAACTTAAGGTTTGTACCCTTTCACCTACTTCCCCCAATCCCTTCTCACTCTCCAATCCCTAGCAACCATTGTTCTACTCTCTGCTATGAATTCAACATTTTTGGATTCTATGTATAATTGAGATCACCCGGTATTTTTATTTCCATGTCTGGCTTATTTCACTTAGCTTAATGTCCTCATCCATGTTGCCTCAAATTGCGCAATTTTCTCCATTTTATGGCTGCATAATATTCCATTGTATTTGGATACCAATTTTCTTCATTTGTTCATCTGTCAGTGAAAACTTTAAGTCTCTTGGCTATTATGAATAATGCTGCAATGAATATGAGGGTGATTTACCACATGATCATGAAGGCCTGAAAACAGAGAACCAACACAATGAGGTTGGAAAAACACAGAAGCCGTGATGACAAGTTGACCTTTGTAATGAGCCTACATGACAATCCACTCTGCTTCCATACTTCTAGGTATATGAGAAAACAATGTATATGAGAAAATCGCTTAAGTGAACCCACAGCAGAATTATTGTTTGTGGCCAGAGATACCAGTATCAGTCCCTGTTTCTACCTCACATTGGCTGTGTTATTGGACTTTTCTTAAGAAAGTAAGATAAATATTCTCTCTTTTTTTTTTTTTTTTTTTGAGACGGAGTCTTGCTCTGTCGCCCAGGCTGGAGTGCCGTGGAGCGATCTCGGCTCACTGCAAGCTCCGCCTCCTGGGTTCACGCCAATCTCCTGCCTCAGCCTCCTGAGTAGCTGGGACTACAGGCACCTGCCACCACGCCCGGCTAATTTTTTTTTGTATTTTTAGTAGAGATGGGGTTCCAGCATGCCAGCCGGGATGGTCTCCATCTCCTGACCTCGTGATCCGCCCGCCTCGGCCTCCCAAAGTGCTGGGATTACAGGCGTGAGCCACCGCGCCAGGCCAAGACAAATATTCTTAAACATTTCACTCTTATTCTCACAGAAAATTATTTTCAGAAACATATTGCTCTCTGATTGTTCAGGATAGTTCTTCTTTGCCTTTATGTTGAAAAATCTTTCCATAAACCCTAAGTCATCCTGTTTAATACTACCTCGTATACTCATCCTTAATTCCTTTATTCTGATGCTTTATTTTACAAAAGAGTATATGAGTTATTCTTATCCGGATACTTAGTCTACATGTACTGATGAATTAATCCTTTTGTTTCTAGAGCCGTCTGAGGAAATATGTTCAGTATGGGGTAATGTATGCAGCCGCTGTTGTGGATGGATGGATAAGTAGGCAGATGGTTAGATAGAGTCATGTCATTTGTTTCAGTGTACTAAGGAGACTAGTGCACTAGTTAGCCTGTTTAACTACAATAAAGAGTCAGACTGTACTGTAGTTCTTTTTGTACAAGGAAAGTACTTAAAAAATTACATCTATTGTGTACTGCTTAAGTGATTCTTATTTGCTCAGCCAGCACCGGCATACAAGACTTTTCCTGAGATAATTGCATAACACAGGATATAATGCAATACTTGTCCCTTTCTCTACTTTTGATCATGTTATAAATTGGAAATTGTAACTTCTGAATGAAATTTGAATATTCCACATTAATGCAATTTCCAATTTTTGTGTAATGCCAAAGGAGTAAACGCATAAAAATAGTTTCACCATACAAAGATGGAAAATAAGATCCAAAATATGGTAATAAATAAGTAAAATTCAAAAGCATATGTCTTTAAAAACTTGTTTTAATAAAAAATCTATCACCCAAATCAATTGCAGCTATATTACAATATCTTTTGTCTGGTTTTACATGAAAAAGGGGAAAACAACAACATACACCTAGTATGTATATACTGGGCTTCTATGTATCATCACAAATTGTGTATTTGCAGATGCCTATAGCCTGCCATTGTCCATAATTCCAATTTGTTCTTCCATTATCAAAATATATGATTTTACAAGTAGATGTTCACTTTTTTAAGAAGACATTTAGTAGAATTGTCCTTTTTGTATGTTTTAGAGTTAGGATACTGAGTAAATTATCTTCCATGGAAGTTCTTGTGGATCAGGATGAGAGCGGCTGCCAGATTTTCTGGTCAACGTAATCCTTAAGTCACAAAAGAGCAGATATAGGAGATGCAGCTGTCCGCACAATTCTGGTACAGTGAGTGGAATGTGTCTACAACTGAATGTGCATACAAAGTCATTGGAAATTCCCTTCATAGAGTAGCATATGGTCTATTCTTATTTTTAGTTTCCCATGTCATTGCAATTTTTGTCTCTTGATCTTTCAAAATATTTTAACTGAAAATTGTAAGAAGACATAGCAGACACCAGGATTTGGCCTTTGTACTAATTATAATTCATCTATTATAAAAGGAGAATATATATGTCACACACACATATGTCAGTAAGCTTGAAAGTATTGCTATTACACATTATATTACCTAATAAAAGTATTAAACAGATTTTAAGGAGTACTTCAAATAGAACAGTGGGCATTCAAGCATGAGCATGTGTTCACCTAGTTTACTCCCTCCCTAGCTGGTCTCATTTCCTTGAAAGTGGAGCTGACTCTACCAATAAATATGATGGGTCACTACAAATCAGTGTCATTAAATGTTTTTCTTGCATCCCTGAGGCTTGTGGGCAGCCATGATGTAGGAAGGGCTTCAGAGAAACAGGGGTGATGAGAGTAGGTTTCCTGTCTTTCCACTCTCATTTCAAACACAGCAGCTCCACCATGCTATGCTTTATAAATTTTGACTCCATATAAGACTATTCAAAAAGGACAATTATGCTGGTTTTGAAAAGGCAAACAGCAATCTGAAAGTCTTCCTATTGATGAAGTATTTTTCCTCTAGGAAGAGATATAACAAAGTCTTTCATGATATTCTTGAGACTGTAGTAATAAAGTAGGAGGGGACAAGAATACAGTTAGCTAGGCTGTAGCTAGCTAGACAGCCATCACTATCATGCCAGCCTGGTTTTCTCTAGTGATATGGCGATGAGATCCTGACCAATTTGATATTTTGATTATTAACTTGAGAGAAGATATAAATGACATACTAATTAAATTTACAAATAACTAAAAATTGAATTAACCAGGTAACATGTAGAGTGGCAATCAATATTTAAAATTATTTCGACAGACTAAAAACTAATAAGATTAAATTAGAGACATATTTTAGGCCTACCCTTGAGCCTTAAAAATGATTTCTCAAATGCCGAACAGATGAAGTATAACTTAAGTAATTCATTTGAAAAAGGTTTTTATGAACAGCAAGTTCAGTGTGAGGCAAAAGCTATTCTAAAACAGTAAATGTAATTTAAAACTATGTTATGTGTAGAACTTACAGCATTCCAGGTGGCCCCATTAGTAGCTGATCTACATTAAGAGAGCATATTTGATTTGGGCACAGTTAAAGTAAATTGTCTATCAAGGAAGGTAGGAAAATATCGAGAGATTAGCTATGTTACAGAAGAAGATGTTGTTGGCATTGAAGGTGTTGGGACCAGACAGAAGACAAGACATAGGCGCCCACCACTACGCCTGGCTAATTTTTTGTATTTTTAGTAGAGATGGGGTTTCACCGTGTTAGCCAGGATGGTCTCCATCTCCTGACCTCGTGACCCATCCGCCTCAGCCTCCCAAAGTGCTGGGATTACAGGCGATAATTCTCTATCACTTTCTTTTAAATAAAAAAGAAGGCATTCCAAACTAATTACTTTGAAAGAAAAATAAGCTCTTGATTGATGTTTTCTGAGTATACAAATTATTTACGATCCCACTTGCTGTATTTTTCATATTTGTTGTATTGAAAGATGACACATCAACTATGTTAGATATTTTAAGACCAAGAAGTGTTATTATGTTCAATTCTAACACACTATTTTTTCATGGCATTTGACTTTCTTTGTCCTCATGTATTCTTATTTTTATGTTTGCCCTTATAGAGTACAGACATTTTGTTTTTACATATATCACTAAAATTGTTCCCATTTTCCTTATTGTATAGGATCATAATATGTCTCAATAACTGATTATTCTTTTTCCACAATGTTTCATAATTGAGTAATCAATCTTTAGGACTTTTTTGCTACTATACATAATATTGAATAAGTGGATGAATCTGATTTTTTCTTGGGTATAATAATATTTTCATTTTGAAAAAAGAAACCTTTAGGATAAAAATTTAAAGTTCAAGAAAAAAGGTCTTATGTAATTTCGACAGAAATTGCATTGAGATTATATAATAATTTGAGATAAATAATATCTTTACAATACTGAATATTTCTATTAACGAGCAATTAATTTAGACAATTTAAATCTTTCCTACTCTATTTTCTTATAGCTTTACGATTTTGTTTATAGAAATCTGAAGTGTTTCTTAACTTTATAGCTATAGTTTTGATGCTATTGGGATAGATATAATTTTTAAAGCAATTGTCTCCTGGTTTCTTTGCAGAATTATAAACATAAATGTCTTTGTGATTCAGAAAAGTAGCATAACTGATTTTATCGTCTTTCAATATATTAATGTAGGAATTTACATTAATATATTTCCTACTGTTGAATTGACTTTACATTTCTGAAATAAAAATCGTGATTATATTGTAATATTAGTTTTTGTTGTTAACATTTTTAAATTTTATTTTTCTAATTGACAAATAATTATACATATTCATAAGGTACTAAGTTATAGTTTGATATATAGACTGTACAATGATCAGATCGGGGTAATTAGCATATCTATTATCTCAAACATTTATTATTTCTTTGTGTTAGGAACATTCAATATCCTCCTCTTTGAACCTATATATATTATTGTTAACTATAGTCAGCCTACAGTGGTAAGAACACTATAACTCATTAACTTTGACTTATTCCTAATATTAATTTTTAATATTTCAAATTTTATCTCTGCATTCATAAATGGCATTACTCTGAGCTTTTTCTGCCTTATTTTGGCATCAAGGTAAGGCTGCCCTTTTTCCTGCCAAATTTCCTATTTTGATCAAGTTGTTTCTTTACATTTTTTGTTTATTTGAATGATAGGGAAGTACTCTCTTTTTTTTTATATTGATAGTTTTTCTTAAGTTTATAAAAGTATGTTTAAAATGTTTCCTCTTAATTGCAAAAACAATTATATGCACAGCCTCTAGCCATTGTATAATGCAGGGACTCAGCCAAGCACAGTGGCTCATGCCTGTAATCCCAGCACTTTGGGAGGCCAAGGCAAAAGGATCACTTGAGTCTGAAGTTTGGGACCAGTCTGGGCCACATAGAGAGACCATGTCTCTCCAAAAATTAAAAAATTAACCTGGCATCTTGGCACATGCCTGTGGTCCTAGCTACTTGGGAGACTGAGATGGGAGGATCACTTGAGCCCATGATGTTGAGGCTGCAGTGAGCTGTGACTGCACCACTGCTCTCCAGCCTGGATGACAGAGTGAAACCCTGTTTCAAAATACAACAAACCCCACGAACTCAACATAGTCATTTTCCCTGCCCATTCTCTCACATTTTGTTAATATTATGTAGAATTCTAGCTCCCTGTTGACAGTAATTTTACTGTCTACTTTGTCTCACATATGTCAGGAGTTTCATCTTAACAATCATTTAAAATTTCATAGCCAAATTATTAGCAACTCAAAATTTAATTAGAAGTTTTACTGGCTCCTTCTCTCACCACTGCTTTTTATCCCCAAGGTCTAACTCTTGAATTCATTTTTTGTTTTGTTTTACTGCATCCTTATCTTGAATTTTTTTTCCCGTAAGTGCTCATGTAGCATACTGATTTTATTTTTAGTTATATTTTGGTATAGAATTCTAGGATCAAAATCCTATTATTAAATTATAGACATTTTGCCATAATCCTTAGCAATCAGTTTAAGAACTAATAATTCATTTGTAAGGACCCTCTTCTGTCTTTTAGATTTTCTTTAGTTTGGAATTCACAAATTTTACCAATATTTATTAAATCTATATTTTTTATTTTCCTCTTCCACAATGTTATCTTAAAATATTGGAAAAGTTCTTTGTGTCTGAAGGAAGATCTGAATTTTTTCTTTTACTATATTATTTTTTTCTTCCTTACATATCGTCTTCTAGATTGTCTGTTAAATTGGCATCAGATGTTTTACATCTGTCTTGTCTCTTTTCTCATATAATAATAATGCTGTATTATTGCATTTGTTCTTAATATATTCACTTCTAGATTAATAGTTTAGCTATCAGCCATATCCCTTTTGCTATTCAAATTTTCTACTGCCCTCTATAAATAATAATGATTTTTACTTTTTCCAATTTTTTTATTCTTTATTCTCCTCCCTCCATCAACAGACTATGCTTTATGTTTATAACTTTACGTTTGGATATGATATCCCCATAAAACACTCTAAGAATATTAAGTAGACTTATTTTAAAGTTGCATTTTATGCATTGTTTCTTCAGAGATTAGTTATGTGTTTACATTATGACCTCCTTTTGTTTGAAGTGATTTTTTGTTATTTCCTCAGAGTTACTCATTAGCATCTAGAATTAATTCATATAGGGAGCTTATGTTTCCTCAACACTTGCGAAAAATCACTTTTCGTCTGTCAGTAAATATAACTCAAAATTGCATAAGCTGAAGGTGGGAAGGAAAATGCAGCATAGGGACCGATGACCTTCCTTCCATGCCCATGACATTTTCATGACATAAATTGTAGAAGACAGGAGTTACCAGTCCTGCTTATTTTTTCAGGCCTGATGCCCATACTGGGAGTCCACTGTGGTAGACTCCATTTTACTTAGAAATCTATATTGCTAGCTATAATCTGGAGGCAAAAACTTCATGTAGGCACTCTGTAAAGGGTGACTGCTGACCTAGAAATCGTTCAGTGATTTACCTGCCAATTTTCCTGTGCTTAAACATCAGGCTCTGCATGCTCTCATCTCTCCGTCTTTCAGTGTTCCTTTAGGAAAAGCAGCACTGGATGTTTTCAGCAGTGTCTCTCAATTACTACAGCTCCCCTCAGCATCAATCCAAACTGATCAGTTTTCCCTTTCTAATATTTCCAGAGTCCCTGATCTTCTGACGGCATCCTTCCCAGCTCTTCAGGATTGCTATGGATTTCTTAGGTCACTTCAATGAGACTTGAGAACAGATGAGAATTAAAAGTAGATATCAGTTCCCCCCAACTTTTTTTTTTTTTTTTTTTTTTTTTTTTTTTTTTTGAGACGGAATTTCGCTCTTGTTGCCCAGCCTGGAGTGCGATGGCGCGATCTCGGCTCACCGCAACCTCTGCCTCCCGGGTTCAAGCGATTCTCTTGCCTCCGCCAGAGTAGCTGAGGTTACTGGCATGCCCACCACGCCTGGCTAATTTTGTATTTTTAGTAGAGACGGGCTTCTCCATGTTGGTCAGGCTGCAGTCCCCCACATTTTGAACCTGAAGTTCCCAATGAATTCTGCCTTTACTCTAAAGATTTGCCAGTGGTCACAGTAATAATTACTTTCTATTTGTCTTGGATACCTACCACAGTTTTTGTATAACTCTATTCTTATTATATCATACCGCATTGTAATTATGTATATGTTTTTCTCTGAAAGAGAAACAGAACTATGAAGTTATTAAGGGTAGTGACAATTTTATTCATGTTCGCATTTCCAGAACCTAACACAGTTTCTGGTATAAAGCAGATCATAATAGTCACTTACCAAACAGTTGAGGAATGCATATTTCTAATACGAAAAATGCTAGAATGTGATGGCTAGGTATTTGTTTTGGAAGATTGTGGCTACTGCAGAGAATAGAATTCAATTTTCCTAAACCTGCTTATGTCATTATTCCTTATAATTTTAAATATTTATGAAACAGTGTCGGCTGCAGTTACCCAACTTTTTAGAATGAGGCAAGCCCTTTCCCTATCGATGCCTTGAGGAAAGAACAGTGCACCATCAAAGATTTCTGCAAATTTCCAGGGAGCATGAGAACTGTTTCTCATGCTCACCTCTGAGTCTACATGTTTCTACAGAATTACATTAAGAAGAGTTAGGATGTCTTCTGCATGTTGTGCCTTTTCTTCTCTGTATCAACACAAACATGCCACTCAGCTATGGTCATTAGTTAAAATGTAAGCCAACAGCAGATGACATAATCTTACATATAAAAAAAACCTAAAGACTCTACAAAAAAAAAAAAACACTTAGAACTCCATAAACAAGTTCAATAAAGATGCAGGATACAAAATTAATATACAAAAACCAGAAGCATTTCTATATGCAAACAATGAACTAGCTGAAAAAGAAATCAAGAGGGCAATCTCATTTACAATAACTACAAAAAAATACTTATGAATAAATTTAACCAAGGAGGTGAAACGCCTCTACAAGGAAAACTACAAAACACCGATTAAAGAAAATTGAAGAGGATACAAATAAATGGAAAAAAATTCCGTGCTCATGGATCAGCATAATTAATGTTGTTAATACGACAATATTACTCCAAGCAATCTACAGATTTAATGCAATCCCTGTCAAAATACCAATAACATTTTTCCCAGAAATAGAAAAAAAAATTCTAAAATTTCTATGGAACTGCAAAAGACCCTAAATAACCAAAGAATTACTGAGCAGAGAACACAGTCGGAACCATGACCTTACCAGACCTCAAAATACTATGAAGCTGTAGTAACCAAAACATCATGGTACTAGCACAAAAATAGACACTTAGTCCAATGGAACAGAATAGAGAACCCAGAAATTAATCTATGTATTTATAGCCAACTGATTTTCAACAAAGGTGCTAAGGACACTCACTGAGGAAAGGAGAGCCTCTAATAAATGGTGCTGGGAAAACTGGATATCCATATGCAAAGGAATGAAACTAGACCACCTCTCTCCATATACAAAAAGCAACCCAAAAGGGATTAAAGACCTAAATCTAAGACCTGAAACTTTAAACACTACTAGAAAAAAACATGGGAACAGGTCTGGACATTGATCTTGAAAAAGATTTTATGAATAAGAACTCAAAAACACGGCAACAAAAGCAAAAGTCGACATATGGGAGCATATCAAACTAAAAACCTTCTGAAAAATAAAGAAATAATCAACAAAGTAAAAAGACAACCTACAGAATGGGAGAAAATATTTGTAAACTACTCATCTGACTCAGGATTAACATCCAGAATATATAAGGAAATCTAACATCTCAACAGCATAAAAATAAACAATCCAATTTAAAATGGTCAAATGATCTGAACAGGCATTTCTCAAAAGAAGACATACAAATGGCAAACAAATATAAGAATTAATACTCAAAAAAAAATGCTGGCAAGTATGCAGAGAAAAGGGAACTCTTATACACTGTTGGCGGAAATGTAAAGTAGTACAGCCACTATGAGAACAGTATACAGTTTCCTCAAAAAACTGCAAGTAGAACTACCATAAGATCCAGCAATCCTACTACTGGGCATTTAACCAAAGGAGAGAAGATCAGTATATTGAAGAGACGGTTGTACCCCCATGTTTATTGCAGCGCTATTCACAATACCCAAGATATGGAATCTACCTAGGTGTCCAACAACAGATAAATGCATTTTCAATTTTTGGTATATATACACAATGGAATACTATTCAGTCATAAAAAATAAATTTTGTGGTTCAAGGCAACATGCATAGAATTGGAGGACATTACGTTAAGTGAAATAATCCAGAAACAAAAAGTTAAATGTCACATGTTCTCACTCATATGTGGAAACTAAAACAAGTTGATCTCATGGGAGTGAAAAATAGAACAGAGGATACTAGAGGCTGGGAAGAATGGGGGAAGGAAAGGATAGGGAAAGATTGTTAAAAGATGCAAAATTACAGCTAGATAGAAGGAATAAGTTCTAGTGTTCTATACCAATGTACAATTGGTGAGTACAGGTAATAATAATATATGATATAGTTTCAAATAGCTAGAAATAGGATATGATTAGGTGAAAAGAAAATGATAAATATTTATCAATGAAATGATCAATTTTTGAGATGATGTATATGCTGAGTACCTGGATCTGATCCCTATACATTATATGTGTTGAAACATCACTAAGCACTCCATGAATATGTATAATTATTTGTCGACAAAAAATAAATAAATGGGAAATTACAAAAAGATGGAAGCCAATAAGAAAAGTCACTGATAGAAAACTTTTATATAAACATAAGCCATCATTAAATTTAAATCAACATGGACTTATAAATCAACATGGGATTTATATGCACAAGGTCAAGAACTGAAAGTCGAACATTGGATTTTCCTGTTTCAGAGCCCTTTTGTTTAGCCTGCAACTGGGTTTTCACCAAATACATGAACCCATGGAGCATCCAGCCTTGGTGATATTGCTGACTCTCTTCTCTCTTAGCTCTCATTTTTTTTTCTCCTTTGCCCAATCCATCCTTCTCAGACTATTCCTAACTCCAACTTCGCACTATAATATCCGGCTCTCTTTAGCTCCCACCTTATGAACTCAGCTCCAGAAATACCTTTGAATATACAAAACTGATCCAAATGTTTAGATGAAGGAGCTCTATTAGATGCTCAGGATTAGCAATGACTTTTAGATTTTATTTTAGGGTTTCGGCTTCCTTAAAAGGAAGATGTGCTTTTCAATAATAAAGCTTTTATGTTTACATTAAATATAGAAATTAATAGGCAACTAGTAAGATTTATTTTCAAAAGTTAGAATCTTTACTCAGAACATGGCCCTCAACAATCAGTCACTAACAAATCAGACTGTTAGCATTAATTCTCATAGCAGAATACATACATAAAAAGCCTAAGAAATATTAAAATAATCCATACATAAGAATAGTAGCTATTAGAACATTTATGTTTAATCTTTCCTTAAGCTAATCCACGTGTAAATGCCATGCATTCAGATAATTACAGAGGAAAAGTAAAAATCACATTGTTAAGTCTTTAGTTGACAAAGATAATAACTCTGGGATGCCAATCTGCAGAGGAAGAATCAGAAGAGGCATTTTATTTATTCAGAACATATTCATTGGTAATATTTTTCTGCCTAAAAATATAAAATAACATACTTATTCTGCTAATCAGTATAAAACAAAAAGTTCATCAATAATATTTGTTTCAGTGTTTCAAATTTTGATACAGATCAATCCTTTACATTGTTCTATAAAGCAAACCATTACTTAAATAAAATTTGGAATAAATATTTTCTGTATTTTTCACAAGAAATACTATTGTAAAAGAAGTGTTTGCTTTCTGTTCATGGATCATTTGCTATCTCTAGGGAAAATATCAAATGGTATATTATTTCACTGCAGCACAGGGGACAAGAAAGTTCAGCTAGCCTGTGCTTAGAGGTCTTATATTTTTCCATTAAGCAGCAATTATTCTTAAGTCTCTATTCCTCTTTCATCCTGACCAGTCGCTCGAGAAAATTCTTGGACCCAATGAAAGAATGATAATAGGATGCCAATATTATTGTCTCTCTTTTCATACTATCTTCAATTTTGTGATTTTCTTTACATTTGATCAACCCAGTTTCAACTAGTGCTTCTGAGAATTATGGCTATAATTCTCCACATTATATTCATAGTAATAAAATTTCATTCTTATGAATACTGTTGCCTTCTATGACATTACATTGGGATTTAGCGATATTTTTATTTGTTTCATTCATTAAATTTGGGTGATAATTTTCTAGTAATTTTTTGTTAAATCATCAAATAATTATCAATTAATTAATTGGTACTGGTTGGTTTTTTTAAATGTAACTTATTATGCAAAATGTAAACAAATCCTGGGCTATTTTCCTTAATACAGTCTATAAGTACAACAATAGTTTATTTATTGAATGACAAATTGAATTCGAGAATTTAGAAAATAAAATATCATTTATTGTCATCTCTATTCAACTATTCAACTATAGTTGTACCAATTTGTAACTGGTGAGTAGAAAATAAATCTCCTTTTATTCATCTTATGGTAACATAAACGTATAGACAATTTATACAAACAAGCAAGTAGGCAGTTAGTGGGATGAACTTGGGGAAGATTTATTTAGTCGATCAGTTATAATGAATAGGCAATTAAAATGCAAAACTCTGGTCTACAATATGCACAAAATTAAGTATGAAGCAAGAATACAAATCCACTTTATGCAAACAAACCAAGTTTTGTTTTGAAAAACATTTATCAAATATAACTAGCTAAAAGATGATGCTAAAAGATTTTTGGGATCTAGCAAGTGAGAATAATTCAAATCTATCTTCTTAACAGGCATCAAAATATATAAAGTATTAGTATCTTTGAAGAAAAACAAAATTCATACATAGGGCTCTGTAAAAAACTCTCTGTGCTAAAAGTTGCATTTTCCTTTTATAAAATTTATTTTTACAAGATTTGTGTGAAAAATGGGGCACCTCTTTAAATGCTGCCATATATATATATAATATAGTTATATTATGCTTGGTGAACCTTTTAGGATCCCTATGTCAGAAAACAATACTAGTAACCCTAAGTGGCAATTCATTGATTGTGACGGTAATAACCTGTTCCATTTTGTTTTCTTCATGTCTAGATATTCAGCCCCAAACAAGAAAATGTGTGAATCTTTAAATAGAAAGATGAACAACAAATGACATTGAAAATTTCTGGGAAAATGTGTAATTGTGATTAAACAAACCAATTACACTAACAATTCTATTTTATTAAGCTGACTGTGAACAAATCCTCCTTGAAGGCTTTTTATAGATAGGTACCAATGTTTGATTAGACTGACATTAAATTAAGAGATGAATGAGGAACTGCCAGAGAAGAACCAATCTGTTCACTAATAAAGCCACCAATGTAGAAATAGCCCTGACCTACATAAGTAGAAACAACTCTTCTGCCCAAATTTGAAGTCAGTCATGTTTTAATCACATTAAAGTAATTTTTTTTCTTTAAAGGGTCTCAGCTTATTTTTTCAACTTCTAAATGCATACTTCTGTTCTGGGTCCACAGGGAGTAAAAACATACCTTTTAAAATCATGCAAGGCAACTGGACTCATTTATTTCATTTTCATGGAAAAACTCAGTGTCTACCACCTGCTTTTACCAACAACCCCTTCCAAATTCTTTCTTTCCATTTACCATTATAGCTCTCCGTTAAGCAATAGGGTGTGTAGACCATATTCTAATAAATAAGTTGAATGCCACTATAGTCATCTCCTTTGTAAAGTTAGAAAAATGCTAATATGGCATCATTATTCAGAGACTGAATTCACTACTTGATAAGATGTGGAGGAGTTTAGCAAGCATAAAATTTTCGGAAGAATGAATTCTGGATTATCTGTAAAGTTAATAAAATCTATTGGAGAGGTAGGATAAGGAAGGTTACACCATAGAACATTTGCATTTGCAGAAGTGGGATGCTCTAAGCAAATAGATTTTATGTAATAAAGTGGAAAGCCTGACTGAGCATGAAATGCTCGTGTTATTCTCCTATTGACAATGGGGATCCTTATCCATTATAATGATAGCATGTTTGTGATATTATAATGAGAAAAAGCATATGCAAATAGAAACAATGAATTAGAGGCAATAAAATACTTGGCTTCATAAACTTCTTCATGAAAGGTCAGAGGAAAGGTATAGAAGGGATCTGTGCCACAGGGAATGACATCATGAAAGGTAAGAATTTGACGTGTGTATAAAAGTGTTGAGGTGAGAGTTCAGCTCTGGTTACTGCTGACCTCCTGCTTCTTCCACTGATAGTGGTCAAAATGGTATAGGAAATAAATTGTGAAGTTATTTAGCTAACATGTCTGGTATATTCTACTCACCCAGTTGGTTGCCCAGGAATTAAGGACCGGGGGAAACGGCTGTTCACTTCCACCTCTGGCCCCCTGGGTAAGTTAGCCTGGGATAGTCACAGCTCTTGATATTGTTCTCAGTATTGTTCAGAAGGGTTGGGTGCATGCATAGGGGTAATCAAACATATGGTCAACAGAAAATAATTCAGAAAGTTATTTTTCCAAATTAATTCAATAATGAAATTTTTGCTGACAATATGAAGTTTGATTTATTTATCACCCAGACTCTCCTGAAGTACACAACTCTGACCACAGAGCTTTGCAGAGTATATGGCACCTATGAGGAACTCACTCAAGGCATCCTGCACAAAGAATATCATTGTGTTTCCCAAACTGTCACTGGCTTCCTATTGCTTATGAAATAAAATCGATGCGCTTTATCCCAGTGGATTAAATTAAATACTAAATTGCCTTTCGAACATTGCCTCTCACCTTTTGGTCTTGAAATTTTTGTTCACAACTCTCCTAAAAGAATGTTTAAAAACCATTTATAACCTCATCCATTTTTAAGTTGGTATTGAACAAATTTTACTGTGGGTTTAAAAAGTTACAAAAATGTAATTCTAAATATTATGTCTTTAATAAACATAATAATTTACCATATTATTTTTATATTACTTTATAAGTACCCAATGAAATTTAAATAGTATAGTAGTTTGATAACCACTATAACTTATTTTAAATGTTCTTAAACATTATCTTAACAGAATTTTCACATAACTCATTTTTCTCCTTGAAACTCACATTTTCGTTATTCTCCCTCAGAATTTTATCTTAATGTAGTTTTCTACTTGAAAGTTTTTTATTGATCTTTTCCTATGTTTCTGAAACAACTATCTATCTACATGTATTTTTCCCTGCAGTCACAAGAGACAAAGCATTAAATATTAAATTAGCCAATAATCTGAAATTTTTTGGCAAAAGTAAATGGCAATAATCTTCTAGAAGTCTGAATAACTTTTCAGTGAAATAGAAAAGGCTAAATTACCTCTCATATGTGTTTCTTTTACTCAAATATGTAATAAGCTATTGGAAGTAAAGTTTTGGTTAATTCTTCCTTTTTTTTGAAATCATGCAAAATATGTCCCTGGGATGCAGAGAGAAACACAGGTGGCTGAAATCATTCACCAAGTTCTCAAGACAGATTGTCAAGTGCGAAGAAAGCACTTTAAAGAGATTGGTATATACCAGCATTCTTTTTACAAATCTTAATTATTCTAACTCAAAAGTAGAGAAACATATTATATTGAGCATTGTCATGACTTTTTTGTCTAGATAAAATAAGATGTCACAACCTCCAGTACTTCTTACTATCAGAACCAATCCTCAGGAGAAATGCAGTATTTAACAACATTTAAGATGAAAGAAGTTTGCTTATTAAACAAAATGTGCCATCACCAACTCTGTTGGCCAATTCCACAACATTTATGAATTCCTATCCTCTTCATCCAAGTCATAATATCCTGCTTCTAATGCCAAGCTTTGCATCAACCCAAATATGTATAAGATGGGAAGAAGATATGGAGCCCAACCACAGACTGAAGATACCTTGATTACAGAAGGCTTTGCAGACCTCGGTTATTTCAAACATTTTTGTTTTCTGCTTGGTATCACAGAGTATTTTTACCCCAGTGCAGTATACCAGTAAATTAGAATGAGAGAGAGGTGACCTTTCTTGTCAAAATGGAAGAAGAGTGATTGTTCAAGAGGAGGTAAGAAAGGAGAACCAACACATTTTCAGATGACTTTCAGGAAAGACATAAGTGTTGGGGATGTGAGAAGTGATTTCATTAAATCTGTGGCTGTTAACCCTTGGAAAGCCTCTGTCTACAGCAAGAACACATGTATCTCAGTTTAAAGGCCATGATATAATCTATATTTGAGTGTATTTTGTTGTTGTTGTTGCTGTGTAACAATTTAATACATGCTTAGAAGCTTCCAACACCACCACCCATTTATTATCTCACAGTTTCTGTGGGTCAAGAGTCTGGACACACTTTAGTTGAGTTTTCTCTTCAGGGTCTCTGGTCAGAGTTGCAGCTCATCTAAGATTCAGAGTCCTCTTTTGAACCCACATGTATATTGGCAGACATTTCCCCACAGTTGAAATATTTATGGTGATTTGCTTTTTCTAGGTCAGGAAGAGAGATTTTGTACTGCTCTGAGTTTCTGATTGTTAGACCCACTTTTAAATGACTCACCTGATTAGGTAAGACCCATCCAGCATAATCTCTCTTTTGATTAACTCGAAGTGAACTAATTAGGGACCTTAATTATGCCTGCAAAAATCCCTTCACCCTCTCCATATAATATAAAACAATCAAAGAATGGCATCCATCATATTTGCTAAGCTTTCACCCATACTCAAGGGATAGGATTGCATAGTGTATAAACCCTAGAAAGCAAAAATCTTGGTGCCCAGTTTAGAATTCTGTTTACCATGCATGACAAAACAGAACTTCCTAAACTCCAAAAACTTTCTCTTCATTTACAAACAGGTTTCACATATGCTCTCTTTAATTAAGTGCCCCTTTTCTATTTGCTTTTAGGACCTACTTCAAGTCCCTTCTTTACTACTTCAAGTCCCTTCTTTACAAAGCATTGCAAAGCTTTCCATCCAACACAGGGAGATAGAAGTCATTTCTCCCTTTTTGAAAATTAAAATACTAGTTTTGTTATTTGTATAAATATTTAATTCCCTTTTTAAACAAGTAACTCCTTGAATCATGTCTGATTTATCTTTGCATTGTTTATGAGATCAATGCATTGTACTGATGTAAAATGCACACAAATACATGATTGAGTAAAGGGATAAATTAAAATGTGCCATTGTTTAAACTTGATGATGCTTCTAGCTTTGGCTTCTCAGCCTTTCTCTATTCTTATATCCAGCTGTGCATATGAGTAGGTTATAAATGTATAGAATATAGAGCCAGTGTCTTCTCTATCTTTTCTCATACTTTTTATTACAAATCTCAGTGCTAATTCCTACATGTATGGATGCTCATAACCAAACAGCCTTATCTCACTGGTACAAACTGACCCTAAGATCAACCAAGCATTTGCCTGGTGTAGTTTATGGTAACATGCTTTTTCATTGTTTCAATTTATTTTGAAATGGAGAAAATGCATATTGGTCAATTTTCTGAAGAAAGAGTTAAAGGTGGCTGGGATTCCATGTCTCTAATATTTAATAAGCGTCTTTCTACTACCAGATTTTCAAGGGAAATCTGAATATCAGACATACTACTACAAAATATCATTCTCTTGTGCTGCTGTGGCCACAAACCTTTCTGTAAATTTCCCAGCTCTAGTGAGATGGGTCAAATCACTTGCAAGCCACAGTGAAAATATTAGGCCTTTAGTCTAAAACCTAGAATAAAAGGAAAAAAAAAAACCTTTCTTAAACACTTTATGGTAGATCCAAATCTTAATTTTGGCCCTCAAGATCTTGCCAATGGGATGGCCAAAAGTAATCCCCGGTGGGGGAAAATATCAAAGGAAAGAAAGAATTTTCCCTTTGGGTTTAGAGCAGAGTTCACCTAATGAACACACCGCTGAGCCTTCCTAATGCAATAAGGTCCCCTCTTTTGGGGAGTAGCCCAAAATTTATATATCATACAAAACAAGAAGCCAACAATCAGATCAAGTAATTCCAAAAGGAAGATTCCAAGGGGAACAAGTGATGCAGACATACATATTTTGAGACTCTTCTTCAGGAGAAAAGGGAAACATACTTGCCCTGAATTTATGGGTTAATATAAACTTGAACTTGCCCCATAGCATACCTCACCTTCTCAGGTAGCAAGCGGGTTTGAGGGGCATCTCTGAGAGGTCTCCTACTTGCCTAGTGGCCTGAAATAGCAGGAAATCTTCCTACCTACTTTGTGGATCACGCTTCATTAGAATACCTACTGGTTTTGGTGATTGGTTCCCTCTCTTTTCTCTTTTCTGAAATACCTGTCAGATATACATAAAAAAGTGAATACATCTGGCATTTAGAAAGCCTAAATTGAGATCCTTTAAATTAAAAAGGCCACTCTCTGCTAAAGGAAGGAAGTTACATTACAAGTAACACTCCTTGAGGAAAAAAAAAGAGGCATGCATGCAGAATTTAATGCCAGAGTCTAATTAGTTTTAGACTAGTGCTATAAAACTTAAAGAGGAGCAAAGATAAATATTTCAGCTAATTTCCCTATGTACTGTGAATAAAAGAGCGAAAATGATTCTCAAATTTGAATGTTATGAAGTTATTTGCAAAGTATATTAAGTCAGATCTTCTATGTAATGAAGTGTCTTTACAGTTTAAGAGACTTTCTAGGAGCTGACATTTCTATCATAAAGAACGAGGCTCTTGTGGATTCATTATGACTTCTTGAAACAATCTGAACTATAGACCTTGCTGTCTGCCAGCTGCGGACACATCTACACATTAACTGTGTCTAGGAGCAGCTCAGTGCACAAAGGCTCAAAGTTATTTCCACTGTCATGACCTAAATCTCTGGCCAAGTGATACCATGTTGAAAAGCCTCCTTGATAATACCTGATTTCTTTTTTCTCTTCACACTCACCTAAAGAATTGCATTTAAAAAAAAAAGAAATCAAATTGCATGATAGAAGGTCATTAGATATATGAATGTCATTATGAAACCAATCAATGCATCACTTTCCCTCCTTTGATCAGCTTGAATCCCTTCCTGGGAAGCCCCATAACTCCTTCAGAAGTGGTCTCCTGTGCGTGATTACTTTGACACAATCTAGATGATGCTGTATTAGGGAGGTGAGAAAGAGCAAGTATCAAAACCAAAATTACTATGTATAAGTTTGCAAATGAGCTGATGATGTCCCCTTTGCCACTTTCACTAAGAAGGGAAATATATTGATTTGGAGTTACAGAGATTCTGTTGCTCCTACTTTTACTTTACTGGCTGGTAAATCTATCCAACACATCATTTTAAATAATAGCTATTTTTTTCATTGGACTTTTATAGCTTTTATATTAGTTTGTAGGGTTTATCCCTATATGTTTCTATAGCAAAAGACTGTTTTCTCCTCTAATTCAAAAGGCATCCATGGTTTGTTTTATCCTGGAATAATATGTTTGCTTTATAATGAAAGCATTTTTAAATTATGTATTTATACATTAATCATTGGTTGAGACCATCTTTCTTTCAATGCACAATTTGCTATTTTTATCTGGAGAAGAAAACAGAAACACCTCCTACTAGGCTACAAGTTCCTTGAGGGGAAGGAATCTAGTTCCTAGCACAGTGCCTGGGACATAGCAAGATTTGAGTAAATTTTTGTGAATAAATAAGTGAATCAGTGTAATAGAAATACTTATGATAGCATATATGAATATATACACAATGTTTACAAAGTGAGTTTACTCTACTTAGGAATTAACTGCATAGATTAACTACTGATAGCAACTGACCCAAGATTGGGCCCTCATATATTTGGAAATATGAAATGCAGTTTAGAGATAATCATATGCTATTTTCTACAATTTTTTCAAAATAGAGAGAAAGTTAAGAAAAAAATATGCATAACTTCCAATAATGGAATTGTATAAAGTCATAGCATTTACTCCCTAATACATGTGCAATTTCATTTTTATAATTTCATTTCTATGGTTGTTTTATGCAAGTATTAATATAAAAATTGCCATCAATCCTGAGATAATATAATTAAAATATTTATGTTAACAGCATTCATTCATTCATGAAAAATGTGTTTAAATTGTATCAAATCATATTAAAATGAGTTGTTTTGAACTACCCTTCAATCTTGAGTGTCTGTAATTCCAGGGTTCTGTGATTATTTTTCTCTCTGAAATAGATTCTATCACAAAATAATGAACTTTTTTAAAGACCTGGAAACACATGTCCTTCATCTTGGTATTGTCTTCATCTTCCACCAAAATGTTTATTGAATGAAAAACTGTGAAATGTTAATTTCTAAGAATCAATAAAAGTACTCTAGCCTTGGGATATAAATATGAAATTAGAATTTTTTTAACAATTTGTAAATATGAAATCCATGTATCATTATTTATTGGTTACCCAGAGCAGTATAAGGGTTATGACCACTGTTATTTCATTGTTATGGAAACCATTCCATGGAAGGCAGCCTGTGGGTCAACGGGAAGAGTACTAGCATGAGGCCCTAGAGTCCTGCAATCTGGTTAGAGCTTTGACAGTAACTGTGTGACTTTTGCTTTCTTGTAATCTTATCCACTTAATCTCTTTGAGCCTCTATTTTCTCAAGTGAAGAATGATGAATTGAACCAGATCCATAGTTGTCAATATTTTAAAAATCACAGTCGTTTTTGTTCAAACAAAATCTTTCTTGGAACTTAACGTAAGCAAAACAAGTAATGGCTAAGATTCTGCTGCTTAAACAGGGTGGGTGTTCTTCCACTTCTTCCAACTCACTCCATCTTTACTCATCCGTCTTTCTCATACCCCAGCTTCCTGTGGTAGCCTCTTGAGGAATCGGGGATCTCAAGGAACTCTCATGAACCAAATACTAGACTAGTTCACTGAATCGCTAAAATTCTTCTTGTTCTAAAAGCCTGATTTTAGGAATTAGTGTTAATGTTAGGATAGACTATACCTTCGTAAAATAGAATACAGCCAATAATACTACATGGTTATTATCCATGCGGTTTTTTTCTAAACCATTTATTCTTACACACTACATTTTGAGTATTGTTGGTGGAATAGTGAAGGAGTACTGAGTAGAGACAAGTTATTAAACTTAGTTCTCTTTTATTAATTCAACTCACTGCTCAGCAATGACTGAATATCTTCTTACTTTTACAATTGTAAGAATGGCTAAAACTCTCCAAGTCAGGTCACCATTATGGGATGTTCTGCTGTAATAATAAGCAGAGTCTGGCATCCACACCAAGAAATAAGAGACACTAAAGCCAGTGGAATAAATAAGTAAAACTGCAATAGTGCCAAGGTCCAAGGTGACAAGACAGCAAGTCAAAAAGATCAGTTAACTTTGTGAGACCAGAGGCTGAAACCCAAGAGTAAATTATGAATTCAACATTCAGGACAATAGAGACAGGAGTAAAACAAAATAAATCAGAAGTAAAAGAATCAAAAGAATCTTTTGAGTTATTCCAAAGTCGTGATCTAGCATTTGTGTTATAGCAGGCTGGGCATGCCTGAAAAGGACTGGTTTGAAGAACCAGGAATGGAAGAAACAGATTAAATTTTTTCTATGGCTAAAATGATTATCAAGGGATTCTAAGTGTCTTAAATTTCCCCTTTCCCTGTTACCACTGATCCTCAAGAATTAGTGCTCATTAAATATGCCAATTTAAAGCTCAACTAAAATGAAACCATTACCAGTGGACTTACCAGTGGAAAAGGAGACCCTGTGGCTTCACTGTTCTTTCAGAGGTCTTAAAAGGCAAAAATGCACATGGTTTTCTGGAAATTCTGTCTCTGGGATTTGGAGAATGAAAGTAGCTCAGTACTGATTCTAAATTATGAAACCCCAAATCTGGATACTCTGAACTTTTGCAGTGAATTCAAACCTAACTTTTCCCTCTTTTGTTAATAAAGGCTCTACAAAATGCTCATAAGACTTCACCACTCCTCAAACATCCCTTAACATCGCAGAAATTTAACCAGCTCTGTTAAAAGTGTATATTTTAGACTGGAATATATATTTTGCCCCTCAAGTTATAATAATGTATTTGAGATTCAAAAGAAATAAAAGTGGATTGCACAAAATACAGCTCATTTCCCCAGAAGGTAAATGTTAAGGGATTTTTTTTTTAAGCAGACCAAGTGACTTCTTTCATTTTATATATATATATATATATATATATATATATATATATATATATATATATATATATATGCTCTGCAAGAGCCTTTAATCTCTTCAAGCCTGAATTTTCCTGGTTGAAAAATAAAAAATCAAAATTAAAGTAGTAAAATCTTTGCCTCAATAAGATGTGGAGGTTTCTGGCTTAATTTGCTACCAGGCTAGCATGATAACTGCCTTTGCCTGATTCAGTCTAGGCACACACCCACACACAGTCTGTGATGGTATCCAGATGCAGACACCTACAGGCAACCACCAGAGGCATTCTTTCCAAGAATAAGGCAAATGTCAATGGAGAAAAAAATATAGTGCCTATTTTTCTTTTTTTTTAAACGTCCTAAAAACAGAGCATTCCCTTATTCCTGAAAGAAGGTAGAAAAAACACCCATTTCTCTCTTCCTAGATAAAAATTCCAAGGTCTCTCCTAGTGGCTCTCCATCCTGGCTACATATTAGAAGCCCATGGGGCTGACTTGAGGTAGATAGAATAATCTAAAAACGCCTCCCCCTCCACAACATTGCCATGCTTGGTCATCTGATCAAATGTTAATCTACATATTAATGTGAAAGGATTTTGTAGATACAATTAAGGATAGTTACTAATCAACTAATTTAAAAGCAGGGAGATTATCCTGAATTATCCAGGTGTGCCAGTGTAATTATATGGGCCCTGAAAAGCAGAAGATTCAAAGATAATATGGCAGAAGAAAAGACAGGAGAAGGAGGGCAGAAATGGAGGTCAAGGAAACCTGAAGCACTGGAAGAACTCAACCCATCATTGCTGGCTTTGGAGACGAGGGGCCATGATCCAAGGAGGCCTCAGAAGCTGAATATGATTCTCAGCCACAGCCAGCAAAGAAACAGAGACCTCCCTTTCACTTTTGCATGAAAACAAATTCCACCAACAATCCGAATGAGCTTGGGAGCAGATTGTCTCTGACAGCCTCCAGAAAAGAACACAGCCCTGCCAACAACTTCATATGGACCTTGAGAATGAGCAGAGAAACCAGCTGAGTCCACTGGACTTCTGGACTTCTGACTGACAGAGATATAATATAATAAATTTGTATAGTTTTAAGCCATTAAGCATGTGGTAATTTGTTACAGTAGCAATCCAACAGTAATATGTAGCTTAACTCAAAAAAAAAAAAAAAACTTAGTATAAGGCCAGGGAGCAATGTGTTTTTCAAAAGCTTCCTAGGTCAGTCCTTATCAGATCAATGTACATAGGAATCACATTAATTTGATAAGAATCTGCATTTCTGACATCTTGTGAAAATGTGAAAAGATTCTGATCAGCAGATCTGAGATGAGGCCTGAGAGTTCAAAGAAACTACAGGTGAATGCTGATGTTTCTTGTGGAAGGACCACACATGAGTAGAAAGAAGCTAGATGATTGTAAATTAGCCAAGCTTCTCACTACTTTGTGAATATCACATTTGAAAGTGACCAAGGTACTATTATTGCAGTATTCCCATCTTTCTACATCCATGTCAAGACTGCAAGTTGATGGAGTGGATCTGAAAGCTGAGTGATATAGAAAATGCAGACAGAATATACCTCAGTGGATGTGGCTTCAACAAGCAAACCATAGCAGGCAGGATTTTTAAAACTGACCTATAGCAGGGTGCAAATACATTTTTTTTAATTTTTTTAAGTCTTTAATTGGTATATAACATCATAGAAGGAGACAGTAGAAGTAGTGAAAAATTTCACCACTGCAGAGCAGGATAACAATAGATGAACAGTTAAATTCTTTAGATAATCAGCTGAAGACCTGATAAATGGATTCAGGTAGCAGGTGCTTATGAGAACCACAGGAAATCTGCCTAACCTATCTGAGCAAACTGACTTAATATGATTGTTGCCTCATTTTCTCAAAAAAAGGCAGGGTAGGAGCTGAGCCTATGATAAATTACCAATGAAAGAAAGAAAGGAAGAATCATGAAAATTTAGTAAAAGAGCATAACTCTAAAGATAAGATACTGCAGGACCCTGGAGAAAATTCAAGAAAAATACTCTGTATGCCCACCAGGAGATGATAGACATGGCACCTATATTTAAAAAAAAGATATGGAAAAATATTATGATATGTAAAACAATAAGGTAACTTTTGAGGGGAGCAGTGATTGGAAAGGAACATAAAGGGTGTTTCTGAAAGATGGTGATGTTCTGAGTGTTGATTTCTGAGCTGATTACACAAGTGTGGGCAGAATGTAAAAATTGATCAGAATGTATATTTTGATAAATACACTTTTCTGTACTTATATTTTAGTTCAATACCAAACTGCAAAGGGACAAAAATGACTGAAGAGACAAAAATGAATCAGCAGACAAAAAATAATAGGAAGAGGTACACAGAGCACTCAACGTGGGAATGAACAATTGTAATGACATGAACTACAACAGCAAAAATAAAACCTGAAAATAAAATATTGAATAGTAAAATTAATATTCAGAACTCTAGTGAGCTTTATAAAGTAATTTTTAGAGCCCTCTAAGAATGCAGAAACAAATGAAAACTTTACGGCTTATACAAATTTTCACAGTAAAGCTGATATATAAAATAAAGACACAGCTAAGGATCATAGGTTCTCTCAAGGAGAAAGTTTGAAAAATTTAGGCGTAAGTAGAAAGCACAGATCAAAGCTGAAAATACATTTGCTTTTGTCATTTTAAGCAAACTACCTCCAACTTACCCTAGGCAAAATTTATGAACAAATAGCTCAAACAAGTCATGTTCAAGAAAAAAATAAATATAATAATCAAATTTAAAATCCTGTAAGCATTTAAGAGAAAAAAATGTAATCCCATGAGGACTGAAATGTTTGTATGTTTTTTTCCGACCATGTCCCCAGTGACAAGATTAGAACTTGGCCCAAGGCTTACACTAGTCATTCAATAAATGCTTGTTGAGTAAGTTAAAAGTTATATTTTAAAAATTGTCTATTATTTTTAAAACACAAAAAGAAACAAAGCTTCCAATTTTTCCTTTGCACAATAAATATAGAAGAAAATAAATTTATATATACTCATATTTGAAGGAGGAAATCTCTTTGCAAAGAATGTCATTTGCAATTAAGTTTTTCATCATAGATCAAGTCAATAGAGACACACTTTCAGATGCAGAACGACTGAGGAAATAGATCACTCGACTCTTGGAAAAAATTTCTGAAAGTGTATTCAACTTACTGAAAGGTGATCAACATAAGAATGCGAAACTATGTTTCTGTTCAAAAAGACTGTGATAAGCGCTCAAGCCTGTTAAACATAGAGCTAAACCTAGTTACATTTTTAATATATGGTGTAAAGTAAATATCAAAGGATTTCTTAAAATAAAAGATAGGTAATATAAGAGTGATGTTCTGTGATAATTATCTGAGTCCTAATTACAACACATAAATATAAAGTGAAGCAAGGGAAACATCAGGAATGAGAGGAAAAAGGAATTAAAGTAAAATAAATTTCTTATTTTAATTATGGAATACTTTTAAATGTATCATTTAATTCTTGAGTTTGATGATTTCAGAAATATAGGATATCTGTAATACCTAAAGGTGACTTGTTTCAGAATTATAAAACATGAAACTTGCAAGTCAAAATCACAGAAGAAAGTAAAACTATACAAAATATAATTCATGTATAAAAAGAAAGTAATAAGGAAAGAGTATAAATTATATAGCATTTACAAAAATGAGCAAATTAACCAAAATATCAGGTAGACAATAATAATTGTGAGTAGACTGAACCACCTGTATAAGAGATAGAACTTTTCCCAATGGAAAAAAATCAAACTCAAACCAGCAAAATCAAAGTCTCTTACAAAATAATATGTAAAAATTAAAGTAAGAATAGAGAAGGAAGGCTGGACGCGGTGGCTAACTCCTGTAATCCCAGCACTTTGGGAGGCCGAGGCAGGCAGATCACGAGGTCAGGAGTTCGAGACCAGCATGACCAACATGGTGAAACCTCGTCTCTACTAAAAATACAAAAAGTAGCTGGGCATGGTGGTCCACGCCTGTAATCCCAGCTACTGGAGAGGCTGAGGCAGGAGAATCGCTTGAACCCAGGAGGCGGAGGTTGCAGTGAGCCAAGATTGCAGCACTGCACTCCAGCCTGGGCGACAGAGCGAGACTCCATCTCGGGAAAAAAAAAAAAGAGAGAGAGAGAGAGAAGAAAGAATAAAATATTTATTAACAAACATAGAAAAAAATATATAGGAAGGAGATATTAATCGAGACAACAAACAATTCAAGACCAAAAGATGATTAAATTTGAAAACAGATTTGATAGAGTAACTGTGAATATTTTTAAAGCAAATAAAATAACAAATTTTATAATTTAGAAACTCAAGAACATGTTGAAAAGAAACAATTGTTTCAAACATTAAGTTGAAAACAAGTAAAATGAATTTTGGTTTACCTTGCACACTACAAATTGAACTCAATCCCACACAAAACATGGTTGCTTATGGCCTAGATCTTAAAGCAAACCATCTCTCCACTTCAGACTGATGATTTGCCTGGAAACGTGTTGCTATTACTGCCATAACGGGGTTTGACAGTCTAGAACCTTCTTCAATGCATACTAATTTTAAGGCTGAATTTGCTACCTTCATTAATCATCGGACACTCATTGAAGGCCTGGCCTAAAACCCAGAGCTATGGCACCTTCCTCAAGCATGGTTCCCTTAGGGCTTTTCTTCCCTATCGGCTTATGCAGAGAGCTCCATTATATCTCCAGCCTGTGTCTGCCTGTGTCATGATCAAGATATAAGAGGCTGGGTTTGTATATTTCTTCAAAGCCGACTTTGAAAGATGGGAAGAGCCAGTATAAGATTAAGTCTAAAGAGATGCAATTGCCTCAAAAAGAGAGTATACTTAACAAGAAGACACTAGAATTGCCAAAAATAAGTTTACTTATAACAACAACAACAAAATCTACTTCACATTGAATAAAACACAACTCCTGCCCTCAAATAACTTCCAGGAGAAAAATAAAAACACTTAACCTCATCACTTAAGGTTTATAAAGCATTCTTTTTGTTTTCATTTTTCTTTTTGTTCTTTTATTTATTTGGAAGTTGCCAGCACAGGAAACAGTGGAAGATCTCAGAGTGTCTGCTATCATTATTTAATATTTTATCACAGCATTATTCTCAGCGAAGTGAAAAATATTTTTAGGAAACAGAATGCCAGTGAATTAATTGAAAGTAAGAACTATACCTAAGATCACACAGTTATATTTTAACTTCATTTCTTTAACTATTAATTTTAATTATTTCTCATCATAATTTATACGTCATGTCTATGTGCAAATTGTAGTATTTTATTGACCATTTTTCATTTTCCTTTCATCACTCTATATACCTCATTTTCACACAGCTCATAATAATTTTATATTATGTGTTCCATAATATAAAATGGGATACATTTACTATTAATTACAATATTTACATTGAAATATGGTAGGAGAAACAATATAGCATTCTGTATATCTCTGTTTCTTTCAAGTTACAAATTTTGTTTCTGGGAACTATAAAGCATTCTTAATTTCATTATAGGTAGGTCAATAGCTATTCTTGTTCCCATCTTATAGATGAGGAAAACTGAGACTCATAATGGTCAAGCGACTTACTCAGATCATATAGCTAAGTGCAGAGACAGGAATTGAAATAAAGTCTTCCAAATCTAAATTCACTGCCCTTTTAATTTCTTCATGCTGCCACCTAAAGTATACCTCAGGTACATTGGTTGCCTCATTCATTCTTCTTTGGCTTGCATTGCGGGCAATTAACTTTTGGAGGGAATTCAGAGGGGTTGCTGCAGACAATTGCTATAGCGGCAATTGGTCATAGACTCTTAGCTTTGTGACAGCTCAAGTCAATGACAGGCACAGTACCATGAAATAATTTCTGCAGTCTTTTAGAATAAGGAAACTTCCCCTGAACTTCAGGGACCACAGGGGATCCCACAAAGATTCATTCCATGTTAGGATCAGTCTGCTGGCCTCTGGAGCAGCAGAACCAATAGTTATTACCTGCCTCTCTGCTTCAGTTGAGAGGACTAGCTCTGCTTGTTCTACTACCGTGACAGTAATATTAACTCCAGGTTCCATTTGTGTCTCAACCCCCAGCTCTCAATCCAGCAGGAGTCTGGGCACATGAATACTGATTCTGCACATTGGATTCTGAGTAATTCTTAACTTTTTCAAATTAAGAATAATATCATAAACTTAAAATAATTATATGTATCAGTGGCTGAGCCACCCAGTGAGTCTGCAGTGTGTAAAAAGGTAGAAATGGCAGATCTCTTGGAGATTTGATTCCCAACCAACATCAGTCAATCCTTTTAAGCAGTGAGTAATTTATAAATATCACCAAAAGTGGAAACTGTTTAATTAGAAGTTCTAGATAGAAGAGAAAGATTTGAAAGATATAAGTCCCAGCCAGGTGTTTGAACCCAAATCAATGACCGCACTGTATAAAGGCCCTAAGAAATAATGAACTGCCTTTAATCTTGCCTTTCAGGTTGTTGATCTGAATATATCTCAAGTGAAAAAGGCATTTTAATTTTTTAATTTTTCTCTTTTCAGAGTTCTTTAGAAGAATAAAATGGTTCAGCTTTTATATAAAGGCTCAGGGAATTTTGAAAGAGAGAAAATATCAATACATTCTTTGTTTTTATTCCTAAGAAAAATAAGTTGCCTTTAGATCAAGGACATGAAAGTAGCTCAGATTAGCTAATAAAATATACCATAAAATATTCGTTTCCAAACTACTGTGTTAATTGTCAGAAAAAAAGAAACGTTGATTATAGAATATGATTTCTTTCTCCCAATTTTCAAAGCAAATATATTCACATTTGCTACAGGAATATAATCTAGTGAATGAAGATGGCCAGATGGGACTAATCCTGCTGTTACATTAAAGGGGGCTTGGGTAAAATGGGAAGAACAATTATTCAAGACTCACTGTGGTAAACATATGTATTAACAAAGTATGTGGAGTCAAAATAATGCTGTTAATATTCTTTTCCCTTTATACTTCAAGATAAGGCTTTGATCCAGGTGAGAGGGGCCATTCTCAAAGCCCCACACTTTAGGAAGCACTGCAACATACAACAGAAATGTACTAACCTGTAATACTAAGACTGAAGATCTGCTCCTGTAACACTGCTCGGCTCCAGAGAATGCCTCTCTAGGGCTCTTCACCTTGGCCTCAAAACAATATCATACTGAATGGGCAAAAACTGGAAGCATTCCCTTTGAAAACTGGCACAAGACAGGGTACCCTCTCTCACCACTCCTATTCAACATAGTGTTGGAAGTTCTGGCCAGGGCAATTAGGCAGGAGAAGGAAATAAAGGGTATTCAATTAGGAAAAGAGGAAGTCAAATTGTTCCTGTTTGCAGACAACATGATTGTGTATCTAGAAAACCCCATCATCTCAGCCCAAAATCTCCTTAAGCTGACAAGCAACTTCAGCAAAGTCTCAGGATACAAAATCAATGTACAAAAATCACAAGCATTCTTATACACCAACAACAGACAAACAGAGAGCCAAATCATGAGTGAACTCCCATTCACAATTGCTTCAAAGAGAATAAAATACCTAGGAATCCAACTTACAAGGGATGGGAAGGACCTCTTCAAGGAGAACTGCAAACCACTGCTCAAGGAAATAAAAGAGGATACAAACAAATGGAAGAACATTCCGTGCTCATGGGTAGGAAGAATCAATATCGTGAAAATGGCCATACTGCCCAAGGTAATTTACAGATTCAATGCCATCCCCATCAAGCTACCAATGCCTTTCTTCACAGAATTGGAAAAAACTACTTTAAAGTTCATATGGAACCAAAAAAGAGCCCGCATCGCCAAGTCAATCCTAAGCCAAAAGAACAAAGCTGGAGGCATCACACTACCTGACTTCAAACTATACTACAAGGCTACAGTAACCAAAACAGCATGGTACTACTACCAAAACAGAGATATAGATCAATGGAACAGAACAGAGCCCTCAGAAATAACGCCGTATATCTACAACTATCTGATCTTTGACAAACCTGAGAAAAACAAGCATTGGGGAAAGGATTCCCTATTTAATAAATGGTGCTGGGAAAACTGGCTAGCCATATGTAGAAAGCTGAAACTGGATCCCTTCCTTACACCTTATACAAAAATCAATTCAAGATGGATTAAAGACTTAAACGTTAGACCTAAAACCATAAAAACCCTAGAAGAAAACCTAGGCATTACCATTCAGGACATAGGCATGGGCAAGGACTTCATGTCTAGAACACCAAAAGCAATGGCAATAAAAGCCAAAATTGACAAATGGGATCTAATTAAACTAAAGAGCTTCTGCACAGCAAAAGAAACTACCATCAGAGTGAACAGGCAACCCACAAAATGGGAGAAAATTTTCGCAACCTACTCATCTGACAAAGGGCTAATATCCAGAATCTACAATGAACTCAAACAAATTTACAAGAAAAAAACAAACAACCCCATCAAAAAGTGGGCGAAGGACATGAACAGACACTTCTCAAAAGAAGACATTTATGCAGCCAAAAAACACATGAAAAAATGCTCACCATCACTGGCCATCAGAGAAATGCAAATCAAAACCACATGGATACCATCTCACACCAGTTAGAATGGCAATCATTAAAAAGTCAGGAAACAACAGGTGCTGGAGAGGATGTGGAGAAATAGGAACACTTTTACACTGTTGGTGGGACTGTAAACTAGTTTAACCATTGTGGAAGTCAGTGTGGCAATTCCTCAGGGATCTAGAACTAGAAATACCATTTGACTCAGCCATCCCATTACTGGGTATATACCCAAAGGATTATAAATCATGCTGCTATAAAGACACATGCACACGTATGTTTATTGTGGCGTTATTCACGATAGCAAAGACTTGGAACCAACGCAAATGTCCAACAATGATAGAGTGGATTAAGAAAATGTGGCACATATACACCATGGAATACTATGCAGCCATAAAAAATGATGAGTTCATGTCCTTTGTAGGGACATGGATGAAATTGGAAATCATCATTCCCAGTAAACTATCGCAAGAACAAAAAACCAAACACCACATATTCTCACTCATAGGTGGGAATTGAACAATGAGAACACATGGACACAGGAAGGGGAACATCACACTCTGGGGACTGTTGTGGGGTGGGGGGTGGGAGGGATAGCATTGGGAGATATACCTAATGCTAGATGACAAGTTAGTGGGTGCAGCGCACCAGCATGGCACATGTATACATATGTAACTAACTTGCACATTGTGCACATGTACCCTAAAACTTAAAGTATAATAATAACAAAAAAAACAAAAAACAAAAAAAAACAAAAAGCAACTGGGCTTAAATTCCATGAATGTTTGCTGTGAGGCAGAGGTAGGGAACAGACCCTGCTAAGGAATACCAGAAAGAGTTAAGTGGTGGCAGCACTCAGGTAAAAGACAATAAAAACTCATTCTTCCCCTCAGATAATGTGAATAAAATAGATTCTGGTAGAATGTGAAACAGTTTCCAAGTAATGCCAAGTGACCATTTATCAGTCTTTCATGGTGTTCTAAATCACGTTTCTGGAATTGCCATCAAATTATCATGGTATTTGCAACAGGTGCATATAGTGTCTGAGAAATGTTGAAATATTGTACAATATTAAACAATTTATATTTTTATAAATTTGTGAATATGTATGTATATAAAAACAGGTTACTAATTCTTTATATTGGCAAATAGAATTGCAAATAGTTTTATTTTATAAAAATGTTTTATAAGGTTAAATTTTAAAATTCAGGTGTTAATCATTTTGACTTCAAATTCTAACCTATATTAAATATGAATTTTATTTTACTTTAATGGAAATTTGAAATATTTTTGAAAGAACAATTTTGATAACATAAAACTCTTTCACATTTTCAACTTCTTGCATTTGCTTTAATTTGCATTTTGAAGAATATATATTCACATTCTGTGTACGTTGAATGAAACCTTATTACTATTTTCTAATCTTTGAGATCAATGTGAATTAAAACATCAAATCATAATTGGAATAGAAAATACCTTTGAGCTGAGAAAAGGAAAAAAACTGAAAAAGAAAATATTTAAAACCCCAAAGAAGTTATCTGCTTAACTGTTTAAAAACTGAAAACAAAAGAGGCTTCTGCTGAACATAAATTATATGACATTTTTAAAGCAAAATATTACAAAATAATTTTTAATAAAAAATAAGGATCAAAGTAATGACAGTGAGAAAGAATATTATTTTCATCAAATACAAAACTTGAATTGATCATGTAATTTCTGTACTACGCGAAGATTTTGATTGCTGAGCAAAACAGTGGGAATAAAAAAAAAACATTATTCATATCAATTTCCCAACTCAGAAGCAACAAATACAACTACGGCCTGCCCATTAGGACAAACTGCATTCATGAAATCAGAAAATTTTATTTTAAAGAAACTTGGGAGACTTACTATGTTTTTTAGAATATTATCCTAGAAAATTGCCATTGCATCATTCTGACGATATGAACATTTTCTAGAAAAACACAATATGATTCAAATCATTTATTTTGATTTTCTATTGGATGAACATTGCAGAAAATTTTGTTTGACACTACAGTTTCTTCAAATGGAAAAAGAAACTATGAAAATGCCCTTTCTCATTCTTTTTTTTGAATAAGAACAAGATACTCATTCTTTTGGCTGCATACTAATACCATGGAAGCAGAGTATTCCATGGTGTATATGTGCCACATTCTCTTTATCCAGTCTATCGTTGATGGGCATTTAGCTTGATTCCATGTCTTTGCTATTGTGAATAGTGCTGCAACAAACATATGCATACATGTGTTTTTATAATAGAATTATTCATATTCCTTTGGGTATGTAACCAGTAATGGGATTGCTGGGTCAAACGGTATTTCTGTACGTGGATGGAGCTAGAGGTTATTATCCTTAGCAAACTAACACGGAAACAGAAAAGCAAATACTGCATATTCTCAATTGGAAGTGGGAGCTACATGATGAGAACATATATACAGGGGAACAACACACACTGGGGCCTTTTGAAGGGTGAAGGGTGGGAGGAGGGAGAGGATGAGGAAAAATAACTAATGGGTACTAGGCTTAATACCTGGGTGATGAAATAATCTGTACAACAAACCCCCATGACACAAGCTACCTATGTAACAAACCTGCACTTGTACCCCTGAACTTAAAATAAAAGTTTAAAATAAAATAAAATTGCCCTTTCTATTCTAATTCCACAGACAAAATATTTTACTATTATTCTTACCTGCTTCTCAACAAATCTTCTCAGATCGGTTTGGAACAATGTAATATTTGTGACAGAAAACATTTAGGTTGTTGATAATACAAACACACACACTCACACACACACCACAAAAACATGAAACGTCATTTGCATCATTTGCACATAAGCATTTGTGCAACTACTAGAATGGAAATAATTGAATAAATAGCAAACAATAGTTTTAAATAAAAACAAGTAAATGCTGATATAGAACACTGAAATGATGTTTTGAGGCATATTTTTGTGGCCCTTTTAGCACAAAATGATATGAAATAGTGGAACATTTCTAGATTTTGTAAAAATTATTTCAAACAGTGATACTAGAATGGCCAAACACATACAGCAATGTAAGAAATATGGTAATAAATGTCACTACAATTGCCAATGCCTATTGATGGAATTGGCTCATTTATTTTCCTCCTCTGGGGCTCGCTATGAATTGTGGAAGTTAAGATATATACCTTTAAGATGTATCATTCAATAACAAACAACAAGCCATTATTCACAGTTCAATTATATAATTGCTGTCTTTACAATAACTGTGAAATATATTTTATGGAGGTAGAAATCAGCATATAGAATTTTGCAGTATATTTATCACACCTGGGAGGAAAACCCTGAAATATTTCAATTCTTTATTTTAAAAGATATCAATTCACAAGACAGATATAAAAATAACCTTTAAGCATATGAATAGATGTTCAACCTCATTCAGGATATGAGAAAAGGGAAATGCAAATTAAAACAAAACTAAGATGCCGACTCTCACCTACCAGATCAGTAAAAATTAAAAAAAATAACAGTACTCTTACTAGGCTGTGGAAACACAAGCACCCTCATATATTGCTGGTGGGAAAGAAAATTGGTGCAAACCTTAGGGGATAAAATTTGGTAATATCCAAATGATTACATATATGTTTACATTACGACCCAATGATCCCAATTTTAGGATTTTTTTCTGAAGTTGCACATCCAATACTATGAAGATACACACACACACACACACACACACACACACATACAAACACACACAAAAAAAATCATTCATTGTCATCGCAACATCTTAGAAACAATGTAAATGCCCATTTATAAGAGAGTGATTGAATAAACTATGGTAGATCTACACAGTGCACATTATTTCCTTTAACAGAATAAGGAAGTTGTTTGTTGAATAATGTGGAGCAATTTCTAGGATATTGTGAAGCACAGTGTTGCGTTAGGCAATTAATAATGTTTGTGGTAGGTTTAAGCTTCTTTAAAATGTATAATTTGTTGTGATTACTTTTCTCACTCTTAGTAAATATTCTTTCTTTAAAACTAATTTCATCTTGATAATTATGTTTTCTTTTTCTTAAAAAAAGAAGTTTCCCTGATTGATATAAACTCTGGCTACACAAAATCTGCACTTTCTTCAGAACTGTGGACTATGGTATGTAAATACATTATGTACTGTCTTCTATTTGATTTTTCTAATAGGTTTTCCACCAAAATTACTCTAACATATTTTTCTAAAGCAGCAGTTCTCAAACCTAGCTCAGCATCAGAATCAGCTATGGACCTTTACAAAAACAGAGATTCCTGGGCAATATGTAAGTCTGGGGTGTAGAAATCACTATCTTCCAAAAGCCCTGAAGCTGATTCTGAGCATCATCCAAGTTTGAAATCTCTGCTGAGGGTAGGTTTGAAAATAGGGAGAGAATAAAATTATTATTACTCTGCATTTTTAAATAAATTTGTAATTATTATCAATAATTTCTTACTTTCTTAAATTCTTCATGATTTGCTCAAGAGTGTCTCATTCTGAAATTGAAAGGACTTTAAGGAAAACTAAACCATAGGGAAGAATTCTACTTGTCTCGTGAAACACAGTCTAGCAGGATAACATCTGGACTTGGAGCAATTCTGCAGAAATCAATTCCTGACTCTGACGTAACCATGGCCTGCAACTCAGCAAGGTTGTTAATGTTGGTACCTGTTTTCTCTTCTGTAAAATGTATATAGTTTGGCCTTTTTTCACATAATTGTGGGAACCAATAAAGATCCACAATGTAAAATGTTCTTACAGACTGCTAAGGGTTATAGTTCTGAACATAACTCTCATTATGTATTTAAAGTCTAATTGTGTCTCCATTTACTGTAATTTTTGAAGTCTTAATTCTGTATTTAGATGATATTATTTTATATGTATTAACTATCTATCTTCTATCTATCTATATATTTATCTATCCATCTATTCGTCTATCTATGCATCCATCTATGCCACTATTTTCTCTGTGAATTAACAGAAGACAAATAACTTCAGTTATTTGGGAAGATTATGCACTTTAAAAAAAGTTAATTTTAAGTTCTGGAATACATGTGCAGGACATGCAGGTTTGTTACATAGGTAACGTGTGCCATGGTGGTTTGCTGCACCTATCAACCCATCATCTAGGTATTAAGCCCCGCATGCATCAACTATTTATCCTGAAGCTCTCCCTTCCCCGGCCCCTCCGACAGGCCTCAGTGTATGTTGTTCCACTCTCTGTGTCCATGTGTTTTCATTATTTAGCTCCTACTTATAATTAAGAACATAGGGTGTTTAGTTTTCTGTTCCTGGGTTAGTTTGCTAAGGATAATGGCTTCCAGCTCTATACATGTCCCTGCAAAGGACATGATCTCGTTCCCTTTTATGGCTGCATAATATTCCATGGTGTGTATGTACCACACTTTCTTTATCCAGTCTATCATTGATGGGCATTTGGGTCGATTGCATGTCTTTGCTATTATGAATAGTGCTTCAGTGAACTTATGTCTGCATGTATCTTTATAATGGAATGATTTATATATATACCCAGTAATGGGATTGCTGGGTCAAATGGTACAGCATGATGCAAATCACAGAGGATTTGAAGTGGAGTCATACGCAAAAATCTAAGACACTTTGGAAATCACTCTCCTGAGGAAGAACATGAATTCCATAATTCTTTAAAAGGCATACGAAAATTATATTCCATATGATCTAATATAAACATTTACATATGTTAAACATATATCTTTCATAAAATCTGGCAGAATCAAATACAGTTCACAAACAGTTATCATATAATTGCCTTATTTTCTGATATATATTGTGTGCTATCATTTCAGAAAACATACTAAGTAAAATTATATTTATCTTCGATAAATACATCCTGTATATTTTCAAAAGAGCGATAGAAGTCACCACAATAATTTTAAAACTACATATGGTTGAGAAAAATGCCAAAGGGGGAGGAAATTAATTTTGATTGGGGTAGTATGTTTCCTGAGTTGGAACAGAATCTTGAATTGCTGGTGGCATTCACACCTCTCCATTACTGCTGTTAGAAATTCTTTATCTACTTCTGGAGTCTATAAAAGCTTAGTGTATCAAAGTGATGCCAAATTTATATGTAACTCCTAATACAATGTTATGAAAATGATTCATTAATAAGCAATACTCAGACTTCTATGATGAAGCATGGAGTCCACATCAGTCTATAGAAGGCTGTTCTCAATCTTAAATTTTAAGTATCTTAAAAGTAAAATCAGGACTATAGTACCTCTACACATTTTGAGCTGAGAACACTATGTTAATTTACATATCATCCAACTAGATTCTATATTCTAGGTCTCTGGACAGGTGGCCTTTATTCTTTTTAAACTGAGAACAGCTAGTATGTCCTGATTTAGTTCACATAACCCCTCTCTCCCACAATAACACACATACAGAAATAAAATACTTAAAATAATATATTTCCCTATTATTACAATTTTTACCTATTTTATTTTCTTCTATTCTATGTTTTTAAAAAATATTGGTCACCAAATTAGATTGATTTAATGTCCCACCAATGTGCATCTGAAAAAATTGCCTTATCAGTGATTTCAAAAATAATTTGGGGTCCTTGGCTTTGGCAGTATGTGTACTCAAATTGGAATGATACAAAGAAAATTAGCATGGCACCTGTGCAAAAATGATATGCCAATTTGTGAAGTATTTCATATTTTAAAAATGACTTGGGGAAGAGTAATCATCAGATAAATGGATAAAGTACATGTGATCCATATATACAATGAAATATCACTCAGCATTAAAAAGAAAGGAAATTCTGACACATGCTACAACATGGATGAACCTTGATTTCATGACGTTCAGTGAAATAAGCCGGTCACAAAAAGACAAATAATGTACGCTTCCACTTATATGAGGAACCTAGAATAGCTAAATTCATAGAAATGGAAAATAGAATAGTGGTTGTCAGCGGCTGGGGAGAGAGGTAAATGGAGAGTTATTGTTCAATGTAAATAGAGTTTCCGTTTTGCAAGGTAAGTGTTCTGGAAATGGATAGTAGTGGTTGCACAGCAATGAAAATTTACTTAACACCATTGACTGCACACTTAAAAATGGTTAAGATGGCAAATTTTATGCTATGTATATTTTACCATGATTACAGAGAATTTTTTAAATCACTTAGGCAAATACAAATTTTAGTGATGTACTTCAGATTTACTGAATCAGGAATGGGGACCTTAAATCTGGGATTATTTAAGAGCCTTCCAGGTAAATCCGATTCAAAGTGGCTTAAGAACCACTGCTTTAAGATACAACTATGACTTTTCCTCCCAACACCTAAATTCTTTTGCTGCTTTGAAAGGAACAAAATTGTGAGACAAGAACTCACAGAAGCCTAACCTTATCCTTAATCAGGACTTAAAAGAAAACAAAAATAGACTAAGAATTTTTCAAGAGGGAAACTAGTTACACAGTGCATGTTCATGATATGGATATTGACTACAGAGAAAGAAACATTTCCAGAGAGACACAAGATGATAATAAAACACGCAAGTTCTAACACTGGTTCTCATACTTTTTTGTAGTCATATTCAGGGTCTTCTCTCAAATGAAAAAAAAAAAGCTACCTTATTTTGCCTTTTATATGCCAAGACCTTTGCAAATATTACCTCATCTAACATGGCAATGTCCCAATGAGGATTTATGTTTTTATTTTATTCATAAGGAAACTGAGGCTTATAAATGTCAATTCCTTGCCCAATGTCACGTAGCTCATATGTGGTGAAAACTACATCTACCTGACTCCTAAACCTTTAGTCTTTCCAATGCTACCTTGCCTCTCTGCAAGATTTCATTCCATTCTTACACAGCACACTGGAGTAGACCTCGTTATTGTCATTTTAAAAATAAGAAAAGAACCTCAGGGAGATGACTTTATGAAGGTCACAGTAAGCCTTCTACATTTTGATTCGATTTTCATCCATAAAATAGAGCTATTTCACTTCTGAGAAATATATTGAAGAAACCAAATAAAATTGGATGTCATAAAAATAATGCGAGAAGGAGTAAAATCTTGATTAATAGAAAGTGCCAGGCAGCTATGGTTAATTGAAGGTTAACTAGAGACTTCTTTTTGTTTTAACCTTTAATGCTGAAAATCCTTTCAAAATAAATTGAACCACATCCTGGTTTATGTAAGTTTACTGTGATGAATACAATTAAATCTTTCTTTGAGAGTTTTTTTTTAACTTCTGTGTATCCCCATTGATGTAGATTATACAGGAAATTAATTTGAATTTTTATGGAGACCAGAAAAAAACTTAAACTGACTCTTTTGACCAAGTCTCTAATAGGAGTTTGTATGGTCTCTTTCATAAAACTAATGCACCAAAAATAGTTCCAGGTCTGCTTTTATGAGATGAATTCAAAGAGGTTGGACTGTAGAAGATACAGATCAATATTTTATGCCCATCCTTCTCCAAATGGGATTTTAGGCTGGAAAACTATTAGTATTTTTTGCTTTTAGTATTCCCTTACATCAAGGGAGAAGATGTATTTATGACTTATGTAGATTGTTCAAAGGTAATAATGTCCCTAAACTTCCTCATTTATTAGAGAAATATGAAAAGTTCAGGTTCCTCAGAGGATCCAGTGAAATCCCCACTCTAAAGAGCTGACCTCAAACTACCTTTGCCCAGACTAACTGTTACCTGCAAGCCTTCCCTTTATCCACCAGCATTACCCTCACTATTTTCAAAGACAGACGCCTGCTGAAACAGAGAGATGAATAATTTGAAATGAGCATAAATCAAGGCATAATTAAAGTGACACATGATAAAGGTGGCTACTACAAGAGCTTTAAGCATCTTTACTGGCCAGTCAACACCATAGCCTTTCTAGGTTAACAAAATAATATTAGAAATAGATTTCTGTTGTTGAAATTAGGGATTAGTGATTTTTTCAAATAGACGCAAAAACTGTTAGAGGCATTTAGTCTGTTGGAAGACTATAGTTTAAGAATCTAACTAGCCTTTCAAAATTTAGCTGTAAGAATTGCACCCGAGACTTGATTTCTATAGAGACCTCTGTCCAGACATTGGATTGGGGGATTTTTGGCCACCCAAGTCTAACTAGAACATCAGCCGAGTCCTACTGTTGGAATCATATTGCATTTGCTGCGTTTGCCTTCAGGGGAATCTACCATCCTTAGTACAGTCTTAGCACACACACACACAAAAAGATAAAGCCAAGAATTCGTAGAGCTTATGTTGTGTATACTTGCTATTAAATGTCTATATTTGAAGAAGAATTTTATTTTCAATTACTTAGAAAGATGGTATAAGAGCAGATAAAAACTATAGGCTATTAATCTCTACTCAAAGGAGGCTAATATTTTTACATCTAATTTTTTTAGGTCAGTTCACAACAGTAGATATCAAAGTGGAGTTTGCATGATCGTTCCTAAAGATCTTTAGTCAGAAAATTAAAAAAAAAAAGATCTTTAGTCAGTAGGCAGACTAGATGGTCAATAAAAATCCCTTCCATTCTACAGACACAAACCTCTTCATATGAGCTCACATTTAGAACATTCCTAGAGAAGTAATCACTTATCTGGAACATTTTGATAATTAGAAATGACTTGCCAAGGAGAATTTGCTTGTTCCCATAGTCTTGGATTGATGATCCCTTTAGAGAAATCGATTTGCTGTGACACAGGCAGAATGTATGTGAAACACAGAAATTGTGATAATAACCCAAGCCCAGTATTTCACATGGCAGCTGTTGTAAGAAGAAAGTCCACCTAATGGGGCAATGATAGAGCATGGCTTCCTAAAGACGAGCTGAAGAGCTTCCCCAGGCAGGGTGAAAAGAGACCTGAAGTTGTGATATATAAAATCCTTTTAGATAAGGAAATAAGTCTGACCTCTTTTTGCCTCTTTGACACTGCTCTCACTCTCCCTGGCTGCCCTTTCAAGATTTCTTCTTTCAGACTGAGTTAAACATTTACATGAATCTCTCATTTATAAGATTAAAAAATTGTGCATGAGATGCCAAACGATCTAGTAGAGATTCACAACAAGGCAACAAGTTCAAATAGGTTTGGCAGACGTAGGATTCTCATTCCCAACACCTTGTCTGGGAAACCAAGTGCCCTCCATGTCTAGTAGCAGAGAGTTAACAAATTCATGTAAAACTTAAAACCTATCTTTTCCAGGAGAAAATCCAGCTCCATGTGTGTGAGTGTTTTTCATGTTATTAAGAGGGCTAAATATCACTTATGTTTATCACCACATTTGTGGAGTTGAATATCAGATATCTTATTCTCCAAAACTGTCAAATTTTGTGGTTGAAGACATATTTTACCAAACCACTCCTTTCTCTAACACATGTGAACGTGACGACAGAGAGAGAGAGAGTTGCCTAACCTAATGGCTTCATTTCCCAAATTCTTCTACATCATATAAGTGAGGCTGAGTCAGCACCTACATTTCCTGTTGTCTTCCACCTGTTCTTCTTTTGCACTTGCTCTATTTGTAATTTTACTGATCTGCTAGCTACCTACTATATTGTCCAAAATAGAAATAAAATATTTTATATTTACATTTTAAATAAAATAGATTTAAGTAAGTAAAACTCAGTGTCTTTACAAGTTTATAGTTCGGGCTATATAAGGCACAGAGCCTTCCTCTACATTTTCCACTCACCATCTGGGCAGTCTTTCTTCTGGCAAGACTTTAAAAATGAAGGGGAGCAAAAGCTTTAGGGGAGGAGTTGGGGAGGGAGGGTGGGCTAGAGAAACAGTGAAAACATGGTTTCAGAAGTTTACTAAGCACCTGCCAAAGTACTGGCATTCACTTCAAGATTACTTTTCTTTAAAGATGTTGAAAGATGCAAAACATTGCTCTTTTCCTAAAAAAGAAAAGCCATATAATCTACAAAACGTTAACTTTTCTTGGGCCCATCAGAAAACTGAGATCAAAAGGTATACGAAGTACATTAGGACTGTTATAACAGAATACCATAGATTGGATGGCTTAAAAAACAAGCATTTATTGTTCACAGGTTGGGAGGCAGAGATGTCCAAGACCAAGGTGCTGGCAGATCCAGTCTACAGTGAGAATACTTTCCCTGGTTTGTATATGGCCTTCATTTCATTGTATCCTCATTTGGTGGAGAGTAGAGAAAGAGCAAGGTGTCATGTCTCTTCATGTAAGGGCACTAACCCTTCTCATGAGGACTCCACCCTCATTACCTAATCGCCTCCCAAAGGACTTACCTCTGATACCATCATGTTGAGGGTTAGGATTTCAACATATGAAATTTTGGGAGATACCAACACTCAATTCATGATATAAGACAATCAAATAAATGCAATTCCAAAGAAGGGCAAGCCTCAAAAAAAAAAAAAAAAAAAAAACAGATACACAAACTTATTCACCTACATCAGAGTATACAACATAAAATGGATAAAAACAACTTAGCAAAAGCTTAATAAATTCTTCAATACTAAGTGTGGTCAAGCATGTAAGTTTAGAAGAGCTGGTAGAACCAGATGTAGGGAAGCCAACACTCACATTTTCTATTCCACAGACTTCTATCAGATGCTTACAAGAAAGACTGGAGGATGAGCAGGTTACAGGGAAGAGTGCCACTCAGTGTGGCACAGGCATAAAGGAGATGATTGGCAGTTACTAATGACCAGGCCAGAGCTGTGCCTACTTCCCTGAACTGTTCTTTCCTACAAAACAAAAGCCTTAATATTCTAGAGAAGGGCAATGAACGCTCTCACTCTCAGCAAATGGGTAAAGATGCATTGCTTCTGGTATAGGAGTAGAATAAAACCAACATTTTATTGGGAAAGGAGTAGAAAAGCTTCTCATCCTTAGGACACAGCCTCCATTCTTGCTGAGATGGAAGTAAAAGCAAAAGTCCTTCTACTTGAGTGCCATACACTGAATGTTTGTATCTCCTCAAAATTCATATGTTGAAACTTAATCCTCAGTGTGCTGGTGCCTTTGGGAGGTAATTAGATCATGAGAGTAAAGCACTCAGAAATGGAATTAGTGTCCTCATAATGAGACCCCAGAGAGATCACTCAACCCTCCTGCAATGTGGGGATGCAGAAAGGAGATGACCTTCTAGGAACCAGGAAGAGGACCCTCACCAGACACAGAGTCTGATTTCACCTTGATCTTGTACTTTCCAGCCTCTAGAACTGTAAGAAATAAATTTGTTGTTTATAAGTCACCCAGTCAATAGCATTCTGTTATAGCTCCCCAAATGGACTAAGACATTGGGGGAAAGGCAAGAAATTGTCTTGAACCTAGCATCCTACACTCATAACACAAAGAGATCTGTCATAACTGGAGGAAGAACAGGAAACTCCTACCTAAGACCACAAAAAAATATAAAGCAGTGTTTGGCTGGGGTGAAAAAGAAGAACAGGATGTAGAGAAAGCCCCACCCCTGAGGCCCAGGCACACAAATCTTGCCTAAGACTGACCAGGAAAATAAAACAAAACAAAAATGCCATCATTCCATTACAAACCTAGCAAAACTAACATGCAACAACAGTGTACTGCTGGTCACGAGCTAGGAGAGAAACTCCCTGTGTGGCACAGCTATGCAGGGTGGTTCTACCAAAACCAGAGAGTACAACTCCAGCACTGAGAAAGATCCTCCAGGTCCCCAGGCACCACACTAAGCACAAGCTAATGGAAGACAAATGCTGTAAGATTTAAAGCCAGTGCTACATTAGAACAGCATTATCAAGGAAAATAATCCAAGCCCAGATCAACAACTAACTATATTAAATCCACTCACCATGCTAAGAACTTCACCAAAGAAGATGCAAGTCCTTTTCCAGACATAAATACTATTAATCTCAGACCCAGTAATTCCTTTTCACACAATGGAATCACTCAATTGAAACTACAAGGCACACAAATGAAACCCAAAAAGAGCTATCAATTGTTAATGGTAAAAGCAATCCACAAAACCAAAGAAATGACCTAGATTTTAAAGCAATCAGATGAATAAAATAGCCATTATTAATATGTTAAGGTATCTAGTAGGAAAGACGGATTATATATAGGAACAAATAGTAATTACAACAGATAGAAACTACCTTTAAAAAATCAAGGCTGGGCACGGTGGCTCACGCCTGTAATCGCAGCACTTTGGGAGGCCGAGGCAGGTGGATCACGAGGTCAGGAGATCGAGATCATCCTGGCTAACATGGTGAAACCCCGTCTTTACTAAAAATACAAAAAATCAGCCAGGCGTGGTGGCGGGCTCCTGTAGTCCCAGCTACTCGGTAGGCTGAGGCAGGAGAATGGCATGAACCCGGGAGGCGGAGCTTGCATTGAGCCGAGATTACGCCACTGCATTCCAGCTTGGGCAACAGAGCAAGACTCCGTCTCAAAAAAAAAAAAAAAAAAATCAAGTATGGGCCAGGTAGTGGTGGTTCATGCCTGTAATTCCAGCATTTTGGAAGGCCAAAGTGGGAGGATCACTTGAAACCAGGAGTTTGAGACCAGCCTGGATAAGATAGTGAGACCCCGTCTCTACAAAAAATAAAATAATTAGCTAGTCATAGTGGCATGCACCTGTAGTCTGTGCTACTCAGGAGACTAAGATGGGAAGATTGCTTGAGCTCAGGAGTTTGAGGCTGCAGTGAGCTATGATTGCGCCACTGCACCCCAGCCTGTGCAGCAGAATGCATTAGTACATTCTTGCACTGCTATAAAGAACTACCTGAGACTGGGTAATTTACAAAGAAAAGAGGCTTAAATGGCTTACAATTCTGCAGGCTATACAGACTTCTGCTTCTGGGGAGGCCTCAGGAAATTTATAATCATGGCAGAAGGGGAAGGAGGTGCTTTTTTTTTTTTAAGGAGTTTCGCTCTTTTGCCCAGGCTAGAGTGCAGTGGCACAATCTTGGCTCACAGCAACTTCCACCTCCCGGGTTCAAGTGATTCTCCTGCCTCAGCCTCCCAAGTAGCTGGGATTACAGGTGCCTGCTACCACACATGGCTAATTTGTGTATTTTTAGTAGAGACAGAGTTTTGCCACGTTGGCCAGGCTGGTCTCAAACTCCTGACCTCAGGCAATCCACCTGTCTCAGCTTCCCAAAGTGCTGGGATTACAGGCATGAGCCACAGAACCCCTCCAGGAGACGCATCTTACACGTCAGAGGCAGGAGTAAGAGAGTGAAGGGGGAGTTGCTTTACACTTTTAAACAACCAGATCTCGTGAGAACTCACTCACTATCATGAGAACAGCAAGGGGGAAATCAGCCCACATGATCCAATCACCTTCCTGCAGGCCCTCCTCCAAAACTGGGGATTACAATTTGACAAGGATTTGGGTGGGGCACAAATCCAAACTACATCACAGAGTGAGACCTAGTATTTTTTTTAAGTCAAATACACATGCTAGTAGAAAGAGAAAATGCTATCAAAGATGAAGATTTCCTTTACTGAGCTTATCAGCAGACCATATACTACTGAAAAACCAATCAAGTTAGTTAGAACATAGGTAAATAAAAATTGCCCAAAATGAAACAGAAAAGAAAGAAAACAAAGAGAAGAAAAACAAGAACAGAGCACCCAAAAGCTGTGGGATAGTATCAATTGGCCTAAGGTATGTGTGATTGGGGTCCCAATAGAAGAGAGACAGAATGAGGTAGAAGACATATTTAAAGAGGTAAAGATTGAGAACTCTTCAAATTAAACGAACAAAGCAAATCATAGATCTAAGAAGCTCAGAGGACACACACACCTAGATATTACATCAAAAATGCTTAAAATTAAAGAAAAATATCTTGAAGGCAAACAGAGGAAAGAAAAGCATTACATGCAAAGAAACAAAGATAGGAATGCAGCAAAGCAGAAGACAAGACAGAAGAGTGACATCTTTAAAGGGTTTTAAGAAAAAATTGTCAACCCAGAACTGTATACCCAATAAAACTACCTTTCAAAATGAAGACAAGGATTCTTCTTACATTCCAAAATGAAGACAAAACAAGGATTCTTCTTACATACCAACAAACACAGAGAGGAATCTTTGCCAGCAAACCTGTGCTAGAAGAAACGTTAAAGGAAGTTCTTCAGGCAGAAATTTTGGTACTAAATAAAAACCTAGATTTACACAAAGTAAAGAGAATCATTAAAAATAGTAAAAATGAACACAAATATAAGATATTTTCTTTCAAAATTCACTTTAAAGGATAGTTGATTGCTTAAGGCAAAAAGTGAAACAATATATTGTACCATGTGTTGAAGCAAAATATGCCAACAATAATTCATAGGATCAAAGAGAAGAACTAGAATTTGATTATGGTAAAGTTCCTACATTAAATAATGTGATATTATTTGAATGTAGAGAATGATAAGATAAAATGTATAATATAAACCCTAGAGCAATCGTGAAAAATACACATAACTATTAAGCCTTCTTATAAATGAAGGTAAGATGGAATTAAAATAATCCAAAAGAAGGCAAAGAAAGGAAAAACAAAGAACGGATGAGACCAGCAGAAAACAATTATCAAAATGGTAGATTTGAATCCAACTGCATACATAATTATGTCAAATAAAACATTCCAAAAATCACATTTAAAAAGCAGATATCATCAGACTGAATACAAAGGTTTACCCAACTATATGCTCTACAGAAGTTATCTTTAATATGAATGCATATATAGGTTAAAAGTGAAGGTTTAAAAGTAATTTCATAAAAATATCAATCAAAATAATACTAGAGTGGCTATATTAATACCAAAAAAGTAGACTTCAAATCTAGAAAGATTACAAGAGACAAAGAGGGACATACATATCAATAAAGAATTAATCAACAATCCATCCAGAAGATATGACAATCTTACATGCAGATATACCCGGAAACAGAGAATATAAATTCCTAAAACAAAACCAGTAGAACTGAAGGATAAACAGACAAATCAATTATACTTGGAGACTTCAGTACTTCCTTCTCAGAAATCAATAGAACAAGTTGATTTTTAAAAAATCAGTGAGGTTATAAAAGACCTGAACTATACTATCAACTAATTTGATCTAATTTATAGAATATTTCCATGCAAAAGTAGTGTACATAATTTTTTCAGTGCACATGCAATATTGAGAAAGATAGGCCATTTTTTGTGTCAAAAATAAACTTCAAGATATTTAAATGAATTGAAATCAAACACAGTATGTTCTCAGGCCACAGCAGCTTTAACCTAACAACCAGTAATAGAAAGATATATGGAAAATGTTCAAATATTGGGACTTAACCAACATAATGTCATGGAAGCCAAAGAGAAAACCACAAAGGAAATTAGAAAAGATTTTAATTTAAATAAAAATGAAAATCTAACTTACAAAAATGTGTTAGATTCCGCTAAAGCAATGCTTAGATGAAAATTTATATTATTAAATGCAAACATTAGAAAATAACAGAGATTTTGAATCAAACTCTTCAAACTATAAAAAGAGGGGCAAATTAAATCTAACACAAACAAAAGAAATTTTACAATTTTTTCTAATTATACAAACAAGAGCAGAAATAAATAGAATTGAGCACACAAAAACAATCAATAAAACCATACTGATTTCTTGAAAAGATCAATAACACTTAAAAACATAGCCAAACTTATCAAAAAAGTGGGAAAAAGAATGAGAGAAGAAAAATAAAATCAATATAGGAAATAAAGAGAGGACTTCACTATATATTCTACAGAAACTGAAAGGATAATAACAGAATATTATGAATAACCTTCTACCAGTGTATTAGTCAGGTTCTCTAGAGGGACAGAACTAATAGGATAGATGTATATAAAGGGGGGTTTATTAAGGATTATTGACTCACACAATCACAAGGTAAAGTCCCACAATAGGCCATCTGCAAGCTGAGGAGTAAGGAAGCCAATCTGAGTCCCAAAACCTCAAAAGTAGGGAAGCTGACAGTGCAGCTCTCAGTTGGGGGTCCAAGGTTCAAGAGTAGAACTTGGAGTCTGATGTTCGAGGGCAGGAAGCATCCAGCATGGGAGGAAGATGTAGGACAGGAGACTAAGCCAGTCTAGTTCTTCCATGTTCCTCTGCCTGCTTTTATTCTAGCCATGCTGGCAGCTGATTAGATGGTGCCCACCCAGATTGAGGTCGGGTCTGCCTCTTCCAGTCCACTGACTCAACTGCTAATCTCTTTTGCCAACACCTTCACAGACACACCCAGAAACAATACTTTGCATCCTTTAATCTGATCAAGTTGACTCAATATTTACCATCACAACCAGTAAATTTGATAACTTAGATAAACTAGCAAATTCCTTGAAAGACAAAAATTACAAAACATTCTCAAGAAGAAATTGATAAACTGAATAGTTCTATATCTCTTAAAGACCTTGAATTCAGAGTTAAACTCTTCCAATAAGTAAACTACTGGGCTCAGATGGCTTCATTGGTAAATCTTACCAAATATTTATTCCAAAACTTAACAACTTTTTCAGAGTATAGAGGAAGAGGAAACATTTTGATACTCATTTTATGAGGTCAATATTAGTCTGATATCAAAACTTGACAACTTCAAACTATTAAATTTTTATTTAAAATTATTAAAGAGACTTAAAATTAAATCTAACCATAAACCAACATGATAAGATGGTTAAAAGGCAAGCAGATTTGAAAATAAATAAACAAATAAATAAATAAACTTTTAGAAATTACAGTGTCTATTCACACAGAGCTTATTCTTAATAAGGGAGAAAGACAATTACAAACTTAATATTTAATAAAACAATAATAGTGAAAAATGCTAAGAAAAAGTAAATTAGGAAGACACTATAAAGAATGCTGAAGGAGCAGGTGCTATTTGGATATGGTTATTGGGGAAGCTTTTCTGTGAAGGTGAATTTAAGCACAGACCCTAAGTCAGATTTGAGGATCTGAGGAAATCACCCAGAATGTCATAGAGAGAGATGGAGAACAGAATCAGAAGTCCAAAATGTATCTAATAGGAGTTATGGAAAGAGAGAATAAAGAGATGGATGCAAGATAATATTCAACTAGATTTTGGCTGAGAATATTCCAGAACTGATGATTAAATAACTTATATCCATATATGTGAAAAATACAAGCTCTACGATACATCATAAAAACAGAATATATAAAATCAAGGCCCTAGCTAAACACACTTTGATGAAATTACAGCACACAAAAGACAAAATTTTAAAACAGTAAATGATATATGAAGCATTGGAAAGAGCATATAATGTACTCTTTCAAAAAACTTAGCTGCAAAATAAAGGAGAAAGTTAGGTGAACTAGAATTGGAAAAGGAATTAGTTGCTCTTTTTGGCTTTAATTGAGAAATTAGAATTTGTTAAAGGCAGTTGTGGAAAATATTGGTAAGAAGAAATGATTAAAGATGGGTGAGAGACTGTGATAGGGTTAATTTTAGTGGAAAGAAATGTGATTCATACCCACAGTGGCAGAACTAGTCTAATGTTGGTAAACAGGCACTTTTACTGTCTTTATAGAAGGAAAGAAGTAAGTATGGGAATACATACAGATGATAGTAGGTGAGTATTGTCAGCTTTCACATAGCTAAATATTAAGATAGCATCCTTCTGCCCCTCAAACCTTATTTTTCATTGCTTTTATGTTTCATTGTTTCATTGCTTTTATAAAATAAAAATGTTTCATTGCTTTTATAAAATAAGTTCTGAAGAACTGAAACCAAAATAGAAAAGTTGCTCAGTAACAGCACATAATAATAACAAGCACTCCATCCTTTATAAGGCAAAGATCTGAGAGAGACAGATACCCTTTCTATTATCTGACACCCATCAGAACCAGAAACATAATGTTTCTTGGTACTCGGAGAAGTACATTTTTATAATCTTAAAAATACATATTTCTTGAAAAAGATAAATGGTTTCATGTACTTTGTGGGTCAACATCACAATGTAAAAAAATTTCACATTCTACTTTTAGGTTTTAAAGCCCACTCACCCAATCAAATAAGATACTTGTGGCTAAGCTGTGTTCATAAAAACCTCCAAAGAGTCTACTATGTAATGGATATTTTTAATTCTTTCTTCAGATAACCTGATTTCTTTTTCAGATTTTCCAAATGAAGAATGACACATCATTGTTATGACACAATGAGGTAAGATTTCAAAGTGTGAGTGGGTGTTAGGCAGAAGAATACTGCTAACAAATAAAAAAAAAAATGTAGGTTGGAGTCCCACATACCATTTTTTTAAAAAGTCATGTCTGTTGCTCTCAATCACTTATTGCTAAAAATGAAATATCACAGGATATAAAGTGTCAGAGAGGCAGTCAAGAGACTTCCTTCAGATTTTTCATTGCATAAAATTAATTGGTTCAATTGAAGTTGGAGGATTGTCTAGGGGTTTCTGATAAATGCTCTTTAAAAATCATGTAGCAGTAGGTTTTGAAGTGAAAGGGGGATTTATCTATTAGTATAAGCTGTTCTATTAGAGGCATTTATAATTTGGTCAAACTAATCCTAGAAATAAATGTTTCCATCAGAAGTTGCATGCAATTGCCAATAACATAAATGTGAGATAGAATTAGTGCACAGAGAATATTGCCCTTGGTAGAAATACAATTTTTAAGGTAATACCAGAAACTCTAAGTAAATCTACTTTTTCTCTTATGGCACAGAGTAAATATAAGACTTGCACCCTGGTCACAGAGGTCCGATTAAGAGTAAATTAATGGCTGGGCATGGTGGCTCAGGCCTGTAATCCCAGCACTTTGGGAGGCCGAAGGGGGAGGATCACCTCAGGTCAGGAGTTCTAGACCAGACTGGCCAATATGGTGAAACCCCCTCTCTAATGAAAATACAAAAATTAGCTGGGTGTGGTGGTGTATGCCTGTTATCGTGGCTACTCGGGAGGCTGAGGTAGGAGAATCGCTTGAACCCAGGAGGCAGAGGCTGCAGTGAGCCGAGATCGCCCCACTGCACTTCAGCCTGGGCCACAGAGGGAGACTCCATCTCAAAAAAAAAAAAAAAGAGCCCGGGTGCGGTGGCTCACCCCTGTAATCCCAGCACTTTGGGAGGCTGAGGCAGGCAGATCACGAGGTCAGGAGATCGAGACTAATCCTGGCTAACACAGTGAAACCCTGTCTCTACTAAAAATACAAAAAATTAGCCAGGCGTGGTGGTGGGCTCGTGTAGTCACAGCTACTCGGGAGGCTGAGGCAGGAGAATGGCGGGAACCCGGGAGGCGGAGCTTGCAGTGAGCTGATGTTGCGCCACTGTGTCCAGCCTGGGACACAGAGCAAGACTCCATCTCAAACAAACAAACAAACAAAAAAGAGTAAAGTATGCCATTAGTGTCATGTGGTTCTCCTTCTTGTGGTAGAGTTTGATAGATGCATGTTGTTTGTCTTCAACTCTTATCCAATGACAGGCTGAACATTCCAAGATGTATCACAGGAGCAAGAAATTTTAGAGGTCATGATTTTACCCTTTCACCAGTAGTTTATAGTATATCATACTACAGTATCTAAAATGTAAACAGCCCTTTGGAGTTTGACCACCACTGCCACAGCATGAGTTGCTTGGTTTCAGTGTTGATTCATGGAAAAGTGCCCTCTTTCTGGAATCACCTGTCTTAGTTTGCACCTCAACACTAAAGCTTTCGAGTCAAGTGGGCCAAGCTACCTTCTGGAGACCTTAGCCTGTCCCTGTACAAAAGGAGAATGATGAAAACGACCTCCATCAAAGAGGTGTTGGGTGAATTACCCAAGAAAATGTATATTAGAGCAATCTGTAAACTGTCAAGATCTGTATCACTTTAAGGAATTTTTATCGTTGGGTAAGAACAGGCAATGGTCAAAGCTACTCTTGATAGCAGGGCCAAAGGTGAGTGTGAGGAAAATCCCTCTTGGTCCTGTTTTGGGAAACTTTTTCCATCAGTCAGAACAGTTATTTATTTAATAGCTTTAATTCTGTGTGCTTCTCCAGAGTGCTTGACCAAATAATAAGAATTATTTTAAGAAGCAGATTCCCTATGTTAATGACTTGCTAAGACTTAATGAACCGCAGTGATCAAATATGACTGATCATTATCATGCTCATATGTTATTATGGGTGAGTGTCTAACAAAAAGCTTATTCACTGGGACAAAGAGAATTGCACAAGCTTACTTATCGGACCTTCACACCGGGGTTAGGAATGGAGTAGGAAGCACAACCAATCAGGCCCAGTAACTGAGGGTGATAGCCAGGAAATTACAAGGGTGCTGTTGTAATTGTTTCTCTAATAAACATTAGGTACATGTCATCAAATATTAATAACTTTTAAATATATTTTATAATTCTTTTTTGCACTTTTTCTATTTTTACTTTTATAAGGTTACATCCTTTTTTATATGTTTTTTTTAAATGTTTGTCAGTAGATGTTGCTAGGACATGACAGAAAAAAAAGAGAACTCCACAATTTTGTAGTGTAAAGACAAAGAGATATATTCTTTCATTTCCCTCCTGTTGAGAAGTTATGTATTGGCATGTGACCGTATTCCTACACAAAGATTTAGTTGCAATAAAATAGTTAACTAACTTAAAAGAATGTGCTTCAGTCTCCCTCTGAGGGAAAGATAGAGCAGGTACATTAAATAAGCATTTGTCATTAGCAAAGACCACTAGCAAGGACCCAATGTCGTGGAGTTTGGAGCATGCCCTGGGCGGTTGAGACAAGCGTTCAGGGAAAAAAATGAATTTACTTCTGACTATTTTGTGTTAAATGGGTTACTCCAATTTAATAAGCTTCTGTTGTGCCCTGACTATATGTCTGCACTATTCTGGGCACTGGGACCTCACTGTTAAACATGACACAATTCCTGCCCCCATGCAAGAACTGATATCAACCTTGATAGAGGTTTATAATATCTTATGATCTGGACACTACCACAGAAGAAGGAGTGATAGAGAGACAGAAAATGGATGTCATTTTCAGCCTGGGTGTATAACTCAAGCTGGTGTATAACTCAGCCTGGAATGCATAACTCAAGCTAACAACAACTGAGCTTGCTATTAAATGATAAGTGGTCATTAGTTATAGTATAGTCTCCAGACATATCTAGTAAGCACTGATAAAAGAAAAGTATTTAGACAGACAGCGTGGCATAAACAAACGCAATTAGCATTAGCATTGCAGGAAACCAAAACATGAGAGGGAATATGACTAGTTAAAACTATGTAACTAGATATGCATATCCAGAGATAGGCTTGTAGAAATAAGTAGAAGACTTTATGAAGGGATTGTTCTTTCTGCTAAGGAGTAAGGGTATTGAACTTCTTTGTCTTTTGTGTTCTGTGATTTCATCAAAATGTGTCTAACGCGGGCTTTATTTTTATCATTAACTTTCACTGGAAAGGTTCTTTTTCTGAATACAAATGTCTGCCCCATCCCTTACCCTTTAAGCAATTAGGTCCAGTTGCCAGGTCGGCTTTGAAGCTCTCATTTTAACACCACTACTACTTCATTCCAAGGCTAGTGCCTTTATCTCATAACATTTCTTTCTTAGTTTTATCCTCTATTTTACTGATGTACCCTCCTCAAATAACTTTCTCAGAAAGGGTAAAGGAGAAGTAAAATTTACGAATTCGTACAAGTCTAAAAACATCTATTTTGCTTTCACTCCTGATCAATACTTAAGTCTCAAAAATTGTGTTTAAAAGTGTTTTTCCAAATGGATGATTTTTTAAATTTATCAACATTATCAACAATGCTGCTGCTGGTAAGCATGATGCCAGTTTGTGTGTGTTTTTTTTTTTTTTTTCATTTATAGAAGAGTTAAAAGTCGATGTGCAGGGGAGCAACTGTCCAAAAGATGGCATCAATTAGCCCCTTGTTTTTAGTCTTTCAGTCTCTCTTGCCTTTACCCTCAAAGGTAGACTCTTGTCTCTGCTGAAATTTCATTGTGCATGTTGGGAAATATAGTTTGGTTTGCTTTATTTTGCCTTTAAACATGTCAATATATTTCCAACTGCTTTCAATCTTCCAGAAACATATTTATCTCTCTCCCTTCTCATGCTCCAATTTTGTCTCATGGTTCATGTTGTTATTTAGGGTTTATACTTTAAAAATCTCAACGTTTATTTCTACACAGGATCAGAAGGAATGAAAGTGAATGAGTTTTCTCCACTTACTCTCTGAAGTAAGAACTCCATGTCACTTTTTAAATGAATAAATAAACAGATAAATACAGGACATTTCATTATAATCACCTACTTATTTTAGGTATCAATTGTAACATCATCATAACATGTCCCAACTTTGCCTTAAGATTTCTTACTCTGCTTTTTATGAAGCTATTTTGGTTTTGGGTTTTGGATATATAATAAATGCAGGTTTTAAAAAAATAGTTTTTTCCTGATGCTTTCTATACCTACATTTATAAAATATAATTCACACTGAAGCTTCTTGTTTTTCAAAGAAGTTGGACTAAAAGGTATTGACCGGAGACTCGACAGCTTAATTTTAATATTTGAATCTCCATAAATTCTTCGATAGAGATGAATTTCTAATGCCTTTAATGATTGGCACCACAGAATTGAAAGAACTTCAAAAAACCTACTGTCATCAATCATGCATGGCAGTTCTTTATCCAGGCACATGTTAAAGGACTTTATGGATTCTTATGATGTGTGCACCTTGAAATTTCTAAGTTTGATTTAAAAGAATGCACTAGGATATAATTAACTCAGAACTTAAAGCCTTGTGCATAATTTAGAGGCAATTACAGTTCAAGGAAATAATAAGCTAACTTTTCAAATTCAAACAAAAAACAATCTGGGAAAAAAATAGAATTAATCACTGGCAATTACTGAGTTAAAATATCTAACTTATTACCTGAAATACTCCCACATAATCATGCATTCAACTTTAACTGAGCCCATAATTGTAATCGTAATTAGGAATCTGCAGGCATTAAAAATCCAAAAGATCATTAAACACATAAAGCTACTATTTAAAAAAAAACTACTTAAACTTTCCACCTACAAAATTAGTTTAAAGCTTTTAATTATGCCTTACAAATCTGAAACTTATGAAAATTTGAAATGGTTCTTTGACAAAATATAATTTTGTGTGATATTGAAAAATAGGTTTGAAAAATCAATAGCAGGAATTCTGTTTGTTTCCATAACTATTTTTAATGTGTCTTCTGAGCTCCTATTTAGGTATTAACGGCATTTTAAAGCAATCAATATGCTAACTACAAATCCTTTGCTATGTCTCATTATAGGGCATGGAGTTAGACTGATTTAGTTACCAGTACATTTGAAAATAATAAAAATTATTTCAGACTCATTAAATTCAAACTAGCTTCCTCTCCTTGTTTAGTCCAAATAGAGGGAAATTTTACTATACCTAACACTAGTTATAAAGCCACATCTCAAATAAATGAATACTCATTAAAAATATGAAATGACATTTCTTCCTATGATCTAATGGCAAGGAAAATTAAAAGGTTTAATTAATTTGTGAAGGTTTATTCATAACGAGGCAACATTCATTTTATTTTTTTTAAAAAATTCAATTCTATGACTGCCCATAAATTAAAGAAAGTAGTATCCGTGGTTTTCTCTGGGGTTCTGTGCAAGTAAATCTCCAGTTTAGGTTTATCTGAAATGCTGCCACCAAGTCTGTACATTGTTTCTTGCATTTCTCAGTTACTCTACAAACCTCCCAAAATTGATTTTTGAAAGGTTTCTTTGATTATCATAACTAGTAAAAATTGAAAACAACAATGATACCAAAACCTAAGTAATGCTTCCTATGTAAAAATTAGTCCAAAATTGAAATGAGAAGGTATTTTTAAAATATCAGGTTTCTTGAGCATTAGGGTAACATTTGGCATATTGTGGGCATCAGTAAATGACTCCAGACTGCTCAGGTGAGAGTAGTAAAACCGTAGCATAAAGGATGAAACTAACTCTTGGTTAAAATAAATTAAAAAACAAACAACAACAACAACAAAGCCAAACTGAAACAAATCCGTAGAACTATGAGAGATTTGGGAAATGCCTAAGTCTATTACAAAAATGATTACGTTTCCTTAGGATTTAAATCTAGCCATATCGAGTAGAGTCTAAATAATGGTTTAGGGAAAAAGAAGAAAACGTGAATACAAACAAGTGGCCTACATATTGTCCAGCAAAACATGTGCGATCACCAAGATGAAGACTGAGTCAGAACAATCCAGGAAGAGATGGTCTGCCCATTGGTTGCTGTATCCCTAAAGTGAAGAGAGCTGGATCACAGTTTTGTAAGCCTGATGTCATTAATTATAAAGGTCATCCCACTGCTCCCTTTGCTTTTATTCCATGATCAATGAATATATTTCTTATAATAATTTGGTTTTTACATATACTTTCCTAGAAAGGAAAGGATGTGCTAACCAAAATATAAATTGTGTTTTACATTGTATAAATATCTCTGCCGCGTGCAGTGGCTCAGGCCTGTAATCTCAGCACTTTGGGAGGACGAGGCGGGCGGATCACCTCAGGTCAGCTGTTGGAGACCAGCCTGGCCAGCATGGTGAACCCTGTCTCTACTAAAAATAAAAAAATTAACCAGGTATGTTGGCAGGGACCTGTAATCCCAGCTACTTGGGAGGCTGAGGCAGGAGAATCGCTTGAACCCAGGAGGTGGAGGTTGCAGTGAGCAGAGATCGCGCCACTGCACTCCAGTCTGGGTGACAGAGCGAGACTCTGTATCAAAAAAGATAAAATAAAATAATAAATATCTCATTTTAAAAAGAACAAATATTGTTTTAATAACCATCTCTTGTGACTCTAATTGTGGAAAACCATCACCAAATCAGCTTAATCAGAACACTGCCAAAATTTGTGTTTCTTGGCCTGCAGGTTAAGGATTTACACCTAGATCATCTTGTAAGGCTCCAGAACAGAAATTAGCTGGACTCCCTTGTCAGTATTTCAGATATCTACACTATACCTTTAATTTCATAAGTATTACATGGTGTAATCAAATGTTCACTTTTATGTTTGTATTCTTTATTATTTATTTAATTGACAGTTATTGAGGAATTAAACAATTGTGTTAGGCATTATGCAAAGCGCTGATGTGCCAAACAAATTTTGATACATGTATTGATAGTATTTACATTCTATAACTAGTAGTTTTTTCATCTATTGAGCATGTACTATGTGTCAGGCACAGTTTTAAGAATTCTTGCAGGTATTAGTCCGTGTAATCTGTAACCACTCCATGAGAACTTCTTTTTTTCTTCTCCTTCTCCTTCTTTCAGATGATAAAACTAGGGATAATGTTTAAATAACTCTGAGAATCACACCACTGGGACACAAAATCAGAGTTCACGGAGTATGTATGTGGATTCCCCTGGTAAGAAAGGGAGAAACTGATCACACAAGAATATACAAATGTAAATGGTGATTAGTCCTGTGAAAGAAATTGTATAATGATATAGGAAAATCGTGTAAAGTAAGACCAGACTTATAGGCAGGGAATAAACCCTGGAGGATTTTTGTACCATGTTAAGGAGGAGCCTCTTGCAAGTTTTAGCAAAAAAAAATAAAATAAAATAAAATAAAATAAATAAACAGCTCTTTTAAAAGATCACTTTGGTTGCAATGTAGAAAACATAATTGAAAGAGCATGGATGGATGTGGAAGAAGGAATTTTTAAAAGCCAAAGTGAGAAAAGACTGCATTGGAGGTGGTAAAGATGCAAAAGAGTGGATTGTTTGGCAGCATTAGGACATAACATCAACAGAGCTCATGGAAGCCTGGAAAAGAGGGGCCAGGGACCATTTCTAGGAATCCCACTTGCACGGCTGAATGGATGGTAAAACCATCCCCGGAGACAGAGAAAGAAAATAATCATATATTCTAAATTATGTTTACAAGCCTTTCTGAACACCACATTTCTTCAATGTATCAAATAACAGCCAATTGTTTCTTCACTATCTGACAGTCAAAACCTGTATTTCAATTAAGCTTTCTTGACATCTCACTACAGGTGTAAGTTCTTACTAGAAGGAGCAGGTGAGCAGGGAAGGATCTGTCTCCGTCTGAAATAATATCCCCATTTGTCATTTCCTGAGCCCTGAAACCTTCTCCTTTCTTTTATTCCCCACTAGATTTTTAACTTCACTCATATAGCCGATATTTCTCGGGGACTTAATATACACTTGAAATATTTTACACTTGAAATCCATATTATTCAAGATTCTACTCAATAGCACCTCTTTCAGGAAATTCTTATGCTTCTTAACCTTACCTTCTTTGCAGCCTTGCAGATTTTTCTTTCAACGTATTTTATAAGCATTACTTCATTTGTTTTGAATTATATTTTTTGGTCTACTTGCCCTCTCCCATCCTTAAGGATCTGTTGTCTCTATTTTTCCAAGCACTTGTTTTGCACATAATAGAGGCTATGTTTGTCAATAAAATTATATTGATTAGAGATCCATAGTGAATACCATGATACTTGGGTAAGAATGCAGGAATCTTACCCAAGTATCATGGTATTCACTATGGATCTCTAATCAATATATTGGCTGTGGGTTCAAATATATTAGAAATCTCTGCAAAAAAAATGTAACTGGGAAAATTGTAATTGTAGAAATGAAAGATAGACATTTTTCTAGGTGCTGATGCCCCTTGTAATATGTTTCCTTTTTGAACATTCTAAATATTTCCACATCATTAAGTGGCTCAATTTCACCATGACTCAAGGAGGCATTCAACCAATGCATAAAATTATGCTTTAATAAGGAAAAGAAGAGCTTGATCTTTATTTCAGATTTATGCTCTACATTTCCTAATAGTAATGACTGTTTTCATGGCAGCTATTTTCCACAGTTTCATCAGTTAATCTTAAGTAGTACTAGTTTCTTGGGGAAAAAAAAACTGCAATACATTTCCTGAAAACTATAAAAATAGGATTAAACATCAGTCAAAACTAAAACAATCATATGTAAGAGTTGTATCATCTGCCTGGCACTGGAACTATTACTGGTCTTTGAAATACACAATTACATTAGTAATTCATCATTATCCCTGAGGAGCTATCCATGTTCCCACGGCTGATTGAAGTGGAGTGGAAGCAAATCATAGAGAGGGCTGTGAAGGACACAGTTTTCTGCAGTTGCACATTATATTTAACTATAGTCTTATCCAGGCTCTCTTGCTAATGAAGCCATGTGACTTCAAAAAATCAACCCATTAATGGACATTAATCCTGAAACTCAAATGAGCAGGAAAAACTATAACGATGTTGCAAAGGGAATAGAAAGTATGATGTATACATAAACACCACTTTCCAATTTAGAGACCTTGGGCAAGTTCCCTAATCTCATTGTGCCTCCATTAGCTCCTCTATAAAAGGGACTCTAAGAGTCCCTACCTCACAGTGTTGCTGTGAGTTTTGATGAGTTAATACAGGCAATTACTTTGGACATTGGCTAAATTTAGCAAAGTAATGATCAATAGTGTAACATCAATAAGTGTTTCTGTTGTAGTTGCTATTACCTGAGAAGCCTTCATTTTAATTTAAATAATTGTCTTTTACAATCATCCAATCCGTGTAGGGTCTACAGTGAAGTAGAGGAGAATGGCTCCTCTACTCTTTCAACTCATCCTCCTCCATGGTTCCTCAGTAAGTGTGGGTCCTTTTGTCTCTGCTTTTCATGGCTGCCGTTCTGGGAGCATGTCTTTCCCATTCATTACAAAACAATCCTATTATGAATGTCTTCTCTTCCCTTTAATCCTTCCAATCTCCCATATTTGCTCCTCATTTCCTACTTTGAGGTGATACTCATTTGGTTCTATTGGGTTATTATATTCTATCTAAATAAGCCTGGTGGTTGGAAGTGGGGAGGGAAGATGAATATCAGTTAGAAGATTTTCCCTACTGTCAAGCTGCACTTTCTTTTACTGTTCCTAGAAATATCTCTTGTTCTTCTTCAAAATCAAAATTCTTTCTTAATTTTGTTGTCCTAGCTTTGGGGCCTGCCAAGCCCCCCAAAAATGGCCCTAGGAAAAGGAATATCTTAAGGGGTCAAACAACCCCTCTTCCAACAAATCCAAAGTAATCCTGAAAAACTCAAATCAAATTATGCCACTTGCTGTTTAAAACACACCCATAGCTTCTCTGCGTTTAGAGTAAAATTCAAACTCCAACTCTGGCCAACCACACCCTGCATGACCTGGCATCTACCTACTGATCCTGCCACATGTCTCACCACTCTCCTCCTCTTCATGTCACTGGCCTTCCCTCAGTTCCTAGAAAGTTTAATCTCTTTGCCGCCTTAATGCATTTGTCTGAAATAATCTTTCATCATTTCTTTCCTTGAATAACTTTGTCTTCATCAGGTTTCAGCTTAATTCTCACTTCTGTTGCAAAGCCTTTCCTCTCATAACCTCTCCATCTAAATTGTTTGATGCATTTTTATAGTGACGGGGTGAGGAGTGAGGTGGGCTGGGGTGCCGGGGAGGCCCCAAGAGGTCAGGGGCCTCTGGGTTAGGGTCTTTGGGGAACCCTCAGTGAGAGAGCCAGCAGGAGTGGCTCTTGAACTCCTGACCTCAGGCGATCCACCTGCCTCAGCCTCCCAAAGTGCTGGGATTACAGGCAAGAGCCACCGTGCCCAGCCAGGGAGTGGCTCTCGCACAGAATGTCCCCATGCGGCGCTGTCACAGCAGCAGGCTAACGGTAGCGGGGAGCCAGAGTTGGGGACAGGTGAGGCCAAAAGTTCTTCTGAGCCCAGGATCCTTGAGAAAAGGAGTCTTCAGGGCCAGGCACAGTGGCTCGCGCTTGTAGTCCCAGCACTTTGGGAGGCTGAGGCGGGCAGATCACCTGAGGTCAGGAGTTCAAGACCAGCCTGGCCGACATGGTGAAACCCTGTCTCTACTAAAAATACAAAAATTAGCCGGGCACGGTGGCACCTGCCTGTAATCCCAGCTACCCGGGAGGCTGAGACAGGAGAATTGCTTGAACCCGGGAGGCGGAGGTTGCTGTGGGCCGGGATCAAGCCACTGAACTCCATTACACTTTGCATTTTTCTCTAGAGCATTAGTCATAATTTATGATTATATATTTATCAATTTGATAGATTTCTAAATGTCCACCTCCTCCAGTAGGCTCTGCATAAGAACGTGGACCATGTCTCTCTTGCTCACTGCTGTATCCTCATAGATTCAGGGGCATATTTGTAGAATATGTGTTATTTGTAAATTTTTAATGTTATAGAAAACACCTAAGAGTATGATTTTAAGAGCTCAACAGACCTTATCAGCAGTGGGGTCTGGAACTATAGTTTCTCTGAGCCTCAGTTTTCTTATCTGTAAAATGTAGTCTCATTCCTCAAAGTCTTATGATTGAATCTTATGCACAATCTACAGCATTGGAACAGGGGCTTAGTAAACACTCAGTAACCCTCATCTGACACTCCTACTGCCACTTTTGTCTCCCATGGTCTAGTTTCACAGCCATCATGTTAAAAGGGAAGTTGGATCACATTATTCCTATACTTGAAACTCCCCAGTGTCTCTTCATTTCATTCCAAATTCCTTGGAAACACACAGCCCTGTGAGCTGCCCTCTCTCCTCCTCCCTCTCTTCTCTCCATCTAGTCTCCTCTCCAACCACCCAATCCCTCCCTCTCTCTCTTCCAGCCACACCAATCCTCTTATTAATCTTACATACTTGCCTCCATCCTTCGCATTGGCCATTGCTTCCATTGGGAAAGCTCTTTTCGGGTGAATGGTTGGCTTTCTTTCCCTCTCCAGTGACACTTCTATGTAATTACAATCACTCCTTGCCCCCAGCACTCCCCACCCTCCTAGTCTGCTGTACTTTTTTCCATCTCACTTATTCACCCCTCAAACCACGCTATAAATTATTCATTATGCTTATTGTCTGTCTCACCCCACTAGAATGTAAACTCTATGAGAGCAGACATTTTTGTCTGTTATATTAACTGCTATATCCTCAACACCTAGAGCAGAACCTGGCCTTATAGTAGGTGCTTAGTTAATATTTTTGAATAAGTAAATGTAACTACTATATTAGGATTATTATCATTATATGGAGATTTTCCTAAGATACTTTCCTATTGGATTCTAACCACATTTTTGCAATAGGAAAAGTCTGATTATTTGTTATCATGATACTTTCAAAACAGTTTGTCCTGCTCAAGAGTTAATTAAGGGCAAATAGAAAAAAAAAATTCAATCGCCTTGCATTCTGAGACAGCTCTGGCTTTTTGCCATTTGGTCACTCTTATTTGAAATATCCAGTTTTGCAAAATATTTTTTGAATCCTCACTTTCTAATTTGGCATTCTATTCTTTCCCCCAATTTCTATATGCTGCCACAGCTGAATATTATTTGCATCAAACCATAATAAAGAAAGCATCAATGACCTTTTCATTCTCCCCTGCCCACCAATCCTTGTCCTCAAGTTTCATTCTGTAATTAAGGGGCCTCTCCCCTTTATTTGGATGTCTGGTCCACCGTGCCTCACTACCTTTTGATTTCCAACTTTGCTTTACATAATCCTGCTGTTTCTTGATTACTTTCACTGATTTAGCTACTTGACCTGATTAAGACTTTAATTGGCATCAATCTTTGTCTTTTAGAACCCTATTTGTTCTAGCTTTCCCAATCTGGCTCTATTATACTTGATATAATTTCTAATTCCTCTCTATAGATGCCTTGGGGCTTGATATTGGGAGAAGGAGCCAGGAAGGAGCCATAATTGCAATGATGTGGGTGATGGGAAGATAATATATATATCAAGGAATTAATTTAGGACTTAAAGGATCTTAAACTCTTCCCTGATGGGATTGTCACATGAGAGAAATGAGACCCTTTGGGGATACAAATTTATAGAGCAGAATAAATGTTGGTGACAAATGAAATGAAAGGTTGGTGTTGTGTTTTTTTTTTTTCTATTAGTTCCTCCAGGTCAGGGAGACCACATATTACTTTACTTTTTTATCCTGAGCACTTAGCATGCTGTCCAATACATAGCAGGCATTTGAACAAATGTTTCTTGTTGAAAATTACAATAGGGCAGCAGCACTTATAAATCTACAATATGTTATTATTGTCACTATGTGGTTACTTTCCACAAGAATTATGTTATGACTAAGCAATTATATATTCTTAGCATATGAGAAAAATGTGCAAACAATGTTCACAAGGTCACTTACCTTCTATGGCAAAGAGAAGTGGATATGAGTGAGATAGAGCAAACTACCTCACTGGTGGGTAAATCTTTAGAACGAATCTATCAGGGTTCCAATGTTGTAAGGTGGATTAACTGTGTTAATCTATTCATAGCACTTAGAAAGGGACTGCCACAAGTGTTCACTAAATGTTAGCTATTATAAATGTTATGATTTTTGTTACCTATAGAGATTTTAAAGCATACTCCTGATGCTGATACCCAAGTATCTCATTTAAGAAGTCCAGACTCAGGCAGCCATAACTTGTAGAAGCTCCTTTGTTGGCTCTAAAGCCAGTCTTTGATTTACACCTCTATGCCCCAGTGGGCCTGGAGGACTGACAGAGTGAGAAAAGGCATGGCTGAGGAACCCTGAGCCTGTTTCCTACCCAGTCATCTCTTGCACCAGTCCCAGGGCCAGAGAGAGGCAAGAGCTGTATTCCTTTTCATGTTCTATGTCATTAGTCTTAAAACTCTCAATGATTTTTGTCCTTCATGTATTCCAGAGGTGCACAACCCTAGTGTTTACAGGCATTTTTGTTCACCTCACTTCAGACATCAGTTTTCCCCTTGCTTCAGACATCAGGTTTAGACCTTGGAAAATGAATCTAACAACATTTTCCTGGTTCTGAGTAGGATGAGCCAGAAAGTAGTGAGCCTATAAAAAGACATCCAAATGTTAACTGCCCCTGGTACCTCATAGAAATTTCCAACTCAATGTATCCAAAATGAATTTTACTATCTCTCTTCTTCATCTTGCTTCTACTGCAGTGTTCCCTTTCTTGGCTAATTGTCCCCACAATCCATCTCCCAAAAACATAGGGTTTGTCCCCATCTGCTCTACCCTCCACCTTAATCACTCCCAACCAGTAGATTATTCATATATATGTGAATAATTCTTCTACAGAAATTCAATCAAATTGTCACCACTGCTGTTATGATTAGCTATGATAACATAATATGTCTCCAATGTATCTTTCTAGGCCTATATTTCTACCCCTGCTTGACTGTGTCACTCCACTTCTCTGCCTATCCTCTGTAGTCCATGTTCAAGAAACTTCTTACCATTCACTGAACATGCCCTTCTTGATCTCAGTTCCAAGACTCTGCCTATGACATTGTTTTAGCCTGGATTTTTCCTTTCTACATACTCTGGTTAGCAAATTCTAATTCATCTTAAAGACCTAGTTCAAATAGCACTTCTATGAAGCTGTTTATCTTCTTCTCTTTATAACTGCAGTCAGTTCACATTCCCATAGCAGATATAAAGACAAAGTATGAGGCTGCACTGGGCATTGTGGCTGGCGCCTGTAATCACAGCTACTTGGGAGGCTGAGGCAGGAGAATCACTTGAATCCAGGAGGCAGAGGTTGCAGTGAGCCAAGATCACACCATTGCACTCCAGCCCAGGTGACAGTGTGAGACTCTGTCTCTAAATAAATAAATAAATAAAATAAAGACAAAATATGGTGTTGTCAGGGATGCTCTATTTTATCAAAGGTTAATTTAACTTCTGAGGCCGGGTGTGGTGGCTCACGCTTGTGATCCCAGCACTTTCGGAGGCCGAGGCAGGCAGATCACCTGAGGTCAGGAGTTCAAGAACAGCTTGGCCAACATGGTGAAACCAAGTCACCACTTAAAATACAAAAATTAGCTGGGCACGGTGGCATGTGCCTGTAATCCCAGCTACTCCGGAGCGTGAGGCAGGAGAATCGCTTGAATCCAGAGGCAGAGATCGTGCCACTGCACTCCAGCCTGCATGACAGAGTGAGACTCTATCTCAATAGAAATAAATAAATAATAAAATGAAATAAATTTACTTCTCTAAGTGGTAAGAAAAGTAACCATTTCAAAAATAAAATAGTCTGTAGAATGACCATAATTTCTATTGCAGTTTAACAGAGTAAATACCTCTAAGAAAAATAATGATTGAATACAAATCCCGTCATTTTTACTGAATCTCAAAAAGAAAATTATTCCATCCCCACCTATTTCTTTTGTTAAAGAGGGTTTATGTGGGTTTGTGAGCTATATAATATCTTGGAATCTGATTCATCAACAAATACTCTGCATGTATTATCTGCAACACACTGTTCAAAGTTCTAGTTAGGTCGTTAAAAGTGCTATGCCTAGTAAAACTGCATTCTGTCATATCACACTGACAGATGGTTTTCTCATAGGAAATGATGATTATCAGTAGCATTCTTCACAGACACACATTTTGGATAACAGCAATGTGTCAGCATATCCATTAATGATTTTTTTTAATTTGTTGGCATGATGTCATAATTTGGCATTAATAACAGGTTGGATTATATAAGATATTCTACAAAATCTTTGCTCATAAGTAATTGATGACAATTGTGAAGAAAACATTTCATTTGGTTGTTTGCCATTTGTAGCAGTGGATGGAACAAACTCAGCTGTATATGTTATTTTTGCTTCCTTTGCCTGTACCTATGGACAAGGGATTGCCTTCAGGCGTTTGCCTTCAGGAAACCAGCAAAGGTGGGTACTCATCAGCACAGTACAGAATCCCCAGTACAGAAAGGACCTTCTCAGTCACCCAACAGGCAGAGTGATGTTTTAGAGAAGTTCCACTGTAGACAATTTTCTCTCAATCATCATCCTAATATAAGTGCTTGCCTGCTTCTTTCCTCCCTCCCTCCCTCCCTCCCTCTCTCCCTTCCTTCCTTCCTTCTTCCCTCCATCTTTCCTTCAATAGAAAAGAAATATCTGCCTAAGGAATTTCAAAATAAATTATTTTCAGGATTACTAAAGGTCGTTTTCTCATTTCTTGTCAATCTGTGGTAGAGAAAGACCATTTTAAGGAGTTTCCATGTGTTGAACTATTTTTCAATTGTCAAGGATTTAAAAATAATTTCCGATGTTTTAGTAATATCCTCCAGCAGCTGATTATGGCCTCAGGAACAAGCTTGGGCTTTCTGGGTTGTAAAATTTGCACAGTGTAATAAAGTGACTCTGGAAAAGCTACTGGCTCCATAACCCACTGTAATATGAGATTTTATGGCCAGCAGCACAGTTGCTTCAGAATGGTCCATGGCCATAATAGCATAAACATCTGTTCTTCTGTTATATTTATTTAAAACAATAATAGCTTTTTTAAAATTAAATACCTGTTTTGTGCTAAAAATTATATTATATACTTAATATGTCTAATCTTTTCAAATATTTAATATAGCTCCATTGAATAGAAACTGAAGCTTCCTAACTTAGAAACTGGCTGAGGTCACACAGCTAGCTGGTAAGTGATGAAACTGAATTTAGAACCCAAGTATACTGGAGTCCAAATTCCCTACCTCTCTTCCTGGCTTCCTGCCTCCTAAGGTGAAGGGAATTTTACTCTATTCTAACAGAAATTATTTTATTTCATTTTAAAAATCTATTAGTTTATGTGTTGTTGTAGCCAATATTCATCCATTTCTTTCTCCATGTATATTATTCTGACACCAATTTCAGGGAAACAGAGATTAAGGACAGGATATAAATCAAGCAGCTCTACTTCAATAAAACAAATGTTTAAGATCTCTACTTTTTATAACTTTTGTTTATGAGAAAACAAGGGCTCATTTATTCGTAGTTTAGCTTCTGTGCTTTATATTGTGAAATGAGGTAGAAATCTAGGACCTTAACCCAAGTATGTTTCAAGTGGAGAGCTTTATGTAGTACAGAATTAACAAATATTTATGGATGATGATAATAATGATGTTTTGGTGCATGATGCCAGAAAGGACATTTATTGAATAACACTATTTTAAAATGCCTTGATATATACAATCTCTTTTAATATTGTAATAATTTTAAAAACAAGGTATTACTATTTCTGTTTTACATATAAGAAAACTAACTCAGATCAGTAAAATAACTTGCCTAAGATCACACAGCTGGTAAGAAGCAGAATTGTAATTTTAGTTCAAGTATGTCTCACTCCAAAATCTCTTTTTCCATAATATTGAAATGTTGACCCAGACAAAATGAAAATTAGTTTATCAGTTATCAATGCCTTCAGTTAGTGGTAACAAAATTTATCCACAATGACTCAACTCAATAGGGGCTTATTGTTTACATAGACTAAGAAGTCCAGAGTTGAGCAATCTAGCACTCATATGGTGGATCAAGGAAGTCATTACAGAATGAAGCATAATCTAACTCTGATTCATTCTCTTTAGAATGTGGCCTCAGCCCCCATGGTTCCAAGATGTGACTCCCCTCACTGGTCATCAATCCTCTTCTCCAGGCAAGAAGTGGTGAAAAGTGAAGGGCAAAGGGAATGTACTTGTGAATCTGTATTTTATTGAGAAAATAACAGCTGTCGCAGCAGTGTCCCCTACTGAGTTCCACTTCCTTACTAGGACAGTGTCATATGAGCCTCCTTTATTATAAGGGAACCTGTGAAATTAGTGTGGATTTTAGCTGCATACATTGAAACCACAGACAAAAAACTGGAATTCTGTTAAAACAGAGCAATAGAATTAGCAGACAGCAGTATCCAGCACAAAAACAGAGACAGGGGGAAATGAGAGCTAGAGCTCAGTTAAAAATTGAGAGGAATTTATGAAGCCTAGAAAGAGATGATTCATTATTTCTCATAGAAAATACATTGGACAACTAGATAAAAAGGATCATAAGGGAGTCATTTGCTCAACGACTTAAATATATTTTCTGTTAACCTCCCTATTGGTCTGATTACTTGAACACCAAAGAGTAGTATCCTACTGGCATCTAGGCTATCTCATTTACTGTGAGGAAAGACACACTTAGGACACCCAAACAGCATAAAGATCCAATTGGAGTAATAGTGGCCTTCTGGGTGATTTTATAAGTAAGATTATTATATAAGTAAGATTACTATATAAGTAAGATCTATTGCTCTATCCATATCCAAGCCATCAGTAAAGCAGAAAAATCAGGGCTGTAGACCCTAGACATTTTTAGACAGAAGTAATTGTCACAGTGCTTTGGTGATCAAATATTTGCAACTCTAGACTTTGAAAAAATAAAACTTTCAGATGACTGAGTTCATATAAACTCTTGCTAAACTGGACATGGTTACACTGACAAACATAAACCCCTGAGCCATCATCTTGAAACATGTTGGACTTTCCCTGTTCATAAAAATAAGTCATTTTTTTCCCCTCTCAAGTATAGACTTAGAGATTCATTATAATTATTGTTTACCTGTTACAGACGTAGGCATATGGATATCTATATGCATACGGAATGTTTTATAAAGAGGAGTTAATGAGAGGAAATTACAATCCCTTTCCATCCCAGGATCAAACTTAACAACACAGAAAGAGCAGGCATTATAGTACATGTGCTAAAATTAGAGATTTACACAGCCCTGTGTATAGAGCCTGTGCAAATTCATGAAGGTCTCTAAGTTTTTCCAAGATTACCTTCTGAAGCTTTGTCTGACCCTGTGCCCCCATGGCAGTTGGTACATTCCTCTATTAACATTTGTCTTGTTGTATTTAATTATTAGTGTATTTATTTAGCTTCTCTACCAAGCTGTGAGTTTCTAGAAGACAGAGCCACATCTTGTATATCTTTATGGCTGCATTTTCTGGCATATAATGGCCTCTCTGGAATTGCTAAATTAACTCAATAATGTTCTCCTCTCTTCCTCCTAATCTGCTTTTAACTGTGACTTTCTCAAAGAGGCATTCCCTGTAGAAGTATTTTCCAATCATTCCCATCATCCCTAATATTTCTCTATCACTTCATTTCGAGCACTTTCTGCAAGTTTTATTTACCAGTACAATCCTTGGCAAGGAAAACGTTTTCTGGCTCAATGTAGGCACAATAAGTCAATGTTAAATGAATTAGTGAAAGACAATAATATATATAATATATTTACATTATGATTTAAACTATCATAAACTATGGTTCTGAAAAAAGTTATCTTTTTATAATCAATGAGGATAGTATCACCTAAGTCAAAAATGGGGGAAAGATAAACTGTAAAGAAGATATTAAAACTGCCAAAAGTACTTGGCACTTGACGACAGTGAGAAGTTCTCAACTTTGAGTGCACGGAAGCTTTATAAAATATTGATGGCTGAACCCACCCCTAGAGATTCTGGTTTAATTGGTCTGAGGTATAGTGTGAGTGGAATGATTTCTAAAGCTCCCACATGCAGTCGTGATGCAGTGTCCTCCCATGCACAGTGATTCTCAGTTCATGGACCCAACATTGCTATGAGATATCTTTCAGTTGCAAAGGTTTTGTGATGATTTCTGGAATTGAATAGTGAAGAGATGACAGGGTCTTCATCTGAAACTTCAGTGTTTGCAGGATCACCTAATACTTCCATTCCTATGAGCGTACATCTTTCAGTAAGCCTTGATTTTTTTTCTAGCTCCTCCTGCCACACCCAAAACCAAATTTTACTAAGGCTTAAGGATCGTTCACTATGTAAGTGAACACTAACAATACCCTCAAATTGCTCAATTTGTTCCACCTTCTAAGATATTGGATATCGAGTAATTATCCAAGAGGGTTGAGATTGGAATTGATATCAAATAATATTATAATTCCTAAGGCAAATAACATAAGTAAGGGGCTGTTAATTGGGCTTTCAGCTGAAATAAATAATGCAGGCTTGAGACTATTTTTTGTCTCTACAGAGCACTTTGAATTCAATCTTTTGCTTCAGAAAGGCGTCCATAAAAATAGAACAACTCAGTTTGGAACAACAACGACAACAAAAATAAACTATGAAATACATTGCATGATGATGAAAAACAAATACTGGCTTGCCAGTCTGAAGAGATGAGTTCATGTATCCACATCACCACAGTAGCACTGCGAATAGGGGAAATTTATTTTCTCCAGGCCTCAGTTTCCAGAGATTAGATGAGCTATCGAGTTTCTTCTTTTGGCTTTTATTGATATACTGATTAAAAAAAAAACTGGCTTACATAAAATTGGCTTTTCCAATTTTATGGCTTTTGTTCTTTGTCTTCAGAACAATACAGAAGCAGGCTAGCGGGGGCCAGATGCAACAGGAAAAGGCTGGAGCAGAAATCATCCCAAACTGCTAATGGCGTTGTTCTAAAAGTCTGGTGGTACTGTGATCTGTTCATGGGAACTAGGTGTTCAGTGCTCAGGAAGTCAGCCTTCTACTGTACCCTAGAGCAGCCATCTCTTCTTAGGTGAATTGCCCCATTGTTGACCTCTGTTAAACTAAGGTGGCCCAGAGCAATGAAAATGATTATGGGGTAGAAAAGTATAATATAGCCAGGCGCGGTGGCTCACGCCTGTTATCCCAGCACTTTGGGAGGCCGAGGTGGGTGGATCACGAGGTCAGGAGATCGAGACCATCCTGGCTAACACAGTGAAACCCCGTCTCTACTAAAAGTACAAAAAATTTAGCCAGGCATGCTGGCGGGCGCCCGTAGTCCCAGCTACTCGGGAGGCTGAGGCAGGAGAATGGCGTGAACCCGGGAGGTGGAGGTTGCAGTGAACCAAGATCATGCCACTGCACTCCAGCCTGGGCAACAGAGTGAGACTTTGTCTCAAAGAAAAAAAAAAAAAAAAAAAAGAGAAAAGTGTAATATATCTGGAAAGAGAAGGAAACTAGGGTTATCTACTAACAAAAAGAGAGGGCTAGAAAACAACTCTCAAATTTTTCTCAGTGCAATCAGCACTATTACAAGAATTGAAGATTGACTGTTCTTCTCCAAAGAAAACTGAAAAGAGAACAGAATATAATCAAAGCAAGAGAGAGTTTAATTAGACCTAAGGACCGCATAGGAAATTGAACCTAAAAACAATATACAAAGGACATTCTGAGTTCTTCATCTCTAAATCTTCAAAAATAGTTTTGTGGGCATAGACATATTTAGAGACAGGAGGCTAAACCAGATGACTCAAGACTCTTCCGGAAAAAAAAATGTGTAGATCTTAAATTTGTTTTAAAAGAAATTCCTTTAAAAATAAAATTAAAAAGCATCTATTTGGTTATCCAGAATGAAAAGTAATTTCATTTTCTTTCTCTATTACTTAATCGACTCTTTTGCCCAAAGCATATGTAAATCCTGAGTCTCCATAAAGCTACAATGGTAATCATAAAAGATTCAAGAGTATTCATTTCTCATTTCATTACTGTGAAATTACTGCCTAAATTCTACCTATTTTTACAGGCTAAAAACAGCTACTACAGGAGCAATATCTACTGTACTAATCATCACTAATAGCTCTTGACAGAATTGAGAGGATTGAAACATCATCATTGTTATATAGCTGAGTACACAGAGTAATGTTAAAAGGAATGTGTTAAAATGTGTATTTCAGAATCCCTATCTTAAACAGACATAGAAAAAGAGTTAAAACTCTTTCTGAAGGTTGTGAATTCAGGAGGCTACAAAATGATGCCCCCAATAATTCGAAAATGAGAGACTAAGACTGGCTCTGAGGGTTAAGCTGAGAGATCAAAGTACAGCAGAATAGAAGTATGCAAAGTTACCTCATAGGAACAGAATGACTCCTAGGCCTGCAGGGTTTGACTAAGGCTGGATTAAATGTATGAACATTTCTAAAGATAGAATATTTTACTAACAAGGAGGTTGATCAGTTACAGAAGCACAGAAAAAGGCAGAGCCTGGGGGTCCCTAGGGCAAACTGGCATTGCCAGGTTATCCTCAGCTTCCCTTGCGGATTTAGTAAGGTGAGAAAATGTGCTCATTGTCCCTATGCTGATTAATCACTAAGTCATCACCTTGGTGTGCATTTCAGCCATGTGCACTTTTAGGCCAGAGTGGGTTTGTCTGATTCAGCTCTATCCTATTTACCTGTGATACTACCAGTGCCCAGCATGGTGGTAAATGCAGTGAAAACACAGTAATTTTTTTAGTTAAGTTATTAGCCCTGAGAACTGATAAGGGAAAACCAATGGACTTTTGAGTTCAGGATTCTGGATTTCAGGAATCTGGATTGTTATTATTAAGATTGCCAATAGAATAATTTGGGCAAGACCTTCAGCAACCCCATTTTATTGGAACAAACAATTAAATTTCTATCTTCAGAAGAATTGTCTTACCAAAAGAGTAGCTTCTTAAAGTGAACAGTTCACTATAAAACAGAATGTAATAATTTGTTTTTTAAATGAGGGTGACTGTATATTAGGAGTAAGTAAATCTGGGTTGAATTCTTCCCAATAATTAGCCCCGTGAGCTTTGATGTCTTTTCACCACAGTTTACTCACCATTAAATTCAGATATTGAAATAGATCATCTCTGATGTCCTTTCCAGGATCAACCTATTCTTATTTAAGAAAAACAAAAAGATAGCTACAGCAGATCTCAAATCAAGATCTCCAGCAGCAACTAGGACAAACTGTCACCAAGATGTCTAATAATGTTAAACGAAAATGTTGTTATATGAAAACCTTGTTGATAGTTCTATCATTTATAATGTACATATTCAATGAGGATTTTAATAATTATACTTAAGGATATTTATAATTAAGTATCTTTAATTAATTTATAATTATCTTTAATTATAATATTTTATGTATATTTCAGTAATATGTATTATATTTAAGTATATGTAATAATAAAATATAGATAATATGTGCCCAAAGACATTTCTTTATGTACAAATAGTATGCATTTTCTGGCTTATGCAGGCTAAACTATTCTAACATCTTTAACGTTTTCTGATAATGGTGAATGTTTAGATTTTGAATTATTTTTGTTGCTGAATACAAATATTCTAGCTTTTTTCAAAATTATGAAGTTCAGAGCTAGATACAATTTTTAGTAAGAACCTACACACCCATGTATGGAAATGAAGATACAATATTTTATTGTTGTTCTTATGTGCTATATTTGTATCAGAGTATCCGAGTGTCATACTAATTCACATTTTGTCACTGTTTTAAATGTTATCTCTTGTACTTCCAACCACCAATGGTAGATTTTAACCTAAATCTTATGTTAAATGTTATAAAAGAAACATTTTCCCATATTGTTATAAATGTCTAATTGTTTAAATGGCTTAATAATATTCCATTGTGTCAATGCACCATAATTTACTAAACCATATTCCTTTTTTTCTTATTGATAATTTGGTTGCTTTCTTGGTCTTTGCTACTAAAAATAAATAAAAACATAAAACAGTATAAACAATTTGTGTAGAGCTCTTTTCAGTTGTGGATTCATAAGTGATAAGAAGGAACAACATTGTAAGCCCCTGTATAATTGCTGACAAAATTATCTCTAACATGTTTTACTTACAAAGGTATTTATGATGCATTGTTAAGAGATAAAAGTAGTTTATCAAACATCTTTGTATGGCTCCTGTGCACACTGAGGAATATACTACTAGGATAGTGGTAATTACCTCTTACTGGTGAGATGATGGGTAATTTTCACAGTTTTACTGAGGTATAATTGATACTATACAATAAACTGCACATATTACAAATACCCAATTTGATAAATTTTGACATATGTATTACCCATGAAATCATCTCATAATGAAGACAAAAATTAACATCTTCATCAGCCTCAAAAGTTTCCCCTGCTCCTTTGTAATCTCCTCCTCCTATCCCTCTTACCAGTCCCCAGGAAACCTTGATATGTATCTTTCACTTCAAATTAGTTTGTTTTTTTCCATCATTGTAGATCAATGAAATCATATAGGATATACTCTTTTTTGGTCTGGCTTCTTTTACTTGGAATAATTATGTTGCACTTTATCTATGCTATGGTATATATCAATAGTCTGTTGATTCGTATTCATTTTATGAACACACCAGTGTGTTTATTCTTTAGCCTGTAGAACTTGAGGCTGTTTCTGTTTTTTGTCTATTACAAATAAAGTTGCTTGAACATTCATGTTGAGGTCTGCATGGACATATGCCTACATTTTTCTACAAAAAATGTATGTGAAATGGTAGCTCCCATGGAAGGTACACTTTTACTAAGAAACTGCCAAACTGCTGGTGGGAATGTATACCAAATGGTAACTCAGAAATGCTCTGTGACGGTCTTGCATAACTGCCAGATTTATCATTAACCATTTCATAGTTTTGATACTATTAAAAAGATTTCAAAATTAGAATTTCTGATTATTCATTACTAATTTATAGAATATAAAATTAGAATTTTGGATTATGCATTACTAATTTATAGAAATATTGTTGTGCATATTGATATGGTATCTTACAAAGTTGCTAAACTCATTTATTAGTTTTAGAGAGGTTTACTGCATAGGCCATTATGTGATCTGCAACTGAATACAGGTTTACTTCTTCCTTTCCCATCTGAATTGCATATCCCCTATTGCATGGGCTAATAAAATGTTGAATGGAACTGTTGAGAGTGGATAGGTACCCTTGCCTTGTTTCAGGTCTTTGGCGAAAGTATTTAGTTTTTCACTCTATCAGATTGAAGAGGTTCCTTTCTATTTCAAGTTTGCTAAGAATTTGTATGAGGAATGAATGTTGGATTCTTTCAAAAACAATTTCTGTGTCTATTAAGGTAATCGTATGGGTTTCCCCTCTTTGGTAGTCCATTAATATGGTGAATTACATTGATTAATTTTCAAATATTAAACCAATTTAGTATTCCTGAGATAGGGTTCATTTGATCATGATGCATTATCCTTTTTACATGCTGATGGATCTGAATTACTAAAAATTTGTTAAGAATTTTTTTTGTCAACTTTCATGAGGAATATTGGTCTGTACTTTAATGTTGTGATGTCTTTGGTCTGGAATAAGAGTAATGCTAGCCTTATAAAATGAGCTGGGAAACAGTCTCTCGTTTTCAATTTATGGAAAAAGTCATATAAATTGATATTGGCTCTTTCTAAAATATTTGGCAGACATCCTCAATGGAGCAACCTAAACATGGGATAATTTTTAACCAGAAACGTATTTATTTAATGGGCATGTCTATTCAAATTATTTAAATAAGGAGATGTTTGGTAATTTGTAACTCTCAAGGAATTTATTCACTTCAACTAGACTGTCAAATTTATTGCCATTAAGTTTTTTATACTATCCTTTTATTTTTCTTTTGATATCTATATTGTCTAGAGTGACAACACCTCTCCACTTCTGATATTAGTCCCTTCTTTTGTTTATGCTTTCAATTTTTTTGTTCCTGATCAGTCTGGCTAGTGGTTTATCAATTTTATTTACCTCCTCAAAAGTCAGATTTTGTGTTTAATTATTTTTCTTTATTGTGTTTCTGTTTTCTATTTTATTCACTTCTACCTCCTGATTTTTATGTTTATTTCTTTTGCTTACCTTAGGTTTTATTTGCTCTATGTTCTCTGGATTCTTAAGATAGAGACTGAGAACATTTTTTTCTTCTTGTGTAACATGGGTGTCTAATGCTAAAAAAATTATCTCTAAGTACTATTTTAGCCCTATTCCACAAATGTTGATATATTGTGTTTCTCTTTTTATTTAGGTCAAAATATTTTCTAATATGCTGTTTCATTTCTTTTATACTCAAGGGTTATGTAAAAGTATATTATTTAGTTTCCAATATTTATGAGTTTTTCAGATATCTTTGTTTTATTTAAGTGTGGTCACAAAATACACTTTGGCCGGGCGCGGTGGCTCACGCCTGTAATCCCAGCACTTTGGGAGGCCGAGGCGGGCGGATCAAGAGGTCGAGAGATTGAGACCACCCTGGCCAACATGGTGAAACCCCGTCTCTACTAAAAATACAAAAAAAAAAATTAGCTGGACGTGGTGGCAGGCGCCTGTAATCCCAGCTACTTGGAAGGTTGAGGCAGGAGAATCGCTTGAACCCGGGAGGCGGAGGTTACAGTGAGCCAAGATAGCGCCATTGCACTCCAGCCTGGGCAAAAAGAGTGAAACTCTGTCTCAAAAATAAAATAAAATAAAATAAAAATAAAATGAAATACACTTTGTATGACTTGTTACTTTTTAACTTATTGGATCCTTTTTTAATGACTCAGAATATGACCTACCTTGGCAAATATTCATATACACTTGGAAAAAAATGTGTTTCATGGATACAGGGAGGAGGACAACACACACCAGAACCTGTTGGGAGGTGGGCAGTGAGGGAGGGAACTTATAGGATGAGTCAATAGATGCAGCAAATCACCACGGCACACGTATACCTATGTAACAAACCTGCACATTCTGTACATGTGTCCTGGAACTTAAAGTAAAATAAAATAATAATAAATAAATAAATAAAATAAAAATGTGTTTACTGCTGTTGTCAAGTAGAATGTTCTATAATATGAATTAAGTCAAATTTGTTGATAATGTTTTACAAGTTTTCATTTAAATTGATTGATGGGGCTGTGATTTTTTTCTATGAGTTCTATTAATTATTACGAAAAGGTTACTGAAATCTCTGGCTGTAATTGTGGATTTGTATACTTTTCTTGCAGTTCTTTTTGTTTTTTGAGGTTTTTTTTTGTTTGCTTCATGTATTGTGATGCATTTTTGTTAAGCGCATGAATGTTTAAAATTGCTATGCACTCTTGATCATTGACTTCTTTATTATTTTGAGATTACTCTTTTCAACTTTGATAATTCTTTTGAAATCTACCTTATAGCCACTCCAGCCTTCTTTTCATTAGTCTTACCATGATATATCATTTTTCATCCTTTTACTTTTAGTCTATTTGGTTCTTTATATTTAAAATGTGAGTTTGTGTAGCATTCGGTTGAGTCATGCCTTTCTTAATCCAATATGACAATCTAGTAATTGGATATTGAGACCATTTATATTTCATAAGATTTGTGATGAGGTAGGCTTAAGTTTACTATCTCTCTATTTGTTTTCTATTTGTCCATTCTGTTATTGGCTTATTTTCCCTCTTTTACTACCTTCTTTTGGATTTTTATAATTCCATTTTATTTCTTTGTTTATTTATTACTATAACTATTGTTACTTGACTCGTTGCCTTGGAGTTTATGGAATACATCCTTAACATAACAATCTACCCTTAAGTGATATTTTACTGCTTCACACATAGGATAAGAGCTTTAAGTACTATACCTTGATTTCTCTCCTCCCAGCCTTTGTGTTATTGCTATCTATATATTACTTACACAAGTGTTATAAAACCCACAGTACATCACTATTTTTTGCTTAAAAGTTAATTATCTTTTACTATTTTTAAGCTATTCATTCTTTGTACATCCAGATTTCCATCTGTTATGATTTTTTTCTTTTACTTCATAAACTTCCTTTAACATTTCTTACAGTGCAAGTGTGCTATAATAAATTCTTTCAGCTTTTGTATGTCTGAAAAAGCCCAGGGCCTTCCTTTAGGAAAAAAAAATTTTGCTTGGTAAATAGTTCTAGGTTCTCAGTTCTTTTCTTTCTGTATTTCAAATATGTTGCTCAGCAGTCTTTTAATTTGCACCATTTTTTACAAGAAATTTGTCTCCATTACCTTTGGTTCTTCAAAATGTAACATATTTTCTCTGGTTTCTTTCAATTTTTTATCACTGTTTTTAATCAATTTGATTATGATAGCTCTTGGTGTAATTTTCTCCAGTTTTTGTGTCCATGGGATTTGTTTCTTAATGGATCTTCAAGTTTATAGTTTTCTTAACTTTAAAAATAACTTAGCCATTATTTTTTCAAATCTGTTTTTGCTGCATTCCCCCCTTTCAGAGACTCCAATTACATCTATATTAGGCTGTTTAAATTTTCCTATACCTCACTGATTTGCAGGATGTTCTGCTTATTGTTTGTTTGTCTTTTAATGTGTTTTATTTTCAGTGGTTCCTATGGTCATGCTTTTATGTTCACTAGTCTTTTCTTCCCAATGTATAAACTGCTACTAATTCCATTAGCGTCGTCTTCATCTCAGATATTATTATTTTCATCTCCAGAAATTTAGTTTAATCTATATTTTATATCTTTAATTTTTCTCCTTAGCATGTTTAGTCTTTTCTCTTGCTTCTTGAATATCTATAATTCAATTACAATACTCTTTTAATGTCTTTGTCTACAAATTCCATCATCTGTGTCAATATGTATTAATTTTTATTTTTATCATCAGTCATGTTTTTATGATTTTTGCATGCCTAGTAAATTTTTTATTGGATTCCATGCATTGTGAATTTTACTTTGCTATATGTTCAAAATGTTTGCTTTCATGTAAATATTTTTCAGCTTTGTTTTGGGAAAGCAGTTTGATCATTTCAGATCTTACATTTAAGTTTATTAGGTTGAAGCTGACCAGCATTTATTTTATAATTGATTTTTTCCCATTACTGTAGCAAAACCTTTCTTAGCACTCAAGCCACCTCTGCATGAATAATGAAGATTTCCACTCAGAATGGCACTGATGCCAGCACTGGGCAGGTTTATGAGATTCTTCCCTTTGATCTTTGCAAAGGTCCTATCCCCAGTATTGGGTCATTTCTTCCCATGACTGTGTTCATCAGTTCTCAATATTCAAAGGGACCCGTCTACAGATCTCAGACTTCTTCCTCTTTGAAGTTGCCTCCTCTCTGATGTTCTTCTCTGTGAAGTTTAACCACCTTTACTCAATTTCTCAACAAAGATAGATTGTCACATTCATCCTGAGTCCCCTGCCCTGTACAGTGCCCAATAAGCTGGACAATCATAGGGCTCACCTAGCTTGTTTCCCATCTCTCAGGGATCAATGAGCTTCATTATCTATTGTCCAATGTCTTAAGAATCATTGTTTTATACATATTACCATTTTTTTTTGTTTTTGCTTTTGTTTTAGGAATTTCAGGTAAGAGGGTAAATCTCCTTGTTATCGCATCTTGGAAGAAAGCAAAACTCTGAATTAATTTTTAATTTTTTTTTTTGTTTTTCACATTAATTTTACCTTTTAAATATACATTATTAAAGTAATTTCTACTGATACCAACTACTTTACAGGAACTGGCTACTGAGGATACAACAGTAAATAAAGCAGACAAATACTTTGACTTCTTATTTTTGTTTTTGTTTTTTAAGAAACGGCTGCTTCTTTTGAAAAAATGGCTGGTTCTTGAAACATCTTGTTATAAGAAAAAGGAAAAACTCTACTATGATTATTTCAAAAATATTCATCAACCAACTGAAGAATTTTCTACTTGCCAAAGATGGGATATTGGAGTATTAGTAGAATAATAATTATGTGATGCATTGATGAACATCAACTATACCTAAATCTATGAGTTCATGAACGAGACAAAGAAAATAATTCATCAGTCATCTTTGGCAGATACTGTGGGACTAAATTATCATTTTCATAACCAGGAAATATAGGGAAAATTTTAAATATACTTTCTGCCTTTCCTATAACCAAATAGTAGACAAGGGAAGTTTTTCTTTAGAAAATTATTTCAACTGATAAGCAAAGATAGACTAATAGAATTTGAATATTAATTTTTTTCCTTTTTTCTTTTCTTTTCTTTTATTTTTTTAAGACGGAATCTCGCTCTGTCACCCTGGCTGGAGTACACTGGTGTGATCTCGGCTCCACTGCAAACTCCACCTCCTGGGTTTTAGCTCTTCTCTTGTCTCAGCCTCCCGAGTAGCTGGGATTACAGGTGCCCGCCACCACGCCCAGCTAATTTTTGTATTTTTAGTAAAGACGGGGTTTCACCATGTTGGCCAGGCTGGTCTTGAACTCCTGACCTCAGGTGATACACCTGCCTTGGCCTCCCAAAGTGCTGGGATTACAAGTGTGAGCCTAATGAAATACTGACTGTAGTCTATGAATACTGATGGCAACTAAGATCACACAACAAAAAAATGAGAACCACGTATGATGTGTCCCCTGCTGGCAGTACACAATATCACCTAAGAAGTATTCTTACCAAAATCTCAAATCTGAACCTGGGGAAGATTCTACAGCTACTACCCAATTCATAGGATACAGAATAAAAGAACATATTAAATCATACCATGGAAACATAGTGAAAAAATCACTTGATAGAGGGAAACTACAAAACAAACATCCTGGTTTATTCAAGAAATGAACAGCATGAGGAAAAAGCAAGATGAACCTATACACTTAAAAGATATATGAGGAGATGGGAGGTTTCAGAAATGCAAATTCCCAACCTACTCCACCTGGAAACACCAGTGCTGCTTTCATACATCTACTCGCACTAAGCAATTTAAGCCAAAGAACACAGGAGGCATCAAGAAACAGCACCAAGGACTAGCTCGGAGGAGGGGAAGAAAAGGTGCTGTGGTGTTTCCTTAGAAATGGCTGGAGAAAAACAGAATAACTGCCCAGAGATAATCTAATCCAGTCCAGGTTTCTGGGCCCAGGGAGCCAGTGGAACACGCCCTGAAGAAACCTAGAAAGAGGATATTTAGACTCCCAAAGACAGCCCCAGGAACTGAGAGGTCTCCAGAGAATGGGTCAATATGCACAGGCCTAGATTCTGAATCTCTGCCCATTTCCTGAATCTCTGCCAATTTCCTGCTTTCTTTCCTTTTCTCTTGCTATGACCTCTTCCTCTGGTACTGGAAACCCAAAACATTCTGTGGTCCTTTCTTGCTGTCTCTTGCATAAATGTAATGTTAAAAATAGAGAAAGAATAAAAGAGATACTTAATGTCTAAACCTCAAGGGAATCTTGATTCAATCAAATAAACATTAAAAAATGAATTATGCATCACTTTGAGAATTTGGACTTTGTAATGCATTATTTTAAATTTTTTAGACATTTTAAAGAAACCCCTCAAATATGTGTTGTTAAAATGATGTGATATCTGCAATTTGTCTCAAAATAATTCAAAGTATGGGAAGGGGTGAAGTCAATAATCACTTAAATGGAACAATATTGGCCATGACTGGTAATTGTTTAAGCTGGATGACAGATACATATTCACTCTACTTGAGTGTTTTAAATTATCTGTAGTAAAATGTTAAAACATCATTATCTTTATGTAAAATATACAGCAGGATCTCAAATCATGTTTTTTCTTTATAACGTTGAGAGAAAAAATTTAAAAAATTATTTCCACAGGGGCTACTGTCTGTGTGGCATTTGCACGTTCTCCCCACATTTGTGTGGGTTTTCTCCAGGCACTCATTTCCTCCCATATCTCAAAGGTATGTTAGGTGAATTGGCATGTCTAAATTGCCCCAATCTGAGTGAGTGTGGGTGTAGGTGTGAGAGCACTCTGTGATAAAATGGTATCCTGGCCAAGGTTGATTCCACCTTATGCTGAGCTGCTGGGATAGGCTTCAGCCACCTGTGACCTCGAACTGGAATAATTGAGTAAATAATCATCTTGCTTCTTTTTTTTAACCTGTCTTAAATGTACATAGAGTAGACATTTATTTCAAAGTTTAATACTAAAAGTATTTTGGTCATTCTTTAGAAGATTGGTAATGTTTTTGTGACCATAGAAACTAAACTCTTATTTACATCAATTAGCCTATGGTAAAATTGGTTTCATTATGTGTAGGTTTACTTAAAGTTGCAGTTACCAAGAACCTATCAACTATGTTAAGTGAGAAATTACTGTATTCTAAATTATTTATATTTTCTAGACATATATTATAGTTGTATGATTTTTAAAATGGATTTTTACTTAAAATTTCAACAGTGGATGATAATCCTATCTAGATAAGATTCTGGATAGAATGAGAGTGCCCATAACCTCCTCTTAAATCCTACTGACTTTGTTTTGTGGTGGTTTTTTGTTTTGTCGTTTGTTTGAGATGGGTTGTTACTACCTTTCTTAGACTGGTCTTAAGCTTCTGGGCTCAAACAATTCTCCCACTTCAACATCTCGAGTAGCTGGGACTATAGGCACATACCACCATAAGGCAAACCCTAGTGGTTTTGAAAAAGAAAAGTGTGTTTTGCTATTTATTGTTTTGTATAAAGTCAAATACACCTTCAACTTTTCCCCATCGTTACTACAGACTTCATAATTTATTAGATGTCTTTACTTTTCCACAGGTGTTAGTACCTTCAGCATAAAAGACATTATGTAATTATTAATGCTTGATTTGTTGCTAAAACTCTATAGTCATGAGCTATAGAACTACTCTGAGTGCTCTGAGATATTTATTGATAGTTAATGTTGGTCAAATCAATGCAATTCAATTCAAACTTTCACAAAGCACCTGTTTCAAGAAAATACTCTGGTGGCGCATGTAATACCAAGATAAATAAAATAAGTTCCCTGCCTTGAATTCTATTAAATAACAGAGAATAAAGACACATTGCAGTGAATACCAAAAAGAGGGAAATAAAAATGCTGTTTAAAACCAGAGGTGCAAGTGGGGAAGAGATAGAGGGACAGGGAAAGAGTTTCCAAAGGATAAATGTAGGAAAGCCTCAATTGCAGTAGGCGACACATCTTAATGTCATTGCTCATAGCCTTAAAAGATGAGCTGTACTTCAACATTTGGACAAAGGTCTGCAATCTGGGAGAGATGGAGGATGATTTCAAAGAAACAACTTTTTTCTGTGCTTCTATAATAAAGAAGAGACTTTACTCTTTCTCATGTCTATTTGAAAAACAAAAGAGTTAAGGATGATATATTTCGTATTTTGTACTTTGTTGCAGTAATATTTTTACTTTCATGGTAATTCAACAATATTTCAGCTTAATGACAGTCTAATTATTTTGTAAACGTCACAAATACTTGAGTCAAGGGTGACATTCGGTCTTTTGATATTTTATATTTGGTTGCCCAGAAAAACAGAGTTTGCACCATTAAATATTGCCTCTTGAAACATTCTTAATAGGGAGTGGGGCCAGAAATCCTATGTTAATATGAGAAATGAACTATCAAATAAATCATAACTTTAATTTTTCAAAAAGCATTTTTACAATTTAAATATATTTTTGCATTTATTTTTATTTCTCTGTGGTATTATAAAATCTTTTAGAATGTACTGTAACTCACTTAATCGCTAGTATATTCTAAGCAGCCCTTCTGGGAATTCTTAACAGAAACAGCATGAAGTGGGTGCTGAGAACACTGCAGCTTGCTTTATAATTTACAATGTAGGTGTAAATCCTTTCTCTTAAGAATAGCACAAAATTGCCATTTAATTCACTTCAGGAACATTTAAGTTAGGAACACTTATACTTTAAAATAACACTGTGTTTTCCTCAAGTCATAGCCAAGTGAAATGTTCACCCAAAGTACTGCACATGTATAATGCATAATCAGCGTAATGTTACACGGTGATGATTGGATAATAAATAACATAATAAATAGGAACAATCCCGTTAGTTAATATCTTGACTAAGCCCAGAATTACATCTAGTGAAATATCTTAGGTCTCCAAGATATCTGGTTCAAATTGTCAATGTTAACCACCTAAGCTTTCTTTCAAAAGATGAGTCCATCCTGCAAAAGGCTAGAAAGTCAGATAAGAGAGAAAGAAAAATTCTGATGATGTGCCCTATTATCCGACTGTGGAGATGCTAAAATAATGCATGTTCATACAAAGCATACAAAAGTCACAAAGGATGCTGAAGAGAAAAAGAAGGCCTGCAAAAGTAAGAAAGTGTGAGGATGGTAAAGGTGACAAGTGAATGGTAAACATCTGGGAATCACAGCAGGCCAAGAAATACCCAGCTGGGGGATTGTGGTAAAAACCAAAAGCAGGGAAATCTATAAGCAGGTGTACTTCAAGTTGAGAGGTGTGGTTTCATAGATGGGAGAAGCTGTTTCATGAATGTTTTCTCAGTTATGCTTTTTCTATAAAAGAATAATATTGAAGCAAATAAAGTGTTTAATATTCAGGAAATGAACTGTGACTTTCTCATTTTAAGTAATCATCAAGAAGGTTTGCAAAGAAAATTGAGAAAAAAAAAACACAGCCAACGTAAGCATAAGACACAGACACCCAAATAGTACATTAAGTAGTGGAAAGTTTAGGTTGAGTTATTATTTATTTATTCATTTCAAACATTTATCATGACCTGACAGATTGTTAGGCATTGCTCTAAATACTAAGCATTCAGCTGTAATGAAGACAAACCCCCTGCTTTTTTGGAGCTGCTATTCTAATGAGGCTAGCGAGAGAGAGAGAGACTACAGTTATACACAAATAACTTTATATGGTGATTGATATTTTAGTAGCAATAGAAAATGGGTTAATATGCTAGAAGTTGAGTGTGCTTGGACAACACTTTATGAGCTGAATGATGAGGGAAGGCTCTCTGTAGAGAAGGGGACATCTGAGCTGAGAACCTGAATTACTCACAGGAAGGGGCCAGTTCTGCATTCTTGGCAAAGAGAAGAGCTGGTGCCCAGACATTGTGACTGAAGAGGCCAGGCATTTCCACAGGGTGGAAGAATAGTGGGTCTAAATTCCCACAACCAAGATGAGAATGGTAAGAAATCTGGAAAATGGCCACCTCTTGTACACCTCCTAGGCCATGGTGAGTAGCTCAGCCATGGGACACTAGTGGAGAGTTTTTAATAGAAAAGACACATAATCTGATTTGTATTTTGAGAGGATCAAGCTGCTCTAGGAAAGCTGTAGGGGGATAAAGAGTGGACGCAGAAAGAACAGATAGGAAGCTGTTGCATTAGCTCAGGCATGTCTTACATTAAGGTAGTAGCAGTGGATACAGTGGAAGTGATCCATTCATTCTATAATTTGAAGGTCATCCTAAAAAGAATTGTTGACAAATGAGACGTCATTGTTGTTTGTCCGAAGCAACTGAGTAAAAGGTATCAATTAGTTTGGTGTTGAAATCAATTACTAGTTTATATGGGTATATAGTTGGATATTTATGTCCAAGTTCAGGAAAGATAATAGAGTTGAAGAAAAACAATTAGTAGCCAATAGCTTGTAGATGATATTTAAAGGCATGGGACAGAATGAGCTCATCTGAGGAAAGAAGACAGTTACAGAACAGGGCCAAGGGCCAAGCTGTGGCCTTAAGCCAATATCTTGAGGTCAGGAAAAGAAGAAATTCAACGTAAGGAATGACAGTGAGCTAGGAAAAGCAGAAAGGATGTGACCAACTGTGTCAAATGCTGCTGAGACGTAAAACATGATGAAGTCCAAGAATTGACTGGAGGGTCTGGTAGGACAGAGGTCATTGCTGCTGATCTAAATGAAAGCTGTTTTGTAGCAATGCTGGAGATGCAAGCTTCAGTAAAGTGAGCTGAAGGACATAAACATAAACATAAGCAAGAAGAAAGAAGAAGTGTAGACAATTGTTTCCAGGAGTATGACTTTAAAAGCAGAGAAAAAGAAAAGTTGGTAGATGGTATGTGGAAGACATACTGTCGAGGGACTGATTTTTCTTTCTTTGTTTTATTGTTTCTTTTAGGATGGCCGATACTAGGCATGCATGTGCATACAGAAAAGAGAGTAACCCAATAGTGAGGAAGAAATTGATGCTGCAGGAGAGAGGGAATAATTGCCGAAGCAAAGATCTTGAGGTACTGAGAAAGGATGACCCTAATTTCCTTAATGCTGCAGTAAGTATTTGTTTACTGGAAGTCTTAACTAAGCCATTGAGTAAGGTGATTCTAATTTAATTCTTCTGGGCTGGGTCCTGTGCATCAGTATTTTTTAAAAGCTCCCTGGTTACTGCTAATGCGCAGCCAGAGCTGAGCAGCAGTAATCTAAACAATAGCGTTTTGTGTTTCTCATTCCTTGACTTTTCTTTAGAGTTTTATGACATATATATGTGTCCCCAGCAATTTACTGTTTAGTTGTGCATGAACCTTATATAAACGGAATCACACTGCATGTATTCTGTATATCTTGCTCTCTTCTATTTATGGAATTCATACGTGATGGTGTGTGATGCTCTAACCCATTTATTTTCACTTCTCTAAAGCGTCCCAGGTATGAAAATGAACAATGAATCCATTCTCTTATTTGGTGGATATTTAAACAGTTTTTTTTTTCTAGTTTTTAACTACTGCAAATTATGTTGCTATGAACTCTCTTGAATATGCAATTAATTCACCATTACAATTGTTTCCTGGGAAGTGGGAATATAAACTAGTATAATTTTTTTAAAATTGACATTAGATGTTTGTTTTTCAAAAATGGTAATTTTACTTTATGTTCAGTTCTATAATTGTTGCTTATCACATACTGTATTTTGATATTGTTTTGCAAACCAAATGGTTTACATTTGGTTGCAGTTCAATTTAATATTTCTCTTCATTATTTATTTTATTATTTTGTGCTTAGAAAAATTCTCCACCATCCAATATCAGGTCAAAATTCATGTAGAGTTTTCTTGGTTACATTTATTGTAAATCCAGCTCTTTAAAATACCTGAAAATTTTATTAAATATAATTAAAAGATAACTTACAAATTGGAAAAAAAAATTAACATACAAGGTGTCAATAGGAAGAAAATCTATCAAAAAACTGACTCTAGACATGAACAGATAATTTACCAAAAAGGCATCGTTGCTAATAAACATGTGGGCTATATTCAACCTCAGTAATTGAAAAAATAAAATGTTAAACTATTATGTAACAGTTTTCACACTTGTCAACTTTTTGAAATAAAAATGTATAAGTCAGTCATTCTTAAATATTGCTGGTAGAAGTATTTATAGTACCAAATTCTTGGAAAACAATTTGATAATATACATTAAGAGCCATTTTTAAAGCCATAATTACATGTCTACAATTCTATTGACTCAAGATGTGGATGATTCAAGATGTGGATGAGGATACATTTTCAAAGATATTCACTGAAGTGTTTATAATAGCAAAGGAAAAAAACAGGTTGGAAAATGTAAATGACCCCAAATAGGGCAATCATTAAATTGTTGCTCGTATAATAAAATATCAAGTCATTTTTAAAATTTTTCAAAAGATAATGACAAGGGAAAATTCTCATAACTGAAAAAAAGATTAATTTTATATATATATAAAATCTATGATCTCTGTTTTATAAAATGTTTCTAGCTGTATCTGTCTTTCTGCCTGTCTCTCTCTCTCTCTCTCTCTCTCTCTCTCTCTCTCTCTCTCTCTCTGTCTCAGTACATGCCAAAACATTAAGATGGTTCTTTCTGGATATAAAGAATAAAGATACATCTAATTTTTTTCTTTTTATAGCTTGTTTTCATATCACCTTTAAAATACCACTAAGATGATCTCTATTTGAATTAGTTGAACAGTATTTGATCTCCTAAAATACAACAGGTTAAGTGCTAAGAATAGAACCATCTTCATGGAGGTTTATTTGATTTTCCTCTAGAAATGTAATCTCTTTCTGGACACTCATGTTTGTCAAGTAAACCTTTGTCCCTCATTACCTGCTTTGCTTTTTCCTTATTTTAAACCCTGAATCCACCTTTTCAACCCCCACCAACAGCCATATGATCAGGACGACAGGAGTTGATTGACCTGCATCAAACATTACCTACTAGTCTCCCTCACACAAAACAAAGTAAAAGAGGAGAATTGGAAGAAAGCAATACCACTGCAGCCACACTGGGTGCAAGCTTTGAGAATTCTGGGACTTTGTACACGAGTGAACCAGAGAGAACCTGTGGTGTGCTGGGAAAACCCATAGGCCCTGCAGAAACATCTAATTAGTGTTGATTTTGAGTAGAGGTTCTCTCTGAGATACTTCATCTGCAAAACAAGGAATGATACCAGTTCCCTTCCAGGGATGCCATAGAATCGAATGAGAGTGATTTAAGCATAATACTCACTCATGGTAGGTAATGAATGTTGCTATCATTACATCATTTCAGATCCTCATGTAGAAAATTCAAAGCATGTCTCCTGATTGAGATGGTTTAGACCTTTTAGCTAATACATTATAAATGATGAGAAGTCACAGTGTTGATTTTCCAGGCAGGTCATATTGATCCTTTTTTGTAAAAATATCCTTTTTTGCAATAACTTTGTTTTTTATGCCATATTATTGACACACAGATTTTGCAAGATTAATATTGATGCTACAGATCTTTTCCATTCTTTAAAGTGCAGCTAACCATTTTATTTTAATCTGATGCTTTCAGTGTATCAGTAAGTGTTGGTAACACGGTAGTATTTTTCTCTAAAGATGGGGAAAATTAACCTGTGCCAAGCAATTTCTTGAGGTTTATAGAGAACTGTGTGACTGGAGCTGCAAACTCTGTTATCCTCTTTGCAGCCAGGAGGATACCTCAGCCCCTGTAATGGAATTAAAGAAATATTGGAGCTGATTCTGGTCCACCAAGAAGGGGATGTGTTTCAGGCAAGTGAAACCAGAAACAGGGAGGATACCTAGGTTACACTTTCAGAGATCCAAGGAGGAAGGCAGAGCTGGAGGTCAGGGCAGCACAGGACTGCAATGCAGCAAGATCGATTACAGAAATATCTGCAGGATATCTTAGTTCTAACAGGGAACATGGACAACAGGCATGAGTGAGGAGGATGCATCTCTACTTTGAGCTGGCAGTGATGACAGAAGGAGCCAGCCATGAGAGGAGGGAATCCACCTAGGGGCTCTGTCCACTGTGCAGTGATGGCTTAGCCTGTGTTAATGGCCTAAAGCCGTACTTCTGCAGACTTCCTCATGTCATCCTCAGGTCAACGTTCTTTGGGTAGCATTTGAGAGGCCACCTCAAGGAAAAGAACCCAATGAACAAAATTTGTCCCCAACAACATAAGCCTCTCTACTGTGTCCTTCTGTCCCTACTCTGAGATGCTTCCATTTGTCTTTCATGTAATCGCAGTATCCAACCACCTGCATAAAATATGGGCTCAGAAATGAGATAGTCATGTACACCCCAATGTCCATATTTTCCTCCTTTTTTTTTTCTTTTGAGACAGAGTCTCACTCTATCCCCCAGGCTGGAGTGCAGTGGCACAATCTTAGCTCACTGCAAGCTCCGCCTCCCAGGTTCAGGCCATTCTCCTGCCTCAGCCTCCCGAGTAGCTGGGACTACAGGCGCCCACCACCACGCCTGGCTAATTTTTTTTTTGTATTTTTAGTAGAGACCGTGTTTCACCATGTTAGCCAGGATGGTCTCGATCTCCTGACCTTGTGATCCACCTGCCTCGGCCTCCCAAAGTGCTGGGATTACAGGCGTGAGCCACCGCACCCAGCCTATTTTCCTCCTTTTTAGTAAGGGTGTCAAAAGGTTTCATCACCCAATCAGAAAGATCAGGAAATACTTTGGAAAAGCAAAAGATCCACACTTGGTAGGATATCCCCTAGGAGCCCAGTCTCAGATTAAAAATTTTTTTTAAAGAAACTCCCTTTCTAAAACTATTCCTGCTCCTCATCTGTCACTGGTTTGCATGAGTTTGGCTCCCTTTTGGTTGAAAACATTGAACTTCCCAGAAAGGAACACATCAAGCCGCCATCGCTGAGCCCCATCTTAGCTTAAATTGTTCTGTCACCACGTAGGCAAACTCACAGTCAGTGGAGACAGTTATATCAGTAAAAGGGGGGAAAGAAAGGTCTAGCACCATGGTTTTCACCTTGGCTGAATGGTCAAATTCCCTAGGGAAGAGTAAAAAACACAGTTCCCTGACCTGACTCCAGACCAACTGAATCACAGTCTTTTATGGTGGGTCCTCAGCATTTCATTTGTAAAAAGATCTGTGGATAATTTGATGCACAGTCTAGTTTTGGGAACTCGACATGAGATAAAAGAGCTTGAGTAGAAATTGCAGCAGCTAGAGAATCATAAGCATATTGGTCTCTAATTCAACGTAAGCCATACTATTTTCAGTGCTGGAGGGGTGAGGCAAGGCCACTCAATGTGCAATGCCAGCACAAAATGTGTGCATCTCAGGATGTCTGCAGAGCCCCAACTTCGTCTTCCATGAGCATGGGCAAGAGACAGAACCACAGATAGAGAATCTCCTTTCTTATTCCAAGTCTGCAAATGAGGTTTTGAATGTAAATAAAAAGCTAGAAATAGTAAAATAGTCAAACAAAATTAAACAAAACCACTTAAATATCCTGCGGTGGGGAGGAGTTGATTTAGTTACAGTGTTTCCATACAATGAGAATAATTTAGGTGATAGTGAATAAATACATTTATATACTAAAAGATGTTATAATACACTTGATGAAAAAATGTTATAAATATGACATAAACATTATATATGCTGTCACTGATATATGCTTAAAATTATACATACATGCACTCATGGCAATATAGCTAAAAAGATTACAAACATTTTTATTAAAATATTTCAAAATGTTTGCTGTGGTGATCAAGGGTGATTTCTGTTTATTTTTTTGCTTTGTTTTCTGATGTGCTTGCAAGGAACATGCATTTTTTTGTAGTTGACTTAATTAAAAAAATAGCACAATGACATTTTAAAGGGTCTGCAATGAGCTCATGCTCTCAGCATCTTTCACCTAAACTACCACAATAGCTTCCCCTCAGTTCTCTTCACCTTTGATCTTGACTGTTTTCAGTGAACTTCGTCAATATCTTAAAATGCAGGCCAACTGGTATTCATCTTCTCCAAATTCAGTGACTTCACATCAGCTACCAAACCAAGTCTAGCTTCTTCACAGGTCATTCCAGTTTACTCATGACCTTTCTTCAATTCTGTTTCTCACTTTCATTGCTCCATCCATCTCCCCACTGTACTAGGGCTCTAATCCCATCAGAATACCCCTGGTGCACCCAGCACACAAAATATTTTGAATGTTAAATGCCTTTTGCACTTTTTTTCTTTACTTTTAAAATTATATTTATTCTTCAAACACTGCTCAGAGATTACTACCTACATCAGGCCTCACCAGCCACACCCTCAGAATTCTTAAACATTACTTATTTTTTAAATTGTATTGAGTTTAATAAATTATATCTATTTATGAGGTAAAAAGTGATACTGTGATATATGTATACAATGCAGCATCATTGAATCAAGCTAATTAGCATATCCATTATTTCAAATACTTAGCATTTCCACTGTGCCTACACTGCAGACTGGTTGAATGTACATGTACCACCCATTTTTATTATTTTTTGTTCAACATTTACAGGCCTGCTTCCACTGAGGGACTGGAGGCTCCTTGAGCAAAATTATCTACCTCTTCACCTTTGGATCTTTCACAGTTCCCAGTTCGGTGTACTACAGATTGTACTTGCTAAATAAAAAATCATTGTCATGGTTTACCTAAATGCCTGAAGTGTTAATAATAAAAAAAAAACCCTTTATTCCCTCCCATACACTTTATAAATCTACAGGATTAGAGAAACAGAATCATCTAGACATTTCTGGTGGTAATGGAAAATTGTTCAACCACTCTGGAAAATTGTTTGGCATTTTCCTATAAAACTAAACATGAAATTACCATATGACCCAGAAATTGCACTCCTGGGCATTTATCCCAGAGAACTGAAAACTTAAGTTCACACAAAAAACTTGTATTATCCATGTTTTCAAGTTTCTGTATATGATGTTTTGACATCTTAGGCCTTGTTAGTAGGAAGAGACTGCCCCTCCCACAGGTTTAGCAGTTGGAATTCCTAGAGTTAGCAGAAGGCTTTTTGACTCTCATTAGAGTGTACCTTTCATATGTGTGTTAGTCCCTTTTCACGCTGCTATTGTCTGTATCAGCCCATTTCACGCTGCTATAAAGAATATCTGAGACTAGGTAATTTACAAAGGAAAGTGGTTTGACTCACAGTTCCGCATGGCTGGGGAGGCCTCAGGAAACTTACAATCATGGTGGAAAGTGAAAAGGAAGCAAGGCACTTCTTATACAGTGGAAGGAGAGAGAGAGTGAACAATGCAAGTACCACACTTTAAAACCATCAGATCTCGTGACAATTCACTCGCTATCACAAGAATAGCATGGGAGAAATCACCCCCATGATCCAATCACCTCCCACCCAGACCCACCCTCAACTTGTGAGGATTACAATTTGAGATGAGATTTGGGTGGGAACACAAAGCCAAACCATATCAATATGTAAACAAACTGATCCAAAATCCACACCCCTGACCTGCCTGTTCTTTCAGGGGTTCTTACTCTTGTAAGACACTATTCACCTGCCCTAATCACCCCAAGACTAAGCATCAGCCAGCTTCAACACCCTGAAGCATACTGAAATTATTCATATTAGCCAAGAGTTCTAAACTTGCTTAGCCCATTTGCTTTAGAGCAAATGACCCATTTCTTCCAAGAAAACTATAGTAAAAGCTTTCCTGAAGTTTCCCTTGCTCTCTCTTTGCCTGCAACTGATGTTGTTGTTCTCTAGTATGGTCCTGTGAGGAATGACACTCTACCCTCCTCTTGGGAACTTTGAATAATAAACTTTCTAATGGCAATGTCTCCTGATCTGTTGGGCTCATCATACCTGAATAAAGACAAAACCCCAGGTATATTTTAATATAAATCTGCACATGAATCTTCACAGTAACTTTATTCATAGTAGCCATAAAACTGGAAATAACTCAGATATCCTTCGAAGATTGAATGGTTAAGCAAACCACCATATCCAGCCATGGATTATTACTCAACAATAAAAAGGAACAAACTATTGATACATGTAACAATTTGGGCGAATTTCCAGAATTACTCTGAATGAAAAAAAAAAAAAGCCAAATCTAAAAGGCTACATACTATATGATTCCCTTTACATAACATTCTTGAAGGGACAAAATTATAGAAAAGAAGAGATTAGTGGTTGCCAGGGCATGGGCAGGGCAGAAAAGAGGTGGATGTGAACGTAAAGAGCAGCATGAGGGATTTCTGTGGTGATAAAACTGTTCTGTATCTTGACTGTATCAACACCAAGATCCTAGGTATAATATTGTATTATATCTCGGAGAAATGTTACCACTGGGTGAAATTGAGCAAAGGGTAGACAATTGTATGTGAATCTGCAATTATTTCAAAATAAAAATTGTAATTAATATAGAGCATGAAACTGTTCAAGAAATAGCTCATGACTGTGACTATTAGTATCTTTTAATAAACATAATCATCTATCCAACATCGTCCATCTAACAGATAAAATCTGCTCCTGGCTACAACATTAGACCAAATAATAGCTATTCAATTAAAACATATGCATATAAATATACACACAAATACACACACACACATTTTAAAATACTGCTTATCATAGATCTTCACATGGCAAGGAGAAGAAAGATGATGGAAATAATCTATAACCCATGTCATAGTATCTGATCTTGAAGAAAACTTAAGAATAATATACAGACGTGATTAATAGTATTAGTATCAGAGTGATTATTTATTATCCCTTTGTTTTAGAAAGAATCATTAAGATGAGACTAATATAGTCAACCAAAGATTTTAATTACAAAAGGATATAATTGCTATAACTGTATAATCAAGAGACTAAGTAAGACTATGACGCAGTAAGGAGTTACAAACCAGAGTCAAGGGCACAATTATGTACAGGAAGACAGTACTTACACACTGAACAGTTCGTCAAAGTCATGACCAAAGCAAAACGCATGCTTGTATCAGTCAATGCAAATCCAAGTGGATGCTAGATGCTTAAAAAACTGAAGAGGAAAAAGAGATCTGTTCAGAAAGTGGTGATAAGTCTACCAAACAATCAGAGACAAATAGGAGTCTGAAGTATGTAAAGGGCGAGGATGGGATGCTTACAGACATGGCTTTCTGGAATGGGAAAGATGAAGGCCTTGGGAATCAATTAATGGGACATGGAAACAGTAGAAAACATGGAACAAAATAATGTGGTGTTAACTAGGCAATAAGTGACCTTACTGACCATTAATCAGAAATGGGAAGGTGGGTGCAGGACAGGTACTCGAATACTGAAAAATAGGTTCAGCAATGGCTGCTCTGGCTGTGGCTGCAACTTCCTTGGGAGAAGGGACTTTTCATCAACTGTTAGAAGTTTGGCTGGTTCCCTTGGGCTATGAGAGGGCCAAGGTGTGAAATGCTTGTTAAAGAAAAGTATTTCTTAATGCTTATTTCCCACCTGCAGTCTATTATTCCAATCTTGGATTTATTTAGGGATAATAGTAAAATGTCTCAGGTTTTTTTTGCAGTGGATCTAGGCTACCATAAGGGAGCTTTGGCCTCTTGCGGATATTTTCTTGGAGAAAGTCAAGCTCCCATGATATATTACTTTGCAAAGACTGCTGTAACAAGGTACAACAAACCGGGTGGCTTCAACAACAACAATGTATTATTTCATGGTTGTGGGGACTAGAAGAAGTCCAAGAATCAAGGTTTTGGCAGGGTTGTTCCTTCCAAGTTCTGTGAGAGAAGGATCCATTCTATGCCTCTCTCTTTTGCTTAGAGTTGGCTGCCTTCTCCCTGTCTCTTTATATCATTGTCCCTGCAGGTGTGTTTGCCTCTGTGTCTACATTTCCCCTTTTATAAGAACAGCAGTCGCATTAAATTAGACCCTCCCCTGATAGGCTGATTTTAACTTGATTATCTCCATAAATACCCTGTCTTCAAATAAGGTCACATTCAGAGGTCCTGGAGGTTAGGGCTTCAACATATGAATTTGGAATTCAAATCATAGCACATGGGAAACGACAGATTAGGCATTAACAATTATTTAGGCACTTAGTGTTCTAGATTGGGTTAATAGTGTTGATGAAGATAACCTACTAGATAATAAGAAACTGACCCAAAGATTGGGGAAGCAAGGGGCTCAAACTACATTAACTCAATTTGAGACAGGCAAGCAAGTTACTGTCCTACCAGACACTTGGAAATAAAATCCACCTGGGTTCTGCTAATGGAGTGTGGGGTGGTTTTACAGTGGGGAAGGGAAGCTAAGGTGGTCTTGTGGGTGTGACCTTTTAAAAATTTAATGCACTATTGCTTTTGCTTCTACATCTGAATGCAGAGGAATCAATGTGTTACATGTTTTGCTGCTCCATATATTCCAGAGGGGACTCTTTAATTCAGGAAGACCCACAGGTAGAGAAGTAGCAGTGTGACATATAAATTGCTCCCTAACTCCCATTTATGACAAGGTGCTCCCCAAGATGCACTGCCTTTGCTACCAGTAAGTCACTCACTGTCTTTTTCTACCAGGGAGTCAGTCTGGATTTAGTACGAGTAGCCCTACCCAAAGCTTTCATTCCAATAATGCCCCGTTGATTGGTGAATCAGAAGTCTTGGTCACTACAGCCTAGACTGTGGTGTTACCAAACCTCCACCAACAGTGAGGGGACCTGAAGGGTGGTGGCCTGCTTGCTGATATAAATAAACAGCCCTCAGGGACACGCTTACAAAATAAAGCTTCTTGAAACCATGTGGGTAGATTTACAATGCTCAGTCCCTCTGGGAGTCAAGAAAAACTGCTCTGTCTATAAACCTCCACCATCCAAAATGAAGCTGAGTACCTTATTACACTTGTCGGGTATTGAAGAGAGAGACAGCGTATGCCTCATTTGGGCTTTCTATTTGGTCTTTTACATCAACTAACCTGCACATCAACATCTTTTGAGAATAGACCCAGTGCAAGAAGCCGTGTGGGGAGTTGTGCAAGCTATGGCACGTGTTCCACTCTTGAGACCCAAAGCCCTAATGACCCTATTGTGCTGAACGTCTTTGTGACTGATGATTTCACCAACTCAGGCCTCAGGCAAAAGGAGGCACCCTCCATCTGGAGGTTCCCCTTGGGGCTGCTTCCCTGACAGGGCTACTAGGTATAGGTTTTGAAGCTATTAGTTTTCTTCTGGGGTTTTCTGGACATCTGACATCTGAACATCTAACAAACGGAGGCCTTGTGACTCCAGCTTGATATTCTTATTTTGGGGGCTGAACTCAAACTCAGTAATGGCATAGGAAGGGCCCAATAAAACTTCTTGGTCAAGTGGAAATGGTACCAGTGTTATAACTTGGCTTTACATGAAAATGTGGCAGCTATCTCTTTGAAGGAAGAAGTTTTTCAACAAACTTGGGCACTGACAGTTTAGCTAAGTTAAAACTTGATGGTATGCACTGGCTGACTGTGGCTGTTTAACCTCAGCACCAGCTGTGAAGAACAGAAAATGGAAGTGGTCCCTCTACTCAGTGAGTGGAACTCAGAGTCGCTCTTTGAACTCTAGGCAATACTCCCCTTGATGAGCTTTGTTTTATTTTTACTAACTCTTGTAATGTTGTCAATAGCCTAGCTCTTTAAATTGTCACTTAGAAAGCTAAGACTGGCAGGTTAAAGACACCCCTCTTTGAGACTGAAAAGTGTGGAAGTAAATCACAGCTGCTAAGCAACTGTGTAGGTCACTTGTGTAGATGACCACAGTGAACAGCTGTTCTCTGATGAGACTGACTGGAATCAAGCTGCCAAATAAGCCAGTACCACTTTCACTGCTACAGCTGCTACCTGACCATCATCATCATCATAACGGGCATGGAAATATATCCATCACCATAGATTACCACAAAGTAAAGGACTTGATGTTTCTGATGCAGAGGCTGCTGTTGCGTGTATGACGAGACTCCTTCCAAAATTGACCTGTTTGCCTTGGGGTGAAGGGAGTCACATTGCATGGGATATCGTCCCTGCCTGGTCCTGGTAGCTCTATTACATGAGACTTTTGACCTTCTTTCAAGGCTGTCAGTGATGCTTCACCACTTAAGTCTGTGGCTTGCCTTTCACACTTTTAAAGCATCTATCTATTGATGAGTAAAAGTGTTTAGATTCAATTAACTCCAATTTATTAATTTTTCACGGTTAGCACTTTTTGTATGTTGTTTATTCAAATGGTTTTATAACCACAAAATCAGCAATTTTGTATGGTTCAACTTAATACATACATTAATTTACGTAATTTTTATAATAAACCTATAGGGTAGGCATCCCCATTTTGCAGATGATGAAGCTGAGGAAAGAGAAATAAAGTAATTCCTTAAGGTCACGTAGTAAATGACAGTGGGATTCAAACATAAACAATCTGGCTCTGAAGTCTGTACTCAATCATGATGTTATATTGTGTGTTCCACTTGGCGCTGATGTATCAATTTATGTTTCCTTCTCTAGTGTGTGTGTTCCTTAGGGGCAAAACTGCTTTCCTGTCTTTATAACCATTGCATCCAGCACAGCACCTTACACATGGTAGATGTCAATTAATACTTGAGGAATGAATAGATGAATGACTAGGGAAGTCTCCACCACTGTCATCACCAGGGAATGCTGGTTTGACATTGCAGGGGCAATGGTCATCTTCTTTCAACCTGGATATATTCGCATAGTGCACCTGCAGACCTTTGAACATATATCAGGTTTTCTGAAACTCTCCCCTTTCAGAGCCTCCCTCTTTAATTAACTATCATAATATTGATATTTATGAGTAATGTGGTCACTGGAAGTGGGGATCTCTGACCTACATGGGTGAAAAGAATTCTATTGCAAAAGATCTCAGGTATTTAAAAAAATTATCTCAAGGATAGAAAAATGATGCATATAAAAGATAACAAAATTAAATCTTATTCTTCCAATTCCACTGGAGAATCATTTCCACTTCCTCAAAAAAAATCTGCATGACATACTATTATATCTAGAAAAAATGTTATGTATATAAATAAAATGCAATCCAGCCACAAAAAATTAGTTCGTGATGTATTTGAAATGTTATCAAATTCATCAAATAAATTTAGAAGAATACCACCATCTCCCTTTATATTTGAAAACATTGGTCTTATTTACCCTTGTTATTGTTGCATGCTGTATTAGCAGACTTATTTAGGGAAGAAAATTTATGTGAGTTTCCCTAGGCAGTTCAGTGACAATTCAGATGAGTTATGTTATAATTTTTTGTAATTAGCATTTGTAAAAACAGAAACAGCCTTTACATACAGTCGAAGTATAAAACTCCTTCCTAGATTTCAAACCACTAAATAAATCACCTCTAGTTTGTACCTTATAGTTGAATGCCCATTGTGAGTTACTAATTCTAATTCATGTCAGTCTGGGTACAAATAATAGTTTGCAGAAATTTTAGCTTTGTCATCCAACTTAAATATCACTGAGTGGAGTTTACTGAAGTCAGATCTGATTATTTTGCAATAACACAATTTCACTTATTCTTAGTAGTGCTTGCCAAAGTATTTCACAATTATTGGATCTGATATAAAATAAAGCCCTTGCCCTGACTTTCTAATTTGTATTCGGCTTTGAGAGAATAATTTTGTCATCACACAAGTAGCGTGCATGTGAATATATTTCTCATAAATACGTAAATGGTGGTGGCTTACTAGAAAAACACTCAGAAAATACTTTTAAAGACACAACTCATTTTTTTTTCATTCTATTTGGACTCTTTTAAAAAAGATGCTTTGAAAATTTCAGATGTTGCTGTTATTATTATAGTCAAATGATTGATAGTAGTATATCATATTAATTGTTCTTAATGGGGATAATAAATAATAAAATAATTACAATAATAATGATAAAAAGTAATTAGAGTGAGTTGTATTTCGTAATGCTTCTGAATGAGTATGTTTGGTAACATGATTAAATCTCTCCAGTATGCAATAAAAACATATTTTTGAGTAGAGTACTAGAATGTCCTGCAGCCAAAAATTTCATATGCACAATACAACCCCCAGCCAAATTCAGGGGTGATATCTTATGAATGGCTCTGCTAAAAAAGAAATGTACAACTATTGTACTATATTACACTACTCCAAAAGTCAGAATAATAATAATAATGAAAATAATCAGAAATATCAGATACAAAGAGATTAAGGGATTCCAGAATTTCCAGATTAGAGAAGCTGAGGACTCTGTAAAACAACTTGACTGTTCACTTATTTTTAAATACGCTTCTTGGACTCCAGCCATAAGGATTCTGATTTAATAGGTCTGGGTGCAAGCTCATTACTGGCATTTTTTTGATAGGCACCTTTGAAGATCCTGGTGAAGGATGTCCCATACCACACTGAGAAGTGTGATCTGGGAAAACCGAGGTATCAGGCAGGTTGCCGAGATAAAGACTCTGACGTGTAGAGAAATGCTGAAACCTAGTTACCAGAGTCAGGTCACGATATCTCCAGCCTGGGAGTGATGCCCCAGAAGTTGTGTAAAGACTATCATGTCCAAGATTAGGTTGGTCTTAAGGAGTAGGGTGGGGCTGAAGCTACAGGCAGGATTGCAAGAGGTTCGGGCTAAGAACAGTCCAAGAGGCTGAGACAGGCAGCGTCTGCCTCTCAGTGCTTTTTCGTATTTCATCTCCTGGATACTCTACAGCCGAGGGAAGTATGGTTCTCCCCTCTCAAATGAGCCCAGATTTGGGGTGTGGGACGAGCCATTCTCTTTCTTCTCAAACTTGTTGGAGTAGGCCCTAGTTTTTATAAAGAGGTGTCAATTGTAACTAATGAAGAATGAGGAGGGCAGAAGAGCCTGGGCTGGGACTATGGGGACACATTGATGGGTAACTCTCCGGACTTATCAGTGAAGTGTACTTCTAATCTGCCAGTGTCACATCTGTGAGCAAAATGACTTCCTGGAGTTCACTTAAAGGAAAGAGTAGAGCTGTAATAGAAATAAGTGATTTCTAGTTTAGCTGAGCATCACTATCACTTGGGAGAACATTAAAATCTCTCTTCCTCAAAATCAAAATCAAATATTATATAAAATTCCTCTCCCAAAGATCCTCATTCAGTAGGTCTTGGGCAGAGTTTAAGAATCTGGGTATTTTTAAATAGTTATTTAGTTAATTCTTATAGTCAGTCAGAATTGGGAACCACTATACTAAAGTATGTTGGAAAGTTAACATATGCCTAAATACTGTCTTTGGTTTATGACGACCTTATACCTTGAAAATTCTGATAATTAATTCTATGCTTATTAACTACTACAGTCAAATGTGTAATTTTCCAGGAGTATCTGAAATGTTGCTTCATGTTTTCATGCCTCCAATCATAATTCAAGTTAAGACGTTTTAGCTAGAGTCCACCAACAATTATTAAATTAGTGTTTTGGGGTTGTGTTGCTACTTCTGCTTTACCTAATGCTCCATGGAAGGCAACTAGAGTGTGACTAAAATTTTAGCATCAAACAATGGTTTTCAAAAAGGGAAAGGTCAAGGCCTACTTAAGCATACAAAGTCAAAGGGAAGAACCTCTGGTATTCTCAAGGTCCAGATAAAGCATAATCTTTAGCAAAATGCCAAAACTGCAAAATGTAGATTTAATATAATATATTCTCTTTTGGATAATGAAGCATTCATTAGGAGGGGGAATTTAGCATAGAGTGACATCATGTAATTATGACAGGCTGTGACATAGTGGCAAGACTGACACCGAGTAATGACCATCAGGGTTACTTAGAATTTTTCCTCAATTAAGGGGAGATGGTAAAGCAGATGGAGACAGAGAGGCATCCAGAAAACTTGGTATTGTTGTTCTGTCTAAAAAGAGTAAAAAAATGCTAGCTGAGAAAGCTACGTTCTTGAGCTAATTATGAGAGCTGAAGACATAAAAAATAACATTTCACTTTCAAAAGGCAAGATAGATGTTAAAAAGCTTACCAGCAGGGATTCAAGGGAAAATGGCATAAAACCACTGGTTTTTGGCTGCTTTCGGCACAGACTGTAAAGTCCTGTGATTCTTGAGGAAATGATGTAGCAAGCAGTGAGAAGAAAAAGTGTCATAGAGGTCTGTTCTAAAGGGCACAGAATCTACCCTAAGACTGCCTCATCTTTTGTCTGGAAACTACAGTTACTCTTCAACCCCTCAAAACCATCTATATCTATATGGTTACTATAGGGCTTCCCTAAGAGTATAATGTGACTCCATCTGCTTGTTACAGTCATTGGCCTTCGGATGGGCATCTGGCTCAGGCTAAGCAAATCACACTTCTCTGAGAATTTGGAATGGATCCAAAAGTTCCTGCTTGCTTTGACAGCTTTCTTAAAAGGAAGTGATGAATTTGGGGGAAACGAATTCAAAAACCACTTCCTGTCATAACTATAAAAGAGAGAAGTCAAGTCTGCAACTTGAGAAAAGAAAGAAATAGAGTGAAAGAGAAGCAGAGACAAGAGAAAGAATGTTGGTGGCATTGTGTGTCTCTGTACCAATTATTCCTTGGGCCTGGATGCAATGTGCTCTACTCCACGTTAGTCTAAATTGGGCATTCATTATTTCAATCAAAAGAGTTCTAAATACTGTGGAGACAGAATGCCATAGGACTGCCCAAACAAGACCAAGGCCAAATATCCAGAAAAGAAAAAGGAATCGGAAGTAACTAAAGAATTGCACTCTGGGTGTGATGGCTCACGCCTGTAATCCCAGCACTTTGGGAAGCAGAGGTGGGCAGATCACAAAGTCAAGAGATCGAGATCACCCTGGCCAACATGGTGAAACCCCGTCTCTACTAAAAATACAAAAATTAGCTGGGCGTGGTGGTGTGCCTCTGTAGTCCCAGTTACTCAGGAGGCTGAGGCAGGAGAATTGCTTGAACCCGGGAGATGGAGGTTGCAGTAGGCTGAGATTGTGCCACTGCACTCCAGCCCGGGCGACAGAGCGAGATTCCATCTAAGAAAAAAAAAAAAAGAAAAAAAAGAATTGCACTCCAAAATAAAGCCTACTGGGGAGGGCTGAAAACAAACTATGAGTAAAGCTGTCACCAGACACCAGAAAGCAAAAAGGAATAATCGGGCTCAAGCCTTGATCCAAGAAGTAGGGGTATGGGTGTCAAGTCCTAAGAAGTTTGGTTACAAGTGGATAGGCCAGACTGAAAATGTTTAAAATAGCTTTGGTTGACTGAGGTTGGCAAGGTTCAGCATCCACATCTGAAAAGTCAGCCTCTAATTTCTAACTGAAATAGAGAAAGAAATGTTATGTTCACTTTTTAGAAGATCTTGATTTCAGTAAAGAAGAGACCCCCCCTACGTGGTATAACTGCTATCTTTGCTGTTGTTACTATCTTCTAGTGGATCTATCTCTGTTAGATATTATGAGGTTTTTCCATATAAAAAGGAAGTACATTTAGTTGTATCATTCATATGAATTTTTCAATGATCTCTGTTTTCAAGTATGAGTTAGGTCTAATCATTGAACATGGTGATGCTCACCTAAATTACAAGAATAAAGAAAGCATAGGAGTTATTAACAGTCTTCTAGCAATGGGACTTGAAAATTCAGCCTATTAATTGATGACATATGTTTCGATGACATACGTCATAGATTGTCTAATTTTACTCTTGTCACATAAATTTATCTAGTGCTAAGCATATGAAAATGGTTCTGTGAAGTATGGCCAATTTTAACATAGACATGTATTTAATCTTAACTTTCTACAGATTATTATTATTTTAATCATTGTGCTGATGTTTTAAAAATACCTAAAGAGACCAGCTGTGTTGACAAATGAATTAAATTAATACACTATTTAAACTTAGACAAATAGATCTTAGTCTGTTGATGGACATGAACATTGCTTAGGTTTTAAGAGCAGTAAGTCCAGCGTAATAAAGAGTTATTCAACCAGGCCATTCCATCACGTCTAATTCTGTGTACTTGACCTTTAAGTAACTGAGAAAATATCCTAAGACAATGACATGCTGTGTAAAGTTTTATACTATAAGAGGGTACCGAATTTGGAAAATGAAGAGAAGTGATAAGAATTCTGGTTTTTCATTCTTAGTGAGTTCAAGCAACTCAGACTCTCTGAACTTTCATTTTTAAAAACTGAAATCATGTTACTATTATCTTTCCTGCTACCTTAAAAAGGAAAAGGTGGCAGTAAGGAAGCCTAATAGCGCTAGGAAAAGCTCTTTGTTCCAAAAAAAAAAAGAAGGAAAAGGAAAAAAAAAAGAACAAATAAAAATAAAAGAAACAAAAAAGACTACCCCCCACCTGCCTACACACTCCCATGCATTACTGACCCCTTACCCCTTTAAGTTTCCAGCAAATAACCAAGAATGAAACTGTTGGAAAGTGAGATTGGAAACAAAAAACTCAGAAATACATCAAAGTCTTCAGAGGTAGGAAAAGAGGGAAGGCATTTTTGTGATGTGACTTTCGATATGCCAAAATGGCTCCTCTGATTAAAGACAAAAATAAGACTCAAGTTGTCTTCATACTTACTAATGTTCAAAATTCTCCAAAACAAAATTTATACTTTTGTAGTATAAAGTTTATCTCTGGACATCTACACTTGTTGCAATGCATTAGGAATAAAAAGGATGATTTTTATTACTCATTGCACCTTATTCTAAATAAGTTAGCATGTATTGAGTACCTACTATGTGCTATGAACATAACTAAGCTACAAAGAGTAATAACATACATTCTTGCTTTCAAGGAGGTCACTGGCTAATGGGAGATCAAATTTGTATGTCAAAAGCTGCAATGCATAATGCAATAAACTCCCAAACTCATTGAAGTGCAAACTTCAACGAGAAGAAACAGAAAGGAGGTGGAGTTGGGAAAGGAGTTTTTTAGGAACAGTCTTTCTTGCTTGAAGGTGAGAGAAAATAATTAGCATGAGAAGATTAGGTACCTATGAAAAAAATTCATAAAATGTAGGATAATCACAGAAATGGAAAACAAAGTTTAAGAAAAAATAGACTGCTTTGCTAGCAGTCATATGATTGGTAATCTGGGCACAAATTCTGGGACACTTGAGTTATAATCTATTCAAGAGTTATTTTTTAAGTCCTATTACTACCTAATCAATTATAAAAGAAAAAACAATGGCAAAAGAAGATCCCAAAAAGAGAGTGAGCAAATTTGGGGTGACTGTACTCCTGAAAGCTGAAAATCTTAGTTGGATTAAAGAAATCCAACAGGAAATGGATACCCAGCTAACAAGGAAAAAAAGAAGAATATAATACCATGATACTTTCCCTGACATAAAGGGGCCATATGTGCCTCGAGTGGTTTCATATGCCCAGACTTCTTTTTTTTTAAATACTTCCAAGTATATATTGTCAGATCAGGAAAATAATATTTATAAATCAAAAAATAGGATGATAATAAACACCTTTGCTTTATTCTTCTTGACTGTCTTGGAAGAATAGCTATCATTTTTTTCCAGAATCATTTGCAGGTCATTTTCACATCAGGTAATACTGACTGTCATCATCTCCTTTTGATAGTTGATCAAATGTAGTCCTGTCACTATCAGAGACTATCTGAGAACTCATGAAACTTCTCCTTAGTGGTCGAAATGTAAATGTCCCTATTCTTAGACTTTTATAATCATTTCTTTCCTGAGTTGCCAGATTTTTACCTCCTTGCCTTTCAATTTCATATATAATTTTTGTGGATAAAAAGGGGAAACCCCTGTAGGATTTGTCCTTGTTCTCTACCACCTCGAGAGAATGGAATTTTGAAAGAGTTCACCCAATAAAAAGAAATAAGAGTAACTTGCAGTTACAGCTCCTCTAAACATCCTAGCAGTGTCCTTATTATTTGCATTCAGGTTTTAAAAAAGGGTACAGAGCAAATATAAATTAGATCCATCTGAGGTGAAACATTTCATTATATTTTATTATCTCCAAATCAATTCCTAAAGCAATGTGTGAATTCAAATGTTTTATCCAGCATTTTCAAGAAACCAATTTAAAATCACAAAGCTTAGAACAAATCGCCAGAAATATTGCAAGCAGTCATTAAGTTACTCCAAACCGATTAAACTCTATGTTTATACATGCAGTAATATACATGCACTTGCTCCTAATTTCCTTTTGTAATTAAGCACGTATACAGAGGTATAGCCTTACTTGAAAAATAATTTTAATCCTCTTGTTTAATCTTTTTCCTGTTCTCTCTGGCCCCTGCTACCAAGTGGCAATAGTCATTATGTCTAGCATTAACCTTCTTTTATCATGTATGAGACCAGTTTCTTTTAAATACGCATATATACTACGTAGTGAGTTTCTAGGCATTCTGAAATTGCATTATATTTGGGAGATATTTCATTCCCAAATCTATGGAGAGATACTCCCAGAAGGTTACTCAAACATAACCCAGATGTAAGTGTTCCAAAATTTAGTGTCAATGATATATGGGAAATGAACACAAATTGCACTCGTTTATAGTCAAGATCAGCTAAAATGCAACACTGTTGGATATACATTTCTGTTTATAGAAATTAACCTCCAACCCAAGATATTTAATACTGTTCTGAAATCTATTCAAATGTAAAGATTATTGACCAATTACAGGAGAATCATCACATTAATTAATAGAGTCTCATCTGTTAGAAATTCTTGCATGGGTCAAAAACAACGACATTGAAATTTCTATAAAAGTCAGTCAATTTGAACAAAACTTTTTAAACCAAGGGAGTCTCAGGTATTTAGTAAAGGGAAAGGGAAATAATAGCATTGAGCTCCTACTATGTCCTAGACTCTTAAAGTGGCTTTGCTTAACACACACACACACACACACACACACACACACACACACACACACACACTTGCTAATAAGGAAATAGATATCCAGAGAGGATTAATAATTTGCAAGTGTCACACAGCTTATGGAAGAACTGGAATTTAAATCTAGCTCTAATTCTAAACTCATGTTTTTTATACAATGCAAACAGCCTACCCAGTAAAATAAGTCTTTGCTTTTGGGGAATGTTAGCATTCATATATAGCATTTCACATACTTGTGTACAAATATCGCATTAAGCTTTTCCAAAAAAAATTTTTCTATATATTTGTCTAAGCTCTAAAGTGCTAAATGTTAACATCTTTCTAATGTGTTTTCTTGCTAGTATAATTTATTTAAGCATTTCTAATATTGGGCATCCAAATTGTTTCCAAGTTCCTTTTATCATCAATAAGTCACAAGTAAAGTCATTCCTTCCTTAAGATTTTTGTTTCTTACGTGAACTATTTTTTTTAAGATATAGTTTTAGGCCAGGCGTGGTGGCTCATTTCTGTAATCCCAGCACTTTGGGAGGCCAAGGCAGGTGGTTCACCTGAGGTCAGGAGTTCAAGACCAGCTTGGCCAACATGGTAAAACCCCATCTTTACTAAAAATACAAACATTAGCTGGGTGCGGTGGTGGCCACCTGTAATCCCAGCTACTCAGGAGACTGAGGCAGGGGAATCACTTGAGCCCAGGAGGTGGAGGCTGCAGTGAGCCGAAATTGTGCCACTGCATTTCAGCCTGGGTAACAGAGTGAGACTCCATTTCAAACAAACAAAAAAAGAAGATATAGTTTTAGTTGTGAAATTTATGGGACTAAAGGATATGACACCTATATAGGTGCACACTGCTGCCTTTTTCCCCAAACAGATGAACTAATTTAAAATAAAGTATTGTTATTTTTAAAAGACCTTGTCAGCACTCACATTGTATAATGGTGAGGAGAACATCAAGCTTCAGGAATTTATCATGCAAAGTGTTGTTGTGAATTGCCCTTGAAAAAGATAGCGACGGACCTCCTCCCCTCCCCTGAATTATGTTGCATCCCAGCAGACTAAAATGCTTATTAATTTTTAATATTATCCTTCTGAATGGAGAGCATGATAAATGTTCTTTTGTATATTCTTGTACAGTTTGAAATCTTAGAAATGCTAAGATCTCAGGACATCTATGCTAAGCCCAGTAAACACTGACGAGCTTTTACATTCCTGGAGGAGGGTATGTACCAGAAGTAAGAGTAATTATTAAATTACCTGAAACATCAATTCTAATCATAATAACAACTACTAATGTTTGTACAATGCTTTCCTGTTTAGATAGTGTTTTCCCATGTGTCTGATGCTGAGTAGATTATACTGTGCTGGAGTTTGCGAGATACAGAGAACTGTGTGCCAGAAATAAAGGTAGTATCTCTGTCCTTATTGATGCTAACAGTTTCATTGGATTAAAAAGACATCATCACACTAAAAATAAACTATTTATTCTCAAAAGAGTAGTATTAAATATCTCATAAGTGATATATATATAAGTGTCAGAATGTGAAAGAAGGAAAATGTAATTATTCTGGACTTGAGTATTCAAAGTAGTTAATATTGCTAAGGTGCGGAAAAAACTTTTCAGAAAAATCATATATGAGTGTTCTGGGAAGTTAAATCTTAGTTCCATTCTGGCCATTTTCCTGACCTCCCATCATCACCTCAGTGTGCCTGATCCAGGTCTTTGAGCACATCCTGAGGGCTTTTCTTTAGGAAAATCAGCTGAGTGCTAGAGTCCCAAACTTTCTTGGCCATCTCTGGAAGTAGGCCCTTTTAGCAACTCAAGAGCAGAGGGTTGTGCCTAGTGATCCTCTACCACTCTGTAGCAAAATATTTCACCTGCATCAAAAACATCCATGTTTTAATACTTTGCTTAAGTCTAGGTGTGGAAAATATCAAGCTTTAATAATGGAGTGTTAAAGGAGCTATTGATCCAGGCAGACAACTAAGTACATCCATTCACTCAACAAATACTTATTGAACACTTAGAATGTATCTGGCCCTAGGTGCTTATACACATTATTGAGGTATGAAGGAAAAACTAGTATTTGATTCTGAATACAGGACAGAAAAAATCCATATAATTTAGCCATAGTAGGAACAAAGAAATACATTTTTTCCAAACCCTGTGTGGTGAATATCAAGAGACTAAGACCACCAAAAAGTGAAGTAACTTACTCAGTCAATAGATGGCTAGTTTTAAGGCCAGATCTTAGAACCCAGATCATCCAATTCTTTGCCAATTTATGTTACCCAAGGGTCTCATGAAGACACTTCCATCACCTTTGCCTTCTTGAAATTTTCAATTCTCTTCTCTGAAAGAAACCATGAAAAACATCTCTCAGGACAAATGTAATTGTTTATTGTTATTATATTCAGAGACTGTAAGTTCTTCATCATCTTATATTTATTCTTCAATGAAATAAACTTGAGTAACTGGGTAAACATCTACAATGCTTCACAAACTATTAAAATGGTCTTAACAATGCTAAGACTATTAAGGCTGTGTTGTCCAATATGATAGCCACTAGTCACATGCGGTTTAATTGATTTAAATTTAAATTACATAAAATTTTTTATTCAGTTTCTCAGTTACATGAGTCACATTTCATGTGTTCAATAGCCACATGTAGCTGGTGGCTACCATGTTGAACAGTTCAATTATAGAATATTTCCACCATTGTAAAAAGTTCTCTTGCAAAATGCTATACCATATTAAAAGAATGAGCCTACTTTCCACCTGGCACTGCAAAGAATGAGTTAACTTGCAAAGTGCATTTATTCAACATTTCTGCCATGAATAATAAGATATCAACATAAGGATATGAAGAAAGAGAGATTTTACTGAGAAGTACAAGACAGATACAATCATCCTGTGTTCTTCCACTTCCCTACTTGCAAAACTAGATGTTTAAACAGCATTATTTGAATGCCTCAGATGCTCAAATGTTTCTCTCCATATGACCGTAGTCAGAAAGATTTTTCATAAGTCCCATGAAATTGTTTATGTAGAAATAGTATCAGTATTCACTATAGTACTCATTCCATTGTACATATATTACATATAAAACAAATGACATGTCTTAAAGAAAACACGAGTGATTATTTAAGAAGGAAAATTATTTCCAAGTGAGTATTCAAATGAAAAACCGTAAAAGAAAAGACTATAGTTTTAACTATACCAGTAAATTGAGCACATCTTTTTTTCCCAAATTAGAGTATTTTGGAGAAAATAAAGGAAACATAAATAACATACTATATATAATTATATTTTTACATAAAAATATTCATAATAGTGAAAAAACTTAAAAATCTGAATTGCTATTCATACAATATTACCAAGCAAAATAATCATTTCCATAAAAGGTGATATAACAATCAAAAATGCAGTCTTCTCCCAAGCAGAAACAGTATGATTTTATATAAGGAAAATAAAAAGTGGGCATCTACAAAAAAAAAAAGAAAGGATAAACACAAAGGTATTTATGTTGTTTACTTCTGGTCAATAGTATTTTTGATGTCTGCTATTCCCTCTTTCTTGCCTGTCTTTGCCAATTGTCTTTTCTATATTGAATATGTACTACTCTTACAGTGGAAATGTACAGTATATCCTTTTAACTAAACAAGCAACAACATTTTTCCTACCTGGATGCCATTATCATACAGAGTTTAAATGTATGAATGCATAAGCAAATGAATAAACACAGAAATAAGTATAACTAACTTTTCTAACACACTTATAATTATTTTATTTCAATACTTTTGAGGTACTTCTAGTAAATAACGTAGAGCTTGTTCTTGAAATTTTTATGCAAACAAATCTATAAGGAATCAAGTTTCACTTAGTTATTAGCCTTGATAGTATAAAAGGGCCAATGAAAAGAGAAAGAAGAGTTTAGAAATAAGAAATGGAACCTAGGATATATAGATTTATACCATACCAATGTGTCCTGATGGTTATAGAACTGTTCCCAAAGTTTGAGTTTTAATTAATTTTTTTAAAAACCTTACAAGGTGAAACTTAAATGAATCAATAATGCTAAACAAAGCAGTCTGCATTTCTATTAGTCTGGTTCTGGCTTCTCCTATCTCTTTAAAAAAAATATTTACTGTGCAAACTACAGGCAAAGTGAATTTTCTAAAGGACACCATTTTTAAAGAAACTGAAAAAATGTAAATTTTTCTCTTCTTTCACTTTGAATCTTAATAAGATCAGGTTCATATGATTACTACAAATATGAGAGGGAAAAAAGAATAGACGAAGGGGCAGTGAGGGGAGGAAGAGTTCTAAACCATTTCAGTGGAGTAAAGATCAAGTTCATTTTAATATAATTTTTAATGGTTGTTCAAACTCCTATAATGTACCCACACAAAAGGCTTCAGTTAATGTGTGTGTGTATTTTGAGCAGTTCCCCTCTTCGACCCTCGAGTTTAATTTCCGTCCTTCAAATGAGATGAATGGAGCGTGAAGCAGGTCATATCTCAATGCTGACACATGGGTTGCAGATAGAACTCACAGCCTGGAGAAGCAGCCAGTTTGGAGATTAAATCAAAGCAGCTCTGAATAGATGGGAGGTCAGCCAGGGCCAGCTTTGACATTTGATAGGACCTTGTGATCAATCAGGCCTTTCTTCACTCTTCCAGGCGTCCTTATGACAGTGGCCCTAAAAAAACAGATGGGATATGTTACAAAGTGCAGGAGAAGCACTAGATTGTGAAGGAGATAGGTGTCAATATTATCAAAGGGACAACTGTTATTTGAAGCAGCCAGCAAATGAGAAGGTCCTGCTTTGCTGCAATTGCTCCGCTAAAGTGTGCCTCTCATGATGTGAAATCTGAACCTTGGGAATAGTGAGATAATTTTTTAAACTGATTTTTAAAATTTCTTACCTCCTGTGTAAACTTTGAACATTCCTGATGTCATAAGATTAAATTTTAGCCAACATTCACTCTGTGGATAAACTGTATTTCCAACAAGGTCAAGCTTAGTTTGTGCTGTTTGTTTCTCTGCCTGCTAGGGAAGACATACACACACACACACACACACACACACACACACACATATCCCCCCACAGGACATGATAACCTTTGGAAGAGAAGAATTAAGGGATGTTAATGCAGAGCGCTTGCTGGGCAGGGACCTATGCGTGGTTTCAGGAAATCCCAGTCACGTCTCCAAGAAGGTCATGAAAAATGAATGGCCCCAGAGCACCACTGTGACAGACTGTTTTAGTGAGTGGTAATGGGCCATCTCTAGAATGAAAGGTTGTGTATTTATAACTGTGCAGGCCGCCGGGTATCACACCATTCATTATGCCTGCCTGATTTAAGGGAGATGCCTTTTCCGGGGGTGACATGGGAGCAAATTATTTCCAGGAAGATCACAGCTCTCTTCTCCCCCTCCACCTGCCTCTCTGTATGGCTCACCTCATCCCAGCAGTAAAACACACTCTCATGGTCACAAAAGCACATTCTCTGAATTTTTCTTGTCATAGAGCATTTCACAACTAGAGCTTATCTTACCCCAACTTGTATTGGGATGAGAGAGCTGGAATGAGGGAGCTTGCCTAAGGAGGGCTTAGACGAGGGAGGATACCACATTCTCACTCTGCTGTCTTTCCTCTATCAAGTGTCTTACTGGGAGGCTGTGGACCGATGCCAGGTGACGTGATAGACAGCTACTGGACTAATTTGCAAAGCGAATTTCTGAAGTCAGATTTTTTGCTTGATATGGATTCCATCTTCAGAGAAGGTAGCATCTGATTCACATTTTGTTTCTTGTTTACAGTGGTCTGGCATTAGTTAACTGCAAAATTACTCAACCTCTCAGGACTTTTTCTGATGAGAAATTAACCAATTGCACAAAATTTTGTCTAAGTCATTTTCCAACATGAATGCTTTGGGAATGCTTGAAATTCTAATAAGATAGGCACATGAAACAACCACAAATTCCAACCAGCATATCACATGTTATTAAAATTAATTATTAAGAAAAATTTCAGGAAATGTGTTGATGTAGCTATCTCAATAGAAATATGCAAAGTCTCATATTATAAAAAGAGTATTTAAATCTGTCAGAAGAGTTATCATAAGGTAAGTTGTTTTAAATAAAGGATTTAGATCATTTAAGGAGTTACATAAAAAAATAAGCTTTATATTTCACACTGGTCTGTTGAGGAAAAGATACATATAACATACTTGGTTTTCAACCAAGTTAATTCAGCTGCCACTTTAACATAGCTGTAATACATCAATGGTTAAAATAAGATTTCTACAACCGTGTTTTCATGGTCCGTGTCACAGGCGCTTTTTTGAAGAGATGGTACAGTTATTTTGATGATACTTTCCAGAGGGGTCAAAACACATCTGAGAGACCTTTGGATTATCAAATGTGTGTGTGTATTTAATTTACGCAAATTGTGCCCTGATTCTGGCCCCCAAGAGCTCAGATGTTTGTGAGACTTTAGAGACTATTTACAGAGAGGCACTTTTTTTTCTGAATAATTTTGTCATTGAAATGTGGCAAAAATCTTTCAAAATGGTAATTCTCCCTAGAAAGCTAATCCTTCAAGAGGTTTTTTTTTTTATGTCTCAGAGAAAGCTGTGTGTAATCAAAAGACTCTACAAAATACATGTTGGTTTTAGTCACTCTCTATAATTCCATTTAACTATTGCCAACTCCAAATACAGCCACAATTTTCCTGTATCTTGTGCACATCAGATAAAGAATGCAGAAACAATTGGCAGTTGGCAGTTAAGTAGCCAAAAGAGGAAGGAAAAAAGCTTTGCTAGTGTTTTCCAATTAATTTCTTTTCAAGTGAAAGTTTGAAAAGAAAAAAAAAATAAGAAAACTGGAAATGACCTAAAAACTCTGGTGTGATAAGATAAACTTTGGCCTGACCATCACCCTGTTTGACTGAATACATAGTCTAGGTATGAGAAACATGACCAGGAAAACATGGAATGTATTTTCAACAATTTGTAAAATTATGCTGAAGCTTTAAGAAATATAAAGGATTCGATTTTGAAGAAATTAAGTCTGTTGGAAAATTAGTGAGGGAAGAAAGCAAATAAAAATAAATATTTCATTAATGACTTTGACCACAATTTTATTTTTAAAAATTGTGCTAATGCCAAATTCTTTTTTTAATCTGATTTCTCAAATAGAACAAAGACACTTATTAATATCAGGAATTTCATCATATTTTATATTTCAATTGTCCCTTTTAAATAACCAACAAATGAGTCAATGTTTGTCAGAATGACCCAAATGCATAAAGCATTTAGTGAACACTCTGGCATGTAACAGTTTACCAAACATGCTAGCCCCTGTTTTCCCTTAGCGGAAAACAAACAGTGATAGTCTTGGTCACAGGCATAGCCAGGGAGTTTTTGTTCCACTCCATCCAAATGCCTGTTGAAACCCTCTGATTTCTCTCTTAGAATTCATGTACTCTTGATCCTGAAAAATCAATATAACTGACCACTTCAAGTATCTCCCACATTCTGAATAATGTTTAAGATTGCCCAAAGTTTTCTTAAAGGCAGAGGCTATAACCTGGTGACAGAGTTTATTTCAGATTGGGCATGGACTTCTCTCTTCAAAAATGTCCTGGGCTCACATGTGACAAAAGGGCTTCTCTGGATTCAAAACCCCTCACAGGCTGCATCCAGGAGGATATGAAATGGGCTCGCACAGGTTCTGTTTTGTAACCACTGGGCCATGGAGCGAATCCACTTATCACAGCTTATTAATTCATGCAAAGAGGCACAGGACATCTTCTTTGCCTAAAGTGATTAAGAGCTCAGGATTTCTTGAAGATAGGCAGATCTGGGTTCAAATCTCAGATCCACCTCTCACTGATGTATGACATTGGGCAACTCTCTTTAAAGGAGGAATAATAATGATGCCTAATTCAAACAATTGGTATGAGAATTGTCTAAAATGATGACAGAAAGCAAGTTTCAAAGTTCCTGTTACACATAAGCATCTCATAAAGGTAACATTATTATATATAAATCTAGCCTATCTTTGAGCACTCCAACCTGGGATAATTCCAAGGACCAAGGGAACACCATGCCCTCATGCCATTTTAAGCTATCGTTTTGTAATTAAAGAAAAGAATTAATCAAAAGATCAGTTAAGACAGTGGAGAGGTAGGAGACCAAACTTTATATTTCACGATATTTGAGAAATCAGATTTAAAAAGGAATTTGGCATTAGCACAATTTTTAAAAATAAAATTGTGGTCAAAGTTGGCACTCTTCAAATAGTGACTAAATAGTGACTAAAAGATTCATTGACAATGTCATCCTCTTAAACACAGTGGAATTGCCTTTTCACAAAATGTTGAATAATAGCAATTAGAGCATTATAGCATAGTGTATCCTCTAGAATATGAGTGTATTTTTATCCATTTCTGCATAACAAATTATCTCAACATTTAGAGGCTGAAAATAGCAAACAATTATTTTTCAAAAGTTTCTGTAGCTCACGAATCAGGAGCAGCTTAGCTGTGTCGTTTTGGCACAGATTCTTTCATGGGCTACAATCAAGGTTTTGGCTGAGACTACAGTTATCTCAAGGATATCTGCTTCCAAGCCCATTCACATAGCTATGGGCAGGTCTCAGAAAGTCTATTTTCAAGTCCATTTCCATGGGACTTGCCACAGGGCTGCCTTATGCTTTATAGCATGGCAGCTGGCTTCCCCAGGGTAAGTCATTCAAAAGAGAGTGAGAGAGAGCCTCCAAGATGAAAACTGCAGCCTTTTATAACCTAATCCCTCAATTACTGTCCTATCACTTCCCAGGTATTCTATTTGTTATATGTGAGTCAACAAGCCCAGCCCACACTCAGCAAGAAGGTATTACAAAACGATGTGAATACCAGAAGGCAAGGATCACTAGGAGCCACCTTATAGGCTGCCCACCACAGTGTATCCTCTGGTGCCCAATGATTTATTTACCTCTCAAATGCAAAATGTACTCACTGCCCCCAAAGACTTCAAAATTCTCATTCCATTGCAATATCAGCTTCAAGTCCATAATCTCGTCATCTAAATCAGGTCCAAGTATGAATGTGGTTTCTCAAGTGTAGTTCTTTAAGCACAGCTCTTCAAATACAATTCCTTGTTATTTTTAAACCCATAAAACAAGAGCAAATTATGTCTTCCTCTGCCAACATGCAACAGCGGGACAGATATAAGATAAGCACTTATATGACCCTGTTCAAAGAAGGGGTAGGGGATGGAAGACATAGGGGTTACAGGTCCATGGCAGTTCTAAAATTGAGCCAGGCAAATGTTGGAAGATCCTTGATTAGGTCTCATATCTGAAATAATTCTTCGTGTTTCTCCACTCTGCCCTCTGGGCTCTTGGTTTCACCCTCCTAGTCTTCTTTCTAGTTTTGCAAAATATAGCAGGTGTTAAAATTCTGGGCCTTCAAAGCCCTGTCTTCATTCTGTACTGTTCTGCACTGTCCCATTCCATCCAAGTGGTAATGTTTCTGTATCTATCTCTTTTGAGAACCTTATGGGTTTCCTGTGAAACTTCTCCAGGTTAAATCCATCAGACAAAAGCCCCACCCACACACCTCTTACAGATAATCTCCCTTCCACCTTGGGCTTCTGCTGAGATGACTGGGGACAATGCCCTTAGGCTTCTTAGAAGCTCTACTCTTTGGCTGAGAGAATCTGTGTGGCACACTCTTAATCTCCTTAAGGGGCCCTTCAGTCTGACTGAAGGTTCTCTGAGGTACCAGAGAATTGTGAAGATCTTAATAAAAAGATTTATGGCCACACCCTAGACATTATCTCCGTTTTAGCATCTCCGACTTTCTGAATAGTGTGAGAGCTTTCAGAACCATCAAGATCCAGCTTCTTTTTGTTTAACAGTCCTTCCCTTAGTTTAGCTTTCTCTCATCTCATGTTTTACTATAAGCAGCAAGAAAAAAAAAATGGGTGGTAACTAACCGTTCTGCTTGGAAATCTCAGCTAGATCCCCTAGTTTATCAGGCACATTTTCTACTTTCCATGTTCCTGCAGACAAGTGTATTGTTAAGTTTCTGCCCTTCCCTCCAGTTTCCAATAAGATTTTTCTCCCATTCCTTTAAGGCCTCACTGCCAGCCTCCTCATAATTCAAAATTGTATGCACAATGGGTTCAAGGTACTTGATCTTTCACCAATACTCTACTCAAAATTCTCACAGTTTCCACCTTCTACACACCGCCTATTTCCAAAACCACTGTCTCATTTTAGATTTTGCTATAAGAGCACTCTACTTCCAGGTTCCAAAATCTGTCAGTCAGGAGTTAGAATTCATTCAGCAGTCAGACAAGTAGAACCACTAGCAAAGTGAGTCAGTGACCATGTTCCATTCTTGTGTCATTCCATTCAATACTCACGTTCATAGGAAAACATCTCACTGTCCCAGCCTGGTTCACATGGCCATCCACTCACTGGCCAGAAGGAAGGCAGTACAGTTGGACTGACAGTGCCATCAAAATGACATGTAATAAGAATGGTTAGTTTTTCAAAAGAAAAGGATATGTTACTATCAAATGAAGCAGAAAGGGATACTGGTTGGGTGAAAGTAAAAGATGCCCACCACCTCTATCAAAAGTCTTTGTAACTGGCTGATGGTCTGCTATTTGCAAATAATGGATAAAAAGATTCCCTAGAGTGAACGGTTCCCAAAGATGTCGGGGTGCTTTACAAAAAAAAAAAAAAAAGATACGATTTTTAATTCTGTCTACAGCTCTAGGGCCATCTCCTATATCCAGGTCAGTTCATACTTTGCTGGTTTGTAATGTTGCATAGGAACAAGTAGTAAAAGGTAGGGAAGGAATAAAATGTCTTGACCCAAACAGAATGATTAGGAATACCTATCTCCTAGAGACATAGCCTGGGAGAGGAATTATGACTGAGACCACACAAAAGTCTGAGTGTGTCGTAAACAGGATAAACATTCAGACTTTGAAATGACCATCAATTTCTGTCTTTTCTATTATTAACATTTCTCTGCCTGTATATTTAAAAAACAATAATTCAGAACATGAATCTTTGCTTTCTCCCAAAAATGTCTTGGGCTATGTGATATTTTCACACAAAGGAGCTATTTTTGGCATTCAAAAATTGCTTTTCTTCCTGCTGGCAAAGAGAATTCACTCACTACCTACTAGTGCATAACGCTTATTTTGCTTAAAAAAGAGAAAAAGGAAAAAGGCGCTTCCTCCAAATGATATAGGAGAAAAGAGAAGATATTAAATTTGTAAAGGACAAAATTACTCCTCCTCTTTGAACATTTTCTGGAACAACACCCTGCTGCCTGTCTATTGTTTCAGAGGCTAATAGTTATATAAAGCCTCTTTAACAGCTTCTATTCCACGACATCACTGTCTCTGCCATGAAAGGAGTAGGCAATGGAGTAATGACTCACTTTAAGACCGCACCCTTATTTATATTCAGGGCTTGTCATGGGAGAGATTACCCCATTCTTTTTTGTTTCTTATTTTTTCCTTGTTTGGCTCTTACTTCCTTCTTTAATCCTTCTAAAGTTTTGTTTCAATGTCTACCTGGAACCCCTATGTTCATACTGAAAATGAAAGGAGAAAATTAGGCCGAGAATCGAAAGATTAGAATTCTCTTTGGTCTATTAACTTATGAGTGCTCTGAAGCCAATATTTTATTTAAAGAGAGAAACAAAAGTAGAACTTTGTAAATAATTTTTGCCCAATTTGATGCTTAAATGGATATTATAGGTCATTATTAAGTAATGAACATTTTTAAATAGATGGTTATTTTAATAAACAAAAATGTTGTTTTATTTAATCTCTCCCTTTAAGTTTTAGGTTGCATGGTAATTTAGGGCATACCACTTGTATTAGTCTATTCTCAGACTGCTATAAAGAAATACCTGAGACTGGGTAACTTATTAGGAAAAGAGGTTTAATTGGCTCATGGTTCCACAGGCTGTACAAGAAGCATGGCTGGGGAGACCTTGGGAAACTTACAATCATGGTGGAAGGTGAAGGGGCAGCAGGCCAGAGCAGAAGGAAGAGAGAGAGGGGAGAGGTGCCACACACTTTTAAACAAACAAATCTCATGAGCACTCACTCACTATCACTGAGCAGCACTGAGGGGCAAACTGCCCCCATGATCCAATCCCCTCCCACCAGGCCCCACCTCCAACACTGGGGATTACAATTTGACATGAGATTTGGGTGGGGATGCAGACCCAGACTATATCACCACTCTTTATTAGGAAACTCTGTAAACTTAACTATTTGGGAAAAATAAATGTATTCGATTTCTTTCACTGAACATAAGCATAGAATGACATACCATTTTTATCAGCATTTCTGTTAAATTTTCTTGGGACTTAAATTTAAAAATTCTCCAAGCCATCTTAGTTTTAAAATTAAAAGAGTATCTATCATTTATAGCACTCACACTCCTGGGATACTAATTAGTGAACAATTCATCTGGAAAATTAAAGATGTTCCAGAAAGTGTTACTAAAATAGGTGTTTGTTTTTTTTTTTTTAAGTCTTTATATGAGGAGAACTAGACTCAACTAATGAGCAGCTGAAAGAATACATTCTTATTCTATGAGATTATATATTTATAACAGAAAATAAAAAGTATGCTACTATGGATGGCATTGCAATACGGCAATACAGTAGAACAAAATCCTATAGGGAATAGGTAGTTCCCAGTTGCCTGATGCCTTCCACTAGCACGATGAGGTGATCTGGTGTTATATCGAACCACTGGAAAGGATTGAAATGACCTAGCCCTGAGGAAATCATCCATTGCCTTATATCCCCCAGAATCTCTGTTTTCTCTTATGGTAGATAAAGAATTTAGAGCAATATGATTCTTCCAATGCTACAGGTTTATAGCTCTGGCAGGTCCTAGCTCCATGTGGACATTCCATATTGCCCTGCTATTCCCACTACAAATCTTTCCTTTTCTTCTTTCACTTACTGGTTACTTGCTATGTTTTTTTTTCTTTTTTCTTTCTTTCTTTTTCTTTCTTTTTTTTTTTTTTTTTTTTTGAGACAGAGTTTCACTGTTGTTGCCCAGGCTGGAGTACAGTGGCGGGATCTCAACTCACTGCAGCCTCCGCCTTCCCAGTTCAAGCAATTCTCCTGCCTCTCAGCCTCCCAAGTAGCTGGGATTACAAGCGTGTGCCACTATGCCCGACTAATTTTGTATTTTTAGTAGAGATGGGGTTTCACCATGTTGGTCAGGCTGGTCTCGAACTCCTGACCTCAAGTGATCCACCCGCCTGGGCCTCTCAAAGTGCTGAGATTACAAGCGTGAGCCACTGCGTCCAGCCTGCAAACTCTTTTTCTTATCCTCATTCCTAACACCTCATCTTGGCCTCTTACTTCAGACACTTGATGACCAGACCCTTTTAGACCAAAAATCATGCCTTATTATAATTAGTACCTCTAGCACTAGCACTTAGCCAAATGCCCAGTATATAGTAGAAATTAGATAAGTGCTTGGTGAATGAACGATGTATAAATAAAGAAGTAGATGAATATTAAAGGGTGAATGATAAATGTCTGGGATAAAGAATTTTTCCTTCATATCACTGAAAAAGTAGAAGATAGGTTTTTGATGAAAATTCCATTTTTCAATGATAACATAGTACTATATAGAAAGCTACTATATTTTTAAAAATTAATGTATTACTCTACTTCACAAACAACATGGATAAAGTAAACTTTTGTGGCCTGTTTATTCCTGTTGTGATAACTTGACACTTTGAACATTCTGAGTGGTGCTCTCATCTTGAAAACCCTGACTAGTGCATGGCTTGTATATCTGCTTTTTGTGTTTATGAATTGGAGAATATCCGAAAGATAAAGTAGAAATTAACTTTCGGTACTATAAGTCTAACATGACTTGTAATGTTTTATGGAGGTTTTAAATGCTGATAATCATGGGCTAACAAACAGAATGCAGATCTCCACCCTATCTAGGTCTAGAACATGCTGTTTAGAGAAGTGTTGCTATATGTCAAAAGGAAGAAAATGTTCTGTGACTCCAAAGGTACAGTCACCAGGGTCAAGATTTCAGGACCCAAGGTAGCAGTTGCCAGGGTCAAGATTTCAGTTCAACTTAAAAGAAAGCCAAGCCTTCCAACAACGGAATGAGGCTCCTCCTAAAGTAGCCAGCTCAGCCACCATTGTCCATATTCAAGAAACAGCTATATTTGGTATTTGTACAAAAGTTTAAAATAAAACTGACCAAAAGACTTACATGTTAAACCTGAAGAATTCTGGGCCACCCTGAGGCCTTCTCTGCCCATTGAACAGCCACCCTAAAGGAGATTTTGACTGATGGTTTTCTTTACAGGGTGGTTCAGGGGTTTATCTAGTCCATCCATCCATCCTACCATTCAACCATCCATCCTACCATTCAACCAACCATCCATTTGTCCATCCAACATCTAACCATTCATTCATTCATTATCCTTATAAAAAAAATTCCCTCTGAACCCCTCTTTCCCAGAAGCACCATCCTCATGGTTCCCATGACATTATCTTTCCCTGTGTCCTCCCTTCCTTGCTGCTGCTCAGACATTATTGTCCTCATTTAGCACCCTCCCCTGCACACACTGTAGGATGTGCATATTCTACAAAGTCTAACCACTCATTCTGACTTATTTCCTCTCTATGAGACAAACTCCTCAGAAATCTTGGGAATATGTTTCTTCTGTTGTCACTCACATTTATTATTTTATTTGTATAACAACCTGAGAAGAAGGCAGCGTTAATATTAGTATCCCCATTTTGCAGATGTGGAAACTGAGACCCAGAGAAATTCTCTTACCTGCCCATGCTCACATGATGACAGTGACCCGAACCTGGGCCCTCTGGTTCCAAGCTTGGTGCTCTTTCCACCACCACAGGTGAGACAACTAGGTCCTGAGGGTTTAAATGGGGAATTTCTTTTTGAGCTAGAAGTCTCCTTCTATTTTACATATGATTCAAATTTTTAAATGTTATTTATCTATCAATAAAACTAATATGGGGCTCTGTAAATGTTCTTAACACCAATTTCTTTTTATGGAGTACACTGCAGCAGTCATAAACTCAGGGTACTATTATTTAAGTTAGTTAAGTTACTTTAAGATTATACAAAGAGGCCAATTTTATCACACCGTTATTGCTATTTTGTCACTTTAACATCGTCAGGTTAATTTAAGAAAAGAAAGTAATTTCAAAGGCAGTAAGCCACAATGGTATAGAAAAGGCTTTGCCAGCTGGCTGTAATGCTCTGAAAATTAATGAAATCATCACGCCTTAACATTTTCTCTAGAGCTGCACTGTTAGGAACATATTCTTTCTAAATTTAGCTATTGGCAAACAGTCACTCTTAAAAACTAATAAAATTTAGTAATACTTTCCATACATACCAGGGTGTGTCTTTTTACTCAGTAAAATTATAATTTGAATGTCTATTACTTTATGACATAAATGAATCAAGATGATTTGTACTAAGAAACTAGAGAAGAAACTACAAAAAATGATCCCCAGGTGCTTGTGGTAGGTAGTTCAGGCTTGGCTGAAGGAAAATCAGGGTCTTATTTCAGTCCTATATTCACATATTGCAAGTCTTTTGAGTATCCAAGTAGGATGATGATAAATGTCACAAAAATCCAGGCAGAAGGAGACTGCATAGATCATCAGTCCTCAGTAGAATCTTGCTGAAGGCCAACTTTTGGTGAATAAAGTAGTTATGATCACCATAAGTTTGGGGGCATAAAATGTGTTCCATTTGCATAAAATTTACATAAAACTATCTAAATGATTTCAACTACCAGGGGAAAAATATATGGGTATCTTCTTCCATTATTTAAATCTCATATACCTTCGAGAGAAGTGCTTAAGAGAACTTGCTTGCAAGGTTCTCTGAAGAATGCTACTGCAAAGTTTGATAGTAAAAGCTTGATTAAATAGAGTAACTGTGGAAACATAATCTGATTAAATTTAATTCAAGTGACTCTATTTTTAAAAATCTTTATTGTTAAAAATGTGTCTAAAATATGTCCTTTTTTCTCCTTTAATTAGTTCAGTATATGGTGTTGAACATTATTAATGGACACGGTCATTTCAGAAATATTATTAAGAGAGAAAGCTTAGGTAGGCTCTGATTCTAGGTCTGATATTTACTAGTTTTAGAATATGAGGCAAATAGTTTAAATTATTTCATCTTCTATTTTTTCAGCTATGGAACAAAAGATGGGGGGCGTTCTTTCACCTAGCTATAGAAAAATAACATGGGGGCTTTGATGAAAATTAAAATATTGAGAACTACCTTGAAAGATCTTGATTTGAGAGTGAGGAAAGAAACCAGAAATCCATATTTATGGTCAGCACTGTAGATGATTTCAATACAGTTGGTCAGGGCACTGAGTTAGGAATTGCCAAAACAATCTTGAGCAAAAATAACAGAGCTGGAAGTATCACATGCCTTGATTTCAAAACATATTATAAAGTGATTGTAATCAAAGCTGCATGGTACTTGCATAAAAACAGATACGTTGATCAATGGAGCAAGATAGAAAACCCAGAAATAAACCTATGCATTTGACGGCTAACTGATTTTTGACAAAGTTGCCAAGAATACACAATGCGGAAAGGACAATCTCTTCAATAATTGTTGTTGGGAAAATTGGATATCCCCATGCAGAAGAATAAAATTAGACCTTTATCTTATACCACATACAAAAATCAACTCAAAATGAATTAAAGACTTACATAGAAGACACCTGAACCTGTAAAACTACTAAAAGAAAACAAAGAAGAAAATCTTCATGACATTGGTCTAGACAGTCATTTCTTGGATATCACCCCTGAAGCACAGGCAATGAAATAAAAATAGACAAATGGGGTGGCATCCAACTAAAATATTCTGCACAGCAAAAGAAATAATTAACAAAGTGAAAAAACAACCCACAGAATAGGAGAAAATACTTGCAAATTATACATCTGATAAGGGGTTACTATGCAAAATACATAAGAAACTCAAACAACTTAAAACAAGAAAACAAATAACTTAAAAATGAGAAAATGGCCCAGATATTTTTCAAAAGAAGACACACAAATGGCTAATAGGTACATGGAAAAATGCTTAGCATCACTAATTAGAAAAATATAAATTAAAACCACAATGAAATATTACCTCACATCTGATATAATGGCTTTTATCAAAAAGATGAAAGATAACCATTAAGAGGATGCAGAAAAATTGAACTTTTATATGTTGTTGGTGAGAATAAAAATTAATACAGCTTTTATGAAAACAGGGTATGGAGCTTCCCAGAAAAACCAAACATAGAATTATGATTCAACCCAGTAATCTCACTTCTGGGTATATATCCAAAGAAACTGAAATCAGTATGTCAAAGGGATATCTGCACTGCTATGCTAATTGCAGCATTGTTCACAATAGCCAAGATATGGAAACAACCCAAATGTCCATCAGTAGATGAATGGATAAAGAAAATGTGGGTACACATACATGACGGAATACTATTCGGTCCTACAAAGGAGGGAAATCCTGTCATTTGTGATGACACGGATGAATTTGGAGGACATGGAGCTAAGTGAAATAAGTCAAGCACAGAAAGACAAATACTGCATGGTCTCACCCGTATGTGAAATCTAATAAAGTTGAACACTCCCAGAAGTTAAAATTAAATTTAATTTAATTTAAAAAAGTAAATTGAATTCATAGAAGTAGAGTAGAGCAATGGTTAGCAGAGGCTAGGGTGGCAGGTAGGGAGGGTTAGGAAGAAAGGGAATGATGACAGGTAATCAAAGGGTACGAAGTTTCAGATAAACAAGAGTAATACGTTTTGAGAGTTGTTTCTCAGCAGGGTGACTATAGTCAATAATAATATATATTTTTAAATAACAGAAAATTTTAAATGTATTATAAAGATAATAGGTAAGCAAGGTGATAAGCACGTTAACTAGCTTGATTTAATTATGCCACATTGTATATATACATATATCAAAACATCATGCTGTACCTCATAAATGTAGACAATTATGGTTTATCAATAAAAAATAATAATAATAAGTTTCAATAAATAAATATGGAGCCAAAACAAAGGCACAGAAAGTTTGTTTAAATGTTTTAGTTCAAAAAGCTAATTTACTATGTAACACCACTATTCAAATACATAGCCCAATGTTGTGCAAAATGTTTGCAACAAAGAGCAAATTTGGACTAATTTTCTCTGTTTTGGGGCTTTGAAAGAACTGTCCACAGTATATATGAAACCTTTAAAAATCTGTTTGCAATGGTCAGTATTCTAGAGGCAGTAAAAAAAATAGGTTTTCTGATAAGGCATCAGTTTTTCAATGAACACAATGAAATATGTCACTTTTAAGTTGAGACCATTTTTGAAATTCCAGGCAAAGCCATCACAGCCTCTGTCATGGATGCTGGATAATTGGGATTCGTTGCACAACCTACATTCTCTGAAAGATGATTGACATCCCTGCAGTTTGTACTGTGTGAAAGTGGCCACGTTGTCAAAACCTGGGCAAACACAATCTTCTCAAAAGGTTAATTGGAATTCAGTTGAATACAAAGAACGAAGAGTTTTTCTCACATACTTTTAATACACAGTTTTAAAGTTATGATTGGAATAAAGTATTTTATCTAGATTAGCACTGACCACTTATGGTAGCCACCAGCTATGTGTGGCTATAGAGCACTTGGAATGTGGCTAATCCAAAATAAGGTATGCTGTAAGTATAAAATATGCACCAGACATTTTAAAATTGTTTTATTAAGAAAATGAATGCAAAATAACTCATTAATTTTTAACTGATTACCTATTGAAGCAATAATATTTTGGACGTATCGGATTAACTAAAATATGATAGTAAAATTAATTTTACTTTTTTTACTTTTTAATGTGACTACTAGAAAATATAAATTACATGTATGGCTCACATATTTCTACTGGGCAGCTTTGTTTTCAAAAAAGATTAGAGGGTGACTCTTCTCAAACAGTTTAATTAATGTTATTTGAAGCTCATTAGAGTATGTATTTATATCTACAGCATGTGAAATAAAGATAATAATGTCATTTCATACCAGTTCATTTTATAATAAGCCCTACTGATGCCTCTAAAATATGAAATAATTTCAGAATAATTTTGATTTATGTCTAAAAGGACCTTGTCATAACACAGTGTGTTACAGAGTCTTAGAATTTCTAGATATCCTAAAAAATCATCTAATTTAATCCCATCTTTTTAGAGAAAGAAACTAAGAGGAGTTTACCTGATCACCTTAATATTACTTACGAGTAAAGCGAAAACTGGAACTCAGATCTCTGAATCCCAAGCCACAAGATTTCTATTGTACCAGTACTATTTAAATCTGACAGTGTTTCAAAAGTAGAACACAACTATTCCTTGTTTTTTTGCCCCTAATAAGTAGTTTTATTTTTTCAAAAGAACTTCAATTCAAAAGCTACATTTCTAAAAATTGCCATAACTGAGGCCACACTCATTAACCCAAAGAGATTTGATTAAGGTAATTGAATAATATATTTTTGTTGGTCTCCTTCCCCAACACATATAGTTTTATCTAAAAAGGTTTTATGACACAAAGCAATCGAAGCACAAAACTGACAAAATCACCAACAAGGAATAAGGTTTCTAAACAGAAGAAGATATGCAAGGAAGAAACCAGCTTGATTCAACAGAGTCTTAAAGCCGTGGAGCCAAGTTGGATTACCTGGAAAACTAGCCCATCAGGCTGGTTGCCTGCATAGCAAAAGGGAACAATACTCATGAAGGGATAAAATCAGAAAAACAAAAAATAAAAGGACACTGATCAACTTGCAGGAGATATTTTTAAAACCGCATTAATTTCCTGTATTTGACACAAAAGAAGGTTAACAGAGAACTGTTAGTCCTTTTTAGATAGGAAAACTGCCCCATAGCTGAGCTTTCCTTGGATCCCTTCAGTTTTGCATTCAGATGCTTCACCAGTCACTCTCTCACTCCCCCTGTAGAATGAGAAATCCAGTCAAGCTTTTTACTGGTTTTGCATTGCTAATAAAATAATAACAATTGATATTCCATTTTGTGGAGGTTGGGAGGGAAGGGGACCTAAATTAGTCTTTTTGAGGTCATTTAAAAGCAGACTCAAGATAAGAGGAAAATAGTCATTCTAAATACTTATTGATGAATTGATCAATTAGTTTTGGCAAAATAATTCCATGATATATAGTGTTTAAAATGACTACCACATTACCTGCAAACACTGTATGCTCAGTAAATGTTAATTATATCTGAATCACTCAGAGATACCAGTGTAAATATAAGGTTAGAGATAATTAAGGACTGGGGAGAAAAAAAAGCATCTGCATTGTATTTCTTCTTAACATACACTATTTTATTTTAACACTCTAATTGCAATGAATTTTCATTGTATATTACCTGAAAATTATAAATATGTAATATTAAAATATAAGGAATACTGCCGGGTGCAGTAACTCATGGCTGTAATCCCAACATTTTGAAAGGTCGAGGCAGGTGGATCATCTGAGGTCAGGAATTCAAGACCAGCCTGGCCAACATGGTGAAACCTGTCTCTACCAAAAATACAAAAATTAACTGGGTGTGGTGGGGCATACCTGTAATCCCAGCTACTCAGGAGGCTGAAGCAGGTGAATCACTTGAACCTGGGAGGTGGAGGTTGCAGTGAGCCAAGATCGCACCACTGCACTCCAGCCTGGGCAACAGAGCAAGACTACGTCTCAAATAGATAAATAAAAATAAAATAAAATACAATAAACTATAAAGTATAATAAAATCCTTTTTCTGTTTCATTTCACCCAATATTTTTTATCCCAGTTTCTATTCCCTTAGCATCTGATTTTATTAAACACTATTTTTCGCCACCCTAGTCTTTCTCAAACTCCATTCTCTTCACTTAGAAACCACTTTACTGAATTTGAGAATACTTGATGCTCAGTTAGGACAAAATGAAATAGCATTAACATCAGTCTCCTTGGCTACCAAGGGAAGGCCAAAGTGTGTCACCATGGGGTCACCAGCACTTTAACTTTAGAACTCAGTGTGTCATTGCATCTAGAAGGGATCAAGCTCTGGGGATCTGGCTCCTATTAATCAAATCATTAAGAACTTGATATAGAAACCAGCAAGTCAATTATCAACATACTAAGAGGAAAAGATCTACTAATGTTATGGGATCTTTGGGGTGTTGCTTTCCTGGCCAGAAATATCTGCGGACAATGGCGCCTTGGCCCGAGTTCTTGTCCTGTGTCCAGGAAGAATGAGGCAGACAAGTGGAGGGTGAGCAAGATGAAGAGGAGCTTTATTGAGTGTTAGAAAAGCTCAGAGGAGACCCATAGTGGATAGCTCCTCTCTACAGGCAGGTTATCCTGTCAGTGTTCAGCTCTCAGCAGAGAGGAGGCCTGGAGTGGGTGGCTCCTCTCTGTAGGCAGGTAATCCCATCATCTCTGCAGCTCTCAGCAGAGAGGAAGCCCTGGAGTGAGTGGCCCCTCTCTGCAGCTGGTCATCCTGTTGAGTGTTCAGCTCTCAGCAAAGAGGAGGCCTGGAGTGGGTGGTTCCTCTCTGCAGATAGCTTGTCCTGACAAATGTTCAGCTCTCAGCAGGGAAGGTAGCTCCTTTGTGCTGCTGGTTGTCAAATTGTTCACATCTCTCAGTAGAGAGGGGGCCCTGGAGCAGGGAGCTCCTCTCTGTAGCTGCTGGTCCAGATATCTGCTCTGCTCTCGCTGAGTCTGGGGTTTTTACAGTCTTGTGGGGAAGTGGGAAAGTGTGCGCTGACTGGTCCATCAGCAGCCATGGGTGGGCCCAGGAAAAAGCACCACCACTTCCCCCTTCAGTCCACAGGACTGGCAGCCAGGCCCCCAGGCCTCAAGGCTTCCCCAGCTTGAGGGTGGGGCTTCACTGGGGACCCACCCTCTTCAGCCCAGGAGCCTGTTTGCCTTTCCTGCTGTTCATGGCACCCAGGCTATTCATACCAAGGGGCACCTGCAGGCCAGCACTGAGCTGCCTTCAGCCCTGCTTTGAGTCCCCCCCGTGCTCATCAGCACCCAATGTCTGGAGGGGGCCAAGGTGGCAGTGGGGCTGACATGTCAGTGCTGACCCAAGCATGCCCCACTCAGCAGGCTCCCACCTTGCTCCATGATCTGAGTGGGTGCCAGGAGTGGGGAGAGGCCAGACAGTGGGACGAGGCAATTCAGAGTCTGTGGGGAGTCGGGGGTAGGGAGGCCTTCCCAGCCCCACAAGAGCACAGAGATGCCCAGGTCCACAGCCGGGCTTGGGTGACTGCAGCTGCCCATGAGGAGCTCCTGCCCTGCCAATTCGGAAGGGGCAGGGCTTGCACTTGTCCCTTGGAGCAGGAGGCCTGGGGCCCAGGGGCGGGACTCCTGCCTGCTCTGTGGAGTGGGAGGACTGGCTGTGCCTCCCCACTGCAGCCCGTATGTTGGCAGCAGCCATTCTGGATGGGCTGCTGCTGCCATCACTAAGAAGATAAGAAAGTTCGCATCAGTTAGTCAGACATTACTTTCCTGTAAGATAATATGCATGGGAAACTAAATTATAATCAGTAACTTTCTTGAGGTAGGCAGCCTTAATGATGTGTGTCTTGGAGCTATAAAGGCCAAATGCATTTATCCACTTTGTAGATTTTGCCTGCCATAAGGTCTGGGGAATTTGAAGAACTAACAAGAACCCTGGGACTGCTGAAGATATTCTGACAAATATTAGTTCTTGATACTTCTTTTTAATTATTCCAGTCTAACCATCTCTCTTCTTTTAACACGGCCTTTCTACAAAAGTGTATCATAAGATTGATCAAATTTAGCTTACTATATACCACAAGCATCTTCCCATTCTACTTTTCTAAGACATTCCCTTGTTGGAGTTTTAGGTGTTAAAAAGATGTTCCAGTCTTACATTTACAAATATCTCCTGGTTTACCCATAGTGAATGGTAATCAAATCTGTCATGTGTAGATTTTATTAGATGAACTCCCTAAGGGTGATACCATTTCCAAGTTCTTGGTGAATACCTCACTCAGGCACTATGCATTGACTGTGTAAGGCCCCTTATATACTTTCCTTAGTAATGGAAGTATTGAGCCTTATTCTAAATAATTTAGGACATGTCTAAACATATTTTTCATGAGGAATTTTGACCCACATGACTCAGTCACTTCAAAGAAAGCAATATTGTCATCTAACATTTCCAGATCTAGACAACTGGATACGTTCCTTTGAAGGGCAAATGGTTTTCTATTTCAATTCCTTCCCAGCCTTCTGAGGAAAATGGGTTTCTTATATTATTTTCCAAAGCCAAGTGAAAATCAAATGGCCCTTTGGCAAAGCTTGGGTTTCTTAAGTAATGTTTCCATTTGAACTTTAAATATAAAAACCATCTTTGTGTTACATTTGCCCCTACCCTAAGGATGGATCTAGACATTCACTTCAAATTTTAGTGTAGACTTAGGATTCGGTATACTGCTTTAGGCTGCAGGAACATCCTGAGTTAGATACCCATATAATTTCTGTGAAGAACTCATAGCAAACTTTTTCAAAAATGAATTCACTATGCAATATTTACAAATGTTTAATTCTTGCATTAACTACCGCTTCTAGGAAAAGTACAGATTATAATTTTAATAAACATACCATTGGTTAGATTCCCTGAGATTTACAGTACATCAAACCAGATGCTGTCTTTTTCCCCTCTGCAGTCCCTAAATTCCAATCACCCTTAATGCAGTTGTATTACAATTTTAGTTTTAAGAAGTGTACAAAATATACAAGGAAAGGCAAATGAAGATGAAACCACCCATTCCTCACTACTAAACCCCTAATTTTTGGAATATATGTTGATTTCTCTCATTAAGGCTACATTTTTCAGGAATCTCCCAGAACTCGACCCACCACCTACCATCTTACATCAAGTTGTAAACCAAAAACATAGAGATGTGTAAGAGGCAGATGTGGTGGCAGAGGTGAGGCTGTAGAAATCAGGAACAGGTCAGTACATGGACTGTTCATCTCTTTGAGCTTTCTAGAAGTCCGAAAGTTGCAGTTGTTGAAAATATGAGAGAAATTTTTAAAGTACATGAAGTCAGCTCAATAAATTGTGAAATATGTTATTACTATTAATCTTGAGAAATTATTTAAAACTTCACAATTTTTTGTTGACATAGAAAAAGAAACAAGAAAAACTATTGGCTCAAAGCATCTGGAGATGACATAGTGATTGTGTTCCCTTGCCACCATCATATATATGATTATAGTCATACATTACTTCATGATGTGATACAATCTGAGAAATACATTATTAGGTGATTTTGCGGTTGTGCAAACATCATAGAGTGATTGTAATTACACACACCTAGATGGTATAGTCTACTACACACTACAAATTGGTACAACATGTTACTGTGCTGAATACTGTAGGCAATTGCAACACAGTGGCAACTATTTGTGTATACAAATATATCTAACCATAGAAATGTTACAGTAAAAATATTTTATTAGGTTCATGCGAATGTAATTGTGGTTTTTGCTATTAAAAGTAATTGCAAAAACTACAATTATGTTTGCACCAACTTGATATTGTAATCTTATGGGACCACCATTGTATATGTGCTCCATTGTTGAATGAAACCTCATTATGCAGAGCATGACTGTATTTGTCTTCTTATTTTCCCATCTTTACCCCTCTTGGATTAAAAATATCAGAATTTTTATTTATTTAGTTTATTATAATTTAAGTTCTGGGATACATGTGCAGAACGTGCAGGTTTGTTACATAGGTATACACATGTCATCTTGGTTTGCTGTACCCATCAACCCATCATCTACATTAGGTATTTCTCCTAATGCTATCCCTCCTCTCGCCCCCTACCCACCAACAGGCCCCAGTGTGTGATGGCCCCCTCCCTGTATCCATGTGTTCTCATTGTTCAGCTCTCACTTATGAGTGAGAACATGTGGTGTTTGGTTTTCTGTTCCTGTGTTAGTTTGCTGAGAATGATGGTTTCCAGCTTCATCCATGTCCCTGCAAAGGACATGAAGTCATGCTTTTTTATGGCTGCATAGTGTTCCATGGTGTATATGTGCCACATTTTCTTTATCCAGTCTATCATTGATTGGCATTTGGATTGGCTCCAAGTCTTTGCTATTGTGAACAGTGCGGCAATAAAAATACGTGTGCCTCCTCTACCTGGCTGCTGCCCTGTCTGGGAAGTGAAATGCCCCTCTGCCCGGCGGCCCCACCATCTAGCAAATGAGGAGTGCCTCTGCCTGGCTGCTGCCCCATCTGGCAAGTGAGGAGCACCTCTCTCTGGCTGCCGCCCTGTCTGGAAAGTGAGGAGCGCCTCTGTCTGGCCACCCAACTGACTGGGAAGTGAGGAGCCCCTCTGCCTGGCCACTGCCCTGTCTAGGAAGTGAGGAGTGCTTCTGCCCAGCTGCCCACCATCTGGGAAGTGAGGAGCACCTCTGCCCATCGCCCACCCTCTGGGAAGTGAGGAGCGGCTCTGCCCGGCCCCCGCATCATCTGGGATGTAAGGAGCACCTCTGCCTGGGCGCTGTGAAACTCTCCAAGTGTGAAGTGACAGCCTTGCGTGTGATACTTCTGCACTCCCCAAGTTTGCATTTTCGACATTAAAGTTTACTTTTTATCAAAATATATGTGTGTGTGTGTGTGTGTGTGTGTGTGTGTGCGCGCGCATGGGTCTTTATAGTAGAATGACTATAATCCTTTAGGTATATACCCAGTAATGAAATTGCTGGGTCAAATGATATTTCTGGTTCTAGATCCTTGAGGAATCGCCACACTGTCTGCCACAATGGTTGAACTAATTACACTCCCACCAACAGTGTAAAAGTGTTTCTATTTCTCCACATCCTCTGCAGCATCTGTTGTTTCCTGACTTTTTAATGATCGCCATTCTAACTGGAGTGCGATGGTATCTCATTGTGGTTTTGATTTGCATTTCTCTAATGACCAGTGATGATGAGCTTTTTTTCAAATGTTTGTTGGCCACATAAATGTCTTCTTTTGAGAAGTGTCTGTTAATATCCTTCACCCACTTTTTGATGGGGTTGTTTCATTCTTGTAAATCTGTTTAAATTTTTTGTAGATTCTGGATATTAGCCCTTTGTCAGATGAATAGATTGCAAAAATTTTCTCCCATTCTGTAGGTTGCTTGTTCACCCTGATGATAGTTTCTTTTGCTGTGCAGGAGCTCTTTAGTTTAATTAGACCCCATTTGTCAATTTTGGCTTTTGTTGCCATTGATTTTGGTGTTTTAGTCATGAAGTCTTTGCCCGTGCCTATGTCCTGAATGGTATTGCCTAGGTTTTCTTCTAGGGTTTATGGTTTTAGGTCTTACGTTTAAGTCTTTAATCCATCTTGAGTTAATTTTTGTATAAAGTGTAAGGAAGGGGTCCACTTTCAGTTTTCTGCATATGGCTAGCCAGTTTTCCCAACACCAATTATTAAATAGGAAATCCTTTCCCCATAGTTTGCTTTTGTCAGGTTTGTCAAAGATCATATGATTGTAGATGTGTGGTGTTATTTCTGAGACCTCTGCTCTGTTCCATTGGTCCACATATCTGTTTTAGTACCAGTACCATGCTGTTTTGGTTACTGTAGCCTTGTAGTATAGTTTCAGGTCAGGTAGTGTGATGCCTCCAGCTTTGTTCTTTTTGCTTAGGATTGTCGTGGCTATGCAGGCTCTTTTTTGATTCCATATGAAATTTGAAGTAGTTTTTTCAATTTCTGTGAAGAAAGTCAATGGTAGCTTGATGGGGATAACATTCCATTTGTTTGTGTCCTCTCTTATTTCCTTGAGCAGTGTTTTGTAGTTCTCCTTGAAGAGGTCCTTCACATCCCTGGTAAGGTGCATTCCTAGATATTTTATTCTCTTTGTAGCAATAGTGAATGGGAGTTCACTCATGATTTGGCTCTGTGTTTGTCTATTATTGGTGTATAGGAATGCTTGTGATTTTTGCACATTGATTTTGTGAAGTTTTGCTGAAGTTGCTTATCAGCTTAAGGAGATTTTGGGCTGAGACAATGGGGTTTTCTAAATGAACAGTCATGGCATCTGCAAAGAGAGACAATTTTACTTCCTCTCTTCCTATTTGAATATCCTTTATTTCTCTCTCTTGCCTGATTGCCCTGGCCAGAACTTTCAATACTATGTTGAATAGGAGTGGTGAGAGAGGGCATCCTTGTCTTCTGCTGGTTTTCAAAGGGAATGCTTCCAGCTTTTGCCCATTCAGTATGATATTGGCTGTGGGTTTGTCATAAATAGCTCTTATTATTTTGAGATACATTCCATCAAAACCGAGTTTATTCAGAGTTTTTAGCATGAAGGGGTGTTGAATTTTATCGAAGGCTTTTTCTCCATTTATTGAGATAATCATGTGGTTTTTGTCATTGCTTCTGTTTATGTGATGGATTACATTTATTAATCTGAGTATGTTGAAACACTCTCACATCTCAGGGATGAAGCCGACTTGATCATGGTGGATAAGCTTTTTGATATGCTGCTGGATTCGGTTTGCCAGTATTTTATTGAGGATTTTCTCATTGATGTTCATCAGGGATATTGGCTTGAAATTTTCTTGTTTTGTTGTGTCTCTGCCAGGTTTTGGTATCAGGATGATGATGGCCTCATAAAATGAGTTAGGGATGAGTCGTCTTTTTCTGTTGTTTGGAATAGTTTCAGAAGGAATGGTACCAGCTCCTCTTTGTATCTCTGGTAGAATTCGGCTCTGAATCCTTCTGGTCCTGGGATTTATTTTGGTTGGAAGGCTATTAATTACTACCTCTGTTTCAGAACTTGTTATTGGTCTATTCAGGGATTCGACTTCTTCCTGGTTTAGTCTTGGGAGGGTGTATGTGTCCAGGAATTTATCCATTTCTTCTAGATTTTCTAGTTTATTTGTGTAGAGGTATTTATAGTATTCTCTGATAGTAGTTTGTATTTCTGTGGGATCAGTGGTGATATCCCCTTTATCATTTTTTATTGCATCTATTTGATTCTTCTCTCTTTTCTTCTTTATTAGTCTGGCTAGCAGTCTATCTATTTTGTTAATCTTTAAAAAAAACACCTCTTGGATTCATTGATTTTTGAAGTTTTTCGTGTCTCTATCTCCTTCAGTTCTGCTCTCATCTTAGTTATTTCTTGTCTTCTGCTAGCTTTTGAATTTGTTTGCTCTTGTTTCTCTAGTTCTTGTAATTGTGATGTTAGGGTGTCAACTTTAGATCTTTCCCATTTAGTGCTATAAATTTCTCTCTAAACACTGCTTTAGCTGTGTCCCAAACATTCTGCATCATTGTGTCTTTGTTCTTATTGGTTTCAAAGAACTGTTATTTATTTCTGCCTTAATTTCATTATTAACCCAGTAGTCATTCAGGAGCAGTTGTTCAGTTTCCATGTAGTTGTGCAGTTTTGAGTGAGTTTCTTAATCCTGAGTTCTAATTAGATTGCACTGTGGTCTGAGAGACTGTGTTATCATTTAGTTCTTTTGCATTTGCTGAGGAATATTTTACTTCCAAATATGTGGTCAATTTTAGAGTAAGTGCTATGTGGTGCAGAGAAGAATGTATATTCTGTTGATTTGGGGTGGAGAGTTCTGTAGATATCTATTACTTCTGCTTGATCCAGAGTTGAGTTCAAGTCCTGAATATCCTTATTAATTTTCTGTCTTGTTGATCTGTCTAACATTGACAGTGGGGTGTTAGGTCTCCCACTATTATTGTGTGGGACTCTAAGTCTCTTTGTAGGTCTCTAAGAACTTGCTTTATGAATCTGGATTCTTCTGTATTGGATGCATATATATTTAGGATAGTTAGCTCTTCTTGTTGCATTGATCCCTTTACTATTACATAATGCCCTTCTTTTTCTTTTTTGATCTTTGTTGGTTTAAAGTCTGTTTTACCAGAGACTAGAATTGCAACCCCTGCTTTTTTGTTTTCTTTTTGTTTTTTGCTTTCCATTTGTTTTGTTTAAATATTCCTCCATCCCTTTATTTTGGGCCTATTTGTGTCTTTGCACATGAGATGGGTCTCCTGAATACAGCATACTGATGGCTCTTGGTTCTATCCAATTTGCCATCTGTGTCTTTTAATTGGGGCATTTAGCCCCTTTACATTTAAGGTTAATATGATTATGTGTGAATCTGATGCTGTCATTATGATGCTAGCTGGTTATTTTACCCGTTAGTTGATGCAGTTTCTTCAGTGTCGATTGTCTTTACAATTTGGTATGTTTGTGCAGTGGCTAGTACTGGTTTTTCCTTTCCATATTTAGTGCTTCCTTCAAGAGCTCCTGTAAGGCACATCTGGTGACAAAATCTCTCAGCATTTGCTTGTCTGTAAAGGGTTTTATTTCTCCTTCATTTATGAAGCTTAGTTTGACTGGATAAAAAATTCTGGGTTGAACATCCTTTTCTTTGAGAATGTTGAATATTGGCCCCCACTCTCTTCTGGCTTGTAGGGTTTCTGCCAAGAGATCCACTGTTAGTTTGATGGGCTTCCCTTTGTGGGTAACCAGACCTTTATTTTGGCTGCCTTTAACATGTTTTCCTCCATTTTAACCTTGGTGAATCTGACGATTATGTGTCTTGGGGTTGCTCTTCTCGAAGAGTATCTTTGTGGTGTTCTCTGTATTTCCTGAATTTGAATGTTGGCCCATCTTGCTAGACTGGGGAACTTCTCCTGGATAATATCCTGAAGAGTGTTTTCCAATTTGGTTTCATTCTCCCTGTCACTTTCAGGCACACCAATCAAACAGGTTTGGTCTTTTCACATAGTCCCATATTTCTTGTAGCTTTGTTTGTTCCTTTTCATTCTTTTTTCTCTAATCTTGGCTTCATGTTTTATTTCATTAAGTTGATCTTCAATTCTGATATCCTTTCTTCCGCTCGATCGATTCAGCTATTAATACTTGTATATGCTTCACGAAGTTCTCATGCTGTGTTTTTCAGCTCCATCAGGTCATTTATGTTCTTCTCTAAACTGGTTATTCTAGTTAACAATTCCTCTAACCTTTTATCAAGGTTCATAGCTTTTTTCCATTGGATTAGAACATGCTCCATTAGCTCAGAGGAGTTTGTTATTACCCACCTTCTGAAACCTACTTCTGTCTGTTAGCCAAAATCATTCTCCATCCAGTTTTGTTCCCTTGCTGGCAAGAAGTTGTGATCCTTTGGAAGAGAAAAGACGTTCTGGTTTTCGGAATTTTCAGCCTTTTTACACTGGTTTTTCCTCATCTTCGTGGATTTATCTACCTTTGGTCTTTGATGTTGGTGACTTTTGGATGGGGTTTCTGTGTGGACATCCTTTTTTGTTAATGTTGATGCTATTCCTTTCTGTTTGTTATTTTTCCTTCTAACAGTCGGGCCTCTCTGCTGCAGGTCTTCTGGAGATTCCTGGAGGTCCACTCTGGCTCCTGTTTGCCTGGGTATCACCAGCAGAGGCTACAAAACAGCAAAGATTGCTGCCTGTTCCTTCCTCTGGAAAATTCATCCCAGAGGGGCCCCTGCCAGATGCCAGCTGGAGCTCTCCTGTATGAGGTGTCTGTCAACTCCTGCTGGGAGGTGTCTCCCAGTCAGGAGGCGTGGGGGTCAGGGACCCACTTGAGGAGGCAGTCTATCCCTTAGCAAAGCTGGAGCGCTGTGCTGAGAGATCCACTCCTCTCTTAAGAGCCACCAAGCAGGAACGTTTAAGTCTGCTGAAGCTGAGCCCACAGCCGCCCCTTCCCCCAGGTGCTCTGTCCCAGAGAGATGGGAGTTTTATCTAAAAGCCCCTGACTGGGGCTGCTGCCTTCCTTTCAGAGATGCCCTGCCAGTGAGGAGTCTAGAGAGGCAGTCGGGCTACAGCAGCTTTGAGGCGCTGCGGTGGGCTCCACCCAGTCCAAACTTCCTAGCAGTTTTGTTTACACTGTGAGGGGAAAACCACCTACTCAAGCCTCAGTAATGGCAAATGGTCCTCCCCACAGCAAGCTTGAGCATCCCAGGTCAACTTCAGACTGCTGTGCTGGCAGCAAGAATTTCAAGCCAGTGGATCTTAGCTTGCTGGGATCCATGGGAGTGGGATCCGCTGAGCTAGGCCACTTGGCTCCCTAGCTTGAGCCCCCTTTCCAGGGGACTGAACGGTTCTATCTCACTGGCAAGCTTATATCCACTGGCTTGAAATTCTCGCTGCCAGCACAGCAGTCTGAAGTCGACCTGGGATGCTCAAACTTGCTGCCAGGAGGAGCATTTGCCATTACTGAGGCTTGAGTAGGCAGTTTTCCCCTCACAGTGTAAACAAAACTGCTTGGAAGTTCAGACTGGGTGGATACCACTGCAGCGCCTCAAAACTGCTGTAGCCAGATTGCCTCTCTAGACTCCTCTCTGGGCAGGGCATCTCTGAAAGAAAGGCAGCAGCCCCAATCAGGGGCTTACAGATAAATCTCCCATCTCCCTGGGACAGATCACTTGGGGGAAGGGGCAGCTGTGGGCGCAGCTTCAGCAGACTTAAATGTTCCTGGTACCACTGGGGTATGAAAAGAAATTCCTGCAGCTAGCTCGGGATGGCTGCCCAGTTTTATGAAACTCAGGGCCCTGGTGGCATAGGCACCCGAGGGAATCTCCTGGTCTGTGGGTTGCATAGACCATGGGAAAAGCGTAGTATCTGGGCTGGAGTGCACCAGTCTTCATGTCAGAGTCCTTCATGGCTTCCCTTGGCTAGGGGAGGGAGTTCCCTGACCCCTTGCACTTCCCAGGTAAGGCAATGTCCCACCCTGCTTCAGCTTGCCCTCCATGGGTTTCACTCACTGTCTAGCCAGTCCCAATGAGATGAGCCAAGTACCTCAGTTGGAAATGCAGAAATTACTCATCTTCTGTGTGGATCTCACTGGGAGCTGCACACCAGAGCTGATCCTATTCAGCCATTTTGCCAGCCACTGAATTTTTATTATAATTTTGGATAATTGTGAAATTTTTTATTTGATAACTATGATTCTTTGGAAATGATGTCAAAACCAAGATATTTTCTCCTATTTCAACAGTCTCAATCCATTTCCATCTCTCTTCTTCACATAGCTCCTTGTTCTTCTCTCACATTTCTGCATTTCCTCTCACAAAGTTTAGAATTTCTGTAAGAGGTTAGCAAAGGTGACCTATGTCCAGTACGAGAAACAACCCTGTCATAATGAAGGAGAGATCCAGGCTACAGTGAGTGATCTATTCACTTGCTGCATGTCTTAGTCTATTCAGGCTGCTATAACAAAGTACTTTAGACTCAGTAATTTATAAACAACAGAGATTTATTTCTTAGAGGTCTGGAGGCTGGGAAGTCCAACATCAAAGCACCAGTAGATTTGGTGTCTGGTAATTGGCTTAATAGATGGTGACTTGTTGCTGCATCCTTACATGGCAAAAAAGAGCCAGAGAGCTCACTCAAGCCTCTTTTATAAGGTCACTATTCTCATTCATAAGGGTCAAGCCCTCACCTTATGACTTAATCACTTCCTAAAGGCCATACCTCTTAATACTATCACATTGGGTATTAGGCCTCAACATATAAATTCGTGGGGTACACCAATTTAGAACATAGTGCTGCACCTCAACGCAATTTAATGGACTATCATCTGGTCATACCTTCTCTCTGTGAAGATTTTTAGACCCTACTGGCTTACCTCCGTTAGTGATGCTCTCTGACAGTCTTCAGCTTGGCAATGTGCCTTAGTATAGGCACTGCATCCATGTTGCAACACAGTTCTCCATAGGGTTCTATATCATGAGTTATGGCAGGTATGTTAAGCAAGCTAGCATGAGCTTTTAAGACTCTGAAACACACACTGAAAATCCACACACATCATCCAGCATATGGAAAGCAAACCTAGGAGAAAATATGGAATTTGGAAAAAGGCATAAGAGAATGACATTAGCAAAATAAATAAAACAATAACGATTTGGGCAACAGCCAAAAACACAAGTAAAAAATGAGAGGTATTTTGACTCCCTAATATATTAAAATGTGTCATTCACATACTCACACTGCATGCATGATTTAGCTTTCTTTTTTCTCAGCCTCAGCAACAGCTAGGAATACTTTGTTGACAGTTTTTACCTCATAAATTTGGTTCCCTGATCTAATTTTTCATTACGAGAAAAAAGAAAGGAAAAAAACTTAAAGATCTTTCCTCAAATGAGATTCTCTTTCCCTCTGGGTTTTTATTGATTTGTAATTGCACTGATATTTCACATTTCTATTTAAAAACACCGTGTTCTAATGCTCAGTCTGGCAGAGGCTTCCTTTTGCATTTGACAGGACGCCCACCAAATCATTCTATTATGGAGACAGCTCAGGGTTCTGGGAAAATCAATAGGAGTTTAGCTCCTGGGAGGCAGAGAGATGGAGAAATGTGAGCAGTGGCTACTAGCAACCACTGGGCTAGGAATGTCTCTAAAGGCTAAAGTCAGGCCACAGGCCTGCAAAGTGTGGAATTTTAGCAGTTATGTAACTACATTTTTAGGTTAATGATTCAGTCTCTGTGTTTTGGCTCTGTTTCCTTGAGGGTAGCTGCTCCTGAGGGAGAAGCATTGTCGTTTCACTGAGAATTGCCACTTCACTGACCATCGTTTTTGTGTGAAAAAGAAAGGCCTTTTAGAAAAAGCAGATTTGTTTAAGTTTCTAAATAGCAAATCCTTGGCCCCTATAATTCACATTGCTTTGCCATCAATTTTAGACAGTGTTCAATTACACATTGAGGCAAAGACAGGTCTTCTCTTTAGCTATGTCCTGTTAAAAGCCTGCCTCCCTACTACTTGTGGTAGGTATCCATTCTAATGATTCTGCTAGCTGTTTTTCCCCCATCTGTGCCTGAAAAATCAAATCGTCTGCTCAAAAGTCAATGAAATGTCTTAAGCTGCTAGGGCAGCTAAATAAATCTGCTAACAACAATAACCTTACTGAGGAGGAATGTAAAAAAAAAAAAATTACTTTGTATTCCTCAGAAGGCATTCTGGTAAACAGTCACACCATACTAAAGCCCAGCTCTAAAATGCAACCTATCGCGGTGCTGGACAGATTATATTTTGTGAGCAGGGCTGATGGTTCACATGTAAACCTATGGCATTCATTCTGCTAACACCCCACCCACAACAGCTGAGAGTGAGCTTCTGCAATGAACTGCTTCAGAGTGGTTGGGGCTATTATCTAACGAGTTTGTATTCAGGCAAGGACCTGAGTCTTACTTGAAAAATGTTTAAGATTAAGGCTTTCAAGCAGCAAACCTTACCATCAAGGAGAAAGAATAACCTCCTATGGGAGATAGCCAAACTTAAAACAAAATTGACCAAGCAGAAAGTTATAAATAATATTATTTTAACAGGGTTTTGAGGTGCAGCCAAACATTTTGGAATGTTCTCAGTCCAAACAAAACCAGCATACTTCTCATTTTTTCCAACCTCATGACTGAGGCAGGAGGTAAATGGAAAGGAAAAAAGCCTACAGTTGCAAAATGTAAATTTAAAAGAAAAATCAATCTGGACAGTCATATAAACCAGGTGGCAGGCAAAAATTGGACTCATTTATGAAGAAATGCAAGGCATCCTGTAACAGGCAACAATTAAGGAACAGTAAAAAGACCAAAGAACTTGGAAACCAAAACAGGTTCAAATCTTAAGTCCACCACTCACAAAAATGTGGGTGTCTGGATAAACTTCTTAGCTTCTCTGAGACTCATGGTTCCTCACCTGGAAAATGGAGGGAATAGCACTGATCTCACAAAGTTCTTGCATTTAAAGAGATTAAAAATGGAAGCACCTAGCACAGCACTCCAGCACATACAAGAATGTTAAATCTCCACTGCCTCATCCTACTGTTTCCCCAGTCCCTCCACCCCACCTCCCACTCCAGCAAACCAGAAGAACTAAAGATTTGCCTTGGATTAAAATGTTTTAAGCAGTTTGGGTTTTGTTGGTTGTTGTTAAGGGTGATAGTGTCATACTAAAAAAATGTAACTGGGCTAGGAATCTAGAGAACTGAGTCTGTTTGATTCTGCAGCTTTCTAACTATTAATTTAAAGCAGTGACCTCACCTTTTTGGGCTTCAGGTTCTTCTGTTTAAAGTGAGGCCACTGTAATAATCTATAAGGAATACCAGTTTTAATATTCAAGAAATTGCCTGTTATATTATTCATGGGGAGAGATACGACAGGGGTCCTGTTGTTTTGTTGGTTTGTTTGTTTGCTTAAAGATAGGGTTTTGCTCTGTTGCCCAGGCTTGAGTGCAAAGGCATGATCATAGTTCACTGCAGCCTCTACCTTCTGGGCTCAAGTGATCCTCCCACCTCAGCCTTCCAAGTAGCTAGGACTACAGGCATCCACCACCACACCCTGCTAGTGTATTTATTTTTTGTAGAGACAAGGTCTCTATGTTGCCCAGGCTGGTTTCAAACTCCTGGTCTAAGGCAATTCTCCCACCTCAGTCTCCCAAAGTGCATGAGCCACCACACCAGGCCTTATTTTGTTTTGATTTTGCCTCCTGCTGATATATTATTTCAAAGTTTTTGTATAACTAGTACTAGTATTTTTCTTTTACATGCAGAGATCTTATTGAAGGCAAAAAGAGCCTTATTTTCAGAAGTTATTCAATACATGTTTGTGGAATGAATAAGTTACACTAGTTAGGATAAAACAGAATGTTGTTCTTAATATAAAACCTTGGTCCAATCCCAGTGCAGTGCTCCTCCTTAATTATAGCTCTCCTGCCCACTACTCCAATTTCTTTGAAAACACCAGAAGCATTGCCCCTTAATATTGTCAAATGAGTATATAGCAGGTGGTTTAAAAACTGTTGCTTTTGTACCTTTTTTAAATCAGTGGTTCATGAATCTTTCACTGTTATGTGAAGCTTGAGAGATTCAGAAAAATAATATAACTATCTCTCTCCCTAAATAATATGATTATCTCTCCCAAAATAAATTTTAAAAAATTGTAAGCCATTCTTTTCAATAATTCCTGAGAAAGAAAAAAGCCTAAATTTATGAATTCTGACTTCAATGCTCTTTATTAAGACCACAACTAACTGTAGTATCACCTTCCTCTCAGGCCAAAATGAGCAAGAAAGCAGAAGAGAAATTCTTTCTTAGACAACAGGACTTTCTGACCTTGTGGGGTTTCTGTCAAGCATATGTCAGGCCTACAGAACATAAAAATGTCTGGATTAATCTATAAATCAAAGTACTTTTATTTGTATCTTGGGAATTTGTGTTCAGTGGGGACCAAAACCTTAAAATCATGCTTTTCTGTGAAAGGAGAATCCTGCTGCTATTAATGTTTAAGATTTGTGGGAGGAGGAATATGTATTCCTTCCACTTTCATTGACACCTGGATTGCTTATTGATCAAGATTGGAATTTACATGGCTGAAAAGAGAAAGAGACATTGGCTGGGGTTTCCATCCCTCTGGCTTCAAGGTGCACACATGTGTTATTGCTGTCATTGCACCACACTTGCATTCTGGTATTCGTGCATCACCAGACTCAGTCCTCCTAGGGGCCCATGACAATGGCTGATATTTGGCTCTGCTTTTAGGGTGAATCCATTTCAATTCTTCACTTGTCACATTATAATTTTCTGCTTTCACGGATGTGTTTTGAATTTCTCGGCAGTCGGTTCTTCTGTTGAGGGGATGCAATAAATCTAAAAAGGAGTTCTGACAACCCCCCCAAAATTTTTTAAATCATACAGTGTTTTACCAATGAGATTTCAGACATGTTTGTTTGGCTTTCATGCTTATGCAAATATAACCATTGACTAGACTACATCTGTTGAGTTGTCGGTTTTAAATAGATTCTCCACCTCTTGAATATGTTCCAATTATGATTCTCTGTATTTAGTTATTCATGTTCTTTTTTGCTGTCAGAAACTTAAGGAAATTTGTAATTGTGTAGATTCTGGGTGAGTATATATAAACAACAAATATTTTTTTTCCCAAGTATCTCTGCAGTATGAAAATTTTGTGTTTATAAATTTAGAAAGGACATTGCAAAAATTCAGGTTTTCTTTTAATATTTAGAACTATTTATTTCCAATCGTATCAAAATTATCTTGAAAAGCACTGAAAAATTGATTCTGAATCTACTAGGTCATTGATAAAAAGAAATAAAGAATGTTTCATAAACATATGAATTCATTTATATTGGTTGTCAAATTTCAATACCTAGGCTGCATATAATTTAAATTTTACTCATAGCCTTGCTATAGACAGTTAATCATCATATTAGTACGCATGACCTTTGTCACCCTTCACAATACGGTAGACAATGTTCCTTAACGTTAGTTGCCATTACTCCCTTACCTACTATTGAGTAGTGTATATATATTTGCACCTCTGCACCTTTATCCATGCCTGAAATTTTCTACTCCTCTTTCTTTCTATGCTGGGCAATGAGCTACTCTTTCAAGATACATGTGCAAGTCTTATACTTCTTTAAGACCTAGCATAGTGCAGGACATTGAGAATATCCACCAAATGTACAAGAGTGGTAACTAGAACACTTTCTTTTCACCAATGTGTAACTATGAGGAAGTCCTCTTGTGTTTTTCTTTATTTTTTACAATTTCAATAGATTATATGTGGTCTACCATGCATATTATCTTGAAATACTATTATTGTATTATCTATTTATCCCTTCAGACTAGTTTATATTTGATTGATATATTTAGGTGCTGTGATGTTGGATGCCTATATATTTACAATTGTTATATCCTTTTCATGAATTAACCCCTTTCTTATTATATAAATATATAATAAGATAAACACATCCGTTATTTACATAAGATAAAATAGACTTTAAGTCGAACTGCAAAAAGAGACAAAGATATTTATAATTATATATATCATATATTTACAGTTATATATGGCATATATAATAATAAATATAAAGATATAAGGATATATATTAGATATAAGGATATACATTATATAACATAATATACATTATATATGATTATAAGCTTATAGAGATATTATGTATTATATTATAAATATCTTTGTCTCTTTGCACAGTTTTTGACTTAAAATCTATTTTATGTTATATAAATAGCAGATACTCATCCTGCTCTTTTTTAGTTTCCATTTGCATGGAATATATTTTTTCCATCTCTTCACTTTTAGCCTATGTGTGTCCTCAAAGCTAAAACAAGTCTCTTGTAGACATCATATTATTGAATCTTACTTGTTTGTTTTTATCCATTTTGCCATTGTAGGTCTTTTGATTACAGAATTTAGTTCATTTATAAAGTAATTATTGATACGTTAGGATTTATTATTGCCACTTTGGTAATTGTTTTCTCTTCTGTAGTTATTTTGTTCCTTTTTTCCTCTCTTGCTCTTCCTTTGTAATTTCATGATTTTCTGCAGTGGCATGCTTTAATTTATTATCTTTATCTTTAATTATTCTGTATCTACTAAAGTTTTTACTTTGTGGCTACCATGGGGCTTACAGAAAATATCTTATATTTATAACAGTCTATTTTAAACTGATTTCAACTTTGATTGCATATACTTTACATGTTTACTCCCCTATTCCACATTTTAAGTTTTGGATATCATAATTTACTTTTTTAATATTGTATATTCATTAACGAATTATTATAGTGAATTTTTTTTTGAGATGGAGTCTTGCACTGTTGCCCAGGCTGGAGTGCAATGGGGTGATCTTAGTTCACCGCAACCTCCGCCTCCCAGGTTCATGCCATTCTCCTGCCTCAGCCTCCCAAGTAGCTGGGATTACAGCCACACACCACCACATCCAGCTAATTTTTTGTATTTTTAATAGAGATGGGGTTTCATTATGTTGGCCAGACTGGTCTCAAACTTCTGACCTCATGATTTGCCTGCCTCAGCCTCCCAAAGTGTTGGGATTACAGGTGTGAGCCACCGCACCAGCATATTGTGATTATTTTTAATAATTTTGTCTTTTCACCTCTATCCTAGAGTAAAAGTGGTTTATACACCACCATTACAGCATTAGAGTATTCTGAACTTGACAATATATGCTACCTTTACCAGTGAGTTTTGCACTTTCATATGTTTTCATGTTACTAATTAGAATCCTTACTTTTCCATTTGAAGAACTCCCTCTAACATTTTTTATAAGGCATATGTAGTGGTGATAAAATCCCTCATATTTTCTTTATCTGGCAAAGTCTTTATCTCTCCTTCATTTCTGGAAGATAGTTTTGCAAGGTAAAGTATTCTTGGTTGACAATTCTTTCTTCTTTCAGCACTTGAAATATGTCATCTCGCTCTCTCCTGGCCTGCAAGATTCATGCTTAGAAATCTGATAGTCTAATGGGGTTTCTTTGTATGTGATGAGTTTCTTTTCTCTTACTGCTTTCAAAATTATCTTTGATGTTTGACAATTTGATTATAATGTGTCTCAGTGAAGTCCTCTTTAAGTCAAACCTATTTGGGCACATTTAAGCCTCATGTACCCAAATGCCCCTATCTTCCCCAAGATTGGAGAAGTTTTCAGCTATTAAAATCCTCCTCCCTTATCTACAGGGACACATTCCAAGCCCCTGGTGGCTGCCTGAAACCATGGATAGTACTAAAACCAATATATACTATGTTTCTGCCTATACATATATACCTATTGTCATAGGATCCTTAGGGTGTTGCTTTGCCAGCCAGAAACCTCTGTGGACAGCAGTGCTTCTGCTTGAGTTTTGTTCATGCCCCCTGGGCTTGTTCTGTCCACTCAGGCTGGCAGGCTGCACTTGGCTCATGCTACCGGCCTGGATCGTACTCCTTCCAAGGGCAAGCCAGGCATGGAGCGGTGAGGTGTGTGTGAGTGAGCAAGTGTGGGATCTGGCACTGCACACAGCCAGGCATGCTAGCTGCTGTGGTGGGGCGGGCAGCTCCAGGCACTGGCACAGGCACCGGCACAGGCACCTCATCCATGTGAAGCTGCAGCTGGACCAGATATATCACAAGTGGCTTCTGCTGCGGACACCAGCATCTGGACAAAGGGAACACGGTGGCATCCAAAATCTCAGAGAGGCCAGGAAGTGCAGAATCCTAAAGAAGGTGTTACAGCATGTCACAGCCCTAGTTCAGGGAGCCCCAAAGTCTGGCTTCCTAGAAGGGCTGCAGCTCTTTTCTCCTTCTCCTCACCCACAGTGCAGCAAGTGAGTGGGGCATGTTTTGGTTGGTTTGTGTTATAGCCCTTTCAGTTCCACCACCCCACTCAGGCTCCCAGCTCCTGGGCTGGCCCAGGCCTGCTGCTGCGTCCTGTTGCATTGGGGGGCCACCCAGCACCAGCAGAGGGCAGGAGAGCTATAGTGTTACTGCAGCTCTGGCTCGGAGAATCTCAAGGTCTGGGCCCCCAGAAGGGTCACTACTCTTCACTCCCATAGTCCAGGAGTATGTCACCACCTGCAGCTTGGTGAGCTGGCCAGGAACATGTTACAGCTTCTTTCCCTCCCACCATTCAGCAGGTCCTGAGTTCTTGTCCCACATCCAGGAAGAATGAGGTTATGTGAATAACTGGAGGGTGAGCAAGGCAGAAAGGAGCTTTATTGAGTGACAGAATAGCTCTCAGTGGAGTGCATACCCAAAATGGGTAGATCCTATTTGCAGGCTTGTCATCCTGATGAGTGTCAGAGTCTGACTGAGTCTGGGGTTTTCATGGGCTCAGAATGGAGGAAGTACATACTGCTTGGTCCATGGGCAGCCATTTGTGGGTCTGGAAAAAGCACCATCCAATTGGCTGAAAGACATCAATGAAGTTTTCACTCCAGGTCACAGACTGCAACCGGAACTGGCAGCCAGGCCCCCATGCTTCAAGCTGTCCCTGGCTTGAAGGTGAGGTTTCACCAGGGACCCACCCGTTCCCACCTAGGAACATGTCTGCCTCTCGCTGCCATCAACATGCCATCCACAGCACCCAGACTGTCCGCACTAAGGGGTGTCCACAGGCCCACACCTAGCTGCCCTCAGCCGTCCTGGCCTCCCCCACCATCCTTGCTCATTAATATCCAAAGTTTCAGCCTCAGAAGCAGTTTCCAGAGGGGGCAAAGGCAGTGGGGAGTCTGGTGTATCAGAACTGCCCTGAACACACACACCTGACCACGTCACAACAGCTCCCAGGCTCAGCTATCACAACACATCCACAACTTTGCTCTGCCACAGAGCAGGTGCCAGCAGTGGAAAGAGGCCAGGGAATGGGAGCAGGCACTTCCAAGCCTGTAAGGGCAGGGGACTTCCAGGGCCCCTGAGAGCACAGGTATGCCTAGGGCTGGAGCCATGGCTGGGCAGCTGCAGCTATGCCTGGGAGCACAGGCTCCCACCCCACTAACTCAGTAGCATATAGGGCTCCCACTAGGATCACCTGTTCCTGGCCCCCCCCAGCTCTGCGGAGTGCACAGCCCCAGCTACACCTCCCCTGCTGCAGCTGGCATCCTGGCAGTGGCCACTCCAGACAGGCCACCACCACTATTCCTATGATAAAGTTTAATGTATAAATTAGGCACAGTAAGAGAATAACAACTAATAACAAAATAGAAAAACTATGACAATATACTGTAATAAAAATTATGTCAATATTTGCATGTTCTCTTTCATTGTCTGTCTCTTAAAACATATCATTGTACTGTACCTGAAACCAAGGAAAGCAAAACTACAGATAAGGAGAGACTGATCTAGTTCTTTAAGTTAGTTTTCTTCCCCTTTATCTCTTTCTTTTTCTGAGACTCCCATAGTGCATATATGACTACTCTTCATGGTGTTGCATCAATCGCATAAGCATTTTTCATTCCTTTTTATTTCTTTTACTGAATAATTTCAAATGACTAGTATTTGAGTTGACAGACCCTTTCTTCTGCTTGATCAAGTCTGCTATTGAAACTCTATTGTGTTTTCCATTTCATTCATTGTATTCTCAGCTCGAAAATCATGGTTGTTTTTAATAATTTCTATCTTTTTGTTGAACATCTTATTTTGTTCATGTGTCGCTTTCTTAATATCATTAAGTTCTCTGTGTTCTCTTGTAGCTTACTGACTTCCTTAAAACAATTGTTGTGAATTCTTTGTCAGACAATTTGTGTATCTCCATTTCTTTGTGGTTGGGTACCAGAAAATTATGTTCCTTTGGTGGTACTAGGTGTCCTTGATTTTTCATGTTCCTCAAAGTCTTGCACTGCTGTCTTCACATTTGAAGAAAGAGTCACTTTCTCTAGTCTTTACTGACTGGATTTGAGAGAAATATCTTCAACAGTGAGCCTATAGGGAATCTGAGGCTCTCTCAGATCTTTTCTATGGATTCACCCAATCCACACTTCTTGGATGGGTGGAGAAGAAATTCTGATGATTGTGTGTCTTCTCTTAAATCCACAAAACCAAACTGGGTCCTGAAAGCTTTCTGTTTGTTTCCTCTAGGACAGTGCCCTGAAATGCTCAATTTTGTATTCCTCCCAATCCTTCAAAGTTGAGCCTGCTGACTGCATGTACTCAAAAGCTGTAGGTAAATGCTCACACTCACCATCTGGAGTGCATGTGCAGGCAACTGACTATAGGAGAAAGGGAAGGGGAATATGCACAAAACATCGGGGGCTCCTATGGGCCAGTTGCAGGGAGATGCTACAGATATGGTGTCCCAAGTGGTTCATGGGTGGGCCTCCTGATGGGCTCTGTGAAATGCTTCAAAGGATATGTACCCTGTACTGAGTTTCAAGTCCTGGTTGCTGTGAGTCCTCTCCTTTCTTTCCTGCTACTGCCCTGTCCCAGCCACTTAGCCATGCTAATACCCTCAATATTCTGAGTTGAGTGAAAGAAAGATGGGCTTCTTGGGATGTGCCTCACACAGCTGGAAAAGCTGGATACTCACTCATTATACTCTCCTTTTCCCCATGGGAGAAATTGCCTGCTGAAGGGAGTCTATCTTGGCACTAAGAAGTGGACCCTGGGGGTGAGGTGATGCAGGTAATTGTTCTTCTTACTCCCTTGAATGCATCTACTCCCAGATATTTTTCTCCAACGGTGTGCTGTTAACTTTTCCATTTAACTCCTAGACTCTGGCAAATGTATTTTCATCCATAGGTGATTGTCAAAATCAGTGCACTATGCAGAGATTATGGTAGAAAACTCCAATATTCCATTGTACTGATGTCATTTTTGTCCATAGATTTATATAATCCATATCAAGTGCATCAAGAAAGTCTGAATAAATGAAAACAATAGTTTGATATTTAGTTAGTATAATTTTTGCATAAATAAGCATACTTAGAGACCTCATTTTCATTTTTATGCTGTCATTTTCAAATGTACATCCTTTGGATCATCAGTTCTGTAGAATATCCCACAAATGAGGACAAATTTGATCTTATAATCAAATATTTTGGAGAAGTTGGTTAAACATAATCAAATTAGTTTCTTTATTTTAAGACTATAATATGCTAATGAACAATGTGAATTTACAAGAAAGAATATACTATGCAATTTTTCTCAATTTATTTAACTTATTTGACTATGGTACTCTGTTTTTATTTTCATTGAGCATCCTAAGAAACTAAAGTTTAACAGACACACATTTGGGGGCAAATGCTTCATCCAAGTCTGCAATTTAGTAACCATTTTAGGAAAGCTGAGGAATACAATCAAGTGGTTGAATGTTTTCAAATATGTTTTGTTTGTAATATTAGAATTAGAGATGTCTAGATTTGGTTTATTCTCTTTTCATGTACTCTAATTACATAGAAAATCATGGCACATATTTGAAATTAAAGACAAGTCCAATCCCTGAGCTCACTAATTTGTGATTATTTCCTATTGTTTTGATTTCTGCCATTTAATATAATGTATTATGTGTGAAGTGTAAGAAAACATTTTTATTTGGCCCTGGACATACCAGAAGTCACGTTTCTAAATATGACAGGCCCTGTGGACAAAAAAAGAGACAATATTGTATCTTGTCACAGTAAGTGGTAACTGTTTAGTGAGCACTTACATGAAATAGGGTTTCTTTTAAGACCCTTACGATGAGGCACGGTGGCTCACACTTTTAATCCCAGCACACAGGGAGGCTGAGGTGGGAGGATCGCTTGAGCCCAGAAGTTCATGGCAGCAGTGAGCTATGATTACACTGCTGCACTCCAACCAGGGCGATAGACCCTGTCTCAAAAAAAAAAAAAAAAAAAGACCCTTGTTAAGTGTATTAATTCATTTAATGCTTATGCTTATGAAAACCTTGAAAAGCAAATATTATCATTGTCTCCTTTTACAAATGGAGAAATACAGAATTTAAGTTCATGAAGTCATCTCCAGAGTTTGTGCATCCAACCACCACATTAAACTATCTTCAAGCATTAGCTATAGAAATGTAATTATTTTGAAATTTCTATTCTTGCTACTTAAAATAGATATAATAGCTCACATATTTCAGTGTCTTCCACAGCTGCATACTGAAAGAAATACATTTGTCAAATCCTAAAGCTTAAATTTTTTTAAATTAAAATGAACTCTGACATCTAACTCTGCTTAAACCAATGAAAAATCATACAAAAGATGCTTGCAAGAGGCATCAGTTTGATTTTATGTATAAGAATTAATAGAAATGAAAATCTTATTCTAAGGCAAAGATATGTAATTAATTCTTCTCTCTTTGTTCAGCATAACTGACATATCCTAAAGAAGTGTTTTCACTGAATACGTTGATGTGTGGCTTAAGTATCATAAATTTAAACAAAAAAAAAAAGAAAAACTTAGATTAAAAAGTGGCAGTTAGCCTGAAAATTACTGGCCTCTGAGATGTACCCTTTAATTATTTCTGAGAAGGGAACTTAAAATGAGGAACATTTATTAGTGGATTATTTTTAGCATCAAACTGATCCCTAATGGCTTTCAGAGAAGTCCTGGTTTAACCTTGGAATATAATTCATTATCACATCTATGGACAGAGCTCTTTCACAGTGCAGATTGAAACTATAATTTTGAGAAAGAAAATGAGGTAGATGTGTTCTATTTAATTAGATCAATTTCCTATATATGGTTAATTTCAAATTTTTGTGACACTTTATGAAGTATTAACAATAATACTAAAAGTACACAATCCAAGTTTAATAATATCCAAAACTTCCAAGTTCTTTCTCAAGCATATGCAAGGGCATTATGTAATATTTTTCTTGACAATATCTTTGAAATCCAGGCGATTGACAGGTCTTATTTTCCATATTTTATAGAAAAAGGATCTGAGTCACAGCAAAATGAAATGACTTATTTAAGGTCAGACAGATGGTTCATGTTGATATCCCATATAGTGTTTTTTTTTGCTTTTTTTTTCAAACTCCAGTTCTCCAAGTGACAAATGGAGAGATAAATGTGAAAATATTTTGTGAATTCTTTTTTCATAAACAATGATTTATTTATGTGTCCATCTATTTGTTTGCTTATCCTTCTTGACCTTAAAGAACTTAAAGATGTTATTAAAACAATAATGTTTATTTTTATAGTCGTATGATGAGGCTATAGAAATTCTAAGTGCTGTTGTTTTTCTGAAGGAAATTGTTTGCATTGCATTTACTTTAATCACGATGACAAACCTTGATGCTTGTATATCACACTTTGGGAGGCCAAGGCGGGTGGATCATGAGGTCAAGAGATCAAGACCATCCCGGCCAACAGGGTGAAACCCCATCTCTACTAAAAATACAAAAAAATTAGCTGGGTGTGGTGGTGCGTGCCTGTAGTTCCAGCTACTTGGGAGACTGAGGCAGGAGAATCACTTGAACCCGGGAGGTGGAGATTGCAGTGAGGCGAGATTGCACCACTGCACACCAGCCTGGAGAGAGAGCGAGACTCCGTCTCAAAAAAATAAATAAATAACTACAGTCGATGTAAAGAAAACAGGTAAAGGTCCTCTTATTTCTCTGATAGATTTATTTGTGTTAGGGTACATATAATAATCTGATGTAATTGTCAAATACACCAGTAAAGAAAACCAAAACTACTCTAGGTATTCTAAGCAGCAAGGGATTCAATAAAGGGAATTCAGTGTTTATGAAATTGTTGGAAAGGCTAGAAGAGTTGATTATGGGCTGGGCCTCCAGGAATTTTTTCTAAAGCAACACAAAGTCACTACTTTGATACCACCATTGGAACTATTGAGTGGGAAAGCACACCCCAGAACAGTGCTCCAGAGATCAGGAAGCTGAAATTCCACTTGCTGCTGCCATTTCCATAGCTGCCTCTAGGACACAGGAAGCTGGAAAAAGGATACTGGAATGTTCTTGCAGAGGAACATACTGTCTTCAGAATCCCGATTGCCAGTAGCACACACCCAAAAATGACAGGAAGACACTCTTTGTCTCATTTCCACATTCCAAGTTTTGCGTGCTCATCTATTTGGCTAAACCCCATTCTTAGTTAGAACTCTAGCTACATTGAAAATTAAAAAATTTTAAGCATTGGAATTTCCACAGTACAGAGAAGCACAGCAAAAGGAGAATGGAGGGAGACTGAATGAGACACCATACAATATCTGCCAAACATGAATTAAAACTTTTAGCTATGATTAGATTTAGACTGGTTTTCATCAATTCTAAGGTACCTTTGGTTGCATAATATGCCACTATTTTATATAGTCCTAAGAGACAAAAATTACGGTCCATTCAATCCTGAAATAGTACTAAGATGCCTTCAATTGTAAAATGCAGCCAATTTTAGAGATATTAACATGTTAAAAGATGTGCATGTTAGAATCAACGGAATACAGTACACATTTCATGACAGATTGTGATGGTATGGCCTTTTTATGCTGGTATGCACGGGCATACAGAGCAGTTTGATGTTTTAAAGAAACATTGATAAGTTGAAATAAATTGATATTTCCATTGTAATTGGCATAATGTGTAAAGAAAAAAGAGCAAAGGAATACTAGAATGGTAAAAGACTGAAAGAGATATTTTATAATCTACCAATATACAGACAATTTACTAAGTTAAATAACTGAAAACTACTTATATCTCTTTAGGTCATGAGTAGATTACATTGCAAATTTCCTTAAGAAGTGTAACCCTGTTGAAAAATTGAAAAACATATTTTGTGGATTATGTTAAAATACATTAAATCAAGCCACCAGGAGTGACTGTATTCTGTCAAAATCACCCGCTCTCCCTCTCCCTCTCCCTCTCCCTCTCCCTCTCCCTCTCCCCTCTTTCCACGGTCTCCCTCTGATGCCGAGCCGAAGCTGGACTGTACTGCTGCCATCTCAGCTCACTGCAACCTCCCTGCCTGATTCTCCTGCCTCAGCCTGCCGAGTGCCTGCGATTGCAGGCGCGTGCCGCCACGCCTGACTGGTTTTCATATTTTTTGGGTGGAGACGGGGTTTCGCTGTGTTGGCCGGGCTGGTCTCCAGCTCCTAACCACGAGTGATCCGCCAGCCTCGGCCTCCCGAGGTGCCGGGATTGCAGACGGAGTCTCCTTCACTCAGTGCTCAATGGTGCCCAGGCTGGAGTGCAGTGGTGTGATCTCGGCTCGCTACAACATCCACCTCTCAGCAGCCTGCCTTGGCCTCCCAAAGTGCCGAGATTGCAGCCTCTGCCCGGCCGCCACCCCGTCTGGGAAGTGAGGAGTGTCTCTGCCTGGCCGCCCATCGTCTGGGATGTGAGGAGCCCCTCTGCCTGGCTGCCCAGTCTGGAAAGTGAGGAGCGTCTCTGCCCAGCCGCCATCCCATCTAGGAAGTGAGGAGCGCCTCTTCCCCGCCGCCATCCCATCTAGGAAGTGAGGAGCGTCTCTGCCCGGCCACCCATCGTCTGAGATGTGGGGAGTGCCTCTGCCCTGTCGCCCCGTCCGGGATGTGAGGAGCGTCTCTGCCCGGCCGCCCCGTCTGAGAAGTGAGGAGACCCTCTGCCTGGCAACCGCCCTGTCTGAGAAGTGAGGAGCCCCTCCGCCCAGCAGCCACCCCGTCTGGGAAGTAAGGAGCGTCTCCGCCCGGCAGCCACCCCGTCCAGGAGGGAGGTGTGGGGGTCAGCCCCCCGCCCGGCCAGCCGCCCCATCCGGGAGGGAGGTGGGGGGGTCAGCCCCCCGCCGGGCCAGCCGCCCCGTCCGGAAGGTGAGGGGCGCCTCTGCCCGGCCGCCCCTACTGGGAAGTGAGGAGCCCCTCTGCCCGGCCACCACCCCGTCTGGGAGGTGTACCCAACAGCTCATTGAGAACGGGCCATGATGACAATGGCAGTTTTGTGGAATAGAAAGGGGGGAAAGGTGGAGAAAAGATTGAGAAATCGGATGGTTGCCGTGTCTGTGTAGAAAGAGGTAGACATGGGAGACTTTTCATTTTGTTCTGTACTAAGAAAAATGTTTCTGCCTTGGGATCCTGTTGATCTGTGATCTTACCCCCAACCCTGTGCTCTCTGAAACATGTGCTGTGTCCACTCAGGGTTAAATGGATTAAGGGCAGTGCAAGATGTGCTTTGTTAAACAGATGCTTGAAGGCAGCATGCTCATTAAGAGTCATCACCACTCCCTAATCTCACAAACACTGCGGGACACAAACACTGCGGAAGGCCGCAGGGTCCTCTGCCTAGGAAAACCAGAGACCTTTGTTCACTTGTTTATCTGCTGACCTTCCCTCCACTATTGTCCTGTGACCCTGCCAAATCCCCCTCTGCGAGAAACACCCAAGAATGATCAATAAAAAAATAAATAAATAAATAAATAAATAAATAAATAAAAATCACCCAACTACAATTGCTATGCAAAGCGTCACCCTTCCCCCTGGGTAGGCCAATGCTTTCACAGGAGGGTAGAGAGCAGTAGAGGGCCAGGAACATGTGCAAAACTGTAACTGGTCAGTTGTGAGCTGACTGGAAGCCGATAAGACAACCAAGGCCTTAGGCTAAGACTCAACCCAGAAGAACACAGCAGGGTCTGCACACAGTATAAGATGCTAGAGATTAATCAAGTGATGTTCAGGAGAAGAAACAATCAGACAACAGTGCTGAGGAAATAGAAAGTAAATAGTCTAAGACTGGAGTTTGAGGTAGACATTTGTTGAGTATCTACTATGTGCCAGGCACTATTCCAGGTGTGTTAGCAAAGGCAGGAATTAGGGTCACATAAGATCAGAAAAGTAGTATTCAGAGACCAGAGTTCTCAGAACAAAGTATGTTAGCAGGCCTGACAAATTATTTTGATGATGTCTCTATTATCCCACTTTGGTCTTGTCAAATGAGCCTGCTGACCTGAGATCAGAAATTAAAGAGCTGCCCCCTCGGTTGCTGAGAGGGCTGAACATGTTCTGTTATCATCAGCAAGCACAAGTGTTTTTTCACGGTAATAATCTCTTCCTGGGTAGCAGCACCAAAATGTCTAGAAAAGAAAAGTTGGCCTGAGATATTTATGGTTCATAATATATTTTGCTGTCAGCTCAAAGATTGCAGATGTCATTTGCCAACAACTCGCTTATTTGATTTATGGAATAATTAATTGTATGTAAGATAAGCAGTGCACTGAAGACTGGCAGTTATAATCAATAGACCCTTGCAGCAAAAAAAAAAAAAAAAGTCTTTATGAAATTGCAAATGCAAGTTCATACTCCACACTAGCAGTGTCTCTCAAATTGCTTTGCTCTTTCTTCAGGTGTAGGCTGAGGGCCGTAAGTATAATAATAACCCTTTATATTCATTTCATGTTTTGTAATTTACAAATACAAAGTGATTTCTGACTTGTGCTATTTTGTTAGGCCACTGCAACACTACTGTAATGAACACAGGGAAGGCATTGTTGTGCTGGGTGCTGAGGAAACAAATCCTGAGACATTAAGTGATTTGCCCAATGCCACACACTGTCAAAGCCAAAGAAAATTCAAGCACAGTGACTTCCAAGTCTGCTGTGGGTAAGGCTATGTATTGTAGCATGTAAAGAAGAGCACTGCTTCAAACTACCTGGGTTTAGACCCTGCCTCTTCCATGCATCGCCTATGCAAACAAATCTCTCAGTCTCCAGGAGCCTCCGTTTTTTCACATATAAAAGGGAACAATACAATTTCCATTGCAAGTTTCTTGTGAGGATTTGGTGAAATAAAGCATAAGAAAGCCCCTCCCTCCTCTGACTGCTTCCCATTCCCTGCCTCCCAGCCCAGCTCACATCCATCATTCTTTTCCACTGCCCACAGCTGCCTGACTTAGCTGGGTACTCAGTTCATCAAATGCTCCCCATAATTCTGCCCATGTCAAGGAATGATCAGACAGCCTTCAAGTGCATCCTTTATGACTCTTCAAAAAAACCCTTGGAAATAATCTAAACAGATCCACTCCAAAAGAGATTGCACTTCAAGTAAAAATAAAACAATATTTGAGCCAGGCTCATATTTTTCTATGATAAGAAATGCCCCAGTCTAGACATAGTCATGTACAAGAGGCATGGAATTTTGGTCACCATCAGTGCAGTAGCTGTACTTTCATATCTGCCTTCAAGGAATTTAGAGCCTGACGGGAAAGACATATATAGTAACATACGTAAATCCTTAGTTATCTTTTCTTTAATTGAACTTGGGAGCATAGCTTCTTCACCTGTTAACCTTAAATCACCGCTAAAAATTACAGTTTGAATTTCCTGACAAATGAGGCAACTGTCCTAATCATAATAATAACTTTTGTTCAAAATACCAACAGTGCTTTTCTTACTAATTAATGGTAGATTCACCCAATCAAACAGCAATCGCCACTTTCCCTGACATCATTTCTGATTGCAAGTTGCAAGGCCTTTATAAAAATAGAATCTCTAGATCTCACTGTGTCTATCTCTCCTGGCTGGGTTACTTCCTACCTAAATCTTGCTGGAGTGTGTGTGTTTGTGTGTCTGTTTTGTCTGTGTGAGTGCGTATATCCTGGAGAGTGGGAATAGATGGTGAATACAATGAGGAGTGTACACAACGGAAACCTAACGTGGAGTGCAGTTCATGCAATGGGTCAAACAGCTCCTGTTTCATTGATCTCTTTCGGTGCACATTTTCATCACCATCAGTAACACTTCTTTAGAGCACCGCCTCCAAGTATGTGATTTCCTCTCTAGGCTGTGGACCCTGACTGCAGACTCAGCTGCAGAACAGTTTTCCAAAACATTCCTGAGGTAGCTTTAGGTGATATGCTAAATAGGCTTGTCCATTTTTCATCAGAGACCAACAAGCACCAATTTTTCTGATCACCCCTTCATGGAGTGTGGTTTCCTCTAATCAATTTGATCAAACATAACTACTAAAATGAGCCAATCAGAATAGCTCTGCAACTGAAATCAGAAATATCTGCTGTGTATTAGAAAATGAAGAGTGTTTAGTGAACTAAACTGATTTGTTTATGGTCTTGTGCTCAAGCCTGTTGAATGGCTTTGGGTACTGTATTATTTGTTTTGAAGCAGGTATAGAAAAAGGATAATTAATTTAAAAGAGAAATGAGTGGGGGTGTAAAATATGTGAGCTACTTTTTTTTTTTTTTTTTGAGACAGAGTCTCACTCTGTTGCCCAGGCTGGAGTGCAGTGGCGCCATCTTGGCTCACTGAAAGTTCCGCCTCCTGGGTTTGTGCCATTCTTCTGCCTCAGCCTCCCCAGTAGCTGGGACTACAGGCGCCTGCCAGCACGCCTGGCTAATTTTTTTTGTATTTTTAGTAGAGACGGGGTTTCACTGTGTTAGCCAGATGGTCTTGATCTCCTGACCTCGTGATCCGCCCACCTTGGCCTCCCAAAGTGCTGCGATTACAGGCGTGAGCCACCGCACCTGGCCTGTGTGAGCTACTTTTAAGCAATATAGATTGGATGTTATTTTAACAAAGACATAATCAACACCTCCCCAGTTCATGGTCCTGTTCTGGGAAATATTGAAAGACAGACCAAAAAAAGACATAGCAAGTGATCCTCATGGAGCTCACTGCCTAGATGGAGAGGCAGGAAGTCACTATCACAGTATAGTGGGGCAAGATCTATGAAAGAAGAATCACAAGAGGCTGTGGCACATGAGAGGGGGCCAAGAAAGCATCTCTACAGAGGTGAGGCCTGAACTGAGAATGAGAGGTTGAATAGGAAACAGCCTGGGAGCAAAAAGCGAGAACATTCAGGAGAGGAAATGAAAGCCCAGCAGAGTATCATAGGTTCAGGGGACAGGACGCAGTCTGGCCTGACTGTATGTACTGGGGACAGGGCTGCAAGAGGAAAAATGGTGAGAACTAAGGCAAGGCCAGGTCTTCACAAGCCTTAGATGGCCTGACAAAGAGAAACCTCAGAATTTCAACAGATGACATGATCTAATGTACTTTTTGAAGCATCTCTGTGGTGGCAGAGTGGAGGGTGAATTTGATGAGGGTGAGGGAGGAGGCAGGGATACATCCAGAAGAAAGTAATCCTCTCCATTCCAGGACTTGAATCGAAACAGTAAGAGTAGAGCTGGTGAAGAGGGAACACAGTTTAAAAGTATGTGTAGGCTAATGTGCCAGGCATTTAAAAAATAAGATGAATTTTTAAATTCAATCTCCATATAGAGAGAACACTTCATTTTCCTTTGGCATCTTTTGGTAATGCAATAGCTGGACTGTACATAAGAAACTTTAAGTTTTAACAGTAAATTCATCTTTTCATTTGATGGTGTTTTAATCGCAATAAAATCAACAGAAAGCTGGAAAGGAGAATGAAGGAGAATATTTGAGTTACCTAGGCTGACTTAATAAAGAAAACCCCTTTAGCTCTTTCATTCTTTGCTACAGAAAATATTAGAATGGCATTTTCAGTTGTTACCATTACATATCAGGGACATCCAACTTTTACTAGGCCTATCATTGAAAGCAAAATCTAGAAGTGGCAATGTTAGTTGCCTAGGGAAAGCTCCCAGAAGAGCCATGTCACTAAACCTACAGAGTATTTATGAGACATAAGTGCCAGCATTATATGGGATGCGGTTACTGAGTTGCAGCCCTGAAAAAGGAAGAATAAAATATTCTCCCCAACATAAAACACTAATTTGCTTTTTTGTCCTTAAAAGTTGCTCTTTGAATTCATCTCAAAAATGTGTCACAAAAACAGATTGTTTTTCCGGCTGACTTTTCTTGCCCAGATGTCACTAAATGTTCAAATGTTCACAGTTTTGCCGTGTACTGAGCAGAAGCTGTTTGGGCTTTTTTTTTTTTTTTTTTTTTTTTTTTTTTTGGTAGGTCCAGATTACTTTTTATTCCACATTTTACCAGGAGGAGCTGAAATACATTATAGTTTTCTTCTTAAATATGTAATCATACTGTTTTATATTTCCTTTCCAAAGTAGCATAGTAAAGGGATTATAACTGTTTTAAAGAACCGTTAATGAAGTTTTTCTTCTTCACCAAAGACTGTTTTCATGTCAAGGGTGTTACATATTTTTATCTGATTCAGAATAATCATAGTGAGTTAGTCTGCTTATCTTTTATGCAGACCAAAAGTCCCCTCTATACCCGTGTGTACATATGTGAGTGTGTATATGGGGGTAGGGAGGTGAAGGCTGGTGCAAGGAAAAACATAGTGATTTTAGAGTTCAAAATTATAGGAATACAAAGCCCTATATTAGGTAATTTCTTTGCCTTCCCATTAGGCTTCCTTTCTAATATTTCGAATGTAAAAGAATATAACTTATCCCCCTAAGCCCTAATATTTCACTACACTTTAAGGAAACATGTCTCAAATACTTGAGGCATGCCTACTGTGTTGCTACCATTTCCTCAAGGTAGGTACCAAATGTACCTACCATTTCCTCAAGGCCTTTATCATCTCAGGAGATAGTGTAGGCTATAGATATTTATAAAACAAGCCAAGCGGAAGACCCTGAGAGAAACAGAAAGACAGTTCTATTTCTCAGAACTGAGATTTCCTAATCTAAGGAGAGATTAGGAAGGGAGAGATCATGTTTATTTACAGGAATTGGGGAATTCCTCATGAAGGAACTGATTTTGAACTGACCTTGAGGATGAGTTAATGTTCTATTGATGGGAATCCAGACATTTCATAGGAAGGAAGTAGCTAAGACAAAGCCAAGGTGGCAGGAAAGAATGTGCTGTATTGAAAGTGCACCTAATAGGCACAATAAGCTGGAGCCTCATGTAAAGGTGAGCAGGACAAGCTTCGGGAAGGGAAAGCTGGGCGAGAGCGTGAAGTTCTTTACAAATATCCAAGTCAGAAGGACACATCTGAGTTAGAAATAGAGATCCACTGAAAGATTTGAGTAAGAAAATGACTATCATACCTCTAGTTAAGAAAAATGTATCTGGCAGTTATGTATTTGAAGGAAATGGAGAGGGAAGACAGTGGATACATTAGGAGGTAGGGAAATTAGGAAGCTGTCTCTTTAGAAAGGAAGTACTGAGTAGGACCTAAAGAGAAGCAGTAAGATAAGAGCAGGTAGAGGCATACTCATTCTTTCTGTATTAACGGTTATTGTATCATTTTGTTGTGATTGGCAAAGGAACTTCTCTACGTATGGAAATATAATGGTTCCCTTGAGTGACAATCCATCATCGAACGTTTCAGATGCAGATGAGTGAGTTGACACTGATAAACTTCCTGCAAGAGCCGTTCACTAAAGATAACAATGAAGGGAAAAAAATTCAGATATTTACTACCACAAAAAAAAAAAAAAACTGTTATAAACTAAATCTTTTATGGTGAAAACCAGAATGAAGTGGGAGGACACTATGGAATATGGAAAGACAGAAAATTAATGAAAATTAAATGTTACAAGAGTTTGTTCTTTATTTAGGTATTACAAGTCCATGGAAACAAGGTCTTGTTTGGAACCTAGAAGTAAAAGTATTACATTTATTGAATATATGTGTGGCATTGTGCTAGGCAATGAAAATAAAACAAAACAACTATGACCACTGGGACCATTAAAGAGCACACAATGCAGTGTGAAGAGTTGTAACTGCAGTGGGGAATGGGTGAGCATGTCATGGCTGAAGCATGTCTGAGTGCTAGAATAATCCCAAAAGTTGAGAAACACTGGCTTGGAAGTATATATATTTTTTGAAGAAGAAGATTCAATTTTATTTTTCCAAGTTGTTGTTGTTGTTTGTTTGTTTGTTTGTTTTTGAGATGGAGTCTTGCTGTGATGCCCAGACTGGAGTGCAATGAAGCAATCTTGGCTCACTGCAACCTCCGCTTCTGGGGTTCAAGGGATTCTCCTGCCTCAGCCTCCTGAGTAGCTGGGATTACAGGCATGTGCCACCACGTCCAGCTAATTTTTATATTTTTAGTAGAGATGAGGTTTCACCATATTGGCCAGGCTGGTCTCAAACAACTGACCTCAAGTGATCCGCCCGCCTCGGCCTCCCAAAGTGCTGGAATTACAGGCGTGAGCCAGTGCACCCGGCGTATTTATCCAAGTTTTGGATGAGCAGGTTTCGTTTTGTTTCCTAAAGAAGGCTATCATCTGACAGAATGTAGGAGTCACTACTGAATTAAGAAGGCAGAATTAACAAGACCTGAATGGTGAGAAGGTAGGAATTTTTCAAGAATCCAGGAAGCCTTGTGCCTACAAGACCAATTCAAGGTGAGAAAGGATATCACAGTGGCTGTGTACTTCCCCTTCATCTATTCTGAGTAAAGCTCACCCGCCCTACTTTATTCACTTCCCTTTGTGTGTGCCCTTTCTCATATACACATTTGGTAGTTGATGAAAGGAAAAAAAAAAAAAAAAAAGACTAGTTTTAGATGAAGTTTCCATACTTTCCAATTCAAGCCAAAGACAAACATGAAGAGCCAAACTGCTGACTCCTCTTTTCATTATAATTTTCTTACTCTTGTAATCAAAGTTTTCTCTCCTTATCCTCAAACCCTGTCCTTTCTCACGATGAGTTCTAGAGACCGGTCATGTTACCTTAGTTTCAAGCCTTCTTTGACTAGCTCATTTTTTCATTTGTAAATGTAAATGAGAATCCCTGACTCTTAACATTTTCCACATGAACTAATAGGAATATTCTTTTAAATTCTCTGCTCTTTTTCAGCACAGGAAAAGCATGTTCTGTTTTCCTTTTTTTTTTTTTTTTTTTTTTTCCTGCCTTACCTCCCGTAGAACCAGGCTAAGTTATTAGTCTACAGCAGAAGTTCTCAACCCTGGCTGCATATGAGAATAATTTGGGGAACTTTTAAAAATTCTGATGCATAAGCCATACCAAAAACCAATTAAATCAGAGTCTCTGAGGGTTAAACTCAGGCACCAGTATTTTCAAGACTCTCCTGATGATTCCAGTGTGCAGCCAGGGTTGAGAAGCACTGATCAATAGCAATGCCTAATTACTTCCCAATTCCCCAAACTGGCATTTATTTACCTTCATAATTTTCTTGCCCATCCTATCTTCTTGGCATCAAATGCCTTGCAGTGTTTTACCACCTAAATGAAACAAATCCTGCACAGCCAACAAAGTTCGAGCCAAATGCTCCCTTCTCTACAAAGTCCTCTTTTCTTCCCTAGTTCTGGCCTGAGCTTTTTGTTTTTCCCACTCATTTCCCATCCAAGTGATTTGTATCTGTACTCAACACATACGACATTGGGCTTTAAACTCTAGTTACAGACATGTCCTTTTCCTAAATGGATTTTAAGCTCCTTAAAAATAGGGACTTAAGCTTATTCATGTGCACATAGTGAACATTCAATGAAATATTTTGAAATCAAATAAAATTGTCAAAAATGAATAAGTAAATCTATACCCTTCCTATATATAGTGTAGTGATGACTTATGCCTTCTATTAAAAATCAGTTATTCAGAAAAGCCATGATACCATTTCTTATAAAAATGCAAGATGTGATTTACTATTCCTGGCAACAGCTGCTGCTCATCAATGATAAACTTTGAAGTCAGTGATAACATAATTCAGCAGACATGATGATTCTCAATCTATGCATGATGCCATATGGGCTTCAAGACCAAGACAGCATTATTCCCCTGCTCAAACAAATGCACTCCATGTTTTGTTTTGCAAAATTTGACCTAGATTAAATGTACATTGGCCAAAACATCTAAGTCTTCCCAAGGCAATGGTTATGGGCTAAATTCTAAAGAATGCATCTCTGTGTGTGTTTGTGTGGGGGTGTGTGTGGTGGCGTGTGGTGAGTGTAACACATGCACAAAATTCACTCCTGAAGAGACAACTTAGGCATGACCACATCTTTCCTGTGTTCCAGGTGTCCCCATCTTTCCTCTCTGGTCCCATTTAAACTCTGGGTTTAATTTGATCTTCATACGGACTGTGTCCCTCCACTAGCAAACGTGGAACAACTTGATGGTAAACATTATGTTTTACTCATTTTTATTCATACATAGCATTTACCTGTCATGGTTCCTATCACACAACAGCAATCAAAGGGTATTTTTTGAATTAGTAATTGAACAAAAGGAAGAACTTTGAATGGATAAAGGAAAGTATTGGTATGAATAGCTCCCTGACTCAAAACGTCCCCTGTTGTTGCCTACGAAAAGCAAGCATATTTCATACCACGCCCACAGGTACAGTGACTTGAATATGTTCTTGATTACATAGTAACACCTAGAAGAAAAATAATTAACTATACCAGTAAAAATTAAAGCAAATGTTATTTGATTAAGTGATATTACTTGATATTACCTGTATAAAATTTAAGTTATAACTTTCATCTTACTGCTCAAAAATCTTAAGTTACAGTTAACTTCTAGGACTAGAACTAGGGTAAAGCAAGTCAGGCAGTCATATTGGGTGCAAGACTTAAGGGGTCCAAGTAACATTTAAGGAGATATTTTTAAAAATCAAAATTAATACAAAAAATCATGATGAATAAAATACCACAAATATAAATAAAAACATGGTCCGTGTGGGATGGATTTGCAAAATATTATATGAGAATTATTATATGATGAGCTATATTATATCAAAATATTACAAAAGCATTATTATGTAATGCCACTAATAAAACCTTAAGCATAATAATAACAGCCCACCGGTGTTGGTGCATGTAGTTTTAAAACTTTGGCCAGCTATGCACAGATTTGGGAGTTTTAGGAAATAGTTTAACGCCAAAGGATGTTGTGGGTTATTTTCCATAAGAAGCAGCAAGTAATTTTTCATGCTTAGGTTTTAATTAGTGGTCAAAGTGTCTAATGTGTCAGAAATTAAATTGATACTGCCTCCACTACAGTGCTCTAAAGAAGTATTTATCTAGTGAAAGGCATATGTTTCCATTTAACTATTCATCCTTCTCTCATCTCTTTAGCGTCTAGTGCTGTGCTGAGCATTCAGGCTAATAGTCTGGCCAGCTTGGGGCAGACATCCTCATGAGCAAACATCGATTATAGAATACTAAAAAAGATACAAGAGAACTCAGTGGGGTTATTATGGAAATGGAAACAACAAACCAAAAGAAATTTCAGGTCAAGGTAATGTAACTAACTGGTTAATGTGTACCTTTCAAAACTGCATTGTTTTCTTCCTAAGAGCTAGTTGGCAGTGTGTATTAAATGTTTTTAAAATTCTGAATAAATCTGATGAAGCACTTCCATTTCAAGAAAATTCCCTTAAGGAAATGTCAATGGACATGTGTAAAGATTTCTCACCCCAAAAATGTCTATCATAGTTTTTTTTCTGGTATAATAAGAGCAAAGGAGTAAACTTAACTAGCCAATTTCATGACAGTGTTGAGATACATACATTGTATAATGGAAGATTTGCAGTGATTAAAAATAAGTTGGTAAGGCCAGGCACAGTGGCTCATGCCTGTAATCCCAGCACTTTGGAAGGCCAAGGCAGGCAGATCACTAGAGGTCAGGAGTTCGAGACCAGCCTGGTCAGCATGGTGAAACCCCATCTCTACTAAAAATACAAAAATGAGCCAGGCGTGGTGGCATGCTCCTGTAATCCAGCTACTTGGGAGGCTGAGGCAGGAGAATTGCTTGAACTGGGGAGGCAGAATTTGCAGTGCGCCGAAATTGTGCTACTGCACTCCAGCCTGGGTGACAGAGCAAGACTCCATCTCAAATAATAATAATAACTTGGTAAGGAATCAGTAATGACATGTAATGGGGTACACACCTGCTACTCCAAGTGTGTTCCCGCGACCGGCAGCATGTGCTTCCCAGGAACTTGTTAGACATGCAGAATTCCAGGTCCCACCCAGACCTACTGAATAGGAATCTGCATTTTAACAAAGTTCCCCAAATGATTTCTACATGCATTACCATTTGAGAAGCACTGGCATATGCTGTATTTTTTTAAGCAAAAGAAAAATATGTATATTATGATTCCATTTTTGACTCTCTCAAGTATGACTACATGGATAGAAGAAAAGAGTCGATGGATATACATGAAAATGTAAGCAGTAATGATCTTGGGGTGCTGTACTTTTTATGTTCTTCTTTTATTCTAAATTTTCTAAATATTTTCTATATATTCAACTAAAAATGTGTATTGCCTTTGTCATAAGAAAGAAAAGTAAGTTTTATAAGTGTATTTTATCTTTGTTGTTTTTTCTTTTAAAGTGATTGTTCATGGTAAGTAAATCACTTTTCTATCAGGTAAAAATTCAGGTTAATTGCACATTGAAGTTTGCAAAATTAAAAGTATAATTTTACAGCACTAGGTTCACATCTGTTATCATATATATAGTCTAATTGTGATGTAGACTATTTCCTCACACTGTTTCCATAAGAATGTTCCTATCTTTCTATTCCTGTATCTTGTTCTTCTGTCTATTAAAGACATGAATATGTTTGTAAAGCAAGTCTCACCCATCTCGAGATTATGCACTCCCTCAAAAGGTTATTATTATTATTATTATTTTTTTGGAACTTTACCCTCTTCCATGATGTTGTCCTAAAGCTGCTAAGATATACAAAATTTCAGTGGTTTTCTTTCATTTTGTTTTACTTTTTATAAAGGCTCTTTTCAAAAGGCAGGCAATTACCATACCAAGTTATGATTAGAATGAACACCCTTGTTGGGACTGTTTCATGGTTTTTGTCTTTGTTAGTTTTGTTTTGTTTTGAGACAGGATCTTGCTCTGTCGGCCAGGCTGGAGTGCAGTTGTACAATCATTGCTCACTGCAGCCTCGACCTCCCAGGCTCAAGTGATCCTCCTACCTCAGCCTCCTGAGTAGCTATAGGACCACGGATGTATGTCACCAGGTTTGGCTAATTTTTTATTTTTTTTTGTAGAGATAGATTCTTGCTATGTTGCCCATGCTGGTCTCAAACTCTTGGACTTAAGCAATCTTCCTGCCTTGGGCTCCCAATGTGCTGGGATTACAGGTGTAAGCCACTGTGTTCCTTAGAGGATGCTAAGGGGGTTGCACACAGGAGCTGTCAGGTTTGAAGCTGTAACAAGAGAAAGGAAAGATCCTAAATGCTGCTTAGGTGAGCCCTGGTAGCTGCTGAACACACTGAAGCCCACTGAACCCAGAGAGATGGAAGGTAACAGGAAAATGAGAAGGGCCTGCTTCCAAAGCTTGCCTACAGCAGTCCCAGCACATTCCAAGACATTTAAGGAACACAAGTAAAATTTCATTTTAATGCAAACCATTTTAAGGCAACGTTTTGTTAATGACTCAGAATTCACTAACAAATGTACATGTCCTCTGAGAAGGCACATGGTAAACGCGCTTTGCTTATCTTCCTCCATGGATCTTACAGAACGAGTAGAGTAACAAGGCCTGTGCATGCAGCAGTCTGGTTAAAGAAAACCTGACCCTGCTGGGCATCTGTCCTTTTTTTCTATAGCAGGGACCATAAGTAATAGCAATGAGATGATAAATAAAACCAAGAAACTGCTTTCAGAGTGATCATGGGTGGAGAAGATGAGATAGATTATTGAAAAAAATACTAGAAGAAAACAAAATGGAGAGGAAGTCACATTTGTAGAGCCTGAGGGCAGGCTCTTAACATACATCATCTCATTTAATCCTCATTGCAGACCTGTGATGTACGTGAGCTGGCTGAGATTCAGTGAGACTCATAACTTCTCCAAGTTCACCCACCTAATAAATGGCAGAATGAGGAATCAATTTAAGTTTAGCTAATGCCAAAGCCCATGTTCTTTCCACAATAACACACTGCCTGAAGACACAATTCTGATTATGACTCATTTACTATATACCAAAAAACAAAACTTTTTAAAATTCCTCAAAGCAGGGTTCTTCCATCCCAATTCATAGACTAACTTCCATCAGAATATCTTAGGTATCTTGTTAAAATGCAGATTCCAGGTTTTCTTTCCATATAGTCTGTAGGTCTAAGTGAAGTCTAGGAATTTACATTTTAGACATTTCCCAGGAAGCTCTGACACACAGACCACAAACACAGATGCCTAAAAAGGATATAATCTAGATATCATTGAAAGGAGACTCCTTGTCACTCCTGGAGCAAACACCGCTCTTTCCCATCAACGTGCCACCGATAACACTAATCCCTTGGTCTGCATTCATATTTCACTGGCTAGTCCAAGGCTCTCTGACATACAGGAGAAGGGTCTGAAGTGAAAGGAGGTTGAGTCTTAGACCTGGCCATTAACTAGTGATGTTAAGTAAAGAAGTAACAACCTTTTTGAATCTCCATTTATTTTTCTAGAAAATAGAGACCATACTCCTGCTTCAACTGCCTCACATGGGGATTATGAGGAAAACAATAAGAAGATTTAATAAAAATGGACTCAGACTGTTACTGATTTAGTAAAAATGGACTCAGACTCTTACTGATTTTCCATACAGATGCTAGTAATTGGGTGAGTAGAGGATGTGAGAAATGATGAGCCCTGGAATTGAAGTCAGATGTGAATCAGAATTCTGACTCCCCCTCTCATTAGCTGTGTAACCATGAACACTTAAACTCACAGAACCACAGTTTCTTTTTCTGTAAAAAAAAGAATGACAGGCCGGGTGCGGTGGCTCACGCCTGTAATCCCAGCACTTTGGGAGGCTGAGGTGGGCGGATCACGAGCTCAGGAGTTCGAGACCAGCCCGGCCAATATGGTGAAACCCCGTCTCTACTAAAAATACAAAAAATAGCCAGGCATGGTGGCGGGCACCTGTAATCCCAACTACTTGGGAGGCTGAGGCAGGAGAAGGAGAATCATTTGAACCCGGGAGGTGGAGGTTGCAGTGAGCCAAAATTGCGCCATTGCACTCCTGCCTGGGTGATAGGGTGAGACTCAAAAAAAAAAAAAAAAAAGAAAAGAAAAAGAATAACAAAAATGCATGCTCAGTAGCAGGAATGGAACTAACCTAAACTACCATCCACAGGGGACTAGCTAAATAAGGATGCTCTCCGCCTATACAGTTAGAGAGGAGTACCTTCTACTCTATTCAGGTTTTTGTGCAAAGGAGTTTTTAAAGCACCCTGATGATCTTGCTTTTGCCCTTGACTCACTCCACCTGTGAGAAGGTGGTATCACTTATCTGACTGGTAGATCTTGTCCCAACTGTACTTTTCATTTTGGGAACTGCTGTAGGCTACACAACAAGATCTACATACACAGCTTCAGTAATAACAAGCCTGCTTGACTATTCACACAAAACTCTAACTTCTAGTCTTGCCTCTATCTGCAATAAAATTAAATTTGTGGCCTCCTTATGCCAACTATTTGTTTTCCTTCTCAAACTCTTCAGAACCCATGGGAAGGGGGCAGAGATAGAGGGACACTATTTATTGGTCTGTCAAAAATCCAACGTATATATTGAAAACTATGTAGCCATAAACAAACGAACAAACAAAAATATACAGGTGAAGCCATATGTACCTATTGTCACTTAAAGTACTTTAGGATATGCTGTTGAGGGAAAACTGTCAGGTCCAGAACAGGGTATTTAGTGTACTCTTATTTGTATAGAAATAAAGGATGCATACAATGAAATGCACATACATTTAATTAGAATATTACCAGGAAAATAAACAGGAATCTTTTACTCTGCTTGCTCTTGGGGATAGACTAAGAGATTGAAGTGAGATGAGGAGTTATTTTTCATTGTATATGCTCTAACACATTTTTAATTTTCAGTTACACTTATCTCATTTTTTAAACAAAAAATATACAAGGCTAGGCATGGTGGCTCACACCTATAATCCCAGCACTTTGGGAGGTCGAGGTAGGCAAATCACTTGAGGTCAGGAGTTCGATACCAGCCTAGCTGACATGGTGAAACCCTGTCTCTACTAAAAATATTTTTAAAAAATAGTTGGGTATGGTGGCTGTAATCCCAGCTACTCAGGAGGCTGAGGCAGGAGAATTGCTTGAACCTGGGAGGCAGTGGTGGCAGTGGGCAGAGATCGTGTCACTGCAGTCCAGCCTGGGTGACAGAGTGAGACTCCATCTCAAAAAAAAAAAAAAAAAAATACAAGAAGTGCACATCCCTCACATTGTTGTGTTGAGGAGTAAGCAATATTGCATAGTACAGTCAATAAATTTTGCTTTCCTTTCTTCATGCTTCTGCCTGAAAGTGAGCTTCCCCTTGACAATTAGTACTCCTTTGAGATTACTGGAGGTCACGCTCTTAGAGCATTATGCTCTGACTTCTCTTAGTCTTAATATATCCCTCGTCATAGGAGGCTTTCCCCCACCAGAAAGCAAGCTACAGGATAGCAAGGGACCAAGGAACTGTAGCCCTCCCAGCAGCTAGCTCAGTCTCTTCAGCATAGCAGAGAGCCAACACGTTTACAACACTAAATTGTGCACGAGGCTCTTAGTGCCCAGGCCAATCATCTACTCTGGTTGCTATAGAATTGAAGTTGGGACAAAGAAAGCCTTTGCATGACTCCACTAAGTAGAAAGCACAGCTTCAAAGAGAAGCTGAAACTTCCTGTCAGAACACAGACCCAGCATGTGCCATTATGTGCAAAATCACCACATGCCTGCTGCTCCTAACCACCATCCTCTCCCAACATGATATTTTAAATGGAAACATATGGCTAACACAAAACAAATCTGATTTTTTTCCTCTGTGTGTTTGGTGATTATTTATTTATCCGAGTTTAAGAAAGAATAAAATACAAATTACCAAAACAAGGGAAAATCAGTTTCAAGCTCCTTTGAAGTTTTTTACCCTGGGCATGGTTACAAAGTTATGCATTCATACTGCAGGCTGAAAAGTTTGGCTAAAGTCCGTCTTAGATGGTAGAGGGCTCTGGTTGAAAGACTGAGGACTAGAAAGTCAGACAGAATGAGTTCAAATCTTAACTACATCCTAGACATGTCTGTGGTATATCCTCTCTAAGCCTTGGTTTCCACTGCTCTGAAATTAGGATAACACCTACTTTGAAGGTACAAATAGAACAACATCTGTAAAACACCAGACAGATGCCCTGTATATGGTTATAATGATTAATACAGAAATTAATTTATAAACAATAATAGAATGGAGTATGCTTATAATCATATATTCAGTTATGTATTCAGTTATTCATTTTGTCTTTTCCACTGGCCTGTGGATCTCTTAGAGGGTACTAACTTTCCTTTGTTCATTTTTATGACTAGCACTGAGCACATTGTCTTGTTATACCATTCCCCAATGAACATTTTGAATGAATGAGAAAGAGAATTGGAAGTAACTTCAAACCTGCTAACCAGTGTTACTTTTAGCCATTCCCAACATGAACCTGTGTATCCATGCCTGAGATCTCTTTCCTCTTCTTTTTTTTTTTTTTTTTTTTTTTTTTGAGAAAGAGTTTCACTCTTGTTGCCCAGGCTGGAATGCAATGGTGCAATCTCGGCTCACTGCAACCTCCGCCTCTCGGGTTCAAGCAATCCTCTTGCATCAGCCTCCCAGGTAGCTGGGATTACAGGCATGCACCACCACGCCCACTTAATTTTGTATTTTTAGTAGAGACAGGGTTTCTCCATGTTGGTCAGGCTGGTCTCAAATTCCCGACCTCAGGTGATCCACCTGCCTCAGCCTCCCAAAATGCTGGGATTACAGGCATGAACCACTGTGCCCAGCCTCCTCTTTATTTTAACATAGCATACTCAATACCAGGAAGAGGAAGAAAATTGGGCTAATTCCATGGAAATAGGTACTAATTCCTTCAAGATTTCAAAAAAAAAAAAGAAGAAGAAGAGAAGCAGAAGCAGAAACAGAAGCAGAAGAAGGAGAAGAAGGAGAAAGAGAAGAAAAAGAAGGGGAACAAGGAGAAGAAGGAGAAGAAGAAGAAAAGCTAGAAGCATATTCCTTGAGTTGAGAAACCAAGTTATCTGAAAGTATTTCTTAGCAATATGTAATTTGAATCTCCCTACTTCAAACTCATGTATTCCTTTTGGGGGTCAATTTATGTTTTGAATAACTTGTTTTGGGACACAAAAAAGAACATTTGAAAAAATAGTTAAAGTATAAAATTTGATCTTGCTAAATGGGGTTTGCCATAGAAAATTGGTTATTTTAATTCCTCAAATATACACTAAACTTTCTGCTAGGTGTTATTAAACACAGAAAAATTCAACATGGTTAAGATATGACCCTATTTTACAAATATTATGACTGTCACCTGGTAAAAAGACCGCATCTTCCTGCTCTACTTTTATTTCTTGGGATTTGTGAAGGTCTTGCTAACATGTTTAAAACTGCTACTCCAACCCATCCTCCCTCACTAACCCACATTTCTAATAAAATTCTACATAATGCAAAAGACAATTTTTAAATTTTTTATCAATCAACAAGGATTTACTTTGCAATTATGTACTGTGAACCCAGTTTTGCTAAAATATAGACACACAGCTTATGTGCCTTGAATACCTACAAGACATCTAGGTACTAGCCTGTATATTTGTTTCTTTGTTTGTTTTTGTTTTCTGTTTTTTGTTTTGAGATGGAATCTCACTCTATTGCCCAGGCTGGAGTGCAATGGTGAGATCTCGGCTCACCGCAACCTCTGCCGCCTGGGTTCAAGCAATTCTCCTGCCTCAGCCTACTGAGTAACTGGGATTACAGGCACCTGCCACCATGCCCAGCTAATTTTTGTATTTTTAATAGAGACGGGGTTTCACCATCTTGGCCAGGCTGTTCTTGAACTCCTGACATCGTGATCCACCCGCCTAGGCCTCCCAAAGTTCTGGGATTAGCCTATTTTTTAAATGCGTGTACTTAAAAGCAAAGCAATATTTGTTTTAAAAACACACAAAAATACAGAGTAGTATCTATTTATTCAAATTAAAAATGGATTATTTATTGAAATATAATTTACATACAGTATACAGTTTGATGATGTTGACAGATGCATATACCTGTGTAAATACCACATTCCTAACAAGATATAAACTTTTCCATCACCCCAGAAATTTCCCTCCCGCCTTATCTCAGTCAATCCCCACCCCCACACTTGCCAGAGGCAACCACTGCTCTGATTTATACTATTCTATATTTTATGTACTCTAGAACTTCATATCAGTAGAATTATACAGTATGCACTCTTTATAGCTTGCTTTTTTTTTTTTTTTTTTTGCTCAGCACTATGCCTTTGAGATTATTCTTGGTTTTGCCTATATCAGTTCTTTTTATTGTTGAGTAATATTCCATTATATGAATATACTGCTGTTTGTTTACTCATTCTTCTGTTGATGGATGTATGAGTTATTTCTTATTCTGGGCTATTACAAATGAAGACATTGTAAGTATTCTTACTGTAGCTTTATAGCAAGACTTGAGATAGTGTAAATGTGGTACTGTAAATCTTTTAAAGATTATTTTGTGCCAGGCACGGTGGTTCACACCTGTAATCCCAGCACTTTGGGAGGCCGAGGCGGGTGGATCATGAGGTCAAGAGATCGAGACCATCCTGGCTAACACGGTGAAACCCCGTCTCTACTAAAAATAAAAAAAAAAAATTAGCGGGCGACAGAGCGAGACTCCGTCTCAAAAAAAAAAAAAAAAAAAATTAAAAAAAAGATTATTCTGGCTGTTTTCAGGGTATATAAGTTTTAAAATCAGTCCATTTCTACCAAAATAAAAAAGAAGGAAAAAGCTGCTGCAATCTTGATTGCAATGGCATGGAATCTGTAGAACAATTTGGGGATCATTTATGTCTTAAAAATATTGAATCTTCCAATTAATGGAGATGGTATATCTCCCTACTTAGTTAATCTTTATTTAATTTATAAAACATTTCACTTTCTTTAGCAAAGTACTATACTTTTAAAATCATGGATTTGCATATACTTTGTTAAATGTATCACAAAATAGTTTTTATGCAATTGTAAATGACATGGTTTTATAGATGAAATGTAAAACTACAATTGATTTTCAAATATTGATTTGTATCCTGCAGCATCATTAAACTCATTTGTTCTAGTAGCTTTTTTGTAGATTTCTTTGAATTGTTATGAACACAGATTATGTTATCTGACATTTTACTTTCTCCTTTCCAATGTGCAAAACTTTTACTTTTTTTTTTTTTTTTTGCCTTATTGCACTAGAGAAGATCCTGATTACAAATGTTTAATAAAATTGGTAGGAGAAGATATGCTCTCCTTATCCGGATCTTATGGTAATCAAGTCTTTCATATTAACATGATGCTACTTTTAGGTTTTTTCAAAAATATTCTTCATTAAGTTGAAGAAGTTGCCTTCTATTCTTAGTTTGCTGAGATTATTTATTTATTTATTTATTTATTTATTTATTTATGTTAATCTTAAATAGGCCGTGAATTTTGCCAGTGTTGTTTATTGAGATGATCAAGACTTTACTCCCTTATTTTGTTAACATGAAGAAATATATTAAATCATTTAAAAATATTAAATGATTCTTACATTCCTAGTGTAAATCCACTTAGTCATGATGTATTATGCTTTTTATATATGGTAGGATTTGACTAGCTAACATTTTGATAAAAATTTTTTATCTCTATGCTCATGAAAAATATTAATCTGTAATATATTTTTTCATAATGTTTTTTCAATTATTTTGGTATGAGGGTTACATTGACCTCATTAACTTAGCTGAAAAATTTTGACTTCTTTGCTTTTTTTCACATTCTGCTTTTTATTTTTTATTTTACTTTAAGCTCTGGAATACATGTGCTGAATGTGAACATTTGTTACATCAGTATACGTGTGCCGTGGTGGTTTGCTGCAACCATCAACCTGTCATTTAGGTTTTAAGCTCCACATGCATTAAGCATTTGTCCTAATGCTCTCCCACTCCTTGGCCCCGACCTCATAACAGGCCCCAGTGTATGATGCTCCTCTCCCTGTATCCATGTGTTCTCATTGTTCAGTTCCCACTTATGAGTGAGAACATGTGATGTTTGGTTGTCTGTTCCTGTGTTCGTTTGCCGAGGATGATGGTTTCCAGTTTCATCCATGTCCCTGCAAAGGACATAAACCCATCCTTTTTTATGGCTGCATAGTATTCCATGGTGTAGATGTGCCATATTTTCTTTATCCAGTCTATCATTGATGGGCATTTGGGTTGGTTCCAAATCTTTGCTATTGTAAATAGTGCTGCAATAAAAATATGTATGCATGTGTCTTTATAGTAGAATGATTTATTATCCTTTGGGTATATACCCAGTAATGGGATTGGTGGGTCAAATGGTATTTCTGGTTCTATATCCTTGAGGAATGGCCACACTGTCTGCCACAATGGTTGAGCTAATTTACACTCCTACCAACAGTGTAAAAGCATTCTTATTTCTCAAATCCACACCAACATCTGTTGTTTCTTGACTTTTTAATGATCGCCATTCTAACTGGAGTAAGACAGTGTCCCATTGTGGTTTTGAATTGCATTTCTCTAATGACCAGTGATAATCAGTTTTTTTTCATGTTTGTTGGCCACATAAATATCTTCTTTTGTGAAGTGTCCGTTCATATCCTTCACCCGCTTTTTGATGGGGTTGTTTGTTTTTTTCTTGTAAATTGGTTTAAGTTCCTTGTAGATTCTGAATATCAGACCTTTGTCAGATGGATAGATTCCAAACATTTTCTCCATTCTGTAGGTTGCCTGATCACTCTGATGATAGTTTCTTTTGCTGAGCAGAAGCTCTTTAGTTTAATTAGATCCCATTTGTTAATTTTGGCTTTTGTTAAAATTGCTTTTGGTGTTTTAGTCATAAAGTCTTTGCCCATGCCTATGTCCTAAATGGTACTGCCTAGGTTTTCTTCTAGGGTTTTTTATGGTTTTAGGTCTTACGTTTAAGTCTTTAATCCACCTTAAGTTAATTTTTGTATAAGATGTAAAGAAGGGGTCCAGCTTCAGTTTTCTGCATATGGCTAGCCAGTTTTCCCAACACCATTTATTAAATAGGGAATCTTTTACCCACAGCTTGTTTTTGTCAGGTTTGTCAAAGATCAGATGGTTGTAGATGTGTGGTGTTATTTCTGAGGCCTCTGTTCTGTTCCATTGGTCTATATATACATATCTGTTTTGGTACCAGTACCATGCCGTTTTGGTTACTGTAGCCTTGTAGTATAGTTTGAAGTCAGGTAGTGTAATGCTTCCAGCTTTGTTGCTTTTGCCTAGGATTGTCCTGGCCATATGGGCTCTTTTTCATTCCATATGAAATTTAAAGTAGTTTTTTCTATTTCTGTGAAGAAAGTCAGTGGTAGCTTGATGGGAATAGCATTGAATCTGTAATTACTTTTGGCAGTATGGCCATTTTCATGATATTGATTCTTCCTATCCCTGAGCAACGAATATTTTTCCATTTGTTTGTGTCCTCTCTTATTTCCTTGAGCAGTGGTTTGTAGTTCTCCTTGAAGAGGTCCTTCACATCTTTTGTAAGTTGTATTCCTAGGTATTTTATTTTCTTTGTAGCAATTGTGAATAGAAGTCCATTCATGATTTGGCTCTCTGCTTGTCTGTTATTGGTGTATAGGAATGCTTGTGATTTTTGCACATTGATTTTGTATCCTGAGACTTTGCCAAAGTTGTTTATCAGCTTAAGGAGTTTTTGGGCTGAGACAATGGGGTTTTCTAAATATACAATTATGTCATCTGCAAACAGAGACAATTTGACTTCTCTATTTCTATTTGAACACCCTTTATTTCTTTCTCTTGCCTGATTGCTTTGGCCAGAACTTCCAACACTATGTTTAATAGGAGTAGTGAGAGGGCATCGTGTCGTGTGCTGGTTTTCAAAGGGAATGCTTCCAGCTTTTGCCCATTCAGTATGATATTGGCTATGAATTTGTCGTAAATAGCGCTTACTATTTTGAGATATGTTCCATCAATCCTAGTTTCTTGAGAGTTTTTAACATTAAGAAATGTTGAATTTTACTGGAGGGCTTTTCTGCGTCTATTGAGATAATCATGTGGTTTTTGTCATTGATTCTGTTTATGTAATAGATTACGTTTATGGATTTGTGTATGTTGAACCAGCCTTGCATCCCAGGGCTGAAGCTAACTTGATCATGGTGAATAAGCTTTTTGATGTGCTGCTGGGTTCGGTTTGCCAGTATTTTATTGAGGATTTTCGCATCAATGTTTATTACAGACATTGGCCTGAAATTTATTGTTGTTGTCTCTCTGCCAGGTTTTGGAATCAGAATGATGCTGGACAGAGGTAGAATTTGTTTAAGTCTTTAATCCATCTTGAGTTGAATCTGGCTGTAAATCCGTCTGGTCCCAGGCTTTTTTTGGTGGGTAAGCTACTAATTACTGCCTCAATTTCAGAAATTGTTATTGGTCTACTCAGAGATTCGATATCTTTCTGGTCTTGGGAGGGTGTATGTGTCCAGGAATTTATTCATTTGTTCTAGATTTTCTAGTTGATTTGCATAGAGGTGTTTATAGTATTTTCTGATGGTAGTTTGTATTTCTGTGGGATCAGTGGTGATATCCCCTTTATCATTTTTTATTGTATCTATTTGATTCTTTCTTTTCTTCTTTATTAGTCTAGCTAGTGGTCTATGTATTTTGTTAATCTCTTCAAAAAACCAGCTCCTGGATTCATTGATGTTTTGCAGAGTTTTTCATGTCTCTATCTCCTTGAGTTCTGCTCTGATCTTAGTTATTTCATGTCTTCTGTTAGCTTTTGAATTTGTTTGCTCTTGCTTCTCCAGTTCTTTTAATTGTGATGTTAGGGTGTCGATTTTATATCTTTCCCACTTTCTGATGTGGGCATTTAGTGCTATTAATTTCCCTCTAAACACTGCTTTATCTGTGTCCCAGAGATTCTGGTATGCTGTTGCTTTGTTATCATTGGCTTCAAAGAACTTCGCTATCTCTGCCTTAATTTAATTATTTACCCAGTAGTCATTCAGGAGCTGGTTGTTCAGTTTCCATGTAGTTCTGTGGTTTTCAGTGAGTTTCTTAATCCTGAGTTCTAATTTGATTGCACAGTGGTCTGAGAGACTGTTTATTATTATTTCCATTCTTTTGCACTTGCTGAGGAGTGTTTTACTTCCAATTATGTGGTCAATTTTTGAGTAAGTGCTATATGGTGCTTAGAAAAATGTATATTCTGTTGATGTGGGGTCAAGAGTTCTGTAGATATCTATTAGGTCTGCTTGGCCCAGAGCTGAGTTCAAGTCCTGAATATCCTTGTTAATTTTTGGTCTCATTGATCTGTCTAATATTGACAGTGATGTTATGGTCTAAGTATCTTTGTAGGTCTCCAGGAACTTGTTTTATGAATCTGGGTGCTCCTGTATTGGGTGCATGTATATTTAGGATAGTTAGCTTCTCTTGTTGCATTGATCCCTTTACTATTATGTAATGCCCTTGTCTTTTTTGATCTTTGTTTGTTTAAAGTCTATTTTATCAGAGACTAGGATTGCAACTCCTGCCTTTTTTTACCTTCCATTATCTTGGCAAATATTCCTCCATCTCTTTATTTTGAGCCTATGTGTGTCTTTGCATGTGAGATGGGTCTCCTGAATACAACACACTGATAGGTCTTGACTTTTTATCCAACTTGCTAGTCTATGTCTTTTAATTGGGGTATTTAGCCCATTTATATTTAAGGTTAATATTGTTATGTGTGAATTTGATCCTGTCATCATGATGCTAGCTGGTTATTTTGCACATTAGTTGATGCAGTTTCTTCATAGTGTCATTGGTCTTTATATTTTGGTGTGTCTTTGCAGTGGCTGGTACTGGTTTTTCCTTTCCATATTTAGTGCTTCCTCCAAGACCTCTTGTAGGGTAGGCCTGGTGGTGACAAAATCTCTCAACTTTTGCTTGTTTAAAAAGGATTCTATTTCTCCTTCAGTTATGAAACTTACTGTGGCTGGATATGATATTTTGGGTTGAAAATTCTTTTCTTTGAGAATGTTGAATAGTGGGTCCCAATCTCTTCTGGTTTGTAGGGTTTCTGCAGAGAGATCTGTTGTTAGTCTGATGGGCTTCCCTTTGTAGGTAACCCAACCTTTCTCTGACTGCCCTTAACATTTTTTCCTTCATTTCAACCTCGGAGAATCTGGCGACTATGTGTCCTGGGGTTGCTCTTCTTGAGAAGTATCTTAATGGTGTTCTTTGAATTTCCTGAATTTGAATGTTGGCCTGTCTTGCTAGCTTGGGAAATCCTCCAGGATAATAGCCTGAAGTGTGTTTTCCAACTTGGTTCTATTCTCCCCATCATTTTCAGGGATACCAATCAATCACAGGTTTGGTCTTTTCACATAGTCCCATATTTCTTGCAGGCTTTGTTCATTCTTTTTCATTCTTCTTTGTCTAATCTTGTTTTCATGTCTATTTCATTAAGTTGATCTTCAGTCTCTGATATCCTTTCTTCCACTTGATTGATTTGGCTATGATACTTGTGTATGCTACACGAAGTTCTTGTGCTATGTTTTTCAGCTCCATCAGGTCATTTATGTTCTTCTCTAAACTGGTTATTCTAGTTAGCAGTTCCTGTACTCTTTGTCAAGGTTTTAGCTTCCTTCCATTGGGTTAGAACATGCTCCTTTACCTCAGAGGAGTTTGTTATTACCCACCTGCTGAAGCCTACTTCTGTCAATTCATCAAACTCATTCTCTGTCCAGTTTTGTGCCCTTGCGGGAGAGGAGTTGCAGTCATTTGGAGAAGAGGCATTTTGGTTTTTGGAATTTTCAGCATTTTTGCACTGGTTTTTCCTCATCTTTTTGGATTTATCTACCTTTGATTTTTGAGGCTGATGATCTTTGGATGGGGTTTCTTGGAGGGGGGTCCTTGGTTTGTTGATGTTGATGTTATTGCTTTCTGTTTGTTAGTTTTTCTTCTAACAGTCAGGCTCCTCTTCTGCAGGTCTGCTGGAATTTGCTGGAGGTCCACTCCAGACCCTATTTGTCTGAGTATCACCAGCGGAGGCTGCAGAACAGCAAAGATTGCTGCCTGCTCCTTCCTCTGGAAGCTTCATCCCAGAGGGGCACCAGCCTAATTCCAGCTGGAGCTCTCCTATATGAGGTGTCTGTCAACCCCTGTTGGGACATCTCTCCCAGTCAGGAGGCATGGGGGTCAGGAACCCATTTGAGGAGGCAGTCTGTCCCTTAGCAGAGCTTGAGCGCTGTGCTGGGAGAACCCTCTTTGTCAGGATACACTGCTCTCTTCAAAGCCGGCAGGCAGGAAAGTTTAAGTGTGCTGAAGCTGATCCCACAGCTGCCCCTTTCCTCAGGGCTCTGTCCCAGGGAGATGGGAGTTTTATTTATAAGCCCCTGACTGGGGCTGCTGCCTTTCTTTCAGAGATGCCCTGCCCAGTGAAGAGGAATCTAGAGAGGCACTCTGGCCACAGTTGCTTTGCCACACTGTGTTGGGTTCCACGCAGTCTGAACTTCCAGGCCTTTTTAGCAGTCAGGGGAAAACTGCCTACTCAAGACTCAGTAATGGTGGATGCACCTACCCTAACTAGCTCGATCATCCCAGGTCAACTTCAGACTGCTGTGCTGGCAGCAAGAATTTCAAGCCAGTGGTTCTTAGCTTGCAGGGCTCCATGGGAGTGGGACCTGCTGAGCAAGACCATTTGGCTTTCCAGCTTCAGCCCCCTTTCCAGGGGAGTGAACAGTTCTGTCTTGCTGGGGTTCCAGGAGTCACCGGGGGGGAAAAAAAAATCCTGCAGCTAGCTTGATGTTTGTCCAAGCAGCTGCCCAGATTTGTGCTTGAAACCCAGAGCCCTGGTGGTGTAGGTACACAAGAGAATCTCCTGGTCTGTGGGTTGCAAAAACCATGGGAAAAGCGTAGTATCTGGGCTGGATAGCATAGTCCCTCATGGCTTCCCTTGGCTGGGAAAGGGAGGCCCCCACTTCTTGCACTTCCTGGGTGTGGTGATGCCCCACCCTGCTTCTGCTCGCCCTCTGTGGGCTGCACCCACTATCTAACCAGTCCCAATGAGATGAGCCGGGTACCTTAGTTGGAAATGCAGAAATCAACCACCTTCTGCATTGGTCTCGCTAGGAGCTGCAGACCAGAGCTTTTCCTATTTAGCCATCTTGCCAGATCTGACTGCTTTGTGTTTTGAGTTAGTTAAGGTAGTCATTACATTTTCTTACATTTGATAGAATTCACAAGTGAAGCTATCTGAAAATGGAGTTTTTCGTGGGAATGTTATTAAATATAGATTAAATCTCTTTGATATGTATAGATCTACTCAGGTTTCCTGATTTTTTTCTTGTACCAGTATTGGTAAGTAATATATTCTAAGATATTTTTATTTTATCTAAGTTATTATAGTTATTATTCAAAAATTATTTATAATATCCTATTGTTATCCTTTCAATGTCAATAAGATTTGCAGATTTGCCTCATATTTAATTCTGGACAATTGCAATTTGTGTGTTATTTCTTTTTTCTTTAAACAGTCTAGCCAGCGGTTTTTCAATTTTATTGATCTTTTCCAAGAACCAATTTTTTGTTCCACTGATTTTTTTTCTATTGTTTGTCTATTTACCACTTCATTGATTTTTTTATTTTATCTTTATTTTCTTTCTTCAGCTTACTGTGTTTAATTTTTTCTTCTTTGTCTAGTTTCTTAAGGTAAAACTTACAGGATTGATTGTATCTCGTTGCCGTTTTCTGATTAGGTTAAAACAGTAAAACTCCCACTGAACATTATTTTAATGGCATCCTATCAATTTCAATATGTTGTTGGTTTACTATAATTTACTTTAAAAATTTTACATTACTCTTGATTTCTTCTTTGATAAATAGGCTATTTAGATGTGTGTTTCTTAATTTAGAAATGTTTGTAAATTTTTGAGGATTTTTTAATCAATTCCTAATTTCACTCCACTGTGGTGAAAAAAAGATACTTTTAAATTTATGACTTGGTTTATGACCTATCTCGTTTTATAAACATAAAATAGCACATGTTTTTATCTTATGAATGTTCTACATTTGCTTGAAAATAATGTGTATTCAGCAGGAGTTTAGTGTAATTTCTTATAAATATTAGTTATGTTCATTTTATTAGTTATGTTTAAATCTCTGTATCTTCATTGATTATTTTTGTATACTTGTTCCAGCAGTTACTAAGAGAGGACTATTAAAATACAAAAGTCAAATTTTGAATTTGTCTATTTCTCCATTTAATTCCATCCACTTTTGCCTCATGTATTTTGAAGTTCTGTCATGAGTTGCATAAACATTTAGAACTGGGGAGAGAGTGACATTGGCAATATGGTGGAATAATATGTTGCAGGCTTCACTCTCCCCACAGAAATACTAACTAGCAATTACCCACAGACAAAAACACCTTGATGAAAACCCAAACATGTGGGAATAAGCCAGAATCACCTGCATGACTTATGAAACTGAATAAAAATTTGCATTAAAAAGTAGGAGAAATGGTCTCACTTTGACCATGTCACCCCTCTCCCTCCCCCAAGTTGGCACAGTCCCACACAGAGAGGATCCTCCAGGGCTCATGGTTTCTACAGTGGGGAAAGAGAACCTGGGTGGTAGACATCCAGCTTCTTTAACATACTGAGATGCTTCCCAGGAAACCCATTTCATTTTTCCTCATGGGGAACAGAAAATATAGGAGGAAACTGCACAGCTAGACCACCTAGGGTCAGATAGAAACAAAGCAAAGAGGTATTGCTCACAGAGACCAGCATGCAGATTTTGATGTAAGCTCAATATATCAAGCAGTGGTATTCAATCAGGGGTACTAGCTAATAGCATAGCCTACCTGCAGAGCTGAGTTGGTCACTCTCAGAAGTGGTTGGAAGTGCTATCTGGCTTGAATCCCTAGATGGTTAACCTCCAGGCCCAGCCTCAGACCCTACCCCAGGGTTCTGGCCAGGGACGGAGATCTACCACAAGCAAATTTCCACAACAAAAAGGTATTAGATCTGCCATATCTAAGAGCTTAATCAGTGTTCCCCACAGCCTCAAAGTCTACCACCAGACCCCACCTAAGAAGGAAGACAACCACTGCAGTTGTCTGAACCACTGCAGTTGGGCAAATAGGCACTGTTTTCCCATGCCCAGAAGTTTAATGTGCTCCCCCAGAGCCTACACAGGGAAGGAGGCAAATCTGAGTCTTGGATTTTTACTGAGCATAGTAGTTGGTTCATCCATTCTGATTCACTTAACCCTGGAGCCTCTCCTGCAACCCTGTCCAACTGCTGAACTCAAATATCAGTACCTCTAGCCAAGGAATATGGCCTGTGGCTCACCCAAATCAGAAGTAGATGCAGTGCCTATATAGCAGCCCAGCCTGATAGCAGAGTTCAGCCTGTGGTCTTGCCAAATAGCAGAGACTAGCCAGGTGCCTCACCTGACTTCATAGCAAAGGCAGCAGCCTAGCCATCTAGAGGATCTGAAAGGAAGCTGTGCTTTCCAGGGTTATGACCCACTGGCCTATTTAGAATCATTATCTAGACTAATTAGTGAAGGTTTTTACCTGCCAAGAACTCCTGTAAAAGCTGAAAAAAGTGACCTTTTCTGTAAATGCATAAACTCCAATGCAAAAACACAGGGAATTCAAAGACTTTGGATATCATGACATCTCCAGAAAAAACTAACAAAGCTACAACAATGGACCACTATAAAAAGGAAGTTTAAAAATGACAGGAAAAGGATTCAGAATAATCCTTTTTAATAAAGTTTAGTGAGCTTCAGGAATATAAAGATAAAAAATTAAATTATTTGGAAAATAATTGTTTCCATATTTCTTTTCACATGAGCTGTGACAAAAAAAATAGAACTAATTTTTTAAAAAAACAAATAGAAATCCTAGAGATGAAGAATACAATGACTGAATTGGAAAAAAAAATGTAATAGAAAGCTTAAATGGCCAGCTTGATCAAGCTAAAGAGTCAGTAAATTCAAAGATGAATCATTTGAAATTATGCAATCAAGAAGCAAAATGAAAAACAGATGGAAGAGAATGAAGATAGCCCATAGGAATTATGGGAACCATCAAGAGACCTAATCTATGCTTAATAGCATTCCAGGAGAAGAAAAAGAGAAAGGGCCAGAAAGCATATTTAAGGAAATAATGGATAAAAACTTCCTAATATCAGGGAAAAAAAGCCAAAATTCAGGTACACTAAGTACAGATGTCACAAATTAAATTACACCAAAAGAGGAATTTATCAAGATATATAATAATCAAACTGGCAAAAATCAAAGACAAAAGGAAAATTCTGAAAGCAACAAAAGATAAAAGAAATACATTGCATACAAAAAAGTCCCAATATGACTATCAGCAGTCTTCTCAGCAAAAACCCTGCAGACTATTTAAAAATAAGACGATGTATTTTAAATATTAAAGGGAAAAAACTGCCAAACAAGAATACTTTACCCAGCAAAAATGTCTTTCAGAAATAAGGGAGTAATAAAAACTTTTCCAGGCAAACAAAAGCTAGGAAGTTCTTCACCAACAAGCCTGTCTTATAGATATTGTTAAAGGGAGGTCTTTAAACTGAAACAAAAGGCTCCTAATTAATAACATAAAACTTACAAATGCACAAAACCTAATAGTATAAGTAATACAGACAATATGTAGAATACTCAGGACCATAATGGTGGTATATAAAGTAATTTTATCTCTAGAACAAGGATTAAAGAAATTATTAATAATGACTATAGCTAAAATAGTCAAGGGACACACATTACAAAAGAATGTAAATTTAGGCATTGAAAACATAAAATTGAGGGGGGGAATAAAAGTGTAGAAGAATTGTAAGCAATCAAAATTAAGCTGTTTTCAGTTTGAAATAGACTGTTATAAATGTAAGATATTCTATAAAATTCTCATGATAACCAAAGCAAAAATTAAAGATTCAAAACATATCACCATAGGAAATAGAAAATTATTAAGTCTTAAAGGAAGATGGCAAGAGAGGAAAAGGGGACAAAACAATCAGAAAATAATTAACAAAATGGCAGCAGAAAGTTTCCACATATCTATAATTACCTTGAATGGAAATGGATTAAATATTCTAATCAAAAGATATCATGTGAATGCATGAATTAAAAAAAAAGAAAAGCCAGCTATATGCTGTTTACAAGAAACTTCATTTTTAAGGATGCACATAGGCTGAAAGTGAAGGGATGGAAAAAGATATTCCATGCAAATAGAAACTGCAAGTGAGTGTGAGTAGCAATTCTTATATCAGACAAAATACACTTTAGGTCAAAAACTGTAAAAGTAGACCAAAAAAAGACATTTTGTAATAATAAAGGACTTATTTATCAAGAAGATATTACAATCGTAAATATATATACACCCAACAGTGGAGCACCTAAATATGTAAAGCGAATATTCAAGGATCTGAAGGGATAGAGTCTTTTCAAATGCACACAGAACATTCTCTAGGAGAGATCATATGTTAGACCACAAGACAATCCTTAGCAAATTTAAGATTGAAATCATATCAAGTATCTTTTCTGACCACAATCGTATAAAACTAGAAATCAATAACAGAACTTTTTCAGAAAAATTATAAATACATGGAAACTAAACAACATGCTCCTGAACATCCAATGGGTGAATAAAGAAATTAGAAAATTTTAATATATCTTGAGACAAATGAAAATGTAAACACGGGGGAAAGGGGCCACAATGGCCAACTATAGCAGTGGTGTTCGGAGGCTCCCATCAAAAAAAAAAAATCATCACCAGTAACCAAGGTATCCAGCTTCTCTCATCAAAATTGACTAGAAGGCTGGCTTGACCCATGGAGAGAATTCGGAAGAACAGTGTGGTGTGGGGCCCACCTGAGAGCCACACCGGGAAAGGGGAACCTCCTCCCCCAAGCCAAGGTGGGTGGTGAGTTAGTGCACTACCCAGCCAGGGAAACTGCTTTTCCCATGGAACTGTGCAACTCAAGGGTGGGAAGATCCCACTTGCAGACCCACGCCACCTGGGCCTAGCGTCCCAACCCCAGAATGCACAGATTCTTAAAGACTCTCAGCTGGAATCTACTTAAGCCTACCAATTCCCGGTGGGAGGGGCGACCAGCACCAGCTGCAGCTGCCTGCTAAGCCATTTGAGCTCCTTGGCGGAGGGGCAGCAGCCAGCACTGGGAATCCCAACTGCTTAACACACTAAGCTCCAGGGCGAGGCAAGGGCGGCACCCATTTCTATAGCTCCAGGCTGCGCTTTTCCCTTGCTGGAGCCAGGGAGGCTAGACAATTTGGTCCCAAGGCTTGTCCCCACAGCTGAACACACCCACTATTGGCAATCAGCAGCCAGAGTGCCTCTTCAGGCTTAACCCTGACCCATCCCTCCTCATTGGGTGGAACTTCCCTGCAGGAACTCCAATAACTCCAGCCAGAGGCTCAGAGACAGAATTCGGATCTCCCTGGGCCTGAGCCCCTAGGGGGAGGGGTGGCCAAAGTCTCTGCAGACCAGCTGACTTAGCCTCTCCTCTTGGTAGTTCTGAGGAATCCAGGTGGCCCAACGAGTGGGTTTCCCTCCAGCAAAACACACCCTCTCCACCAAGGGACAAAGTGCTTTGTTAAACAGGTCCTGCTCCCCATGCCACCCAGCTGAGTGAGACCCTCTAACAGGGGTTGTCAGACACCCTAGACAGGAGCAATTCCTCTGGCATCAGGTTGGTACCCCTCAAGGCCAAAGATCCCAGAAGAAGGAGCAGGAACCCATCTTTGCTGTTCTCCAGCCTCCTTGAATGACATCTCCAGGCACAGGAGTGAATCAAATGAAAAGTGCCTGAAGTGAAACCCCAGCAAAATGCAGCAGCCCTACAGAAGAGGGACCTGACTATTGAAAGAAACTGAACAAGCAGAAAGTGACAACAACAGCATCAACAACAACAGCAACACAAAAAAGACCCCTGCAAAAACCCCATCCAAGGGTCAGCAGCCTCAAAGACCAAAACTAGACAAACTCACGAAGATGAAAAAGAATCCATGAAAAAATACTAAAAACCCAAAAGACCATCTCCTCCAAATCATAACAACGTCTCTCCATCAAAGGCACAGAACTGGATGGAGGATCAGATGAATGAAATGACAGAAGTAGGCTTCAGAAGATGGGTAATAAAAACCTATGCTGAGCTAAAGGAGCATGTTCTAGTCTATTGCAAAGAAGCTGAGAACCTTGATAAAAGGTTAGAAGAGTTGCTAACTAGAATAACCAGTTTAGAGAGGAACATAAATCACCTGATGGAGCTGAAATATGGTGTGAGAACTTTGTGATGTATACACAATCATCAATAGCCAAATCAACCAAGCAGATGAAAGGATATCAGCATCTGAAGCCCACCTTCCTGAAATAAGACATGCAGACAAGAATAGGAAAAAAGAATGAAAGGGAATGAACAAAGCCTCCAAGAAATATGGGACTTCATAAAAAGACAGAACCTAAGGTAGATTGGAATACCAGAAGGAGACAGGGAGAATGGAAACAAACTGGAAAACACACTTCAGGCTATTATCCAGGAGAACTTCCCCAACTAGCAAGACAGGACAACATTCAAATTCAGGAAATACAGAGAACACCATTAAGATACTCCATAAGAAGATCAACCACAAGACACATAATCATCAGATTCTCCAAGATCAAAATGAAGGAAAAACTATTAAAGGCAGCCAGAGAGAAAGGCCAGGTCACCTACAAAGGGAAGCCCATCAGACTAACGGCAGATCTCTCAGCAGAAACCCTACAAGCCAGAAGAGATTGGGGGCCAATATTCAACATTCTTAAATAAAATAATTTTTAATCCAGAATTTCATATCCAGCCCAACTAAGCTGCATAAGCAAAGGAGAAATAAAATCACTTCCAGACAAGCAAATGCTGAGGGATTTCATTACCACCTGGCCTGCCCTGCAAGAGCTCCTGGAAGATGCATTAAATATGGAAAGGAAAAAACTGGTAACAGCCACTGCAAAAACACACCAAAATATAAAGACCAGTGACACTCTGAAGAAACTGCATCAACTAATGTGCAAAATAACCAGCTAACATCATGATGACAGGATCAAATTCACACATAACAATATTAATCTTAAATGTAAATGGGCTAAATGCCCCAGTTAAAAGACACAGACTGGCAAATTGGATAAGAAGTCAAGACCCATCAGTGTGCTGTATTCAGGAGACCCACCTTACATGCAAAGACACACTCAGGCTCAAAATAAAGGGATAGAGGAAAATTTACCAAGCAAATGGAAAGCAAAAAAAAGCAGGGGTTGCAATCCTAGTCTCTGACAAAACAGACTTTAAACCAATAAAGATAAAAAAAATACAAAGAAGATAATTACATAATGGTAAAGGGAACAATTCAACAAGAGCTAACTATTCTAAATATATACGTGCCCAATACAGGAGCACCTAGACTCATGAAACAAGTTCTTAGAGACCTACAAAGAGACTTAGACTCCCACACAATAATAGTGGGATATTTTAATGCCCCACTATCAGAAAATTAACAAGGATATTCAGGACTTGAAATCAGCTCTGGATCAAGTGGACCTTGTAGATGTCTACAGAACTCTCCACCCCAAATCAACAGAATATACATTCTTCTCAGTGCCACATGGCACTTATTCTAAAATTGACCGCATAGTTGGAAGTAAAACACTCCTTATCAAAAGCAAAAGAACTGAAATCATGACAGTCTCTCAGACCACAGTGCAATCAAATTAGAAATCAGGATTAAGAAACTCACTCAAAACCACACAATTTCATGGAAATTGAATGATCTGCTCCTGAATGATTCCTGGGCAAAAAATGAAATTAAGGGAGAAATCAAGAACTTCCTTGAAACTAATGAGAACAAAGAGACAATGTACCAGGATCTCTGGGACCCAGCTAAAGCAGTGTTAAGAGGCAAATTTACAGCACTAAATGCCCACATCAGAAAGCTAGAAATATCTCAAATAGACACCCTAACATCACAATTAAAAGAGCTAGAGAGGCAAGAGCAAACTAATCCAAAAGCTAGCAGAAGACAAGAAATAACTAAGATCAGAGAAGAATTGAAGAAGACAGAGACATGAAATACCCTCCAAAAAATCAATGAATCCAGGAGCTGGTTTTTTGAAAAAAATCAACCAAATAGACCATTAGCTAGATTAATAAAGAAGAAGAGAGAGAAGAATCAAATAGGCACAATAAAAAATGATAAAGGGGATATCATCACTGACCCCACAGAAATACAAACTACCATCAGAGAATACTATAAACACCTCTACACAAATAAACTAGAAAATCTAGAAGAAATGGATACCTTCATGGATGCATACACCCTACCAAGACTAAACCAGGAAGAAGTCGAATCCCTGAATAGACCAAAACAAGCTCTGAAATAGGGGCAGTAATTAATAGCCTACCAATCAAAAAAATCCTAGGACCAGACAGATTCACAGCTGAATTCTACCAGAAATACAAAGAGAAGCTAATACCATTCCTTCTGAAACTATTCCAAACAATTGAAAGGAGGGACTCGTCCCTAACTCATTTTATGAAGCCAGCGTCATCCTGATACGAAAGCTGGGAAGAGACACAACAAAAAAAGAAAACTTCAGGACAATATCCCTGATGAACAACAATGCAAAAATCCTCAATAAAATGCTGGCAAAAGGAATCCAGCAACACATCAAAAAGGTTATCCACAATGATCAAGTCGGTATGGTCATTTTCACAATATTGATTGTATCCATTCATGAGCAAGGGTTGTGTTTCATTTGTTTGTGTCATCTATGATTTCTTTCAGCAGTGTTTTGTAGTTTCTTCTAAATTCTTAAATAAATTTAACATAGCTATTTTGAATAGTTGTCAGTGTCAATATTTGTAATATCTTTACATTTATTTCCATTGATTAGTTTTCTCCAGGTTATATGTCACATTTTCCTGCTTCTTCTAGAAATGTTGTTGAGATTCTAGATTTTTATTTTATCTTTAGAAAGTCTTAAGTTTTGCATTACTAGCCAATTAATTTACTCGTGGATTATTTTGGTCCCACTTAGGCTTAATTATAGATTTTGGTAGGTTGGGTCCAGAGGAATCCTTACATCCTTACTATTACTATTTCTTTATTATTGTTGTTATTATTATTATATTGAGATGGAGTCTCTCTCTGTTGCCCCGGCTGGAGTGCAGTGGTGCGATCTCGGCTCACTGCAACCTCTGCCTCCTGGGATCAAGCGATTCTCCTGCCTCAGCCTCCAAAGCCACTGGGATTACAGGTGCCCACCACCACACCCGGGTAATTTTTTGTATTTTTTAGTAGAGACAGGCTTTCGCCATGTTGGCCAGGCTGGTCTTGAACTCCTGACCTCAAGAGATCCACCTGCCTCAGCCTCCCAAAGTGCTGGGATTACAGGTGTGAGCCACCGCATCCAGCCAATCCTTACTATTTCTAAGTTGTGGCCTTTCACTCGAGTCTTTTAGCACAGTGAAATATTTAGAATTACACTGCTCAGCTTACACATCCCAGTAGTCATTCTCCACCAGACCTCATGGAATCTTGCCTTATATGTACACATCTTAGTATTCAGCCAGAGACTCAAGACAGCTCCAGTGCAGATTTCTGGAGCTCTTTCTCTAAACATTCCCTCTTCTTCACTGCCCTGATCCACAAATTCCAGCTGCTTCACCAGTCCCCATCTACAATTTTTATTTTCTATATCTCATAAGACCACTGTTCTCTCTTTGGGCTCCACAATCAGAGACTGCAGTTTTGTAAGGACTTCCATGCAGAAAGCCTGAATGAATATGGAGCTTACCTCATGTGTTTTCCTTCTGTCAGTGATCCCAGTACTATGCTATACATTGTGCAAAGACTGAAAACACACGTTGCATGTAGTTTTTCTAGTTTTGTAATATTTGAAGGGTAAGTCTGATACATCTTATTCTATCATGGCCAGAATTGCAAACCTAAGTCCAAACTATATAGTTATAAAATAAGATGTAATAAGAGCATAAAGCAACAAAAGACCAAGAATAAAAATAGTTACCATTATTATGTTTCACAATGACAAATTTCTATAAAGCACTATATTCCAAAGATGAGAAAACTGAGACCAGAGAGGTTGAAGTCAAGTCAGTTAAATAAAAATGACCTAGCCATGATTTGAACAAAGACAAGTCTTATTTAAGAGTCTACATTTTTTTCTACTCACCAAAATGCTTAAAGTAATTAAAGCACACATTTTTAGATCAATTGAGAATTGAGCTGACTTAGAAAGACTGATGAACTTTGGGTTGGTGAACAGGTTCCAAGAGCAGAACACATTCTTGGTAAAGAGAATAGAATGTCGTGGGAAGTATGCAAGAGCCAAACTAAAGGCAAGACTGTGTGGAGACAAAGTTGAATAGCTTGGGTGAGATACATCAAGACTTTTCAGAATGCAGTTTATTTTAACATTTTAGCAACAGATTTTTTTTTCAAATTTACTGGCGACTGCATAATTATATACACTCTCACAGAATCTTCCTTTTCTGTGTTTATAGTCTCACGCATACTGAAGTCTTTCCCAGTCTTATTTAAACAAATGATTAAAGAAGTCAAAAGAAAAAGAAAAGGTGAATTTTGTCTGTTTTTCTCTATTCATGTCTAGTTGCTTTCCATAGTAATGTAAATAATTTCTTCAAGCTTACTTAAGTATCAAAAAGTCTTGAGTTACTGAAATTCCCTTTCTAAGATCACAGGAGATAGCTTGCCTCTTCTAATTTAGCTAAAACTTTATCTACAAAGTCTTCCTTTCAGCTCATGACCTCCTCATCCACAAGGATCATAATCTATTTAGAACAATTGTTTGAACAATCTCTCTGCCGCAGTCAGGGTCAGACTTGCCTTCCCTTCTCAACTCTTAACTTTTGAAGAGAATTCCCATTCTTCAGCTGTACAGAATTGTTTTCTTCATAGGAAAGCTAATTTTAAAGAAAACTATTTGTTTGGTTTTGAATTTTTGAAATTTCTTTAAAGATTTACGGGACAGCTTTAGTTTTTCTATAGAACATTTATAATTTGACTCCTTTAGCACCATACTACTTGGTGTCTAATTTTCTTAATAATACCAAAGTCAGCTAACATAGACTGAGCACTTCCGTGTATCAGCAACTGTGACCTCTACAAGAATGATTTCATTTGATGAGGTAGGTTCTGTTATTATTATTTCCACTTCACAGATGAAAAGACTGAGGTTTGAGTAACTTGTCTAAGAATACCCAGCGGCAAATTGCTTCACTAAATTAAAGAGTTGAACTCAGAAGTTCAAATACTTGAAGAAGACAAAACCTAGTCCCCAAGCATACATAGAGACAGCAAAAGTAATTTTCTAAGACTCTATGTATAACAAAGAGCTTTAGAATTGGACAAACATAAGTGGCTCTCTCATTTTCCAGCTAGAGGACTTTGGGAAAATTATTTATTCTTTATTACCCTGTTTATTTATCTCCATAATTCAGTGAGATTAACACCTCTTAGTGAGTTTACGATGATTATATAAGATAGTATCGTAAAGCAATAATAGTAGCTACTGTGATTTTTTATTATTATTATTATGGGCTTTCATCTTTACTCTAACTTAAGATTCAGATTTCCTTGAAATGCAGTCCCCCATTTACTAGTTCCATGACCTTGGACCTATGACTTAAACTTTCTAGGCCTCAGTTTCCTCTTCTACAAAGGTGATAATAATGATTACCTACATGTGACGTTTGTAAGAACTAGGTGGGTTATACAACAGTCTCTGATATATCACAAGTGTTCAGTATGTTGCCTATTATAATGATTATAATGATGGCTAGACAAAGTGGTATAGTGGACTTGTTCAAAGTTTAATACACATGATGATCAAAATGCATGAGAACTTGACTTCCAAGAAATCCATAATCTTTTAAGGATATCTGTTACTTGCATATGTCTCCAGGTCCTGCCTCCATCAGCCTCCTATCTGCATCCCACCTAGAGCAGCAAAGTCTCAATGAAGAGCTGTTTCTTATCAAGGCCATTGTGGACCCTCTCACTTATAGAGAAAAATCCAATGTGGAAAGAGCCATTCTTCTTCCTATACTTGGTCATTAAATTGCATGGACACTGTCTCCCTGCCTCAGTAATGGAAACTGGTAGAAAAGTGGAGGTTGTGGCATAATCTCATGTGAAGCACGGATTTTGCTCAGAGTTACTTGCTTGACACTCCAGTTTCCTCGTGACACAGACCCAATTGTCTAGTGGTTTAAGTTTTTTGACTTTCTCTTGACATTGCTTAATGGGTCAACATTCGCATTTTAGAAAGGAAAATGTATTTAAGAAACAAACATACAGTTATTTTTATTTTTTTTATTATACTTTAAGTTCCGGGATACATGTGCAGACCGTGCAGGTTTGTTACATAGGTATACATGTGCCATGGTGGTTTGCTGCACCCATCAACCCGTCATCCACATTAGGTATTTCTCCTAATGCTTTTCCTCCCCCTCCCCCAACCCCGCAACAGGCCTCCGTGTGTGTTGTGAAACAAACATACAATTTTTTAAAAGCTAAAAAAGTTTTTTAAAAAGTTATGTTTTTTCTTAAGTACATTTCCCTTTCTACAACGCTAATGTGTTTTTCTATATGCCTAATTAAAGTTTGCATAAACCTGCAAGTTTGTGCTTTCCCTTGCATCCTAGGAAAATAAAGGTTTTTTTAAATGACCTAATTAATATATAAACAATTAGAAATAAGATACCATGAATTAGTGAATTTTTCATTATTAATTAAAACCTAAATAATATTCCTGTAAAGAGTGTTCATTCAAGAGGCTACCATTTCAAATAAAAGTGTGACAAGGTTATCCAGTGTGATTCATACTACAAACACATCACAGAGAGAGCAGGAGACAGAGTAAACTTTGCTTTTTATGGTTTTCTTTATTGTGTTTAGCTTTAGTTGTTTAAAAAAGTCGCAAAGCTATGGTCATCTTGTAGTAGTCCTCATAAATATAACGAGTAGGGACAAGAGGTTAATTTTAAACAAAAGGGGAATGTATATATTCAGTACTGCCTAAGTAGAATTTTTTGCTCTAGCTAATTTCTCCATAAAATAAATCTCTTCTTGCCAGAAAAACTTTCAAAAAGGTATATAATCTGTGAACTGATAGCAAGGTTGCTCAAGGAAATGAGGCACATGTTTCTAGAGGAAGATAACAAAATATGTTATGTCTTTTAGAATTTGACCTCACAAAGTAATGTTTATTTGGCAGACAGTCTAGGGAGATAAGCTGCTTCATATAGAAAAAGCAAGGTCTATTTACTATGAAACTGATCTTCATCCAATCCTGCATTGTAGGTATCAGTGAGAATGCCTTCAGTTGCCTGGCTAGTTAAAAATGCACTTCCCCCAATCTTTCCTATGTGCCAACTAATCTTGCTAATATGGAAAATATGCTGTCAATGCTATTTAACTAAACGATAACTGTTCAACCTTGAGGAGCATAAAATTTTTGAAGAAAGATAAATTTTCAACACATCAAGTACTTCTAAGCAGAGTCAGTACTACAATTACTTGAGAACAAATCTCTGTCAAACACTTAGAACTACGATGCTAAGCACTTTACACAGATTACATTATTTATTTAATCAAAACCATGTAGGGAAGGTGTTATTATTGATCCCATTTTATAGAGATAAAACTCAGACTTGGAGAAGTTAAATTATCTAAGGTCACACAATCAAGTTTTACAGACACGAATCTAACAGTCGGAACTTGCCTTCACAAGCTTGCTCTTATCCACTATATTATTTGTAAGATATTGTGGCAGGAGCTAAGCGGATGGAAGATCTCTAAGCCTGAGTTCCTGCTTTGAGTTATTTATAATCTCCTATCTGATAGGACGCAACACTACAGGGTAGTATCATCCTAGGTATATTGAGTTTGTTCCAAGGCCTCTTCATTCCAGTACTCCACTCATTCCAAGGCCAGGTGCTTGGACATTTGGGGAGGGAAGCATGGAGGCATTCAACTGCCTTGCCGTCAAAATAAGCCAAGATAAAAGCTTAAATTTGCCTGGGAGCATTAACATGATTTTACATAACTAGAAACTTTACCTGCCACTAAGCCTTGAGATTCAGTAAAGTACAAGTAGAGACACCTGTCATAAGCAAGGTCAGCTGGCAGCAGGGAATCAGCTTAATGGAGGAAAGGGAGCAGAATGTGCCTACTTTAAGACTCAAAGTTCCTATGATTCTGGTCATGTCAATTTGGCTGCGTTACCTGGTTGGAGGAAAGCTAGCAATTGAAATATCTACTTTCCATTTGACACTTATGAAACTTGGCTTTAACAAAACCATTTTCATAAAGCAGAAAACCAGCTCATTCCATACGTTTTCCTATTCGTATGCTGTATTGTCAAGGTGACTAATAGATTAATTCTGTAGCCTCTGAAGAAAATTTTTCTCAGCGTATTTTGACTTTTCTCAGTATATCCTTTGTAGAAGTGACCTGAATTAAAATTACCTAGTCTATTACTGATTTTTCCCTCTAAAATTACAGTTGTACTATAATGTGCAAATTTTCATTGCGCTTCAACATGAAATTAAAATTACATAGTTATAAAAAAAAGAAACTCAATTTACAATTTTTGAAAAGAAGTCTTGGACTTCAAAGTATAATTACCTAGAGCTCATTAAAATGCAGGATTATTAACCTGAGAGCTGAAGTTTCTAGTAATAGTGGATCTCTTATAAGAGTAATTATAAGAGTCATAAATATTAAGCATGAAACTAACACTCTACACTTAAAGACGAAGTGTGTGCTCACATCTTTACCAAGCTTAATGTGAAAAGAAGACAACACAGCAGCCAGCAGAATGTTAAAGAGCTAAGCACAAGCCCTGTGTTTGGGATCTTTATTAAATTAAGACATTATAATAAAATGATCTATGATAAAAAGTCAATGGAAAAAATACATTAGTGAAAAAGGCACCTAGCAGCAACTTAAGTTGCCTTTTTTCCTAAATTGTCCAGGAGGGGAGGAGGGTTAGCAAGTAGAAGTACGATATTTAGTATATGTCAAGAATTATATAAAAATGTGAAAAAAATGACTATAATAAAATATATGCAAATATTAATAGCAGTAATCTCTAAATGGTAGATTTAGGGTGATATTTCTAACTTTTTAATAACTTTCAGCAATTTCTCAGCTTTCTACAATGAGCATGTATTTCTTCTAGCCCAGCTGCAAATTACTTTCAGCAATTATAGTTTTATTTCCAAGATTTCTAGTTCTTTTTATAACTGTCTATTCTGGTTTTACATTATTGCATTATCCTTTACATTTCTCTAAATATTAATTAGATTTACTATATTTTGTGGTTGATGACTCTTTTCAATTATCTTCTGCATCTGTTTGCCCACATTGTCTACAGGGAGGGGTTCAAGTCACTGAAAACTTGCATAGCCCAGTGCTTTGGGTGTGTATCTATAGGGACAGGGGAAAGGCCCACGTGCCACTGGGCTATGTATGCTATAGCTTGGTCTTCTGAGAATGAGAGTTCCTTTCCTTTCCAGGTTATCATCAGCTAGCTACTAAGAGCACCACCTTGCCTCTGTTCCCGAAAGTCCCATGCTCCTTGCCCCACCTAGAGATAGACAATCTCATTGTTGTCCCTGGATTACCTCTTGCCTTTTGCTTTCACAAACTACATGAAGCACCCTTGTCCTGCATCCGCTTTGTTCAGCACTTTCCTCCCAGGATTATGATGTCTCCCTTCTCCTAAGAATTTTCCCATTTTGTAATATACCAAGAGTTGTTCTGAACATGAACTATATATTTAATCAGTAAAAGACATGAACAAACAAAAATTTTCTCTATTATTTCTAAATATGTGGACTTAAGAGGCAGACCACAAATTGTGTTTAGGCTGCCATTTTCAAACAGAAAAAGTAAACAAAAGCCAATGTTTAAATGTTACTTAAAACTACCATTTCCATAGAGTTATCTTTTTGCAAATTAAAGAAAATAAGAGCAAAGATGAAAAACTGAATGATGCGTACAGCATGGAGTTCAGAAGATGACGAAAGTCCCTCCACTCTCACCATCTGGTCCTGGTTTTTGCTTTATACTATTGCTGTGGTAGAATGATTATCTTTTTTGATAATTTTCTTTTTTTCCTTTTGGTAAATAAATGAAGAATTCTCACTGAAAGATTGACTCTTCAAGCATAAAATTATAGAGAAATAGCAATATTATAGTCAAGTAATCATCATAATTAAATTAAAATTTAAAAAACTATTATGATTCCAAATGTGCCTTAGGCTTACTAATGGCTTGAGGCAATAAAATTTATGAAAAATTGCTTATTCATTGGCCTACTTGTGAACACATCACAAAAGCTAGATCATTCCAAGAGAGTCAGTATATACTAGAGTCAGTTAGCATCTTGGAATAGGCCTCTTGAAAATGCTATTAATATAATCTCACTTCAGTTTTCTCAGAAGCCTCTTGAAAAATCAGAAGACTCATATTTTTAATTCTGAGTTAGTCTTTATGACTTGGGGTATAATTGATCCATATGTTTTCTATAAAACTTTACTTTCTTTTTTTTAAATAACAACTAAGAATCAAATATATAAAAATAACCAGAAAAAGAAAACACCAAAATGGTTATTCTCTTAGTTCATGATTTTGAAATATTTTGAAATTTTCAGATTGAATTTTATCCTCTTAAGGTTCAAGTTGTATTTACAGCCAACAAAACGAGATATCCAGATATCCTGGTTCTATCAAAAGGGGAAAGCCTCAAATTCTTTTGAACATCCAGGATGTCTTAATAAACTCCATGTGACAATTTAAGAGTAAGGGAATAAAAATCAGGCAGATAGAATTTTTAAAAAAATACACATGGGTTAGAAAATAAAGGTAGAGAGAGGCTTGGCACAGATTGCTTTCCATTTTGCCAAGGCCTGAAACATTTAGGCAAAAAATAAAATAAAAATAGTTGAAACTATATGCCAAGTTCCAAATATGATTTGTCTTTTCAATATGTAAAAATACTGGAGTTAACTTTTTCTGGAATGAACTCGAGCAGTTAACAATTTCTTAAATGAGGGAAAAAATAAATATAAGAATTACAATATGTTTGTGCTGACTAATCTTTGACTGGGTCTGACTTAAAGATCTTGTATTCTTGAACTTATGAACTTAGGTTTGAGGCAGAACATTAGCAGAGGATTCCTCTTACTATTTAGTACACTGTTTACGTGTGGAGTTAATAAACAGCAAACTTACAAAAAGAGCCCTCCCTAAGGCCAAAACCAACCATATTCACTGGAGATACAAAGGTGAAGATCGTCTTTGAATCAGATCCTAATACTTACACTAAGGACAACCAACCCCAACCTGAGCTGGACTGAGAGAAGAGGTGGGTAGAAAGTACTCTGTGGTCATCTTAACCTATAACTGACCATAAGTAACAAGCAAAAGAAATCATGTTCTCCAAATTACCAATAAACACACAAACAAACAAACAAAAAGACGTTCAACTGTATTACCAATCAGGAAAACACTAAAGTGAAAAAATGAAATTTTATATTCAATCATTTTCATCTAACAGATTGGAGATTACAAATATTATTAGCACCTTGTTTGGGGAAGGTGTAAATAAATAGGATTTTCTTGTATAACTTCTTATTATAAATTTTCTGGAGAGAAATTTGAAAAATGCAACAAAAGATCCTGCAATTCTACTTCTGTATTCTAGCATGCATGTATAGGAATATTCACTGAAAATGTTGTAATATGAGAAAATTATAAGCAACTCAAAAGACTTGACAATAGGGGGCTAGGTTCATGTGTTATAATACACTCTTAAGAGAGTCATTCAAAGTGATATTGTAGAATATATAATAAAATGGGAAATATTCATTATATCATTGCTAAGTGAAGCAGAGCAAATTAAACACCATGTTAGAAGATGATTATGTCAAAATGTGTATAGTTGAAGAAATTCCTTTCACATCTCTGCTTTATTTCTTTTGTAGAATTCAAGAATCAGTACTTCAATATCCCCTCAATACCAGTGTCCTGGGTGATCCCAACCAGCCTCAAGGCTTTAAACAACATATTTACTCTACACAGTTCCCAAATAAATATTTCTAGACTAGACTTCTTTCTATCTTCTAAATCCATCTATCCAAATCTCCACTTGGATAGAAAATGTCTCAAACTTAACATGCCCCAATCCTAACTCCCGAGTTCTTGGTCCCCGTGAAAGCTGTTTCTTCTAAAGTCTGTCTCATCTCAATTAATGCCAGCTCTATATTTCAAGATACTCAAGCCAGAAAACCTTAGAGTTATCCTTGACTCAACACTAGTGTTTATATCCTACGTATCCACTGAAAAATCCTGTCAGCCCTTTTTTCACAACATGCCCAGAGTGTAACCACTTCTCTTTACCTCCATTGATACCACTGTGGTTCAAGCCAACAATATTGCTCATCTAGGTTGTTAAAATAGCCTAATCTCCATCTTTTAACCTCTTCCTTGTTGAGCATTCTCTAAATAGCAACCAGAGTCACCATATTAAAACATAAGTTAGAACACATCACTCTTCTGCTCAAAGTCATTCAATGACTTCCTGTCTCACTCCAGTTATTAATAAAAGCCAAATTATCCCCATGGGATATAATGTCCTACTTGATCTGGCTGACCCTTATCATTATGAACACCTTCCACCATCTCTTGGTTGCTTAATACACTCCAGCTATACTTGCCTCCTTGTTTCTTAAACCTCAGGGTCCTCACTTGCTCTTCCTTTTGCCCAAAATACCTTACCCTCAAATATCTTCATAGCTCATTTTCTCACCTCCTTCAAGTCTTGCCTTAAATGTCAAAAATAGAGAATTCTCTAAATGCTCTATTTAAACTAGAATCCCCTTTCCTACATATTCTCCCTATTCCCCTTGCTTGCAATCTTTCGTAGCATTTACTAACATCTATACTGTATAATTTGCTTATTTTCTGAGCCCTCCCTCTATTTGAGAGAGGTCAACATAAGCTCCACAGAGTAAGGATTTTTCTGTGTTTGAGTCGCTGCTATATCCCCAGTGCCTAGAACAACCCGCAATATATAGTAGGTGTTTCATGAATAATTGTGGAATGAATGATAAAGATGTATACTAAAGTAAGTGGTAATTATCACTGTATGGTGAAATTTGGGGTGATTTGTTTCTTCTTTTGTGCATTTTTAAAATATGTTATGTTTAGAGCAGTTTTAAGGTCACAGCAAAATTAAATGGGATGCACTCCTTTCCCCTGCACACTCACAGCCGCCTCTCCCACTACCAACATCCCCCCACCAGAGTGGTGCATTTGTTACAAGGGATGAAGCCACATTGATACATCAGTTATCACTCAAAGTCCATCGTTTACATTAGGGGTCATTCTCAGTGTACATTCTATGGGTTAGGACAAATGTATAATGACATGTATCCATCATTAGAGTATCATACAGAATAGTTTCACCGCTCTAAAAATTCTCTGTCCTTATTCATCCTTCCCTCCCCACTAATCTCTGACAGCTGATTTTTTTTAACTCTCCATAGTTTTGACTTTTCCAAAATGCCATATAATTGGATTCATACAGCCTGTAGTCTTTTCAGATTGACTTTTTTCACTTAGTAATATTCATCTAAGGTTCCTTCGTGTCTTTTCACGGCTTGATAATGCATTCTGTTTAGTACTTAATAATATTCCATTGTCAAGATGTACCACAGCTTACTTATCCACTCACCTACTAATGGGCATTTTGGTTGCTCCCAAGTTTGGGTAATTATGAATAAAGCTGCTATAAACATTTGTGTGCAGGTTTTTGTGTGTAGACATACATTTTCAACTTATTTGGGTACAGTTGCTGTATTGTATGATCAGAGTATTATTAGTTTCGTAAGAAACTACCAAACTGTCTTCTAAAGTGGCTGTACCATTTCACATTCATGACAGCAATGAATGAAAGTTCCTGTTGTTCTGTATATTCACTACATTTGGTTTTGCCAGTGTTCTGGATTTTCACCAATTTAATAGGGGTATAGTAGCTCATTGTTTTACTTTGCAATTTCCTATGACATACAATTTTAAGCATCTTTTCCTATGCTTATTTGCCATCTATACATCTGCTTTGGTGAGGTGTCTATTCAGGTCTTTTGCCAATTTTTAAGTTGAGTTGTTCATTTCTTACTGAATTTTAAGAGTTTTTTGTATATTTCAGATAGCAGTCCTTTTTTAGATATGTCTTTTGCAAATATTTTCTCCCAGTCTGTGGCTTGTCTTCTGATTTTCTTATGATCAGTTTTATAATAGGTAAACATTCCACATTTTAAAATATGTGTCATAGATCTGACAAATGGGTATTAAATTATTTCAACTTATGGCTGGGCATATAATAGCTATGTTATGTTGATTATACCATAGAGAGTGTACATGAGCCAGTATAGCCTGAATCTGTATAATTGGATATCCTTCTGTGCATATTTTTTTTAATGTAGCCATAGCTAGGATTCCTCATTTTATGCAGTCCATGTCACATCTCAGTTTTTATAGGCACAGTAAAAAAGTGGGACCATGTAATGCAAATGCTCTATTTTTGAGAAAAGCATCTGTCCTGTGTCTGGGATTTCCTATCTGGTAAACTGAGCAACACCTTCCCTCTTTTCCTTGAGCAGAGAGTACCCTTAAACAGATGTTTCAATCTGCCTTGCCTTTGGACCTGTCTGCTCACAGAACCAAGCATGACTGCCTTCCCAGAAACTTCTCTAGCTCCAAAGACATAGCCACCTAGTTCAAAGGTGTTCAAGTAGCTCACACTCCAAGAAGTCTCAAAGCTTCCAATTCAACAGTCTGTGATCAAAATGCCAAGAGGCCAAAGACCCCCAAAAACCAAAAGTCTGTTCCCCATCCTCAGATTTTCCAATCCCTTAAAAATTCTTAGTTTCATAATATTTTCTCTGTCTCTACTAAGATCTGCTAGAGGGTCAAGGGGAATAGATGACTACCTGCCCTACTCTCAGGCCAAGTGACACTATCAACTATTTTTAGCTTCTGATGGAAAAAGAAGCTAAAAATAAAAGAATATTAATCTCCTGATTACTTTCTAGGGTTTTTAAGCAAGTTTCTTAATCTGTTTGAACTTCTGCTTTCATATCTGTAAAATGAAGATAAAATTATCTTCCTTTCAGAGCTACTAAAAAAAACTAGAAATGATGTGTGTAAAACACTTACACATGTTAAATACTCAACAAACCTCTCTTTCATGCTACTCTTCTTTCCTCATTGTTCATTCTACTCACATTTTTCAATCAACTCCCTCTCCCTCTGATCATACCTTTCTGAACTCTCAAGTCCATGTTGCACTCCAAAGCTCTTCCCTGAGAAGGAACATATGAGAGGGCAGGATATTCATTATTTGTATTTGATTTATGTAAGTATCATCGCATATGAGATGAGTTGCTCTAATTTCTAATTCCTGGCAAAGTAAATGGGGTCAACAAAGCCTAGATGTGATGTTGCACATTAAGTATGTTCAGCAGCATGGCCGGGACTTACATTCAATTCATGGACTGACTTCCATTCTAACTTTAATCACTAGGAACTGTTTTACTGTTACAGTCATAGAACATTAGAGATGAATGAAAGGAAACTAGAGCTTTGAGAGGTCTCCTGCCTCCCTGACCATGCCAATTTTCCCTGTATCACTCAGTTACACTCACTATAGCGTACTCACTACATTGTTCTGATTTACCATACCATAATAACAAAAAAATTCTAGTTTTCCAGATATTTAAACAAGAGGTGTGGCTGGGGTGGTAGGGATCTAGCTCAGAAGTGACTGGACAGGAAATAGCTAGAGAGTGGGGCTTGCAAGGTTGGAAGACAATACAAAGGCACCACACTCCCACCACCTCCTCTTAATGGCCCTGGTCTTGCCGCTGTTGTGCAATCTCTGAGATTGCCTCACCATAATTTTGACAAGTGCTACGTCAATCTATTTCTTTTTCCTAATTGTGGAAAGGTGTCATTTTTAAAGACTATTTTTTCCCTGATTTTCTCCCAGCTCCATTGTATCCCCATTTTTATTTTTCTGAAATTTTAATTTATATTCAACAGAAATATTTAGAGATTGCTTAGCAATGTTTTCTTCAACCAAGAGTGTATCAATGACAGTGAATCTCTCTCCAACAGAGAAACACATGGTGTAGTTAGATGAGCAATTTCAAGAACCAATACAAGGCTTAGAGACTCAGCTCTGAAATTACTTGTTCCTTACAGTTATGTGTCACATAATGTTTCGGTCCATGACAAATTGCATGTAAAATGATAGTCCCGTAAGATTATAATACTGTATTTTTACTTTACCCTTTCTATGCTTTGATATGTTTAGATGAACAAATTATCATTCTGTTAAAATTGCCTACAGTATTCACTACAGTTACATGCCATACAGATTTGTAGCCCAGGAACAATAGGCTATACCATTTAGCTTAAGTATGTAGTAGGTTATACCATCTAGGTTTGTGTAAGTACACTGACAAAATCACCGAATGATGCATTTCTTAGAACATATGCCCATCGTTAAGTGACACGTGACTGCATTTGTGTGACAAGTCACGAACTGAGGCTTAGTTTCCCTTCTGTAAATGTGGATAATATCAAATTTATAGTACTATGTTGTAACCCTTTGCAAATCACAGATTTCCTCTGTGAATCACAAATGACAGTTGTGATTTTAATTTTATTTAATTCAGACTGAAAAAAATAAGAAAACAGGCAAACAGTTCTACATATCACCAGCAGAAAGTCAACATACCCTTAAGAATGGCTTTGACACTTTCTCAAATTCACTCTCCAATTGAATGATGTACCACAATGATAAAGGAGCTATCAGATTCTTTGCAAAAATGCAGTGACACTGTAAAAATTGTGACCATTACTAATGAATGTTTGCAGAGGGTAAACATTTTACAACTGTCAGCAAATCAAGTACCGGAATGGCAGAAGGTCACTTGGTATTTGAAAGACAAACTATGATGGCTCAATGGTAATTACAATGAAACCAATTAGAAGATTAACAAACCCCAAATGGCATAATGTCATATAACTAACTGTTTAAAAGTCAGAATTTTAAATTCAGAGGATAGGAATCTTGGAAATCCTCTAGCCAAATCTTTCCTGAGGCCCAGAGTTGTGAAGTGATTTACCCAAAGTCACACAAAAACTTGGAATAAGAATCTCTAGATAGTTGCAGGTGATATTTAAGTTCTTATATTTTTAAAAAGTTTAACAAAAATGATTGTTTTGCTGTTATATATAATAAGCTACTAATTCTCCATTTGGATTAAGAACTAGGCATTTTAGAGAGTATTTCATATACACCATCTCTTTGTCTCCTGTCAACCCAATGAGATGAAAACTACCGTGTTTCCCATTTAAGAGGTGAGGAAGCTGAGGCCCTGGGAGGCCCTGTGGTTTGAAGCCATAGAAATGGCATGCGGCAATCATGCTTCAAATCTAGACCTGTCTGACTCCGCATTGAATGTGCTTTTTGCCTTATCCTTCCCTTATTCTCAATTTTTGCAAAGATCAGTTATTAAAGATACCAGAGTAACTGATGATGTTTGTATTTCATCCTTAGGGTATCTGTAGGATACAGCCCTTCTTACATATTATGACTGAGCCGGAAATGCAGCCCTCAGCAAGAACAATGGGCACTTTTTCCATCTTGAGTCCTGTTCTGAGCTATTGGTTTCTATAAAGCTACAGTAAAGCCATTTGAAAGCACATCAAAGCTACAGAACAAAGACATAGTCCTCTCGAGATGCATGAATATCCATCATGTTTCTACAGATATTCTTAGAAAGAAATTGCAGGACAAACAGCCCTCGTGGTGTCGTAAAAGATGTCCCAGAATTGAAGTCAGATCTAAGTACATACAAGACACAGTGCTACCCCTGCAACCTGTATGACCTTAGAAGGCTCTTAACTTCACCCGTAAAATCAGACAAGGCTTTGAAAGGATTAAATAAAATAATTCAAATATCCTTTGAAAAATTATTAAAATGAATCATCAACAAATTTATAGAATACATTATTTTGTTAAAAAAATATACAGTAGAGAGGAACCTACTTATGTCAAGTTTAAAACACAGTCCATGTGTTCAAGGAGTTGACAAGCTAGATGGTAAAGCAAATGTGCCTAGTTATAAAAACTAAACAAAAATTGGACATCTGAGTTTCTGTCCTCATTATTTCCAGGTTACGAGTAATGTTGGTATATTTGTAATAAAGCCTTTCTTTTGCCTTTTGAGATTTTTTCTCAGCGTACATTTCTAATGTACAATTATGTCTATATTTTACTGGTTTGAGGTATGTATCTGGTTATCTATTGCTGTAATAATAAGTCATCCAAAAACTACGTGGCTTAAAACAACAATTGCTTTTTCATTATTCCTCACAGTTCTAGGTGTTGACTGGGCTCAACTGGGCAGCCCTGTCTCTGGGTGGTTTCAGACGGCTAGTAGCTAGTGCTGAAGTCATCTCAAAGCTTCCATGTTGGCAAGTCTAGTGGTTGATGCCAGCTGCAGACTGAGCTCTCAGTTGGAGTTCTTGCCCAGAACACCTACACAGGACTTTCCATGTGTGCTTCCTGCTTCCTCATGACATGGTGCCTCAGTTCCAAAATCAAGCACCTCAGGAAAGCCAGGCAGAGCCAGATCACTTTTTATGACCTAGAATCAGAAGTCACGTCGCATCACTTTGGCTGTAGTCACAGACCCATTCAGATTCGAGAGGAGAGAACATCATCCCTTCCTCTGAATAGGAGGGTCAATGTCATATTGGAGGAAGGGCATGATGAATGGGAAATCTTGTTGCGACTATCTTGAGAAACACCATCTACCACAAGGTATAATAAGCAGGATTCAAGGGTCTATTATATTGCAATTAAAATCTGTTACATATATGTGCACATGAACAAAAAGAATATACAGTATAGGAAAGAAAATCACTAGTGTACTAGAGTACTGGGGTTAAAGAATCATGTAATTCTTCCAAACGTCTGTTGTAGCTACACTGTTTTTCTCTTCCAAAATGCTCACTCACGATACTACATCATCTGCATACTCCAGAGTGGCCGGACTGAAGAACTCAGGTGCGTAAGTTCTCATGTGCTTCAGTGCTCTCGGCAGAAGATTAAGAGATTGAGCATTTGTGCTTTAGATGACAGGAGACCAGAGGCAGCTCTTGAAAAGGTCAGGCAGTGTAAGGATGTATTTTAGGAAGATGTGTCCTAAACTAGATAAGGAATGGGGACCCTTATGGGCAAAGACAGTAGCTCAGACTCCAGTGGGAAAGATCAATTGTACAGGTGTGAGGGCTTTGAAACAAGAAGGGGAGCAAGTAAAACGTAAGGAAAGTAGAAGTGAGACTGATTTGGAGACCAGAGAGCTGTGCAGTGAGATGGCAAAGAAGAGGCAAGGACAACTCCTAGGCTGCCAGACAGGTAAGGGAGAATCTATGAATCAGTCACCGACCTAAATGGGCAGGGAGCGAGTTTCAGAAGAAAGGATGAGGAATCCCTTTTTTGTTTTCTTCATAGTCTTTTATTGATGAATTTCGAAGAAACAAGCACAGAGATGTGTTTGCTAATCCATGTTAATCTTGCTCAAGACATCACCTCTTTATTTTCGAACTTGTTCTGCCTCTCTCTCCCAACATTTTCTCTGATAGTCTCTATTGAATAGTCTTGTCTTATATTTTATGTCTCAGCTTAAAAACTCCTTTCTTGGGGAAGTCTTCCCTTACTCCTAGACTCAATTAGATGCTCCTGTTATACCCAGGCACAGCACACTACACGCTCCTTTGCAGCTCTTAGCACACTTGTAATTATCTAAGTGTTTGTAAAAAGACATGTGTTCCATGTTCCTCGCTAGCGTGTATGCTCTGCTGGGGAGAAGTTGCACCCAACATGTCTCCCTTGGTATCCCGAGTGCCACCCACTGTGCCTGGCACATGGTAGGTGCTCAGTAACTGCTGCCTGAGTGACTGCCCAGCTCTGCCTTCCGAGTTACTTGGACTAGGTGTTACCAATTCAAATACCTCTGGGGCGGAGAGGTCAGGAGTAAAGGAGGCCAAGTGGTGGGAACTGTAGTAAACTATAGTGCAAGCCCATCCAAAGCATTCAAATTCTCACAAAAAGCAAAACAAAAAAACATGTCCTCAATATCTCCAGCTCACAGACAGTCTCCCGTCTCTGGTTAGACTGATGTCCTCCCAGACAGAATGACTCCTCATACAAGAAAACAGTTAATCACTGAATGCAGATCTCCCAGAGGGCACTCAGACTCAAGACAATGACCAGCATTATCACTCCCGTAATACGAATTCTGCACATTTGCAAATGACCCTGTTCCCACATGTCATCTACTGCTCCTTTCTACAATCCTCTTCCATTCACTGAATTTACGACCTAAAGAAAAACTTAGGCATCATCCATTCTAATCCACTCGTTTTACAGATGAAGAAACTGGGGCAAATGATTCACTTGAAAGCACACAGCTGGTTACTGGAGATTTGGAGATGTAAGAACCCAAACTCGTCTAAATGCTGTCCAGTGCTTTTCCCAAGCCACCACCACATCCGAACTGAAGTTCAAGGTGACTTTTGGAACTGAAACACTATGAAAATATTAGATGCAGAAATAATTTTCATCATGCATCTATTTTAATATAAAATATAAATATGTATATGAATAAACATTCTCACACATTGCTCTTCTTTAATTCTGGGCACGACCTAGACTGGGATCTGAAATTGATCCCTTGCTAATGAGGAACAACTAAAAGGCAAAGATTTAATGATAGAAATTGTTTATAGTTGGCCATAAATAATGCAGTAATGGAATATTTATTGATTCCAGGTTCAGTAGCTCAAATGAGTGATGGACTAGGAAATGCCTGCCACTTTTTGATGCCTTACACACAAGCGCAATCCACCCCATTAAGGAAATGTGCTAAAGCACAGAGCCAAAAATTGACTGAGCTATCTGGATACTCCAGGCTGACTCATTTGCAAGATGGTTCTTTTCTTAGATTCTCGGGGTAGAAAACACATAATATAAGTTTTTGTACATTGAAAAAAAAAATGATGTGACCTTGTTTCCTATTAGTGCTGTCAAGCTGAGGAAAATCGAGAGGTGTCAAATGGCCTGAAATTTAAGTTCATTTCATGGCCCATCTGGCTCACCAAGTACTGGACTCCTCCTCTGAAAAGCCTCAGAATCTCACTATTCTTTGTTTGCATTTTAATTTCCTCAGAGCTCTAGAAATTCAAACTTGTAGCCCGGATGCCTTTATCCCTCCCCCACGCCTCCCTGGCACAAGTGCTGAACAGAAAACACCTTGCTTCCCTTTAATCACAGAATGACAATATTTCAACATACAGAGGGGCTGTTTGTGCTTTATCTTTTACTGCATTTTTATGGGAAGCAATGTATTTTCTTCCTTTTCTCCCCTGATACTGTAACAATCTTTCCTAAATTAAATATGTAACCAATTTCTCATATGACTTTATTCCCAGGCTCTTTTTAAGCCATCATTAAATATCTTCATGCTGTTTGACAGTTATTCCTCATCAGTGTGTTACCTTAGAGACTGTCTGGTGTAAACGGAGGTTTACAGTGTATGGAGAGAGAGGGGAAGATGCCAAGGAGGAGTCAGGCCCACCCCCCATCAGGCAGGGACAGGGAGAGCATGGCCAGGAGAGGGTGACAGCCAAGAGGTACACACCTGATAAGCAGAGAGTGCGTCCCATTCATCTTTGTGTCCCCAGGACCTAACTCTGCTCCAGGCACAGTGAGGTTCTCTGAAGATACTTGGTGGAGAACAAAAAAGGAGAATAAGGAAAAAGATACAGCAGAAAGGTAAGAGGAGGCAAATGGAGAGGAGGCAGGGCGCTACGGTGGGGGGTGGGTGGAGAAGAGGCTGAAATTTGGAAAGATGTTCACTGAAAAAAATAAGACAGATGGAAAGCTCCACACCAGAGCGAGATTTGGGGTAATCTATCATTCATTAATCAATTTGATCCAAGACAAAATATACATAATGATGTTAAAATGTGAGGATTTCAGCCCCTGAAGAGAATGACAATTCTTAGAGCAATCCAAAGTCTGAGACCACGCTCTGCAGTGCAAACAGGCTGCCACAGCCAAGGCCCCAGGCCAGTTCAAGAGGCATTTGATGGGCAAGAAGGTGAACTCAAGGAAAAGGGTGTTGGGCTGAGCCACAGTGCCTTAGGTGGTAGTCACTGGGTTGAATGAAATATGTACCCCGGTGAGACTGGACCAGCAGTCATGATACCCCAGAGGAAATTATACAGGCCAAGAAAGAAGAAAACACTTTTAACATTTCTAATAGTAGTAATTATCTGGATTTATTGATCAACTCACTGAGCTTATCTGAAAGACAAGAAAACAAACTGGGATTTGACACTGACTACGGTCACAGCTGCCGTGTGTCAGCTTTAATTTACAACCATTCTCTTTGACACACAGTCTTTGTGGTATTGAGCAAGAATTGGTAAGCCTTGTAAGTGGCTCATTTATATGACTTCTGTGGATATGTGGGCCTCGCCTAATGCACATTAAAGAAACAAGCTGGACACTTGAGCTACATTTCAGTCTCTTAGGTAACAAAGCTGTGTACGACAGTGCTATTTTGGCACTTTTTGTTTTGGTGGCAATCCAAACATGTAGAATCTTCAAAATTAATTGTGGAAGACGGGAATATTTTGATTAATCTTCAGTGAATAATCTAGTTCAGCCAACATTTCTTGGCACTCACGTACACTGCTGCCCACAGGGTTATTTTTTGTTAAACTTCCTAACAGGATCTGATATTGTACATTGTAAATACATAAGTAAAATAATCAAGGCCCAAGGTTTTTTATTTGTTTAGTGTTAGGATTTTTTTTTCTTTTTTGAGACGATGTTAGACATACAGAAGAGTTGCAAAATAGTACAGAGGATTTTCTTAGAGCCTTCACCCAGCTTCCCTTAATGTCGACATTTTGCATAACCATCATACAATTATCAAAGCTGAGAAATTAACATTGCTACAATACTGTTTACTAAACTACAAAATTTATTCAGATTCCATTTCTTCCACTGATGTACTTTTACTGTTCCAAGATCTAACAGAGGTCTGATTTTAATACAAGATTGTTTTTTCATGTAAGAGAGGAGGTAGAGTTCTTAAGTCATGGGATCCCCTAGAAGTTAGGCTCCATGACAGCCAAGACCTTGTCAGTCTTGTTTATCTCTGTAACCACAGGCCCAGGAAGAGTGCCTGGAACATAGAGACTTGAACATGTTGAGTGAAGGAACGAATGACTAAGTGACCAGTCAGAACATTCTCTTCATTTTTACAGAAAGAAACCCAACAAGACCAGATTCAAGGGATTCTTTTAAATATTTCATTTTCCCTTAATGTCTAAATTCTCATGGTTACTTTGGGATTTTTATATGGCATAGTTAGACTGGAATTAGACTTGAATGATTAAGAATATTGGAGAAACAGGTAACAATCCCACCGCTAACTACCTCTTACCCTAACCTACAAAGCTAGGCTAAATGCCATTACCTGTGTTCCATTAAGTATATTTTATACCATACTTATTATACTATGCAATAATTAACTGTGCATTATAGAATGAACTTCTGCGCAACAGTTTTTTCATCTGATTATGCCAAATACCTAATTTATATTAGATACATAGCAACACTGAATAAATACATCGTTACCTTTCTTCAGTACACCAATCACCTGTACACCAACATCAAACACACAGTGTTATTTATATCACATTGTTGATGCTAATACTTAACAAATTGTTCATTATTAACGATAATGTAAAATTGTTCATAAGAAAACTGAATTTCACGCCCACATTATAAACCAAACCCTTAAGGGAAAGTTTATTCTAAGACCAACTAACATATTCTGATCTTCCTTTTAACTTCTAGATATATTTGTGACTTACAAGAAGTACATTTATGTTCTTTATATGTTTGTTAGACTTGCTCACCAAACAGAGTGAGCTGGTTTATTTTGACTGTGTTACTCAAGTACTTAAAACATAGCCACATGCTATAAGCTACTCAATAACAAGCTGTCTTTGGTGTAATCAAAAACAGAGCAGAGAATATGAAAGCCATTCACAGCCATTCTCCCAATGCTTTATGGCTACTTCCTAAAACCATCATTCACTCTCACACACAGTGACTCAGGCAAACCCACATCCTTCTCCCTGACAGGCGCGGTTGCCCTCCTGGCTTAATCCTACTGGGAGGCAAGACCTCATGGTGAGAGTAAAGGAGTTTAAAGGGTTTTAGACCAGCCAGCTGGTGGATAGGGCAGAACTTCAAGTAATCAAAGATAATTCACTCCTGGGTGCATGTGTAGTCACACTGTAAGCAAGTGTGTCTATCAACAAAAAACAAACACAACTGAGAAATCGCATCATAGAGAAACAAAGCTAAAAGGGCCCATGTAGAGGAAAACACGGGATACTAGAGAGGTAAAGTAACTCACCTTAGACCACACAATGGAAGTCCCAGTTAGCAGCCAAAATACTTCAGAATGAAAATCATTCGATTGATTTTTCCAAAATCACTGCTTCAAAACCACTAAAGCTAACAGCAGCAGGTATTGCAAATCAGGCCATGTTGCTCCCTTGCTTGAGACCTTTGAATGGATTCTGGTTGGGCTGAGGGGCCAAGCTTGTCAGTGTAGTTTACTAGCACTTCAACTCTCTGGTCTTGCTTGCCTGCCTGTCTCACCTCTCATCATTCCCACTTATACTCCACAGGATCCCATCACACTGTCCTGTTTGGAGTTGATCTGTGATGTTGGGTCCATGTTCCATGTTGTCTTTGGTCTCTGTTCCCTCTGCTAGAATGAATGTCACCCTGTCAGACACCACCCTCCTCTTTGTTCTCCTTGGACCCTACATTTCCCTACTTAACACTGCTTAGGCCAGAATTGAAATTGGCCTTTTTTCTTTGTTTGTTTGTTTCTTTATTTGTTTGTTTTCGCCACTTTCTCTATAAAATGATAAAAAACTTGAGAGCAGCAATCATGTCTTTCTGATTCACTGCTCTATTCCCAGGCCCTTGTACTGTGCCTGACACGTGATAAGTAGTAAATAAATATTTTTTCAATAAATAAATAAATACATTAAATTAAAAATTTCTTGTTAATTGCCTATAATTACTAAACATCCTATGAATATCATTTCCCCCCTGAGAAAATAACACTATATAAGCCTAAAACCAAGCCGTATAATATTTCATAGGGGTTGGTTTGCTATAAATTGAAAATCAGGTTATTAACATTATTATTCCCAAGCATCATGCTATATCTATGCCCTTTAATAAATTAGGTTACCAAAAACTATATCCACCCACCCTATTCCCACAAAATGATACTCAGAAAGCAGTTTCAACATTCTGGACTCTTAGACATCTGGTCCACTAATTTTGGATTTGAAGCTGTCTCCATAATAGTTGAAGAAGCAAGCTTTGAATTCCCAGCCCCTGAATACCAGGTATCTGGACCTTGGGCACTGTGACATTGGAGCCCACACACCTTCTTGCTAACCCTAAAACAATAAGCCTGCACCACCCATTATATGCATCCTTTCCACTGTAAGAATGAGTTTCCTATAAAAAATGCTTTATAGCACAGTGTCATTTTATGCACATAAAAGAGCTAAACTTTTATTTTTCTCATATTCCAGGGTTTTTCTGAGGGGACCACGTGATGATAAAGCTGTCTTTCTGCAAGTATTTACATCTCCTGTCTTCTTCTGCACGTGCATAAAGGATTGCATTTGAATCCCTGCCAAGATAAGTCTTAATTGATTTTTTTCAGGTGTTTCCTACTGCCATGGCAACCATAACCAAATATCTTTTCATGAATAGCTTTGTCAATTGCAATATAATATTCTCACTGAATACAGTCTCCAGTTCTCTTTCTACAAAGCTCTCAGGAGCTTTCTCTTCTCTGGCCTAACATCTCTTTTCCTTCAAGCCTCTGGGCCCCATGAAAATCATATATTTAAATAGCACACATGGTTTTTTAAAATGAGAACCTCCTATGATTTCCATCAGTAATAACACACACAAAGATAAAAATAGAGTATGCTTTCAAGGGTAATAGATATTTTATTACTGGCATGATTTGTCAAATACCTATAATCCCTCTCAAATCAACTTTGATGGTGTTATTTCGTTTTTTGTTTTTGTCTCCCAAGAAAAATCATTATTCATCTTAAGAGAGAACATCTTGTCAAGTGTTGCAGTTCAACAAAATAAGGAAAACATCTCTGCCAAAACGCAGCAAATGTGATTACACAAGGCCAAGGAGAAGCCCATAATTAGATCATTACCATGGAAACAACCTAATTACATGTGTAAAGCAGTGAGGGCTGAGTTGTAGATCTGAATATGTGAATATCATTGTCTATGTTATAAAATTTCTGCTACTTAGCTTTCCCCAAATATAAAATATAAACTATATAGATAAATCTTAGTTTAAATGAATGAAAAAATACTGTACGTTGTGTGAATGGAGTTCAGGGATATTCACTCTATTATAAACATATACATATACCTTAAATGAGAAAAAAATATTTCAATGTGCACATTAATAATAAATGTATATTAGCATGTAAATAGCTGAACGGCCTTAAGTGTGCATTCTGGAATTTTATACTGTGCAAAAAATATTTGCTAGAACAACCAAAGTTCTGATAAGGTAATTTAATTTTTCAACTATATTTTATTATTTATACTCAGGAATAATTTTATATTGATCTTCCCTTAGTTATTTAGAGGCCTGTTGTTTCTTTAAGGACTCATTTGTTGATCCCTGAAGGCTAAAATGTACATCTCCATTCACTATTCGGGCCACAGTTAAATAAATGTCCGAATTCTTAGGGGCAGGGGAGAGGCTACTCAAAACTTTATTCATATAGGTGTGCATTGACTTTTTTAAATTACCAAATCTAAATATCTCTTTCCCACTGCCTTTTAACACTATTTACAAGTGCTTTTGTGGCTAAATTTCTTAAATACCTTCGTCACTCTTCTTAACTGTCCATTTGGAAAGCATCTTCTCCAGCAGCACCAGATATTAGCTAGGCCCTGACCTCCTCCACCTCTCCTGGAAAACAACGTGGCTTCCAGAGTTCAGTAGGGCAAGAGAGGAGATGTTGCTGAGGTTCCTTCCTCCCAACTTCTTACCCTTACACGATCACGATCAGGATCACAGAGAGGATCCCAGAGCACAGGGCTGAGGGTAAGAGTGTGATGGGCCTTGTTTCTGACTGGTCTGCACTTCTCATGCCACCTGTGCCTCTGACTCTAGCAATGCCCCTTTCCTACTGTCATTCCCTACCCTTCTCTGCAGCTATAAGAACTGGTCTCCTTCTAGGGAGGAGAAAGAATGAAGGAAACTGTGGCTTTTTTGGATAAAGGTACAAACTCATTCTGGTGCAGTCTTCTGCATGCCTCCCTTAGCTTTCTTTTTGTAGCACATCTCTCTCACACACACACACACACATGCACACACACAAGCACACACACACAAACAACATACAACCTGAGAACAGAATAGATGTGGCAAATCCATCGGCAGCGCAGGTATCCCAATTACTAAGTCTCTCTTTAACAGAGGATCCAAGGGGTGTAGTGCATGAACAGGTAACTAGCTGGGGACAGAAAATAGAGCCCATCCACACAACCATAGAATCTGAAGGAGGAAGGGAGGTGGACACAGGGAAAATAGCTGGACTTAAAGTCAGGTCATTAGATCGCTCTGTTGTGTGAGTCACTTTCCCTCTGGGCCCTCAACTGTCCCTCTCTGCAAAGCAATAGGATAAGGCTGGATGGCATTTAGGTCTTCTACGAGTTCTAATATGCTCATTCTATGGCTGTAACATAATCTGGGTCACGGCTGCTTCCTGTTTGCCCTCTCATTCAGCCTGGCTGGTCCTGGACCTCGATGCTCCTACTCCCTTTACTGTCCATCCACCCAGCCTAGAACACACACACTGTTAAGATCAAAAGAAGGAGCCTGAAATGGAGACAAGATTACTCTATTTGTCTTAAGCAAATCCTATAACCTCTGTGGGCCTTCATTGCCTTTTCAGTCAAATGATGGCCATCTGAAGGATATTCAGATGGGGTAGTGAGTAAAGGGATCTCTACAAGCCCTTCCAGCTGTTCCAATGTAACTTCCCTAAAGAAGGTTACTTTTATTTGTGTACTTCTTTCAGCAGCTCTCTCCCATACTCAAAAACCTTTGGTGACTCCCCATTTTCATAAATGCCAAACCCAAAAGCCACTGCCTGTCCTTCAGAGCACCTTTTAATCTAGCTGCAGTTTTCTTGCCCAAACTCGTTTCACTCTATACTTATTGCCCGCCATCCCTCACCTCAAACTCACTAGTCCAGCCAGGTTTTTCCACAAACACATGTAACCTCAATCCCAGTTTTTTCCCCACTCCCATGCTGCTTCTTTATTCATGAGCCTGACACATGGTAGGCCCTCAATACAGGTTTGTGGCTTGACTGTTAAAGCATTCTCTCTCCCACATCCAAACCTCATCCCAGTTTCCAAGGAACAGATTAGGCCTTACCCCATCTGTGAGGCTTGCCCTGGTTGCTGTGAATTACATGATCATGCTCTCTAATCTACAGAATTTATGACGTGACACACAATTTAGGACTGACAGTCATGACCTCTTAATCACTGTTGAAAGTGTGGGGAGGGAAATTTACTACCCCTTATGAGTAAACATTCTGAAGACGAGTAACAAGGCTTCTATTTCTTTATAATTACCACATCACCTAATCCCACACTGAATCCTTGAGAGGTACTCAGGAAATATTAGACCGAAAGGCTGGGAGGTGCTCCAAGAACATTTCCTAACCAGGATGAATATCATTCCTATTGTACAATCTCCACTTGGCAAAATGCACATCTTTCAAGAGGAAATTCAAACGCCAGTTCAATGTGGCCTTTTCTCTATCCTGCTAGGCAGAGCTTGCCTTTTCCCTTCTTACAAATGTCTATCTGTACTTCTCTCATTGCTATAACTATTCGTTTATATATCTGTCTCTCCACCTAAACAATAAATTATTTTCCTTGAGGAAAATTTTAAAAAATTTACTTTTGTTATAATTCCATGCTCAGTACCATTCCCATAATATAATAAATGTTTAATAATGTTGAACGAATGTATAGAAAATATGCACATGCCCTCTAGGAAAACAGTGCATTTGTGCTTTATTTTCTCTCTCTCTGAACTTGGTGAAATCAATTTTTGACAAATTGAGATGAAGAACTAATATGAGGCTTGGCATCCACTTTGCAAGTTTATGATCTAAGTTGCATACAGAGTTAAAGGACAGAATTATCCATGGGATTATAATATTTATGACAAGTCTTCTCCACTATGACCTTTAGTAGTCCTGGGTGGCTATGCATGGATACTGCACTGTCTGGCTTTTGAAATCCACATAAAAGAATCATTAAGTATTTAAAAGCCACCATTAAGAAATTAAAAGAGTTAATATGTTAGAAAGTATAAAGATTTTATTTGTTACAATATCTTCTGTGGGGTGGTCCACAGAATGCGGTAAGATATAAATGGGGAGCTACTTTTAACACCACACGTGTACCTCTCATCATCACTATCTACTTTGAACTTTGTTTGTTTGTTTGTTTGTTTGTTTTGAGATGGAGTCTCGCTCAATGTTGCCCAGGCTGGAATGAGGTGGCGTGATCTCGGCTCACTGCAACCTCCACCTCCCACATTGAACCAATTCTCCTGCCTCAGCCTCCCAAGTAGCTGGGATTACAGGCGTATGCCACCTTGCCCAGCTAATTTTTGTATGTTTAGAAGTGACAGAGTTTCACCATGTTGGCCAGGCTGGTCTCAAACTCCCGATCTCAAGTGATCCGCCCACCTTGGCCTCCCAAAGTGTTAGGATTACAGGCACAAGCCACCGCACCCAGCCTCTATTAATTTTTTTAAAGATAGTGTCTCTCTCTGTCACCCAGGCTGGAGTAACAGATCATATAGGTCACTGAAGCCTCAAACTCCTGAGCTCAAGCAGTCCTCCTGCCTCAGCCTCCCAGGAAGCTAGGACTGCAGCTGCGCACCACCATGCCCAGCTAATTTCTGTTGTTGCTTGAGAGAGGGTCTCACTGTATTGCCCAGGCTGGTCTTGAACTGCTAGCGTCACGTGATCCTCTGGCTTCAGCCTCCTGATGAATGTAGTTTATTAATGTATTACTTATATTCTTTCTTTAATGCATATTATTCAAGAGCAGGGATAGTTTGAGACATGTCTCTCTTCTCTGTAGCACCTAACACAATAATTTCTGTGGGTCAGAAACTATTTCAATAAACAATTACTGCATGAATTTATTAAAGACCATATTCCAAGTTCCTGGTTTAATATTCAAGTTTAATGCTTAAGATTCTGGTGAATACTGAAACTGAGCAACATGGCAGAAATTACTCTTATCACAGTATCAATAATGGATGTCCTCTGCCTAAGCAACCAGTTTGTTTTACACAATCATCTTCTTGAATTATATTACCACTCTCATTACCACTTGTAGCAAGCATGGGGGATTCAAGATACAATTTCATATTCAAAACACCATCTCCTTCTTTTCTACCTTTGTTTTCCATTTATCTAACTTTTCCTATTAATTTAAATTTAATATCATTTTACTATATATAATATGCTTCTTTGTAAGCTATCTTAAATTACTTTCAGACCAAACAGGTCCTCATGAACATAAATAAAACAGATCCACAGATATAACAAATATAAATGAATAATAAAATAAAATCTGAAATTTTCTTGATTGAAACTAATTCTTGATTTAAATTATTTTTACATTTGCTATTGATAAATTTCTTTAAATTGTTATTACTGAATCACAACTTTAATCACTCTATAGATTGTTCATAATTTTGCTCATGCTTAAAAGATAACTTTTGCTTTCCATTTAGTCATCTGGCCTTATTACTACACACTTCCAAGTTAGCTAGTGGCTAATGGGGAAAAAAGAGTGAGAAGATGAATAATTGTCTTCAAGACAATCTCTGTATTTTAAGAGCTGTGATATATAATAATATGATCAACACATACAGCACTTACTATGGGCCGGCACTGTACTAAGAACTTATCACCATTGAATCTTAACAACAACCGTAAAAGATGACACTGTCATTATCATTCCATATTAGAGATAAGCAAACTGAGGAACTCAGGCATTTGGTAACTTTCCCAAGATCACACCACAAGTACATGACAGAACCAGCATTGAAACCAAGGCTGGCTGGCTCCAGAGTTGTGCCCCTAACCACTTTGCTACACTGCCTCAACTATGCTGTCTCTTCCGAGTCCTTAACATTGAAATATTAGCTCCCAGCATTGTTCAAGAACTACTGCAAGTAATAAGAGGTAAATGGTGAACAGATGATCAGTTATGCCGCTGCAAGTAAAAGACAATTGCCCCCACAAATCCCACTGTTCTTAAGATGACATTTCCCAGCACTTACCCCTCCTAGCCAAAGCATTAATGGATGACGCTCTAATATAAACTTTGTGGATTTTAAGAAATCCAAATGCTATTTAAGTGAAAGGCATTGTGCAAAGGGGGAATTTTCTTTCACTCTCAGTGGCAAAGTTATTCATTGCCTCCTGCTATTAATGAGTCATCTGTTGCTTCAGTCAGTGCTGCCCAGGGCTTTATTTGCCATCTCTGTGTTTGAGCTTTGAAATGAGGTTATCGATTTATGATCAGTGTAACTCCTGGCTGACTCCTGGATGTTAAGATACAATAATAGAGGGTTTTGTGGAAAATCACCAGCTACACTTGAAGGCCGGATCTACATCTTGTTCATTTTTTTGTCACTCCAGCATCCGGCACATAATAAACACTCAATAAATATATGCTGGACGAGTGACTGGTTTCATAAATTACTCTATGGCTATAGACTTTAAGTTTATAATGGATAAAGACTGTACTTACCATCTTATATAGGGCTAACATTGAACAATACAGACATGATAAAGTGAATGAACTACTTAGAATTTTAAGAAAAATGGAAAGAAGGGTTTATGTGTTGCTGAAGTCATATGCTAGGAGACACATAAAAATAAAAGTTCTGCCAACTACAAAAATTTATTTTAAATCCTATGAATCCTGTTTCATAAGGAACCAGCTACTTCATAATTCATCAACTAGAGATTTAACTTTTGTTATTTCTTCAGTGACATAAAAGGATATTAAGCTTTCTCATATTCCCTATTTTAAATCTCCATCACCTTAAATATATAGTGACTCCCAGGTATAATAGGTATTGGAAAAATAAAAGACAATTATCTGGGAGATTACTTAAAAGATTTCTGTTCTTCTGTTTGACTGTAAAGGGCCAATTATGATGCCATTCACAGGAGATTTCACCATAAAAAGTGTGAATGAGGTGAGGGGAGACAGTCCCAACCAGCCTGGAACGGAAATCCAGGAATACCTGGCTTTGGCTTTAGAAGAAACTGCTGTCCATTATGGTGTTTCTATTCATCTGGTGATTTACATGGTAGATGAGGAATCTTCTAAAAAATTGCAAGATGTATTCCCAGTTGGGGATTAGATCTATGCGGGAACGAATAGGGGACTGGGAATGGCATGGAGAGAAAGCAACCAAGGTGCCAAGAGAATTTGGCTAAATCTCTGTGAGAAAGTGTTCTAGAGAGGACGGAGGTAGGCCTGACAAGCCAGTCTCAACCATAAGGCTGAGCAGGAGGAGCAAGAGGGGTCAGGAACACCAGCTGGTCCTGGTGCTGCCTCAGTGCCCCTGCCCCACGAGTGTCGTAGGCATGAGCTACGCCGTGCTCCCCAGTACCACCGAGGGGTCCACTTAACCGGGTGTAACTGCACAGCCAGGAAGCCCTTCCCTTCTCACTTCCCAAAGGACTGCCAGCTTGTGAGCCGTGAGCACTGAGCGCTTTGAAGCTCAGCTGCGAGGTCAGGTCTGCTCTTCAGCAAGGTGGAGGCTGGGGAAGCAGCAAGGGCACTGGTGAGGGGAGCCCTCAACTGGATCTGTGAAGGCACATAAAGTTACCACTTGGGGCCCACAGAAGCATCAGGGATGAACTTTGCAGGGATAGACATGCCTGTGTGAATGAGCTGAGCTTACAGCCAACAAAATGTTCTTTTATCGACTGCAAAATTCAGGTTTAACTCTAAATGTGAAATCACCTGAGCCCATATGCTGGGGAAATCTAAACACACTCAATTTATAAATTATCCTGTAAGAGAAAATAGAAATAAAATTATAAATTACTGTATATTTTTAGGCCAGGTATGGTGGCTCATGCCTGTAATCCCAGTGCTTTGAGAGTAAAAGTAGAGGGATCACTTGAGGCCAGGAGCTCAAGACCAGCCTGGGCAAAACAGTGAGACCCCATATCTTAAAAGAAAAAAAAAATTAGCTGGGGGTGGTGGCACATGCCTAGAGTCCCAGCTCCTCAGGAGGCTGAGGCAGGAAGATCGCTGGAGCCCAGGAGTTTGAGGCTGCTGTGAGCTGTGATCGTACTGCACTCCAGCCTGGGCGACAGAGCGAGACTCTGTCTCTAAAATAAATAATGAATATTAATAATTTTTTTTTTTTGAGACGGAGTATCTCTCTGTCACCCAGGCTGGAGTGCATTGGTGCAATCTTGGCTCACTGCAACCACCACCTCCCAGGTTCAAGCCATTCTCCTGCCTCAGCCTCCTGAGTAGCTGGGACTACAGGCATGTGCCCCCAGGCCTGGCTAATTTTTTGTATTTTTAGTAGAGATGGGGTTTCACCGTGTTAGCCAGGATGGTCTCGATCTCCTGACCTCGTGATCTCCCCGCCTCGGCCTCCCAAAGTGCTGGGATTACAGGTGTGAGCCACCGTGCCAGGACTAATAAATCTTTTTAAGATATAAATCACTATATGTTTTTGACTGGCATCATGCTTTATGGTTTCGTAAGCTTCTCATTTCTTTCTTACAACCACTCTGGCAAAAACAGTACAGGTATTATCCTCATCTAATAGCTGAGGAAACTGAGGCTCAGAGAGGCCAAGAGATTCGACGTCGATCCTACAGCTCATGTAAGGTGGGGGGCTAGTTGGGGTAAAGTTGAGACTGTCATTCCAATGGGGAAGTGCAGAGATGAACTCCTCCTAGCACAGATCACTCTCCAACGTCAATTGTGATGTTCTTTTCTTCTCTTTTGTTTTTTCTTCTCTTCTCCTTCTCCTATTTCTCCTCCTCCTTCTCTCCCCTGACAGACGCCAGGGATGTCCTGCCAGGAGCATAGTGATTCCTTGGAGGAGAAGATGGAGGAGAGAGATACAGAGGGGGAAGGATGACAAAAGGCAGAGAACAGAACAGGACTGGCAGCAGCGCTCCCCACCTCCTCTCCTCACTCTGTGCTCTTTAAAAACACTCCCTGATTCATTTTCTTTTTAAAATCTCATTTCACCAGAACGTGTAAACACAATTCACCAAATGCAGTCATGTACTTATTGAATAAAGAAAAGCCGTGGCAGCTTTCCTGGGGAAAAAAAAAAAAAAAAAAAAAAACACAGGGCAACAACCCATTCTCTGGCCAGCAGTAACAAGGACTTGGAAGTGTAAGACTTTTCAGTATTAAGTGGGCTTTTGGCATTTTTTCCTGTCCCCCACCCCCCTTTTCAGAATCTATTCCCATGTCTTCTCTATGTTCCTGCAGAAGCCAGTCCACCAAAACAATATACATGGCCTGGCAGGCAGCCTGACAGGCATCACACATGATCTCAGTCTGCCCCCAGCACTCTCACATCAGGGCTGGATGAATCCAGTGAGGGAAATGCCTTCTAGCTGATATTTCTGTCTTAGGAAAAAAACAGAGAAAATGAAGATCGCCAGGACAGATAGGTTGGAAGAGAAAGCTTGGCTCCCAACTACTGCAGTGAAAGGCTTACACTGGGGTCAAGCAGAGTCCTTTTAGTTTCTGAACAATAGAAAATGTTGTCCCCATTCTAGTGCTCCCTGATCAGGCCGAGGCCACCTGCCCCTCCTCCCACAGCGCATGTGATTGCACCCACCCCGTAATAAAGGTCAGAGGAGTTGGTTGCATAAGCCTGATTAAACAGTTTGGACAAGCACCATGAGCTTTGGGGAATGAATCAGAGCTAGCCTTTGCCACTGTTCTTCAGCAAATTCCATTCCTCAGAGATTTATGGAGTGCCTGCTACCTGCAAGGTGCTATACTGTAAATTAAAATTTTAAAGGAATTCTTGCAACCTCGATTGCCTTTGATGGATAACCCCTGGGCAGGTTGAGTTACTCTTGTTATCAAATGATGAACTGAGGCCCAGAGAGGTTCTGTAACAGTGATGAGGTACAGGAGTCTCTGAACCTGTGAGAAGAAATGCGTTGCAGCCCTGGCTTTCAGCAGGCCAGTGTAGGAGCTGTGCAAGTCTTTCAACCACTTAGCCCTCAGTTCTTCAGCTATAAATAGGAGGGTTGGTCGGGTGCAGGGACTCGCACCTGTAATCCCAGCACTTTGCGAGGCCGAGGGGGGCCAATCACCTGAGGCTGGGAGTTCGAGACCAGTCTCGCCAACATGGAGAAACCCTGTCTCTACTAAAAATACAAAATTAGCCGGGCATGATGGTGCATGCCTGTAATCCCAACTACTCGGGGGCTGAGGCAGGAGAATCACTTGAACCTGGGAGGCGGAGGTTGCAGTGAGCCAAGATCATGCCATTGCACTCCAGCCTGGGCAACAAGAGTGAAATTCTATCTCAAAAAGAAAAAAAAAAAGGGAGAGAGAAGAAGGTTGAGCAAATTGTCTCTACAAAGATGTCTTATAGTTTGTTTTTATCTTTTGTAGCTAATATTTATTGAGTACCTATTATGTGAAGTGAGTACCCATTTACACATATTGATATTTTTAACATTCTATGATTTCTAAAGATCCCATATATTTAAAGCAATACTATATAAATTGTATGAGGAAACTTATTTACATAGAAGAAATAAGGGAAAAGTGAGCAGTACTTTCTTTCATTTCTCAACTGGTGTTTCTTTAAGCCAAAATTTTGTCTCACCTCACCCTTCACTTTTAGTTTTATAGGGAATTTGGTGTCTGAGCCAGAACATCAAGACTTGTAGCGTAATTTTTTGTTGTTATTTTTGGTTTTAATGTAAAGAATAGTTGCAGAGAGAAGACAGTTTCGGGTCCATCCTAGGAGTGAGTTATACAAGCTTTCAACAAGTACAAACCAAACATTCACCCTTTTAAAATTCCATTGTAAACAGGCTTTATGATGTATATATTGTTTTCAGCTGTTACTGTGCATGTCTATTGCAGTTTGCATTTGGAAAGTATTTTTATAATTATTTTGCTGACTCTGGTGATAACCTTCTAAATTAAGATTCAGCCTCAGTAATGGATGTTTTGACCCCACTTGCCAAGTCCACAAGCAGGAAATGAGTGAAGACCTCTGGTTGGAAAAGAACCTTTCTGTGTGTTTCTGGCAAGTAAACTGTCATCACATTTAATTGAGATTTGAGAAATGGGTAGCAAAACAGCAGTGAATGATGGCATTTGCAAATTAGTTGAAGCCAAGTGAATTTTTGCCTAGAGTGTTCCGACTGAAAAAATAAATATAAGGAAAATCGATGTTAGCAGAGAGAATCTTTCTTGTTTCCCTACTGATTTTCCATGAAGTAAAGTGCACATATTTGATTCAGCTTAGAAATCACTATCTTTTTTTTTTTTTTTTTGGCCCCCTTTAAGGGAATCTGTAAAATTTCAGATGAGATGTTGTAGTGGAAACAATCTTTGAACTTACTGTACTGATCAAATTAATGACTCAACCTGTATCTTCCCCTACTCAGCCCCTAATATAGATTTTTCTTTTCCAAGGAATGATTTCAAATGTTTCTAAAGAGTGAAAAAAAAGCTTTTCAATTTTCCTCCCTTTCCACTGTGATACGGACTAAATCATCAATATCTATTTCTGCCAGTAATTCACACTCACGGTTATCAATGAGCTTATGCCAAGCTCTGTTCTCAGCACATTCTTGTTGTGCTGTTATAAAATTTAAGTATGTGAGGTCAGTGCAAAAGTAACAAACAGTGAAAGAATGTTACCTAACAAATGCTTTATTCTAAACATAATCATCTATAATATATATGTCTAGAAATCTGTAATAAGACAGTTCTGTCTATCCCCAGTGCAAATGTTTAGATTAGTTAGATTTTTAGAAAATTTGCCATATAGTTAATATTAATCTTTGATTATATTAATATTAATATAGTTAATGTTTGAGAGAACATTTCATATTTTCCAGATAACTCAGTAATGTTTTGGCTTTATAATTACTTTAAATCAGCCATATGGAAAGATGATTAAGAACCTGTTTGTCTTTTCACATTTACATATACATACAGAATATGTATACATATATAAAAGTTAAAATTTTCTCTGATCATTCTCTAGATCAGTAAGTTACAGTAAATATTAAGCTTCACAAAGTAATGGGATTTTTTTCTATATCTAATTTGTTCTCGAGTCCAATGATAAATAAGGAAAGAGATGATAATCCTTGTCATAAAGGACAATTGATCTTTTCTTCTTTCTTTTTTTCTTTTTCTGAGACAGAGTCTCGCTCTGTTGCCCAGGCTGGAGTGCAGTGGTGCGATCTCAGCTCACTGCAAGCTCCGCCTTCCAGGTTCACGCCATTCTCCTGCCTCAGCCTCCCGAGTAGCTGGGACTACAGGCGCCCACCACCACGCCTGGCTAATTGTTTTTTTTGTTTTTGTTTTTGTTTTTGTTTTTGTATTTTTTAGTAGAGGCGGGGTTTCACCATATTAGCCAGGATGGTCTCAATCTCCTGACCTCGTGATCCACCCGCCTCGGCCTCCCAAAGTGCTGGGATTACAGGCGTGAGCCACCACGCCCGGCCTCTTCTTTCTTTCTTTCATCTTTCTAGCTTTCTTTCTTCTTTTCAAGGTCTGTGGCTAGATACTAGAATTTTAGAATCAACATTTCCACTATGATTCTATTTAACTTTCCAGCTTTTACACTGGATAAGTCTCTTTATAAAATCAAAGGTGTTCTCATTTAAAATTAAGTTTATTTCCAATGCTGACATAAAAGGTCTCACAATTTTCATTGCTATTTTCAGCCATGGAGCTGCAATAAACCCTTCTAAGTTTGTGTGCATAACAGGTATGGAATATAGTCATCTCCCCTACCATGAACAAAACAGGAAAAGAAAAAAGGGTTTCAGGAAAAAAAAAAAAAGAAACATGTCTCATTTTTAGAGGTCAAAAGTCATTTTCATCCCCTGAAAATGCTTTGAAAGTGGTCCAGACCTCAAATTACCATAATTTTCACCTACCCCTATGTAAGAAAAGGGAAGTAAAAGCAAAAGGAATCATAAACATCTCGGTGCAGGACGTTCTTACTTTCTGTAGAATCTTTGTGGTTTCCAATCCCTGCATGACTTCCCAGCACTTCTGCATCACTCTTCCCCTTATTCTTCTCTAATATGTTTCACATTGATTTTTTTTTTCAATTCTCTGCTGACTGCACATTCTGAAAATGCTTTGACCTTAAAGTCAAGATCAAGTTTGCATTCCTGGAGTAAACAAGAAAGAAAGATGGAGAAGAGAACTTAAAAGAAAACCATTTGACCAAGAAAAACTATGGAGCAAAATATGTATCCTAAGAAAAGGGAGAAAACAGTGTCTTTCTTCTGAGGTTTCTCTTTTTTTCTAAATTTGGCATTCAAGGTGAAGAATATTAATATAAACTACCAATGAAAGAAGAGAAAATTTTCCTCAAGTACTATTTGTATGGAGACTAGTCTGGCATTAACCATTGCTATCACCATGTAGAATAACAGATCTGTTAGAATGAAACTTCTAACCATACTGTTATACTCAGGTAGTGTACTGGAAAAGCAAGAACCATACATTACGGCTCCAAGAAAAATAGAAACAAATTAATGCTGGAAAAATATGTGTAAAAACCCACAAGTTTGAATAATCTTCTAAAATTGTTTTAGGTTTTATAAAGACTTTATCTCTGTCTCAGGGCCCAGCTACAGTAAACTGACAGTTAACTGCTTAAAAAGAAAGTACATCTTGAAACGTTCATAACTTTTCATTTATAACAAAGGCAGAAAAACAATCACATTTATAAGAAGATATTTTTTCTTTTTATATCCTACTCTGAAGCAAAATTCTGACACAACTAGCAGAAGGTACTTTAAGACTCCAATGTGACACATTAAATGTGGACATCCAATGCAAGATTAACTCAGTTGAGTATCTGGGAGAACTTTGTGGTTTTTGTTTGTTTGTTTGTTTGTTTGTTTTACGAAGTCCCTCCACTGAAATACTGTGTCTTTGCAAAAGCCTTTTCATGATCCAAGTTTTAATTTAATGTGATATTATCCAGGAAGCAGTTTCAGTAATAGGTTTGTGTTCACATGGACAACCTGGTTTGGCTTAGACGTTTGTCATAGAGTATGTGGTAGATCTCTATCCATTGGAAGCATGCTTTTACTTGGATTAGAAACCTACATAGGATATTTGGTGAATAGTATTGGTGCTTACCTGACATTCATTGCCTCTTCTTTCTTTTTTTAATAGAATCTAATTTTGTCCACATATCCATCTTTCCTTCTCATAGTCATGAACCTCAACTCCAGGGGTAGTCTCATTGGAATATAGATTTACTCGTTGGTCTCTATTTCCCTTGCAGTAATTAATTCAGGAATGGACATGTGATCTAACTGTGGACAATGAGACAGGGGGAGAGGCTGTCAGAAAAATTTGAGAAAAAGAGAGAAGCGGCCAGGTGCAGTGGCTCATGCCTGTAATCCCAGCACTTTGGAAGGCCAAGGCGGGAGGATCACTTGAGGTCAGGAGTTCAAGACCAGGCTGGCCAATATGGTGAAACCCCGTCTCTACTAAAATACAAAAAATTAGCCAGGCGTGGCGGCATGTTCCTGTAATCCCAGCTACTTGGGAGGCTGAGGCAGGAGAATTGCTTGAACCCAGTGGGTGGAGGTTGCAGTGAGCTGAGATTGCACCACTGCACTCCAGCCTGGGCGACAGAGAGAGATTCCTTCTCAAAAAAAAAAAAAAAAAAAAAGAGTGAGAGAGAGAAAGAGAAGCCTGAGAAGTGACTCTTTCTTCTCCTGGGTATTATTGCCCATAAGTATACTGCTTAGATCTGGCATAGCCTTCTTGCTACCATTCTAAAGAGGAAACTAGCTCAAAAGATAGCAGAGTGAAGAAATATTTTGTGTAAAAACCTAAATGTCATTGAGTCACAGTATCAACCAGCCATGAGATTCACCCTACGTGAGTCTTAGCTATGGGAGAAGTTACTATTGTCATTTTAGATACTTGGCCTCTGGGATTCTATTCTTTGCAGCCAGTAGCAGGCTAACCAATTTCTCTTGGCTTCCTTCAATTGTATCCACCTTCCTGGCTTAGGCCTTTCAGAAGAAGACAGAGTCCTAAGCCAATGTGTTTACCCTTGATTTTAACTTGAAACTTTCTGCCATTAACATGGGGAACAAGATAAATTTATAGAAATAAAAATAATATGATTTAACAATACCAAAACATTAATATCTGAAATGTATCTTGGAGGGATTGCTTCATGTGCCTGGCAGTGTTGTCAGCGTCAGGCTGCCGAGTAGAGATGTGAACGACAAAGCATTTAAATGATCTGTGTTGTCATTTTTGCAACACGAGCTCACACAGATGATGGTCGATTTAATAAATCAAATTGGACAAAAAAAAATTCAGTCTCTCTCCACAACCTTTCTCAAAACTACCGTCAGAGTTTTCTTCTCCCCTCAACGACCTCTTGGGCAGATCCACGACTTTCTGTTTACTTTCAAGTACTATAGAACTTATTTTCAGGAATCAAAAAACTCTAACCCAATCAGATACCAAAACTTCAATTTATTCTTGAAATCAATGTTTTTCCTCCCCAGCTCAAGTGCATTTGTGTCTTTCTTTGTTGTCAAATGCCCTGTGTAGGACAGATGTTCCAAGAAGTCTTTTTCATGAAGTACCTCTGTTAATTCTTTGGAGACCCTTTCAGGGACTCATACATTTAACATTTCCTGATGCATTCAAAACACTCTCTCGTTAATCTTTTGTAAGAACCTTGACTCCTGTACCAGAAGGTGCTTGGGATTCCTTCATTCCAGCATGCACCCCTCTTGCTGTGAAATGGTGGGAGGCCCTTCAAATAACTTGCACTAACTTGCACAGTGCTACTTGTCCTGCAGGAAAATGAACACATCCTCCCCCATCATGTTCTCAAACTTCAAGCACTGCTGCCTTTTGGCCTCACTCTGTCATGCTGCGCATCTTCAGCCACCTCATACCTGTGATTTCTCCTGCAGAGTCAGGCACCAGGCCCTGTGCTGCCCACATTCAAGCACTGCCTGGCTAAACACTGAAGCCATTAACCACATGTGTCCATTGAACACTTGAAATGTGCCAGTCCAAATTGAGATCTCAAAGCTTTAGTATTAAAACACACACACACACACACACACACGCACACACAGAGCAAGATGTCTCATCACTAATTTTTATATCAACCACGTGATAATATTTTGGATATATTGGCTTAAATAAAATGTATTAGTAAAATTAATCACCCATTTCCTTTCCCTGTTTTTTAAATAGGCTACTAAAAAATAAATTACATGTGTGGCTCACATCATATTTCTATCGGCCTGCACTTCTCTAGAGCCTTGGACACAAAGAATGCCCCCGACCAGAGCACTGGCATCGCCCAGGAGCCTCTTAGTAGCAGAGAGCTTGGACTGGCAGTAGTGCTCAGAATTGTCATTTTAACCAGATCTCTGGGTGAAGTTCTGATGTAGGATAGAGGTACTTATTCTGAGGTCTCAGCACTCATGTTGATTCTTAACAGTCTGTTACCAGTTCATGACAAAATAAGTGCAGGAATTAAGAGTACTGTTCAGAAATTTTTATAGCAATTTGATGTTACAATACAGAGTATGTAACCTCTGAACATTGTTTCCATTTCATTTTTCTAAAAATTCAGTTCTAGTAAATCTATAAACCTGTCACTCCATGATGGACTGGAAATTGAAACAGGTTGGTCCTTTATCACAGAAAGTTTGCAAAGTCCTGCTCTAGAGGGCACCCTTCAAACTCTCTGAGGAAATTTCTCGAACTCTGTAAGATGGCAGTATTCCCCACTAGTGAGCCTCTCTGTCCTCACCACCTTTGCTCCAGAGGGTTTTCTCTCAATTTCCTCTCTTGGATCAAGACGAAGTCACATAGCAGCTTACCCTTCCGTGCCAAAGTGCTCTCTTTTCCTACAATTTTCTTCCCGGCTGTTAAATGTGTTCTTTGGAGTGACAATATTTGATGATTGGCCAACACCTTAACACATCCTGTGGGGAACATGTCTAAGTACCTTTCTTCAGAATGTGCAATGCAATTGTCACAGGTTACCCTCAGTTTTGGACGTTAGCCCAAATTCCAAAGCAATGAGAAAGTTCCCAGTCTGTATCCAATCAAGGCAAAGACTCCCAGCTTCTCTGGGGAACTTATTTTGGGCTCTGGCATTTTCTGTTTTGTCTTTTCCCCCGTCAAAACACTCCTCCAATTTCCCCACATGAGTTGAAGTAGTCTTGGCAATCAATCCTAATTTGAAAGTTTTAACTGGAATAATATGTAATCTTTCTTAAATATTATACTCTAGGCTTCTTCTACATTTTAAGGAAAATCTTGTAGACGTGCCCAACACATTCTATTAAGATATAGATATACATAAGTTAGTGCATATCACGTATTCCTTGTATGGGAATTTAAACCTCTTTTTTAGTCAATTTAATGTCCACAAGCAGTTCACCATTTAATCTTATGGCTTATTTTGTATAAAGAAAGTCTTCTTCATTAAATGAAGAACCGCTTTCTAATTCTCAATTTTAACAACATAATCACAGATTTCCTTGCACCAAATTTATTTAAAGAAAAACACACCTGAGTTTTCAGTTTATACCCACATTAGTATTTTATTAATAGTTTGAATGTTAAGTGGCAACCACATTCCAAAAACCCTGAAAAATTCATAATTTCTTTATGGTTTTTAAGAGCTTTGCTTCTTGCCATGATACTTTCAATAGATTTATAAGTGTAAGCAATTCATTTTTTTTTAAAGAAAGTAATGGATATTTATTGATTTCTTAATATGCACTAGGCACCCTATTATAATGTACTCTTTTGTACTAAATCTACAAAAATGAATAAAACATGTCCTTCCCTTGTGTAACTCAAGAGTCTGGGTGATGAGACAGACTCCTACACAGAAAATACAACACAATATCAGGGGTTATAAGACAGTATTTTGTGCAGGATTCTGTGGGGGTAGAAGGAAGGGGCCCTTAACTCCTAAGGAGATTAGGGAAAAGCTTCCTGGGGAAGATGATGCCTGGAACTAGAACTAGAGGGAATCATAGCAGGTTTTTCAAGTTAAAAAAAAAAAAGTTTGCAAAACATTCAAGGCAGTGGGTACTGCATGATTAAATATTCAAAGGCATGAAACAGTCTAAAAGTTTTAGAGCTAAGTAGGTTAAAATGAGGCCGGAGAACAGAGAGAAACCAGGTGATGGAGACCCTGAATGTTACACCTAGGAGCATGAACGTGACTCAACAGGTGTTGCAGGCTGTGAAAGTGGTTCAAGCTTCTAACGCCATAGTTGCCCATTAGTTTCTCTTCTGGTCTAATTTTGCAATTATTTACATAGAAGATCTTTAATATAAACCTTTGTTGAGTTCAAGGCCACATATAAAAATCAGAGAGAATGATAGCGTCAGTGAAACAAGCAATATATAAAAGAAGCAGGAACACTCTCTAGCTTCCTTCATGAGTAAGAATAATTGCCTTAACTGTTTTTGGCACTAAGTCCGTTTTCATATGGCATTCTATTTTCTAGAGTGACTTTGTGACATAGATTAGGCAGATATCATTTTTTCCACTACAGTTGAGAAAGTTGCCACCAAGAGAGAGAAAGTCAGAACAGTAGTAAATGGCAGAAGAAGAAGATGGAACCAGGTCTTTAAGCTGCAGATGCTTTGCTCTTCTCTTTCACTAGGAAATGGAATCTATGTTAATGAAATTCCTTGCCAAATTTAAGAGGTAATTGTTGATAACGAATGCCATAGGTAACATTACCCTGACACACACGTTTTGTAAATTTGTCTAAACTAAGTTTGCTATGTATATGATACTATTAATAATGATTAAAAACTAATAATTTATTGAGCACCAGAAAGTGACTATTTTTCTTCCTTTGTTAGTGTTTTCTTCTACAAATTTTCTTCTAAGAATGGTTTTAGCTACATCTCACAAATATTGATATTTTGTGCTTTTATTATCATTTAGTTCAAAATATTTTCTGACTTCTCTTATAAGTACTTCTTTGATCTATGGGTTATTTGGAAGTGTGTTGTTAATTTCCAAATATATGAAAGTTTCCTTGAGATCATTTTGTTATTGATTCCTAATTCAGTTATACTGCGGTCAGGGAACATACTCTGTAAGATTTTAGTCTTTTCAAATTGATTGAGATTCCTATTAAGGTCCGGAATATGATCTAGGTGAATAGTCCATGAGTACTGGAAGGAATGTGCACTCTGCAATTATCAGGTACAGTGTTCTGTCAATAGTGATTAGGTTCAGGCAGTTGGTGATGTTCAGATATTCTGTATATATAGTCTTCCTCAATTTTTTGTCTGCTTATTCTGTCAATGAGCAGACAAAATTACTGAGAGATTTCTAGAACATCTAACTGAAATTCTAGATTTATATGTATTTTCCTAAAGTTATGCCAGATTTTTACTTCAGGAATTATGAAGTTCTTTTATTTGATGCCTACACATTTAAGAGTTTTATGCCTTACTGATAAATTGGGCCTTTTATTATTCTGAAAGTATCCTCTTTACCTCTGGTAATGATCTTGGTCTGACAATCCACTTTGTCTGATATTAATATAGCCAGGCCAGCTTTCTTATGTTTACTTTTGGCATGGGTTATCTTTTGCCATACTTTTAGTTTTAGTCCATGCTATTGCCCTTACTTGCAGCACCCACTGGGGATGTAGAGAGTTGGAAAGAGTGCTGCTCCATCTTTAATGCAGAAACAACAGCAACGAAGGACATATGTATCATTTCCAATGCTATTTACTCCATTCCACCGTCCTAATTTCATTTTCTTCAGGTGGAAGAACTTCCCTGAGTACTTCTTACAGCTTAATTCTGCTGGTGACAAATTCTCTCACCTTTTGCTTTGTGAAAATGTCCGGTAATGCGGGTCCACTAAAGATGAATTCTGAATTCTCTCAACTTCTGCTTATGTGAAAATGTCTCCACGGCACCTTTAGATTTTATTTTTATTTTTTAATGACAATAAGGAAATAATACATGTGTCAGGTAATGGATGTGCTAAATACCCTGATTTGATTTTACACAATGTACACATGTATCAAAGAGTCACACTGTACCCCATAAATATGTACAATTTCACCTTTATTTTTGAAGGATATTATATTAGTTTCCCATTGCTACCATAAAAAATGACCACAAATTTAACGCCTCAAAACAGCAAAAATTTATTATTGTACAGTTCAGAAATCCAACCTGGGTCTCACTGGGCTAAAATCAATGCGTCAGCAGAGCTGTGTTCTTTCTGGGAGCTCTAGGACAGAATCCATTTCCTTGTCTTTTCAAGCTTCTAGAGGCCACCTGCATTCCTTGGCTCATGGCCATCCTCAAAGCCAACAATGTCACATCTCTCTGACCTTTCTTACATAGTCACGTCTCCCTCTGGCCACAGCTGGGAAAGATTCTCTTCTTTTAAATACCCATGTGATTGTACTTGGCCCACCAAGATAATTCAGAATAAATATATCCATCCCAAAGTCTGCAACCTTAATCACATCTGCAAAAGTCCCCTTTGTCATGTAAGGTAACATATTCACAGGTTCTGGGGATGAGACTATGGTGGACATTTTGAGGGGAGGGGAGGGGGCCATTATTCTGCCTATCACAATATTTAATCAGAGTATAAAATTTAAAGTCACAGATTTTTCCCCTCCTTTCAACACTTTTAAAGTGTTATTTCATTGTATTTAAGTCCCCACTGTCTGAGAAAGCAGCTATCTTTTGTAACACTGCTCTTTCGTACTAATAATTACTTTTCTCTTTAACTTTGGTTTCCAGGAGCTTGAATATGTTATGCCTAGGTGTGGTTTTACTTGTAGCTATCCTTGTGTTCAGCCTCTTGGATTTGTAAGTTGATATGTCCTTTGAAATGTAGGTATTTTTTGGTTTCTACTTCTCAGATACATTTTCTACTCAGTTCTCGTTTGCCCCTTTCTCTGGGATTTCAAATCCACATATCTTGCACCAGTCAATATTGAGACCAGTCACTGAGACCACCACTCTACCTGGCTCCTCCTCCCTGCCCAGTGGCAAGGTGCCCCCAAGGGAGAAAGCAGAGCCCATCGTGGCACTAACTTCTCAGGCTCTCAGTACTACATTGACTGTTTTCCAATGCCTGGAAAAAGTTACCTCATGCATTTTGCTCAGTTTTATAGTTGGTTTTTGGCAGGAGATATGGATTGGTACCAGTTATTCTGTCATGGATGAAAACAGAAGTTGCCAAGAGTAGTTTTTAAAGAACAGTTTATAAGCTGGTCTTACGGTCAGAATAGGAAATCAACTTTTCTCTGACGTTCTTACCGGCGGTTCAAGTCACCCAAGCCATCTTTCCATTTCATAAAATTGACAGGCAATGTCATAGATAAGTGTAGGTTAAGGATTGTTCTAAACATAGTAATTTCATGGCAATAATAGATGAAAGTTTTGCAGATTTGCATACAACTCCAATATCAAAATTTTTTATCTTCTTTTTATTCCAAGGCAAAAGATATTTTTACAAAAATCTCTCATAAACAAATTTAGAGACAACCACAATATTGACACATCTCATCTATAATTTTGTTCCACCAACCGAGCAAAGTATCTGTACTTCTTACTGTAACCAAAAAGACAAATAGATAAAATTCAGTGCTCACATTTCAGATAGCTTACAGATGCAGTAAAAAAAAAAATTACAGAAAGAAATCAACAATATAAAGTGAATTTATCCAATTTACCAAACACCATTACCCTTTCCAGCTACTGTGACCTCTGACTCAACATGCAATTGTTAGGCATCTATTTTTCACAAACCACAATGCTAGGGGCTGTACCTTGTATGTGACTGGATTCTGCCATAGCCAGAGAACAGTCTTTAAAAACAAATCTTAGTTTGGACACTGGTTTCACTGTAACCTAGGAATTTAACCTCCTTGGGCTTTCACTTTTAGCTCTCGTAATATCAGCCTAAACATAACTACCCTGTATGGTTGTGTAAAGTTAAATGCAATAACTTCACACCAGCACCCCCTTTCTACCCACAATCCCCTAGAAGTTATGATTAGGATAATTATCTTCAGTCTGTTACCTATTGAGTTCTAGCATTCCTCTTAAGTGGCTCTTGGGATGGCAGAAGATATAGACACTGTTTAAACCTTTTATCTCTTTATTGTATTCTGGGTTGACACAAATTTTTTAAAAATAGATTCCAGCCTTTTATTTATGTATTTATTTATTGGAAAAGACATTTAAGCTAAGTGCAGTGGAGCACACTTGTAGTCCCAGCTACTCAGGTAAGTGAGGCAGAAGGATCACTTGAGCCCAGGAGTTAGTTGAAAGGTAGCCTGGGCAACATAGTGAGATGCCATCTCAAAAAAGAAAAGGAAAGAAAGGAAATTTCCTACTTTTCTCACTATTATTCATGTCTCTCTAGAAGCAAATACTTGTAGAAAAGTTAGAGATAAGGGATAATAATCTTCTTCCTCTTCGCCTCCGTTTCAGTCTCTCTCACCTCTTTTCTTCATGGATGAGTGAGCTCACAATTCTCCCTTCAACATAGATACTTTACAGGAGCAAAATGAGGAAGTAAAAATTACTACAAGAAGAAAGTACGAGATCAGGCCATATTATCCAGCATTAACAAAAAAGTTTAACACATTTCTATGGCCTGTGATATCTTTAAATATGTCCATAGACATCATTTTGGGTGAACTCTACAGCCAATTTGACTATGAAAAAATGAAGAAAGAATGATTATCTCCATTAAACAAATAGGGAAGCTGAGGTTTCATGGGACCTAAAGAAAAGAGAAAATAGAGGAGAGAAGGCATCTTGCTTTCTAGCAATTGACATCCTGTTTTTGGCCTATCCACCAAAATATATGCCAATCAATTGAAGCATTATTAATGCATTACCAACATCAGGAAAATGCTAGAAATATGTATGTCGGATGAGTGTTTCTCGTTGGATTTTAAATATTTATCATTAGACTGCAGTATATATAGGTTCTTCGTTTCATCTCTCCAGAATGAGAATTATTCACAATAAACTTAAGCTTTAAATTCTTATTTAAACAATTGAGTACCCCCCCAACAGTATTTGTTGACACTTCTCTTGAGCTATTTTCTTTCTACTTCTCCGTGTAACTCATAGCCTATTAAGAAAAATAAATTTGAGCCAAAATCCTCAATTTAACAAAACAGGGAAAGAATTAAAATTATATCGTTCAAAACAACAATGATCAAGCAACAAAGAACCCTCAGTCAGAGTTCAGAGGATGTTTATGCACTAAGAGGAAACGCTGTCTTTGGCATGAAGAGGGGTTATTGAAATGATCTAATTTCAGACAAGGTACATAACTGAAGTTGTAGTCCAAGTTTATTGTAGTTCAGTATCTTTTTAATTAGGTAATTTTAAGTTTATAGTTTTGAATCATCAGGGAAAAAAATTGCAACATAGTCTGTTTAGAGTCAAGGCATGCTGCTGACACATTCAAAAAGTCCCGAACCTTCATAAATAAACACTGCCAATGTTTATTTCAAAACATCTGAGAACAAGGAAAGAAGAGATTCTCTGAATGCTTCAGATTGGAACTGTTTGTGCTGAGTCATCTTTATCTGTAGATCCCTTCTGAGATACAGTGGAGTGTGTTCAGTACCTACCAAATGCACAGATACGAATAATTATGGAAGGAGAATCTCATTACAAAACTTTTTTTCTACCTAAAACACTGCCAAAAAAATCTGGAAAAATAATTTTCTCTATAACTAGGTAAAATGGTTTTTATTTTCAGGGCTCTTAGAAATAACTTTTTCGAAGAGAAAACTTATATAAATTGAATCTGGAATCTTGTTTCTTCATTTCTCTTACATTTGGTGGGGAGGTTTTTGTTTGTTTGTTTTTTGTTTGTTTGTTTTAGACTTACCATGACTTTATAAATTGAGTCTATAAGGCTAGCTTCTGAGGTTATTTCTCTCTACCTCGTAGAAACTGATTCAGTGGTTTTCACCAAGTAAATGGTGGGGATATTTTGACTTCACTGGCCAAACCACTGGACAATACCTTAGCCTTGCTAAAGGGAAAATAGCAAACAATTTTCTGTTAGTATGTGTTATTCCACAGGAAAAGATTATGAAAGCTGTAACTTTTGTCATTCTATAGCTAGTGTACAGTCTCACAAATATTATTAGTATTACCTCTCAGAGTTTAATTAAATATTATGTTCATGTCCAGGAATAAACAGAAAATAACATTGTACACATCCTGAAATTTTCCTTTTAATAAGCTGTCCAAAGGTATATGCATTGTTCTCAGAGGTCGGGACTTGAAAGCAGCTTATGTGATTTTCTCTCATTTCCTTCATGCAATTCAGCATTCCAGAAACATTTATTATCAATTAGTATTGAGAGGTGACAGCGTGCTGTCAGCCCTCGCAGCCCTCGCTCGCTCTGGGCACCTCCTCGGCCTTGGCGCCCACTCTGGTCGCACTTGAGGAGCCCTTCAGCCTGCCGCTGCACTGTGGGAGCCCCTTTCTGGACTGGCCAAGGCCTGAGCCGGCTCCCTCAGCTTGCCGGGAGGTGTGGAGGGAGAGGCGTGGGTGGGAACCAGGCTGCCCAGGGCACTTGCGGGCCAGCCGAGTTCCGGGTGGGCATGGGCTCCGCGGGCCCCACACTCAGAGTGGCCGGCCAATCCCGCTGGCCCCGGGCAGTGAGGGGCTTAGCACCTGGGCCAGCAGCTGCTGTGCTCGATTTCTCACCGGGCCTTAGCCGCCTCCCCACAAGCAGGGCTAGGGACCCGCAGCCTGCCATGCCTGAGTCTCTCCCTCCTCCCCCCGCCCCCGCCCCCACCCCCGTGCCCAGAGGAGCACCGCCCCCTGCTCCACGGTGCCGGGTCCCATCGACCGCCCAAGGGCTGAGGAGTGCGGGTGCATGGCTGGCAGGCAGCTCCACCTGCAGCCCCGGTGCAAGATCCACTGGGTGAGGCCAGCTGGGCTCCTGAGTCTAGTGGGGACTTGGAGAACCTTTGTGTCTAGCTAAGGGATTGTGAGTGCACCAATCAGCACTCTGCCTAGCTCAAGGTTTGTCACACCAATCAGCACCCTGTGTCTAGCTCAGGGTTTGTGGATGCACCAGTTGGCACTCTATCTAGCTAATCTGGTGGGCACTTGGAGAATCTTTATGTCTAGCTAAGGGATTGTGAATGCACCAGTTGGCACTCTGTGTCTAGCTCAAGGTTTGTAAATGCACCAATCAGTGCTCTGTGTCTAGCTAATCTGGTGGGGACTTGGAGAATCTTTGTGTCTAGCTAAGGGATTGTGAATGCACCAATTGGCACTCTGTATCTAGCTCAAGGTTTGTAAATGCACCAATCAGCACTCTGTCTAGCTTAGGGTTTGTAAATACGCCAATCGGCACTCTGTATCTAGCTCATCTAGTGGGGAGGTGGAGAACTTTTGTGTCTAGCTCATGGATTGTAAACACACCAATCAGCACCCTGTCAAAATGGACCAATCAGCTCTCTGTAAAACAGACCAATTGGCTCTCTGTAAAATGGACCAATCAGCAGTATGTGGGTGAGGCCGGATAAGAGAATAAAAGCAGGCTGCCTGAGCCAGCAGTGGCAACCCTAGGGCCCTGTCCCATTCCAGACTGTGGAAGCTTTGTTATTCGTTCTTTGCAATAAATCTTGCTACTGCTCAGTCGTTGGGTCCACACTGCCTTTACAAGCTGTAACACTCACCATGAAGGTCTGCAGCTTCACTCCTGAAGCCAGCGAGACCACGAACCCACTGGGAGGAATGAACAACTCCAGACGCGCCACATTAAGAGCTGTAACACTCACCGCGAAGGTCTGCAGCTTCACTCCTGAGCCAGCGAGACCATGAACCCACCAGAAGAAACAAACTCCGGACACATCCGAACATCAGAAGGAATAAACTCCAGACACACCGCCTTTAAGAACTGTAACACTCACCGCGAGGGTTCGCGACTTCATTCTTGAAGTCAGTGAGACCAAGAACCCACCAATTCTGGACTCAGTATGTTATAGACCCCATACCAGGCCCCGGGAGTGGAGAATGGGCTATGATCACTGCCAGCAAGATTGCCATTATCTAGCAGATAGAAACAGGTTTGTAAAGAAAAAGTTAAGTATGTGTGATAAATCCATAAGATACAATGAGGATTCAAAGGAAAGACATTTTTGGAATGTGCTAGTAGAATCGTTGACTCTTAAGTAGAGTAGGCTGGATTTTTTCTTGATTCTTCAAATAAATGTATTCTTCTATGACATTCTCAAAAAGACTAAGTTGAAAATAATTTTAAAATATGAAACTGGAACAAATATTAAAATTTTAGTGTTAACTCATACTCTAAAAGCAGATCATTTGTTAACTCTATTTTATGCAAAATAACACACCTCTTAGAAGAGATACATTTATAAAGTGTCTTTCATTTTTATAGCACAGCGTGTTCCATTTAGGGCCAGTCTCGCAAGTTAGAGTTGGGAAATTTTCCCATAAGAATGACACATAGCTATGTCAAGGAGTTTGAAGACAAGCGTGTTTGCAATAGCACCCACGTAGAGAGAACAGAGTGATCAAAAATCAAAGGATCAAAAAAAGAACGCTCAGTTCAAATAACTGCAAATTAAATCTTCCTTTTTGCCAGTTAAGGTTCTTCACACCAGATTCTACCTTTTTGTGAATAGATTTCGCTTGTGTTTTCATTTTCTTATGTTATCACAATTCATGGCTGAAGGAAAATTCACGGCATGGCATCCCTCTTCAGATGTTGATAAAAAAAATCTGCAGACTTGAAACTTTTTTTTCTGTCTAAACAGAATTCTTTTTTCCCTTTGAGTCCTTTCATGCTCAGCTCCTTATCTGAGTTCAGTAGCAGGCATATTTCCTTAAGGGCATCAAAATGTACACTTTTCTCACTAATTAGGCATTTTAATAGCTAAAGCTAAGAAAAAAAACACTGAGAATACCAAGTGTTGGTGAGAACAGGAGCACCTGGAACTTTTTTCTGTTGCTGTTGGGAATATGTAACAATCCAACCACTTTGGAAGATTATTTGGCAGTCTCCTGAAGAATTAAACACACCCCATGGCTCACCAACTCCACTCTTTGATATGCAACTAAGAGAAATACATGCATGTGTCTATCTTAAAAATAAACAAAATGAAAATTTATGTTAAGAATATTTATAGAAGCTTTTTTATAGCCATAAACTAGAAAAAAAATTGAAAGTTTTTCTAGTCTTCACCAGAGTGAAGGGCTGCTGACAGTTCTCTAGTTCATCAATCGGAGAATGGATAAATACCATGTATATCTACACAATGAAATACTTTCAGCAATTTAGAAAGGGCAAATTACTAATACATCAATGTAGATGAACCTCAAAAATTCTGTGTTAAATAAAAGAAGGCAGAAAAAATACATACTGTATTATGTAATTATTTAGCTGAAGAATAAACAAAACTAATCTATGGAGATAGAAGTCAGAACAATGGTTTCCTCTGAGGTGGAATATTGCCTGGGAAGGGGCATGGTGAAGCTTTCTAAGTTGATGGAAATTATCTTAATCTTTATCTAGGAGTAATTACAAGAGGATGTAGATATGTTTGAAGTCAATCAGCTTATAAGTTAAGATTTGGGCATTTTACTGTAGTAAGTTATACTTCAAGAAAGGAGACTGCAAAATTCCTAAATATTTTTAAAGAGTCTAACTTTTATATTGGAGAACAGCAAAAAACATAAAGAAAATATGTGACTGAAGTTTTAATCAAAGAACGTAAAACTTCTCCATGTCTGGCAAATCCAATGAGTCAAGTAAAAAGGCCCAACTATGATTACTTCCTGCTTAAAAATGAATGGTTAAAAACTGAGAAAATAATCAGTGTAAACATGAGGATAACTGTTCAGTGAAAACCTTGACTGAATTTACAGATAAACTGGTCTGATTTTCAATCAGAGAAGCTAGCTACTTCAAGTATGTTAAGCAAAGTGGCCTAGGATATCCAAGAAGAAAAAGTTGGTGAACTTTGCACAATAATCTGAATTGGCGAGTAGTGGTACTCAGCTGTGACTGTAAACACCACAGAAGAGAAAGATTCATGGTATACAGAACTTCAAGGTCATCTGCGTCTACTTTGCGTGAAAGGGGAGTTGGTTGGGGTAAGAAGCCACACGTTTATGAGGAGAAACTAGTGGTTTGACTGGACCGTCAGAGCCCTTGAAGAAGAAAGACTGAATGGCTGGTGACAAGGAAGTCTGATCTCCCCATTAGATAAACTTTACTACTGATATGAAAGTCTGCATAGGGATTCCAGGGAAATTCTTTTTTTTTTTTTTTTTTTTTTAGACGGAGTTTTGCTCTTGTTGCCCAGGCTGGAGTGCAGTGGCGTGATCTCAACTCCCTACAACCTCCACCTCCCAGGTTCAAGCGATTCTCCTGCCTCAGTCTCCAAAGTAACTGGGATTACAGGTGCCTGCCACCACACTCGGCTATTTTTTGTATTTTTAGTACAGAGAGGATTTCACCATCTTGGCCAGGCTGGTCTTGAACTTCTGACCTCGTGATCCACCTGCCTGGGCCTCCCAAAGTGCTGGGATTACAGGCATGAGCCACCGCCCCGCTCCTGGCCTCCACGGAAATTCTAACATTTCATCTATGCCTCCCAATACAAAGATGTTCCCTGAAATATCAGGCCTATTGTCCTAGGCAACCACAGAAACCTTTCCCAATACCACCACCTCTTTTTTTTGTCATTTGACTCATGGGACTACAACCAGAAAGTCAAAAGGGGATCTTCCATGTCCGCGGGGTCTTAATTCAGACTTCTGGCGGCAACATTCTTCTGTCGCGTACAAAAACCACTGAAATAAAGGATCCTAGAGTCATAGAGGTGAGAAAAAAAAAAAAAAAGCCTTGGAAGTGGATGATTAGGTGTAGTCAGCAGACACATCACGCATTCTCCATTCATTGTTCCCAGATCTAGCCTTTCTAGCCAAGGGAGGAACCTAGGCAGTTCAGTCATAGGAATAATAGAAAATGACTAAGACTTGGTCAGTGGAAAACGCAACCAAGATCCCCGCTTCTACATCTCTCTTTCCTGCACCCTGCATTCCCATGCCACGGCATTTTAAAGCAGCCCTCTGTTACAACAGCCCCCTGCTCCCTGCTCTGCTCATATTCCCTCTGCTGAAATGTTCTTCCCCCAGATATCCATGTGGCTCATTTCTTCATTTCCTTGAGTCTTTGCTCAAATGTCACATTCCCAGGAAAGTCTGCCTTTACCACCTTACTTAAAAATTGCAAATCCCCTGGCCCCTGAACCCCCCCTCCACCAACTTAACACCCCGGGTCCGTTTTCCTCTGCTTCACTAGGTGTCACTAGCCCTTATCACATTGTAGCATACTACAGAATTCACTTATTTATGTATTTATGTTTATTTTCCATCTCCTTCCACTAGAAAGTAATCCCCATCTTCTTTTTTCACTCATGTATTCCTGGTCCCCATAACTGCAGCTGGGACTCAATCAATGCTCGCTAAATATTTGTTGAACTATTCCGCTGAATAAGTAAATAAATTCCACAGACTGAAAGCTATGAAGGTGCAGGGACTAATGTGTATTCATTTTTGTATTCCTTGCAATCAGTGTTGTACTTGGCACATGCTAGGCTCTCAAAAAATGCTTGTTGAATAAACGAATGGATGGAAAATTTAATCCCAAATTGAAATAGCTGAATGTATTTTTTCTACTGAAGTGGAGATTCCTGCACAGTATAGGTGGTAAATCAGAGGAAGGAGGAATGATACAGTAATAGTAACAGTAGCAATAACAACAACAACAACACTAATAATAGCCAGTTAGTGGTAATGTCTTATCTGTCAAGCCTGGGGTTTGATACATATTAGCCCCAGGCCCCACATTCACCCTGCAAGGAAGGTATTAATATTATTAACTTCATCTTATAGATGAAGGCATTAGGGATCAGAAGGTTTTAACAACTATTTAGGGTCAAATAGATGGTAAAGGCAGCTGGGATTTAAAACTGGAACTACTCCCGTTAAAGACAAAGCGCCATTTTGCATAATACACATTTTGCTCTTCAAATCTGGAAACCAAACAGTGTTTTTCTTCCCGTGACACATGTGCTGATGTGGCAGAAATAACAATTCTGGCAGCATTTACCACCCAGCATATTAAGGCATTTGGAAAAGAAGGTAGCCTCATGTGAAAGAGTTGCTGTCCTCAAAAACTGAACAACATAAACATAAATTGAGAACTAAGGGGAGTAGACCTCCCTGCGGTGGTTCAAGAAAAGTTTCCAAGAGGTAACAAATATGGAGGAAGTATTCAAATGTATATTAGAGATGAGGAAGAGAAAAGGCAGTATATCAGTAGAAACAGAAAAAAGTGGACTGAGCCTAGTAGAGAAAAAGAATAATTTATTAAGCTGATGTGCACTGTATATAAAATCATTCCTTCATACATTCAGCCATCCAACACCTACTGTGAAATTCCTATGTTCAAGGCACCTTTTTGGGTACTGAACATAAAGGAAAACAGTCATGAGGAAAATCCCTTCCCTCATGGAGCTTACATTAAAGGGGGGGAGGCAAAGACAGAAAAATAAAACGTAGGTATAATATAAAGTATATCACATGGGACTAATGCTAAATAGAAAAAGCAGAAAAAGGAGGTCAGGAATATTGGGGGTTGTAATTTAAATAGTGTGCCATGTTAATATCATTTGATGCTATCAAAGAAATTGATGCATTTGGGCAAAATTGTCAGACTTTTGTAAAACAATTCAACCTTGAGCTCTGTTTGGCTGCTCAAGATTTTCTCGTCCTTAAATCAAAGCTGGCAGTTCAAGGAGGTGATGTACTGTGCCTCTGTACTTGAAACCTCTTCACTGATTGCTCTCAGATGAGAATAATAGCAGAACGCCAGCCAATTTCTAGGCTGGTGAGAATCTTGGGGAAAGAGAGTTTTAAAAATATTGTGCCCCACGGAGTCACCACAGTTGGTGAAGAATAACAGTGGCTCGTTAGGCCAGCCAACATTCTAGCCTGACCACTAAGTGTCATTGTGGTCCCAGCACACAGACCTGGGTCAGGAAGAGAAAAGAAGAGGCATAAAATGCAGATCATGAGCAATGAGCTTCATCATATTTGATAGGTCATTTCTAGAGAATTACACCATTAAGGAACGTGGGAGTGCAGAGTAGCAGATGTACAGAACTTCAGAAAAACAGCTTGTGTAGTGCTTTAAAATTAGTTAGGAGCTTAATAAAAATTGACATCTATATGGACACTATCTCATGGTTGAAAAGCCAGCTGAAAGGTTGAATAGACTGTAAACGAATGAAAATAAATGGATAGCAAGTCATACTGGGAGGAGTTCAGGTTGGCATTTGAAGAGCTCTTATTTAGCATGAGAGCTTGGTGACTAAGCTATTACATTGGGATAAATAGATTGGGAATGAAATGTGCAAATGAACTAAGCTGGCAGGAATCATTGGAAAGGTAGGAAACCCTATACCAGGGAATTGTTTATATTCAGATTTAGAAAAGGGCTGCTTCTGAACATCTGTTTTCAGAATATATAGCAGCGTCATGTGGGCTGGAAAGTCAGGAACAGGCTGCACTCATGAATGGAAGAAAGGCAGCTGGCACAGGAGAAGAATTGAAAGGCACTAAGCTAGGTGGGCTTGGCAAACTGATGATAAAGCATGAAACAATCTATAAACACTTAAAAGATGTGAACACCAAGGAGAGTGCAAAATTACTTATCCTGATATCCTAGGGTAGACTAATGGGAGGAAAGTTTAAAAAGGATAATTAGAGTCAAATAATTTCTTTAAAAAATTGTGAGCCTCGCCATTTAGACTAAGAAATGACTCAGGTATGCATCATATTATTATTTCAAGACCCACTGCTCAAATGTCATGATATTTTGGTGGGGTTTTATATGTTTGTTGTTGTTGTTTGTTTTTGTTTTTGTTTGAGATGGAGTTTTGCTCTTTTTGCCCAGGCTGGAGTGCAATGGTGCAGTCTCAGCTCACTGCAACCTCCGCCTCCCGGGTTCCAGTGATTCTCCTGGCTCAGCGTCTCGAGTAGCTGCTTTTACAGGCGCATGCCACCATGCCTGGCTAATTTTTGTATTTTTAGTAGAGACAGGGTTTTGCCATGTTGGCCAGGCTGGTCTTGAACTCCTGACCTCAGGTGATCCACCCACCTCGGCCTCCCAAAGTGCTTTGTTGTCTTTTCGACTTCTTCTCTCCCACATTCCCCAGGGCAGAATTAATCACTCTTTGGATTATCTCCTCAGTGCATTTAAAAAATGCTTTTATTATAGCACTGACCACTCTGCACTTTAGTTATATCTGATTCTATTACAAGAGAGTGAGTTTCTCCTTTTTTTTTTTCCTTTTTCAATGTTTATTTTAGAATCAAGGGGTGCATATGTAGGTTTATGGTTTAGGGTAGGACTGACCCCATCACCCAAGTAGTGAGCATAATACCCGATAGGTAGTTTTTCAGCCTGTGTCCCCCTCCCTCTCTCCACCCTCTAATAGTCCCCAATGTCTATAGTTTCCATCTTTATATCCATGAGTACCCTATGCTTACCTCCCACGTATAAGTGAGAACATGCCATATTTGGTTTTCTGTTTTTGTGTTAGTTCACTTAGCCTCCAGCTGCATCCATGTTGCTGCAAAGGACATGATTTCCTTCTTTTTTATGGCTGTGTAGTGTTTCATGGTATATATGTACCACTTTTTTTTTTTATCCAATTCACTGTTCTTGGGCACTTGGGTCGATTCCATGTTTTTGCTATTGTGAATAGTCCTGTGATGGACATAAGGTGTGTGTGTCATTGTAGTGGAACAATTTCTTTTCCTTTGGGAATATACCCAGTAATGGGATTGTTGGCTCGAATGGTAGTTCAACTTGTATTTCTTTGAGAAATCTCCAAACTGCTGTCTACCGTGGTTGGGCTAATTTATACTCCCACTGACAGTGTATAAGTGTCCCCTTTTCTCCATGGCCTCACCATCTGCTATTTTCTGACTTTTTAAGAATAGTCTTGCTGCCAGGAGTGGTGACTCACACCTGTAATCCCAGTACTTTGGGAGGCTGAGAAGGGTGGATCACTTGAAGCCAGGAGTTTGAGACCAGCCTGGCTAACATGGCAAAACTCCATCTCTACTAAAAGTAAAAAAATGAACCAGGCGTGGTGGCACATGCCTGTAGTCCCAGCTACTCAGAAGGCTGAGGCAGGAGAATCACTTGAACCCAGGAGGCAGAGGTTGTAGTGAGCCGAGATTGTTGTCACTGCACTACAGGCTGAGTGACAGAGCGAGACTGTGTCTCAAAAAAAAAAAAAAAAAAGAAAGAAAGAAAAGAAAGAGAGAGAGAAAGAAAGAAAGAGAGAGAGAAAGAAAGAAAGAAAAGGCATTCTGACTGGTGTGAGATACTATCTCATTGTGGTTTTGAGTTGCATTTCTCTGATGACTAGTGATGATGAGCATTTTTTCATATGTTTTGGGCCACTTGTGTATCATTTTTTTGAGAAGCGTCTGTTCATGTTCTTTGCTCACATTTTCATGGGATTATTTGCTTTTTGATTTGCTTAAGTTCCTTATAGATTCTGGATATTAGACCTTTGTTGGGTGCATAATTTGCAAATATTTTTTCCACTGTAGGTTGTCTGTTTACTCCCTTGATAGTTTCTCTTGCTGTGCAGAAGCTCTTTAGTTTAATTAGGTCCCACTTGTGAATTTTTGTTTTTGTTGCAATTGCTTTTGAGGACTTAACCATAAATTCTTTGCCAAGGCTGATATCAAGAATGGTATTTCCTAGGTTTTCTTCTAGGATTTTTATAGTTTGAGGTCTCACATTTAAGTTTTTAATCCATCTTGAGTCCACTTTTGTCACTTTATACGGATAGCCAATTACCCAGCACCATTTATTGAATAAGCATTCTTTTCCCTATTGCTTTTGTTGAGTTTTTTGAAGATCAGATCAGGGTCTTATTATATTTTGTACCTCAAGCACCTAGAATATTCAATGGTATTTTAAATGTTTAGTGCATTGAATGGTACCCTTATGTGTTCATCTGAGATTTCATTACTAAAGTTATCATTTGTTACCTAAGGTAAGGAAGGCTACATTGTGTTTAGAATATATATGTGAGAAAGTATTTTATGTACTGCTATGAATAGACCGCCAATATATCCATTTACCTTAGTAAAATGATAAAGTACCAAGCGTTGTGCATAGCTTGCTTCTTTATGTGTAGAAATGAGAGTCAAATAAGGATATAGTCATAGGTGCTATTATTTTCATAAATAAGACCTGGAAGGATACTTCCAGTAAGGGAAAGTGCGGTGATAGCATGATGGGGACAGCAGTAAAAGCAAAATTTTTTACTGTATACATTGTTATATTTTTTGACTTTGTAAATATTTGTTCATTAGGTATCACCTGCTCAAAACATTTAATTTTTTTTTTTTTTAACAAACCAGTCACATGGGGAATTAAAACAACAGCAACAGTAACGACAAAGGGCTGCATAGGCTTACGTGGATAATCAGTTTAAGCAGAAAGGTACTGCCATTTGTTTGTTTTAAAAAATGAATTCAATTCCAGTATGGATAAAATTGTTGTTGAAGAAATTGAAGGGAATTTATATTTTCTCATGCAAGCCATGGTAATCAAAATTCTTTTGAAACGCTCACTGGATAAAGGTGACTGCTTGACTATGTTTCTGTTAATTGCACTACTAAGGGTAGCATGCCTTAAGGATCTTCCATCTGTTGCATTGAACCCAAGACAATTCCTTAACATATTGTTAGAAAGTCAATATTTTAAATAATGAGATTTATATGTCCTTGAGGTAGTGTTGGATACTAAAATAGATTTAAATGAATTTTCATTTGTCTAAACTAATTAGTGATTGCTTCTCTGGCTGATTACTTTTTAGAAAAAAACTCTCACACCAACATAAATATATATATATATATATATATATATATATGCATTTGAGAGGCACTTGTCAAAGTATAATTTTCAAGAAGTTATGTAACATAATGTATACAAATACACAATGAGCATGAGTTAAATATTTATTTAACTTATTAATAAGAGAACCAGCTAGACAGTAACGCTGATTCAAAGGAGTAGAGCAGGGGAATTATATAGGCATGGGAGCAAAAACATTTGAATAAGATGGTATCACGTACAAAACTGGTTAATATATCCTATAGAGCAATAAAACCATAACCTTTGGGGTTATCTTTTCTACTGGGCAGAAATCATTTGAATCTCTACCAGATAAAAATTTACCAGAAAACATGCAACTTCACAGAAAATGGATTTTTAATCAATAGTTAGATATAATCAAACAGAGGTATATTGTCCTGAATAATTAAATAATACTTGGACAGGCCTGTTAAAGGTCTGATATGATATTGAAAGAACATGTCACCCTCTTTTTGCCTTCTTTCCAAGTAGGCAATGTTTCTTAACACATGTTAGTGAAAGTCAAAGTTTGTGAAAGAATGGTATGAGCTAAAACTCCTATCTTTGCCCTCAGGCCTGAAATAAGAAAGCAATTCAGAGAGAAGGAACAATGGTATATTTAATATTTTAAAATGTGGGCCTCTTCTAATAGGATTCTCCCCATATAATGAGCTAAAAGAAAAAAGAGAATGATTCACTAATGTATAATAAGTTGCAACTGATATTATTATGCTAAGGATAAAGACAGGGTTGATACCACTTATGAATATGATAATAAATTTGACTTTACTCAGTCAGTGATGAAATGCATCAGTACTCTTAGATTGATTCCTTGAGATGAGGAAGCATTGTAATCTACAAAACTACCCTGACTGGTAGAAAAGCATTTTATGTTTATGGAGACTTGAGATGCAGCTTTAACACAAGGAAGTATCTTAACAATTCAACCTTGTTTTTCCTTGTTAATTAGGAAGGTGAAAAGCAAAGCTTATAGCTGTGTTGGTTCAGAGTAAATGATAGGATTCATCACCAGAAGACGTATTTTTTGATGCATTCAACCCAGCCACAGTCGGTTCTCTAAATTGTAATTAAGGTAGTTGTGTAGTAAATGGGAATGGCTTAGCCAGAGTTTTTTCAGGAAAAGTGAGGGACTAGAGAGAAACCAGAAATACAAAGTTCATGCTAACAAAAAGATAATTTTTCAAGAATTAATGCAATCTATCTTTTTTCGGAAACTGATATAAGACATAATCTCAGGGATCACTAAGTGAAACTATATGGCTATTTTTTGAAATAATAGATTAGTCTAGGAAAATTCTTAGAAATTTGTTAAACAGATAATCCATAAACAACCTTTTCACACGTGAAATCATGGGCTAAGCCAAGAATAAGAATAATCCTATCTTTGCCCAACACAGTACTATTTTCTCTATATCTTTTTATGTTTATTCTATTTAATATCCTATGGAATTTTAGGTTGGAAAGTTTACAGTTGACATGAATATTCTTTTTATACTTCCTCATAGAAATATCAGACATATTATGCCTGCATAGAAATTTGCCATAGAAGAGGAAGAGAAAAAGGAGGGGGAAGAAGAAGAGGAAGAGGACGATATTATCCAAATATTTCTCTTATATTGGGCAGATGACTTGGAAAGGGGAAAATATTATAAAGTGAAACATATGCAATTTGAATTATTTGAAAGCCCTACAACTATTATTATAGAAAGAAATCTGGCCCAAATAGAAGTGTCTCCAATACTACTTAATGTTTTCTTATACACTAAAAGCTGATGTACTATTTGGGAAAAAATAGGAGCTGGAAAAATGTCCACCTAACATGTTCAAAGGAATGTCATTATCCTTTATATTTCTCTGTGCCTGAGGCAGACTTTTCCTTTGTTCTTTTCTCAATTGGTCTCTTAATAAAGCCTAAGGAGGAGAAACTTTGCTTCCCCATTAAAGTAAGGCTATTAATTAACCATATTTGCCAAATAAGACTGGGAAAGTAAAGTATTAAGTAGGAGTCAAACTCAAATGCTGCAAAGTCCTAACTGTGAATGCAATACAGAGAACTTTCAATGGTAGAACCACCATTTGTGCTTCAACTTATAGGGGGGTAAAACACCAACATTATTTTAAGATCTGGTTGCTAGCAATCAAAACCTAGGCTTTTGGGCCTCTTTGTGATGTATGGTAGAAAACTGCATTGTTGTTGTTGTTGTTTTAATTTATGTAAAAATCTCAGAAAATGGCCTTGACTTAAAAAAACAAAAAGCAAACAAGTAAGCAAAAAATCCTGTCTAGAGAGGGACCACATAGGATCTAGGGACACTACTGAATAATTCCAGGGAAGAGGAATTTCCTCTCTTGTGCTGATTTGATGAAAAGGAGAAAGCCTTAGAGGGGTTAAACACTGGTTTGGAATAAGGCAGAAATAGAAAAGAAAAGATCTCCAAGAGAAGTTCTATTCTCAGAAGCAGACGGGGCTGAAAGCCGCCTCTGGCAGACAGACCCCCATCCTCAAAGAGGCAGCCAGGAGCTCAAAAGCTATGAAGAAAGTCTACCAAAGAGACAGAGAAGGCAAGTCTTAGTGGGGAACTGGAAAAAAGGGGAGCATAGAAACTCATCAGAATGGAAAAATATAAAACACAACAAAGCTTTCATCTAAAATGGAGTATTTTTATATGCAAATGAGTCAAGTCAAACTAAGAAGTGATAGTCAAAGGGCAAGCCAGAAGTAGGGGAAAGTAGTTTTCCTAGTCATGCAAATGAAGATCTCAAATTTGATTTGTGACCTCACAAATGAGAAATTGAAAGTGGCCTAGACCATTAGAAGTATAAGATAATGTTATATGTCATGGGAGAGAAAAGGTTTCCAAATATAGAAGGGATTTGATATATTTTTTGAACTCCAAGACATATTAATTTTCTCATTCTTATATTAGTCTTCATCCTATTTAATGGTCCAGCACTGTAGTGCCCAATTATAGGCAATGTGGTTTGTTGGTCAATCAAAGAAATGAAGACTTAGGAGTCAGATTCTTGCCCAGATTCTACTTCTTAAAGTAACCTCAGGAAACCAAGTCTTAAGTTCTTACTCTCTTCTCTGAATACTAATCCTCTCTTATTTCCATAAAGGGTCCCTATTTTAAGCAAGTATTTGAATCCTCAAATTGAAAGATTTTAAGCAATGAGAAAGAACAAACCAAAAAATTGTATCAAAATTACTAAGGTTTACTAAAGAGAAAAAAATGACAAATTCATGGGAAAAGATCCTAAAACAAAATCAGATTAAGGTCTTTGACCTATTGAATCACTAATCTTGGAAGAATTGAGATTTCATAGTTATTCTTTAAATGGAAAGAATGATCTTGCATCCTCTGGTACAAATTCTATTCATACTTTTATAAGAGGAAGGAAAAAAGTACGTATTTCAGGATATTGCCTTTTTTATCCATAAATCTTCTTAAATCTAAAATAAGCCTCTGAGAGAAGTGTACACCAGGAGGCTGGACTTTGCCTGCTGTGAGGAATTACATGGATGTGGGCATAATTTGTGAAATATATCTATATATCTATATATGGAAATATATTAAAAAGTCAGTTGAGTTTTTCAGGTTCCTTTAGTTTTTGGACAAAGAAGAGAAGTATTTCTCTTCTTATAGATTATAGTGGTAAATGAAATGATGACACCAAAGTTTTACCTAAATATAAACTTTAAAGAAAAGAGAAGGAGAGGAAGAAAAGTTGAAGGAATTGGGAAAGGAGAAAAGGAGGCAGAGAATAAGAAAAGAAGAAAAGGAAGAGGAGGAGAAAGAGCTAGAGGAAAAGGAGAAGAGAAGGGAAGAGGAGGAGGGATCCAAAGCTTTTTTATTTTCAAAATACGCTGTGTGATTGAATTCCAATTTTCCTTTCCTAAGCTGGTTTTTACTGACATTGATATTACCAGAGGTTAAGAGGATGTGATTTAAACGTTGTTAATGAAATGTATCAATACCTTCCTCTCACAAATCAGCCATGCTTGGCCAGGAAAAGTGTGGCTTGCAGTTATATCTAAAATGCCCATGCTTGGTGCATGCAAAGGGGAAAAGGAAACTACAATTAATAGAGCACTTACTTGGGGTGAGGTCTTTAACGCTGGAGACAGCATTCCCCTTACACTAACTTATGTGGCAGCAATATTGTCCATTTTGAAGAGGAAAATGTGTGTGTTGGTCAAGGTCTCATGACCAAGTAGAGGCAAAGCCACAATTCAAACCCAATTGGGTTTGACCATAGAGCCTCTTCTCTTTTGCTATCACTTGCTACCTCCATGAACCTGACTTGTTTTCAGTAAATATTTGGCTTCATCCAAGATCTGGTGAGATTAGCACTCCTCCACTGGCCATGCATCTCAAAACATATTCTTTCATTCTTGTAAAACACCAAGGCAAGTCTTTCACATGAAGAAGGCATATTAAGGGTCCTTGGTTTTTGACAGTCACCTATACTGTTAGAAATGCCTACCTACAAGACACTTGCTTCACATTCTGACACACGTAAAGCCTTCATTACATTGAAGGTAGGCTTTCAAGTCAAAGACGGAACCAGTCCTATGAACCATAGAAGCTTATATAGGTTAGTGTCTTTTACACAAGTAATATCCTCCAAACACTCTAAGTAATGCACAGGTTTAAATCCTTAGTGCTCCCCTGTCAAACTGCCCATCAATGGCTTGGTAAAAGCCACCCAGAATGGACTTTTCCTGTCCTGTATATTCTATTGCTTGGTCTTTTTACTTCAAATTAATTGCACCTGTTTGCACTTCCCGGAGTTTAGAAGAGTTATGGGTCACTCTTTTACTATAACTACCAATGTACCCTGTCAGGGGTGGTCTCATATGAAAAACTAAAGATAATCTCAATGAAATATCAATATGTCTGAAGAGCAATAAGAAAAATTATTGATTCTACCTTGATCTACAAGACTCATGGAGAAAAAAAAAAGAAAGCATTTAACCACCCCAATAAAACAGAGAAAAGAAAAAGCTATGCTATGGCTCCTTTAACTTCCAAGCCAGAATGGTGACTGCTTTATAGAGAGTTTGAATTCAATCTACCTCACGTTACTTCTTAACCCATGTGTAGTCTCTGGACCAGCAGTATTAATATCACTGTGGAGTTTCTTAGAAGTGCAGAATCTCATAATGCACCTTTTGTTACCGCTGCATCAGAATCTGCATATTAACGAGATTCTACCCTAGGTGACTCATATACTCATTCATATACATTGACCTATTGAACCTTGGAACAAAAAAGAAATATTCCTTTTCTTGGAGTTTATACTAGAAATAATAATTGCACTAAAAAATAATAATGTAATAGTAGAAATAACTTTAAAATAATAAATTTCCACAAAATAATCATTACACCAAAGTTATATCCAAATAAAAAGACTCATCTTAAAAGGAGAATGGGGATAATTTTAAACTTAATTTTTTTAAATAAGTCACAATGATCAAAGTCAAATTTTTGTTTCCTAAACTGTTTGGTCAACATTGATATAACCACAGGTTGAGTGAAGGCATTCCTTCATGTATAAATAGGAATAATATTGCCCACCTCACAGTATTGTGATGAGAATTAAATAAGATAATGTGTGAACAGTGCCTGGCACCACGCAGGCACTCAAAAAATACTAGGCTGTATTCATGACAATTATTACTAATTTTTGTACCAGAGCCAAAGTACATTAACTGGCCAATTTAACTGGCCTCTTAGTCAATTTAATTTTCTCCTCTGCCCTTTTAGAAATATGTAGATTTATAATTACAGCAAAACTTGGCTCTATATTTCTTAAATTTTTAAGAAATATACCCAATGTGGCTAGATAAAGGAAATTCTCCAAATACTCCAGACATTAACATACTGATTCTACATTCTCCTGTGGCTCAAAAATAAACAGTATAATATTCACCAGTGCAATTATAATTAGAATAGGAAATTCTTCAGTTAGGCTTTGTCTCGTGACAAAGATTATCATCCAGTTACCATTCCCTTAGCATTCTCTCTCATGTGACAAACCCACCACAATCTGTAACCGTCAACCTGGTTGCCATTTCTAATCCTAGCCTCAGAACTGTGAGCCGTGTAATTATCACTATGCCATATTAGCATTTGTGGGATCCCTTGATACTAATGGGATGCAAAAGGTGACACGTGTATGGATTGTGTCAAGTTGTCACATTGCACAAAAACATGGTCCCAATTCCACAGGCTGTAATATCCACCTAATGATACACTCATGTCACAGAAGTACATAAATAGCGTTCTGCTGCTCACTATGCAGTAGGATGTGCTCGGGGGGATGTAAGTGAATGAGTGATCACATGTCACACTAGATGATTAAAAATGAGTGGGTCCCTTTTAGAGATTAGTGGATGTTAAATTATTTCATTCACTTGCTATTCATGATGAATAATAAATCACTCTCAGAGTCTGCTGGTCTATTCATTTATTACATGAGGATGCTTAGAAGTTAATACTCTGAGATAGCCAACCCAGCAAGAATGGAGTCAGGGGATGAGGAATTCCAGTTTTGATTGCAATTTTTTTTTAATGCTGGGCCTAATATTCAGCCAGATTTTTTTCAGAGTTACACACAATTATATCTGTTTCCTAGTTTTCTTTAAGACTTCTGCTTAGACTGTTCTAGTGTCTAAAATGCTATTGGAGAGTCTTTTGAGATCAAAAAGTCTATTCATCTAAATTAATACTTCCTAAAACTATATTATTTCAGCCTCTATTTTGTAGGTATCTGGAGGATTCATTTCCTTATAGAGCATCTCTTGAACTCTTCACAGAATGTACAACACACTCAGCCCCTTTCTTCTAAGAATGCAATTAATCAATTCTTTCAGCTAGGATTTATTGAGTGCCTGTTATACTCTCAATGCTCTGATAGAGATTGTAGATGAGAAGAATATTAGCCATATTTTTGGCTCTGGAAAAGCTTAAAATTCAATTAGGAAAATGATATATTAGTATACATAAAATGATAAAAGATCAATAAACATCTAGTGTACGTGAACTTTAGGCTATGCGCCATGTTGGGGACCTTCACAAATATTATGTAATCTAATTCAATTATAACAATATTTGGGGGTTAGTATTATCATCATTTTACAAATAAAGAAATTAAACCTCAGAGATGTGATTTGCTTGTGTCCAGACAGGTGATCAGTGGAAGAAGTGAGATTCAAACCCCTCTGAACTCTAAGCCCAGTAAACTTTCCATAATTTCAAATCTTCCAAGCACAGTGTGTGTGATAATTAAGTGCTAATTTGTGTGGCAAGAAAACAGAAGCTTCTAGTTCACTGAAGAGGGTGTAGAATTATCAAATAAGCCTTTGCAGAGATAGGGTCTTCACTGAGTGGGGCTTTGAAGGCTGAATATGATGCAAGGGGCAGAGGAGAAAGGAAACAACAAAGGTAAAAACCCAGAATCCAAAACAAGAGAGTATTCCCAAGCAGAGAGGATCGGATTATGAAGGGTCTAGAAAGTTAAGCAAAAAAACTGTCAGATGCCAGGCAGTAAGAAAAAGAGCTACTGGAAGGTGTTGACAAAGATTCTGTCCTTGACCAAACTTTAGACAGGTTCCTCTGAGCCATCTTCACAACTAGGTCTAGGTCTCAACCTTGGCCTACGAGAACTGCAAACTCTGAGAAAAAATGATTTTGTCCATCCTCACCTCCACACTACGAGACTTAAGCTCCAGCATGCCTTCTATCCGCCCAAGGCCATGTTCTTAGGATGACCTCAGTCCCCTGAAAATATCTGCTTGAGGAAAGCTCAACACTGCCAAAAGAATTTACTATTTTTTCAGCTAAACCCAGACCGTAGGCCTCTGGCATCTTTCTCTTAGAGCATTTACTTCAGAAAACTTGCAATTGACAATCTTTTCTGTCCCTTTGAGATGTATCTTCTACAACCCAGGAATGTGCTTCTCAAGGACCTAGGATCCATCCCTTTGAGGTCATCAGGAAGAATAGGATTTCCATTGCTCGGTCTTTTTGGGAAGGTGGGAACCTTAACTTCCATAAGTACCAGTTAGCAAACACAAACGGCCTAATCACACTGGCCAACGCCACCCCCAACCAATATCCTTCAGTATTTTTCCTTTAGCATACCAGTGTTTATAAAGTCTTCCATTTTTTTCTTTATTTTTCTTTTTTTTTTTTTTTAGTGGAGTTGAGTTCAACTGGAGTCTCTTTCCCCCACTGCAGTATCCTAAATAAAATGTTTTTCTATCTTGAATAAACATTGTCTCTGTTTTTATTTGATGGTTTGGGGAAGCAGAGTGATAATAAAAATAATGTTCAGCTTAGTAGCAGGAAGCAAAATGGGTCTCTGTCCCCTTAAAATCCTTTAATAGATCCTTATCACATCCAGCTTAAAGTCCAAAGAATTGAGCATGTCACACAAGGTCCTCCAGGTTCTGGTTGTCATCTGCCACTCCAGCTTCGTCTTTCTCCACTCTCCAACCAACACTCAGTATTTCTGCTATAAGGTAAGCTTGCCCTTCCTGAAACAGACTGCTTTTTTCTCACCTCCATAATTTTTCAAATGCCGTTCCCTTTATCTGGACTAGTAGAAAAAAATTCTAGCATTTATGGAGCATTTAACGTGTGGTAGGCTCCATCTTAAGAAATCTCCATTCATTAGCCCGATTAATCTTCTTTACAATCTTATAAGCTACAAGACCCCCTTCTATAGACAAGGCAACTGTGGCTCATCTATAAAATGAGTTTTAGGTAATTTGCCTAAGGTCACTCAGAGAGTGGCAAATCAGATTTAACTCAAGTAATCTGAATCCTGACTGCTTTTGCTCAAGACCAAATGCAGCCCATACTATTTCCCCTCTCCCTGGGCTATGTTTTCCACTTTGTTCCCCTAGCAAAGTTCTAGGCATACTGCAAAAGTCAGTTCAAGACTCTCTACCACTTAAAAGAGTTCTAATCCCTCTCCTCTCTGCTTTTATAGCATTCTGTGTTTGCTGTGGTTACAGCCTTTGCCATATTGCAGACAGGGTTTTGTGTCCATTCGTGTCTCCCCCATCTTGATGACAGAATATCTGGTTCATGTCAGTCCTAAAACCAGTACTCACTCCACAACATAAATTCAGTTAAAGCCTTTTGTGTGAATGCTTAATAGTGGAGAGAGTCCAGCGTGAGATAAGTAGCTAGGAAAAGCTGTGGTAACAAGGACTTACATTAGTATTGGCAGTGAAAAAAAGATGCACATTCTGACAAAAAATAATAATAATAAAAAAAACTCCATGCTTGCTACTTTGTTGCATAGGATTACAAAGAAGTTTTTAAAATTGATCTAGTCAATACATATTTATTGAACCTCTTCTGTGGCTCTAGTGCTCTAGTTAGCACTCAGAGGACATTGAAATTTCCAGCATGATTACTGAGAAAACCGTAAGACCGTTGACAGGAACAGGAACATCTTTCCAGAGAAGTGCTTTGGTTTGAGGCATATATTAAAGAAAAGAATTAAGGTGTTCAAAATGATGATTTACAAAATCTTCAAGATGAAGATATTTACTTGCATGTTCCTGTTTTGATTTGATTTTTTTTTTCAGCAAGATGAAAGCTATGTCTTTGTCAATCATAGAAGAAAAGTTCATTTCAGCAGGGTATTTTCCATAGGTGGCAATATAGGAGGGTGGTTTCGAATGAGCATTGGTTTGGTAGCTGCGTAATTAAGATTGCAGTGTTATTAATGTTCCAGGCTTCTCAGCGAAAAACATGAATTGTTTGCTACTTTGCATACATTTACATGTCAAATTAAGTGAATTTTTAACCCATATATGTGGGGGAGGGGAAAAGAAATTAATACAGAGTGTATAATTATATTCAAACCCAAATTAAGAGATTGTTATGCATATCATATGCAGAATAGTTTAGTAAATCCATCAACTTCATCAAGTCCCAGGTGAAGGAAGGCAAGCTACCGTCAGTGGTATGCTGGTAAATATTTAACAATTGGCTCTCCAGGAGGAAAAAAGTTCGGATTTTCAGGGGTTTTCAATTTTCTAGGTGAAAATACTCCCACCAAGGAAAATTTCAAGCTATCAGTCTGACATTTCTGGACACTGAGTTGGGAAAACACATATACATTTAGCTCTCAGGAGCCATTACACCAGTTCCAACGTAACAGTGGCTTCCTTCAAAGATTAAAACTTCTCACATCCCACTTATTGAGCTTCTAGACTTGAGAGCTTCTTCTGAGAGAAGGTCCCTCTAACTAATCAAAGGAACATCAGTACTCATGAGAAATGGCTTTGTTAAACAGTGAACCACATATTTCTTATGTTTCTGGAATTTGTGGAAGAACTGAAGTTTTTAACTTTAAAATAAAAGCAATTATTTTTTTCATCATAGGATGGTATATGAGTGAAGGGATATTTGCTGATGCACTAAAGTCTAAATGATTCCACTCTTGGCACCAGGTCTGGGCCAGGTAAAGGATAGATGCACAGGCCACAATAGGAAAAGAAAGCAAAGTACCTGAGAGCATTGAAATTATTTGTTTAAATACCTACCTATCCTTATATATTCTCAGACCCCGAGAGCATCAACCGTGTCTTATTCAGCATTTTATCTCTGTTGAGTCCTCTGACAAACAGGGGCTCTGGATTACTGTGTACATTGACTAAGTGAGTGAACTTGCAGGGAAAACATAATGTTCAGGACACCTGCGCTGTTTGCCTAACAGGTACATTGTGAGGCTAATGCAATGACAGGTGAAAAGCATTTTGGAAAATGAAAGAATTAAATGCTAGGTATTATTGTTACCGTGATTATTATGACAGCTTAGAAGAACCAGCTGTAAACTATTTAGAGCATTATGAGTCTTTCACTCAAGATATTGACAACAATCTCTTGTAGATATAGGAATCTGGTGATGTGGTAAATGCCTTGAAGTACGGCCTTCTAAGTACATGATAGATCTCCAGTTTCAGAGACTCATGTAAGTACAGAAACTTCAGAAAATAGGAAAGTTTGTGATGCTGTTTCCAAGAACCATATTCTGACAGCAACTCTACCAGAGTGGTTTACTTGTTGATTTTTTTTTTTAACTGAGATTATTTTTCAGCCATTTCTTTTAAGCTTCTAACTAAACATATAGTTAAATTCTACTGTATTCATTTTTATCAAACAGCAGAATCTCTGGTCTGTTGACCAAAACTTATTGGTCTGTCATTTTGTATTACCTCAGAGGTTTTCAAAAGTGGGTATCAAGCAGGTCAGAGTCATCTGGGAAATCTTTTCACACTACACATATTACTCAGAAATTCTAACAGGCCCGTCACGTGATATGTCACTTTCCTCCATAGAGACTGAGAATTACTGTTTCACAAGGACACGTGTTCCTTCAAATATGATGAGATGAAAAGACAAAAAGATCAAGGACCACTGCTCTGAACTAGTTTGAGATAAGTGCTCACAGAATAAAGTTATATGTAAAGCAAAGTATTGGAGCTAAAAGGAACCTTTAAGATGTCATGCCTTCTTTGACCTCACCATTAAGAAACTGAGGCCCAGAAAGTCAGGCCATCTGCCCAGGTCCAGTGCTCTTCAGTAGAAAGGCAGGGTGCAGAATTCTGATTCTTTGCTTACCTGGCCAGTGTTCTTTACACCACGTGATGCCCTTTCTCCTCAATGACCATTTACCACAACATCAGTGCATTATCAGGATATAATATTCAAAATGTTACTTTATCTATTAGTACCATCTTAGTTGGTGCTCAGTCTGTTTATACATCTTTTATATTAATAAATATTTTATAATTTGATATTAATTTTATTGTCCTTCTCTATGGTACTCACCTCCTTGACCCAACTTCCTATGTCCACAGCCATGTTTGTGCCACATACTTTATAGAGTCCCAAACTTCTATTATTATTCAGTGAGAATTAGCATACTTTTATGTACCAAGACAGTGTTATTTGCTGAAGATACAGTGCTGCACAAAACAATGTCTTTATCTTCACAGACTGTACAATCTAGTTAAATGGTTAGATGAATAACCAGATAATTATAATACAGAGTGGTAAGTGCTGTGATGGGGAAACTACAGATTTTTGTGGGAACCCAGAGAAGAGATACTGTATTTGTTACCTGTGCTGTGTAACACATTACCCCAAAATTTAGTGGTTCAAAACAACAAATATTTGCCATCACTTTATTTATTTGGATCAAGAATGCAGGCACAGATGAGCTGGGTTCCTCTGGCTCATCTCTCATAAGGCTGAAGCCAAGCTTCAACAAGGGCTATGCTTTCATCTGAAGGCTCATTTGGGAATGAGGGGGCATCTGTTTCCAAGCTAACTTATGTAACTTTTTGCAAGCCTGAAAAGATTTGTTTCCAAGCTCACTGGCATAGTTGGCAGGCCTAGTTTCCTTACCACATGAGCATCTCTATAGATGTTTGAGGGGCCTCTGGCAATTGATGATCCAAGAAAGCGAGAGTCAAACAGTGAGAAAGGGTGCTGGACACAAAAGCCATTGTCTTTTTGTAACCTAATCTTGGAAGTGACATTATAAGTAGGAAATACTTTCAGTGTATTTCAGTCATTTATATTTCATTAATTCAACTCACATCAAAGGGAAGAAATTCCTTAAGAAAAGATCACTGGGGCCAACTTAGAGACTTCCTACCACAGAAACTCTAAATGAGCAGGGGTTGGGGGTATAGGTCAAAAGAGCCACCCCACCCTCACCTCTCAGGAAGTGGTATCTGGATGAACTTGAAAAAGAAGGCTGAGCAGAACTTTCCAGGCTGGAGGGGTGTGTGTGTGTGTGTGTGTGTGTGCACGTGTATGCATACACACTCAAGGGTGTAAGGGAGCTATTCTTGGGATAGGGATAGTCTGTGCAAGAGAGTAATGGCAAGAGAAAGCAAGTTTAGTATTCCTGGAACATAGAAGTATAATAGGAGGTGAAGAGTGGTTGAAAAAAAAAAATGAGGCTGATTGGAGAGGTAAGCCTAAAATGGGTCATGACCTCTCCCACTTGCTTTTTTTTCACCCCTGTAATGATTTCTATTATTTAATAACTTGGTTAAAGACAGATTATTGAAAGACCTATCAGTCAAGCTGTTTCTGACTGCAAGTAAAATAATTTCCAGCTCAAAAGGACTTAACAATTAGGAATATATGAGCTTGCATAAAACTAGAAGGTCTCCAGGGCTGACTGAGTCAGTAGCTCAAGAAGAGCTTTTTCTGTTTATCCACTCAGCCATGCTCAGTGTTGGCTTCATTCCATGATGTCCCATCCCTGCACAACAATGTCCCATGAAAGAAGAAAGATGTTCTCTTCCTGCATTTCCTACTGGAGAAAACCTTTCCCAGAGTCTCTAGATTTTTCTGCTCTCACTTCTCAGTGGCCAGGATTAGGTCACAGACTCATTCCTGACTGAATTATTGACAGGAGGAATGGAATTACCTTGATAAGCTTAGACTGATCAACCGGGATGAGTTGATGTTGGCACATCAGCCACAAACATCAACTACAAACACTGCCACGCACAGACCAGATTAATTTATTCCCACAGAGAATTCTTTTCACTGGTTCGGGCTTTAGCTCCCATGTCCTGTACTTTAATCAAGGGTAGTTCAAGGATAAGCCACATAAATTTTGCTCCTACAGTGACTGACAAACAGTTCTTGAAGGCATTGTTTTTCTTATGTCACCTGGAGTCGTCTGTGGAAAGCCTCTCATAAGACTATCCTTCCAGAATTAAAGTTGAATTTTAAACGTCTCTTGGAGATAATATGCATCTCCCTTTCTGAAAACAAGAAATATGGAACTGACTATGCTTCCCTTCCTACAATGGCTATCAAGAAACTCCAAGCCAGAGTGATAAGTAAATCACAGCCCTCTATTAACAATTGTGATTACTGATAAATTTTTACCCTGCCTGTTTTCTTGGGCTTTATTTTCTGTTTCTATATCTCTTTAACCCACATATCAACTAAAGCCTCCATCCTCTCCCAACCGGCATCTTTTATTTCACTCTCTGTGACTCCAAGCTCATGTCCATCATTGGTTGATGCCAGAAAGCCACAATATTAACCTTTTGGAGAAATTTGAATTGCTGCAGATCACTAGAGGATAATAGAATCATAAGGAAATCTCAAACATGGCAACCTCCATCATTTAAGAATCTAACTCACTTGAGTCATCAATTCTGTTTCCCTCCTTACATTTTTCCCATCTCTTCGGGAGCAACACAGATTTTTCTTTTTGGCATGTGCATGGCAGTTTAGGGATCACCTTTGGATATTTAAGCGTGCTTTTGGGATTTCTCTTTCCACACTGGGAAGGTCATCAATGTAATCCAAACACAGTTCTCCCCAAGAGAAAGCCTGGCAAATAAACATTGTCTCCATCTTCTTACATGTATATTTTCTCTCAACCTAGTATCTTTCTTTTTAAGCCACCCCCAATCCTTTTATGGAAAAGGCAATCACAAATAACTTTAGTATAAAGCTTTCTAAACAATGCCATAAAGAACGCTGTTAGCTACAAAAATAAAATGTTTGATATTAGAAAATATGGAGGTGACTAAAACATCTGCAGCTTATCTGGTAAGCAGCTGTGTCATATATGAATCTCACTTTCCTACCCTTATCCTAATGCCTACAATCTAAGATGGGAAATCGATTGAATAAAATACTAGACATTCTGAATCCAAAACACATGTCTCAATTTTTTAGAGATTGAGATTGTAATAAACATTTTGATCTAATGAGTATATTGTAATCTACAAGGAACACTCACATATTTCACGTTGCTACTATACAGCATTGCATTCAAGAAAAAAATCCTTGGCATGACATTGAATAGTGAAGCAATCCCACCATGGTAGAAAGAGAGGTTTTTAAAGATGCTGAAAAGGATACCTAGCCCAAAACAATAATCTTGAATTATTAATTCGGCCACAATGCAGCTGAAAACTGATCCCCCGAGGTCGCATTTCCACTGTACTCCAACCACCCTCATTGTTCCTTTGGAGAGTTCAGCTCAAGTCCTTGCTATTCACAAGCCATTTCTGGAACCCAGCTTGAGTATGCAAAGCCATCAATAATTTATTTTTTTCCACTTTGAGTGGGGATGGTGTTATTGTATCAGCACAAAAATGATCCAGGTGAATGATACTAACAATAAGAGTGCTACCTGAGATGTCCCTGACATATTTCCTCCCCGAAGTACAAAATGTTCTTCTAGCTATTGGCTCATTTGTCCTTTCAAAAGAGACAGATACTACTATGCTATTATTAGTAGTAGAGAAGCGTAAAGCTTTAAGCCACAGTTATCAGCAGAGAAGGTAAGCCAAAATAAGAAAAGGCCTAGCATCTAACTTTAAAATTGCCACACATTGAAGACAAAAATTGTGTTTTCTCCTTCTTTTGAAAATCCTCAGTTGCACAGTGGAAAAATCAATAAATACAATAAATTAAACGAACATTGTCATGTACTTTGCAGTTTGCCATGGCCACCTCTATGCTGCCATTTCTAATCCTCAACACTACTATGGGCAAGGGTATTTTTATCTCCATTTTCTAGATGAAATTGAGGCTCAGAGAGGTGAATTTACAACTAAGATTGTGGAACTAGTAAGTGGTGAAGCCAAGACTCAAATGATCTTCTGACTCTAAATCCAGTTCTTTTGTTGCTACACTTCTGACTAGCAGTTGATAAGAGGGTATTTTATCCATATTTCAAATCAGACAGAAACTCACAGTGCTTCATATTGTTGCATAGGGTAAGAGGAAGATGAAAAATAATTCACCCAAACTATTAAGACTTTAGGCTCAACTGGGAAACATGAAAACAGCTATCTCAACAAGATCTGGTTTTATCTGAAAATGAATATATATATATATACGTAATCATCAGATGTAATAAACCCTGAAAAAACCTTTGAGTTTCTCATCGGCTCAGGAGTGGTCAGTCTGACTCCTAGAAAAAGAAGTGAAGCTGTTCCTATGGCTATAGCAAGAAGTGTAAATCAGGTATGAGTATGATTTAACTACATAATTTAAGCGGAGGCCTACCACCAAAATGCGGACTATTAATTATGTTAGAAACGAGCAGGTTCAGCTTGGCTTGCTATTCCAGAGGGTTAAAGGAAAGGCAAGTTTTAGCATTAGTATCATTAAAGCCATAAAGAAAAGGGGTAAGGGTAAGTAGATACTATCCAGGTGATGGACTTTCAGGATGGACTTATAACTACAGAGCTGTGATAGGACCTAGGAGCACCAGACACTGAGTTAGAGAGGGCGAGCCACACCTCTACTCAGGCGAGAATCAGAATAATGCTGATGACCATCCACTGGGCACCTTCCAAAGCCAGGCCTGGTCCTAGACTTTTAATGCACATTACCTCCTTTCAAAACCCTCACAACGGCCCTGGAAGGAATTATCCCATTTTGCAGCTGAGAAAACAGGTTCAAAGTGGTTAAGCAAGTAAGTAGCAGAGCTGACGAATTTCGGCTTAAGACTGGGCCTCTTCCTCGGCACACCTCTCTGATGAGGTGAGGTTAGGGTTGTTCTATTGCAGAAAAATAACACAGCAGCTGAAAAGTTCAGGGATGAAGCGGGGCAGTCAGCAGAAAGAGAAAGGACACAAGAAACCTGCCCCTCCTCCCTGCTGCCTCATCTCCTTGGTCACAAACAAGCTCTCTTTCTCCTCCTCCCTCTCCCCCAGTCATGAGGGAGATCAGAACAGAGGGGAGAAGTAAAGGAGGTCTGTCAAGACCCTGCCCTGGCCCCCACTAAGAGCCACTATTCAAGTCTGGCCAGATGAACTGTGACTTGCTCCAGGGTCACAGATTTCCAGGGGGCCTCCTTGGCATTCATCCCTAAAAACCTTGCAATTGGGCCTCTCAGGCTTCCAGGGACATGTGGAATGGATTATGTTTCTAATCATAACACTGTCCAAGCTGTCTTCAAATAAGGAACTTGTGAGAGAAACAACCCAAATTAGGAAACCAACGTAGGCACGGCAGGAGTGGCCTTCAACCTCTCCCACACGCTGCCAACATTCTTCTCCTCTTGCCTGATACTGTCATTTAAGCATCCTGCTAACTGACAGAATTTTTCACAAGGCAATCTCTGTTTTTGGAGAACTTGTACCAGGTTTATTTATAATTGTCCTATTTCCAAGCATCAAATTTGTTATTTTCGCTGCTGCTTTTATTATTGGGAAACACTCTCCCCTCACCCAAAGACTCTGGTCCTCTTGAATTTTATTTTCTAGAAAAATCACCAGGCTCCTGAGTCTCAGAATCTCTTACTGAATAATTAGCAGAGTCACCATCAGCTCTGCGGGATTCATAGTGGGTATTTATGCATGCTCACTCTTCACTATCGCCTCTGACTGCAGCTCCAAATCTTTGAATTTGGGATATGAATGATCTGAATGATCCTCCTCCCAGCGGTATCTCATGCACATTCCGTCGTCAACTAGAGACCTGCCTCAGATCCTGCTAGGTGCCTCAAACCCCAAGCTTTACCCTAGTTCCTAATTTATCTCCCACAGCTAAGGTATCTCTTTAACAAAATAAAGACATTTGAGTCAACAATAATAAACAGCCTGGGCTGGGCACAGTGGCGCATGCCTGTAATCCCAGCACTTTGAGAGGCTGGGGTGAATTGCTTGAGCTCAGGAGTTCCAGACCAGCCCAGGCAACATGGCAAACCCTGTCTCAACAAAAAATGCAAAGATTAGCCAGGCGTAGTGGTGAGCATCTGTAGTCCCAGCTACTTCAGAGGTTGAGGTGAGAGGATCACTGGAGCCTGGGAGGTCAAGGCTGCAGTGAGCCGAAATCGTTCCACTGCACTCCAGCCTAGGCAACAGACAAAATTAGAACCATAATTATGATAAACACCTGCCCCCATAGGGCAGGTACTATCATTTTAATTTTCCAGTTAAGGAAACTGAGGCACAGAGCAATTAGCTTGTTAAAGATCCCACAGCTAGTAAAATAGTCAGATTTTGAACTATAATAATCATCACTGGTACACAGATTCTCTCTCTCTCTCTCTCTCTCTCTCTCATTCTTTCACTCCCTTTTTAAAAAGCCTTTTGCTTGTAAATAATTTCAAACTTACAAAAATTGGCAAGAATAAGAATAGTACAAAGAACACTGACATACTATTTACTCAGATTTATCTGTTAATATTTACCCTATTTGCTTTATCATTTGCACTCTCCATCTCATCTCTATCTACATAAATAAAATTTTATATTATACAACACATATTACATAATCTAATAAATAGATATTAAAATACATAAGATATTATATATGATATGTTTTTTCTAAGCCATATGGAAGTTGAATACATCAAGCCCCTTTACCCTTAAATAATTCAATGTGTATTTCCTGAGAGAGATTCTCTTACATAATCACAGCAGAATTATCTAATTCAGGAAACTTAACATTAACATAAAATTTTAATCCAATCTATTTAATCTAGACTATGTCCATAGTCTAATTTTTCCAATTGGCCTAAAAATGTCTTTTATATCATAATTTTTTTCCTCCAGTACAGGATTCAGTGCAGAATCAGGTATTGCACTGGTCATCTTTCTTTAGTCTCCTTTAATCTGGGACATTTCTGCAGCCTTCTTTCTTTCTTTTTTTTTTTCTTTTTTTAATGTCATTGACATTTTAAAAAATACAGGGGAGGTTGAGGTGGGCAGATCAAGAGGTCAGGAGATCGAGACCATCCTGACTAACACAGTGAAACCCCGTCTCTACTAAAAAAAAAATACAAAAAACTAGCCAGGTGTGGTGGTGGGCGCCTGTAGTCCCAGCTACTCAGGAGGCTGAGGCAGGAGAATGGCGTGAACCCGGGAGGCGGAGCTTGCAGTGAGCCGAGATCGAGCCACTGCACTCCAGCCTGGGCAACAAAGCAAGTCTCCGTCTCAAAAAAAAAAAAAAAAAAAAAAAGAATACTGTTCCTTCCTCCTTTTTCTAACAGAAAATATCTAATTTTCAGTTTTTTGAAGTTTCCTTATACTTACATTTATGCTATACATCCAGCCAGAATACCCCACAAGTAATATTGTGTTCTTCTCGTAGTATTATATCCTGGAAGTACAAAATATTTATTTGTGCAGGGCACGATAGCTCACGCCTGCAGTCCCAGCACTTTGGGAAGCCAAGGTGAGTGGATCACCTGAGGTCAGGAGTTAGAGGACACCCTGGCCAACATGGTGAAACTCCATCTGTACTAAAAATATAAAAATTAGTTGGGTGTGGTGGTGCATGCCTGTAATCCCAGCTACTTGAGAGGCTGAGGCAGGAGAATCACTTGAACCCAAGAGGCAGAGATTGTAGTGAGCTGAGATTGTGCCACTGCACTCCAGCCTGGGTGACAGAGTGATACTCCACCTCAAATTAAAAAATTTTTTAAAGCTTATTTGCTTCTTTATTTTGTTTACCTAATCAAGGCATTGTCTGATTTCTACACTGTGTAGATATAATTATTCCCTTGAAACTAATAGGCAATCTGTTGGGAGTCAGTTTAAAAACATAAAAATATCCTGCTCCTCATCAAAATTCTTCCTTAGATTTAATATCCATTGGTAATTTGGCCCTGGACCAATCTTGACTATGACAGCTATAAAATAATAATTTTCTAACTCCAGCAGTTTCTCCACATTTACCAGTCAGCACCTGGCATTCTACAACAAGCAAGAGTCCTCCTTTTTCCTCTGTTTATTCACTTATTTATTTATCTAATTATTAAATAAATTAGTTCAGATTCATGGATTCCTGTTTTCTTCAGTGGTTTATGGTCATACTGTCCTTATATATTTTGGTATTTAAATTGTTTCAGTTTTGGGCAACAGGAGCCACTTCCTGCCAGCTCTTTTCCTGTGACATGCCCTCAGCATTTTTTTTAACACTTCCCTTCTCATCGACATAACAAGATGTTTCATTAGCTTCTAGAACTTTCCCTGTCCCAGGCCTACATTTAGTCACTTCTCTGAGGAGAAGAGCCCTTGTTCTTTCAGTAGAGAATGGTATTAGAGGACAAAATCTGAGTACTAGGTGTGCTCATTGCTACTAGACTTTTTTTTTCTTCTAGGTCTTTTCAGCAGCTAGAGTTGGGAAATAGATGCATGTATATATGTATGTACACAAATATACATATACACTTACAATATGCATATGCACATATGTATACACACATACACACATTTACCTGAGCACACCTGCATGTATATACACATACATTTATTTTAGAAATGAGTTCATACCAATGCTTCCAATTTAGAGCACACTCTCTTAACCACTATGTAATCATTTTGTATGTGCTTCCACAATGGCTGAATTAAAGATGAAAGATAGAATCCAAAGTGACTCAGAGAATTTCCTCTGTTCTATTTATGATCACTACAATTCCTGCTGAAAATTTCTGCCCCCTTTTTGGGAAGCAACACTGTGTGTCCTTGAAGATTCAATTTTGTCTTTGTTCATGTCTGAGCTCCTTCTCCTTGCAAGACTGTGACGGGAGTTGAGAGGACAGAGCCTGAATTTCTCCTAGAATTTAGAGTTTGTGACGACCAACTATTTAAAATATTCTTTGGTAATCTACATAAATTACCCCAAGTCCTAAGACAGCAGGTAGTCTGTCCACCAAAGGTATAAGCTGGTACTGGGAGGTTGATGAAAACCAAAGGCATGTAGGCAAAGTCTCTTTCAGGTTAGAATGTAAGAATGGTGGTAGCAAAGGAAGATGGAGTCCCCTATATCTTTAGGTGCTAGAATGTGGGGGAAGATGCAGTCCCCAGAGATGGACACAAGGTGGCTCAGTGAACCTGTTCCCTGGTGCTCCACATCTCCCTAGAAGGAAAAAGATAACTATGTTCAGCAGCAGGCAGTCATTGGACATTATGGCAGCTGCCCAGCCAATCCTTGCAAGCTCAGCAAGACAACCTAGAGTGAATGCAACCAACCGGCCTAAAGGGTGATGACCCTAGTCCCATGGACCATACCTGGGTGCAACACAAGCCTTCAGGGGAGTCACATTGACTGGTACACATTGGTTTGAGCTTTTCTTTATGGCAGTTGTGTTGAGGCAGGAGTATGTCATGACTTTGGAACAAGAGACCTGAGCTCTAGTCCTAGCTCTGCTGATAAATATGTGGTCTTGCATCACGGTATCATATACAAGATATGACCTCTCTGAGCATCAGATACTTTATTTATAAAATGAAAAGAGTGCAAGATTGTTACATGAATTTGATATAATAAATGTAAAGCCCATGCATATAGTTAAGTCTTAGATAAATGTAGACTTTGTTAAGAACAATATAAAAGGTCATAATATGTAATATATGCTAAATCCTTAGATATGTCCCCAAGTAAAATAGTCTAGACTGCTTTATAGAAGGCCTTAGAGTCTGATATCAGGAGAGAACTGAACTGGACCAAATACACAACCATTCTTTTTAGATGATTTCTTGGTGTGGATTGGCAACAGCTAACAAGACTGTTTCCTATGTCCATTAGCCAGAATTTTATAGCAATGTAATGGTTTGGATTCCTGTTTTTTGAGATTGAAGTTTTAGCTGCTTTTGTAACTGAAAACATACCCACTCTTGGTCCACTGTTATGCTAAGAACACCTGAAATATTGTATTTTCTTTGGAACTTAAGTTGCCAGATACGGTGCGGTCAAGGGCTGAAACTAAATACAAGCAGCCCCTTGCTGAAATATGCTCTGAGTGGGTCTGCTGCTGTCACAAGCAGCGTTTCTCCCTCAAAGAGTTGGCATTCCTCCAGTTTTCCCTGCCCGTGATCACACATCCACAAACCAGCCAGCATGGCTAGTTCCTCCTACCATTTCATGATTGCTGACAGGTAGAATGTGGCTTTTGTTCTTTTCCTACTCGGGAACTCAAATACCAGAGCTGCTGACAGATGATGTTGTGGCAGATTCATTTTGGAACACCACATTTCTTAGCAATGTGTCACAGGAGGAGAATGTCTCAAGCCTACAGCCTCAAAACCCCTCTGCTCTGGAAGTACCATTGCCCCAACCCAGATACCTTCTCAGGTGACACAGGGCGAGTACATGCCTCACCTTGCTGTAAGGAGATGGGAATGGAAGAAACTATGAATGGTAGAGTGCAAGTCCCTCCTAAAAGCATTGACATTGGGTTATTTTTTAAACATTGTACCGGCCAAAACAAGTGAGTCAACGTATTTGTGACTCCTACCCGATGCTTGCCCTTTGCAGAGCTTGACATAAGGAAGACATGTTAGGGAAGCCAAAGATAAATCCAACTCTTGGCTCTGCTATCAGCAGGCTCTGAGACCTACAGCAGTCACTCGACATCTCTGGGCCCAGTTTCTTCTTTAGTAAGATGAGGACAGGAAGCCTCAGGTGGACATGCAGGTCCTCTACCATCTTGTGAGTCTCGGACTCCAGATTGGTGGCAACCTACCTTTCTAGTCTAAGCTCCTGTCTGCTGGCCAACAGAGGTTTAGGGAGACCAGAAGCTAATACAATTTATGATGCCCTCTGTATGAAAAATTATAAAAAGTAAGTCAATAGTGAATATTTATTCAGAATGAGAAAAGAAAAATGCAAAAATATCAGCTTTAAAAAGCCAACAAATACCAGAAATATCACAAAACCCAGAAACAAATAACAGATTTGTATGAATTGGTATCGATAACATAAGATTTGTACTGATGTTCTAACAAGTCTCCCTAAATGCCTGTATTCTACATTTTTGGCTGCAGAGTCTGTTTCTTTTTATGACAAAATTCTGTAATATCCTTTCCTACAGAGAAACTAGAAAGATCATTCCATTTTTCCTGTAACATGGTTAATCAAAATTTGTTTATTATTAATGATAATTGAGAGAATTTCTTTCAGCTTCACAACCTATTATTGACAATATCATGTACATGTTTAGTATTACCAAATTGGGGAAGCTCCTCTACCAAGTGTCTTTCATATATGAGCTGTAAGATTGCAGCCATTCATGTTTCCCTGAGCAGAGACTAATCTGAAATACTCTTGAAATTGATGATACTCATTAATTAGGGCCTTGGGAAGGCATCTACTTTTACCACCTCACACTAGGTACCCCGCAGCCCCACCTTCATGCACACTGAACGTCTCACCTGTTCCTAACACACGACAACCTTCTACAGCTCTGTGGCTTTGCAGATGCTGATCCCTCACTGAATTGCCTTTCCTTTCTCCTCCCCCATACCCTTTCTCCAGGGTTCAAGCAGATTCAGTCACCATTCCTCTGCACTGTCCCTGCCTGGTACTCATAAGACTAGTAGAGAACCCTTCCTTTAGTGTTGTAATTCTGTTTGTCTACCTTCCCCACTAGACTTAGATTCCCTTAATTAAGGGAAGGCAATGATTCTCTCCATCTGTCTAGCACCAGGAATAGGACAGAAAAAGATGCTTGATAAGTGTATCACAAATAGAAATTCCTCAACAACACAGATGCAAGAAGTGCCACAATTCTTTACCTTTCTATAAGAAACCTTACTCTCCTCTAAGTTCTCTATTGTCAATCGATGATTTTTAAAAAACACACAGCATTAGTGATTTATTGGGGCATCTTTTTCCTCCCTTGGACTCAGGCAGTTCATGAAAATGGGGGCTCGCCCTAAGGCCACTAGTCAGCATTAGTTATCCTGGACACCGTTTCTCCTTCTGCCACTCTAGGAGGGTGATGGAATTGTAGTCCTCTCCTCTCACCTCTAGCCTGGCCCTCAGGGATCCCTTTCCCTGATTTCAAAATGGCAGCACTGGGGACAACCACTTAAATCACCTAGGTGGCTATCTTCCTTCCAAAGTGCAATCATCTTTAGGAGGTGCAAATGTGAGCAGGCAGCAGGTCTGTACCAACTGCAGGACATTTCAGGCTCACTTCCTTCAAGGCCCTAGATATCTTCCCAAAAGGACCGAGTAAAGAAGTCATCAAACTTGTGTATCGCCACCAGCCTCAGAGAAAAAAAGGAAAGGAAGGAAGGAAGGAAAGGAGGGAGGGAGGGGGAAAGGAGGAAGGGAGGGGGAAAGGAGGAAGGAAGGAAAGAGGGAGGGAAGGAAGGAAGGAGAGGAATGGAGGGATAAAGAAAGAGTGGGGAAGAGCAAGAGGGAAGAGGAAGAGAGGGGAAGATAAGACTGTCTTGGGGAAAGAAGTGCAGAAATTCATAACATTGAAGTCTGGTTGCCCTCCCTCTATGGATGAAAGATGCGATTACTTCTTCATCCATTTTCTGATGAGTCTGCTCAAGCAAGAAAGTACTAATACTAATAACAATATAAGGCACAGGTTAATTTCTACATTAACTTATTAATGCATCGACCTGCCACAAATGTTTATTGAAGAATCAATCAATGAATGAGTTTTCATAGTTCATTATCATGAGTCTGTTTTTGTTTTAATGACATAAATATCATTTTAGGAAAAATAAAACAATGTCCTTCTCTTCACACGTACATAATTGCACAGATAAGAATAATGATTCAAAGCCATTTTTTTCCTGCACTGGGAAAACAGAGCAGACTTGTTCATTTCTGCTACAATGATGAAGTTTCCTCCCCTGCTTCAGAAAACAACTTTAAGTATACTGTGTATTTTATAGAAAGTGGTTAAGGCTGATGAACTTGCATTCGACTCCTACTGGCTAACCTCAAACAATCTTATACAAGGAAAAACAAAATAAAACAAAACTGTTTTCTTCTTAATCAGACAGAGCCCCTTTAAGAGAGGCTGAATTACAATGCCTAATGCTCCTCATCAAAAGACACTAACAGATTTCCAGAGCAAAGGGCACCCCTGATCTAATGTATTCTTCCAAGTGAGGTTGATGTTTGTAGTGTAAGGAAGAAATGGAAATTTCACTCCCTCACATCATCTGGTCATTAACTTATGTAGCAGTACAAAATAGCCCACCAAGCTCTTTTCTAGTTAGCAGGACTTATTTAAATTCTTTTCCTCCCCCATCCCCCTTTTTATAACCCACAGCAAATTACCAGTATTGATAAACCATTAGAAAAAAAATAAGAGACAATTTTATTGACAGCTAAATGAAGTAATGCCTGGGTTGTGTTGGTTTTCAGCAATTGAGCTTTCTGTATTCATTAGAACTCTACAAGCAGCTTGTGTTAAATTTTTGATATATGCGGTGCACACTGAAATCTTTATCTACATTAACTGAGACACCAATTTGCACCCCTGTTGTACCCTAATAGGCTGATTTATTGTGGTTTCCCAAGGCCTATTAATGAAAGAGCTTGGAGTTTTTTAGTGACCTAAATCAATTTCATTTTTGGATGCAGCAGAACTTGTCAAGGTCCATGTCTCTCATTTCCTCTTTTGTCAATGGGGATGGAGAGTGTGAGCTCTTGTGTTGTTTGCAGCTGCCAGGCACTTGACAGATTGGCAAGTAAGCCGGGGACTACTTGGACATCTGCACAAACTCAGTAAGTGGAAAGACAAAGAAATGCCTCGAGATTCCCAAACTATCTTCAAGGGGGAGAAATGCCTACACAAAACTGTTTATACAACAAAAAACAAAAACAAACCCCACAAAGCTGAGGATAAACACAAACCTAGACCAGCAATCCTCCCTCTCTACCATTATTAGCAAGTGCTTGACTCACCTCCTTGGATGGTTTTGAATTATCTTACTTCCCTATTTGAACTTCAGCTTTGCGGGGAGGGGGCATTTAGTTTTGTTCACTGATGTATCCTAAGCACCTAGAATACAATCTGAGCTCCATAAATAATATCAATGGATAGACTTTCACACAACAAGGAAAAAAGAAAATTTTCATTGAATGATTACTTTTTTTAAGCAATGTTTGTTACCATGAAGATCACAGGGTCTTTGAGAATCTGATGAAAACTATGCTCTCTCTCTCTCTCTCCAGAAAAAATGTTTGGCTGTTCATGAACATTACATTTTTCATGCAATTTCAGACCTCCCTAAAATCCCAAGGGTTGACCTCGGGGTCAGATACCCTGTGGTCCACACAATGCCAAGACACTGGATTGTTCCATTGCTATAGTTGGGTGTAGGGGAGAAAATGATATGCAGAGTGTGGGAGAGAAGAAACTGATCCAATTGGATAGGATGATCTTCACATACTGTTCTTAGAAATATCCTAACTCAGTGTCAAGCAAACCATCCAAGGATTAATTTGATATACTAATCACTATTCACAGCCCAGAAAATATTAAAAAGATAATGAGCAAATTTGTTAAAAGCCACATAAAATTTTCTTCCTTTCTCTTCCAAATTCGTTAGTTGATTTGTTCCCTAGGGCGACTGAGTTAAACAGTTCTTCTTTGGTATTGCTTCCTCTTTATGGAAGGAGTTCAGAATATTCAGGAGCAGAACTTATTCTGAAGCAGACATCTCAGAATTAAATTATCCCATAATCTTGCTACCTCAAAGTTTGGCATGTAAATCCCAAAGGCTTCTGAATGTTCACCTGAATGTGAGGAGTCACAGAAGGAATAGGCAGCTGCCCTGCCTGTGAGATGAAGATAATGCTGCTGGATTTAACAAATCATGGCTATTTGCATTGCTTTTATTTTTAAGGCATTTCTGAGCAAATCCATCAATTGATCAGATCTATTCTATAACATATACTAAGTTTATTTTTGTTATGTAGTTTGAGTCCTCAGAAGTCTGAAAGACCGCTTATTATCCCAATCTGCACTCTTAGATGATCATCGTTATGTTTCATCACATCTCAGGAAAATATGATCTAGAGTCAAAATTTTCCATCAGGGTTATGAAACAGTCTATTATGAAATCCAATTGTTTAGCAGAATTCTGACAAGAAATATACAGACTCAAAATTTAGGAGAAAATTTCACTGAAAAAATTAATACATCCTTTAGTAGGCCCTGAATGTTACTTTGATAATAAGAGGAAGCTTTTCATATTCAGGCAAATACTATTGTAAATTTGAGCTATGCCCCTAATTGGCTAGGTAATTTCAGTCTAGATGCCTAATTATTTTGGTCTTTGATTTCCTTACCTTTAAAACAAGGATAATGATAGTTATTTTTAAAGTCATTGGAAGAATTAAGTAGAATTATGTCTATAATACACCGGGAGGGACCCAGGAGCACAAAATGTCCATTTGAAAAACAGATGTTGCCTTCCTGAAACCATCAAGGGAACCAAGAAGGAGCTGAATAGGAGAAGCAAAAGAGGACCCACAGGCTGGTCAGGGGACTGACAAGACATTGATGGACTGTCAAGTATTCAAAACTAAATCAACTGCTACCAAAAAATACTGAGATTTCTCTTTTAAGACTGTCTTTTTGGAGAGCTAGGAGGAGATGAAAACATGGCTTCTAGTAAGAGATGAGGGTGGCAGCAGGAAATTTATGACAGAAGAGGCAAGACAGTTAAAGGAAACTCAAATATTAAAAATAAAATCAAGATTCCACTTTTTGGCAATAATAAAGTTTGGATAAATCATTTAAAATGAAAGACAAATACTATTGAGGCCAACAAAGTCATCAATATGCATTCTCAGAAGGACAAACACAGCAGCAAGCACTTAAAATGAATAAAAATACATCCAATTCACAAGAATTGGGCTGAAAGAAACACCATGGGCCCAAAGCCAGAAACTATTCTTGGATCAAATTTTTTTCATATGACATTAAATTTAGCCAACTGGAATTCTTCCTTAAAAACAACATTCTATTTACCTTTTCAAATGAAGCATTTGAATTTAATGGGAAATGTGCACTTAATCATAGGAATGGAACTCTCTGTCCTTGCCTTAGTTATTCTTAGAGGAGCAAGACTGCATTGTGGCAAATATTTCTCAGGTATGAATAACTGGGGCAGGCACGGGTTAAAGAGCAGAAATGTTTCTGCTTCCAACAAGGAATGCCCAGTGGTGAATCTTCTCTGAAAGGAGGCCACTAATCTTGTCTATGAGGATGAAACAGATCAAGAGAAAAGGCATTGTTGTAGAATAAATGACTGGTATAATTAACACTATGGTTAAGGAAGAACTAAGTTGTCAAAGGATAAAAGAGTCAGCAGCAAGTTTAAGCAATGAAACAATGTGCCATGGGCAGTTTCTCAAATTCCTGCTTACTTTAGGAAACTATGATGGGCTAATCAAAGAGCACCCTGATCCTATAATAGTCAGGGAGAATAAAGGGAATAGTGAAGGACAAAAGAACCCAACAACTCATTTCTAGGACAACAGCTAACTCTGTTGCTAAGAGCATCAGCAGGTTAATTAAGAAGTCTGTTACTGATGAGGCCGGCACATTTTCATTTCCAGAAGATACTGCTCATTAATACATCAGCATAACTAATAGTTGCTGAATAGTAGCATGGTTTTCTGGAAGGGAGGATGTGAGAGATGTCTCCGTAGCTCAGAGAAACACAAGTCTCCCTTTGTGCACCCTACCCACCATATTCTTATACTAACAAAAACTATTAATAGCTCTGTCACTACTGGTATCTGTTGTCCACCTATGAAGTCACCAGAAGGAAAACTCAGATTCTCACATTTCGTTAATATTAACCTATTGTATGCTTTTTATTTTAGGGAGCTAAAAAGAAAGTTATTGACTGTAAAATATTCATAAGCTGTGCTATAATGTGGTTTGTCCCTGCCAAAACTCATGAAATTTAATTGCCATTGTAATTATGTTGGGAGGTGGAGCCTTTAAGAGGTAGGACACGATAAGAGCCATTTCAGTCAAAGGGGATCTTCCCTTGTGTGTGTCTTGGTGCTGTTCTCTGAGTTCTCACCTTCACAATGCTGGATTAGTTCTCACAGGAATCAATTAGCTCTTTCAGGAACAGGTTGGCTTCTTCACACGTGTTTGCTTTCCCTCTGACTTTCTACCCTGTTATGGTGCAGCAGAAAACCCCTCACCAGAAGCCAGCACCATGCCTTTGAACTTCCCAGCCTGAAGAACCATAAGCCAAATAAACTTCTTTTCTTTATAAATTATCCAGCCTCAGATATTTTGTTATAATAAAACAAAATGGACTAAGACCAAAAATTGATACTGAGGAGTGGGGTGTTGTCATAAAGATACCTAAAAATGGGGAATTTCAGTAATGGGCAGAGGTTGGAAGAGTTTGGAGGAGTAAGCTAGGAAAAGTCTGTGTTGCTGTGAATGGAATATTAAGGGGGTTCTGGTGAGGGCTCAGAAGAATACAAAGATGCAGGAGAGTTTGAAACTTCTTAGACATTGGTTAAGTGGCTGGGACCAAAATGTTGATAGAAATATGGACAATAAAGGCCATTCTGATAATGTCTCTGATGGAAATAAAGAACAAGGTATTGGGAACTAGAGAAAAGGCCATCCTTGTTACACTTTGCTTGTTAAAGCAAAGAATTTGACTGCATTGTACACATGTTCCAGGGTTTTGTGGAAGGCCAAACTTAAGAGCAATGTAATAGCATATCTGGCAGAAGAAATTTCTAAGAAGCATAGTGCTCAGGCTGCTGCATGGTTATTTCTTACTGCTTACAGTGAGCTGCTAAAAAAAGGAAAGCAGAGTAAAAAGATATGGAAGATTTATGGTGTGTCCATGTGGTAGAGAATAAAAGAACATTTTCAGAAGAGGAATCCAAGGGTGCAGCTGGAGCCACTAGTTGCTAAAGAGATTAGCACTGATTAAAAAAAAAAAAAAAAGTTGCCAATCCTCAAGACAATAGGAAAAAGACCCTATAGGTATTTTTGAAATCTTTGAGGCCATCTCTCCCATCACAGACCCAGAGATCTTGGAGGAGAGAATGGTTTTGGGAGGAAACCCAGGGCACCACTGTTCTGTGGTGCCTCAGGCTGCAATCTAGCTAGGTGCCCTGCAATCTAGCTGCTCCAGTTGGAGCAGCCATGGCTCAAACAGCCCTAGGTATGGCTCAGGCTACCACTCTGGAGGGTGCAAGTGTAAGCCTTGGTGGTATCCACGTCTACATGATGTTAATTCTGCAGGCCCACAGAATGCAAGAGCTGTGGAGATGCGGCTTTCTCCACTGAGATTTCAAAGGATATATGAAAAAGCCTGCGGGCCCAGGAAAAGCCTTGTCACAGGGGTACAGCCACTGCACAGAGCCTCTACTCAGGGACTGCCTGAGTAGCCCCACAAGAAATGTGGGGTTGAAAATGCCACAAAGAGTCCCCACTGGGGCAATGCCTAGTGAAACCACAGGGCTAAGCTGCTGCTGGGACACCAGAATTTTAGAGCCACCAGCAGCATGCATGCAACCTAAGCCAGAAAAAGCTGCAGGCAGTCAACTCCAACCTATGAGAACAATCATGTGGGCTGCATCCAGTAAAAAAATGGGGCTGGATCCTTCATGAATAGATTAATGACACCTTGTGAGGGTCAGTGAGTTCTCACTCTTGTGGGGAATAGGTGTATTCCCAGGAAAGTAGGTTGTTAAGAAGCATCTGGCTTCCTCAGTTTCTCACTCTTTCTCCTGCTCTTCACATGTGATCTCTTTGCATGCACCCACTCACCTTCTACTTTCTGTCATGAATTGAAGCAGCATGAGGCCCTTACCAGATGCAGCTGCCTAATCTTGAACTTTCCAGCCACCAGAATCATGAGCCAAATAAACATCTTTTCTTTATAAATTACCCAGCTTCAGATATTCTGTTATAACAACACTAAATGGACCGAGACAAACTAAGTTATATCATGGTGAATGCTTTTGGTTGCAAGAAATGGAAGCTGCAACTTAAATAATAAGAAATTTATTCTTGTTTTTGCCAAATGTAAGACACCAATTGTAACACACATCATTATTTTATGAAGTACTACAAAAAACATGTCAATTAAACTGACACAGTGCTCTCTAACAACTTAAAATTTTATTTTATACCTATTGCAAGATAATTGAAAAATGTATTTAGATGTATATTTTATATATCACATATATATTACAAATACATATATATACACCACCATAAATCAAAATATGTTGCTTCGTGGTTTTAAAATGTCTTCACTTTCAGAGTCTGACTCTTCAAACTCACTTTTAAAATTCAGAGCCATAAATATTCATGCTTTTTCCTCCCAATATCATCCTCTGTAATATCAAAAGTATTGGTGATGCAACATTTCTTAAAAGATTGACCTACTATTGCCACTTGGATTTCTTTCTAAGCACAGACGATTATTATGCAAATTTTTTTTTTTTTTTTTTTTTTTTTTTTTTTTTTTTTTGAGACGGAGTCTCGCTCTGTCGCCCAGGCTGGAGTGCAGTGGCGGGATCTCGGCTCACTGCAAGCTCCGCCTCCCAGGTTCATGCCATTCTCCTGCCTCAGCCTCCCAAGTAGCTGGGACTACAGGCGCCCGCCACTACGCCCGGCTAATTTTTTGTATTTTTAGTAGAGACGGGGTTTCACCGTTTTAGCCGGGATGGTCTCGATCTCCTGACCTCGTGATCCGCCCGCCTCGGCCTCCCAAAGTGCTGGGATTACAGGCGTGAGCCACCGCGCCCGGCCTATTACGCAAATTTTGATGCTGATACTTTCTTTGTCTTTTCAGAAGATGTCATTGGAAAGTTTTCAGACAGAAAGCAGTATTTCTTACCCTAATAATCTTCAATGGTTTGTCGACTGAACTGTCAAAGGGCTGCAGTTGTCAGTCATATCACAGAGAATAGCAATCAAGTTGACACATGCATAGGCAATGACACCTATGTAAGGATATTACATATTACAGTGATGGTAAGATATTACCATGGCAAAATATGTTCTGATTTCAGAGATGTTGAACTAACAAAAGAAAGTGTAACTTAGAATCAACAAAATTACATTTTCTTACTTAACAAGAAATCTGAAGATATCCTGTTTCTGGGCAGGTTAATCCAGTGGCTCAATGTCACCTTTTTGCTCAACCATCCTCAGCGTGGTTTCCTGTGCTCATCTCACTGCTTTCATGGACCCAGAAGGCATCAGAGTTTCAGGTGTCATAAGGAAATATGATACCCAGAGGAACAGGAGAGAGTATGGTGCTCCCAGGTGTCTCTTTTTATTGGCAAGCAAAACAATCTCTTTGGAGAACATTCTAGTCACATAGGAAGAAGAAAAATAATGTATACCATTGTTCAGCTCTATTCCATCACTTTTGCAGAAATTGTCAATTAAAATGTTAACAAGTCTTCAGGTTTGTCAAAAAATATAAGGCAGTTAGATTTTTCTGTGGCATACTCTGACTTTAAAACATGCCGACAATCTGTCAGTTTCCATGCTGTTCCATGTTGCCCACATACAGCTTGGAAATTAAAAGAGCTTCAGTCCCAAGGTATTCAATAGTAGCCTAGGTCTGGGGGAATCCTGAATAGCAACACCTCCAGCAATTTTGCAAATGGAGCCTACATATAGTTCTATGCGTCTGAAGGACTGTGCAATACCAGCGGAGACATAGCTGGCCTCCAAGCAGGGGAAGCAAAATCTATGCTAATGGATCCCTGCCTTTAAAATGGGCAGACTGCTCAGAGATGGAACACTTTATAAAAGCCCCTTGAGGTTTCACTTGGAATTCCTTAAATTAGAATATCATCTGGGGACATTGAACTTGGCAAGGAGTCTTTGAAGGTACCCCTAGAGCAACTAGGAGTCATTCTAGCAGACGGCTCAGGCCCCACCCTCAGTGCCTGCCTTACTTCAGCTCAATAACCACTCTCCTGTGCACCCCCTTCAACTCCATGGCATCCCTGCCAGTCTCTCCCTAAACAACGCCCCTCCCCTGCCCTTGGTACTATCTCCCATCCTCATCAACTGTCACTTTCAGGCTCCAACCCCCTTTCATTTGGGCCTTCACTTGCTTCTCATTTGTGTGTGCCAACAGTTGTAAATTTTGCCTCCTGTTTACTTTAGCCATTCCATCATTACAATTATTCCTATAGTAACTTACGTAGAGATCTGTCCATTTTCCTGAAATCTTAATCTGGCTTCATTGTAGCTGCATAATCTCCGCCACATCCGGAAAAAAACTTGACATGTTCCACAACTAAAAATGAGCAGGTATTGGTTTATGGCCTAAACAGGCAAGGTTTTCATAAATGTGAGTAGCAAAAAGACAAATACCTTCTTTCAAGCATGATTTCCTTCCTTCCTTCTTCCCTCCTTTCCTCATTGCCTCCACTTCCTTCTTTTCTTCATCTCTGTCTTCTTAATGATTATCATATTTTAAATAATGAAAGTATACAAAAAATTTAGGTTTAGACTTAAAAAATAAGAAAAAAAGAATGAAAACCCAAATTACCATGTTTCCACCACCACAAAAATATTACTATGAATATTTTAGTGCACACTCTTGCAGGTTTTTTTTTCTACTTCCACTTTGACTGATTGATTGATATTTTATATTTTGGTGGTTTTATTTTTGTATGGTTGAAATTATCAAGTAGCTTTCTTACATAAAATCAAGTAGTTTTCTTAGATACATATCTATGAAAATTTAGTTGTAAAAATTATAACATTAATAATTATATACAGCATTCAATTAAAGCAAGAATATATTTTCTGCCCTTCTAGACTGTAATGAAAAACAGAAACGTTTTAGTCGCTTGTTTATACTCTCACAGTTCTTCTTCAGTAGTCACTCTATAAAAATTTGCTGAATGAGTGAATATTCCAAAAGATAAAAATTCAGATACAATTAAGTAAGTGCCATTCTCACTAACTTTGAATACTCTTCGGTGTTGCTTAACCTAATTTAGATCTCTTACCTGCTCAGGTTTGAGTAGGAGACTCCACTTTATCCTAAATATATATTGTTTCTTCTTTAAATTAGAATATCATCTGGGGACATTTACACAGCACCAGGATTTTAACCCCTTCACAAGTGTCAAAGCCAGAACCTGGCACATAGTAGGTACTGAAAACATGTTTGTTTGTCTTTGCAGCAGTCATTGTAACTGTTACTCCTCTAGGCAAGAATATCTTGTTTGTTAAGTGTCTTTAGGTATCTGTGCTCTTGTTACTTAATTACCCAGGCTCTCTCCCTGACTCCCAGTGTGAAAAGGAAGGATGATTGAATCCATGTTTCCATTGGATTGAATCCATGTTTCCACTGAATGAAAAGATGTTTAAAACTTGCAGTATTTTCTATTAATAGAATAAACTCCCAAAGCAGAGGGGGAAAAAAAATGATCTTCTCGAAGAAAACACACAGGCATACACACATGCACACACACACAAACACACACACACACACACCACACACTCCTTACAAGAGGTATTTCCATATCCTGAGTGGTTACATTTCATTTCTCTTGTTAAAATAGACACTAAAAATAAGTTGTGTCAAACAATGCTTAGCATTGCAAAACCAAGTGCCCTACAACTTAATTTTTAAAAATCCATCTAAATGGAAATTAATGAGATCTCAAAGAGAAATTAAAATCAATTTTACCTAAGCATTCTTGTTCGGATTTTCTTGAAAGTTCTTAGTTTCAGAATTAGATACCCTTATAGATTTTTCACCAAGTTGTCTACATTTACATATAGCTAAATTTTCTCACATAGACCATGTCGATCAGCAATGAAGAGGTCAGGGAACTGGGCTGGTGATGACACCCTGTTCTCCTCTCCATGGACTGTTTGTTTGCTATTCTATTTAGCTATTGTGTATTCCCCCCATTAAATACGCTAGCAGATACAAAAGTCAGATACGACTTTGCTGTATCTGACAAAGCAGTAACATGCATTTATTTGATCTGCTAATCCCAAAGCTAAAGTGTGAATCTAGTGGGTTTTTAATCAAATCCTCAATATGCTGAGCAGCCAGCCCAGCACATGCAATTCTTTGAGTCATACAAGCCTGCCTTGGTTTGCAGCTACTGCCTCAATTTCACAGAACCATAGAATTTTAGAGCTGGAAGAGACCTTAGATTATTTGTGACTTGACCTCCTAGCCACTTTAAAACCATTGCTCGAAAACATGGTACTCGGTTAACTTTTCTATTGCTAAATCCTTAGGCTCGTTACAGCAAATGAAGCCTCTGTTCTAGATGCTTTTATGGGGAAGCTTGTTAAAAGGGTTGTTTGGAAAGTTTGGGTGAATTTTTGAGCCTTTTACAAACATTGACCAAGAAATTATTTTCTGCAAGTCAGGAAGCTCGGAGGAGAGGAAGAAGGAAAGGAAACCAATCTTTGTTGAGTACCTAATATGTTCCGGGTGACTGACTTACAGTGTCTCTTTTGATACAAGCCTTCAAAGATAGCTATTGTCTCCACGTGAAGAAACTGAGACCCAAAGAGTTTAAAAGTGACTTGATCAACATCTCAGTGAGCAACAAAGCTGAGATTTAAACTCAGGTCTACCAGGCTGCATATAAGGCTCATAATGTTCCTTTTATTATACTACACTGTTTCCCTTGTTTTATTGAAATATCTAAATAGAAAACACCATGGGCCTCCACATGGCTGCATAGGCTTGGTCGACACTCCTCTAGAGGTGAATCTGCAAAGCACCTTGTTCAAATATCTAAAGAAAAGGGGCTCATATTTTCTTGTATTTGGCGACTTGATAACTATACAGATGCTCTTTGACTTACCATGAGGTTACATCCTAACCCATTATTAAGTTGAAAATATCATAAGGTGAAAATGCATTTAAAACAACCAACCTACCAAAAATCACAGCTTAGCCTGGCCTATCTTAAACATTCTCGGAACACTTACATTAGCCTACAGTTGGGCAAAAGCATGTAACACAAGGTCTATTTTATAATAAAGTGTTGCAGATCTCATGCAATTTATTGAATATTATACTAAAAGTGGAAAACCGATTGGATGTATAGGTATTCAAAGTACAGTTTCTATTCTATTTCTAATGCATATTGCTTTTGCACCATTATAAAGTTGAAAAATCCTTAACTCAAATTATCATAAGTCAGGGACCATCTGCAGTTGAATGTGCTTTGTATGGTCGTTCCTTTGCATCATAAAACAATGTTTACCCATTTAGAAGCTGTCTAATGTTGTTCTAGACCCTACCCGAAAATTCTAGGAGTACAAGAAACAAGGCCAACCAAAGGTAGATGCTGAGTTTACACAGAGGTTTCTGATAATGATACCTTCTCACAGGAAGGCAAGTTGATGGCTAGAGAGCTTTCTGGCAACACAGAAATGGGTTTTTTACTGAGGTTCAAGATGGCTCTGAAATCAGTACCATCAACACAGTCTGGCCATTGCTCCACTCCAATTTATACTTAGACAAAAAAAGAGAGTGACATCTTTCCCCTTACCCCAACCTGCTAGAAAGAAAAAGAAAAGAAAAAAAAGACAAAGTTAATGGGATCTCTCCTTTCTGGACCCAGAATCCAGAAACAAACAATAAATATCTTCACATTCTCTTATAGTACTCTGCAAAACTGACGATTACTTGCAATTTTATTTGGACCAGATTCTACCTCATTTCTTTTTGACCCGTTTCTACCTCAAATTGGCACAACCACAATTACAAGGTTCAGTACAGAAAGCTGCCTGGGAAATGCAAAGTGAAGTCAGCCTAGATATTGAAAATACCTAGCCAGTCTCCAAATTTATATTGAAAATCAAAAGTTGGTAGTAAGGTTGAAGTCATTGAGTATGAATTCTGTTCCAATAGTCATTGTCAAATAGACACTTAATCACCGTATTTCTTCAAGCTTACCACTCTGCTAAGATAAAGTCATACCAGAACTAAGATAAAATTCTTACCAGCAAGGGCTCTGCAATACTCACAATAGATTGTGCTCTATCAATGACAAATGATGGTTGCTACCAAGAAAAGGGCTTCTTGTTTATCTTTTTTTTTTTTTTTTTTTTTTTGAGACGGAGTCTCGCTCTGTCGCCCAGGCTGGAGTGCAGTGGCTCGATCTCGGCTCACTGCAAGCTCCGCCTCCCGGGTTCACGCCATTTTCCTGCCTCAGCCTCCCGAGTAGCTGGGACTACAGGCGCCCGCCACCACGCCCGGATAACTTTTTGTATTTGTAGTGGAGACGGGGTTTCACTGTGTTGGCCAGGATGGTCTCGATCTCCTGACCCTGTGATCCGCCCGCCTCCGCCTCCCAAAGTGCTGGGATTACAGGCGTGAACCACCGTGCCCAGCCTTATTTATCTTTTTATCTTCTCATTCTTTGACACCTCCCTTTTCTGTTCTATTTAAGTCCCTGGCTCACCCTAGGCTGCCTCCTCCCTGGCTTAGCACCACCTGACTCTGGACCACTCCAAACCCTCATCTTTGCCCACATGCCTGCTTTAGTTCTGCCTATCCCTGGAAAGATGAACATCTTCCCTTTTCACCCAGTGAGAGGGTACAGTGGACACTTAGCAGTCTCTACTTCTGGGATCCAGTGCTCACTATCGGTGAAAGGGTGACTCTTTTACTGAGATAGGTAACTCACTTTACTAAGGATTACTGACTTTTCTTCAATCCTTTTAACTTCTTTCTCAATACATCCAACTAAAGTCAGATCACATGATTAAAAAACCTGGGGTGTATAGCTGGTAAGCAGTAATTTGTTTTTCCTCACCCTTTGGAAGTGTTTCTTGTTGATGGTTTTCACTCAGTTACCCAAATAATAAGTGTTCCTCTTATGCAACGGATGCAACAAGCTGAGGAGATTCTGTGCTCACACAGTAGCAGGCATGGTCTTAATCAGAAAATATTCAGCTTATGTTTTTAGTTAGCTACAGAAGATGAAGTCGAGAAATTCAAGAAATATGTTGAATGCCAGATAAGAAAAACCATTAATTAGGGGGAGAGAGAGAATTTCTTTTTAAACATTCTTGCTAAATCATTTTGACTCTGAAATAAAAGCAGACCACTAGAATATGGAAATATTCAAATTTGTGGTTTTATTAGGGTATATTTAGATTTTTCAAACAGTAGGCTATTTTTTCAAAGTTCTTGACTCAGCAAAGTAGGAATGCACTTGGCCAACCACTTTTTCCTTCTCCAATTTAGACCCATTTGTGTTACAAATGGAAATTTAATCTATACATTTATGATTCATTTGTGCTTAACTTGTCAAAATGTTAAGAGCTGTTTGAAATAAAAGAAGTCTTTGGATTCTGATGCTTATGTAAGTTTTTTCTCCTCAGACTCAGAAAGCTGTACTTCTGCAGAGAATCAACAATCTGATACCGTATAGGCATATACATCATATATGAGAAATTGCAGAGCTCAAGTAGATCACAGATCTTTTGCTGTTACTTTGAATTTCAATCTACAGGTGTACATATACGAGCCTTCGATTTAATTTTTTAATTAAATTAAAAATTAATAAATTTAATTTTTTTCAAGCAAATCATGTAAATAGTGATTTTTCTTATATGAAGTTCCTAACTTATTATTTTCCCTGCAGGATCACTGTGCAATGTTGTTCAAGTTGTGTACTGCACAAATCTGGGGACCACCATTCTGAAAAACAGCACAATCATTCATAGTGTGTCTATTTTCATGCATTCTTAACTCTTGTTTTCGTCAACTCAAATTCAGGCAAGAGCATCATCTAAGAATATCACCAAACTGCAATATCTTATTGACTAGACCAAAATTTTTACTTTGATTTGCCAAATTTGCAAGAACTCACGGGGGCTTCACACATATTATTCTACCTTGCTTAGTGCCTGGTAAATTTATAATCAGGCTTTGGGTGTAATTCAGTTAAATACTAGATTTTTCTTTGGAGAAATTCCTTTACCTCTTGGAATCTTTATGTCTCCAGAAGAAAAATCTGGATAACTTTATCTACCTCAGAGAATGTTAGTTGTGTGGAGTTAGCTAATATGCCAAGATAGGGTTACCTTAAGTGATCAGTTTGAATGGCCCACAGAGTAAGGGATATGGTTTGGATCTATGTTCCTACCCAAATCTCATGTTAAACTGTAATCCCCAATATTGGAGGTGGGGCCTAGTGGGAGGTGATTGGATCAGGGGGGTGGATTTTCCTTTTGGTACTATGTTGCAATAGTGAGTGAGTTCTCATGAGATCTGGTTGTTTAAAAGCATGTAGCACCTCCCCACTCCCCATTACCAGAAAGGGGTCCCAATCGAGACCCCAAGAGAGGGTTCTTGGATCTCACCCAAGAAAGACTTTGGGGCAAGTCCATAGAGTAAAGTGAAAGCTAGTTTACTAAGAAAGTAAAAGTATAAAAGAATGCCTACTCCATAGGCAGAGCTGTGGCTTGAGCTTCTGGCTTAAGGATGCTTATAGTTATCTTTTGATTATATGCTAAACAAGGGGTGGATTATTCACAAGTTTTCTGGGAAAGGGATGGGCCATTCCCGGAGATGATGGTTCCTCCCTTTTTTAGACTATATAGGGTAATTTCAGATGTTGCCATGGCATCCGTAAACTGTTGTGGTGCTGGTGGGAGTGTCTTTTATCAAGCTAATGCATTATAATTAGCGTATAATGAGCAGTAAGGACGACCAGAGGTCACTCTCATCACCATCTTGGTTTTGGTGGGTTTTGGCTGGCTTCCTTACTGCAACCCGTTTTATCAGCAAGGTCTTTATGACCTGTATCTTGTGCCAACCTTCTATCTCATCCTGTGACTAAGAATGCCTAACCTCCCAGGAATGCAGCTCAATAAGTCTCAGCCTTATTTTACCCAGTCCCTATTAAAGATGAAGTTGCTCTGGTTCAAACACCTCTGAAATCTCACCTTTCATGCTCCTGCTTTGGCCATGTAAGATCTGCCTATTTCTCCTTCTCCTTCTGCCATGACTGCAAGTTTCCTGAAGCCTCCCCAGAAGCTGAAGCCAGTATATTTTCTGTACAGCCTGCAAAACTATAAGCCAATTAAATCTCTTTTCTTTATAAATTACCCAGTCTCAGGTATTTCTTTATAGCAGTGTGAGAACGGGCTAATACAGATTTTGGTTCCAAGGAGTGGGGCATTGTTATAAAGATACCTGAAAATGTAGAAGCAGTTTTATAACTGGATAATGGGAAGAGGTTGGAACAGTTTGGAGGGCTGAGAAAACAGGAAGATGATGGAAAGTTTGGAACTTCCAAGAGACTTCTTAAATTGCTGTAATCAAAATGCTGATAGTGATATGGACAATGAAGTCCAGGCTGAGAAGTTCTCAGATAGAAATGAGAAACTTATTGGGAGCTGGAACAAAGGTCACTTTTGTTATGTTTTAGCAAAGAATTTGGAGGCATTATGACCCTACCCCAAGGATCTGTGAAACTTTGAACTTGAGAGAGATGATTTGGGATATCTGGCAGAAGAAATTTCTAAGCAGCACAGCATTCAGATGTCACCTGGCTACTTCTAACAACCTATGCTCATATACATAAGCAAATAAATTACCTGAAATTGGAACTTATATTTAAAAAAAAAAAAAGCATAGCATGCAAGTTTGGAAATTTTGCAGCCTGGCCATGTGTTAGGAAAGTTTGGTACTATGTTGCAACAGTAGTAGCTCATTTTCAGGGGAGAAATTCGAGCAGGCTGCAGAAATTTGTATAACTAAAGGGAAGGCAAATGCTAATAGCCAAGACAATGAGGAAAAAGCCTTGAAGCCATTTTAGAGAACTTCATGGCAGCTCCTCCCATCACAGGCCCAGAGCCCTAACAGGATTGAATGGTTTCCTGGACAGGCCAAGGGCCCCACTGCCCTTTGCAGCCTCAGAACACAGCTTCCTACATCCCAGTTGCTACAACTCCAGCCATGGCTAAAAGTGGCCAAGGTACAGCTTGGGCCCCTGCTTCAGAGGATGCAAGTCATAAGCCTAGTTGGCTTCCATGTGGTGTTAAGCCTGTGGGTGCACAAAGTGCAAGAGTTGAGGCTTGGGAGCCTCCACCTAGATTTCAGAGGATGTATGGAAATGCCAGAACGTCTAGGCAGAAGCCTGCTGCAAGAGTGGAGCCCTCATGGAAAACCTCTACTAGGGCAGTGCAGAGGAAAAATGTGGGGTTGGGTCCCCCACACAAAGTCCCCACTGGGACACTTCTTAATGGAGCTATGAGAAAATGGCCACCATCCTCCAGACCCCATAATGACAGATCCACCAACAGCTTGCACCTTGCACCTGGAGAAGCCACAGACACTCAATATCAGCCCTTGAGAGCAGCCTCAGGGGCTGAACCCTACAAAGCCAAAGGCATAGAGCTGCAGAAGGCTCTGGGAGCCTACCCCTCACACCAGTGTGCTCTGGATGTGGAGCATGGAAGTCAAAGGAGATGATTTTGGTGCTTTTAGATTTAATGATTGCCCTGCTGGGTCCCTTTCTTTTGGCCAATTTATCCCTTTTGGAATGGGAGTATTTACCCAATGCTTGTACCCCAATTGTATCTTGGGAGTAAGTAACTTGTTTTTAATTTTATAGGCTCATAGGCAGAAGGGACTTGTCTCACATAAAACTTTGAACTGTGGACTTTTGAGTAAGTGATGAAATGAGCTAAGGCTTTGGGGAATTTTGGGGGAATACATTATTGGGTAAATATGATTGTATTTTGAAATGTGAGAAGGACATGAGATTTGGGAGGGGCTGGGGCAGAATGATATGGTTTGGATCTGTGACCCTGCCCAAATCTCATGTTGAATTGTAATCCTCCCTATTGTTTGAGGTGGGGCCTGGTGGGAGGTGATTGGATCATGGGGGCGGATTTTCCTCTTGGTACTATGTTGCAATGGTGAGGGAGTTCTCATGAGATCTAGTTGTTTAAAAGTATATAGGCTCTCCCCTACCCTCTTGCTCCTGCTCTGGCCATGTAAGATGTGCTTGCTTCTCCTTCACCTTCTGCCATGATTATAAATTTCCTGAGGCCTCCCCAAAAGCAGAAGCCTCTATGCTTCCTGTACAGACTATAGAACTATGAGCCAATTAAACCTCTATCCTTTATAAATTATCCAGTCTCGGATATTTCTTTATAGCAGTGCAAGAATAGACTAATACAGTAAGTCACAGAGAATGAGGAAGGGGTCTGTGTGTGGAACTGTCAGGTAGAAGGAGGGGGTAGGTCAGAAACTCTTTGGAGATGGTCAATTGGTGTAGCAAAACTGGGCTGACTGATGGTGGAATAGAGACTGGTGTTAGGTCAGGGTAAAGTGATCGAGGACAGGACCAGATACCAGTGAGTAAAATAAGAGCTGTGAATGCTGAGGGGCTGCAGGGCTTTCCTTCCACACGAGACCTAGCTTGCCTTGCTGAACTGGTGGCAGACTTGTTAAAAAGGTGGAATAAAGGAAGACAATTATAAGAGTTAAAGAATATGATGCTTTTAATATTCCCTGCATAGTGCTTGAACTTAACAAGAGATCAACAGATGTTAATTCCCTTTAGCCATTTGTAGGGCATAGATTCATTTCACTGGGGGTAGTGAGATGGGGGGGGACCATTATGGAGGACCTAATTCATGAACACAATGGGCATGTGCTGGGTATTTCGGTCTTCCCTACATTGTTTCATTTGGGAATCTGCCTTGCCTCACTTAGTCTGGAGGACTCTAGAGGACCTCACAATCATGTGATCCTGCATTGACAACCACAGTAGAAGAAACATAATCTAAGCTGACCAGCATATCCTTTCTCAGTGGATACAGATTGGTCTAATAGCGGGCATGACCCAAGCAGGGCCACTCAGAGTACTTTTTCAGCAACTAATTGGATGCTGAGAGAGAAAGTATCTCTGCTTCTGAGAGAGGCCCCACCTGTTAGGGTCCAAATTAAAGTTTGAAAGCAAAGTCTCTAGATTTAGAGAAAGACAGATATCACTGGATTCTATTGTGCCTGAAGCCCTAGACTTTTCAGTTATATAAACAATTCATTCTCTTCTTTTGCTTAAATTAATTTAAATTAGGTATCTCTCCCTTATAACCAACAGATCTGACAACTCTGTAGGGATTATCCTTGGATATTAAACTTTGCCATAGCATATATAAGAAAATATATCATTTCCCCCTTTTCTAAATAGATTTTAATCTAAACTATTTTTAAAAATTCAATTACGCATTTCTAAGCTGTACCATTGAACCAGTTATTGGGATTTTTTAAGAGGCACCTTGGGAACACTCCATATGTTCACCGTATGATAATCCTTCTGTCCTGTGGGAAGATGAGGACACTGGCAAGAATACTCCAAGCCAGTGAGAATACCACCAGGCTGATGTGGGCACAGACCCTGTCTGTTCCCAGAGTCCCAGGTGCCCTGGCAATTGAGGGAGCATGCAGAGTTGAGATTCAATCTTACCACAGGGCAAGAAAGGCTCCAAGTAAGGGTCCAAATGACTTGTCTTTAAAAAGAAGAGCATAGAGGCCTATGTCTGGAGCCTGGGAATGGAGTCAGAAAACTGAGAAATTAAAAAGTCAGGGGACAGCAGATTCTGTAAGTAGAATAAGAGAGTAGGCGTGAGATAGAGCCGCATCACTGCTGGACCTGTATGCTCTCCAAAGTACAGTGTGGATTAAGGACTGTGGAACTAGAAGGCAAGAACAAGGGCAGACATCTATAGGCCATGCATTGTTAACTAGCCTATAATTGCAGTGTAAGCACACAGATAGAATACATTCATATAGAAAGTAGAGGTTCATCCATTTACCAATTTTTTAACACGTTTTTATTGTAATCAATCATATATTAAACATTTATCATGTGCAGAGTGTGGTGTTAGTAGATGGGATAGAGATAAACACAAGAAGTGGTCTTTGCCTTCCAGGAGCCACAGCCTAAGCAGGCTTGTCTAGATACGTGCACAGATAGCTAGCATGTGAAACAGTGTGTGACAATTAGATGTCACTCCCAAAATTGAAACACCAACGGCTACAAAATTTCTAAGGAGGCAGACATTATTCTTGGGTGATCAGAAGAGACTTCCTCGAAGTTGGGGGATAAAGTGGGTGAGTCACGGTGATGAAGGGAGCCGCATGGGTTTGGAAAGCAGACTGAGCTCTGCCACTTGTAGTTATGTGGCTTTGGCATGTATTTAGCTTGTCTGAATCTCATTTTCCTCCTTTGTAAATGAATAATTCTATTTCAAATATCCAAGGTTAGTGTCAAGATGAAATAAGATCACTTAGGCGTGGCTGAGAATAGGCCAGGAGAGGGGAAGGCACTGCCCAGTGCCCCTGATTCGGCTGAGGGAACACAGCAGGATCCCCACACTGCAAGAGGCCTAGGCCATGGCTCTGGACTCAAACAGCCTCAAAGTGGTTCCCAGACTGTCTCAGGAGAGCAAAATGACCTAGAGTGACACAAAGAGACCTTGTGAGTGGGAGTAAGGAACAACCCAGCAGCTAGTTGGGCAGGAGATAAACAATCCTTCCCATTTCACTTCTAAGTTCTGATAGGATTTACGTGATGCTGAGGACAAGATGCCAAAGCCTCCTCGTTCTCCAACAGCTTCATGCTTGGCACCAGCAATATCCCCAAAGAACTTAGATATTCCTCCAAGGAAAATGGGGACAGAAACCCTGAATTAGCTGAAAACACGTTACTGGCACCAGGCAGGGGCTCAAAAATAGGAACCAAGCTATTCTAGAATATGTGGAAGGTAATATTGCTTGGACACTGTAGTTTATGAATTATAATTTATACTAACTAATCCAACATATATTTGTTCTCTTTTTATTTCCCCTTTCCCCACCATTTCCAAGAATGGATGATTCTGAATAAAATCCATGAAAGCAGAGAACTATCCAGTACAGATAGCCTTTCACAGGTCTGCCTTTATGGCTGTGAAAATAATTCAAAGAACACATTTCTCCTAGTGGCAGGAAAGATGTTTTACTGCCACATAGAAAGGACATTACATTTTTTAAGAAATCATTTCTGTATACCTCCATCTATGGCTTCTCATACCAGAGAAGTTGACACAATTGTTAGTCATCTGTGACCAATTTTTGGAAGCTGTGAAAATGGAACCAAGTGTCCACTTATCCACAAGTGGAGTATGTGTACTCCAGGGAGGTGGAAATGTCTCTTTCACTGGTGACATTTAAGAAAATGACAGGGACAGCTATCACTCAGTGTGGGTTGGCTGCACAGCCGCCCAAAGGCAGCATCACTGTTGCTGAGAGCAGGGATGGGAGGGCTCCCAGAGCTCCAGGAAATAGGTCAGGGTTGACAGCAGCAGCTGGTTTGCTCTGCCTTCCCCACACCCATCTTCACCCTGACCCTCTTCTGGGCTCCCTGCCCTCACTCCTGTTTCCCCTCGGACTGCAACATCAGCTCCTCTTCTTCCCTTTGACTTCCTCCATTCCTCTCTCAAGTTGACAGGAACACAAATCTCAAATGCCTCTCCAAAAAGAAAAACTAAGAAAACTTTCCAGGCTGACAGGTGGTAGAAACATTAAAAGTCTTACTCTTGATTTTCCCAAATTTAATTTTGTTAACCGCAGATGCAGAGACTGTGTTAGACTGTGGGCAATTTGGAGTCTGCATTAGTTTCCTGAGCTTAATTTAATGAAGGCAGATAAATGCCATTGTAATTCTGAAAATGTCTTCACTCCTTATTTATCTAGTATCAACAAAAATGAACTGTTATATATCAGTTAGTTTTACGGATGATTGATCTTTACCCTCCAAACTTAAAAATTTCTTTTTCATCTAAAACGTATTCTACATTTCCTTCACTTAATGAACACACCCTGTTTAGAATTATCACCACATTCTTTGGTCATCCAGGGCCACTGCATCAAATTTCAGCAGCTGAATGGTGCTGAACTAAATTTGTGCGCTCCAGGATGGGCTGGAGGTCCCCACACTAAATGTATGCAGACCCCTGTGCTGATCTAATTAGTGAGGTGTCTGCCTGTCACAGCCCATGCAAGAGAATTGCATGGACAGAATTACTGCTGGGCCAAGTCAATATCAGGGTTTCTCCCTGATAGTAAGAAACTATGAACCATCAGGGACAGGAGAGCGGGCAGTAGGAGAGTAAATTCTGGGACAAAACCAGACTAAGGAGCAAAAGCAGGAAGGTAAATGCAGGAAGGTCCAAAGGACAGATATAGAACCAGGTAAAGGGTGGTGGAGGTGAGAGTAACAAAAGCCAAGTGCTCATGAGTCTGGAGACCCATTTGTCTGCAGTCTGCTGCATTGCCTAGACTTTATTATTTATTTATTTATTTATTTTTGAGACAGAGTCTCACTCTGTCGCCCAGGCTGGAGTGCAGCGGTGCAATCTCAGCTCACTGCCACCTCCGCCTCCTGGGTTCAAGCGATTCTCCTGCCTCAGCTTCCAGAGTAGCTGGGATTACAGGTGTGCAGCACCACACCTGGCTAACTTTTGTTTTGTTTTTTTTTTTTTTTTTAGTAGAGATGGGGTGAAACTATGTTGGTCAGGCTGGTCTCAAACTCCTAACCTCAGGTAATCCAACCACCTCGGCCTCCCAAAGTGCTGGGATTACAGGCGTGAGCGACCGCGCCTGGTCGTGCATTGCCTAGACTTTATTGGCCCTTCTTGCACAGTCACTTCTGCTCTGGAAGCTTCTTAAAGGGTCCTTATGATTTTGGACGCTGACATTGACATTGTCTTTATCTTCATTATCTTCATCGCAGATCGTTGATTCTCCAAGTTGGGTCCTCTAGCAGTCTCCCTCAGAACTCACTGCTTCCAACCTGATGTCAACTGTGCTGGGGAATGAATGAAGGGTGCCAGGAAAACACACACACGCACACTGGCAAACAACAACACAGGCATCCCAGCTTGTGAATCAGTTGTCCTACTTTCACCTGCACTTTGAATTCAGCATGTCAGATGCTGGCTGGGCTCCAGTGTCCTCTCATACACCATGGTGCGTGTCCTTTGAGAAATTTGTTTTCCCCTCACCACACCAAAGAATGTTTCACTTGTTTATCAAGTCACAGCTGTGTTCCAGGTGGTGTTTCTGGAGGGTAAAAACAAAACAAAATTCATTCTCCACCCTACAGCTAGAGTGGTGTTTTTTCGGTTTTTTAATGCAAATCTGATTATGTAACTCCCTTTCAGCAGCATGCCATTGTCCTTAGAATAACGTTCAAAATGCTTCATTCGTCTCCGCTCACCAGCTAGGCTCAGCTAGCTAACTGTAGGTACCCAGTTCAGGCTCTCAAACCAGCCCTGCCCTCTCTCAGCCCTGCCCAGGGCCTTGACACCCACAATTCCCTCCGCCTGATGAGGCAGCTACTTCCATGCCAAAGAACAAAAATTTTTTATAAAAGCCTTCAGGTCTCAGCTTAAATGTCAGTTTCTCCAAGAAACCTTTACTGACCCTCAAAAAGACCAAATCTCTTAATTTATCCTCCCAACCCAAAACCCTTCACTCCTGTGATCACTTATTCAATGCTAGACTCTAATCTCCATGAGGATAGTGATGGGGCAGATGAAGGTTTTGTGGTGCCTGCAGCTTCTACAGTGTAGGAAGGAGACTTGTTCTTCAAGAACAATACAAAAATACCTTACTTTGTATATTTTACCAAAAAATATATAATCATGTGGATGCATCTTAAGGCATCTCCCAGAACCTTGGAAGGGGCTGTGCTAGCGAGGGGACCTGAAGCTCAGGTTTCTTCTATTTCATGAGGAATGCACCTCTGGGTGGAAACTGTATTTGAATTATTCACTGCTGTGCCCCAAGCACCTGATACATAATTTATTTAAGTGGCTATTATTGAGTAATTTTCTAATCACTGAATAAAGCAAAGTAGAAATTGTAAAATCGACATTTGTTGAATATTAAAGCAAAGTAAAAATTGTAAAATCTACATTTGTTGACTATTAAACCAGAATAGATTTACCAATAGAACCACAGTCATATGTCACTTAACTATGGGAATACATTCTGAGAAATGTGTCCTTAGGTAATTTCATTGTTGTGCAAACATCATAGAGTGTACTAACACAAATCTAGATGGTACAGCCTACATCTAGACTATATGGCATAGCCTATTGTTCCTAGGCTACAAACCTGTACAGCATGTTACTATACTGAGCACTGTAGACAACTGTAACACAACAATCGGTATTGGTGTATTCCAACATATCTACATGTAGAAAAGGTACAGTAAAAATACTGTATAAAGGATATAAAAATGGTAAACCTGTATAGGGCACTTACCATGAATGGAGCTTGCAAGACTTGAAGTTGCTCTGGGTGAATCAGCAAATGAGTGGTGAGTGAATATGATGGCCTAGGATATCACTGTACACTACTGTAGACTTTATAAACACTGCACATTTAGACTATGCTATATTTATTTTTTAATTTCTGTCTTCAATAGTAAACTAGCTTAAGCTTAGTGTAACTTTTTACTTTATAAACATCATATATTTTTAACTTTCTCACTTAGCTTAAAACACAAACACATTGTACAGCTGTACAAAAATATTTTCTTTCTATATATTTTTATTCTATAAGCTCTTTTCTATTAATTTTTTTAACTTTTTTGTTAAAAACTAAGACATAAACACACACATTAGCTTAGATCCACAGAGGGTCAGGATTATTAACACATTACTAGGTAATAGGAGCCTTTCAATTCCATTATAATCTATGGGACCACCGCGGTGTATGCATCATTGAACAAAACATTATTATGTGGCATGACTGTATGTTATCCCACTAAGAATGGAGGAAGTATAAGAGCTCCCTGAGGGTTAGGAAGACCTGGTATGAAAAGAAGATACTTGATCCTTTATCCCCAGTGAGAGAAGGTTCCTGAATAGGATAGTAAGTATGCTATGCCTGCCCTGCTTTCAAGCTGATTCTCATCTTTTCTCCTGACTCCAGGTGAAAAAAATCTGATATTCTGTAATGATGAGTTATTCATCAGGGATTCATGATGAACCTACGTTACTTGTAAAGTTGAGAATATATTTTTCTATGTTCATGTCTCTGGGAGAGGGCCCTGACATTCATCAAATTCTCAAATAATATGAGACCCCTAAAACATTAACAATTACTGCAGATTAGTTCAGAAAGGCAACCCAGAGTCAATGGAGATGTCCTAACAACTCATAGCAGGCTCATAGCTCAGCTCTACTTCTTAATTAATAAGGCTCTTCACAATTTACTTATCCTCTTGTGAGTATTACTCAAATGTGTAATGGGGCTACTACTGCTCACTTGCATGATGTCTCAGTCCATTTTGTGCTGCTATAGCAAAATCTACAGGCTGGGTAATTTATAATCAACAGACACATATTTCTCATACTTCTAGGGGCTGGGAAGACCAAGATAGAGAGACCAGACTCTGGTGAAGGTCTTCCTACTGTGTCATCCTGTGGCATAAGGGCAAACAAAGCAACGGAGAGAGAGCAAGACAAGGCTAAATTTGGCCTTTTATAATGAATCCACTCCTGTGATAACAGTGTTAATCCATTTATGAGGGATCCGCCCCACAATGCAAACACCTCCTATGAGGTCCCACCTTCCAACATCATGGCACTGGGGATCAAGTTTCCAACATAAAATCTTTGGGGAACACATTCAAACCATAGGACAAGGTGGCTGTAAAAGTACATATATATACTTATGTGTTTGTGTGTGTGTGTGTCTGTGTGTGTGTATACACACACATATTGTCTTGGCCAGTTTCTAGCTCATAGTGCACACTCAATAGATGTCTGTTCTCTTCTAAACAAATAGTTCCTCATTGCCCTAGTATAATTTCTGTACTGAAGGATAAATGATTTAAGAATAATGCATTCATTTACCCATCCATCATTTTAAGAGAATTTATTTCATATCTGCTATGTGCCAGATAGTGAGCTGCGCACTAGGAAGGGGATGGAGTAGATCACTAAAATGATTTGAAGAAATGAAAACAAATCACATAAACTGGAAAAAAATAAGAAGTAGTTTTGAAAATCTCCCACCTCAATGATTATGTATTCTCTCTTGGAGGTGAGCCTGTTGGCTGTCTACATTATTTCAAAAATATCTGAATAAAAATGGAAAAATACTGTCAGTCATGTGGCTTTTTATGCAAAGGACACCCATCATCCAAATGTCTCTGAGTATTCATGTGTTCAGTGTTATCTAGACAACCATTTTGGGGGATTTAAATTTTCATTCTTTTTTTTTTTTTCTTTCAAGACGGAGTTTCATGCTTGTTGCCCAGGCTGGAGTGCAATGGTGCGATCTCAGCTCACCGCAACCTCCGCCTCCCAGGTTCAAGTGATTCTCCTGCCTCAGCCTCCCGAGCAGCTGGGATTACAGGCATGTGCCACCACACCCAGCTAATTTTGTATTTTTAGTAGAGACGGGGTATCTCTATGTTGGTCAGGCTGGTCTCGAACTCCTGACCTCAGGTGATCCGCCTGCTTCGGCCTCCCAAAGTGCTGGGATTACAGGCGTGAGCCACCGCACCCAGCCTAAAATTTTCATTCTTAATGGAACGTCATCATTCTGGGCACACATAGGTCTGACAGTTTCATGTTACAAACCAACAAATATCCTGTCTTTGACACAAGCCAAGTGCAGCTGGTTCTTGCAAAACAAAACAACAACAACAAAAAAGTAATGAATTAAAACCAACATAAAATTAGTCTATCTCTCTCTCACTCTCTCTGTCACACACACACACACACACACACACACACACACACACACACACACACTAACCATCCTGCTGCATCTTCTACTTCCCCTGACTCCCCACAGCCAATCCCTCCATCATCCCCAGATCAGTGAGGCTTCCCCAAGTACACAAGTGCTGACCAGTGTCCCTCCTACACATCCACACACACTAAGGTTTGCAGATAAAATGCAGGATGCCCAGTTAAATTTGAATTTCAGATAAACAACAAGTAAATTTTTAATATATCTAGATATTGCATGGGACACGCTCATACTAAAATCATTCTTTGTCTATTCAAAATTTAAATTTAACTGAACATCCTGTATTTTTATTTGCTAAATCTGGCCTCATCTCCATCCCTTCCCGGAAGTATGGGCTGTGACCAAATTGTCACCACTTTCATTCCTCTGGGCCCCGGTACCATTTCCACCCTGGCACATCCCAGTTCCCAGGATGATGCATCTTCTCTGGAACCCACTCCAAATCCCTGCCCTACCAAGCCCTGCCTTTGGAACAGCACCCACTGGAATTCCCACTACCATGTTCTACAGGGCTGTTGCTACTCCTAGCTTTTCCTTGTCAGGCAGCCAGAGCCCTTGGTCACCGGTCTCCTCTCCACTGGTGACCTCTATGTCACTGAACCCCTCTCTACCTGCCCCTCCCTGTGGTGGCCCTGATTCACTACAAATAAATTTCTATACCTCCCTGATAAATCCCCAACAAGACAGCCCACTTATATTCACATTAGCCAAGATAAGGATTGGTTGCATTCATAAGCCAAAATGAACACCAGAAGGCCAAACAATGCAGTCAAGAACTTAGTCTTACTTATTTCCTAAGAAGACACATAACTAAATGGAAAAATATCTAATAAGCTAATCAATGAATTAATAGTTGCACAAAACATAATTTATCTCAGTGCCTGCAATTCAACCACATAAGCATTCATAATGTCAAAGCTTTTTTTATTTCCTCCAAATTTATCAAGGTCTTATTTAATTGCTATAAACACCTAAAGACATGAGCAAATTAACACATAAAATTGCAGATTTTAGCTGATACATATTCATGAATGTATGTTGTTATGATCAGGCAAATAATGACCCAAGACATTGATAAATTCGGTAGAAGAAAAAGAAAAACACAGCACACTGTTAGAATTCTCTGCAGATCACAGAATGGAATCTTTGATTAGACCAGCTCTAAGAGACCATTCATAATAATTATTGTATTTCCGTAATTCTTCCAGGAGAGAGATCAGCAAATGTTTAATCAGTAAGCTTTGTAAAAATACTATCCCCAAAACACTGGAAAGCTAGATCAGTGCTAAAGAATCCTGGCTTCTTGGAAGGCTAATCCAGGCCCTGTTTCTCAGAATCCATCTCACATTTCTTCCTGGCATTCTTGCTTCTCTATCTACTGCCACTCAGAAAGGACTGACAGTTTTCCAAGCATTTGTGGGAATCTCAAGTTACAGCTATTTTGCGGTCTTCAAAATGAATGTATTTTATTTAGATGGAAATATACATCATGGGTTGGCTCACCCAGAGTGGCTGCAGTGTAGTTATTTTTTAATCCCTGGCCTGCTAACCCTTCTCGTTAGAGCCCATCCATACATAGCTCCTATTCATTAAATTCTTTTGCTCTCACCCAAGCAGGCAGTACCCCTGTGAGCTGGAAACTACATTTAGTCAAAACATGCTGGACTAGTCCCGACAAAAGTATTTGAGTAAATGCCTAAGGCAGACAGTGAAACTGAGAGGTAAAGGCATGGGCTGTGACAGGCCCTGCAAACAGCTTTGGAGAAAAGGGCATCATTATGCAGCACACACAGAGGAACACTTATTCATTTCAGCTGAGCCCAAAGCAAACCTCAGAATCCTTCTCAACACAATATTTTAGTCAGTCATTTCTCGTCAAACTGAAGCATGAAGCACTTCAAAGTTATTCGCCTCCCCTGTTCAGACTGAGGTCAAAAAGGAAGTTGAGCCCCAGAATAGAAAAATAACAACCCCACGAAACAAATATGTTTTAAGTATTTACTATGTTTCAGAAACTATTGCTTATATACGTTAACTCAATTGTTCTTCACAATAAACCTATGACCTAGGAGGTGAATACATTTGTGCAACTAATACTGTCCCAGTTTGTAACTACTTGCTCAAAGTCATATAGAATGAGGTTGAAGGTCAGTATTGAAATATAGGCCTATTTCCTCAACATCATGTACTCTTAGCCATTGTGCTGACAACGGGACTACCATTAAATCGGGAGAAATTGACTGCTGCTTATATTTATGATTTCAAGGGATAATAAAAAAAAATCCTCTCTGCTCACATCTTCAAGCTCTCCTCCTGACACATATTTGTTTGCTTTAACCAGAAGAAAACAACTGGTTGAATAGAGAGCATGAAATGAGTCTCACGCTCAGTCACTGCATAGTGCTCTGGCTTTGGGTAAATAGCTTAGCCTCTCTGGGGAAGACTGTTATAAGGATATTTGCCCCACAAGATTGTGTGAGTATTAAATGAAATATGTAAAGAAACACATTTTGAAAATGGAATGAGGTGTACAAGCATTAATTACTATTATTAAAATCCAGAATTAAATAAAAGCATAAGAATTCTCCCAGAAGTATTTGCATTTAGAGAATGGTATTTACACTGAGATTCTGAGTGGAGTTGGGAGGAGAGTGGGAGATGAACACCTAGGGGTCAGTGGGAAGTGGTGTGAATGAGTCTGACAAGGCTGGAGATGGAGAGAGGAGGTGCGGGCTCCTACTTTCCATTTGTAACCAGAAATAGTGATGTGGCTAGAAGCATCATCCGCAGATACACAGGCTAGATTTGTGCACTATCTTTGTCAGAAAATTCCCAGGCTATCAGACACTTTCTAATTAGCTCTTGTAAAATACAGATGGGATAATTAGAGAGTAGTTATTATCTGAGGAGATGAAGACACAAGCAAAGGATCCTTTAGGAAGTGCTGGGAGTCCGGGAGGGAGCCGGGGCTGAGAACAAGTGTACATACTCCAGTCCTTGGGGCTTGGTCAGTGTAGACCAAGGGAGGGAAACTGTGAGTTTCCCACATCCACATGACTCATTGCCCACTAACCTCAAAGGCAGCCTATGGACTCTTATCTCCCTTTTGAGATAAAGTCAGTCCAATTCTTCTTGTAGGTCAGTCAAGCCCTCTGGGGTGAGAGGAGTTGGCCGCTGTAGTCCAGTGGCATTCCATCTCTCCCTGTAGGCACCTCTCACATTCCATGGGGTGCTTGGGTTATTTGGGCACTAACCTAGTACAAGATGTGATCATGCAACCCCTTCGAGGGCTTTTTATATTTGTCTGAATCACTCACAGAGGCTCGTCTGGTAGATGCTTCATAAGGTGACTTCAGTTGAACCAGATAGGATTGAATTGAACTGAATTTGAATCAGTTCAACTGGTTACCTTTTCTAATCCTGAATCAGGTAAGATCAGAGGAATTCTGTTTTGCTCCGGCCACTGCCTCATACCAGCCCTCTCTTCACATGCCTGATCGGTGAATGGAACACTTAGTCTGTCCAGTTTCAAGGTGCCATCTTTGATGCCACTTTTTCTTTTCCTTCTTTACCTCCCATCCACCCATTGCCAAATCCTGTTCATTTTTATCCCATGCTCACCTTGAGAAACCATTTGCTTCTCTCCATCTTTGCCACCACTGTCCTTGGCCAAGCCATCACCATCTGTCAATTGATCACTAGTGTAGCCTATTCTGTAATCTCCCTATATCTATTCTTGCCCCAACCCCTACTGCAGTCTCTACTCTAAAGCTAAAGTGATTTTATTTTTTTAAATAGAAAAAGAAAACAAATCACAACACCAGTATTATCATATTGCTCCCCTGGTAAAACCCCTAAGAGTTTCAGCACCATCATGATAAAGATAAAAGTCCTTGAAGTTGCTTATGAGCACAGCCTGGACCCTCTCTCCTGAACTGCTCACGCTGCTTTCATCACTGGATCACCATTCTCCAGGTTTCACTCAGCCATTCTGGCCTTTGGGCCATTCCCCAAACGCTCTGTGCTTCCTCATATTGCGCACATTGTCCCCTCAGCCTGAAATCTCTCCATCTGAGCCCCCACATTTCCCTACTTAATTGACCTCAGTAAAGATGGTTTTTGTTCATGCGATATCAGGTCTTACAGCTATCCTCTCTCCTAGAATATTCTTTTCTTTCTTCATCATGCATGTGACAATTTGTAGGATATACATGTGTGATTATTTTTACTGTCATTTTTTTCCCATGAAGCAACAAGCCCTCTGAAAACAGGGACCATGTCTGCTTTTTCACTGTTCTGCTTGCAGGGATCTAAAATGGGCCTGACATAGGATGCAGAACAATAGCCATTTGTTATTGAATGATAAGGGAATGGAATCCACTAGCTCTTCAAACTACAGAATGGTCACCCAGAAAGCAGGGGCATGATGGGTAGGTAAAACCCATCCAGCTCTCTCTCCACCTCCCCTCCCATATGTAGCTGACTCATATTGCCTCAGAAACTTTGGGTTTACAATGTGCAGTGATATTTCAAAGGTGGGTGACAACGCTACAGGCCATAGAGGTACTCAGAATGGCCACTGACAAGTTTTTATGGTTGTGTGGAGCATTTCAGAATAGTTCATGTTTTATAGAGCAATGTTGAGAACAATTCGTGTCACCCAGTCATTAGAATCCAGATCCTAAGGGTATGTCAGAGGCCAGTCTTTACCCATTGCATCTCCTGGCTTCCACAGGAGGCCAGAAAGGAGGTTACCTAGTTCTGTTTAAATGCCTCCTCTGATAAAGAAGGAGCTCATGATATCTGTGCCACTGTGGAACAGCTGCACTTGTTAGAAAGTTCTGACTTATGTTGCACTGATGTCTGCCTTACGGTAACCACACACATCAGCTATGGTCTGAATGTTTGTGAACCTCCAAAATTTATACCTTGAAATCCTAACTCTGAAGGTACTGATATGAGGTTGTAAGGCTTTGGGAAGGTAATTAGGTTATGAGGGCAGAACTCTAATGAATGGGCTTAGTGCCCTTATAAAAGAGACCCCAGGGAGCTGCCTTGTCCCTTCCACCATGTAAGGACACACCTAGAAGGCACCATCTATCAAACAAAAAGCAGGCCCTTACCAAATACCAAATCTGCTGGTGCCTTGATCTTGGACTTCCCAGTCCCTAGAAATATGAGAAATAAATTTCTGTTGTTTATAAGCCACTCGGTTCATGGTATTTTGTTATAGCTGCCCAAACAGACTACAACACACATATCCTCATGTTCTCGAACCCACATACCAAATATCCCAAAATGCTCTTCCACAAGACAACGCTTCAGTTATTTGAAGACCACTGGCAAGCCACATCTGAAGTCTTCTTATCTATATTTTATGCTTTTTCCAGCCTTGATTTTTTATTTATGGACCACATCTTGCTATTTTATTGCATGCATTCTTATAAGCTACCTTAAATCCTGTGTGGAATAAGGCCATATATAAATAAATTGTTGTTTCTTTTTTTTAGGCAACAACTCAAGCTCACCACTCGACATTCTTCTCACTAAGCTTACTTGATTACCTCAGTTGTATTCTCTGATCATGCTGACACTAGAATAGCATTACCTCTGAACTCGCTCTTCATCTGAGACGGTTACTGCCAAGTCTGCAGCAGGGTATCTGGGTACAGTATCTTAGGATGACTGGGTAGAGTTTGAGAAAATGACAGCAGGCCCATCACTATATTTAACAGTTTCATTTTGCAAAATAGTTATGAGTGACCTTCTCAGGCTCAGAAAACCCCTAAAAATACCCACCCCTGAGACTTGAGTTGATAGCCTGGCCTCCACATGAACTAGAACATTAAGGCCACAGAAATAAAGCTCCCTCACACCCCTCCACAAAATCCACTTTCCCTCTTCCCTCCTTCGCAGCTCCCTATCTGAACTTGCCTTTGAAAGCCATTATCTTCACTCTGTCTTAACCCGTTCATTTCCATTTTTGTGAGACCTGTTCCAAAAAGTATCCCTATTACATGAGTATTTTTTTTCTTACAGCCAGCATCTTCCCTCTACATACAAAAGGCTGAGGTCATCCCTATCCTAAAAAATGCTAATAATGAAATATTTAATATCCCACCATGCCCAAAGCTGACATCCTAACTCTTTTCAAGCCTGAATACACTCCTGGCAAGAAGCACTGCTACTTCCGTTACATAAGAGTGGATTCAGGTTTTGAAGGGCCCAAAGCTGATACAGTTGGGGGTGGGGGAGAGGAGAGGTTCTTTAAGGTAAAGAATTTAAATACATAAATTTAAAAAATAGATGCAAATGAATATTTATTTAGATAAGGAAAAGATGCAATAAAGTATCATTTTTTAAAAAATGAACGAATACCACAAACATCACAAAATCTACAAAATAATGTAATATTTTATTAACTGCCTGGCCTCTAACATCTTCCTCTGTTTTTTAGCTGCATTCTCAGTTTGCTTCTTTATTTAGCAAGGATTCAATCTTTTATCCAGTATATTTAATTAAAATATTTATACATTTATAGTTTTTAAAAGTCTTAACTTCCTATTTCATTATTGATAATAAATAAGGTTGTAGAAATTTTCTTCAATTTGCAAAATCTCTTATCAAGTTTCATATCTGAGCTGAAATATTTCAAAATATTTCAAATTGTCTTGTGCTGTGACTAATCTTAAATCTTCTTTGAACTGACAACACCCATTAACCAGTTTGTCATTGATTTCTCATGATGGTGGTATATTATGCATCTTAGGTTATCGTATCTGATAGGTGAGAATTCACATTCTGATTGGGTCTTGACAAGAACCAGATCGTCTACTTGTAGTTTTACACATCTCATGATTGGGAGAACTTTCCACATACTAGCTCTGGCTCTGTTCATTTCAAACCTTTTCTCCTCCACTACCTACATTTCTCCAAATGCCCGATGTCAAACGACATGTCCACATTGTCATCAGTGCTGGGTGAGTTGGCCCTGTGGGTGGAGGAAGAATTCCCGTGACTATTAGCAATAATTTAACTATATGTTAACTACCATATGCAAACCACACAGCAGAGACTCTTAAGCCTTAACTCTAGTTCTCTAAGCTGATGCTTGAATCCGAAGCAGGCATTCCACTTTTCATTTAGGACAGCCTGAGGAGAAAGAGTGTTCTTACCCCTCAGAGCAATTAAATCTTACATATGTAAGTTTCACAGATCACATGACTATGGGAAGGCATTGCTAGGACAAGTCCTAGGGCTCGGGAAAGATCTGGGAAGTTAAAGGGCCTGAATGGAGCCTCATTTGTTTAATGATAAATCTGCCTTGGCTGTTAAAGTATCCTCAAGAAAAATCTCCTGCTTTCTTTACCCAGATACTCATTCCTCTGTCACCTAACTTCTTGAAATTTCATTTCTCCAGTTTCTTGTAACTCAGCAGGGTCCAATTAACCACCTAACAATATGATACCTTTTTCCCAGTCTTTATTCTTCTCAAGCTCTTGGCCTTTTTTGCTGAACCAAGCTGGGTTTTTCTGCCTCTGAACTAGCACTTTCCTGACTCGTTCACCAACTGTCTCTCTCAACCTCTATCATCTCACTCTTCCATCTCCCCCACTCTCACACCTCCCCTTTGTCTCCCCTAAATGTTGATGCTTTCCCAAGTTCTGCCCTGACTCCTTCCTTCCTTCTATGGAGTGTCCTTCCTTAGAAACCTCATTCACTCACAGAATTGCATTGTCACCTCAATTTATATGCATGCTCCAGTCTCCTCCTCTTTCAAGCCAAATTCCATTGCCTGCCAACGTCTCCCTGACACTTTAATGTCTTTTCCCAAAATCAGCTCTCGCTTTGTGTTTATACTTTGTCTATTCATGATAAGAGATAGTTGTTGATTCTTCTTTCTCCCTTGACCATCACACTGGTCTTTCCCCTTTCCTATGGCACTGCCTTCTTCTAGTCATAACATGCCAATTGTACCAGCGAATATCCTACAATCTACTGCTTTCTTTACCCTTTCACCCAAATGCTTTTTTCTTCTCAGAATTGCCACATGCTTTTTGTCTTATAGCATTTATTAAATTTTGGCCTTATATTTACGTAGCAATAACTAACACTTATCAAGTGCTTACAATGTGCTAAGCGTTTTGCATTATCTCATCAGAATCTCACAACCACCCTGTTTCTTTACTGGCTACAATTACGATGATTATTATTTGTAGTTTAAATGAAGTACCTGAGCCTCATAAAAATTAGTAACTTGCTGAAGGTCACATGGTAAGTGGCAGAGCCAGAATTTAGAAGTAGCTGTCTGACTACAAATAACCATGAACTTATTCACCGATAACTAATAATAATAACAATAGCTATAAATTATTATGAACATGCCATGTGCTTTGTACACCTCATAATTACCCTATGAATTTATACTATTATCATTCCCTTTATGCCGTCCCCCTAAGGTCTTCTTGCTGGTGGTGTCAGAACTTCAATGGGAACATGCACCATTTGGCTCCAGATGCATGTCACCAGACTGCCACCCTCTGCTCTGCTGACCTCATGTCATCTTATCGTCTCGTACTTTCTACTATCCAGTGGTCTCCTCAAAGGCAGGGCCACTTCTTATTCTTTTTTTCTTACTAAAAATAATTTCAAAATTATTGTTATTATTATTATTGTTATTTGAAACAGAGTCACACTCTGTTGCCCAGGCTGGAGTGCAGTGGCGCAGTCTCAGCTCACTACAATCTCTGCCTCCTGGGTTCAAGAGATTCTCCTGCCTCAGCCTCCCAGGTAACTGGGATTACAGGCACATCCTACCATGCCTGGCTAATTTTTTGTGTTTTTAGTAGAGATGGGGTTTCACCATGTTAGCCAGGCTGATCTCGAACTCCTGGCCTCAAGTGATCTGCCCACCTCAGCCTCCCAAAGTGCTGAAATGACTGGCATGAGCCACCAGGCTCAGCCTCAAAATTATTTTTAAAATTACAAATACTAAAATCTTTTTTTCTGAACCATTTCAGAGTATGTTACCAACGTGCTGCCCTATTATTCCTCAACAATTTAGTGTAAATTTCCTCCAGACAAGGACATTCTTCTACATAACTACAATATAACCATCAAAACAAGGAAATTAACACTGATACGTCATTACCACCTACTCTCAGCCCCCATTTAATCATTGCCAATTTTTCCCAGTAACATCCTTTAGAGCACAAGGATCCAATGCAGATTTAAACATTTAGTTGTTAGTGTCTTCTGTCTCCTTTGGTCCGAAATAATTCCTCAGTCTTCCCTTATCATCGATGACCTTGACACTTTTGAATGTAGAAGGCCAGTTATTTGTAGACTGTACCTCGATTTGAGTTTGTCTGATGTTTTGTCATAATTAGATTCAGGTTATATGTCGTTGGCAGGAATCTCTCAGAATGATGCTCAGTTCTTCCATGTCTTCCAATCAAATGGTCACAATTGCTTTTTGTCTCTTTTCTGGTAAGTTAACTGTGATAATTAGATTAAGATGTTATCTGCCTGGTTTCTCCAGTTTCTCCTTTTTTTCCTTAGCATATAAATATTTCACAAAATGTACCTCTTTTAGACTATGTAAATATCTTATCATCAAACTTCCACCCACTTAGTTTTAATACCCATAGATGTTTCTTGGTTTAATTATTATGGCTGCTAAATGGTGATTTTCTACTGCAATTATTCCTTCTATATTTATTAATCCAGCATTCACTTCTCCCGAGTTATTTATCCAATAATTTATTTACAGTAGTATGAACTCATGAACTCTGTTTTGTTGAATAGATTATAATTCTTTGCTAACATTTTCTACTTAGAAGCTCAACTTATTCCAGATTTGTGTGAGCCCCTTCAAAGAGGCTTCTGTGTTCCCATCACCTTTTGAGTACTTCCTTACATCCTGGGACACAAAGATTTTCCACGCTTCTCTTGCACTTTCCCTAGCCCAGTCCTGGCATTATCCATTTCTCCAAACCACCATGGTTGCATTTAGTAGAGAATGGTGTTTAGGAATCAAGGTCTGGCCTCTATGTGTGCTCATCATGATTACGATGTCGCTGCTGTAGGGCTTTTTGAGCAGTCAAAGCTAGGAAGTGTGTGTGTGTGTGTGTGTGTGTGTGTGTGTTTGTGTATGCACACACACATATATTTAGACCTATATTTATTTATATTTATATATGTACACATTAATTAGACCTATATTTAGATACACACACATATTTAGATCTATAATTATTTCTCTATGCCTATCTATCTCTCTATTCCTCCTCAAAACAATGACGTTTTACCAGTACCCCAATTCTGATCTAATATCACTTGGTTCTTTCATTTTTCTCCTTTTCCAAATGTATAACTCTCTCCTTAAATAGCGTGAAATCTGGCTCCCATTATCTTATTTACTTATTGGGTCAATATCCCAATACATACATCCAATCTCCTGTCACTGCCACAGTTTCCCATCCCACATGGATGTCCTACCCACCCTACTCAGGCTCAGATTTCTCATGCCAGCCTTTCCCCACCATCAACTCCCCAACCTCACCTTCCAATACAGAAGCCAGTCTTTTCTCAGCCCTACCTAATAGCCTCTGGACTAAAATACTAAGGAAGCTTACTAATTTCATAATGGACTAGGATGTCCTTTGTCCACTGGGCACTCAGTTTTTTAATAGAACAAAACAAACGCTTGTCTGTATGTTTTTTAAAGATGAAAAATAGTCTTTATTAAGAAAATAACACAGCGTATACTTTCTTATTATAAAAAGATAATGCCTAAATAAATGCAAAAATGAAATAAATAGTAATTTCCCATTAAGAAGCCTAAATTTAACTTTTAAAATCATAAAAGGTCATCATTTTTCCTCTATATCTGGCCTGCCCCAGTATTCGTGAGAGTTTCTGACCTTCATTTTCTTCCAATCTGCTAGCAAGAAAAAATGTTTTAAATTACTTTTCAAAAATGTCCTTGTCACTTCATGAATTGAAACTGATTGCTCTTAGTTTCTCTCTAACCAGGCCATCTAAAGTCTATTGCTGTGACACATGATTGTGAACTGGTCTCTCCAAACAGAGACTCCACCGTCTGATGAGGATCCATCTCTTCCAGTCCATCCATTAAGAACTCCTCCCTCTGAGAACATGGTCCTTCCAAGTTTCCTTTTCTAATGTTTCAAAACTATTAACACATTATACAGGAGCTTATAAAGGTCTTTTCATGAATATTATATTTCAGTTATTGATTTGTTTTCCAATTACGGTGCACACAGATGTGATGTGGTTATAAAATAAATAAATGTGTGGCTTATGAAAATATGTTTTATTCTTTTCATAGTTTACTGTAAATATATGAGAAATAAATATATTTTAAAGAAAATTTGTTCTTTGGGGTTTCCAGAGAAATTAAAGGGTATGGCCACCAGCAAACAAAAGTACAACATTCATAATTTTTAGGCTTCAGTTAAAACTTCTAGGGACATCTGTGAAGGCCTGTAGTGGAAATTTCAGTTGACTATTGGATAACTTCTACCATGACACTTTAGGCCCCCAACTCACCAATATTCTGGTAAGACGAGAGTCCAGTTTCTAGTGCGATCATCCATAGATTGTCTGATGATAATAATTCACGTATAATATTACACGTATTCTTTATAAGAGCCCTTTAAGGTAGACGAGACAAGAGCTATCAAGTGACTGCACAAGCTCACACATATGCTAGGTAGCAGAACTAAAATGCAATCTCAGGTCTTCATTCATACCACACATGACGCTCTCTCTCAAGACTAGATTATATTTTTAATAGGTTTCTGATTCCTCAATCACATCTTCTTATGTGGTGCATCCAAACTCCCTTCTACCTAATGAGGTAGATAAATCAAGCCAATCAAATCTAAACTCATGGGAAAAACGCCTTCTGAAAAGATGTTTTCTTTAAGATAACTGGCTTTTAAAAGAAAAATTTCCCTTCAAATTACAGAGCAAAGTATCTAAAGAAATTCCCAACCAGATTATATAACTGACAAAGTAGAGTGAATTTTTTTTCTTCTGGACTATCATTTTTATATGAAGACAGGACAGTAAATTCCATGCATAAACTATTTTTCAAAGATGATGTGCTATAGCCATGAGAATATAGGATGAAAAAAGTGAATCAGTTACTTGGTGGTTATCACAAAGCCTCAAAATCAACATTTCAGTTTCTGATGCATCTGCTGCTTTCACCTACTGAAAATGCAAAGAATTCTACTACTATAAGAAATATTTATTATTTTTATAATTATAAAGTTAATATATGTTTATCATTCTTAAAGTGCAGAAAGATATAAAGAAGAAAATTAGAATTACAATTAGAATCACCACCAAGCAATAATGACTGGTTTCACTTAAAAATTTCCTTTCCTGCATTTGCACGTCTGGTTTTGTTTTTACAAAACTGGGAATGTATAGTAGAGTTTTGTTTTCCATTTTCTTTCTCATTTATATAAATAGCATTTTCCCATGACACTAAACTCTGTAATGGGGCATTGGTGGATGAATAATGGCCTATGGAATGTACCCTAATTTATTTAACCATAATTTATTTAACTCTGTTATTAGAAATGTTGACATTTTTATTTTCACTATTAAAAACAGCAATACAATAAACACTTTTGCATGTAAATCTTTCTCGAAAACTTTGAATATATTCCTAGAAGTAAAATTATTACATCAAAAGGCATGAACTCTTTTAAGAATGAGTTCATAACACTGTTACATGCATTTCCAGGAAAATCATACCCATTTACCCTTCAAGGAACAGATTATCCAAAAACCCTTGGGAGCATTTAATATTTTAACATTGTTTCATCAATTTGCTGGTTTAAAAATAAAATTGTATTGTTGTTTTAATTTTCATGTACTTTACTATTAATAAAACTGAAGGATTTTTGCACATGTAAGTTTCACATATATGAATATATTCACCTGTGTGCTTTATGTTTGTGTGTGTTTCCTTCTGTCTTATGCCTATTTTTCTACTGATATATTCACATTATTATTTTTAGATATGTATTTTAAATATATTTTCAAATATTAATAAAGACACTATTTTATATACTAAACAGAGCCCTTGACATATTACTAATAATGTTATTAACATTACTTACCACTTTGTCGTGTGCTTTTAATTTTTATACCATCAAATCTTTAAGGTTCCACTAGGTATTCAGAGCTCATAGTGTTTAAAACATGTCATTGCACATTTGCGTAAATAGAATAATTTTTCTATCAATCAGTTCATTTGTGGCTGCAGAATAGCCATTAAACCAAGCTGCTTTGAGAGCCCAACACCCCATATTCAGCAGTCTCCACTGGCAGTTTTGGAGAGTAGTGAATTATACAAAAATACACTTCCAAAACTCAGCCTTTCATAACCATTTTCAGTGGAGCTTTGAACTGACCCAGGGCCCTTTGGGAACTATGTTTCTCTCCAGACATAACATTATTTCCTGGTTATAGAACTAAATCTTATCAAAAGCACCTCAAGACTCTTCTAGGGGACATCAAATACCCATTGCCAAATAACATTTTGATGAGTTAAGTGTAAATGAATGTGAAACATATGGACTATATTTCCTCTAAATAAACAAGAATATAAAATGGAAAGGTGCTTAGCCAAGTAGATTTGGGACTGTTTGGGAAGAAAAATGAGTTTAATTCAAGCCTAAAATATAATCCGTGTATCAACTGTATATATGATCTCAAAATAAGTTGGGTCTGTGCTGGCCACAGGTATCAATAACCCCTGAGAGAAGATAGGAATTCCAAGGGTATTTCTCTTCAACCTATATTCTAAGTCCCTTTGTGGCAATATTTTTTAAAAGAGGGAAGAATACATAAAGTATATTACTTTTCCTTTCATTTCAGTTCTGCCACTGTGAAATATTAAGATTCACATCAAGCCAGATGAGTCCTCCATACCACTCCAAGCTGAGCCAGCCCAAATAAGTGTAGGAGAGACTGACACCTGTGGCACAGAATTACCTTCGAGGAATCAAGCTGCTCTTAGCCAAAACTGCCATCTGTCCACAGTGAAATCTGTCAATTGTGGCTATTTATGAAATCGCTAGTTGAGCCTATAAATGGCTTTATCTTACCTTACCTATTCTCTTATCCAAAATTTTACAGAGCTGTACACTCATTTTTCTAAAAGGAGACAAGTGTAGAATAGTCACTGGCCATATTAATGAAATGTAGAGTGTTGTGATACAAAGTGAAAGGAGGTTGGGCTTTGGAATTAAGCAATCTAGGAGTCAAATCCTGCTGCCATTTGCTGTGTGATCATTGGATATGTTATTAACATCTCTGCTTCAATTCGTTTATTCTGTGAAATGGGAACAGTGATATCTCTCCTGCCACATTCACTGATGGTGAGAAAGAGTTATGAAGAAAATAAACATGAAGATGTCTGACCACCCAAAGCAATCACTTAGTATATGACGCTTTCAAGGGCCTTTCTTGGAATTTTCCAAGTCACAAAGTGCTGTACATGGGATTGCTGAGGGGAATGGGGTCTGGGTTGCAGATTAGGTTAAAGTTGTTGTGGGAATGTTGAGCTTTCATTTTATTTTTCAGGAGAAATCTACATTCCTTTAACATCATACCATCCATGTTTGCATAAAACTAGGATACTCAAATGATACGTTGCCTGATTTTTAAACTTAACATTGTTGTGTGGAATTACACAGAAATAAACAGAAAACCACAGATGGAGAAAATTCCAGTTTAACAAGGAGGTCCTCTGCCAGTTCCAAAAATGTTAACAAGTATTTCCTAAACAGGATTGGTCTCAGGCTCCCTCTTTCAGCCAGCATACTGTGCAAGAGATTACTAGGGAAAGCAAACCAGCTTTCATCTCCAATAGACTATGTTTTTGCCAACCCCCACTTCTTAAAACTCAAATACCATATGTCATTTCTGTCATCATTATTATCTTAAGAGTGTCCACAAGGTCACTGATGACATAAAATGAATAGACCCCAAATGTCTCTTTCAAAACCAAGGCAGAAAGGGTAAGGGAGCAACTTAAGACAGGAATCTTTATCCCAAGACTTTCTCTAGAAAGAGAAATATCACCTATCACTGAAGTGTGAAGACCTCCATAAAACGTTGGAGCATTTGAAAATATTATTATGTCTTAAGTCTATGGCTAATTTGTCTTAGAATTTTAATATATTTTTAATATCTTTACACCTCAATGCTTAAAGGATTATTTCATCAGCTTTACCAGGCTTCAGAGCAAATGAAACCCAAATCATGATCAGTTTTCAACTTATTCCTTTCTCATAGCTTAACAACTGACCATTACACATGAAACCAGAGACTACGTATTTTCTAAAACAATGTCATATCCAAGTATCACGTTTCCTTTTTTCCAACAAGTTTATTTCTCCATTCGTAAGTATACATGGTATACTCTACTTTGCAAGTTAAGAGTACAAGCTTTGGAGTCAGAGAGAGAGAATGGAATGATCTCCTAGATTTGCTATGAATCATTTGCGTGACTTTGGGGAAGTGAGCTACCTTTTCTGAGCCTCAGTCCCCATATTTATAAATTGGGCTGAGTAGCATTACCTTCGGCTTAGAAAACATAGTCACAATAATTATTCCCTACCCAAAAACAGGTGAGCTATGTTCCACATAGGCAGAGGTAAAAGTCCACAATGTATTGAATATTTATGCAAAAATCTTATTATTCTCCTTGGATTTTTCCTTAAACACACACACAAAATTCTCATAATCCTTGGGTTTAGTCCTTCTTTTTTCTGCAACCTACATTTAACCCATTTCATTGCCTTTTAGCATCATACCTAGAAGATCACAGAGTAAACATGGGTACCTCAAATGAGAGGCCCCTTCAAAATATACGTTTCCTTTGTGACTCAGAGATTTCCACATGCATGATCTTAGAGCAGTTACATCCCCTGTTCAGTTACCTTTTTTTTTTTTAAGCTAGGTAAGTTTAATTAAATGATGGCTGATATCTTCTCTGGGTCTGTCTTCAAGGATTTAATTTAATAATTATAGCATTATATAATAAATTAAGCTGAAGTGGATGCCTAAAATGAGAAAATGAGATTTTAAAGCTAGCTGCATAATTTAATTATTCTTACTATCTCGGACCATTGCAACATATAATCTCTCTTGTTTTTATTAAGCAAGCTTCACTATGTTTCTCATAAAAATGAAGTTTGTGATGAACACTGTCCAAAGAATGCAGGTTGCATTTCACTAATAAGCTTGGGCTTGGCTGGGGGCTTTTTGGAGATGACTAAGTATTACAAGTGTAATCCACATGTTAAAGTACATGAGATGGTTGAATAGCAAAATATCACTGAAACCAGAGGGAAAAATTTTTAGCTCAAGATTAAGGGCTGATGTGGGTTGGGAGAGGAGGTGAAAGTGTAAAGAATAATTGAGATATTGAGGACAGAAAAGAACTCGAGGAAAGGGTTTCTAAGCAAAGGAATAGTTCTTCCAGGAACCCGTAGACTTGGATTTTTTTTTTCCTGATCTCCTTAAAAAGCCAGGAAGGTTTCTAAAATCCTTGCAACCTTAGTTGCAGCAAGCATTTTGTAAGAGGCTTTTCTGCAGAAAAAAAAAAAAATCAGTAGGGATCACTCTCCGTGGAAGAGAGCTATAGCTTCAACATTATACAGATCTATGAAATGACAAATAAAACAGTTAAAGCTACAGAGAGACAGTTGATGGAGTCCTGGAGTTGAGGCAGAAATGTTTTGCATTTTCAAGACTGAGAGGAAACGAATGCAGAGCAGAAGCATGAGAATTCTGTGCAATCAAGACCTGTGTTCTGAATTAAGGATGCGCCCTGAGTTGGGCGTTAAAAGCAGATCAGAGGGTGCCAGAGAACCAATAGGATGAAAGAAGGAATGAACAGAAACAGATCAGCTATGGTCGCCTTTCTAAAGAAGCCAAATGGAATCTGTGAAATGCAAAGCTGAGCACAAGCAACCCTTCTCCAAGGCACCTCCACTCACCATCTGTGTGGCCTTGGTCAAGTTAAACTCTCAAAGCCTGTTCCTCATCTGAGCATAGGAGATAATATCTAACCTTTATACTTACAATATGTTTGGGTGAGCACACTGTGGACACCAAAAAGTGTGAACTGAGGGTTAGCAACGTCAATCCTTCCCAATGCAAACATTCCCTCTTACGTCAGTTCTGTGCGTGTGGTGAGCCGCCACCCATCCTCCTTCTTATAATAATAATAATAATAATAAAAGCTTCCATTTCTTTGAAGACAATTACTAAATCACCTGTCAGAACGTGGGTATCCTCAGGAAAAAAAATATAATAGGCGTTTTCACAAAACACAAATTGCTGTGTTATTTCTCCTCCCCGCCCCCAAAGATTCAATTAACAAGAGGGAAAATGTGGTCGTGTTTTTAACAAGTTCTTCACGCTGAATTGCTTAGAGATGTACATTAAGCCTTCTTTTAGTAATAGGAAAAAATTATCTCGTCATGACTCGACTCTCTTTCGTACCTCCAGCAGAGGATTGCAATCAATCAGCCGGACAGCAAGATTGATTTTCTAATTAAGCCAGCATTTGTATCAGCTTGCAGAGCCACAGAAGGCTTCCCTACTGTATCTTCCCAGCACGTTCCTATTTGTATTCATTTACCCTCACATTTCTAGCACTTTCAAAGTTGGGGAAAAAGGGTTAGATAGTCTCTTCCTCCATGCAAATATCCAATAGGATCTCTAGCTGCTTCAGGGAAGAATTACATCATTATTGACCAAAAGAGAGAAAACGTTGCCAGGAGTCCATTTGGACTCGATTTGGCTCCCACATGGATGAAATTTGCCACCATGACCCTGCTTCCCCACCCGCTCCCCAACCCCCAGGGCCCACCCGTGGTCGTGGTCGCAGCTGGGCCAGCCAACACAGATGGCTGAGGGAGGCAGGCTTTTAGCATTTCTAAATGCTCCACTTTAAGCATTGCTTGCCAAAAAGGTAGAGCAGGCTTTTGTGCAGGCCTCTGTGATGAGATGTGCTCATGATTTAATTTACTTAGGGGAAGAATATGAAACCCTGCACAGCTCAGCCGGATTCAGCGTCCTCAGGGACTCTGCCGGAGAAGAAAACTTGCTTTAGCAATTCTGGATCCAGTGTGCTGGTGCCTTGTTGCTCATGACCTTCCCTCAGTGGGAGACACTGGGGAATAAAACTGAAGTCAGTATAAGAAAAGCTTGCATCTTTTTTAGTTCATTCCTGGTACATTCATTACCTAATATTTTTTAATTAAAAGCTCAGTCTTTCATCAATTCAAAATGCTAATTTTGATTTAGAGAGCACTCTGACCTGAACTGGAATGAAGTTGACTTATGTTCAATCTTAAAAAAGAAAAACAAAAACAGAAAGCAGAAAAAAAAAGAAAGGAAAAATAAAGAGGGTGATTCAGGCAAACAAAGTGACTTTGAGTGGGAGGGGGTAGATGTGTGTGATGAGTTTATTCAAGAAGCCATTTGTTTCAAAGACCTTAAAAAAATAGTCTTTCAAGTAGCACCATTCGTATCCTATAGCCTTTGGTCTTTAGTGACATCATTCCAGTCATTCATGTTCCCCTGGGCTGCATAAACATGACATGCTCCAAATTGAACTCATGGTCTTTTCCTGAAACTGCATTCTTCTCATTCTCATTTCCCTATTTCTTTCTTTCTTTTTTTTTTTTTTTTTTTTTTTTTTTTTGAGACAGAGTCTCGCTCTGTTGCCCAGGCTAGAGTGCAGTGGTGCAATCTCGACTCACTGCAAGCTCCGCCTCCTGGGTTCACACCATTCTCTTGCCTCAGCCTCCCAAGTAGCTGGGACTACAGGTGCTTGCCACCATGCCCAGCTAATTTCTTTTTGCATTTTTAGTAGAGACAGGGTTTCACCGTGTTAGCCAGGATGGTCTCGATCTCCTGACCTCGTGATCCGCCCTCCTCGGCCTCCCAAAGTGCTGGATTACAGGCGTGAGCCAACGCGCCTGGCCTGATTTCCCTATTTCTTTATACGGCCCCACTGTGCTACTAACCATCAGGTTCAAACCTAGGCAACACTATTGACTCAGTTCTCTCTTGACACCCACATCTAATTGGTTGTCTTATTCTGTGAAAGTGATCTGTGGGAGACACCAGCATAACTTCTGGTCATTTTTACTTACATTATTGCAACAGCTTCTTAACTCTTTTTCCTGCATCAGTCTCTCCTTTTTCTTGTCCTCTATTTCATTGCCACAGTAATAGTCTAATTATTTACAAAGAGTATCTTGAATTTTGTTATGCCAAGCTCAAGGACTTTAGCAGTTCCCCCACTGAATCCTACTTAGAACAAACTCCTCATGTGGGCAGACCTTTTTATGTCACCCGTAGGTCAGTGGCTGGAGGTTGCTACTTTCCTCAGGGGTGACAAAAATTCTTTGCTTAACCAAACTTGAATCAGTTTCCCAAATCTTCTCCTAGGCCTGTCTGTGCACTTCCTTGTGAAATCAAATTTTAGGGGGAACCCTGCTAAGTCAGTTTAGCAGGGTTCTCCCACCCTTGATATCAGATAACCCTTTATATCTGATCATGTTCCTTATCCTCCACCATCCCCCAGGTGATGTCTGACCACCCTGGCCTGTCTCCAGCAAGAATCCTGTTCAGCTGTTCAGTTCATTTAACCAGAATCCCCCTTGCCCCTGATGGTTCCTCTCAGTAATTTTCCATCTATTGACCCCAGCCTGCTCCTTGACTATAAATTCTCACTTGCCCATGCCAAATTCAGAGCTGATCCCACTCTCTCTACTCCACTGTAAAATTGCATCATTGTGGGTTTTTGTTTTTTTGTTTTTTTTTTTGAGATGGAGTTTCGCTCTTGTTGCCCAGGCTGGAGTGCAATGGCCCGATCTTGGCTCACAGCAACCTCCGCCTCCCGCGTCCAAGTGATTCTCCTGTCTCAGCCCCCCAAGTAGCTTGGATTACAGGCATATGCCACCACGCCTGGCTAATTTTGTATTTTTAGTAGAGACGGGATTTCTCCATGTTGGTCAGGCTAGTCTCGAACTCCCGACCTCAGGTGATCCGCCCGCCTGGGCCACCCAAAGTGCTGGGATTACAGGCATGAGCCACCGTGCCCAGCCCACTGTGGTCTTTTTATCTATTTCAATGGTAAAAATAAAGCCTTTCTCACTGTGCTTTAACAAGTATCATTAAATAACTTCTTCTTTAATGGGGGCATTTGGAATCTGTCAGAGTTGTGTTTGCCTCAGTAACTAGAAATCACAACTGTCATTTACTGAGTGGGACATTTAGCAACCCAGGAACAAGACAGTCACAACAGCTGGTTGAGAAACACTGCTACTAATCAGGCCAAATCTAACTTTATCTTTCTTCCAAATATGTACCACCTTGGTTATGACCTGATTCATCTTCAAATCAGTCCCATGTGTCATCTCTTCCAAATAAACTTTACTGATCATCACCACCCTGTACCCTAACACACACACACACACACACACACACACACACACACACACACGAGAGAGAGAGAGAGAGAACTTTGATTTTTCTCCTTTCTGAATCCCACTTAGAAAACTTAATCACAGTCTGCCTTTTGCAAATAAATTGGCCTTAGATTGCAAGCCCCTTGTGAGAGGGTATTCATATTGCTCATTTTTATTTCATTAATACAAGTTACACAAAGCTTTATATAAAATAAGCACTCAATATGTAGTCATTAAATTGATGTGGGATGAGGATCTGCACTGAAAATGGAAGCCAGAGGACCCGAGAGTCAGGCTGGGCCTGAAGGACTAAGTGGGTAGTCAAGGCAAGAGCAAACATATCCTCAGAAAGGGAAAGACAGACTAGGCAGAGAGACTTTGTAGCAGTCTGAGAAAGAGGGGGCAGCATCCAGATGAGAGGTCAGGCAACAAGAGCTCAAGAGTTCAAGGCCTCAGTGGTCAGGGAGAAAGAAGAACTAACGAGACGTAAATGAGCAGCTCAAAGAAGCTTCACGAAACAAAAGGACAATTTAGGAGCAAAAATGATCTCATCAAGTCATTGAGAAACTGGATGGCCAGTGGTCTTGGCAGGTTGTGCCCTGGGACCCAAAGCAGCTGAAGGGGAGCAGCTGCATGGCAATGGAACTCAGACACAGCTGAACTTAAGTTTTGCCCCAGGCTCTGAGCTCTTATATGGTTCCTCTGAGGATGGCCATCAATCCTAGTTCCATTAGTATGAGTTCTGCAGGAGGGGACAGACCACTGGGAGCATTTGGCCTGTGCATTTGCAAGAGAAATCAGTAGCTTTTAGGAGGCCAAGCCACAGACAGGGCCATTAACTGACTAGCTGTTTGGAGAGAGAATTTGCAGGTGAGAAAGAGGGAGAGGCAATGTTTCAGAAGAACACTCAAGCATGGTAAGTTAGATGCATGCTTGACTCGAGAAGAAAACTGACTTTGAGGAAGAGAACACTTGAAGGTGATTTTTGCAAAAGGAATGGGAGGAAACTAGAAAGAGAACTCCACGGTAAAAAGAACTGGGCTATGTGCTAAAATTGAAACCATGGAAATAGAAGGTAAGAGAAAAATCAGAAAATATGGCTTACAGAGGATTTTAAAGGGAAAGGCATTGAGGTCTCTAAATATGAAGTCTCACTGGAGTGGAGAGAATAGCGTTAAGTAGTCATGCAGAAAAATTGTGAAGAGTAAAGAGGTCCCTTGACTAGAAACATCACACTCAAGTGGTAACACCCATATACTGGGAGAAAAAATTGGAATAAGAGTTGGATAAGACTGAAATTAAATGGAAGCTCCATCTGTTTTGCAAAAGTAGTAACCATTCACTACGGCAAGAATAACCAAGAAAATTCATCAGTGACTATTGGCTGGGGGGCTACTTTTTGTGAAGCACCTTCCTAGAGGAGGGCATATCCCTATCATAGGATAGGGAGGATTTCAGTAGGTAAGGAGGAAAGAACTGAGAAACTGAGCATTCCTAGACAATGCAAACATTATGAACAACAGCCTAGGACCAGGAAAGTATATTCCAGAGATACGGAAAAGACAAATCTTATTGAACAAAAGCCAGAATGAAGGAGAGGAGGGAAATGGGAAGAGATGATTTTCAGCACTTGAAAGCTTAATCATCATCTATCCCATGGTGAACCCTTAATGCCAAAGAAAAGAAGGCACACGGAGATACTGAGAAAACGTATTCACTGGTTTACAAAGGAATTATTTGGTGCTGTAGAAAAAGACAACACCCAGTTTACCTTTTTAAAAAATCACTTCTCCCCTTCTCCCTCACACTGCCCATATTCCTATGATGATTTTTTCCTTTACAATCCTGTAAAAGAGGAGTCTGTGAGCTTCTTGGACTTGGGCTGCTGCCATCCTCCTCATGTCTCTTTATCTTCAAGAGTCTCCGTTGCATTCACAAAGGAATGAAGACAGAGTTAATTAGAGGAAAAGTTAATTAGAATCTAGATCTCCTAAAATGTCTCTCTACCTTCAGCGATTCTTCAAGTTACTAAAAGTGCTGCTGAGAGGAAAAGATTTGCATTGAGGCAGAACTTTGTGGCTGTAAAAGTAATTCCAAGATGACTACAGAGAGAAGGATGTGACTTGTAAGTACAGGAACACTTGGTATTTTCATTTACAATAATTTGCCTTTGGAGGTAGCTCTAGATATTAGGGACAGAAGGGCCAGGGAGCTGTGTCAGAAATGACTATTCACTTCCCTCAGGGAAAGAGACCCAACCACCTTAGATAAAAAGGGAAGAGGAGAAGAGGAAGTTAGACAAAACTGGGTTAAGGAGCAAGGCTGGAGAAATCTTCCTTCTCCACACAGGGACTAATTTTAGTAGTCAACTGTGCCAGTAATTTAACCCATGGCTCTTTCAATCCAAGGTTCTATTTGGAGAAGTTTTTTCTAGAAGCAAATTGACATTTGGAGCACAAAGGCAAGTGGATTAAGGCGAAATGATATGCAAAGCCAGGGTTTGGTTTTTTTGGGGTGGTGGTGGTGTTGTTGTTGTTGAGGTTTTTTTTGTTCTAAATACACATAGGGAAATATATTCACATGTACATTCTTCAGAAGGGCTCTTCCTTTTGCACAATAAATTGCTACCGTTTGCTTTAAAAAATATAAGATTCAACCCCAGGTACTCATTTTGTCACATCCTGGTGCCAAAATTCATATCAGGGATAAGTAGATAGAAAAAGAATTACTGCATCACAAATACATACATGGAGGAAGGGGAATTCTATTCACATGGATATTTCATGAAATAAAATGAAAGCAACTTCTGGAACCCAAGAGACCTTGGGTCATATCTTCATTTCAACCTCATAGTTGGAGGCCTCTGCACTGCAGTTTCCTCATCTCTAAATTGAGAGGAATATTATCTGCTTCTTACAGTTGTTATAAGGACACAAGGAGGCTATATGCTAAAATTTAGCCAACTGCTTTGCACATAGTATTTATTCTATGAAAAAGAATTATGTTGGCAGGAACTTAGAAGGCCATAGGAAAGATCTTCACAAAACGAGTTTCCTGTTGGGGTGTGAGGGGTGGAGGTAATAGTGGTTGCCATAAAAACCAGTTTCCATATCACCAGATTTACTTGCCTCTCTCTCCCTGAAGTGAATGTTTCATCTGGCACTCAACAAAATGAATTGCTGGGCCCCTGGTCGAGTGCAAATCCAGCATCTATTATTGGCATCTTTCTTAATGTCTTTAACACCATCAAAAAAGTGGAGCAACCAGCCAATTGGAGACTGTTCAACACTAAATAAACATTTGGAATAGGGCCATGCCTTTTGCAAAATTACAATCTGCTTAAAATAGCCTCAGAGGTCAGTTTTAAATATGCTCCATTGGATATCCACTTTTGTTTACTTCTATCCAAAGGCAGTTTGGGGGCAAGCAACTTAGACAGCTGCTTGGGGCATCAAGCACTAAGTGCAGACACTGCTGTTCCTTGGACAAGACGTGCTGCGCCCTGCTTCTATTTTAAAAGTCCTCCAGCTACAGTTGCCAGAGAAGGCAAGGGCCGTTGAGCAAGTGTACAGGCCTTACAAATGATATTTCAGGAAGGAAGTGGATAATACGGGCAGGAAGAGAGATTGGCTTACATTTCTGATCTGGAACGCTATTTGGTCTTTAACTGTTACTACCCCAAACAAAATTATTTCTTGGTTTTCTGACAGATAGATAGATGGATAGGTAGGTAGATACATAGATAGATAGATACATAGATAGATAGATAGATAGATAGATAGATAGATAGATAGATAGCAAAAACCCCTTAAAAGCGTATTAAAAAGTTACATGTCTCAAAAAAACACTTTAAGCAATTAGTTTTAAATGTAAGATATCCCTCATATTTTCATATTTAGTAAAATAATAATAATGCTATCAGATATGCTCTTTTGGCTGAAAAAAATTAATTGCCAAGAAGAGAACTTCCAGACATTGACGAGGATGGTAAATTTATTATTGAAACACCGTTAGAAATATTTAACACCAAGTGTTCTGAATAAACTAGTTTTCATATTCTCCACTAATTCATCTCAAAAATGAGGACAAAGAGACCTGGATCTAGCAAGTAAGAATGTTCTTAAACATCCAGAATATTATATTTGAAAAAAGAAAAAATTATTCTGAGAAAATCTGCCTTGTCTACTCAAGCAAGCCTGAACTGATTCCACTTCACTGAATGTTTATATAATATATAATTACTCCACTCCATTCAGGAGCTAAGTATACACAGCTTGTGTTTGGTCCCAATTGTTTTAGGTATGTTTGTTTCCTCGACTAGATAGTAAGCATTCTGAGAAAAGTGGCTGTATATTATATTTATTCCATACTTTTTGGTTACCTGTTTAGTGCTTGGTACATAGAAAGCCTTCAGTAAATAATTGCTGAATGAAAAAAATATATTGCTACAGTTTGCAGTGTCTCTAATAATAAATATCTCTTCAACTAGTATTATAGTCAACATGTAGGCATATCAGAATCATCTAGGAGAGCATTTAAAACATTCCTATGCCCCATGCTAGAAGTTGGTTTTAAAACAAAGACAATAGAGTTATGCCTTTGTCATGAAGGAGCTTAAAAATCTAGGGTAGAAGGCAGGCATCATAGATAAAGAAATACGATTCAAAATTACTTCAGATAGACAAGTTACATCTCCATTGATCATACTGCAGTTTCTTTAGTTACCTATAATTTCTGAAGATATACTATGGTAATCTTAATTGGACCCGCATATTCCCTAAGCCTTCTTCAATAACTTATTTACTAACAGTCCTCTAAGATAGAGTTATTTTTGCAGATGTCTAAATTCATCTGTTGTATGCTGATGCTAACTAGTTTTGCTTACAGAAGGGAGTCCTCTTTATGCATTCTAGGGAAAAATAGCATGCATGAAGTAGCTTTATGTCTATAACACAATATACTATATTAACACTATGCATTCCAGCAAAGATAAAATAACATAGATCCATTTTATCTTCCCACCTGAAACAAATAAAAAGCTGGAAAAACCAGCTCTCAAGATATTTGACATTGTGCAAAGAAGGATCGTGATTCCTGAGACATGTGGAACAAAGGAGATGAGTCCTGCAAATGCCCCCAGCGTACTCCCTGGAGAAAGATTCCAGGCTGTGCTGCAGGGAAAGGGAATCCAGGCAGAGCAGCCAGACTATCTGAGTTGAGGAAAAGGAGATGAGAGTCCAGAGAAGCCAGAGAGAAAACTTTCAAGATTTGCAGAGAGTCTCCATCAAGTATTCAGCTAAGTACTGATGAGCAAATGAGAATGAGAAAATTACCCAAAAAGATTTGAGGGATCAGTGCCCAGAACTTACCCAGAGCCAGTAATAGTGTCTGTTCTTCACAGCCAGAGTAGACAATCTCATAAATCATGGTTTATAGATTAGATCAAGAGTGGGCAAACTATGACCCATAGGCCAAATCCAGTCTGCCACCTATTTTTGTAAATACAGTTTTATTGGAACACAGCCACACCCATTTATTTATGTACCTTCTATGGCTGCTTTCAGGCTATAACAAGAATTGAGTAGTTGGAACTGAAACCAGATGGCCCACAAAGTCTAAATTATTTACTATCTACCCTTTACAGAAAAAGTTTGCTGACTCCTAGGCTGAAGTACTAGGAATAAAGTATTAAGAAATGCCTAAAGTACTAAGAAGTGTCTACGTAGTGGGAAAAAAATTAACCATAGACTAATTGCTGCTCTGGTCCTACCTAATAAAGCTTGCTTTTAAAGTAAGAGCCAAAAGGGTCAAATTGTTTCCAAGTAACTTAAATATGTTCCAGCTCAAGATTATCTATATAAAAACAAAACTATCGAGTACCCAACAATGTATTAATAAAACTCACAATGTCTGGCATCTAATCAAAAGTTACACAACATGCAAAGAAGGGTAATACAATCTATAACAGGTGTGTGTGGGTGAGAGGAGGCCAGTCAATTAAAATTAACCAAGAAATAACGTTGATGATAAATTAATAGACAAGAACATTAAAACAGTTATGACTGTATTCCATGTGTTGGTGCTTAAGGAAAGACTGAACATGTTGAATAAAGACAAGAAAAATATTTTCATGCAAATCAAAACCACAGTGAGATACCATCTCACACCAGTCAGAATGGTGATTATTAAAAAGTCAAGAAACAACAGATGCTGGCGAGGCTGTGGAGAAATAGGAATGCTTTCACACTGTTAGTGGGAATGTAAGTTAGTTCAACCATTGTGGAAGACAGTATGGTGATTCCTCAAGAATCTAGAAACAGAAATACCATTTGACCCAGCAATCTCATAACTGGATATATACCCAAAAGAATATAAATCATTCTACTATAAAGATACATGAACATGTATGTTTATTGCAGCACTATTTACAATAGCAACATCATGGAACCAACCCAAATGCCCATCACTGATAGACTGGATAAAGAAAATATGGTACGTATACATCATGGAATACTATGCAGCCATAAAAAGGAATAAGATTATGTCCTTTGCAGGGACATGGATGAAGGTGGAAGCCATCATCCTCAGCAAATTAACACCGGAACAGAAAACCAAACACCTCATGTTCTCACTCATAAGTGGGACTTGAACAATGAGAACACATGGACACAGGGAGGGGAACAACACACGCAAGGGCCTATTGGAGGGGTGGTAGGGGGTGAGGGGAGGGAACTTAGAGGATGGGTCAGTAGGTGCGGCAAACCACCATGGCACACGTAAACCTGTGTAACAAACCGGCTCGTTCTGCACATGCATCCCGGACCTTAAAGTAAAATTAAAAAACAAAAAAGAAAAAAAAATGTTAAAGACCCAAACTGAACTGCTAACTATTTAAAACAAAATGGTGATGATTTATTTTAGAGTTTTAACATATTTACAAGTGAAATTTATGGGAGGGGGGAGGCTTTCAAAAAGTTTGTGGGAAAATGGAATTAAAAGATAAAAATAAAAAATATAAACTTTATTTTTCAATGTAAGCTCCATCAAGTTCAAGGCACTTTTTGTAAGTGGTGATACCAGCCATTAAAGATCTGAGGGTGGGCCGGGAGCGGTAGCTCACGCCTGTAATCCCAGCACTTTGGGAGGCCGAGAGGGGTGGATCACGAGGTCAGGAGATCGAGACCATCCTGGCTAACACGGTGAAACCCTGTCTCTACTAAAAATACAAAAAAATTAGCCGGGCATGGTGGCGGGCGCCTGTAGTCCCAGCTGCTTGGGAGGCTGAGGCAGGAGAATGGCGTGAACCTGGGAGGTGGAGTTTGCAGTGAGCCGAGATTGCACCACTGCACTCCAGCCTGGGTGACAGAGTGAGACTCCATCTCAAAAACAAACAAACAAACAAAAATCTGAGGGCCCTGGCAATTTAATGATACCAATGGAGTCTTTTTACCTCATTAACTGACAAAAAAATGGATGATCTTTAAAGATTTTTTAAGATTAGGAAACAAAAAGAAACCAGAGGGAGCCAAATAAGGACTGTAATGTGAATGTCTAATGATTTCCCACTGAAACTTCTGCAAAATCATCCTTGTTTGATGAGAGGAATGATCAAGAGCATCGTGGTGGTGGACCTTCTGTCAAAGCTTTCCTGATCATTTTTCTGCTAAAGCTCTGGCTGACTTCTCAAAACACTTTCATATTAATCAGATGTCATTATTCATTGGCCCTCCGGAAAGTCAACAAGCAAAATATCTTCAGCGTCCCCAAAAAACTGTTGCTATGACTTTTGCTCTTGACTAGTCTGCTTTTGTTTTGACTGACCACTTCCACCTCTTGGTAGCCATTGCTTGGATTGTGATTTGTCTTCAAAATCACACTGGTAAAGCTAGGTTCCATCTCCTATTACAATGCTTTGAAGAAATGCTTCAGGATTTGGATCTCACTTGTTTAAAATTTCCATTGACAGCTCTGCTGATTTCTTCAGCTGATCTGAATGCAATGGCTTTGTGACAGACCCATCGAGTTGGAAGTTTGCTCAAGTTTAATTTTTCAGTCAGGATTGTGTAAGCTGAACCAATTGAGATGTCTATGATGTTAGCTATCGTTTCTTCTGTTAATCATTGGTCTTCCTCAGTTAGGCACAAACAAGATTAATTTTTTCCTTGGAAATTGATATGAATGGTCTGCAGCTTCGGGGTTTATCTTCAGTATCATCTTGTCCCTTCTTTAAATAAGTTATCCATTTGTAAATTGATGATTTCTTTGGGGCATTGTCCCCATAAACTTTTTATAAAGGATTAATGATTTCATCATTCTTCTACCCAAGCTTTACCATAAATATGATGTTTGGTCTTCCTTCAATTTTAGCATAATTCATGTTGCTCTGATAGGGGCTCTTTTCTAACTGATGTCTTATCATTCTTAGTACAACAAACTAGATTCTGTTCAGACATGTTATAACAAGTTAGTAAAAGTTTATTTTGATGTAGAGATTTCTTAAATGTATGCATATTTTTTTCCTAACATACATTTTCCATGAACTTTTGGAGGAATGAGCAAGAGCATCGTGGTGGTGGACCTTCTGTCAAAGCTTTCCTGATCATTTTTCTGCTAAAGCTCTGGCTGACTTCTCAAAACACTTTCATAATAATCAGATGTCATTATTCATTGGCCCTCCAGAAAGTCAACAAGCAAAATGTCTTCAGCATCCCCAAAAAACTGTTGCTATGACTTTTGCTCTTGACTAGTCTGCTTTTGTTTTGACTGACCACTTCCACCTCTTGGTAGCCATTGCTTGGATTGTGATTTTTTTCCTAACATACATTTTCCATGAACCCCCATATGATAATGTGAGCACAAAGAGTAAAAGGAGTATTAATGGATTGCATTGTTGTAAAGTTTTTGCATTGTGAAATACTTTCACATTATTTGAAGGTGGACTGGGATAGCATATACGTGTATACTGTATCCTCAGGAACAACTACTTAAAAAAAAACAAAGTAGTAATTAAATACTATATTCATTTTTTTATTTATAATATTTTCATTTGTTTCTTTTTAGAGTTTCCATTTTCTGCTAACACCCCCTACCTATTCCATTAATACTTTCCACTTTTCCCATTAATACTTTAGTATATTTACATGGTAGTGTTAACGTTCATTTTTTGAAAGTTGTAACATCTGGGATGTGTTGATCTGCTTCTACTGCATTTTTTCCTCTTGATTATGGTTAACACTTTCCAGTTTCTTCACGTCTTGCAATTTTTTATTGAATGCTGAACATTATATGTAAAAGAATAGTTGAGGCCAGGCACGGTGGCTCGCGTCTGTAATCCCAGCACTTTGGGAGGCCAAGGTGGGCAGATCACAAGGTCAGGAGTTTGAGACCAGCCTGACCAACATGGTGAAACCCTGTCTCTACTAATGATACAAAAATTAGCTGGGCATGGTGCCGCATGCCTGTAGTCCCAGCTACTCGGGAGGCTGAGGCAGGAGAGTCACTTGAACCTGGGAGGCGGAGGTTGCAGTGAGTCGAGATGGCATCACTGTACTTCAGCCTGGGCAACAGAGCAAAACTCCATATCAAAAAAAAAAGAATAGTAGAAACAAAAATAAATCATATTTACCTATCCTGCCCACCACCCCCCACCGCCGAAAGGATATCTCCCTTCTGTCAGGCCAGTAGTATTACGTGCTAGTTCAATCTAAACTTTTAGTTGAGTTGGGTCTTGTCCTCGTTACAGTTATATTCAGTTCACCACTGGCTTCATATGTTTTGAGGGCTGAATGGGCACTTTCCTCTCAGCCAGGCTTGAGATCCGAGACCTGTGAGACTCTGGAGATCTCTTTGTGTTTTACAGTCCAGCTTCTAATTTTAAGTTACTTGAGGATTTGATTTTCTTTTCAGTCCCACCACCAGATTTCTGTGCCTGGAAAGTTTGCCTGTTTTTTTTCTTACCCCAGTATGTGTCAGATTCATTCTACCTCCCCCTCCTCCACCAGGAATGAGGCATCTATGGGCCTCTCTCTACTAGGAAGAACTTGTCTTTCCTGGGATTTGATTTATTTAGATTTCTTTAATTTCTTCAAATCCCTGGCAGGTTCAAAATAAATCTATGATCTTATACATCAACAACTTATCCACATTGTTGGTGACACTGTCGAGCAGTGGTCTCTTGGGACTTTCTCCATCCCTATAGAAACAGACGCTCACAGTTTAAAATGAATAATACAATTTAGCCAATTGTTACAATAAAAAAGGTGGTAGAAACAAAAAGGCATTTGTATTAATTCAGACTTTAAATGAGAAAAAAAAAAAGAAGAAGAAGACATTAAACCACTAACTTGGCCAGGCACAGTGGCTCACACCTGTAATCTCAGCCCTTTGGGAGGCTGAGGCAGGAGGATCATTAGAGCCCAGGAGTTTGAAACCAGCCTGGGCAACACAGCAAGACCTCATCTTTAATAAAAATAAAAAATAAAAAAATTAGCCAGATGTGGTGGCACGTGCCTGTAGTTCCAGCTACTCAGGAGGCTGAGGCAGGAGGATTGCTTGAACCCAGGAGTTTGAGGTTGCAGTGAGCTATGATTGCACCACTTCACTCTAGCCTGGGTGACTGAGTAAGACCCTATTTAAAAAAAAAAAAAAAAAAACCACCCACTGACTCATGAGACTTGAAACCAAACTACTTTAATAAATTATTTGCATAGTTTGCTAATTAATTAATAAATTAAAAATAAATTATTTGCATAAGTTCAATGTTTTATCTTGAGGGGAACTTCTCCTAGACTCAAATGAAACTTGAGTCGGTGAGACCTTACAGAACATCTAATCCAAAGGTTTTCACACAGAGTACAGAGAACTCTGAGTGTTTATAAAAGACTATTTAGAACTCCCACAATATTTGAGTGAAAGTCCAGTCTGCTCTGGGTCCCCTTCTCCAAACATATCAATTCTGCTTTAATCAATTTTACATATTGAATTTTGAGTTAAATATCATTTGAAATAGAGGTTCTGATCTCTTCAAAACTATAAAATCACAATCGTATCTCCCTCTCTCACACACACACAAACAACACACACATAGATATACACACATTTTCTTGTTAAGCAGCTGAGGCAGACATAGAAAGCAACTACCCTAAGATCGCATTGCTAACTAATACCAGGAATGATACTAGAACCTCTCCCACTCAGTACATTTTCTTCTCCACATGTTCTTTCTTGTGACTAATTAACCTTCCTGTCCTGGACTATTGTAATTCTTACCATGTTGGCCAGTTTCAATGTGGAACCATGGATGAGCAGGTTTCGCTGGATTGATGAATGATTCCTAGAGCTTTGGAAACTCTAGTGTGACATCAGTTGGACCCAGGTGAAATGGTAATCACCAGTGTATAAATGATTTGGACACTGTAATTCCCCCCTGTGATTTAGTTTGCTTGCTTCCGTTGATTTATTTAGAATGTGCTTTGCTACATCTCCCAACCTTGCTACACTTTGAGCACCAATAAACGTCAAACAGATTAGACAGGCCCATTACTCAATGGGCATATTACTAAAAATGGTACAAAGGTGAAATCCCAGCAGTTTCAGATGATTGGAGTATTTACAGGATGTTAGGAAAACATCTGCTTCAAAAATTCAGAGGTTTGAGAGTTGATATAATGTTTTATCAGGAGCCTACACCACCACCAGTCACGGCACAGAAAATATTAAGCCATGTCAGAGTGAATGAGTTTTGAGTACCTATTATATAGAATAGGCTGTACAGAGATTGGCCCTCTAATAGCCACTTAGAGTGAATACATTTTGCTTTTATCAAAAGAGAAGAGAATGGAGCCCACTTTTATAGCTTTGCTCATAGATAAATGCGGGTAGAAAGAGATATTTTTTCCTTCGGTACTGACCACTTAGGTTTGGGCATATAACATCCTTGCTCTAATACAAAGTCACTAAGCTTCAAGAGGCAGACAAAAGGTAACAACAGTTCAGTAGAACAAACCTTGAATTTTTGTTTATCTTCATTTTTAGCACAGTGACTACCAGTGAATTACCAATTGTGGAGCCAAGCACTGTGTACTATCTCACTTAATCTTTATAAGAATCCTGAGATATAGGTACAATTATTGCCATTTTACTCATGACGAAACTGAAGTTTGGAGAGCTTAAACAACTTGCTTTCATCACACATGTAGTAAATGACAAAGCTGGGTTTCTAATCCAATCAGTTTAATTCCAAAGTCTTCACTTCTTGCCACTACTGTCATCAGTTGTGCAGAAAATAAGCAGATGAAAGTTGAAATAACAACAACTAGAATAGTTTGTTCTGGTTATCTTATAACCACAAGAAATTTATAATATCCATCAGGGAATCATCTAGAATAGTGTTTGTTGGTGGGGACACACCCCAGTTATTAATGGATTAGTGCTAGAATCAAACTTCCACATTTCCTCTTCACCGAGATTTGATTACATCTCCGGGGTTTTCTTGGTGATATTGTTCCCTTTTTATAACTAATGGGGTAGTTGGTGGGAGGTTTGTAAATGAGGAAGCTGTATGTCTAAACGGAGAAAGTCAGAATATGAGCTGGGCTTTGCAGGAGCCAACCAGTATTTCCAGTCTATGATGCTAAATTCACCTTATAGTTTTTATATATACATAAATGTATATGTGTGCAGGCACAGGCATGCCTATGCCAAAAAAGAGATGGAGAGAGGAGGGAGGTATTGCTTTCTTCTTTTTGCTTTGCATTTTTGAGGGAACGACAGTTAGGTTCATCACTTATTAATCACAAAGTTTGGTGCTATGTCTTTAGAATAGAAAAGCATCACTTGATTTTCAATGCATAGTCTGCTAATTGGTAGGTTTTGCCTCTCAACTAAACTGTAAAGGGGAAGGTGCATACTAAACTGATTGCCCTACTTTAGGCAGCTCCTGGCAGGAATGCTGAGATGGATTAACATGCATAACAGAAGGCTTATGTGACCCTGGGAGACAGTAGAACCTGAAATAACCTTAATATCCTGTCAACTTTCATTACCAGACCCCACTGAACAAGAAAAGCCTATTTAACAATCTGTCTGGGAAGGAAAAATCCATATCTTTTTTTTAAACCAGTATTTTTCATCCTGTTCTTTTTTATCCTGGGGATATTTTCTTCCACCTCACTTCTCAGAACAATATCACTGCACTAGACCAAGTAATCTGGCATCCTGATTTCATCAGATTTTTCAGCCTATATGCCACTCCAGAGCCCTTGCTGCTGCAGACCTTCTTCAAACATACCCTCATACATCTGGAACACAGGGTCCGTGCTGAACAGTTAGCAGTCTAGTTTTAGCAGTGTGTTTGGACAGAAGGAACCCCATCTTCACAGTTGTCTAGGTTCAGCCCTAGGAAGGTGTTCAGGCTCAAGAAAGAGGGGAAGTATTAGTTCAACTGAAGACTGAAAAGCAAAAATATCTTGGAGAAGTATCTGGACTCTCTCAGACATACACAAATCCAGATGTCTGGTCAAGCTGTCAACTGCATTTGCTGAAAGCATCCTGAGTTACTTTAGCATGCCAAGTGCTGTATGCTCCTCAAGGGAGGTGTTTATGGGGAAATTCTAAAAATACTGAAGCACTAAAACAAATCCAAAATAATTGCATTTCTGTCGCTTTTTAACAGCACTTTCAAGAAATAGACCATTCTTTCTGTCTCAGTAAAAGCTTTCCAAATTTCCAAATTAGATGTCATATCTTGAGGTTCCAAACATCCTCCATTCACAAGATATGGCTTAGCCATAGATTTAATTCCATTTAATCAGAGTAGTTGAAATCATGGTTTTAAAAAAATCACTAGCAGTTGAGAGAGAGCTGGATTCTTCAAAATTAGCAGCAATGTGACCTTGGGCAAGTTACTTCTCTCCTCTGAATCATTAAAGGGAAGGGGGAAAGTAGTAAAATCTGTTGAATTATTGGCTACTTTACCATCATTACCTTTACTAAATGGTTTTCAGTATTTCTTCTAGTTTTAATTTTCTATTCTGCTGAGTTCTTAAATTGATTCAACAAATGTTTACTGAGAAATTCTATAAGCCAAGCATAGTGCTGTGCACTAAAAGAGTCATTACAATCAATATGAGGGCCAGGTGCAGTGGCTGATGCCTGTAATCCCAGCACATAGGGAGGCTGAGGTGGGCAGATTGCTTGAGCTCAGGAGTTCAAGACCAGCCTGGGCAACATGGCAAAACCCCATACCTACAAAAAATACAAAAATTAGCCAGGCGTGGTGGCACGCACCTGTAGTCCCAGCTACTTGGGAGGCTGAGGTTGGAGAATCACTTGAGCCCGGGAGGTGGAGGTTGCAGTGAGCCGAGATTGTCCCACTGAACTCCAGCTTGGGTGACAGAGCCACGCCCTGTCTCAATAAAATAAAATAAATAAAATAAAAATGAGGATGAAACATTAAAGGATTTTTACGAAGTCTTTTAATAACAAACTAGGCCTTCTAGTTTCTTTTTGCATACAATTCAGAGGAATGGCTTCTTATGGTATGAATGAGGCCACACTGAAATAATCCTGTCAGAAATTTGTCATCTTACTCCTTGGGAAATTTCTCAGTTCCTCCCAATGCACTATGACTTCACTTATCTGAGCTCCAGTGTGTTTCTATAAAACAGATTAAGCAGCCGGGCACGGTGGCTCACGCCTGTAATCCCAGCACTTTGGGAGGTCGAGGCGGGTGGATCACCTGAGGTCAGGAGTTCGAGGCCAGCCTGGTCAACATGGTGAAACTTCGTCTCTGCTAAAAGTAACAAAATTAGCTGGGCGTGGTGGCGCATGCCTGTAATCCCAGCTACTCAGGAGGCTGAGGCAAGAGAATTGCTTGAGCCCAGGAGGTGGAGGTTGCAGTGAGCCGAGATTGCACCATTGCACCATTGCAGTCCTCCAGCCTGCGGAACAAGAGCGAGACTTCATCTCAAAAAAAAAAAAAAAAAAAAAAAAAAAAAACCCAGATAACTCAGATGTTTAACTGGAAAATCACCACGTATTGAGAGTCGGGAGAACTGAGTTGGAGTTCTGGCTGTGGCACTAACATGTGGGACAATTTACTTGGTCTCTCTAGGTCTCACTTTCCTGATATGAAGAATTCAGTCTCGATGATTTAGCTTATTCCAAAAATTCTTCTACAGCACTGAGAGAGAGTGCAAGAGGGAAAATCTGTCTAAACCAGCACTGTAGAATACAGTCGTCACTAACAAGCATTTGAAATGTGGCTCGTTCAAATTGAGATGTGCAAAAAAAAAAAAAGTAAAATCTCTCATTGATAATTTTTAATAATGAGACAATTTTAATATTGATTATGTAATGAAAGGGTAAATATTTTAGATATATCGGGTTAAAAACAATATATTACTAAAATTAATTTCACCTATCTCTTTTTAATTTCATGTGGTTATCAGAAAATTTTAAATTTTCTAGTGGTGTTCACATGTGGTTCACATTTGTTGCTCGCATTGTATTTCTGCAGGACAGTACTGGTCTAAACCCTCTCAATTACCTACTTACTACAAAGTTATCAGCTTGTGAAGAGTTAAGTAGGTCATATTGTTCTGGCCTGCATTAAAAAAAAAAATAAAGTAAAAAACAGGAGGACAAAGAAAATAAGAAAACAGGCCTCTGTCTGGGAAGTGGACATGTCCCCTGAAGTGGACATGTCTACCTGAAGCCCACGAGGAGTTCTAGTTCCCCTCGCTGCTCCAGGGCCTTATTCTGCAGATTTCAATAAGAACAAGCCTGAGAACTAGAGAAGTGGCAAGGCCCTCTGATGTTATCTTAGAAAATGCAGACAGCTAATGACAGGAGAAAAACATGCCACTGCAAGTGAAAAGGGCCCAGGAGAAAAAAAAAAGAGAGTTGGGAGAAGCCTGGTGTTTAAATCATTCTGGGGTAGTGTGAAGTGAGGGAGGAAAGGGACGAAATTGACCATTAGAGCTCTGCCCTCTGAAGTAAATGTTCTCTCTCCCGTCATTTCTTCATCCTTTTATAATACTTTCCATTTCATGCCTTTCTTTATAGCTTGCAATTCTCTTTGCTAGGCACTTTCACATATGTATCTCATTTAATTGTAATATGCCTTTGAGGTCAGTATGATTACCCTCACTTTATAATTAAGAAAACTGGAACTCACAGAAGTTATATAACTTGCCCAACTTTGAACAGCTAGAAATTATGGTGGGGTCAGAATCTGAATCTGTAGCTTCTGACTTCAGTGGCTATGTATTTTTCCACAAAGCCACATCTCCTGCATGTATTTCAACTGTTCTTTCTTAATTATCTTGTGACATATTTTAAACTCAGCTAATTTTCTAGTTGCTTTATGAAGACAGTTTAGAGGTTATTCTACTTCACATTTTAAACTGCTTCCTAAAATATGACAGGGCTAATTTTTAAAACTCCTTTTCCCACTACTAGCTAAACACTGTCCAAATATTAATCAGATGTGAATACTTAGGCTAATAAAATAAGTAGGCCTTCAGCTCATTTGAATAGCTCAGCCAAACCTATGAAGAAACAAAATTAGCTGATACCCTGTCTGCCTTTCAGTGAATAAAAGATTTGGGCAAGATACATATTAAAACACTTTAGCCAAATGAATTAAAATTAACTTAGTTGATTATGGGAAATTTATAATGCAAATGTGTAAAACTAAACCCTTAAAATCATGATTACATAATTTCAATCATTTAATTTCAACAGAAGTAGCAAAATATTTTTTCATTTCACCTTCATGAACCACAGAAAAGAAGACAAATGAAATACATGCATTCTGCTTATTTGAAATAAAGTTTCTTCATGTTTCATCTGTAATCCCCCAAATGCCAGCATTAATCCATTCTAAATCCACAAGGCTTTCTGTTCAGACCCCAAGGAAGGCATAAGTAATGCACACAGAAGCTGTGCCAGTTCAAAACCCACAGCAGAAGCTAGTGTATCTGAAGATTCTATTGGGAATTGACTTCAAACAAATCCCCAAGTGGGGGATTTAAACATATACAGGAGCTGCTTTTTTTTTTTAAGTCCAAGTAATAGAGAGTACAACTAGCAAAATCATTTTTTTCATTATTTCATTTCAACCTGCATTTTTGATTTGTGCTGTAAAATCTTATAAAGAAAGAGGTATTAAGTATGATCTGCCCTCAGAAATTTCAAGATGGTACAAGGAAATTCAAATACAACAAACACTGACAGGTGCAGTAGGTGAATATTGTTCTCATTGCCTAGTAACTTTTTATTTGCAAAATAATTTTGAGTTGTTTTAAGTAGTATTTTCTCTACTGCATTTAAGTATATATATATAAAGTTTTTATATTACATTAAGAAAAGGATAGTAATTAGAAATTCCACCTATTAAAAATCATTAGAAATTAAGATAAAGGATCTATAAAGTAACAAATCATAAGAAATAGAATTTTATTTAGAAAATTTCAGTGCTCGAGAAACTTTCATAAACATGTCTATAACAGTAAAAAGGTATTTCTATGTGTAAAATATGTTCTAGGGAGCTTGGAATGTATAGTTTGCTAGGGAGAGAGAAAACAGACTTTTTTTTCCTTTTCAAATCAGGAAAAATGTAGTAAGAATGTATATACTAAGTATTTCTTAGCAACTCAAACTAACAAAAGTCAACTCAGCTGGGCACAGTGGCTCACACCTATAATCCCAGCACTTTGGGAGGCCGAGGTGGGCAGATCACCTGAGGTCAGGAGTTCAAGACCAGCCTGGCCAACATGGCAAAACCCCGTCTCTGCTAAAAATACAAAAATTAGCCAGGCATGGTAGTGGACACTTGTAATCCCAGCTACTTGGGAGGCTGAAGCAAGAGAATCTCTTGAACCCCGGAGGCGGAGGCTGCAGTGAGCTGAGATTGCGCCACTGCACTCCAGCCTGGGTGACAGAGTGAAGCTCCATCTCAAAAAAAAAAAGAAAAGAAAAGTCAACTCAGCACAAAATAATTTCAGAGGTACTTCACCTGATATTACAGATAAAAATTTTTATACGAATTATATTTATGTGAATTAATTGTGTTAAATGACCCAAAGCATGGTCATCATTTAAAGAAAACCTCCGGAGACTCATTTATTTTTAAAAATTAACTGCTTCCTCATTTATCTGCGTTGTAAATTAATTCTTCATTCAACAAGTGATTATTGAGCATCAACCATGTGCCAGGCACTGAGTCCGTAATACTTATCAAGGCAGCATACTCCCATTGTCCAGGAGCTAGAGTATACATGGAGAGACGCACAAGCAAGTGACTAAGCAAGTTCATTTAACAAGCACAACGTGTGCTGAGTGTTACCAAGGAAATAAACGTGACATGTGGTGGAGAAGAGCTGGAGACCTATTTCACACTGGATAATCAGGGAAGGCTTCTCCAAGGAAGTGGCATCCAAACTAAGATCTGACAGTCAAGAAGGAGCTCATCCATCACATAGAAAGAGAGCAAGGATGGCCGGGCGCGGTGGCTCACGCCTGTAATCCCAGCACTTTGGGAGGCCGAGGCGGGCGGATCACGAAGTCAGGAGATCGAGACCATCCTGGCTAACACGGTGAAACCCGTCTCTACTAAAAATACAAAAAATTAGCCAGGCGCAGTGGTGGGCGCCTGTAGTCCCAGCTACTCGGGAGGCTGAGGCAGGAGAATGGCGTGAACCCGGGAGGCGGAGCTTGCAGTGAGCCGAGATCCTGCCACTGCACTCCAGCCTGGGCGACAGAGAGAGACTCCGTCTCAAAAAAAAAAAGAAAGAGAGCAAGGATATAATGTGTTTTGTGGGACAAATGATGGTAGAGGAAATAGAGCTTAAAGTCCTGAAGAGTGAAGAAGGCTGGAGGATTGTTAGGAAAGGAGGGAGGAGCCATAGATGAGATCAGGTAGGCTGGGCTGTGATAGGGGATAGGAGTTTAATCCAATCTGTGTTTCGGAACAATCTCTCATGCTGCCCTTTGGAGAACTGACTGAAGACACGCGGCATGGAAGCCAGACCACATGTTAGGAGGCTACTATATAACACAAAGATGATAGTAACTAGACTCAGTGGTTGTAGTGGAAACAGAGACAGGGCAGTGGACTTGAGGATAGAAACAACAGGGCTTGCTGATAGATTAGATGCGATGGATTAGGCTTGATGGAGAAGTTTACATTAAAGATGTCTCCCAGATACATGTACAATCAAGATCTTTATAAAAACTCCTCTCTATTTAATATAAGGATGTGTTCTTCCCGTATACTCATTCTTACAGTTTGCTAGTTCACTGCATGTGAAAATGTACTCTGGTTTCATAAGAATGTATTTAGACTCTCAAATACAGGCCTTCAATATCATTCATAACTAAATTTCTATTTAAAAATGTATTGAGCCAAACATGGAAATCTGCAATTCTCTCTTTTCTTCATAATATGGTTAAAGCGAGCTCATTTCTTTTTTATTCCTCTTCAACATCTTTAATGGCTTCCGTAGATGTTGTCCTTGCTATTTTTGTTGTTGCTGCTGCTATTGTTGCTGTTATTGTTTTATAAAGATGACTATAATCCTTACTAGTTAACCCAGAAATGATTAAAATAATCCATATAAATAGGCTACTGCTTGGAGTGGGGCTCTCAAGTATTCTACTTAAGTCTAAGCCAAATTATTTGGCTTCCATCTCTTGAAAAATGTTAGATGACTTCATCTGATTTCCAGTCCCAACTGAGTAATGCTTGGACTTTGGGTATCTAAAATGTTCGAGCCACAAAACAAAGCTCATATAAACCTACCAATTTCTACTGAGTTGTTGGTTCAATCTTTTTCCTCTACTTTGGTTTTTACCAGTTCATGCTAATGGTCTAGATATTATGGTCATATAAGCTCTAGGTTTTTGCTCAGTATCTTCCAAGGAATTCACCTGAGCACTGGGAGCATGCAGAATAGCCAACAACAGAGTACTGTGGCGTAGCTTCACAGATAACTCACAAAGAGGCAGAAATATGTCAATAACTTTCAACAATGACCCCAGACAACACCGCAAACAGAGGCAGACTGCTAGGAAAGAAGTCACTATGAGGGTGTCCCTTACATTTTCTATCAAAGGCCCAGTTCTTATTTGGTACTGTGTTGACCCACATGGAAAAGGAGTGATTTTATTCAAATCTTCTCCAGTTGCTCTCTCATCTGTTGATTTTTTACCGCACTTTTATATCTCATACTCAAAGTAAGACGAACTCTTTGAGTTGTAGGCTCATTGTGATTTTTGTCTGCATAAATCTAGGTCAGCCTCACGAAATTATGAATATTTCAGATGGGAAAAAACAGATACCTAAGCAAGAGACTCATGTCTGGTTCCAATTTGAAATTATTTCTTCTCGTCGCTTTTCAGGTTTAAAGCTCTAAAATTTTTAGTCTAAGTATTTTCAGGAATATTTGTTATAATTAGAACTAAGGTGGGGATTCCTGTCAAGACCCGGCCTCCTGGATCTTGTTTAATGTTGAGGAACCTCACTCTCCCTCCAGCCCTTGCTACCCACAATCCCTCCAAGCACAAAATCCTAAATAAGAGAGGCCAAGCCTTGAGTTTCCAAAACTAACGATGAAGCCCAATTGGCAGTGTAGTCTAGTAGCAGAAATGTGGGTGAGCTTTGTTATATAGATCTGGGTTCCAATCCTCTGTCCACCAGTATATCTCAGGGAGATTGAGCAAGCTATTTAGCTTTTCAGAACCTCATTTCAGTTCTTTGTAGAATGGATATTACAACTCCTCTCTCATAGATTTATTATGAGGAATCAAATAAATGATGTCCTGTAAGTTCCTGGCACATGATAGGCTGCCAATGAATCTTATCATAGCAGGAGTCCCAGCTGCGTTGTTTGCTACTGGTATATTTTGCCAAGCCTGGCTGCCTGGTGGGGTGGGTCTGCCAGGAGACTGTCTGTTTCAGAAACTGAAGAGCCTCCTGGGAAAGAACTCATACAGAATGAGACTGTCAGACAAGCTTGGCCCAAGAAGAAAAAGCCTTAGTTATCTGGGGGAAAGTCTGGCTTTGACTCTGTGGTATCACCCCATCCCCCAAGCCAGCCTCTTTCAGATGTACTCATATCAGAGTCCTAAGGAGAAAGAAGACTCTGAACAAAAACAAAGAGAGCTGTTTTCTCTGAAAACATCTGGCTCACCCTCTTGTATTTCTTCCACTTCTCTTTCCATACACTCTTGATCACTGAGGACGATTCTGGCTGGCCCAATTGCCAGGAGATTCTTTATTCTCTTGGATTGGTGGGTCTGGTTTACTAAGCCCAAATCAGAGTTGCAGAACTTGGATTCTGTGGTTGGGTTACTTGAATGAAGCAAGCACCTGGCTTCCCCCCCTCCTTCCTGAGCCTGCCTTCTTTGGATGAATTTGCATTACACGGACCTCTAGAAGGACTTAGCTTTTCTAAACAAAATACAAAAGTCCAGGTTCTGATTAGCAACCTCACAGGGCAGCCACCTGTTACACTGACAAGCACATTCGCTGGTAGGCCACTGTGTCAAATCACTTTCCCACTTCTTCCCAAACAAGGAGGCAGATGCTCAGTAGAATCAGGGCAGTGTCAGGAACTAACCTTGAAAATTGGCCTGGACATGAACTGGATTGACACCACAAAGATGCTTAAGTTTTACAGGCTAAAAGTAGCCAAATTTGATCCATCCAAAAGTAGGCCTTACTCTTTTGACACTGAGGCCACCCTTGTCTCCCCTATCCTCCTTCCATGCCCTGTACCATCTCTTTCAGTAGATAAAAATACCTGAGGTCAGGAGTTCGAGACCACCCTGCTCAACACGGTGAAACCCCATCTCTACTAAAAATACAAAAAATTAGTTTGGCGTGGTGGTGGGCACCTGCACTCCCAGCTACTCAGGAGGCTGAGGCAGGAGAATCACTTGAACCCGAGAGGCAGAGCTTGCAGTGAGCCAAGATCGTGCCGCTGCACTCCAGCCTGGATGACAACAGTGAAACTCCGTCTCAAAAACAAAACAAAATAAAACAAAAACAAACAAACAAAAAACAAAACAACAACAAAAACACTTGTGCATTTCATCCCCACCTTTCACAGAGTAGAAGCATTTTCCCAAACCAAATCATGCTTTAAACTTTATCATAGGCTTCCTATTACTCAACAGAACCCACTCTTGTTATATATATACGGTGATAAGAAAGTTGCCCTGGTTGAACAAAACTAAATGGCCTTTAAAAACTATTTTCCAATTTCAGAGTACGTAAGACGAGGCCCACCCTTGACATTCTCAGTGGGCCTCAGATAGGGCACAGATCTGCATTTTTACAAGTACCCAAGGGGATACTGATGCAGATAATTCTCAGAGTTCACTTTTAGAAAATCTGAATTAGAAAAGGTCACTTAAGTTTTTAAATTATATCTGTTGATTTGGCACAATAATTTGACAGCAAAGTTGAAAGCAAAAGGAAAAAAAAATGCAACCTAGACCACCTTTCAATAAACATGAACTGAATCAAAGGAATATTCTCTGGTCTGCAGTTTTCTCCTGAAACTTCCAGATCACTTACATTCTGCAGTGATGTGCTTGTATCTCAGGATGCAAATTACCTATCTCCTGAACTCTCCTCAGAGACTTTTCCACTCAGAACAACGCCACAGTCCAGTCACCTGGTCACCTTCCTGTCCTAGGGTCATTAGAAGGGTCCATAATACACAGGCATAAATCTCTGCTTCTCAGACAACCTCTATACCAATTCAGATGGAGGGCTTTTCAGACAGCCTATGATGTTTATGTTCTATCTATTTCTCACACCCAAGGAGGCCCAAGCTTAATTTATCTGTCTGGACTATGATTCTACTTCTGAGGCTAACCTTGAGTTTTTAAAGCTCTGACACATAATGACAACAGAGGTTTTGATGGCAGCAAGCGGTGACAGGTAAGAAAAGCATGTCCATTAAAGTGTGATTAGAAAGTTCATGAGCTATTGAAACCTTTATTCCTGTCTAAAACTCCCAAAGGTCTCCTTGCTTCTAGAACATATTATTTTCTGCCTTCCAGGGACAAATCCATTTGACACATTTTTGTAACCTACAAATCAATGGACAAACCAAGCACATTAGTAGGGCTTTAAAGCCTTCAGAATTTAGACCAACTTGGGCAGGAGTCACGATGGATGTTTAGGAATATGGGAGGAGGGAGGCTACAAAGAGTTGGAAGATAGCCTAATTATTTAGACAGAACAAGGTCTAGAGTAACTGACCCAATTACAGTAACAAGCTCTGCAGGTTTTCTGGGTGGATAAGATCCAAAGGGACAAGACCCATTATTTGAGTGTTCACCTGTTTGAAAGGCACAGGGGTGAGAGACCCAGGCAGCAGCAGTCATCCTGGGGTATGTATACGCATTAGGACCCCAGTAAGTATTTGAGACTGATGACATGTTGTAGAACACAGTTGGGTTCTGGCTTGATTTAAGGCAGTAAATACAGATTCAGAAATGCAAACTTGCACAGATAGACAACAGTGGCCAGCCAGCCAGACATGATGTGGAGGAAGGGATGGTAGGAAGTGCTGTGATTCATGGGTTGCACAGTCATTCAGCACTTATTGCAGGTGGTAGACAGAATAGAGGTTGTGCAGCAGGCACCAAGGATGATCAGTGTTATAGCTAAGTCACAGCTAGGTCAGTAGACCTCAAATATGGATGTCACTCTATTCTCAGCCCATGACCCGGCCTGGGGGCAGTTGCAGGCGAGATGGCTATAATAAAATACTTCTTTGTTCTGGCAGAGTTAACTCAGGAACTAGTGTGGCACGAGTAGAACTTATAGTAGCTCTGTGCCATTTGTGCAAGTACTCAGCAAGACAACTGAGCCACACTTCTTGACACCTAGATTCTGTTAAAATAATGCAGGCTACATGATAAAATACACTATCTGTACCAGTTGTGGGCACCACACCCAGGTTTGTCACCATCTATACTTCACATCATCATCCCAGTCAAAGAAAATTCTTCTAAGGAACCAAGAGTGCCCAGTCTGATATGCAGGATTGTAACAGCCGTGCATTACACTCAACTGGCAGTGATGCCCTCCAACTTAACCTGCCGAGAGTACCTTCTCCTTTCTTCTTTTCCACCACTCTTACCTTCATTAGTTTGACAATACCATCAAAAGAGGTATATGTAAGCCCAGCATAACTGGCCAACATTTTGGAGGTAAAAATAAAAGTGTTTATCAATGCCAACCTAGTGGCAAATAAAATGAAACAAAACGTATAACATCACCAAGGCAAAAGTACTTGGTTATAAATTGCAGATGCAAATTTTTCATGCTTTTGAGCAGAAAAAAAAATGAAACAAATGATATGGGCAGTGTTTAAGCCAAACATTTGTTCAGCTCAGAGGATTCTTCTGTTGAATATAAACAGGCATTAATTTGCATGTATTTATTACTCTTAATTTTCAAGCACATTGGAGGTCAATTAAGAAACTGATAAACCTCTCTCCAGAAAAGATTACAGGAGAAAACTATTAACACACCTTTAATATGCTCGCCAGAAAATAGAACTTGGTAATTATTGCTAAAGGTAAATGTCCATGTTAATGTGACCAGAAGGAAGGCTAAGGAAAAAGTTGTCCTTCGTTTCTCACCTCAAATAATGGACAAGATGGAATCCTCATCTATAATATAACAACAGGCATACATTAAAATGTTTTATACTTGAATATAAAAAGTAAAGCTTAAAAGAAAATTAACATCTGCCAAATACAAAAAAGGGCTTTCTACTGCTTATTTGTACAAGCTTCACAACTTACATCAATTTAATAAATTAATAGTATATTAATTAAATATCCTAAAAGGTGAAGTTATTTAGGGATATACAAGTTATCTATGTGATGGTTAATCTTTTGTATCAGCTGAACTGGGCCACAGGACACCAAGATATCCAGCTAAACATTATTTCTGTGTGCATCTGTGAGGGTATTTTTAGAATAGATTGACATTTAAATTGGTGGACTGAGTAAAGTAGATCGCCCTCTTCAATGTGGGTGGGTACTATCCAATCTGCTGAGGGCCTCAATAAAACAACAACCACCACAAAAAAAAAAAAAAAAATGGAGAAAGTTTGCATTAACTCTGCCTGACTGCATGAACCCGGATATTGATCTTCGGCTGCCCTTGGTGTTTCTGCTTCTCAAACCTCTGGAGCCATGCTAGAATGTATATCATCAACTTTCTAGCTCTCAGGCCTTCAAACTACACCTGGGTCTGCAGCTCATAGACAGAAGATAGTGGGACTTATAGCCTTTACAATCATGTGAGCCAATACCTTATAAGAAATCTCTTCCTGGATTTCATATATTCATCCCATTGGTTCTATTTCTCTGAAGAACCCTGAATAACACAATCTACAAGAGATGGCCAAACCAATATCTAAAGTTTAAAGTGATTGACGGGTATTCGAATAGGTTTGGAGGGGAAAAAACCCTAAATGAAAGCTCCATCTCTATCATTATATGTCAAGAATTCTGGGGTAAGTAAACCATGCCTCACGGTCATCAGCAAATAGAGACACTGCAACTCGATTAGAGGCACTGCAACTTTGGCCTTGAATGGAAATAAAGGAGCCCACATTTCAATCATCCATTCATTCAGCAAATCTTTGTTGAGTATCTATCAAATATCTGACACTATGCCAGGCAATAGAGATTCAAGTGAATTCGGTGAATCCAGTCTCCCCACCTGAAGTTGAAAGGAATGTTCCCTTTTCTGCTCTCCCATTATCAGTTGACCTGACACATGAAGAACTACAAAATATAAAAGAGGATATGGATTTGGTAGAGGAAGAGAAAGCAGACAGGAATGGTAAGCACTGAGGCTAAATCCACAGGCAGAGGCAGATCTGAAGGCGCCTTTTAGCCCATGTGCTCTGCATAGATTGACAAGCACTCTGGGGATTATTGAAGATTTTAAACTTAGCAGTGATGTGATCATACCTTTGTTTTAAAATATTTGGAGATGGTTTGGGATCAAGCCTGGAAGCAAATGGGTCAATAATGAACTGTTCCTGTGATCAAGAGAAAAATGTGAGGTGACTTGATCTATAGTAGGAGTGGTGGAGATATCAAAACTTGAAAAAAGGCAAGTAATATTTAAAATTTAGTCTCCTCTGGACTTAGGGATTGAGTGGATATAAGGGATGGTGAAAGGGAGAAGGCAAAAATGATGATTCACTTCATCTTCCTCAGCTGCAATTTTCTTATATATGAAAAAGATTTATTATCACAACAGTATTTACATTGCAGAGTTGTAGGGATCAAATAAAAACAATGAAGCACTTCGTAAACTGAAAAGTTCCATGTAAGTGTTTGTTAAAATAAACAACAACCTAAAAAATGTTAAGAGAAGAAATTCTCTTCTTTGAACTTTAATTTATTCACCTACAAAAATAGAATAGTCAGTTTCACTCGTGCACAGGGACTTCCAGCTCACCAACAGGCCACAGGCCGAGGCTGGAGGGCTAGGTGGGCAGTGAGCTTGGCCAGTTGATGCACAGTGAGGCCCAAGCCCAGCCAGCAGGAGCAGTTGGTCTTTGGCAGCAGAGACACCACATAGCTGAGCTACCACTAGCCTAGAGGTGGTTCCCTGGGACTCACTCTTTGGGAAAATGATGACGCAAAGCTGGTGTCCTGGACTGCATCCCGGTGGGGGCCCCAGCAGCTATAGGTGCTGAATGCCTTTCACCAGGCTGTAGGAGGCCAATATCTGTTGGCAGCAGCTCACCTAGCATGTGCTGTGCCTAGTCAATGTGTGTGTGACAGGTGCTCCATCCTGGGGAGATAAGGAAGATGGGAGGACGAGGCTGAAAATACAGCAGGGGACCCTTACTGGACTCAGCCCTACTGGATGGTGAAGAAGCTGCTCTGCTGGCCACCAACCCTAATTGCTTCCGTTGTGTGGCAGCCCCACTCCCTCTATCTTCCAGCTGAAGAGCACAAGGAGTTCCATGGAGAGCATCGAATCAGGGAATCATGCTGTGGCACCTGCAGTGGAGCCTGGTCATGAAGAACGTGGTGCCCCTGGATGGCAGCCACTACACCTGCACAAGTTCAGTAGCATCCAGAGGATGCACACACTGGACCTTGCAGGTGTGGGTAGGAGGGAAGCTCCCAGACCCACCTGCACTCCCAGAACATCTTCTCATGGGTCTATTCTGCATGGGGGCTACCGGCCAACCAGACAGCAGTGCTGGACAGCAAAGTGGAGTTCCACTGCAAGATGTACGGTAACGTAGCACCTGGAGGTGAATGGCAGGAAGGCAGGCCCCAGCAGCTTCTACCTCAGCATGTTCAAGGTGGGCACCACTGCCGGCTCGTATTGGGGGTCGGGCAGGAGTGGGCACCTGGGGCTCTGCTTCATTGAAATCTACCAACATGATAGAAGTTTTGGAGTAGCCTATGAAAGACAAAATTATGGCACCAGCCATGAGGCGAAATCCTTTGCAGTGAGCAGTTCTCCTGGATATGAACTTGCTGCTGGTTTATACATCATCTGCTTTGAACCAAAGTCCGAAGTTAGATGCAGCTCCTTCAGAAGTAAGAATATATGTGTCAATCCATAAAAGTGAGAATCATTCTGGTGATTACTGTCCCCCATAATCTGTTCAAAAACATTTACTTCTTTCTCTGTAACTCTGTGCTCTCTGAATTCCCATACTGATTCCTTGGCAAGCTTGCACTTTGGTGCAAAAGATATTGCAGCTTCTGCATTGTTGAAATTTGCCATTTGATATTGGGATTCATTCTTAAATAAATGTGGTTATGTTATACACCATTTTAATGCACATTTCATGCTTTACAGTTTTTTGCTAAAGACTTATTACTTGCTGTTTATTTTATATTTATTTTAAACTATGGGAATAATGTTAGACAAAAAGGAAATTCAAGCAATTTTCTCATTCAAGTTCAAAATGGGTCATGCAGTAGCAGAGACAACTTGCAACATCAACAACACATCTGGCCCGGGAACTGCTAACAAAGTGACAGTGCAGTGGTGGTTCAAGAAGTTTTGCAAAGGAGATGAGAGCCTTGAAGATGAGGAGCATCATGGCCGGCGATTGGAAGTTGACAATGACCAATTGAGAGCCACCACTGAAGCTGATCCTCTTACAATTACACTAGAAGCTAGAAGTTGCCAAAGAACTCAACGTCCACCACTCTATGGTCATTCGGGATCTGAAGCAAATTGGAAAGGTGAGAAAGCTCAGTAAGTGGATGCTTCATGAGCTGAGTGAAAATTAAAAAAAAAAAAAAATCATTGTTTTGAAGTGCTGTCTTCTCTTATTCTATGCAACAATGAACCATTTCTCGATCAGATAGTGACGTGTGACGAAAAGTGGTTTTATATGACAACGGTGATGACCAGCTCAGTGATTGGACTGAGAAGAAGCTCCAAAGCACTTCCCAAAGCCAAACTTGCATCAAAGAAAGGTCAAGGTCACTGTTTGGTGATCTGCTGCCAGTCTGATCCACTACAGCTTTCTGAATCCTGGCAAAACCATTATAGTTGAGAAGTCTCTTCAGCAAATCAATGAGATGCACCAAAAACTGCAGTGCCTGCAGCTGCCATTTGTCAACAGAAAGGGCCCAAATTTCTCCACGACAATGCCTAACCACACGTCGCACAACCAATGCTTCAAAAGTTGAACAAATTGGGCTTTGAAATTTTGCCTCATCCACCATATTCACCTGACCTCTCACCAACTGACTACCACTTCTTCAAGCATCTCAACAACTTTTTGCAGGGAAAATGCTTCCACAACCAGCAGGATGCAGAAAATGCTTTCCAAGAGTTTGTCAAATCCCAAAGCAGAGATTTTTACACTACCGGAATAAATAAATGTATTTCTCATTGGTAAAAATGTATTGATTATAATGGTTTCTATTTTGATTAATAAAGATATGTTTGAGCCTAGTTACAATAATTCAAAATTCACAGTCTTAAACCACAATCACCTTTGCATCAATCTAATATTATCAATCTCATGTTTTTAACAAACATGAATTCTTTTTTTTTCTTTTTTGAGACAGAGTCTTGCCCTGTTGCCCAGGCTGGAGTGCAGTGGCACAATCTCGGCTCACTGCAACCTCCGCCTCCCAGGTTCAAGCAATTCCCCTGCCTCAGCTTCCTGAGTAGCTGGGACTACAGATGGTTGCCACCACACCCAGCTAATTTTTTTGTATTTTTAGTAGAGACAGGGTTTCACCGTGTTAGCCAGGATGGTCTCGATCTCCTGAACTGATGATCCGCTCTCCTCAGCCTCTCAAAGTGCTGGGGTCACAGGCATGGGCCACCGCACCTAGCCTTATTTTTAATTTTTGTAGGTACATAGTAGGTATATATATTTATGGGATACGTGAAATGTTTTGATACAGGCATGCAATGTTTAATAAGCATATCATGGAGAATGAGGTATCCATCCCTTCAAGCATTTACACTTTGAATTACAAACAATCCAATCTTTTTTTGTGATCTTTTTAAATCCTTTTTTGTTTGTAATCCTTTGAGTTACAAACAATCAAATCTTCAAGTTATTTTAAAATATACAATTATTATTGACTACAGTCACCCTATTGTGCTATCAAATAGCACAACAGCAGTCTTATTCATTCTTTCTATTATTTTGTACCCATTAACCATCCCCACCTGCCCCACAGTCCCCGACTATCCTTCCCAGCCTCTGGTAACCATCCTTCTAGTCTCTATGTCCATAAGTTCAATTGTTTTCATTTTTAGATCCCACAAATAGGTGAGAACATGCAATGTTTGTCTTTCTGTGCCTCGCTTATTTCACTTAGCATAGTGACCTCCAGTTTCATCCATGTGGTTGCAAATGACTAGATCTTATTCTTTTTTATGGCTGAATAACACTCCATTGTATATGTATGCCACATTTTCTTTATCCATTCATCTGTTGATAAACACTTAGGTTGCTTCCAAGTCTTAGCTATTGTAAATAGTGCAGCAACAAACACAGGAGTGCAGATGTCTCTTTGATATACTGATTCCCTTTCTTTTGGGTATATACTCAGAAATAGAATTGCTGGGTCATATGGCAGCTCAATTTTTATTCTGAGGAACCTCCAAAGTGTTCTCCATAGTGGTTGTACTAATTTACATTCTCACCAACAGTGTACAAGGGTTCTCTTTTCTCCACATCCTCATCAGCATTTGTTATTGCCTGACATTTAGATATAAGCCATTTTAACTGGGGTAAGATTATATCTCATTGTAGTTTTGATTTGCATTTCTCTGATGATCAATGATGTTGAGCACTTTTTCATATGCCTGTTTAACAAACATATTACCTTAAGATCCACTATAAAATTATGAGACAAAGTAAATTTGCATTGGTATAAAAATAGATACAGAGAACAGTGGAACAGAATAGAGAAGTCAGAAATAAAACTGCACACCTACAATCAACTGGTATTAAACAAAGTTGACAAAAGCAAGCAATGGAAGAAAGATCCCCTATTCAATAAATGGTGCAGGGAAAACTGGCTAACCATATATGCAAAAGATTGAAACTGGACCCCCTACCTCTCACCATATACAAAAATTAACTCAAAATGAAATAAAGACTCAAATTTAAGACCTCAAACTACAAAAAAATCCTAGAAGAAAACCTAGGAAATACTCTCTGGACATCAGCTGAGGCAAAGACTAAGTGCTCAAAAGCAATTGCAACAAAAACAAAAATTTACAATTGGGACCTAATTAAACTAAAGAGCTTCTGCACAGCAAAAGAAGCTATCAACAGAGCATACAGACAACCTACTGAATGGGAGAAACTATTTGTGAACTATGCATCTGACAAAGGACCAATATCCAGAACCTATAAGCAACTGAAACAAATCAGCAAGAAAAAAACAAATCACCCCATTGAAAAGTGGGCAAAGGACATAAACAGACATTTCTCAAAAGACGATTTACAGGCAGTCAACAAACATACAAACATATGAGAAAACACTCAACATCACCAATCATCAGAGAAATGCAAATCAAAACCTCAGTGAGATACCCATCTCACACCAGTCAGAATGACTGTTCTTAAAAAGTCAAAAAATACCAGATGTTGGCAAGGATGTGAAGAACAGAAAATACTTGCACACTATTGGTGGGAATACAAGCTAGTTCAGACCCTGTGGAAAGCAGTTTGGAGATTTCTCAAAGAACAAAAACTAGAACTACCATTTGACCCAACAGTCCCATTACTGGGTACATAACCAAAAGAAAATAAATCCTTCTACCAACAATACACCTGGTCTTGTATGTTTATCACAGCACTATTCACAATAGTAAAGACATGGAACCAAACTGGGTCCTCATCAATGGTGGGCTGGATGAAGAAAATCTGGTACGTACATACTATGGAATAGGAATGCTATGCAACTGTGAAAAAGAATGAAATCATGACCTTTGCAGTAACCTGGATGCAGCTGGAGGCAATTATCCTAAGTGAATTAACACAGAAACAAAAAACCAAATACCATATGTTCTCACTTATAAGTGGGAGCTAAATATTGTGTACACATGGACATAAAGATGGGAACAATAGACACTGGGGAATCCAAAAAGGGGTAGAGGATGAGAGATGAAAGGACTGAAAAATCTCCTATTGGAAACTATGTTCAATAGGAGAGATGGGATCAATAGAAGCCCAAACTTCAGCATTACACTAACCTAAATTTTTCTTAAAAATGAAGTAGTGAGAGTACCTCCCAACTCTAACATTCTATGACTCTACGACACTCTTCTTGACAAGGTGGAATAATTCATCCAATTTCTTGGGATGAAGTGAAAAGACAAGACAGTAACCAGCCACTATTTCAAAGATGAGCCATTAATTCTGCCCTGTGACCTCATATGTAATAGGCAGGCATTCATCCATGCAAAAGATCTTTACCATCTCTCTGTCAGGCCTGTATACAGAAATGTGGTTAAAACTTGGTTCCTAGGATGAGCTGCTTCTAGTCTAAGATACCTGTTATTACTTACGTATGTAGTTGCTTGGCATATCCTAAATAAACTTTCCTCCCTCCACCCCACAAAATGCAAGCCAGCCGGCCTTCCTACAAGCTCAAAGATAAATAAATATCCTATGGTTTTCAAAGAAGATCAGTCCTCTCTTTCTCTAAACCTATTCATACTTGCCTTAGTTCCCAATGATGACACCAGAATCTATTCCTAAATTTATAAATTTCCACAAAGTATATGGCAAATAAAATACCTTGTGTATTTAAACACCATAATCATTATTATAATTATACTTCAAGTTTGACCAATTAATTCTTCAATGATTTATCTAGAAAGAGTAAACATAAAAAACAAGTTTTTCACTCTAACTTTTGACCTCAATAGATACATCATTCTACAAAAATTCAAGAACCAAGAATGTTCAAGTTGTTTCCTAGCTTCCCTTCTCATGTTTAGGCTGGTCTTGAATCTTGTATGATATCTCATCTCCCTGGACTTACATTGTCCTCAAGTTTAAGAAAATAAGATATACAAAACATTACATTTCTTTAGCATTTCTCTATAGGGTCAACTACTCGATGCCACTGTGATCAGGGAGGAATGCAGGTCTTTTTACCTTTTTTTCTGGCTGAAAATATAATTATCTGCATTGGCATCATTCTTCAAAGCATTAGTTTCATATGGATTTCAGCACAAGCTTAAAAGCCACCAACTATTCTCTCCTTTGCAACTATTTCTTGGTTAGCAGCTGTAGTGAAAAAGTTACAATTCATGGGGGAATTAAGAAGAAACTTCTATTTGGAAATACACGAGAGCAGAAAGTCTTGAAGAAAACTAATTGGTAATCCAGCCAAAGAGGGTAATTCAGAGATAGATCTTTAAAGATATATATATGTATACACACACACACACACACACACACACACACATACACACACACACACACACAGAATTGAGGGAAATGACTATTCTTATCTGCTCTAGTGTTTTTTTTTTTTAAGGATAACATCCGTTCCAATTTTTTTCGAAGTACAGAGTTCCTTATTGTTTCTAGCTCATTTACTTTCCTCTGTCTCTCACAGAACCACACATTTCACCACTGTTTTGCATATGGGAGGCATAAACAAAAGCACGACATTTTAAGGCATGATCCCATGGGGCCTTCAAGAAGTTTATATTTCACTGGAAACTCTGAGAATCTTTTGCCCAGCTAAGAACATCTGCTTCCTCTTAGCAACTTTAAATGCACTTTGATCCTGACATCCTTCAGTATCACCCACACGATGTATTTGAGGTTTTCCTGAGTAAAACAGGAGAAAAGAGTGACATTTGAGTTGGGGGCAAAGTGCCACTTTCCAGGAGACATTTAACTAAAGCTTTTGCTCAGGAATAAAAAACATAGCTTTAGTGTGGCTTATTTTTGGTTCTTCCTTAGAAACCTATATCTGTAATAACACTTAGCATCTATGTAACATTTTTAAAACATTAAACAAATTACTCCTCAACAAACCCTTTGTTGGTAAGTCAATTAGGTAGAATATAATTTGCAGATGCAAAACCAAGAAAATCAGCAGGCCAAATTAGAATCCCATTGTTTACTCCATGCTTCCCATTATCCCTCTCCCCAGACCACCAAGAGTTTCCATATGTCAGCACGATTTTATTCAAGATCATCTACAGACAGTCACACACTGCATTAAAACACTTCAGTCAACAACGGACCTCATATACAACAGAGGTCCCATAAGATTATAATGAAGCTGAAGAATCCCTATTGTCTAGTGACACCGCAGCCATCACAATGTCCTAGTACAATTCATTAGTCACATGTTTGTGGGGAGGCTGGTGTAAACAAACCTACTGTGCTGCCAATTGTATAAATGTCTAGCACATAGTTACGTACAGCACATTATACTGGGTAATGATAATAAACCACTATATTACTGGTTTATATATTTACTACCCTACATATTTTACTGTTTTTTTAGAGTATGCTTTCTCTACTTATTAGAGGAAAAAGTTAACTGTAAAATAGCCTCAGGCAGGTCCTTCAAGAGGCATTTCAGAAGAAGGCACTGTTATCACACAAGATGACAGCTCTGTGCATGTTATTGCCTCTGACCTCCCTGAGATACACGGCGTGGAGTTGGAAGACAGTAATATTGATGATCCTGACTCTGTATAGACCTAGGCTAATGTGTGTGCTTGTGTCTTCGTTTTTAACAACAACAAGTTGCAAAAGTAAAAATAAAGATTTTAAAAATAGAATAAGGATACAAAAAGAAAATATTCTTATATAGTTGTACAATGTACTTGGCTTTTAAGCTAAGTGTTACTACAAGAGTAAAAAGGCTTTTTTAAAAATTAAAGAGTTTATAAAGTTTAAAAATTTACAGTAAGCTCAGATTAATTTAAAGAAAGAAAATGTTTTAATACATTTAGTGTGTCCTAAGTATACAGTATTTATAAAGTCTGCAGAAGTGTATAGTAATGTCCTAGTCCTTCACATTCACTCACCACTCACTCACCCAGAACAACTCCCACTCTTACAAGTTTCATTCATGGTAACTACCCTGCAGGTACAAGTATACCATTTTTTTGTCTTTTATGCCATATTTTTACTGTACCTTCTCTATGTTTAGATAGGAAAAATGTTTTTCATTGTGTTATAGCTGCCTATGGTATTCAATATATAACCATGTTGTGCAGGTTTGTAACCTAGGAGCAATAGGCTATATCGTATAGCCTCAGTGTTTAGTATGCTATGCTACCTAGGTTTAAGTACATTCTATGATGTTGGCACAATGACAAAATTGCCTAACGACCCATTTCTCAAAATGTATCCCCATTGTTAAGCAACATATGACTACAGTAACATTATCATGTGATAATTATCTATTTCAAATGTATAATACTCCAACAGCTACATTACTTTGGTTCCTTTATTAGTTCATTTCAAAAGCACATACTGAGTGCAGAGTAACATTTTAGACACTGTAGTTCATTTTTATCCAATTAAATAACATTCTAGTTTAGGGTTCGATATACTACCATCCTGTTTCCTATTTGTGTAGATAAAGTTTTGTTGAAACACAGCCATACCCATTTGTGTACATATTGTCTATGGCTGCTTTTGCACTGTAACAGCAAACCTGAGATTGAAGCCTCATTCAGTCATTGTCAGAGAGATTGTATGGCCCACCACTACAAAATATTTACCTTGTGTCCCTTTACAAAATAGGTTTGCCACCCCCTGTTCCATCTCAGTAATTTCCAAACACCTCACCTAGCTGCCCAGCTATCCCTTGAGAATCTGGTTAAAGACAGAGATCCTGCACCCTAGAGATTCTGATTCAGTAAGTTGGTTGGAGTGGAACTCAGGAATCTATATTTTTAAAACCTCTTTCAGGTGATTGGGTTGTAGTGTTCCATTTGAGGAATGGTGCTCCAGGTGATGTGGCTTATGGGTTTTCAAGAAGTACCCATGGGATGGGATTAATGACAGCTTTCTTGGAGATGGTAAGTATCTCCAAGTGTTATGCATTTGGATTGTTAGCAAGAAAATACAGACTGTATTTTAGGCAATAGAGAAGCTATGGAGGTGATAAGGAACAAAAATGAGTGAAGTATGTAGTGAGGAAGCAGGATTAACCAAAGATGATAGGGTGACACAGTGGAGTGATTGAAGAAAAGATTTCATTTGTATGGAATTGGGAATCAAAGCAATAGATGCCCTTGAAGGCTTATTGAAAAACACTTTAAAACACAAATTAATCATTCAAGATCTGCGAGGTGCAGTAGAGCTGATCTGGCCAAGCAGTGTACCCCAATCTTTGATGAACAATGGAGGCTCTATTTATAATACTGTGAGTTAAGGTTAGGGTACAGAATTAAATCAGTGGCTACTTCAGAGTTTGAACCTGCAACTTTAACCTCTAGGGCAGCGTTCTTAAACTTTAACAGGAATCAGCATCACCAGGAATGCTTGTTAAAACTCAGAAAGCTGGGTCTCTTCCCAGAATTTCTGGCTTAGTAGGTCTGGGACGGGGTCTGAAATTTTCATTTCTAACAAATCTGCAGGTGATGCGGCCGGTGCTGGTCTGGAAACCACTTCTGTAACCAAATAGGACAAATGGCTGAAAAAAAACAAGGTCATATTGTACTCCTGTGAATAGGCTTTGTCGTGTTTAAGCCCACTTAGTATACATGTTGATGAACCAAGGCAACCGTGCTACCATACCTCAGGTTTGAACTTTTAGAGCTCACTGCCAATTTGGATGGAAACCATATTAAAATCATAGGATTAGAAAATAATATAAAAAATAATAGAATAGGCCTTAGAGATAATTTAGTTCAATGTTTTATTTTATAAAATAGATGGAGAAACTAAAAATCAGAGAGGTTATACGGCTTAACTGCATGCAGTTCCTAATGGCAGCCCAAGGATTTCATTCTTCAAGAGGAACCTGCATAATAAAAATGAGTAATATTTTCTATTTAAAAAAATAAGCTTAATCCATGTCCCCTGAGTTTCCTAAAGAGCTTACAAATGGCAACAATATATAAACCATCATCTAGTAATCATGACAATAATAAAATCCTCATTGAAGGGAGACCCACATTTGCAGGAATGGTCAAAAGAAAACTAGTCAAGATTAGAAATCAATTTTGGTTTCTGAGTAACTGGTCCAAAACTTATTATTATATTACCTCATCTCTTTAAAAGGCAACCATTACATTGCTAATACTATATTTTATTTAGCTCTTTGTTGTTTTGCCGAATTTCACGTGCAAGGAAATAGAAGCTTGATTCAGGTTCAAGTTCTATTCCCTGATTATGGGCAAATGACACTCAGGTAACAGCTGCAATTGATTGAGAGTGACATCTAAGCAGAGATGCTTTCAGCTACCTCTGGGCTCCCAGGACACTTAGAAATAATTCAGGTATGGTTTCTTATCAGCTGAGTATTAGCAGCCTGTAAATATGTATCCCCCATTCAGCAGAATGGGTTCGTACAGAGTAAAAGCCACCTGGAAAACACTGAAATGTACTTCTTTAAGAGGTTGTCTAGCTACTTTTTCCCCAAGGGACAACCAATCGGCGATACATTATTTTAGCTTGTTAACATGTGGAACATATCAGGCTTTTGCCTTGCCTTGTTTTGTTTTGTTTTGTTTTAGTTTGCTCCCTGTGCTCTTCATTTGTCTTTCAAATGTAGAGTAAAAGGATCCATTTCTTTGTCCAGCTTCATGTCATATGTAGATAAAAGTGAATTAATTTTTAATGAAGTAGAAAGTGGGTTATATGAAGGCAATTTCCTTCTAGGCTTTACATGATGGCTCTTTTTCATTTTATTGGGTTCATCAACCAAATGGTTATTTATTCATATATCCATTCAGTATGTATTGAACAACGCTACGTGGAAGGCATTTTGACAGATTTGAGTTGGGTTTTTTTTCCCCTTCTTTTGTAATTATTGGAAAAGAGGAAGGAGTAGGCAGATGCTGCTCCCACACCAGACACAGTTTGAGTCCTATTTTCCCTTTGTTCCATCGTGACATAATTTCTGCACTGTAGATCGGTTGATCCTTTTACCCAACAAAGATTACTCTTCTGCCATTTTCAAAGTGGTGAAATAAAGGATCCAATGATTTCTTCTTTGGGTATTATAAAATATTACATTTTATGGTACCTGTGGGTATTATAAAATATTCTATTTCTTTATAAGCTAAATACAATTTGTATTTTTCTAAACTTACCTAACCTTGAATGATCCTAGCGTTAAAGTAAGGCCTGTCTATGCAGTAACTTTTAAACAGTATCAAGCATACCTACCTCTGTATTTGGCAGCTTTCCTTCAACCTAGAATGAACTCCACCTCGACAAAGACTATAAATCCTTTGAAGACCAACCTGAAGTTTAACCACTCCCCCCTCCCCGCCCCACACTGGACCCCTTTTGGGAGCTATGACAACCCACAATGAGATGGTTCTCTTCACTCCCAGGACACTGATTATTCAACACTACTCACTTGATGTGTCAGATCCTGTCTTATATTATGAATGATTGTTTTATGCATACTGTAAGCTCTTTGAGGACAAATTATAGGGCCTGTATTTTTTGTATATATCATAGAGCTTAACAAAGGATTAAATTTTGAGTTTAGCTTGAATGGGAGGAGAATGGTCTTTATAGTAATGGTCATTGATAGAGAATATTGATGGAGAATTATCTCCAGTAGAAAATTATCTATGGAATCAACTAAAAAGCAAAACATCAAAACTTTGAGTTACTAAGGTTAGTTACTGAAAAGGTTAACAAAATTTCTGACGTCATTGCAGGTGAATTTTAAAAAGTGGGTTTTTTTTTTTTTTTTTTTGTAAGAAGCTTGGAGAATTAAATTGATCTTCTTAATGTTACATAATGCTGCCTTGCAACAAGTAGTATGTTTATTCTTCAAAGAATGTTAGAAATCTTTGCTAACTAACTAGCAAATCACGAGCGAAACCAGCAAGGTGTAAAGAAGGTCGCAAAAAGAAATGCAAATGGTTATAACAGTATCAATCTAAAAACCTAACCACATTCTAGAGAGTTGAGAGAAGAAGTTGTTCATTTGGTGGTGCACTGGGGCTGGAGTTTTTATTGTTGGTTTGGTTTTTGGTATCAAGAGAGTTTATCTGGCTTTGATATTAGACTGTGTCTCCCTGAATAGTGTCTCTTCCTGCAAAGAGCTCACAATGGCAGCTTTTCACACACTGGATGCTAGGGTTTTTCATTTCATATAGCAGAACGGGAAACAAATAAAACATTATATAGTGCCCTTTTTACTGAGGCACCAAAACATGCTTCAGAAAACTTGTCAGAGGGAGATGGGAAGAGAGAGGAGCAAAAGAGATGATGGAAAAGCACGGTTCCCAGTTTTCATAAATGAACCGAATACTAGAATTGGAAAGAAAATACGCAAATAGGGAGCTAAATATGTCTAGGATAATGCCAAGTTACAAAATTTAGGCTTAAAAAAAATCAACATTCTCTGATCCCTCGATCTGTATTTTGAAGGGCACCTATTCAGCTGGTTTCTAATAATCCTAGCATTAAGACAAATAAACGGGGAGACATGGGTGGGTGCAGGCAGTCTCATGCTAATGCACAGCACCACCGATTTATTCACCCTTACAGCAGTTTTAAAATCAATTCAATATTTCCTGGATAGGTTGACATCACCCCTTTCATATCGGAGTGAAGGACTGAACTGCTTGCTCTGTACTCATTAAAATTCTGTATACTACACTATGCTGGAGCCAATGTCTATTTTCATGATGGCCGTAAAACAAAGCAATAAGTGTTCTTGTCTCTGAGGCCAAGGTGGGGAGAACAGAGAGGAGTTATGAGAGATGAGGTCCACAGAAAGGAAAAGAGGGAAGGAAGCATTAATCTGTTAATATTTACCAAATTCTAGCAATGAAGTATCACACATACACATTAATAAAGCATCCAAAACACAGACATGAATTCAAGGGCACTCCAAGAATTCTAGCCTGAGAGAGCCCAGCCAGTAAGGTAGTAGCAGACAATTTAATCTGGGAAAATGACTTTCCACCCAGAAAATTGAAAACATTGTTCTCAGTTCTTTTACTATTTCTATGAAGTAGTTTTCCTTTTCACAATCCATTTATGAAGGAAAATATGTATGTGTCACTCATCTGAGTACTATTTGCATAAACATGGGGCCTTGTTCTTCCAGATATATATTACATGTGTGTATGTGTGCATGTGCACACACACTTATACAAATATATGAATGAATATATATCTGTGCACAGGACCTCCAGGGCACAAGTGGCGTGGTGGAGGGATGCTCTGAGGAATGACTGGCTTTGGATTTGCCTGGATCTGAGGGCTGCATTCGGCTCTGCTCTGATGGAGGGAGGGTGACTGGCTGTAAGGAGCATTCATAGAACTGAAGGAGCCACGTTGCTCTACCCCCCAGGGTAAGAAAATGTACCTTTTGAACAACTGTGACATCAGCTAGGTCTGCAGCAGCACTGTGGTTCATCCTCCAGCTGAGGGAGTGAACCTCACAAAAGGGAGGCTACACCCAAGGACAGCGATGAGATGCTGCTCCAAGAATGCTCTTGGAGGAACTTACGTCCTGTGCTTTCTTCAGTCCCTCCTGACAAGTAAAACCAGACCTACTGACAGAGAAAAAATGACCTCAAATTCAGAATAGGACAGCAGTTTTTGTTTTGATCATTCTACATCATGTATGCTTTATACTCAGACAACAAACAGGCCCAACTTCAAATATTATTAAGATATTCTCAGTGAAGTGCCCGATTTTTTTTTCTTCTTATTTCGGCAACTCTTCACACACACACACACACACACACACACACACACACACACACACACACACACACACACACACAAAGAGAAAGAGGGAGAGAGAGACAGCAGGGCCATGCATATGGTAAAAACCAACGCTTTTATTCAAGAAGGGCAGGCTGACCTTTCAGAGTTTGTTAGAAACATACCCCAGAGTAAATGCTCACACTCTCAACTCTCTAGAATAAGACTCCGTCTTCAACAGCAATGAAGAATTGCCTGAAGACTCAACTTCCTTCGCCCACTGGGTCGAGGAGAAAGGAAAATAGGCAGAGTTCTTCAAGGAGGGGGCGGCACTGTGCCTGCTTGGCGCGGAAGGAATCCAGCCACCTCTCTGCCTACGTCCTCTATTTTCAGAGACAGCCTGGTTTCAGCCTGAGCTGTGGCCTGGTCCAGGAGCAGCCAGGGGAAGGGACCTCCTGCATCATGGGAGTGTCTGGGGGTGAGAAGGGCACCACTAGAAATCATGCCACAGAGCGATGGAAAGCAGTGCTCCCAGTCTTTTGCTTCCTGGTGCAAGTCACATTGCCCTTTAAAATGACATGGGGTGGGGTGTACAGTCCAGTGGGTAGAATGTGGCATAGTTCCCTAGGATCCAAGGAACACAGGAGGGAGCTCTATACTCTCTCTCTCTCTTAGACCAACTGGGTTCAAACCTCAATTCTGGCACTTCACAGTTCTATAGCCTAGGGCAAGTCATTGAATCTCTCTGTGCTTCAGCTTCCTTGTCTTTAAGTTGGGATAGGTAGTAACAGTCCCTACCTCACCAGGTAGCTTTGGAGGACTAAATGAGCAAATTCTCAAAGGGCTAAGGTAAAGTACTTGGATCGCAGTAAATATTCTCTAAGTGTCAGGGTTGTATCCCACCTGATTTGCTGTGAGCCTCTACTTGGTCCTGAAAGGAAAGAACAAAGGAGAACAAGGCTACTGCACTCATGCTCCCGCCATTGGGCCCTGGTGGCCCCTGATCTGCTGGAGCTGGTACTGCCTTCAAATCCCACCCTACCTGCCCCTATGTTTCCTTGGGCCTGGTGGAAGCGCATTGTTGGATGACTCCGCTGAAAGGCACAGGTGTCCTTATTACCCTCAAATAACCTAATTAAGACAGTATAAAAGAAGATGCTGGCACTGAAAAAGAACCTGGTCCACTTACTGACTGTAGGAGTGTAGGTTCCAGAAACCCTGTTTTGAACCAAATTCTGGGCCTCATTTATTATTAACAACATCATGGGGGGGGAGAGGAATGGCTCCATTGAAACTTTGTTCTTTATTTTATTTTGAGTTCATATTACCAATAAATAAAGCACATATTCCCTAGGGAGACAGGCCAATTATCTGCAACCTGCTTGCCAGGTACCATGACTGCAGGAGAACTGAGTGGCCAGAGGTTTCTGGATCTGAAGCTGCAATGAAATGTGTTCTCATAACTAACACTGAAGATATCATTCTTAAGAAGAATGTGTGAAGGCTATTTCTCTACTCTAAGCATATATTTTCTAAACCAAAAATCAAACCTGGTATGTCACAGAAAATTTTTGTGTGGCTTCTGAGACTCCCCTTGGGCTATCTTTAAGCAAAGAGTTTGAATGACAAAACATTGGCCTTTAGGGACTATGAGGGAAAAACAGGACAGAATATTTGACTAGCCTGAAAAAGTCAGGCACTTACCGTATTCATTCACTTGGCAGAGAAGCAAAAGACAGCAAATAGGAAGCTATTTTAATGGACACCCGTGGTTACCATTTATAAGGGTTATCCTCTTGTCCTTATCTTGATCTGAATAGGAGAAACTATAACTGAACTTTGAGGCTTCATTTGTGGTCATGGGTAGAATTGCCAAATAAAACCAGCTCTCTAACTCTACCCCTATTCTGTCCCTCCAAAGGGACAACCATCGATGTACCTGACCACATTCTCCTTTTCCCCAGGTCATCCTGAAGGACACAGTGTCCTCTTGAACACGTTTGATTTATTCAGTGTGTTCCTAGGCTTGAAACTAGAATGGAAAGAGATGCTATTCCCCTGATCACAACAGAGCTCTGCCTAGAGAATCAGTCTAGCATAATAGTAAGTAGCCTTTGGAGTTACACTCTTTGGATTCAAATTTTAGCTTCCCAGCTTACAAGGTGGGTAACCTGTCTAGGCCCAGTTTTAGCATCAGTGAAATGGAAATAATAAACAGCACCTCACTCACCGATATGCCTATGCGAATGTAAGCAAAGAACCTGGTTCATGTTAAGAATTTGATGGATGTGAAGTTTGTTGCTAGAAAAGAAAAAATAAATGTGGTAACTATCAGCTTTACAATATAAGCAATTAACTCTCTTCTAGTCATCTCCTAGGGACTTTGAGAAGAATAAAATATAGAGCATCTTTCCTAACATTAAATCATGCTAATATATCAGAATATGAAATATAGAGATATCAGTTTTATAAATAAGTTAATGAGCAGGTTTTCAATGAAAGTGCAATCTAGCGAGAAAATGGTTTGGCCATTCCTCCTTGACCTGAACCTGTTGATTTATTAATATATGAGCAGGCCCTTCTCACATGGAGTCTACTGAAATAATGGCCCCTTGCACAGTGGAGACTATGATTGTTCACTTGCATTTTGGCTAACAAGCCAAATAAATGAAAATATAGTAATTATGTGTAAACTACAACCTCATGTATATCTGGGTGACTATTTTATCTACCAGATTTGTAGCACAATTTTAAATTGAATTTCAAAATTGAAGATGTATACTTTACTTGTAAAGTTGTGGTCATTAGTGCTGTGAACTCTGCTTTCTGAATTTTTTTCACTTTTGCTATACAGACTTTAGGGTTTGTTTTTTTGTTTTTTGTTTTTGTTTTTTTCAATTTACAATATAGGGGATCTGAACAAGACATACCCCAAAGCAATTTCTTTTTAAACTTTTATTACCCTATAAATTCCTCAAATATCAAACTCCATGTTACTTTTTTTTTTAGCAATTAATGAAAACAGTTTTGGAGAAGAAGAAACTGAGAGGAGATTTGTCTCTAATACAAAAACTTGTTTATTCCAACTGCAGACAGTCTTTTCATAATTTTATGAGCCACAAAATAAGAAACAGTTTCTACTCTGTGTGTCATTTGCAAATAGGAGACAATCAAGATTCAAAAGAAGCCCATAAGAACAGCAGGAGACTCTAGAAGGCACAAGATGTGGGATAGAATCCTACAAGGAGATGATGTACGGTGCAGCTGAGAGGAAGGAAACAGAGAGGTAAATTTGTTTTCAAATATTTAATGCCTCCGTATTCTGGATCTAGGTATTTCCTGATCTTTGCACACTCAGCCTATCAGAAACTGTGGTAGCTCTTCATCTCCCCCAGCCCAGCCTTTTCTCACCTGCTTTCACACATTCTGTGCTTTTCATGCTTACCACACTCAGATTACCACGTATGCCATCCACCACCACACAGGGCAGTGTAGGAAAAGCAATCTAATTAACAATTGCCATTAACCATTCAAGAGACGCTACTTCTCTGCAGTCAATAAACAGCCTGATTCCAGTTTCTTTCTGTGCAATAGACTTCATTATCTCTAAGGTTGTATCTGGAAAAAAAAAAAAATGCCTGGAATAGGATATTCCACTTAACCATTTGGCAGATCCTTTTAATATAAAAATGAAAGGAAAATATACACATTTAAGAAACCACTGTACTAATAGGAATGTTTGGAGAGTCTCAACTATCATACAAATGGGATAACCATCTTGAAACTGATAACAGGAGTGGATTCAATCTATTGGCAAAGACTTATTAGGAGTCTATCATTCAAGCTATTGTATCAGCTCCTATGGAGTCTATGATAGTCTTCTTGCTCCTCAAAGAGTTTACAATCTAATTGGAGAAAAAAAATAAAATTGAGATAATATACTTTGTAGTTTTTACAAGGACAATGTAACAAAACATGTTTACTTGCCAATAGTTGGTTCAAAGTGATAAGAATTTAGAAGACGCAAAAGCCAGTATGCAACGTGGTGGCCTAGGAAGGCTTCCCTGCAGAAAGGGGACCTGCTGTGAACCTGTCAAGGCATGGATGATAGACTCTGGACTGGCTGAGAGAAAGAGACCAGGCTCCCAAGGGAAACAAGAGTAAGGAGAACACCAGAGAAATAGTATATCAAAGGGGGCTATTTGCAAAAGGCATCTTCAGAAGCCTTGGCTGTCTGGAGTTGAAGTTTCACGAAAAGGAGCAGGAGATGGTGATAAGAGAGTGTCTGTCTTTGACACAACTTTAAGAGACCTGAGCCCACTATATTCCTCTAATTATATTCTCTCAGTCAAAAAAAATTTTTTTTTTTTGTTAAGCCCCTGTTATAAGCAACGCACTGTTGGGGGTGGGGAAGGCAGAAGGACAAAAAGAAAAGATCTAATTTGAGCTCAGGAGCCAGACATAAAAGCAGGAAGTGTTAACAATGCAAAAGATACCAAACAAAACAAAAACCCAAAAAAAAGTACAGGGAGGGGGGTGAGTTGGCAAATAATTAATCCATCTGTAGAGGAAACCAATTATTTTGTCTGCTAAATACGCTTCCCTTCTTCTAAGAATAAAAGAGGTTTCCTCTACTTCTGGGTGTTGTTCCTTCCAGCCCCCGACCTCGAATCCTGTAATACCCACGGGAACTGCACTTTCTTTCATGGTCCCACTCCCCTGACCATAATTGATTGGTAAGGAATGAGTCCTAGCAGCATGTAAGTCCTCCGGTGCCAGTTTCTTCCTGTAACCAACTACATCCTTGCTTGACTCTTTGTTTGATTTTTCAATCTTTTTTATCAATAATATGAGTACCCAGCTAGTGAATTTCCCCTTTGATGAAGCCAATTCAAATCGGATGACCGTTACTTGCAACTCAAAGAGTCTTATTAAACTTCTAAGTGATTAAATTCTGACTTGCATTATAATTGTTTGCATTCTTTCCTCCAAACTTCTAGGTTGTAGAGCAAACACTGTCTCATTCATCTTTGTGTCACAGTAAGTGGCTAGTTCTATTAATTTGTACTAAGCAGGTAGTATCAAGCGAGTAATACTAGTTACAGTAAAAATAAATGCCCAGCTCTTAGTTTCTTGACACCTTACAAGTTTATTTCTCACCCACCTTGATGGGTGTTCTTAAAGGGGAAGTGGCTGTCATCTAGGTGGTGTTTCAGGGACCCAGGCAACTTTCATTTTGTGGCGCCACCTCTCATGGCCATGGCTCCTGTGCTGGATCCTGCACAGGCAGGAGCAGATAGCATGAAGAGGCCTGCTACTTCTTAGCTACCTGGGCCCAGAAGTGACCTGCACCTCTTCTGCTCTCATTGTGTTGGTAAGAAGCAGCCACACAGATACAAGGGCTGAGAAATACCATCCTAGCTGAGCAACAGTTCCTAGCAACAGCTCTACTCTATGGAAAGGAGGTAGTAATCTTTGGTGGAAAATTAGCTATAAGAGAGAAAGAGAAAGAAAGATGCATGGGATGGGGGAAGGAGGAAAAAGAACAGAAACGAAGAACGGAAGAAAGAAAAAAGAAACTTTAGAGCAAGGCAAAGAGAAAATACATTATGGGGGCTAGAGATGGGGAAAGATTGCTTCAAGGAGCAGGAATCGAGCCTTTTGTTTGCATTTTCTTAATTATATAAAGCCCACTAAAAACATCATAGATTATGAAAAAACAAGTAGAGGAACTCTGCTGACTATCTTAGTGAAATGGCAACACTTCTAACATACATTTTTTTTTTAAATTCCTCTAAATTATTGCCCTTAGAATCTAAGCAGCATAAGTCAAAGGTCATAGCTCCAACAGCTTTCCTTGTCAAAATTATCTTCACAGGAAGCAGTCAATCATGTAAAAGCACAAAGCAATCTGCCAAAGGACTTTCCTTAATGGTTGAAATTCCAAGGATGCAGAAGTCTTAAAATGGTTGTTTCTTCTAGTCAATTGAATCCCAAGTCCCTTCTGTGAGGACAATGTACAACCCTTGGAACAAACAGAAACATTTCAAAGCCTCTCTGGAGACCTTCCAAGTGTTTTTAAATTAATTTTTCTCCTGAAAACATTCAAAGCCCAAACCCCCATATACCTTCAATTATATTCTCTTGGTCATACATGACAGTTGGATTCTGGTCATGAAGTGTTGTTCTGGGGCAGATCCCAGTTCTTCAGGAAAAGGAAGAGAATCAGGGAGATAGGGGTTTTCAACAAGTCTAGACCCCAATTATGGAGGGCCCCAAGAACTGCAGAGTGTCATAGCAAGTTCTCGGGCACTAAAGGGAACTTCTAAAACACAAAGACCATATTTCATTCACCCTTGTATTTCTAGTGCCTAGCACAGTATCTGACACCAAGCAAGCATTCGATAAATATTTGATGAATAAATAAATGAATGGAGCTGGAATTTAGTGATTATGTCTTGGATGCGAAGTGAGTATTTGGCCTCAGCAACAAAGAGCACAAAATAATCTAGAACTGGGGCACAAGATTGGAGCAAGACAAAGAAGACATACTAGATGCTGAATTTCTTTAAATACTTTAAGTTGGAAACCAGTCTAGTCACAGAGTCAAGAGCAAAGATGAGTCACCAAGAACTCAAAAGAATTTAGCTATTTAGGTGGCATGTTGAGTCAGGAAGCCAAGAAAGTTATTATTTATAAATTATTATATAATCTGATTGGAAAAGGTCAATAATAGTAAAAGATCTGGGTTTGTTCTTCATAAGCTTATCTGTTACTCCAAGAAGCAAAACCAGCCTTGAGCAATACTGTAAAATAAACCTCACCTTCTTATCTCCCCTTTTGTCATTATCTTATAGTCAGCAAATGCCCCTCCTCAGGTCCAATGGCTTTAAATTTTAATCACCCCTTACTACCCACATCATCCAGGGACAATACCACTTGCTCTTGCTTCAGATGTTCTCATCATAAGTGTACCCATCTCATGTCTCAATCATCAGGCTTTGCTCCAGCTGGTTGCCTAACTCACTCATCTGCTCATGAATTCAGAAAGGGCATTAGTGATAAATTCAGGTAAAATATAGTCTTGTTTATTAGTGCCTTCTGGAGACAAGGTCTTTGCCCAATGGAGTATCTCTAATCATGAACATTTCTAAGTGAAGTAAGGCCACTGGGGAGGAGATCAGGGGCTGGCTGAACTTTTACTGCCCTTTAAATCACACCAGGGGAGGCAGCTACTCTTTCTGTCAGATCCGGCAGGCTGGCTAGCAAACCCTTTTAAAACAGCAACTGTCCTGGTTAAATTAACGCTGAAAGACCTCTCATGGCAAAACCTCAGCCTGGGGCCAGTCAGAAAGATAACGGTTTCATTAGCTGGTATCTTTTCAAAAGGATGCCTGAGTCATTTCCCTTTAGACCACTCTGACTCCTCTATTTCTGGTTATCTCAAAACACTTCTTATAAATTAATAGTTGAAAGCACACATCAGTGGTCTGTGGTGTCCCTTATATATGCCTTTGAAAAAACATCACCAGATAGCTAAAGAACAAAATTAAACTTTTCCTCCAAGACTGTAACTGTACCCAAACCACACCTGCCCCAGCAGTTACTCACGGCCTAAGGAGGGACATCCTGCTACAACCCGATGATGAGTTTCAGGGTGTTTGTGTTCAAAAAACCCTGCAAAATACCAGGCTGCCAAGTTAATAAAAGGGAAGTGTTGGCAACCATTGTGTAGGCTTATGAATTTTACCCATTTTTCTTTTCCTAGTGTCACTACTGCTGCCTTATATTTTTTTCAGAAATAATAGAATATAAGTGAATTCATATAAATATATATGCATATATATACATATACATATATACACACATTCATACATATGTAAAGTCACTATTCCTAGAAATATTCCCAAAGGAAGCTGCCTTTTAAAATGTTTTTCCTTCAAAATAACAGAGTAGGTTATAGTCTTTGTTGTGAATTATAATCGTCTCACATATTCAGCAGACAGCTCTCTAGAAACTCAACCAAATACATTTTCCCTCTTGAACTGAACAGAAACAATAACAAAAAAGAAAAGACTCTAGCACTGAAGAGGAATGTACTTAGATCAGGTTTATAGACTTTATAGCAGACGATAAATAAGGTCACCCTGGAGCCATAAAGGCCAGAACTAATTGACATATTCAAGGATTCATGAAACCAACAGAATGTCTTTAGCCAACGGAGGACATGAAATTAAACATACAATGGACTGTATGTAGGAAGCAGACCCAGGGAAGCCAGTCAAATGATAGGAAATGGCAGAGGAAAAGTCAAAAGAGAAATCAGGCAAACAGCCACAGCCTTTTATAAGCTCAGACACCTGAGGATACCATTCTGTGACCCAACAGTTTACAAATAATAAAGTGATGGTGCTGAGTCTTAATGAAAAGGTTAGGTCATATCTGATAGACTGTTTAATAAGACAGGAAGATGAGCAATGCATCCTAGATAATTATCCATTAACAATGGTTTTCAGAAAGGTTTGATACATAAAATGTATTTTTAAGAATCTAAACATTGCAAGTACTTTATTCCTGAATGTCAACCAATAGATGAAGTGTGAGTATGTTAGTTAACCATGTTCAAGAACTGAGAACAATAGAGGGAGAAACTGTCAAATGTCTACTCTATTATTTTTTACTCCAGTTTTGTTACTTTCAAGTACTTGGAGTATTTTTAATTTTAAAGGACCTGTTTTAATAACTAATAATTAGATATGCATGTTCTCAAATTAACATATTGAGAGTTGAAGAATAATCCTTCTGAAAAGCTTCTATATATCTATTTCAGTCATTTATCCAAGTATGCCAGGGACACTTCTTCACTTCTTGGTCAGGAGATACAGTGGTGAAAAGGTTTTTTGTCTATCCAAATGGCATCCCAGCCTCAATATGATTTTGCTTTTACTTTTGCTTAGAGTCTAAAAATTCTTTGTTTGTCACTCAAATTATTGTAAATTCTAAATCAACTAAGTTTATATGAAGTGGCAATTGTGCTAAGCAGTTCTAGCCTCAAGAAATATTCAGATCAATACAAACCCATCCATGATCACCTGGACTCAGAATCTAGCCATGAAGAACCAAGTAGACAGTCACTGAAATAAAATAAATGCCATGTTAGAGCTGTAAACACAAGACTTATTATGAGAGCAATGACAAAAGGAGTAAGCATCGTTTAGTGTGTGTGTGTGTGTGTGTGTGTGTGTGTATGTATGTATGCTCACACATATATACATATAGATCCATTAACAATATATGTGTATATATGTATATATATGTATTGTGTGTGCATATATATATGTAGTGTATATTTGTGTGTGCATATATGTATTTCTGGCTGGAAATTAAATACATGGAGAGATAGATAGTTAGGTCCAGAGATAGATATGTTTTGACTCCAGTAACAGATAATACTGATGCTCTACTTCATGAAAATAAAAACATAGCATAGTAATTTGGGATTACAGCATCCACCATTAGACAAATCTAACCTGGAAACATAGTTCTGCCACCTATTAGCTGTGCAATCTTGAAGAAGTTACTTGACCTCTCTCAGCTTCTGTTTTCAACTATTAAGTACAGGTAATAATAGTATCTAATTTAGAGAGTTATTAAATCCTTTCATAGAGGAAAATCAAAAATCATTGATTATTTTCCTTCTGATTGATTAGTAGTATATAAATGCATTTTAAAGTAGTCTATGCTCTCCACACATTCAGAGGATTCTGGTTTTCATTTTAAAATTAGGTATAAAATGTTGTGTTCAAGAGTGCAAACAAGGAAGGGGGTTGGGCACGTCAAGCACACAGGTATACACACCCAAAAGAATAGCAACCAACAGCAAGGCAGAGGTAAGAGCTCCAGCTTTTTTGGAAGCTCTCCTGAAGGCCCAGATATTTTTAGATTATTTTTTAAATGGAAAACAGACATACACACTAAATGGCATAGAACAAACACCCAGAAATATTTTGCTTCGATTTTTCATGGGTTATTTTTACAGATCTGTCTTGCTGTGTGAATTTCATTGTGAATGAAATGAATCCGTGAGCATGCTTCCATGGAAACCTGTTTCTTTGTGATTGGCTGAGCGGTATCCAGGCAATTCAACAATACCTCAGAAAGTACAAGTACTGTTAATATTTAACAGACACAGTAAAACCTACCAACCCCAACCCCATGGCATTTGTTATGCAACTCACCATTAATAAAGAAATGCAGGTCCATCGTAACATTTTCTCACCCTCGAAATATCCTTGCAAAGTTTTTGTTTTTCCCCTTGTTGAAACCTGACATACAGAGAAACAGGAGTGGGGAGTGGAGGAGGGAAGGACAGGACACGAAGGAAAAGGCATAAAACCTTGAAGATGTGATCAGATAAAGCCTTATCATCCTTGTAATTGATATTGCCACCATTTCATTTGTTTTGTTTCTAAATAGAACTCATTTAAAATGAGAAATTTGCCCAAAACGAATGTTTCTGCCATTTTACATTTAATCATGATTAAGAAAGAGAGAATCATGTCACCTAAGACAATTTATATAATCATAAGCATACTAGTGTGACTAACCAAGCAAGATGAGGCAAATGATACATATTAAAAGGCCCAAAGGGGGCAATGTGTATTTACCAATGTCCGTGGTAAATTGAGGGTTTTTTTCATTTTTTTTAAGTGTATATGATTTGAAACTCCCAGTGTGGCTTGAAATAAGAAAAGCAGTGATACAAAGAAAAGTCCCAAGGTGCAACAGAGTTAAATTTCCAAGTAATCATTTTTTCTGCAACCCCTACACTGTCTGGATACTTTAGAACTCCCCCTGTGTATTTAACACTTTGCTTACATTCTCTCGTGAGCAAATCAACCACTTAATAAGAGACAACGGTACTGGAAAGCAGCCAGAGTTTTTAACATTTGCCTATATTAACATTCCACTTAGGATATTCTTATTTGAATATCTTACTGGAGATTATTTGAGTTACTCAACTCCTGATACAGGATACAATTTGAAAGCACGGAGTTGATAAGAAGAAAATTACTATATTTTAAGCTTATATATTAATGACTCTATAGAGACGTCTTTATTTTGTGTATAAATCTAATGAAAATCAGATTATGACATGCTACTAGGCAAAAATCTCTGGACTATTTCTAAAGCTGATATTTACTGAGAGCCCAGAAGATAGTTGTGCATGTACCGTAAATCATTAAATTGATATGAAGTTGAGTGATAAACTGGCTTTAAAAATATATAAACAGTAGTATCTGAGTTGTGATGAACTAATTTAAATTTATAAAAGACTGCAAAATTATATATCAAAATATTAACCATAATTATCTCTAGGGTCTTATAAGTAGATTTTTGTGCTTTCTCTTTTAATGTACACTTTATTCTCTCCACATTTTTCAAGGTATGTGTTATTTAAAACGGAAAATGTATGTGTTTTAAAGATACTCTCAATGATCTTTTCATCTTTCTTTGTAAGGACAATTAAACCTTAAATGTATAAAGAGCCTCACACATTTTAAAGTATTTCACATCCATTATCTCATTCCAGGCACACAATATCCTTGGAGGAAGGTATTACGGAGAGTGGACTCACAGACAAGGAAAATGAAAGCCAGTGGTCAACCAACTTGCTAAGATGGTAGGGGACATTAAGAGTCAGAGTTGGGGAACAAATCTGAGTCTTGGGGTCCCTATTTCCAACACTTAGATTATATACGAGTTATATTACACTACTGGTTTTCACATCTTTTTAAACTAAATCCATTCTTGTGTCTTAATTTTTATATCTGTTCCTGCATTTAATGCATTTTAAGAAGCAAGCAGATGCTGGGCCAGGTGCCTTGGCTCAGGCCTGTAATCCCAGCACTTTGGGAGGCCAAGGTGGGTAGATCACTTGAGGTAAGAAGTTGGAGACCAACCTGGCCAACATGGTGAAACCCTGTCTCTACTAAAAATATAAAAATTAGCTGGTTGTGGTGGTGGGCACCTGTAATCCCAGCTACTCGGGAGGCTGAGGCAGGAGAATCGCTTGAGCCCAGGAGGTGGAGATTGCAGTAAGCCAAGGTCACACCACTGCACTCCAGCCTGGGCAACAGAGCAAGACTCTGTCCAAAAAAAAAAAAATAGAATAAAGCAAGATGCTCAATAAACATTTGTTAATTAATTTACAACAATCTTTCCCTCTTTGTGTTTTTTTCTTAACTCATTTATCTATGCAGCTAAACATACTTGCTTAAGAATTGAAGAATAACACTTCAGTCAAATTTTCCTTTATGCTATTTTCTAAAGTTTGAAATTCTGGGGATTTAAAATACGTATACTTTCCTAACTACTCATGCAGTGTTGGAGAAAAGGGTATAAGAGAAGACAAACCTGAATATGCATCTAAGCAGTTTATACAGAGCAATGCCTAGAAAGGAGCAAGGGGTACCGCATCAGTGCCCAGTCTCCAAGCCTAGTGCATAGTAGAGAGAGGGAGAGGGGAAGGCAGGTGTATACTTTCCACTTCAGCCCCCTGCCCAGTCTAGTCCAGAGTGCGATCAGCAGTCAGGATAAATGGAGTTCCAACGGACAGCCCCAGGATGCATGGTAGAGAAGGGGAAAAATGAAAAGAGGAATACCCCAGGATGCCAGGATGAAAGGGAAGTTACCTAGCCTCTTTCCTAGGTGGCTAACTTGTTGTTTGCATCAGCAGTCACTGCTAACATACTGGAGGAAATTAGAAAAAGGTGCCCCTTCTTCCTGTGGACATAGTCTGGAACCAAAGTGTGCAGCTTAGTGAGTAGAGGGGGGGTTGGGTTACAGCCCTGGCCTGTCCCCTGGCCAGGAAGCCTCATGCAGTAAGCAACCTGCACAACTGTGTGCGGCAGCCCTGCTCAAGAACTGGAAACATAATCAAGTTGAGTCTGCCTCTAACTGGAGAGTATTTCCGACTCCTCACCAAAAAAGTATCCTTTGGTTGATAAATACACGTGCACACACATCTGATGTATTGCAGAGGAAAAGAGGTGATTTTTAGAGTCCAGAGGTAAATGAGTTATTTCTCTAGTTAAAAGGAAAAATGGATACTCTCATGGATTACTGTAATGATTGAATAAGATTATATATGTCACGCACAATACCTAGCACTAATCAATCCATAAAATGTCGGTTCACTGCCATTTTCCCTTGCTAATACTGAAACTATTTAGATAAAACTGCTGTTGCTGGGGTAATTTTTAAAATCTAACTCTTTCTTGCCACAAATCCCAAAACCTTCCTGTTTCCCACATAGGAACAAACTCTATCCCCTCCCCTACCACTATCCTTACACCATATGCATTTTACAGTAGTAGGCCGTCTGCCCTAGATGCTGAATCCATGTGGAAGAACTGCAAGTTAGTTTTGTGTGAAATGTTAGAGCAAAACTCAAAGCCAGCTCTGACTTTACATTTTATAAGGAAGCTAAAATTTGGCCCATGTTTGCAAAAAATGTTGCCAGCATTTGCTATGGGCCTGCAAGCAAAAGATTCCAGATTTGTTGAAAGCCAGGCAGAAGTCAGGCATATCTTCCAAATGTCATTTTGAACACTGACCCTGAAAAAAATGAGCAGAAGTTGACGCACAAGACTGTGCAGGAAAAATGTGCCGAGTCATAACTTCCAATGAACATGGGTTACAGCCCTTCCTGCGGTTCTGTCTTAAATGAACTCCATAGGCAGATGAGCTGTTTCTGAATGTTTATTATGGCCTCTGGTGAGCCAATAAGTTTTCTCTTTTCCTATTGCTTTTTAGTTAAAAAATTATAAATGCCTAGAGAATCCACCTGCCATCCTTTGGCTAAGTTAAAAGGCAGTGGTAAGAAGACAGCCATGCTCTGTTAGTGGTCCCAAACTTGGCATTGATTACTAGGCTGGCATGTGATGACACTGTTTTCAAAATAGCCTTTATCCAATTGCTAAGGCAGCTGCAGCCCTCTCAGAACCTCTGAAACCTGGGATCTCACAAGTAAACAATGATCACCATGGTGTTTATATTTTATTAAATGTCATATAGCCAGATTTTTCTAACCTGGTATAGCTTTAGCCAGAGACAATTTCTAGAGGATGAAACTCAAGGCAATTATCTAACATGCGGTATAAATGAAAATTTGTATGAATCAGAGAAACTCTATTATCAAGACAAGCTTGAGAATAATGGAGGACACTATACAGAACACAGATCAAATGCTAGAATTAAGCAACTGAAGTCAGAATGAAAATGTACACAAAAACAACACAAAATGCAGGCATCCTAAAACTTGGGGAATAAAAAATAGGTTCTTTTCAGGTTGAGAATAAGGTGGGGGACGAGATAACAGAAAACAAGTTAAGACCTTATGTTCCCTTTGGAGTGTTCTGAGTTCTAACAACTTCCCAGCTGAGTATGGCAGGTGAGACGAGATCCGGTGAGATGTGGAAGAGAGAGAAAAATAAGGCCCTGGATTTGCCCTTTGACTCTCACCCCGTGGTATGTCCCCTGAATCTGACCAACATTTTCGTAATCATGAAGATTAGGACACACGTGCCTCTTAACAAACAACTCCAAATCCTGGAATCTCACCTTTCCCCATTCCCATAAGTAAATCAGTAGCCTCTATTGTGATGGGGGAAAAAAAAACAAAAATAAACATATGAATAATCTTAAGGACATTTCGCCTCCTCGGAATTTTTGAAGCATTTTATTGACTCTCAGGATTTCTGATCCTTTATCATGGTCGTTCATATGTGTCTTATCTCCCTTACCATATACCCTGAGCACTAAGTGCAGGACAATTTACTGCTTGGTAGTTCACAGATCTAGTAGAGTACCTTGAGTAAAAGAAATGCGTCAACATTGATTCATCTGTTCACAATATATCCATATACTTTCCTAAGTCCAAAAGTGATACATAGTTAAGAACAAAAAGAGCCATTTGAACTGCAGAAGAGAATAGTTTCAGCATCATTCCGTTTCCCCCTGAATGTATCTCCAGATTCATTTTTTCCACAAGAGTAAGAACAAGGAGCTTTGCTAGAATACAAGGTACTTTTGCCAGGGTACCAGAGTAAAGACAACATGGTCTCTGCCCACCAGAATTTATGTAGGGACACAAGAAATTGAGAAAATCATTGCAACAATGTAGTAATGGGTAGTTTTGTGTACCAGGGTGCAATCATGGCTCACTGCAGCCTTGAACTCCTGGGCTCAAGCAATCCTCCCACCTCAGCCTCCTGAGTAGCTGGGACCAGGGGCACAAACCACCATGTCCAGCTAATTTTATTTATTTTTTTTTTTGTAGACACAAGGTCTCACTACGTTGTCCAGGCTGCTCTAGAACTCTTGGGCTCAAGAGATCCACCTGCCTCAGCCTCACGAAGTGCTGGGATAAGAGGCGTGAGCCACTGTGCCCTGCCTAGTTTTGCTTTTAAAATGACTTAGAAAGAGGGCGATGGTGGGACTCGAGAAGAGGACTTATCAATCAGCCTCCTCCTGGGAATCCAGAGAACTTTGGGCTCCCAGGGGAGATGTTATCAGAGATGAGGCTGGAGGTACGCATAGTCTTCATGACACATGGTCTTGATGACTTCATGTCAATCAAGTTCAATACTGACTGCCATGCACATGGCAGTTGCTTCATATTTGCTTCACAAAGCAAAGGTAGGCTGGGACAGACAGCTTTTAAGCTATAAGCTCTTTAACTAGGTAGACTGTGGAAGCATTAATATGGATGATACCTAGTTTTTTAAAGACCCATTCTGCTTCCCAGTTGGCCTCCTTAGGAAAAAGGAACCCCTCCCAAGAGGTAGGCAAGCCCAAGGTAATCTCATTGTACCATCTAGGCCTAAGAGAGACAGTCTACTGAAATATAAGATAGGGACATGGAGCACTGTCTGAATTATCTCTATGCTATTCCCAGGGCCTAGACAATACTTGACACAAAGTAAGCCTTCCAGAAAAATTTGTTGAAACGAATGAATGAATGAATGAATGAATGAGGAAAGAACCTAAAACAATAAGCCCAAACATAGACCAGAGGCCACAAAAACTGAAGCAATTCTTTTACCTTATGTCAGGGCCTCTGAGCCCAAGCCAAGCCACTGCATCCCCTGTGACTTGCACATATACCGCCCAGATGGCCTGAAGTAACTGAAGAATCACAAAAGAAGTGAAAATGCCCTGCCCCACCTTAACTGATGACATTCCACCAAAAAAGAAGTGTAAATGGCCGGTCCTTGACTTAAGTGATGACATTACCTTGTGAAAGTCCTTTTTCTGGCTCATCCTGGCTCAAAAACTCCCCCACTGAGCACCTTGCTACCCCCACTCCTGCCCGCCAGAGAACAAACCCCCTCTGACTGTAATTTTCCTTTACCTGCCCAAATCTTATAAAATGGCCCCACCCCTATCTCCCTTTGCTGACTCTCTTTTCGGACTCAGCCCGCCTGCACCCAGGTGAAATAAACAGCCATGTTGCTCACACAAAGCCTGTTTGGTGGTCTCTTCACATGGACGCGCATGAAATTTGGTGCCATGACTCGGGTCAGGGAACCTCCCTTGGGAGATCAATCCCCTGTCCTCCTGCTCTTTGCTCCGTGAGAAAGATCCACCTACGACCTCAAGTCCTCAGACCGACCAGCCCAAGAAACGTCTCACCAATTTCAAATCCGGTAAGTGGCCTCTTTTTACTCTCTTCTCCAACTTCCCTCACTACCCCTCAACCCCTTCTCCTTCACCCTTAGCGGCAAGTCCCGCTTTTCTAGGGGACAAGAACCCCCAATCCCTTATTTCCACGCCCCGACCCCTTTCCCGCTTTTCTGGAGGGTAAGAACACTTGAACCCCTTCCCTCCATGTCTCTATGCTCTCTTTTCTCTGGGCTTGCCTCCTTCACTATGGGCAACCTTCCACCCTCCATTCCTCCTTCTTGTCCCTTAGCCTGTGTTCTTAAGAACTTAAAACCTCTTCAACTCTCACCTGACCTAAAATCTAAGCGTCTTATTTTCTTCTGCAATGCCGCTTGACCCCAATACAAACTCGACAGTAGTTCCAAATAGCCGGAAAACAGCACTTTCAATTTTTCCATCCTGCAAGATCTAAATAATTCTTGTCATAAAATAGACAAATGGTCTGAGGTGCCTGACGTCCAGGCATTCTTTTACACATCAGTCCCTTCCTAGTCTCTGTGCCCAATGCAACTCATCCCAAATCTTCCTTCTTTACCTCCTGCCTGTCCCCTCAGTCCCAACCCCAAGCATCACTGAGTCTTTCTAATCTTCCTTTTCTACAGACCCGTCTGACCTCTCCCCTCCTCGCCAGGCTGAGCTAGGTCCCAATTCTTCCTCAGCCTCTGCTCCTCCACCCTATAATCCTTTTATCACCTCCCATCCTCACAACTGGTCCGGCTTACAGTTACGTTTCGTGACTAGCCCTCCCCCACCTGCCCAGCAATTTACTCTTAAAAAGGTGGCTGGAGCTAAAGGCATAGTCAAGGTTAATGCTACTTTTCTTTATCAGACCTCTCCCAAATCACTGAGCATTTAGGCTTTTTCATCAAATATGAAAAACCCAGCCCAGTTCATGGCTCGTTCGGCAGCAACCCTGAGACGCTTTACAGCCCTAGACCCTAAAAGGTCAAAAGGCCATCTTATTCTCAATATACATTTTATTACCCAATCTGCTCCCAACATTAAATAAAACTCCAAAAATTAGAATCTGGCCCTCAAACCCCACAACAGGACTTAATTAACCTCACCTTCAAGGTGTACAATAATAGAAAAAAGTTGCAATTCCTTGCCTCCACTGTGAGACAAACCCCAGCCACATCTCCAGCACACAAGAATTTCCAAACGCCTGAACCGCACTGGCCAGGCGTTCCTCCAGAACCTCCTCCCCCAGGAGCTTGCTACAAGTGCCAGAAATCTGGCCACCAGGCCAAGGAATGCCCTCAGCCCAGGATTCCTCCTAAGCCGCGTCCCATCTGTGTAGGACCCCACTGGAAATCGGACTGTTCAACTCACCTGGCAGCCACTCCCAGAGCCCCTGGAACTCTGGCCCAAGGCTCTCTGACTCCTTCTCGGCTTAGCGGCTGAAGACTGATGCTGCCCGATCACCTCAGAAGCCCTGTAGACCATCACGGATGCCAAGCTTTAGGTAACTCTCACAGTGGAAGGTAAGCCCATCCCCTTCTTAATCAATATGGAGGCTACCCACTCCACATTACCTTCTTTTCAAGGGTCTCTTTCCCTTGCCTCCATAACTGTTGTGCGTATTGACAGCCAGGCTTCTAAACCTCTTAAAACTCCCCAACTCTCGTGCCAACTTAGACAACACTCTTTTAAGCACTCCTTTTTAATTATCCCCACCTGCCCAGTTCCCTTATTAGGCTGAGACACTTTAACTAAATTATCTGCTTCCCTGACTGTTCCTGGACTACAGCTGCATCTCATTGCCACCCTTCTCCCCAACCCAAAGCCTCCTTTGTGTCCTCTTTTATCCCCCCGACCTTAACCCACAAGTATAAGACACCTCTACTCCCTCCTTGGTGACCCATCATGCACCCCTTACCATCTCATTAAAACCTAATCACCCTCACCCTGCTCAAAGCCAAGATCCCATCCCACAGCACGCTTTAAAAGGATTAAAGCCTGTTATCACTCGCCTGCTACGGCATGGCCTTTTAAAGCCTATAAACTCTCCTTACAATTCCCCCATTTTACCTGTCCTAAAACCAGACAAGGCTTACAAGTTAGTTCAGAATCTGTGCCTTATCAACCAAATTGTTTTGTCTATCCACCTCGTGGTGCCAAACCCATATACTCTCCTATCCTCAATACCTCCCTCTACTACCCATTATTCTGTTCTGGATCTCAAACATGCTTTCTTTACTATTCCTTTGCACCCTTCATCCCAGCCTCTCTTTGCTTTCACTTAGACTACCCTGACACCCATCAAGCTCAGCAAATTACCTGGGCTGTACTGCCACAAGGCTTCACAGACAGCCCCCATTACTTCAGTGAGGCCCAAATTTCATCCTCATCTGTTACCTATCTCGGCATAATTCTCATAAAAACACACATGCTTTCCCTGCTGATCGTGTCCAATTAATCTCCCAAACCTCAATCCCTTACAAAACAACAACTCCTTTCCTTCCTAGGCATGGTTAGTGCAGTCAGAATTCTTACACAAGAGCCAGGACCACACCCTGTAACCTTTCTGTCCAAACAACTTGACCTTACTGTTTTAGCCTAGCCCTCATGTCTGCGTGCAGTGGCTGCCACTGCTTTAATACTTTTAAAGGCCCTAAAAATCACAAACTATACTCAACTCACTCTCCACATTTCTCATAACTTCCAAAATCTATTTTCTTCCTCATACCTGACGCATATACTTTCTGCTCCCCAGCTCCTTCAGCTGTACTCACTCTTTGTTAAGTCCCACAATTAACATTGTTCTTGGCCCGGACCTCAATCTGGCCTCCCACATTATTCCTGATACCACACCTGACCCCCATGACTGTATCTCTCTGATCCACCTGACATTCACCCCATTTCCCCATATTTCCTTCTTTCCTGTTCCTCACCCTGATCACGCTTGATTTATTGATGGCAGTTCCACCAGGCCTAATCGCCACACACCAGCAAAGGCAGGCTATGCTATAGTACAAGCCACTAGCCCGCCTCTTAGAACCTCTCATTGCCTTTCCATCATGGAAATCTATCCTCAAGGAAATAACTTCTCAGTGTTCCATCTGCTATTCTACTACTCCTCAGGGATTATTCAGGCCCCCTCCCTTCCCTACACATCAAGCTTGAAGATTTGCCCCCATCCAGGACTGGCAAATTAGCTTTACTCAACATGCCCCGAGTCAGATAACTAAAATACCTCTTAGTCTAAGTAGACACTTTCACTAGATAAGTAGAGGCCTTTCCTACAGGGTCTGAGAAGGCCACCACAGTCATTTCTTCCCTTCTGTCAGACATAATTCCTCATTTTAGCCTTCCCACCTCTATACAGTCTGATAACAGACCAGCCTTTATTAGTCAAATCAGCCAAGCAGTTTTTCAGGCTCTTAGTATTCAGTGAAACCTTTATATCCCTTACAGTCCTCAGTCTTCAGGAAAAGTAGAACAGACTAATGGTCTTTTAAAAACACACCTCACCAAGCTCAGCCACCAGCTTAAAAAGGACTGGACAATACTTTAACCACTTTCGCTTCTCAGAATTCAGGCCTGTCCTCGGAATGCTACAAGGTACAGCCCAGTTAAGCTCCTGTATAGACGCTCCTTTTTATTAGGCCCCAGTCTCATTCCAGACACCAGACCAACTTAGACTGTGCCCCAAAAAACTTGTCATCCCTACTATCTTCTGTCTAGTCATACTCCTATTCACCGTTCTCAACTACTCATACATGCCCTGCTCTTGTTTACACTGCCAGTTTACACTGTTTCTCCAAGCCATCACAGCTGATATCTCCTGGTGCTATCCCCAAACCGCCACTCTAAACTCTTGAGGTAAATAAATAATCTTTGCTGGCAGGACTATGCTGAACCTCCTTAGGCACTCTCCAATCAGATGTCCTGGGTCCTCCCAATTCTTAGACCTTTTATACCTGTTTTTCTCTTTCTCTTATTCCATTTAGTTTTTCAATTCATATAAAACCGTATCCAGGCCATCACCAATCATTCTACACAACAAATGTTTCTTCTAACAACCCCACAATATCACCCCTTACCACAAAATCTTCCTTCAGCTTAATCTCTCCCACCCCAGGTTCCCACGCCGCCCCTAATCCCGCTCAAAGCAGCCCTGAGAAACATCGCCCATTCTCTCTCTCCATACCACCCCCCAAAAATTTTTACCGCCCCAATACTTCAACACTATTTTGTTTTATTTTTCTTATTAATATAAGAAGGCAGGAATGTCAGGCCTCTGAGCCCAAGCCAAGCCATTGCATCCCCTGTGACTTGCATGTATACGCCCAGATGGCCTGAAGTAACTGAAGAATCACAAAAGAAGTGAAAATGCCCTGCCCCACCTTAAATGATGACATTCCACCACAAAAGAAGTGAAAATGGCCGGTCCTTGCCTTAAGTGATGACATTACCTTGTGAAAGTCCTTTTCCTGGCTCATCCTGGCTCAAAAAGCTCCCCCACTGAGCACCCTGCGACCCCCACTCCTGCCCGCCAGAGGACAAACCCCCTTTGACTGTAATTTTCCTTTACCTGCCCAAATCTTATAAAACGGCCCCACCCCATCTCCCTTCGCTCACTCTCTTTTCGGACTCAGCCCGCCTGCACCCAGGTGAAACAAACAGCCATGTTGCTCACACAAATCCTGTTTGGTGGTCTCTTCACACGGACGTACATGAAATCTTCCTTCTTCATATTGAGATTCTCACCAACACCACCACCCTAAAAAAAGTTCCTGAGTTCAATACTTCCTTGACCCTTCCTCTTGGAGTGTATGAGAGGAGGAATCAGAGCTCTCCCTGGATATGGAAGTATGTGCAATAAATTCATTTTTAAAGTATGCTCAAAGTTTTGCTGGGAATACACTAGAGAACAGGAGAAAGCGCTTACTTCATTCAGCCTTAAGGTTAAAGAAGGTTTCTTGGAAGTGGAGCCATTTGAGCTATTTACATTCCATGAGAACCACAAAGTGTGCCCTTCAGAAGAACTCTGTACTTAAAACATGATGAGAAAGGCAATGAGAAAGACAACTTCATGCTTTTCCCCATAAAAAAAAAAAAAGAAAGAAAAAACAAACAGCAACAACAAAATTGTCACAGATATCAAAGACTATTTCCTGGCAACATAATCCTGAACTTATTTAAAATGCTGGTAGCTTATTCAACAGTTCAAGAATAAGAAAAGAGGGTTGCACAAGATGGCCGAATAGGAACAGCTCCGATCTACAGCTCCCAGCATGAGTGACGCAGAAGACGGGTATTTATGCATTTCCAACTGAGTTACCAGGTTCATCTCACTGGGGAGTGCCAGACAGTAGGTGCAGGACAGTGGGTGCAGTTCACCGTGCATGAGCCGATGCAGGGCGAGGCATCACCTCACCTGGGAAGCGCAAGGGGTCAGGGAATTCCCTTTCTTAGTCAAAGAAAGCGGTGACAGACAGCACCTAGAATCGGTTCACTCCCACCCTAATATTGCGCTTTTCCAACTGGCTTAAAAAACGGCACACCAGGGGATTATATCCCGCACCTGGCTGGGAGGATCCTACGCCCACAGAGTCTCACTCATTGCTAGCACAGCAGTCCGAGATCAAACTGCAAGGCGGCAGCGAGGCTGGGGGAGGGGCGCCTGCCATTGCCGAGTTAGTTGTTTGATTAGGTAAACAAAGCGGCCGGGAAGCTCAAACTGGGTGGAGCCCACCACAGCTCAAGGAGGCCTGCCTGCCTCTGTAGGCTCCACCTCTGGGGGCAGGGCACAGACAAAAAGACAGCAATAACCTCTGCAGACTTAAATGTCCCTCTCTGACAGCTTTGAAGAGAGTAGTGGTTCTCCCAGCACGCAGCTTCAGATCTGAGAACGGGCAGACTGCCTCCTCAAGTGGGTCCCTGACCCCCAAGTAGCCTAACTGGGAGGCACCCCCCAGTAGGGGGCGGACTGACACCTCACATGGCCAGGTACTCCTCTGAGACAAAACTTCCAGAGGAACGATTAGGCAGCAGCATCTGTGGTTCACCAATATCCACTGTTCTGCAGCCACTGCTGCTGATACCCAGAGCAGAAAAACTGGAAACTCTAAAAATCAGAGTGCCTTTCCTCCTCCAAAGGAATGCAGCTCCTCACCAGCAATGGAACAAAGCTGGATGGAGAATGACTTTGACAAGTTGAGAGAAGAAGGCTTCAGACGATCAAACTACTCCTAGCTACAGGAGGAAATTCGAACCAATAGCAAAGAAGTTAAAAGCTTTGAAAAAAAATTAGACAAATGGATAACTAGAATAACCAATGCAGAGAAGTCCTTAAAGGACCTGATGGAGCTGAAAACCAAGGCACGAGAGCTATGTGACGAATGCAGAAGCCTCAGTAGCCAATGCGATCAACTGGAAGAAAGGTTATCAGTGATGGAAGATGAAATGAATGAAATGAAGCAAGCAGAGAAGTTTAGAGAAAAAAAGAATAAAAAGAAACGAAAAAAGCCTCCAAGAAATATGGGACTATGTGAAAAGACAAAATCTACGTCTGATTAGTGTACCTGAAAGTGACGAGGAGAATGGAACCAAGTTGGTAAACACTCTGCAGGATATTGTCCAGGAGAACTTCACCAATCTAGCAAGGCAGACCAACATTCAAATTCAGGAAATACAGAGAACGCCACAAAGATACTCTTGAGAAGAGCAACTCCAAGACACATAATTGTCAGATTCACCAAAGTTGAAATGAAGGAAAAAATGTTAAGGGCAGCCAGAGAGAAAGGTCAGGTTACCCACAAAGGGAAGCCCATCAGACTAACAGCTGATATCTCTGCAGAAACTCTACAAGCCAAAAGAGAGTGGGAGCCAATATTCAACATTCTTAAAGAAAAGAATTTTCAACCCAGAATCTCATATCCAGCCAAACTAAGCTTCATAAGTGAAGGAGAAATAAAATACTTTACAGACAAGCAAATGCTGAGAGATTTTGCCACCACCAGGCCTGCCCTAAAAGAGCTCCTGAAGGAAGCACTAAACATGGAAAGGAACAACTGGTACCAGCCACTGCAAAAACATGCCAAATTGTAAAGACCATCAAGGCTAGGAAGAAACTGCATCAACTATTGAGCAAAATAACCAGATAACATCATAATGACAGGATCAAATTCACACATAACAATATTAGCTTTAAATGTAAATGGGCTAAATGCTCCAATTAAAAGACACAGACTGGCAAATTGGATAAAGAGTCAAGACCCATTAGCGTGCTGTATTCAGGAAACCCATCTCACATGCAGAGACACACATAGGCTCAAAATAAAGGGATGGTGGAAGATCTACCAAGCAAATGGAAAACAAAAAAAGGCAGGGGTTGCAATCCTAGTCTCTGATAAAACAGACTTTAAACCAACAAAGATCAAAAGAGACAAAGAAGGCCATTACATAATGGTAAAGGAATCAATTCAACAAGAAGAGCTAACTATCCTAAATATATATGCACCCAATACAGGAGCACCCAGATTCATAAAGCAAGTTCTGAGTGACCTACAAAGAGACTTAGACTCCCACACAACAATAATGGGAGACTTTAACACCCCACTGTCAACATTAGACAGATCAACGAGACAGAAAGTTAACAAGGATACCCAGGAATTGAACTCAGCCCTGCACCAAGTGGACCTAATAGACATCTACAGAACTCTTCACCCCAAATCAACAGAATATACATTTTTTTCAGCACCACACCACACCTACTCCAAAATTGACCACATAGTTGGAAGTAAAGCACTCCTCAGCAAATGTAAAAGAACAGACATTATAACAAACTGTCTCTCACACCACAGTGCAATCAAACTAGAACTCAGGATTAAGAAACTCACTCAAAACCGCTCAACTACATGGAAACTGAACAACCTGCTCCTGAATGACTACTGGGTAAATAATGAAATGAAGGCAGAAATAAAGATGTTCTTTGAAACCAACGAGAACAAAGACATAACATACCAGAATCTCTGGGACACATTCAAAGCAGTGTGTAGAGGGAAATTTATAGCACTAAATGCCCACAAGAGAAAGCAGGAAAGATCTAAAATTGACACCCTAACATCACAATTAAAAGAGCTAGAAAAGCAAGAGCAAACACATTCAAAAGCTAGCAGAAGGCAAGAAATAACTAAAATCAGAGCAGAACTGAAGGAAATAGAGACACAAAAAACCCTTCAAAAGATTAATGAATCCAGGAGCTGGTTTTTTGAAAAGATCAACAAAATTGATAGACCGCTAGCAAGACTAATAAAGAAGAAAAGAATCAAATAGACGCAATAAAAAATGATAAAGGAGATATCACCACCGATCCTACAGAAATACAAATTAACATCAGCGAATACTATAAACAGCTCTACGCAAATAAACTAGAAAATCTAGAAGAAATGGATAAATTCCTCGACACATACATCCTCCCAAGACTAAACCAGAAAAAAGTTGAATCTCTGAATAGACCAATAACAGGCTCTGAAATTGAGGCAATAATCAATAGCTTACCAACCAAAAAAGTCCCGGACCAGATGGATTCACAGCCGAATTCTACCAGAGGTACAAACAGGAGCTGGTACCATTCCTTCTGAAACAATTCCAATGAATAGAAAAAGAAGGAATCCTCCCTAACTCATTTTATGAGGCCAGCATCATCCTAATACCAAAGCCTGGCAGAGACACAACCAAAAAAGAGAATTTTAGACCAATATCCTTGATGAACATCAGTGCAAAAATCCTCAATAAAATACTGGCAAACCAAATCCAGCAGCACATCAAAAACTTTATCCATCATGATCAAGTGGGCTTCATCCCTGGGATGCAAGGCTGGTTCAACATATGCAAATCAATAAATGTAATCCAGCATATAAACAGAACCAAAGACAAAAACCACATGATTATCTCAATAGATGCAGAAAAGGCCTTTGAAAAAATTCAACAACCCTTCATGCTAAACACTCTCAATAAATTAGGTATTGATGGGACATATCTCAAAATAATAAGAGCTATCTATGACAAACCCACAGCCAATATCATACTGAATGGACAAAAACTGGAAGCATTCCCTTTGAAAACTCGCACAAGACAGGGATGCCCTCTCTCACCACTCCTATTCAACATAGTGTTGGAAGTTCTGGCCAGGGCGATCAGGCAGGAGAAGGAAATAAAGGGCATTCAATTAGGAAAAGAGGAAGTCAAATTGTCCCTGTTTGCAGATGACATGATTGTATATCTAGAAAACCCCATTGTCTCAGCACAAAATCTCCTTAAGCTGATAAGCAACTTCAGCAAAGTCTCAGGATACAAAATCAATGTAAAAAATCACAAGCATTCTTATACACCAATAACAGACAAACAGAGAGCCAAATCATGAGTGAACTCCCATTCACAATTGCTTCAAAGAGAATAAAATACCTAGGAATCCAACTTACAAGGGATGTGAAGGACCTCTTCAAGGAGAACTACAAACCTCTGCTCAATGAAATAAAAGAGGATACAAACAAATGGAAGAACATTCCATGCTCATGGGTAGGAAGAATCAATATCGTGAAAATGGCCATACTGCCCAAGGTAATTTATAGATTCAATGCCATCCCCATCAAGTTACCAATGACTTTCTTCACAGAATTGGAAAAAACTACTTTAAAGTTCATATGGAACCAAAAAAAGAGCCCACATCGCCAAGTCAATCCTAAGCCAAAAGAACAAAGCTGGAGGCATCATGCTACCTGACTTCAAACTATACTACAAGGCTACAGTAACCAAAACAGCATGGTACTGGTACCAAAACAGAGATATAGACCAATGGAACAGAACAGAGCCCTCAGAAATAATGCCGCATATCTACAACTATCTGATCTTTGACAAACTTGACAAAAACAAGCAATGGGGAAAGGATTCCCTATTTAATAAATGGTGCTGGGAAAACTGGCTAGCCATATGTAGAAAGCTGAAACTGGATCCCTTCCTTACAACTTATACAAAAATTAATTCCAGATGGATTAAAGACTTACATGTTAGACCTAAAACCACAAAAACCCTAGAAGAAAACCTAGGCAATACCATTCAGGACATAGGCATGGGCAAGGACTTCATGTCTAAAACACCAAAAGCAATGGCAACAAAAGCCAAAATAGACAAATGGGATCTAATTAAACTAAAGAGCTTCTGCACAGCAAAAGAAACTACCATCAGAGTGAACAGGCAACCTACAGAATGGGAGAAAATTTTTGCAACCTACTCATCTGACAAAGGGCTAATATCCAGAATCTACAATGAACTCAAACAAATTTACAAGAAAAAAACAAACAACCCCATCAAAAAGTGGGCAAAGGATATGAACAGACACTTCTCAAAAGAAGACATTTATGCAGCCAAAAAACACATGAAAAAATGCTCATCATCACTGGCCATCAGAGAAATGCAAATCAAAACCACAATGAGATACCATCTCACACCAGTTAGAATGGCAATCATTAAAAAGTCAGGAAACAACAGGTGCTGGAGAGGATGTGGAGAAATAGGAGCACTTTTACACTATTGGTGGGACTGTAAAGTAGTTCAACCATTGTGGAAGTCAGTGTGGCGATTCCTCAGGGATCTAGAACTAGAAATACCATTTGACCCAGCCATCCCATTACTGGCTATATACCCAAAGGATTATAAATCATGCTGCTATAAAGACACATGCACACGTATGTTTATAGCGGCACTATTCACAATAGCAAAGACTTGGAACCAACCTAAATGTCCAACGACGATAGACTGGATTAAGAAAATGTGGCACATATACACCATGGAATACTATGCAGCCATAAAAAATGATGAGTTCATGTCCTTTGTAGGGACGTGGATGAAGCTGGAAACCATCATTCTCAGCAAACTATCGCGAGGACAAAAAACCAAACACCGCATTTCTCACTCATAGGTGGGAATTGAACAATGAGGACACATGGACACAGGAAAGGGAACATCACACACCGGGGACTGTTGCGGGGTAGGGGGAGGGGGGGATAGCATTAGGAGATATACTTAATGCTAAATGACGAGTTAATGGGTGCAGCATACCAGCATGGCACATGTATACATATGTAACCAACCTGCACGTCGTGCACATGTACCCTAAAACTTAAAGTATAATAATAATAAAATTAAAAAAAAAAAGAATAAGAAAAAAATTAAGACGACATCAAATGTGGCAGGGAACACAGATTGAGAATTTAAGTATGCCTGTAGGTTTATTGTGAGAGAATGAGAGATACTTTCCCTAGGTCCATCTCAAGGAGAAAGCAAGGCTCTGTGACCTAGATGTCTGAGACTTGACTCACTCCAAGGAAGAGAGTTTTCAGAAGCTTAGGCTCCCAAAGGAGATAGTTGTATTATTCAAGAGGAAAGCTCAGAAGTTTCTAAAAGATATGACCTTTTTATCCCAGTGGACCTTAAGGCCCCATCCTATGCAGGGCTACTAATGAGGTGATGGAGGCCTAGGTCTAAATCCTGAAACCTGTGGTCCAGGAAGGATAAAAAATCCCCAGGGCCAAGTTAGATGTGCAGGGTGTGGCACCAGATACACCCTCTTTCCAGCGAGCCCCTTCAGCAGCAAGACCAGAGGCCCTTCCTCAGATTTTCTGAAAGGTATAAGACCCTCTGTTCCCTTGAATGGCGAAACGAAAGTGTGGGGCAGAAATAGATGAAATTAAATTTCCTACCAGCATTGCAGGGAAGAGGAGGGAACAGAGTCAGATTTATTTGAACTGAAATAAACATTTCCTGCTCCCAGAGGTGAGGAGCAAATTTATACCAATTTTACAAATTTGACTGAAGTTCAAATTTGCCTTTTAGAAAACAAAATCAAGCCCTTGGGTCTTTGTAAATGAACTGCAGAACTCCACATGCTGCAGGGTACCCATATTTACCTCCCACACAGCAAGTCAACTGGAAAACCAGCCAAGCATGAGAAGTTCACCTGATTTCTCACCTTCCCAGAGCTGGAAGAATGTCTGTCTCAAGCAGTTTCAGTTACTGGACTGAGATGACCCCAGGATTTCCTCCCTTAATAGCCATTTGAAAAGAGGGAGAAAGAAAGTCCACACTCAAAAATCCTCTCTCTGGTCAGTCACCCACTTCAGCAAATACATAGGATCAAAGTGGCTAATGCTGAAATGAAGCTAATGTTACACATCAGTGTTAAAATTCATGTTTTGTTTTGTTTTATTCACAGAATCTGTTGACAATGCATAAAGGTCGCAAGAATTCTATGAGGGCATTTCACTTTTCTAGATAGCAGGCATTCATTGGCTCTTGAATGTTTCATAAGAGGCAGAACTTCTAGCTTATTGTGTTTGAGAAAAAGAAAAGCATTTTTGAATCAAAACAGAGGGGGTCTGCAAAATGAATACCAAGGAAACATGTGCAAGCAAGCACATCCAAGTAGGTTTTGTTATGTCTTATCAGCATTCAAGGGATGAGAGAAAAAATAAAAAGTGTTCAACTGTTAAATCAAGACTTCTTGTCTCCCTGTCTTGTAGTCAATTTGCCAAAAGCCTTTTCTCTTCTCTCATCCTGTTTTCCAATATCTCATAACACTAACCTGATTGATCACTTGGTCACATCAGCCAAACTCATTAGGCCAATTAAACAAGACTGTGTGTGAGGGAGAATCCAGCTCAGTGAGCTTTGGCAGTGCCATCACAACTCTGCTTCTACATGTTCCTCATAGTTGTATTTCAAGTGCTGTGTTCTTCTATGGGTGGTTTCATTTATTAAAGAGGACACATCGCCACTCGGAAGGACTTCTCAGGACACCGAAGGGAAAAAAGTATTAAAAACCAGGACAATCTGACAAAAATAGAATGCCTGTCACCCAAACCCCAAGGCAGCTTGCACACGGTGCCATATTTTAAACATGAAGGAAATAGACTCTGTCTTAACAGCCTGGTTCTGTTAGGAGAGTGACTCTCAGAGAGCCCTCTTTCCTGGTAAACATCCAAAGAGCAGCATTGTTCTGAGGGAGGCTCTTAGGGATGCCAGGTGATCGTGTGTGGGCATGTGCTGAGGGTCTGGACAGGGTCTGATAGGCTCCTGTGTGTGTTCATGGCACCGGGTGCTCTGGTGAGAGGCTGAGTCAGCCTGTAAGAAAGAGGGCCTTGCCCTAATTGTGCACAGAGGGCACACATTGATGCAATTTTTCTGGATAGGATACATTTCCTTATCTGTAAAAAGGTACCATATACGCCAGCAGCTTGGAGCCTGGGTAATAAATAGATTGGATAATGATTTATTGTCCAAAAACCTGACAATGTAGAGATAAAAACTGTCACTTTTAGGAAGTCTCTTGAATTTACTTTGACTCTTCAAGGGTCTCTGCCACAACCCTGAGATAATAGAGCTTTTGGAAAAAGCCAACCAGAGATTTGGTCCCAGACTGTTTCCTTCAAGATCTGGTAGGAGTGTGGAGAGAAGGAGGGGGAACTGACATGTTTTGTGTCTACAAACAGCACATTTGAGGACAGGGCTGTGTCTTATTCACTACTGCATTCTTAGTATCATGCACTCAATAAATCTACATGGTAGAAATGCATTTAAATTCATTTTAATTTCCAGCTTGCTCTTGTTTCCAGTAAAAGAGAGATGGTTAAAACCTATCTTCATTCTTTATATCCACAAAATTCGACCTTATGCTAGCTTGGCAAATAAGGCAGCCTTGTGAAAAATTGTCAAAAACTATTCAATATTACAAGAACCAAAGTGTCTTAGTCCAACCCGCTTAGGTGCAAATGAGACAACAGAGGTCTATAGAGTCCAAGTGACTTATTGTAGGCTACACAACCAGTTGGAGACAAAAACAGGACTAGAACTCAGGACTTCAGGTAAATCCAAAGTCTTTCTTCAATGCTTCTATGATTTAGAGAGCAGGCACATGTAGCTCTAAAATAATGTTTTTCCCGTATGTTAGGTACTGACAGCTTCCCATATGTCAAGATCTTACACCATACCTGTGGCCCCTTTTGCAACCACCATTCCCATTTTCCTAGTGCTACCTCTGCCACCAACCAAACAGCTGTACATGCGTGTACTCCATACCACACTTCGATTCCACAGCATCCATATATATGGGCCCACCCAAAAAATGCCAACTATAAGCCCATCATTTTCAAATTTGGGGGGACATGATTTATAAAAAAAACACAATAAATGATCATTGCAAGACCGCAGAGCAGGTAACTGTGTCATATACCACATCTGAACATTGGAAGGGCTAGGCCAGAGAAGCAGTAAACCAGGAAGCCCCTTGGAGTCATAAGGGAGTGGTCTGGCTTTGCAAACATCGTGGATCAGAGATACCAAGGAGATCCACCTCAAGATACCAGGATGAAACAGAAGAGTAATCTTCAAGAAGTGCTTACCATTGCCTAATTCCGTGCTTGTAGAAAGCATTCCAGGGGCTGTTACTAAAGAAAACGAAAATCGCCCCCAAAGAGTTCTGGACTCAAGTCAACCAGTGGAACAGCATTTAAAAAGATATTTGTCTAGGGAGGGATTATAGATTTTCTAAACTCCATTTCTAATAATTGGAGCGGCACATGTGGCTGGTAACTTGATAAAAATGAATACACGAAGGCCGTTATAACAGATGGAGCATTTTAGTCAAAAAATAACAAGCCATTTCTTCCTCGGGCAAAAGGAGCCAACTAATTGAATGTGGTGGGAACGTAAAAATTCAGAGCCTCAAGCACATGAAGTCACTTAGACATTTATGGCTTGGGATGAACTTGAAAAATATAGTAAAGAAAAATCTACAATGAGCAACAGATTTATGGGCTTAAAATGTACTTCCATTTGCCCTTAAAAAGCCTTCTGGGAAGAAATTTTCATTATATTTTGGACAACATGATGTTCTATCTTCTGTATCTAGAAAGTTCAAACCGGGCTAACCAGTGATGACGGAAAAGAAAATTGTATTATACCTTGATATTTTTGTGTTTCTGTTCAGTATTTTCTCAACTGAGACCACTTAGTGCCTTGTATTGATCATCATTTCATATTTATTGAGTGCCAGTGCTCAATACAACACACAGAAGATATGATGAAAACTACATCAGCGAAGTGGAGTAGAAGGTAGGGTAATGTTCCAGTAAGTTTGGGCAGTTACCTAAAACCAGAAGCATTTCTATCAGCAGGGTTCTAAGCACAGGTTATTCTTTTAAATGTCTTGGGATTGTGAAGGAGGATAGAAAGGGAGGATCTGGAAGAAGCCTTTGAAAATAGCTGTCTAGAATTGTGTTGATACAGTTTAAACTCTCTAAACCATACTATTCTGCTTATAATAATCAAGACTATTAAGAGATGGGGTGTCGGAAGTGACAAGTGACTCCTTAAAAATAAAGTTGGTCTCCAATTTAAGTTTAAAAATAATGTAGTATTTGATTATATATAATCCAAAGTATAACACACATACTGATTTTTAAATAGGAAGGAAGGAAGGGAGGGAGGGAGGGAAGGAAAGAGAAAGAAAGAGAAAAGAAAGAAAGAAAAAGAAAGAAAGAAAGAAGGAAAGAAAGAAAGAAAGAAAAGGAAAGAAAAAAAGAACAGAAAAGAAAAGAAGAATTTCAAATAATTTATATACAGTGAACACTTTACGCTCCAAGAGGTGAGGCATAATTCCCCATTCTTTAAGTATGGCGTGTGTATAGAAACTCATTTTCAAAGAGCACAGTGTGAACGCGAGGGGAAAAGTAACTTCATAGTGGAGAAATCTGGCAAACACTACCTCAGTCAGGTTACCAACAGGTTACCTCCATCAAACATCAACAGTGAGAAGTCACATTGATAGCATGCACCCTTGATATGATATGGTGGTCTTCCTCTCCAAATCCATAAACCCAGTCTACTCATGAGAAAAACATCAGATACATTCCACTTGAGGAATAGTCTACAAAATACCTTACCAAAACTCAATATATTCAAAAGCAAGGAAATTCTGAGATACTGTCACAGCCCATAGGAGTCTAAGAAGACATACTGAATGTAATGTGGCATCCTGAATGGGATTCTGGAAGAGAAAAAGAATATTAAGTAAAAACTAAGGGAATCTGAATAAAGTATGAACTATATTTAAAATTGGTTCATTTATTGTGACAAATACACCATAATAATTTAAGGTGCTAAAAATAGGAAAAACTGGGTGATGAATTTATGGGAACTCCTTGCTATCTTTTCATGTTTTCTGCATTTTTCTAAAACTACTAAAAGAAAATTTTATTTTAAAAAATAAAATGGAAGGTGGTTGCAGCAAAGAAACAATAGAAGAGGTGAGCATTAAAAGGAAATGGAAGTTAACATCAAAAGTAGGAGCTCTCATGAATAGGGCTGCAATGAACATTCACGTGCATGTGTCTTTATGGTAGAATGATTCATATTCTTTTGGGTATATACCCAATAATGAGATTGAGATTGCTGGGTCCAACGGTAGTTCTGTTTTTAGCTCTTTGAGGAATCACCACACTGCTTTCTGCAATGGTTGAACGAATTTACACTCCTACCAACAGTGTATAAGCGTTCCCCTTTCTCTGCAACCTCACCAGCATCTATTATTTTTTGACTTTTTAATAATAGCCATTCTGACTGGTTCGTGAGATGGTATTTCGTTGTGGTTTCGATTTGCATTTCCCTAATGATCAGCGATATTGAGCTTTTTTCATATGCTTCCCGGGCCACATGTATGTCTTCCTTTGAAAATTGTCTGTTCATGTTCTTTGCCCACTTTTTAATGGGGTTGTTTGGGGGTTTTTGGGCAAATTAAAAGAAATGAAATCAACCTAAATGCCCACCAATGATAGACCAGATAAAGAAAGTGTGGTACATATACAACATGGACTACTACCCAGCCATAAGAAAGCACAAGATCACGTCCTTTGCAGGAACATGGGTGGAGCTGGAGGCCATTATCCTTAGCAAACTAACACAGGAACAGAAAACCAAATACTGCATGTTCTCACTTATAAGCAGAAGCTAAATGATGAGAACACATAGACACAAAGAAGAGAACAGCAGACACTGAGGCCTATTTGAGGGTGGAGGACGGGAGGAGGGAGAAAAGCAGAAAAAAATAACTATTGAGTACTAGGCTTAGTATCTTAGCATTGGGACCATACAACAAACCCGTGTGACAGGAGTTTACCTACATAACAAACCTGCATATCTACCCTTAACCTAAAATATAAGTTAAGGAAAAAAAAAAAAAAGTAGGAGCTCTCAACCCAGTGGAGTCTTGAATGTTAGCACTGGGGAAAAAAAGTCAAAATTCATGGTTAAATGCCAAAGAGAACTGTTTGGAACAATGTGTTAAGAACAGCTGTGAGATATTCATAAGCACAATTAGCACCTTGACTGACTGGCAGTCAAAAATAAACCAGCTGTAGGGGAGTGAGCAGGCCAGGGTCATAAACAGTTCCTGCAATGCCTTCGAAATGAGACAAGGCAGCCCGCAAGAGGAAAGTGTTAGGTAAACAGAGGCCAGATTTGTAACAAGAACTCCTGTGTTATGTGTTCTCTCTGGTGTTTCTAATTAAGAGTAAGAGTTGAACCTCATTTTTTCAAAATTATCATTTTGACATTTTTTTCACTTTTATAAAGGCTTTTATGTCTAGATACCGCAGCGCATGCTGCTCACTACCTTAAATTTTGCCTAGTAGAAGAGAACCTAAAACCAATTCTGCAATGCTACATCCGACCAGCCTTTAGTTTCAGCTGCAGGTTCTTTATTTGGAGGGGCTGAATCATCCATTTCTCACCTTTTTCACCAGCCAAGTATTTTTAACTTACTGTCAGCTATGCAGTGAACATAGGTCTATAAAGAAAATGTGCATTTTTCACTTTTCTGCTTTCAATTGCTGAATCCAGGAATGCATTACAGAAAAAAAAAAAGTAAGGTATTTTATGTAAAAATAATATTGGTTTGTTTCACATTCTTCTCCATTTTTGTTTTTAGTGCTCAAAGTGAGTCTTTGCCACTCTAAACAGAGACCACTTCTTAACTGGTGACAGCTTATTTGCACTACCCCAAGTAAAGAAAAACAGTGTGCAGTGGCCCTGAGATCTCCAATGGGCTGCAGGGCTAGATGAGTTGTAGAGATGGTTGTATCCAACTCCCTATACCAGGAAGATCTGATCCAGAAGCTGAGCCTCTGTGTACCTGTCCTGCTAGACCTCAAAATCTGGAACAGGGAAGGGACAGAGCTTAAACTGATGTTTTAGAGCCATTTACACACTGATAAGGAACTCAACATCAGGAAAACAGTTTGTTCCAACATCTAAAGGAAACTGTCAGGGTTACATTGGGCTCTTAGGAGTAAACTAAGAAAATGGAAGTAGGGAGGCCAAGCAATGGGTAGAAGAAGAAGAGAGAGGTGCATTTCTCATCATGAGCACATGTGGACAGCATAGCAATTAAAAGCATTTAAGCAAGACTTTGCTTCTCTCTCTGTTGTTGTTGTTGTTAGCATGATAAATAAAGAATAGATTTCCTGGTCAGGGCTAGAAAAGTATACAGCAATGACTGGATTTACAGAATGGTGAAATTCAGGTAATACAATTCTATGTGCTACATTCAAAAACAGAAAGAATAAATTATGCCTTGGAAAAAGGAACACTGGGAAATACCAAGCCAATTAAGATACTGATTACCAGATTTGCTGGCTGAGCACATACTGCATACCCAGAATCGGTATGCCACAAAACACAGAACAGAGAAATTAAGATGGGGAAAGGTCATCTATAAAAGGTGACCAGAGCAAGATGTTTTGAAGGTATGAAGGCTTGAAGGCAAGCACAGGGGCAGGGTCTGACAGGAGGGAGGGTGACGGCCCATGCAGAAGGAAATAGTTACCCCTTGAGCTATGCAAGTTTGAAGAAAACTCCAAAGTATCTGTTCTGTCCTCAGAGTCTTTACAGATATTTCAGATGGGCAAAACCAAACTCAATTCTGTAACAGAAAAGCAAATAATTATAGTAAACACTTATATAGCAATTGTTCTATGTCAGATACATATAAATATAGTAACTTATTTAATGTTTACAATAATCCTATGCAGAAGGGACTTTGTTCTCCCTATTTTACAGATGAAAACAGAGTTTGGTTGCAAAACCAAACTTAATTCTATAACAGAAAAGCAAATACTTCAGATGGGCAAATACAGATATTTCAGATGGGCAAAACCAAACTCAATTCTGTAACAGAAAAGCAAATAATTATAGTAAATACTTATGTACCAATTGTTCTATGTCAGATACACATAAATATATTAACTTATTTAATATTTACAATAATCTTATGCAGAGGGGACTTTGTTCGCCCTATTTTACAAATGAAAAAAACCAGACACAAAGAGGTCAAGTGACTTGCCCAAGGTTACACAGCTAATAAGTGTGCTCTTAGCCATTATATGCTGATTCGTATCCCATATAAGCTACCTGCCACCAGACAAGAGCATACATATTCAGCTTATAGCTGTGCTGTGACCTAAAACAATTAAAATAAACTGTTCGGAGCCACTTTGCTTCTTCGTCTTTGTGCTCTCACTCAACCATTCCACAAATACATTAATATATCGAATGCATACTGTGCACCATGCACTATTATAAGATTTGGGGATACAAAACATTAAATATCCTTGCCTTCCTGAAGCATACATTCTAGTGAGGGACAACAGACAAATAAAATAAATAAGCATCATATGTAGTATATTAGACAGTAATACGTATGGTGGATACAAAGCAGGAAAGAGAGACAGAAATCACAGCTGAAATTTTGAATGTTATATATCCTGAAAGAGCTGAGGGAGAAAACCAACAGGTATTCAGGGAGAAAGCACTCCAGGTAGAGGGAGCAGCAAACATAAATATCCTAGGGCCAGAAAGGGAGAAAATGTCCAAGGGGATTTTGTGGCTAGAATGGATTTATCTTTGGTTAAGTCCCTAGGCCAAGTCTCAAAATGTGTTTTATCCCAAATAAAAGTGAAGTACAAGCAGTCTTCAAATTATGTATACTTCACATACTGCTCTTCTACTACAAGGATTTCCCTTCATATATCATCCTTCCAGAAATAACTCAAAAGCTACTGACTCCTCCCAGATTCTTCCTTAGTCTCTTGCTAAGAGCAGTACATGCCTTTTCCAAATTCCTTATGGTATTCACCACTCCCCACCTTGCTTTTGATTATACTTTATCTTATACATTCATTGAGGACAGAATATGGATTTGGTTCATTATTTAATTCTCTACTGACTTTGGCCTTGCTCGTTGTCAATATTCAATAAATGGTTGTTGAAAAGGTTTGAGTGCGTGATTTCTATTGAATTAAACTCCATATTATACTAATGTTACTAACTTCACATCTCTATTTTATTACAATGAGGAAAGATATTTTAGCCGTACTTTCTCAAATTTTTGGTTGCTTAATACAATTTTTTTGCCAAAATATTTCAACTTATCAATATGTAAAACTTCAAGCTTATATTTTAAGCTTCAATGATCTTAAAGAGTAACACATTTTCCCACACAACCATAAACTAAAAGAGAAAGATTCATTTCTATGACTTTGCTGTAAATAAAAATGGCAGATTGCAAAATATCTTTGCTTATGTAATCAAAACATAATAAAGAATAACATATTTAAATATGTCAAGTAGAGAGAATATTTTTAAATGAAGCTGAATTTCCATTTTTTCCCAATCTGGCAACGACCAGTGGCTTCTCTCCTATGATTTCCTGACTGAAAAATTTATTAGATAGAATGTGTTCCTGTAAGGAATACTAAAAAATCTGACATGGGCTTGTGAGGATAGTATAGCTAATGATTCACTACCACACTGCTTTCAAAAATCAAGAAGTACAAAGATAAGGTAAGACAGAGTAGGACAGAATTTAAAATAATTTCCCCAAAAATTCTCCTTATTCCTCTGATATAGAATGAAGTCAATAATGTCACAGAACTGATTTGAAACTAACCAGGCATCTATTTCAGCTTCATGGTTATTAATGGTTTTAAGAGTAGAAAATAAATGCGAAAATCAATGATAGAAACATTTTGGGGAAACAAATTCCTGGTTTGGAATTGTTTCCTCCTTCTGTGTCTACCTCCGTGGAGTGACTTTAGGTGGTATGACCTGGCTGGGGTGTGCAGGCCTCTATGCAGAACACTCACTTGGGGAAGCTGGCCCTTGGCCCAAGGAAAGCTGTTCAAAGATCCTGACTGAGGCTCCAATTGATCAATAGATGAACACTGCTGATGCTGAGGACTGGATAACCCAGGACACTTCTGCTCAAGGACCTATAGATTAACCAAGACTTCATGTCTTATTGCAGAGGGGATAAGAGGGGAAGGCAGATGCAATGTTCTGGCTATCAGACACTAGAAACTGCTCAGCCCCTAATAAACACAACTCAATACTCTCTGTGCCATCTTGGGTTTCAAAATATGAGTCTCTTGGAATATAGAAGCTATTTTCCCTTTTTCCCCTCTCCTTTTCCTAATCCAGAATAGCATCACCTCCTCAATTGTCTTGAATATAATTTTTTCCCAAAACTAAACCTGGCTGTCATTCATACCGTCTTCAGTCATTCATACCGTCTTCAATCATTCATACAATAAATATTTCCAGAGCACCCACCGTGTGACTGGGCTTGCAAGACAGGATGCTGAAAAGACAGGTGTGGTTCTTGTGTTCCTTAGGGACAGAGGAAAGGATGAGTGCCCTGAAGTGCAGTGAACAATGACCCACAGCCCGCTTCTCAATACACGATGGCTTATTGAAGAATGTGTCACACAATGAAAGACACTGGTAAACACTGAACCTCACAAAGTGAGGTTCTAGGGAGAGGCAAGAATTATATCAGAACCACAGAAGGAGATTTTCCAAGCTCCACAAGCCCAACAATAGTTTTCACCCCTCCCACCTAACGGCCTCCCACTCCCACTCCAATTCCAATGTTAACCTTACCACCTCCTCTCCTGCCCAATATAATGGAAACATTTGTATTTTTCCTTCTTAGCCATTTTTTTTTCTCTGCAGTCTATAGAGGGGTACATGAGGCTGATGGTGGGGAAAATAGAGTACACTTTGGGCTTTGCATTTCCACAACTGATTCATGACATTAGCAGAGGCAGGCACTTGAGAACAAGAAAAAACAAAACTATTGGAGATTCTGAAGATTTGGCTTTGAATTACAAAAGATAAATTCTGGAAAATTCAGAACAAAGCATTCATGGAGTGGGAAACATTTCAGAGGAAACTAGCTGTGCAAAGAGCAGCTTTCCTACCACTTGGAGAAGAAATAATAATTGTAAGAGCTTGCATGCTGTGAGGACCTGAGAAGTGGCTTGGCACACTGACAATGCCATCTCTCATAGGACCTTGGTAGCATCCACACCAGAAGTCACAGGTGAGAACTGGGGATTTCAGAGAAAAAGAGCCCATTTCCTGGCTTTCCACAATGCGGTTCAGATACTGCGCAGCTCACAGCAAAGCCCTGAGTTTGACACGATGCCAAGCTGTAGGTCAAAGGGCCGAAGGAGGAATATAGGTGCAGTTCCCAAAGCTGTGATTTCTGCAGGGTGGTAAGTGGAAAAGAGCCAAGAGTACCTAAGAAGGCACACAATCCCAATGCGCATACAAAAAAAGTCACAGAAGTGGTTGAGAAAAGGGGTTACCACTCACAGTTCCAGGTCAGAGGATACAGGGTGCATAAACCTTCCATGGAGGGAAGACCAAAGACCAAATGGAAGGAGACCCCCCCCACACACCCTCTGTGAGAACCACAGAGATCAGAGACAAACAGGAAAATCAGATTTTCTTTCCTTATGCCACACCAACCTGCCAGGAACTCCGGGGAAGCAGAAGAAGCAAAGAAAATTCTGATTAGACTGAATTTTAGACCAAATTTAGATTTTAGTTTCGATTTAAACTAGAAGTGAATGTTGTCAAAGTGATAACATTAAGTTTTCCATTAAAAGCAGAAATAGGAACTAGAGAGCGTTAAATTCATTTATAGAGATAGAAAGTTTCAGCTTTGCACATTCAAGCCTGTGGACTATTATTATTTATAAAACTCATACCTTTTTTATTGGCACAGAAGAACAGATACTCCCCAAGCAAATTTATTGACAGAGAATTGCAGGAGACCAAATTCTAAGAGACACACCATAAATCCAAATTATCTTCTTTCTCAACACTTCTTTGAAAAGATCATGGTAAACTTTAATACAAAGATAGTAATGGGTGACCAATTCAAACATTTCATAAACCACACTGATTAATTAGTTCAGTTGAAGTGTATTGGAGGGTTTTTCTCATTGTAAATTTTTGTTACAAATAAATAATCCTTAGCAATTAATGTTATAAGCTAAGTAATAGTTTCCAAGCTAAACAATGCAGATGTCTTCAACCAACCTTCCACCACAGAGCTTCCTGTCCCTCTCCAGGCTGTGTGTGTCTCTCCAACACTGCAGTCGGCCAGCATGCTGAGATACAATACCGGAAATCCACATGCAGGCTCCCATCAAGTTGGGCAAGCCAGACAAGAAAGACACTTAAAACCCTCTTTGATATAAATAATAGCTTTTATTAACTCGGCCAAGGAACCTAACCTTTTTTGCAAGTCATGTTGCCCTGGGCACTCAAGTGGAACTTACTCCCAACTAGACTCACCAACTATTTGATCCAAATCTTCTTCCCCACTCCTACCCCAACCTATCATTGTGCTGTTTCATTATGATTATCCACTTAAAATTTGTCTGGTTAGATATAACTCATTATTTCAATTTGTCAAGAGCACTTTGTCAGCTAATCTTCATCTAAATATTCACTTCTCCCAACTTGAGTCCATTTGAAAATTTCATCAGCATGCCATTAATATCCACCTCTGAAACACTGTTGAAAATAGTGACATGTGGTCGGTTAAGACAGAGACCACTCTCAAGTATGCAGTTGACCTCATACTCATGCCTCCTTTGGGTTCTGTTTTCAACCAGTTATGAATTTCACTCACAGTACTGGGAAGTACCAACCTGCATCCCTTCTTACTGTTCTCAAAAAGACACCATGAGTGACTTTGTCAGATTCCAGCCAAAGTTGCAATGTGCTATACTTCTGTCATTCCTTAAATCTCCTGATCTACCAACTCTATGCTATTCTTTCATATATAGTTTTAGCTCAAGGATAAAAGGCATTGACTATTACTCTAAGAAGAAAACAAGGACTGTTGGGTGGAATTCCCAGGCTCTTCTTCAGACCAGCCTTGGGAACTATGAACTGTCCAGAGAGAAGACACAGCCTATACACCGAGGTTAACCAGAAAATAACACTTTTGGAAAACTAGAATAAATCCATATGTTAACAGGAAAAGTGCAATGGGAGAGAGTGAAGAAATCTGAGAGTAGAGAGAGATAAGAGGGGCCAGACCTTGTAAGTCATGTTAGGGAATATGGACTTTATCCTGAGGACAATGGGGAATCATTGACTGATATTAAAACAAGAGAGTGACATGATCAGATTTACATTTTACAAAGATGACAGAAAAAGACTTTTCTGGAAACTCCTGCTTTGACAAGGAAGTGGGAATAGGTGACCTCTAAGGTCCCGTACAACGCAAAGTCTTTGGTTCTATTGCTTAGCTAATCAGGAAACTCAAATGAAGGTTATCTTAGTCTAGGAAGATTTGCACTTTTCCTTTCCTCATAACATTGTCTGGATCCATCATTCCCATTGTGTGTGTGTGTACGTGTGTGTGTGTGTTTGTGGGGCTTGGTGTAGCTAACCTCACAATATCCTAGCATCCTTGTCTGGATCCATCATTCCCATTGTGTGTGTGTGTACGTGTGTGTGTGTGTTTGCGGGGCTTGGTGTAGCTAACCTCACAATATCCTAGCATCCTTGTCTGGATCCATCATTCCCATTGTGTGTGTGTGTACGTGTGTGTGTGTGTTTGCGGGGCTTGGTGTAGCTAACCTCACAATATCCTAGCATCCTTGTCTGGATCCATCACTCCCATTGTGTGTGTGTGTACGTGTGTGTGTGTGTTTGCGGGGCTTGGTGTAGCTAACCTCACAATATCCTAGCATCCTTGTCTGGATCCATCATTCCCATTGTGTGTGTGTGTACGTGTGTGTGTGTGTGTACGTGTGTGTGTGTGTTTGCGGGGCTTGGTGTAGCTAACCTCACAATATCCTAGCATCCTTGTCTGGATCCATCACTCCCATTGTGTGTGTGTGTACATGTGTGTGTGTGTGTTTGCGGGGCTTGGTGTAGCTAACCTCACAATATCCTAGCATCCTTGCATATGAAGGTGGAATAGGTTCTCACTGTCACTACACGCTTCCTGCTGAGCAAGCCAGGCTGCTAGGAACTGAAACAATCACTGAGCCTAACTTATAAGTTGCAAAGTACATGAGTGCCAACTACCAATGTTGAAAAAAAATCAAGGAAGTGACAAAAGTTTGATAGAAACTTGATTGAAATTTCATTACTATCAAGCATCATGCTGTCCAAAAAAAAAGTAACAGATTATTAGATGATCAACTCAGGATTCCTTATATCACTTGTTAAGAAAAATTATCCATAACTTATAAACAAGGACAAAAAATAACTGCATGTTATTTCAATGTCACACTCAGACAGTGTTTAAGAGGCTCATTTGGGGATTACTTATTTTCTAAAATAATCTACCATGACTTGCCTTTGCTATTTAAAATACAAATTAAGGGTTCACGCTCTGTGAAGTTCCACGTTATTTTACAGAAGCAATATTTTCTAAGAGAAAAAAATAACCCCAAATTCTATGATTTATTATCCTACCGGAGATTTACTAGTTTGTTTGTAACCTAGCAATCTAATTTAACATTCCTTTATTAAACTGCCTATAAATACTCAGCTCCTCAAATGCTCTTTGAACCAGCTTAATGATTTTCTCTCATTAATTAATGAGTTGAATAATATCTTTGACACATGCTCATTCTATATTTGTTTTGAGAGCCCTGTTTTAACTTTTTGAAAATTATACCTTGACATTCTTAGCACTAAATAACTTAGTGTTATTCTCCACTGTACCCTGTCCTCCTGCTCAGTTTTAAGGTCTGAACGTGGCAGGCTCATATTTTTCACAGTGGGTCTTTCCTCTCCTTCCTTTCTTTTTTTCTTTTTTTGTTTGGTTTTGTTTTGTTTGTTTGATTGTTTGATGCCGTTATCAAGTAGAGCAGACCTGGGAAGACTGGTGCATCCTTATTTCTGTCATCTTAGAAAATAACATATATAAGAAAATATTTATATCTAGGGCAGAAGAAAATTAGAGATATATTTTTTTCCTTTCAGCCTCTTCTCTCCTCCATTTTTACTGCTGAAAAATTATCCAAAGGCATGAAAATATTTCATAGAAATGTCTTCTGAGTTGTGAGGGAATTCTTGCCCATTTGAACAAATTGAATAGACATTTGAAAGCAAATCAGAATGCCCCTTACTGCTTGGCCAATGTGTAAGGATTTGGAGCTGCTTATCTGTGTTGCCATGTCCTTATTACTACGGGTTTCTTGATCTGCACAATCGATGTAATGAAACCTGGTGCTGAGTATGGCTATAAAACTGTTCTTTGGGTGGTAGTTCATGACAAATATGTGTAAACCAATAAGAGAAATAAAAGACTGCATTAGAAAAACTTTTTGAAAATGTAACTAATACCTGAAATAACCCAAAGTTTTTGCTTTGTGTCCTGTGGAGATTTATTATGCTTTCCAATGAAAATAATCAGTGATGTATACATGACCTGGCACCTGAAAACGGAATTTTCCACACCACTTTGAGACTTTTGTTTTTTCCCCCATTTATAAAAAAGATTTAATCCCTCAACCACCAAATAAAAAGTAGAGAGGAATGAACAGTCCTGATTCATTACTATCATGCTAATTCCACAGTTACGTTGTTTCCACAGTTAACGTTGCTCATTTTATCTAATGCCACTCAGAATCACTTGGTTTTCTTTTTTTTTTTTTTTTTTCTTGGCTTGGAGACGGAGTCTTGCTCTGTCTCCAGGCTGGAGTGCAGTGGCACGATCTCGGCTCACTGCAACCTCCACCTCCAGGGTTCAAGCAATTCTCCTGCCTCAGCCTCCTGAGTAGCTGGGACTACAGGCATATGCCACCACACCCAGCTAATTTTTGTATTTTTTAGTAGAGACGGCGTTTCACCGTGTTGGCCAGGATGGTCTCAATCTCTTGACCTCGTGATCCGCCCGCCTTGGCCTCCCAAAGTGCTGGGATTATAGGCATGAACCACCACACCCCGGCCTACTTGGTTTTCTTAAAGTCTGTTAGCTAAGTTTGTGCAGCTTCTTAAAAATACAATATTGGTTTTAATAACCCAGATTTGAGATTATTTTGGTTGTTAGCATAAATTTCATCTTCTTTCATGCTAGAAACATTTCCTGTTTCAAAACCATTCAGCCAATAAGTATTGTGCTGTTATTTTTGTGGCTTTTACAGGATCTGACAACTCGAGCAGCTGCCATCAAGGTACATCATGGCACAAAGGACGGCTCTCAAACATCGGATGTACAGAGACTACCATTAATATTGCAGTGTGTGTCTTTTGTATTAAGTTGGTTTCTGAAAATATCTCTGACAGATGCTGCTAGGCCAAAGTGCCTCCCACAGCTGCAGCTCTAGAGAAATCCGCGGTGGATGTTCTCCTCTAACAGTTTTCTGGTCCCTGTGACAGTGCCCACTGCTTCACTACTGCTCTCAGGTGGTGTGCTTGGTGGCAGTGCCGTGGGCATGGGAGGTTGTGGAGGGGGCTGGGCTATGCAAACTGCTGAGCCAGAACCATCCCTGTGGTGGAGCCTGGGACCCAGCACCCAGCACAGCAGCAGCCAGGAGCTGAGCTGGCAATGGAGAAAGAACGCTGAAAGGGAATGGTTGCCTGGCGTTTAGTAAATGAGCTGTCTGAAAATAATCTGAATGGGGAGAAGGAGTTTTCTTCTCTTGTGATTTTCTGGGATTCCATTTATTCATATAATTACTTCACCTCATTTCAAAAACAATGGTAGGGGGTTGGGGGAGGGCTTGAAGTGCTTTAAGCAGTGCCCCTCTGAACATATACCCAGGAAACAGTTTGCCTCTCACTGTTCCATGTCTGTTGTTTAGCTCCCAAACAATTAAGCAGGAGCACATAAGCTCTCCCAGGCTGAGTCTGCACCCACTGCAACAGTCACCTCACAGTGAGAGAGGGAGAGATGACGAGGAGAAGTTTCATTAACCTTTTCCATGCCCCAGACAAACAGCTTGATTTCAGCTGAGACCCAGTATGGCCCCAAGAAGTGGAGGGTTCAGAGTCCTTTCCAATGGGCCCTCCCGCCCTGTCGTTCACCTGCCCACTCAGCCCAGAAGGAAAGTTGTAGACCCCTCTTCTTTCTAGAGCTGCTCATGATTCTTATTAATCAAATGAGAGGAGCAGAACGTATGGTCAAAACAAGCAACATATGCGGCCCCACATTTTTAAGATACTTATCGAAAAGGGATTATCTGTTCCCTGTAGATGGATTCAAAGATAGCAAATTGCACGCTCAGAGTGCACAGGGTACAAAGCGCAAATAGGCAATTTGGTTCAATATCTCCCAACTTAAACCCACTGCTTTTTCAACAGAAATGTTTTTTACATCAAGTGTTGCCTCTGTTCTCACTCTCCCTCCTTCTTGATCTTTTAATCTAACCCTGTCTTCTTGACTTCTTTCTAGCCCCTGCCCCATTGCCATTGGTTTATAGGTCAAATTGCTTGAGTTAAATGCATAGAAGATGCAACTATTTCAGACCTCACTTTAAACAATGTGGTAAGTGTTAAGACAGAATAAAAGATAAACCAAAATATTGTAGAAGATGATTCTAATGGCATATCCAGGAGCTAACCTGCTCTGCATTGATGAGTTTAGCTATCATAATTCCAAAGGAACACTATGATTGAGAACAACCAAGAGCACTACTAACTCCAGCATCACCAAGGAGACTGCCAAGTCCTTGCTGAGGCTCCACCCTACCCTCTCCTTCTCTCTGGCTTTGCACTCCCAACACCACACAATTGTGGCAGGCCACAGGATGCCCACCATTACATGCTAGGAATTCTAGCAGAGCGAGTCCTCAGTAGTTCTAATGCCATATTTGAAGAAATTACATGTTAATTTTTTTAAATCCTCTCTCAATAATTCTAAGATGTGGATGCTTACAATCTTGTTCACTTAAAATCTACAGTTCTAGAAAAAAAATCAGAGGATTAAGATGGTGGATAGGAGGCAGGACTAGCTTGCAGCTCCCTCTCGGACAACAGAGCAGTGTGTGGAGACCCACATCGTGAACTACCACAGAAACATACCAGGAAAGCCAAGAGAATCCACAGACCCTCTGAAGGAACTGGATCACTGCTGCAGGCTCCCTGAGATGCTGAAAAACTGTAAGTCTGCTTGCTTTCTCAGCTGGGAAGCTCATGGTCTGGGGCAAGTTCTCAGCCCTGGTCACTGGCTGCCTGGAAATAGACTCGGTGCTGTTGTCGCGGCACAGTGGGAATGAGACCAGCCTTTAGGACTACCGACTGCATGGAAGCGGGGTGAGGCCTGTGACTGCTGGCTTTCCCCCACTTCCCTAGTGACCTGTATGACTCAGCAGAGGCAGCCATAATCCCACAGGGAACATAACTTCTTCGGCCTGAGAACCACACCCCCATCCTCCACAGCAGCAACAGGAAGACCCACCCAAAAAGAGGCTGAGCTCAGACATGCCTATCCCTGCCCCACCTGGTGGTCTTTCTCTACAGGCCCTCATAGCTGAAGACAAAGGACATAATCTCTTGGGAGCTCTATGGCCCTGCCCACCACCTGAGAAACACAAATACTTAACCAGGTGTCCCTAGAGCAAGTTTGCATCCTCCCTATACAGCTGCAGCTGATGCACTCTTGATAGCACCACCTCCTGGCTGGAGGCCAAACCAACACAAAACTAGCACACTAAACAATAGTACAACAAAGGACCCTCCCAGAGTCCACTTCACTCCTCTGCTACCTCCAGTGGAGCAGGTGCTGGTATCCACGGCTGACAGAGCTGAAGACAGATCACATCACAGGACTCTGCGGACACTCCCCAGTACCAGCTCAGAGACTGGTAGCTCTGCTGGGTGGCCAGACCCAGAAAAGTGAAACAATTGCTGCAGTTCGGCTCTCAAGAAGCCCCATTCCGTGGGACAAAAGAATCTGAACAGCAGCCCTTGAGTCCCAGATCTTCCCTCTGACATAGTCTACCCAAATGAGAAGGAACCAGAAAAACAATTCAGGTAATATGACAAAACAAGTTTCTTTAACACCCCCAAAAATCACACCAGCTTACCAACAAAGGATCCAAACCAAGATGAAACCTCTGAATTGCCAGAAAAAGAATTCAAAAGGTCGATTATTAAGCTAATCAAGGAGGCACCAGAGAAAGGTGAAGTCCAACTTAAAGAAATCAAAAACATGATACAGGATGTGAAAGAAAAAGTCTTCAGTGAAATAGATAGTATAAATTAAAAAACCCCACAACTTCTGGAAATCAAGGACACACTTAGAGAAATGCAAAATGCACTGGAAAGTCTCAGCAATGGAATCAAAAAACCAGAAAAAAGAACTTCAAAGCTTGAAGACAAGGCTCTCAAATTAACCCAGTCTGTCAAAGACAAATTAAAAAGACTTTCAAAAAATGAGCAAAGCCTCCAAGAAGTTTGGGATTATGTTAAATGACCAAACCTAAGAATAATTGATGTTCCCAAAGAAGAAGAGAAATCCAAAAATTTGGAAAACATATTTGAGGGAATAATCAAGGAAAACTTCCCCGGCCTTGCTAGAAATCTAGACATCCAAATACAAGAAGCCCAAAGAACACCTGGGAAATTTATTGCAAAAAGATCATCACCCAGGCACGTAGTCATCAGGTTATCTAAAGTCAAGCTGAAGGAAAGTATCAAGTTGTAGGATGAAAGCATCAGGTAACCTGTAAAGGAAAACCTATCAGATTAATAGCAGATTTCTCAGCAGAAACCCTACAAACTAGAAGGAATTGGGGTCCTATTTTTAGCCCGCTTAAACAAAATAATTTTCAGCCAAGGATTTTGTATCCAGCAAAACTAAGTTTCATAAATGAAGGAAAGACACAGTCTTTTCCAGAAAAACAAATGCTGAGAGAATTTGCTACTACCAAGCCAGCCCTACAAGAACTGCTAAAAGGAGCTCTAAATCTTGAAACAGATCCTCAAATACACCAAAATAGAACCTCCTTAAAGCATAAATTTTATAGGACCTATATAACAATAACACAATGAAAAAGCAACAAGGTATTCAGGCAACAAATAACACGATAAATAGAATAGTACCTCACATCCCAGTACTAAACGTTGAATGTAAGTGGCCTAAATGCTCCACTTAAAAGATACAGAACGGCAGAATGGATAAGGATTCACCAACCAAGTTTCTGCTGTCTTCAGAAGACTCACCTAACACCTAAAGATTCACATAAACTTAAGGTAAAGGGGTGTAAAAAGATATGCCATGCAAATGGACACCAAGAGCAAGCGGGAGTAGTTAGTTTCACATCAGACAAAACAAACTTTAAAGCAACAGCAGTTAAAAAAGACAAAGAGGGACATTATATAATGATAAAAGGACTAGTCCAACAGAAAAATATCACATTCTTAAATATATATGCCTCTATATATATACAACTGGAGCTCCCAAATTTATAAAACAATCACTATTATACCTAAGGAATGAAATAGACAGCAACACAGTAAAAGCAGGAGACTTCAATACTCCACTGACAGCACTAGACAGGTCATCAAAAGAAGGTCAACAAAGAAACAATGGACTCCTAGCCTGGCCAACATGGTGAAACCCCATGTCTACTAAAAATACAAAAATTAGCCAGGCATGGTGGAGCATGCTTGTGGTCCCAGCTACTCAGGAGACTGACACAGAATTGCTTGAACCCAGGAGGCGGAGGTTGCAGTGAGCCAAGATTGCACCACTGTGCTCCAGCCTGGGTGACAGGGCAAGAGTCTGTCTCAAAAAAAAAAAAGACTCAAACTATAACCTAGAACAAATGTACTTCACAGATATTTACAGAACATCCTATCCATCGACTGCAGAATATACATTCCATTCATCAGCACATGGAACAGTCTCCAAGGTAGACCATATGATAGGCCACAAAACAAGTTTCAGTCAATTTAAGAAAATCGAAATTATATCAAGTACTTTCTCAGACCACAGTGGAATAAAATTAGAAATCAACTCCAAAAGGAACCCTCAAAACCATGCAATTATGTGGAAATTAAAGAACCTGCTCCTGAATGATCATTGGGTCAACAATGAAACCAAGATGGAAATTTAAAAATTCTTTGAGCTGAATGATAATAGTGACACAACCTATCAAAACCTCTGGGATACAGCAAAAGTAGTGCTAAGAGGAAAGTTCATACCATTAAATGCCTACATCAAAAAGCCTGAGAGAGCACAAATAGACAATCTAAGGTCACACCTCACAGAACTGGAGAAACAAGAACAATCCAAACCCAAACCAGCAGAATAAAGGAAATAACGAAGATCACAGCAGAACTAAATGAAATTGAAACAAACACACAAAAAAAGACAAAAGGTAAATTAAACAAAAACCTAGTTTTTTAAAAAGATAAATAAAATTGATAGACCATTTGCGAGATTAACCAAGAAGAGAAAAAGATCCAAATAAGCTAAATTAGAAATGAAACAGGAGATATCACAACTAATAGCACAGAAATACACGATTCAAGGCTACTATGAACACCTATAAGTGCCTAAACTAGAAAACCTAGAGAAGATGGATAAATTCCTGGAAATATACAATCTTCCTAGATTAAACTAGGAAAATATAGAAACTGAACAGGCCAATAACAAGCAGCAAGATTGAAATTGTAATAAAAAAAAATTGCCAACAAAAAAAGTCCAGGACCAGATGGAGTCACAGCTGAATTCTATCAGATATTTAAAAAATTGGTATGAATCCTATTGACACTATTCCAAAAGATAGAGAAAGAGGGAATCCCCCCTAAATCATCTATGAAGCCAGCATCATCCTAATACCAAAACCAGGGAAGGATATAACAAAAAAAAAGAAAATACAGACCAATATTCCTGATGAACATAGATGCAAAAATCCTCAACAAAATACTAGCAAACTGAATCCAACAGCATATCAAAAAGATAATCCAACATGATCAAATGGATTTCGTACCAGGATTGCAGGGATGCTTTAATATATGTAAGTCAATAAATGTGATATACCATATAAACACAATTAAAAACAAAAATCACATGATCATCTCAATAGATGCAGAAAAAGCATCTGACAGAATCCAGCATTCCTTTATGAGTAAAACCCTCAGCAAAATTGGCATAGAAGGGACATACCTTAAGGTGATAAAAGCCATTTATGACAGACCCACAACCAACATTATACTAAACAGGGAAAAGTTGAAAGCATTCCCCCTGAGAACTGAAACAAGACAAGGATGCCCATTTTCATCACCTCTATTCAACATAGTACTGGAATTCCTAGCCAGACCAATCAGACAAGAGAAAGAAATAAAGGACATCCAAATCAGTAAAGAGGAAGTCAAACTGTCACTGTTTGCTGATGATATGGTCCTATACCTAGAAAACCCTAAAGGCTCCTCCAAAAAACTCCTAGAACTGATAAATGAAATCAGCAAAGTTTCAGAATACAAAATTAATGTGCACAAATCAGTAGCTCTCCTATACACCAACAGCAACCATGATGAGAATCAAATCAAGAACTCAACCCCTTTTACAATAGCTGCAAAAAATAAAATACTTAGGAGGTGAAAGACACCTACAAGGAAAACTACAAAACGCCACCAAAAGAAATCATAGATGACACGAACAAATGGAAATATATCTCATGCTCATGGATAGGTAGAATCAATATTGTGAAAATGACCACACTGCCAAAAGCAATCTACAAATTCAATGCAATTTTCATTAAAATACCACCATCATTCTTCACAGAACTAGAGAAAAAAAAAATCCTAAAATTCATAGGGAACCAAAAAAGAGCCCACATAGCCAAAGCAAGACTAAGCAAAAAGAACAAATCTGGAGGCATCACATTACCTGACTTCAAACTACACTACAATGCCATAGTCACCAAAACAGCATGGTACTGGTATAAAAACAGGCACATAAGCCAATGGAACAGAATAGAGAACCCAGAAATAAAGCAAAATACTCACAGCCAACTGATCTTTGACAAAGCAAACAAAAACATAAAAGTGGGGAAAGGATACCATATTCAACAAATGGTGCTGAGATAATTGGCAAGCCACATGTAGAAGAATGAAACTGGATCTTCGTCTCTGACCTTATTCAAAAGTCAATTCAAGATGGATCAGAGATTTAAATCTAAGACCTGAAACTATAAAAATTCTAGAAGATAACATCAGAAAAACCCTTCCAGACATTGGCTTAGGCAAAGACTTCATAACCAAGAACCCAAAAGCAAATGCAACAAAAACAAAGACAAATAGATGGAACTTAATTAAACTAAAAAGCTTCTGCACAGCAAAAGAAATAATCAGCAGAGTAAACAGACAACCTACGCATGACAGAAAATCTTCACAATCTGAATATATAACAAAGGATTAATGTCCAGAATCTACAAAGAACTCAAACAAATCAGCAAGAACGAAACAAACAATCCTATTAAAAAGTGGGTTAAGGACATGAATAGACAATTCTCAAAAGAAGATACACAAGTGGCCAATAAACATATGAAAAAATACTCAGCATCACTAATTATCAGGGAAATGCAAATCAAAACCACAATCCGATACCACCTTACTCCTCTAAGAATGTCCATAATTTAAAAATCAAAAAATAATAGATGTTCATATGGATGTGGTGGAAAGGCAACACTTTTACACTGTTGGTAGGAATGTAAACTACTACAGCCTCTATGGAAAACAGTACAGAGATTCCTTAGAGAGCTAAAAGTACATCTGCCATTTGATCCAGCAATCCCACTACTGCGTATCTACCCAGAGGAAAAGAAGTCATGAAATGAAAAAGATATTTGCATATGCATGTTTATAGCAGCACAATTTACAATTGCAAAGACATAGAACCAGCCCAAACGCCCATCAATCAATGAGTGGATAAAGAAAATGTCATATACATATACGTATACATATACATATACATATACATATACATATACATATACATATACATATACATATACATACCATGGAATACTATTCAGCCATAAAAAGGAACAAAATAAGGGCATTCACAGCAACCTGGATTATTATCCTAAGTGAATTAACTCTGGAATGGAGAACCAAACATCGTATGTTCTCGCTCATAAATGAGAGCTAAGCTATAAAGATGCAAAGGCATAAAAATGATACATCGGACTTTGGGGATTCAGGGGAAATGGTGGGAGGGGGCGAGGGATAAAGATTACACATTGGGTACAGGGTACACTGCTCAGGTGATGGGTGCACCAAAATCTGAGAAATCACCACTAAAGAACTTATTCATGTAACCAACCACCACCTGCTCCCAGAAAAACCTATTGAAATACAAAATACATTTTAAAAAAGAATAAAATCTAAGTGCTGTTAAAACCCAAAGGAGGGAGTCAAAAATTCCACCTGAAGGATAAAGAAAGCTTTCACAGAATTGATGATTTTTGAACTTAGCCTTGAAGAACTGGTTTGGAGATGGACTCTAGGTAGGCAGTGGAGGAATCATTACTGGTGGTGGTAAAAGGGCTGGAGCAAAAGTTCAGAGGTGTTCTTCTTTATGAAAGAAGTAAAATCAGAAAGTAAAAGAAAGCTGCCTGGACTAATATCTTATCTCCTCTTTCTTCCCATTTTACTTGTCCTGAATCTATTACTCTTATTACCTGTCTGAGGCACATATCTCTATTCCATGATCTATTCCAGCAGGAGAAGCCCAAACTTTATACAGTCTGTCTAATTCCATGTTCCTTCTTCACCTGGCAAATAGTAAAATCATGTACAGTCCTGCACCACCTAACAATGTTTCAGACAATGATGGACCACATATATGATGGTGGTCCCATAAGATTATAAGACCGTATTTTTACTGTAACTTTTCTATAGATAGAATGTTTAGATACACAAATACCTACCATTGTGTTACAACTGCCTACAGTATTCAGTACAGTCACATGCTGTACAGGTTTGTAGCCTAGGAGCAATGGACTACACCACAGAGCCTTGGTGTGGAGCGGGCTACACTGTCTAAGAATGTATAAGTACACTATGATGCTCGCACAATGATGAAATTGCCTAACAATGCATTTCTCAGAACCTTTTCCCATCATTAAGCAACACATAGCTATATTTAGTTATTTCAGCTGAAGTGTTAAAATTTATAATATCTAATGCTTTACCCCTTCCATCGAGTTTTCCCCAGTCTGATCTCTGCCAAATTAATCTTTTCCGGGTTTGTGTCCCACAGTACTTTGAAGCTTTCTTGTAACACTTAACCACATACTATCCTTACTCATAATGTTTTGACCCTTGTTTGTCTCCCCTACCAGGGATAACTTTCCTTTGGCAGCAGAGACATATTCATAGTTAACTGTTTATATTTAACTGAAATGAATCAACCTTTTCACAAACAGAATATTTTGTGGGAAAGTAGAGAAGAATGCGAACATTTGTTTTTATTAATAAGTGATGACATGATGAAAATATTGGCTTCAGAAGCTGACTGTTTCACTAGCTTTGTACTATCCACATTTTCAGTAGGCTCTGGGTTTTTTGTTTTTGTTGTCTTTTTCCATTTTCAGAGATATGTCTTGATACAATGGCAGGGTTTACAACACCAAGTGTAAAACCTGCTCAAAAGGCTGGGCTACACTTTATAAAACCTTCTGATTCTTAAATGCATTTTATTTTTGGCAAAAACTGATAGAAGTTGTTGTTTTTAAAAACCCAGAAGCTTCTTTAGATATCAGGTCATCTTTACTATTCAACATTGCAATGATTTAAGTGCAAATAAACTTAGATCGTATGGATTAATTTTCCTTTTAAAATGCATGAGGGTTTGAACTGTTATGGTCCTATATTATTGTACTTTGACTTTGTCATTGAAAACAATGTAGACAGACATAAAGATGTTAATGTGTTCTAGGCAAAATAAGATTTACGTAGCCTTATCTATTTTTCAATTTTTGGTAACATAATTAGATGACTATTAAATTCATTTATTTATCCAATAAACCTGTATCAAATGCCTTACATAAAGCTTCATTATATGTTACAGCTCAGCCTTCTTCTCTCCTAACTAGAAAGGATGAATTAATCTTTCTTCTTAGCATCCATTTTCATCTCTTAAAATGTCGTTAATTCTTTTTTTTTTTTTTTGAGACGGAGTTTCACTCTTGTCATCCAGGCTGGAGTGCAGTGGCGTGATCTCGGCTCACTGCAACCGCTGCCTCCCGGGTTCACACCATTCTTCTGCCTCAGCCTCTCGAGTAGCTGGGATTACATTTGTATTTTTAGTAGAGACGGGGTGTCGCCATGTTAGCCAGACTGGTCTCAAACTCCTGACCTCAGGTGATCCACCCGCCTCAGACTCCCAAAGTGCTGGGATTACAGGTGTGAGCCACCGCGCCCGGCCTCTTAATTCTTAATCACAGTCTTCATCTTTAAATTTCATAGCAAAAGATTTATTGCAGAAGAGTGACCTAATTCCTCTTTTCCATCAAAATCATTTTATGAAACCAGGAACTTTCTCAGGATCTATGAAGTATCCCAGAAATCTATGGTCCCCAAATTGAGAAAACAACCTTAGAAATGACTGGCATGTATTACAAATGTAGGGGGGAAAGTAAAGCTATAAATCCCTGTTTCAGCAAAGATACACAAATTCAGGCAATCTCACTCATGGTTGGTGGCAGTTATAATTGATTAATTTCTTTGGAAAGAGACAGTGGATATTAAGAACTATAAAAATGTCAATATAGGCGTATGTTCTCTTTCTCAGATGCAAAATTAACCTGTAAAAATTTTATAAAGATCACTGAAGTCAGATTTTTACCATGGCGGGCCCTGGTAGAGCCCTGGCTCTTCCCCCTAGACAACAGAATATTTCATTGAACTGTTAACAGTATAATTATTTGGGATGTAGAGATGATAAAGGATAAAGCTGCTCAAATATTATTAGTAGTAGTATTGATTATTTACATGTAGCCTCATTCTCGAAAGAATTTCAAGCTGCTTTCAGAGATACATAAAGCATAAAAGTAAAGAAAGAAATCAGGATTAATGAAAGATGATAATGGGAAAGTAAGATGAAGCCAAAACCAAGTTGAGGACAACATAGTAGAGCCTTAAATTTGGAATTAAGCTTCTTACCAGCTAAACAAAAAGAAAAGGCATTCACAATGTCTGAGAGAAGCAATTTACTTACTGGAAGAACTGTAGACTTGCCTGGCACTGAGTCCTGAGAGAAATTTGCACATGATCTTACTAGGAATGAGGAGACTGGACTATACCGCATAGGCACCTGCTCTGGCACTATCTACTCCAATCATTAAAAAGCAACAACAGGCTGGGTGCGGTGGCTCACGCCTGTAATCCCAGCACTTTGGGAGGCTGAGGCGGGTGGATCGTGAGGTCAATAGATCAAGACCATCCTGGCCAACATGATGAAACCCCATCTCTATTAAAAATACAAAAATTAGCTGAGTGTGGTGGCAGGCGCCTGTAGTCCCAGCTACTCGGGACTACAGTGACCTGAGATTGCACCACTGCACTCCAGCCTGGGCAACAGAGCGAGACTCTGCCTCAAAAAAAAAAAAGCAACAACAGCTCTGGGGCCCAGAAGCCTTGAGGGTGTGTCCATCTTCACATAGAAGCTAAGAGATGGTGAGTAATGTTTGAACTTCATGTTTGTTGGGAAAAAATATGTGCCTTGTTTTCTCTCTGCCTCTTTGTTATCCTAAAATTTCCATACCACTGAGTTAAAAAGAACCAGTATACTTTCTAGCCCAGACAACTTAGGCATCCCTTGGTGAGACCTTTTCATATTAAAGTTAAGAAGTTAAATTTAATAATTTATTCAAGGATTTCTTTTCTGACTTTAAATGGTAACTGGAAACAAAAGGCTAGCTTGAGAAAAAATTATAAAGGGATGGTGGAAGTAGCATTTAAGTAGAGATACTTCAAACCCACTCACATCGCTGGCACAAAAGTTCTTTGTTATCTACGTGATGTTCATCAGAAGATGAGCAATAATATTGGCTCTGCACCCATTATCTTAACTCCTTCTACATTAACCAAGCCGTGATTAAGAAACTGATGTCCAGTTTATGGTTCTGCTAAGTTAACCACAGAAGGAGGTAGAAAAGTAGATTGTTAGTATGTAATAAATGCTATAATTAGGCTATGATGAAAGGAATCTGGCAGTCTTTATCCTGAGAGAATATTTAAGTCTGGAAGGACATGGCATGGAGGTGTTCATCATCAGTGATGGGCTGTGAGGAGAGATGAGAACATTCTATAGATTTAGATGATCCCATGTGAAAGTAAGTACCAGCTCGGCCACTTTATTATTATTTATTTTATTATCATTATTATTATTATTTTTGAGATGGAGTTTCGCTCTTGTTGCCTAGGCTGGAATGCAGTGGCGCAGTCTCAGCTCATTGCAATCTCCGCCTCCCAGGTTCAAGTGATTCTCCTTCCTCAGCCTCCTGAGTAGCTGGAATTACAGGCGCTCAACCACACCCGGCTAATTTTTGTATTTTTAGTAGAGATGGGGTTTTGCCATATTGGCCAGGCTGGCCTTGAACTCCTGACCTCAAGTATCCACCCTCGGCCTCTCAAAGTGCTGATATTACAGGTGTGAGCCACCGTGCCCGGCCTCAGCCACTTTATATATGAGGTAACTAATTTAACTTACTCACATTTGTTTCCTCATCTGCAAATTGTGGGTAATAACACTTACTCAGTCGGTGCTTGTAAGAATGAAATAATCAAATATGGAAAACACCTAGGAATAAGTGCTTAACATGCTGTAAATGCTCAGTAAGTAGTAAAATCAAGGTTTCTAGAAGAGAATAAAATACAAATTACCTTCAATTGCAGTGAAAAAGACTTTGGTATGATTAAATGACAACTTCATAACTAAATGAGGAGAGGAGGGAATTATTGGTTCTGTCTGGTTAATTACCATTGTATACCAAGTACCTCCCACAATTCCTGGCCCACGGTAGCAGGTCAATAAATATTTTTCTTTTTACATTTCCATTCCTTTCACTTTGTTTCCCCTAGGATTAACATTATATATCACCCTAATACAATTATCGAAACCAGAAATCATATGTATTTTTGAGTGAATATTGAATATATTTTTAAATAATCAAAAATAGGGTAATTATCCTTATATCTGGGATTATTCTTTCAAGAAACACAAAACATAGGAATAAAAAGTCTCTGAGTCCGAATTTCAAAATTGCTTTTGAGAATAAGAAACAATCCTTTTCATTAAAGTGGGGGCTTTAATGCAGACCCAGTGAGGTGAACTGCACAACTACTGCACATAAAATGTAGGAGCCCAATATTTGATCCTTTTGATTCATCAGAGTTTTGGGCTCAAGAATCATGGTGAGAAAATGAACTTCAGCTTAGTGAGCAAACCAGGATTTACAACAACAAAATATATATGTGCAAATTATGTAAAGCATGAGTTATTCTTTCTATTGTGAACAAAGGACATTTTTCGTAGCATAAGTCTTTGTTATGAATATCTCTATATACTGCATAGACATTTTTCACACCCCCATCAATTTTGTGAAGAGACAGTGAGTTACCTAATTTGTGTCAAAAACAAGGAAAAGATGTGTCAACGACAGCATTTTTTTTCCCATTCCAGTGACAGGTTAGCACTCCAACTGTTGCTGATCTGTTGGAATTTCCTGTTTCCTCTTCCATGGAAATGTTTTCTCTTTTCTGTTGAAATAATAGATTGGAACCAGTGAGGCAGGCTAGGACATGACAACTCGGGACAACAAATGGCATCTGAAACAATTGTCCATGGTATACAATGAATGCAGTAAAATCCATCTATCTGGACTCAATAGAACCAGAGTTTTTCTTAGAGATTCACAATAATAACTAGAAGTTAAAATCATAAGACTTTGATCATGATATGAAACAAATTAACTGATGCCCAGTTTAGTTTTGGTGTTAAATGACATCTTTAAGACTTGTTTGACTGTGAATGAGATGAAGGGCAGCCTTCTGTCAACCAAAATAAACATTTCCAAACATTCTAGATCAATAGATGGTTCTTCTGTGTATCTTTTTTCTTCCCCCTCTTTGTTCCTCCTGCTCTCCCATTTGCTTTCCTTTCCTTCTCCGAGATTGCTTTCCTGTCATTGCTTCTTGCACCCCAGACACTCTGGAGGGACACCTTGATTGTCGCTGAAAACCCACCTAAACATTGGTTCACAGACAATGTGCTCAAGAGAAAAGAAGCAGTGGAGCTGTTCTCCATTTAGTGCAGTGTAGAGAACAAACATCGCCCTAGGGGAAAAAAAAAAATAGCTGGAGCTAGCCACCATTCTACCAGTAACTTTTCATGAAATTATGGGCAAAACGTTTAAAAGTCTTGAGGCATAAGTTGCTTTTACAGTTATAATCAGAAAGGACCCTCCCATCCCTCTGTTCTTTTTTGGCAGTGATCTTGGACTCCAAAAGCTGCTCTGTGGAGCCTGCAGTCAGTTGTGTCCATGATCAACCACTTTAGTCACCACCTGACTAACCACATGTTCCAGAAATGTACTCTTTATTCAAAGACTTCTTCAAAGAGTATCTAACAGTAACTCAGACACATGACATTTACTTGCTTTGAGTGACTCTTCAGTACTTCTTCTAATATGGTTTGGCTGTGTGCCCACCCAAATCTCATCTTGAATTGTAACTCCCACAATTCCCATGTGCCCTGGGAGGAACCTGGTGGGAAGTGATTGAATTATGGGGGCAGATCTTTCCTGTGCAGTTCTCATGATAGTGAATGAGTCTCATGAGATCTGATGGTTTTAAAAAGAGGAGATTCCCTGCACAAGCTCTCTTTTTGCCTGCCACCATCCATGTAAGATGTGACTTGCTCCTCCTTGCCTTCTGCCATGATTGTGAGGCCTCCCCAGCCACTTGGAACTGTAAGTCCATTAAACCTCTTTCTTTTGTAAATTGCCCAGTCTCAGTTATGTCTTTATCAGCAGCATGAATACAGACTAATACATCTCCCTTCTCAGAAAAAAAATAATAGTTAGAAACATTTTTTCTCTCAAAGACATTTTCTTATTTATATAAATTCTGTCTCTCAATCAAATCTGAGTGTCTTTAACATTCTGTAAGAAGATTTTTTTTTAATACACTTTACCCATTTGCAGTCCAATTATTAATTTGACAGAAAATCACTCAGGACAACAGAAATTGAGCCCCTAACACCCACCAAATATTTAAAAGTATATAATGTTACTATGTGAAGATACTCAACAAATATGGAACACAGTTTGTGATTTCGAAAACTTTATAACCTACATTGGGAAGATAATATTCATTGGATTTTAGAATAAGAAAGGATTATAAGTCCACTATTTTCTAGATGGATCAGGAAATAGTCCACCATCCCAAGAATAAAATAGAGGGCAGAAAAAGATGGTTTGACCACCACAAAATAAACTAAGTTCCCTTTCCTACTCTCCAATGATGTTATGCTGCACAGATGATCAGCAGAGGCGATTGTGGCAGATCCTAGCGCAGGTCTCATGTCGCTGGTCGTAGGCATCTAAAATAGGAAGGAGGAGTGCTGCAGAGAGGGCTCCTGCATGCCCTCCAGCATCGGAGGCATGTGAAGGCTGCAGGAAGGGGTGGAACAGGCACTTTGATGCAGAGGTGCCAAAGGGGTCTTAGATCAACACACTCAAGCAAGTACAGTGAGAGCTGTGGAACTGTGACTCCTGGACCACAAAGTGATCCATCCACAAGATGATTTGAGAGGTTTATATCATTTTGTCATTTGTCGTTTCTGTTTTTTCAGATATGACTGGCAGTTACTATGTGACATAGCCAAATCGATCCAAATGTATTATTAAGTAGCATTTTTGTTAATTAAACTTTTAATTTTAGCTTTGCTGAAATATGCTTGTGGTGTGCTTTTTATAGTCCTAGGAGTAGTGCAAAAGGAAAGCTCTGCCACCTGACAATTTCCCATGAAACTAATGATCTGTTGGTTGTACATGGATGCAAATGCCACAAGAGCTTTTACTGCTAGAGGAGTGGGAAATGGAAGAAAAGACCCAGAGATGAGAGAATACTAGAATGGGATGTAACATCATGGTACATATTTGAATTATTAAAAAGGATTGAAATACATTGCAGCTGAGCCGCAAGGATATCAGAGGCCAACACCTACAGAGAAAAATTCAATATTAAACAAGTGATGGCAGCTTTAAGTTCAATAGGCATTGAGAAGTCTCTTTGGGCAGGGAGGGAGCAGAACAGGCACTGATGAGGGTTAATATTCAGTGGAGGTAGAAAAGGCAATCCGCTATGATCCAAGACATTTTTTGCTCACCTGCTGGATGATATTTAAAATTTCTTTGACTTTAGTGTTTGGAATTTTGCTTCAATGCTTGATTAAGCATGTATTTGTGGGTTTCAATAGCCATTCTTTTTCTCCGTACCAGACAGACGGGAGTGAAGCAGTCCCATTCAGGAGGAGTACCACCAAACCAGTAACCAGAGACATTCATTAGGGTCTGCCTAGATTTGAACATGTTTGTAATTAATAACCTAGGATGGCTATTTTTATGTGTCAACTTGACTAGGCTATGATACCCAGATATTTCATCAAAAGCCAGTCTGGATGTTGCTGTGAACATATTTTTTAGATGAGATTAACATTTAAATCAGTAGACTTTGAATAAAGCAGATTGTTCTCCATAATGTGGGTGGGCCTTATCCAATTAGTTGAAGGCCTTAAGAGAAAAAAAAAAAGACTGCGATCTCCTAAGGAAGAGAAGAGTCTGTCTCCAGACTGCGTTCAGACTCAAACTACAATGTCAACTCCTCCCTGTGTCTCCAGCCTGCTGGCTTTCCCTGTAAATTTCAGACTTGCCAGCACCCACAATCATGTGAGCCAATTCTTACTTTAAAATCTCTCTCTCTCTCTACAGACACACACACACATACACACACACACACACACACACACACACACACATCCTATTTGTTCTGTTGATCTGGAAAACCCTGACTAATACATATCCCCTAAAACCCCTTAGGGTTTAGATCCAGAACTTGAAATAAAAAGAAATTTATTTGAGTGATGAGAACACATGGACACACAGCGGGGAACAACACACACTGGGGCCTACCGGAGGGTGGAGGGTGGGAGCAGGGAGAGGATCAGGAAAAATAACTGATGGATACTAGGCTTAATACCTGGGTGATGAAATAATCTACACAACAAACCCCCATGGCACATGTTTACCTATGGAAAAAACCTGCACATCCTGCACATGTACCCCTGAACTTAAAATCAAAGTTAAAAAAAAAAGACACTTATTTGAGTATAATAAACTCAGAGATTCTGAGTAAATAATAACATTTTGTTAAACAATTTAAATTAAACCTAAATAACTGATTAGAGGAACACTAAAAATTTTTGAACTAAGTTTTGAATATGGGATCCCAGCAACCCAATCTTATGATCGGGATTCATGATTATTCTCTTTCCTTTTTACCTTTTTGTTTTATGGTCTATTGTCTTGTAAGTTTCTGAACTAAAACTGGTAGTCAGCTTTTGTGGAGGTTTTGCTATCTCTCCAGAAATTCCTTATGCACTCCCTCTGCATTCTGTCTCTTTCCCGACTATTCTTTTCTTAGAAAGGAGTATGTTGTAGTGAAAAGATCAAGGTCTTTGAAGTAAAAACAAAAAATGTTCATTTGAATCCTGGATCTGAAGAAAACACCGGCTGTGGAAACTTGTCCAAGTCATTTAACCTCTCTAAGCCCCAGTTTCCTCATCCCTCAAGATCCTCACAAAGAGAGTACTCAGATTAAATAAGGTAACAAATGTTCAGACCCTAGTGTTTATACAGGAAGGTACTGACTTCCATGTGAGGTGACTGAAGCCTAGTGAACAAGCTTCTTGGTTTCTTTACTTAAAAAGTCCCTGATCGTAAAAATATCAACAAACATGTAATTTAGAAAGCAGAGGACATCTCTGCTATCCTTGGCAGCTGCAAAGAAAGTCAGTCAAAAGGAATATATTATTTCGATGTAGTCTAACTTCTATAACAAACAACTCCCCAGTTGCAGCAGCTTGACATAGTGAAACTGTTATTTCTTGCTCATGTCACAGCGCAGTGTGGGAGGATGGAGGGACTCTGTTCCACATTCATTCATGAACCCAGGCACCTTCAATCTTGTGGCTCCACCCTCATATTGGCCCTTAAAGTTCTTTCAAGGTAGCTAATGAGAAAAAAGGCAGAAAAGAGAACGTGATGACCACACAAAGGAAGCGTATGTAGGTTATTTCTGCAAGTGGCACGTGTTGCTCCAGCTCATATCCAATTGGCCAGAATGCCACTGCATAGCCTTACCTGGAACACGTGGTGTCTCCCTGTGCCCAGGGAGACAAAAACAACAATGTTGGTGAACTTGGGCATACATTCATCTCAAGAGCCATAAAGGCCTGTTAGATTAGATTTGTTTGTTCTTAACTGTTTACTCGCCGTTACTCATGCATATCCTTTGATCTGTGTTCAGGCCTTTGATTTTATGTAAATGCCTAGGCGTACACATTTTCCTATAAGCCGAACTTAATAATGAGAAAAGAGGTAGACCAGAAGTCTCTTAGTGTCTAAAGTAGAAACAAAAAGATAGCTGTTAAGACAGAAGATGAAAAATAGAGAGGCTCAGAGTGCAAAAGGAAATGATACATTTTTTGAGGTCTTTCCCGATGGGACTTTTCTGTAGGCTGCACATCATTGGAAACGCCTCATAGAGTTAACTCTGTGGTTTTACTTTACTCACAGGACTCTTGTTAGATCTGTGGGAACTACAAGACAGTTGCTACAAGTATGAAAAAGACTGTTACTAAATATATGAAAGACCTGATAATTTACTTTTTTACCTTATGTATTGGCATATTCCACACTCTGCACTATTCTTGAGTGTGATCGCTTAGGAATGAATATGATTTGAACTCACTCAGGTTTAGAGAGGGTGTCACATTGAGAACTAGGCAGATCCACCTACACTAAAAATGACCCTAAAGTAAATTGGTTGAAGAAATTAGATCTTAAAGATTCTTGATTTTTCCAAAGGTAAATTTTGAAATCTTCATCAGTATAGCCATATTAAAAGGAGATGACGACAGATGCCAAAAATCAAAGAATTATGGCCTGACAGGACAACTGCATTAAAATAAGCATCAGTTTCATTAAAAAGGGCTAACTTGAAGATAAATCTTTTGAAGATAAATTTTGACTCCAGCTCTTTAGAGGATCTAAAGTGACCTCGATGGACAGTGGAAGAACTTACAACATGGAATTCCTTGAATAAAAATCTATTGACTTTAAATAATTTTGCCTAATGTTACACACACACAGTTAAAACGAAAACACCTCTTTACACTGTCAAAAAAAGAAGAAGAAAATGATAGATTTTCACATTGCCCCATTGATGCCATTAAAAATCTATATAATCACTAGAGTCAAGTATTAGAAATGCTATCTTCTGTGGCCGCGTTCTCTTTCAAGGCCTATTAGTCCCTAAATTATCTCCCTGGGCACATGGCAACACTACATGTTCCAGGTAAGGCTATGTGTTGAGAAACAGTAGTGCTGGCTAAAGCCTCACAGTGAAATTAACATCCAGTGAAATTAATCTATTTGCAGGCTGCAAATGCCTATAGCAGTTGATGACTGTGATGAAAAGTGCTTTCACTTTCATGGACTATTTCAAACTTCCAAGAGAAGTTAAGGTGGAAACAAACATGAGCCAGACTCCCTAGTTCCCCATCTCTTTTCCTTTCTTCTGGGTCTTATCCACATTCTGTACCCTGAAAAAGCCCAGATCTTCTCCTGTACCTGCCCTATGTGCTGTCTCCAACCATCCTTAAAGCAAGGCCTCTGCCAAACACACAGAGTGAGGAGCCACCTATATGGCATGATGTTTGTCTTGACATGAGTGGAGACCACAGAGGCTTCCCCACACTCCCTTTGCAGATCTATCAGCGTTCTCCTGTACAACTACAGTGCCAGGACACTCCAGTTTTAGCTGCGCGTTGGTGTAGGGCATTGAAGGCCTCATAAAAATTACAGCTATCTGACAGCACTGATAGTCAAAGCCACTATCTATTAAGTGGTTACTATATGCTAGTGACTTTATATATGCTAGGTTATTAATCCCACCACAACCCTAGCAGTATTATTACTTCCACTGAAAACTGAGTTTTAGTGAGGTTAAGCAAACAACCCAAGGCAGCATAGCTAATAAAAGACAGAGCCAGGATTTAAACCTAATTCCATCTGACTCCTCCTACATGAAACAATTATAGCAAACATTTGTTGAAAGCTTACTACATGCCAATCATTGTTCTGAGCTCCTTACTTGTGTTAACTCATTTTTTCCCACAACAATTCTAGGAAGCAAACACTGCTATTGCCACCTTTTTGCAGAGGAAGGTACTGAGGTGAAGCGACTTGCCCAAACCCTACAAAAAGTAAGTGGTTAGAGCTGGGACTGCAATCCAGAGCTCTCTGTATTGAGACCAATCCACTCTTTTTTTTTTTTTTTTCATTCTTATATGTTTTAATTGTAAAATTTTCAAAAATTCCTACTTCCATGTCATCACCTAGATTTAACGACTATTGACATTTTGCTATATTTGCTTCAGTTTTTGTTGAAATACTTTAAAATAAGTTAACATGTCATAGTATTTTACTCCTTAATACTTCAGCGTGCATCTCTAAAGATGGATTTTTTTTACATAATCACAATAGCATTATCACACCTGATAAAATATATTACCAATTCCCTAATACCATATTCAAAATTCTGTAATTGTTCCAAAAGTATCTTTTCTACAGTTGGTTTGTTCAAACTAGTATCCTGCGAAAAATCATGAATAACATTTGCTAATTATATAATTCTAAAACACCTCCTTCCTACTCCCTTTTTGTACCATGACATTAATTGCTAAGGAATCAAGATCAGTCTATAGAATGATCTGCCTTCTGGATTTGTTTATTTCCTTGTGGTGCTGATTAAGTTTTTCCTCTAGTTTCTGTGTTTCTTATGAAGTGGAAACTTTAACTAAAGGCTTGAGTAGATTCACTTTCAGCAAGAATGCTTCATAGATGATATTGCAACTTCATATTGTACCACATTTGGATCTTCACAGTAACTGGCCATTGCATCAACAGCAGTGTCAAGAGCATCATAGCATCGGATGATGATGGACAGATGCCTCTGCTGCAGAGTTATGCCCCCGCCCCAACACTCAATTGGCAATCATCTGGGGAAGTCTGTCACAATGGTCCCTGTCCACCTTTCTTTTAGTGGTTTCAGCATCTGTCAAAGGTTCTTATTTGAATTTCCATCCTATCAAGGGCTGCAAAATGGTGACTTTCTGACCGTATTATTGCATCTACATTCACAGCTGACATTCTTCAATAAAGAAAAGTTTTCCTTCATCAAGTAGAACTATTTAGTTATGCTGAAATTCAGTATCTTCTAGAAAGACATTAAATCTTTAATTATTTTTAATTCTCAATTCTCAGAATAACCAATTCATGTAATAATCACCTCCAGTGATGGCAAATGAGTTTTGTTTTGGAAGACATTCTCTTTTCTAGTTATGTACTTGCGGAGTTTTATATATTCATAGTCATTTTTAAATGCTCAGGTTGTCTCACACTTGCCACTGTATACTCTTCAACTAGAATGCTACTTAACCCAGATTAAAATCCACGTTTCCCGTGTAGTAACTGAGTGACTCTTGCTTCTGTGCCTCTGTCTCTCAGAAATAAAACTGGAATTCAAAATTCTATAGAGCTTATAAGATGGTTGTAGTAATTAAATGAGACAGGTCAGCTACCAGGCTTAGCGAAGGCCATAAACAAAGAAAGAATGTGACAAATGTTAGTTGCTCCTATTTTCATATCATCACCATCTAATGCTAAGTCTTCACTAGGGAAGGAATTAGGGTCTGGAGATGCGGTGGTAAAGGGAAGAGCAAGGGTCTCAAATGCTTTAGAGAGAAGATTCTCACCCAGAACAGTGACACATGAGGGCTTTGCAGGGCCAGGAACAGGTAAAGAAACTAGGAACCTGGTGAAGGGAAGAAGGCAGGAGGCAGAATAAAATATTCCTGGAAAAAAATTATTTTTGTTTGTTTCACAGTTTTCTCAGGGCCTATTCTATTCCAAGATATCGAAAAGAATGCTGGTGAAACTAGAGCTAAGTGGCTGTCTCAGAACCTACCAGAGTAGAGAGGTCAGGTCATTTCTAGGCTTCAGGTGGCTTGTCCACCTGTCCTGCCAGCCCAGTCTCAGTTTGGGCATTAGCTGATGGGCTAAGCTGCTTGTTTCATGCTGGTCTGTAAGAAGAGCTTACAAGTGGGAAGACAAGTTCAGCATCATCTTCAAATGACAATGGTCATATGAAATACTAAAGATAGTTTCCTGTAAAAACCTCCCACAGAAACGAAAAGTTTTTAAATAAAACATGTCATCCAAAATTGTAAAGTGAGAAAGATTGTTTTCATCTCATGTCTTTGAATTGTATTGTGAGAGGTATTGGTCTTCTTCCACCAATCCAAAGTTAAGGACAAATAAATTTCATTGTATCGGAAACTTTGGAGGAAAAATTTGATGCTATTATTTTCCTTCCATGGAAATTTTATTCTGGGGATATATTTCCGTAGCAAATGCATAGTAGTTGCCAAAGAAACAAGTTAATAGTAGGCTTGATAAGAGGGATTTCTTAAAATGAAGAGCCGTTTTATCCTCCCCACCATGTCTTTCCCTTTCAGAATACTTGCTGACTCACCCCAGCCTCCCAGAACATAAACGACGGTGTTATAGCCACGAAATCCTACAAAAACCACTTCACTTCCGAGCATGTACACACATATATGTGTGCGTGGAATGTGCGCATGTGTGTTTAGGGGGTGGAAGTAAGGGCTTTCCTTCTTTCTCTTTTTATTCTCTTTTTTTTTTTTCAGACAGAGTCTTACTCTATTGCCCATGCTGGAGTGCAATGGCGCTATCTCCGCTCACTGCAACCTCCGCCTCCCGGGTTCAAGCGATTCTCCTGCCTCAGCCTCCCAAGTAGCTGGGATTACAGGCACCCACCACCATGCCCGGCTAATTTTTGTATTTTTAGTAGAGACGGGGTTTCACCATGTTAGCCAGGCTGGTCTCAAACTCCTGACCTCGCTATCTGCCCGCCTCAGCCTCTCAAAGTGCTGGGATTACAGGTGTGAGCCACTGGGCCTGGCCTATCTTTTTATTCCTTAATAAAAAATGTTTGTTTCCTCACAACTTGACAGGAACTGGCTCTGAGATTTACAGAAATAACTGAAGGGATATCGCTCATGCAAATTATCCTGCTTCTTCATTAGCTGTGGTGCTCACAACAGCCAAAGCTCTCCGTCCTCCCTCTTTTTAGGTCATGTTAGGCTTTCCTTTATAATCATATTCAGTGGACTAGCATGCCTCAGTAGAATGTTGAGTGACTTGAAAAATACTTGGCTACCAGACAAGAAAGTAAAACAAAAGCTACGTGTGTAACGTTTAACAAAGGAACATTCAGAATCTTCCCTCTGGGAGAAACAAAGCAGCAAAGAACACCCTCGTCCTCCTCTCCCAAATAAAAACTGGGAGAAAACATCCTGGAAAATAAATGCCAACACCAGAAGCCAGTTACTAGGAAGAAACATGATGAAGTTTTAAACCATTTACTCTCATTTTGTTCTTTTAAACCAAGGCCACTAATAACCTCAGAAATGTCGACTGATTATCTTCTTTCTGCTTGGTTGGTATATCTGTACCAAAATGTTCAGATGGAAGGTAAACAAAGGCCTAGCAGCTCAGATTTTTTAAAATTTGAACTGGAACTCATTTATTTGTATTTCAAAATTCCGAGGCAGATTACCTGGAAGACATCCAAAACCTCAGAAGCCAAAAGTTCTGCCAAGCATTTTTCAGCTTGGTAATCGGTAATATAATACAGCCAGATCATTAAAGAAATCCTGTTCTGAATTCCCTTGAAGTTTCTAAGGCAAAGTTTAAACAAAAATTATTTCCTTCAGAGTCTCCTATGCATGATAAGTTTCCATCTGTGCATAAGGAAACAGCATAGTAGATTAGACACCTTGACTAAGAACAAATAAACACAACAAAAATAAACGTACATTGCATTTCTCTCTAGACCTGCATGGCTGTGTATTCACAAAGCAAAACATTGTATATCTTTCGTCTCTTAGGAAGAAGTTGTTTATTACTCCTTTGCTTTGTCATGGCCATCTTGCTCATTTACTTTTCAATAATCACATATTGAAAACCCACTCTGAAGAAGGTGCTGTGCCAGACACCATGTAAAGAGACAAAGATGTAGATACACAGACTCTGCGCATGTGGGGCATAATATATAGTGGTGGGGAGGAGGAGAAGATATATACAGATAGGTATTAAACCAGGTGGAAGGTGTTGGGAAAAAGTACCTTAGGAAAGGCAAGATGAGATGCTCTGGATGTCCGGAGAAAGGTATGTTAATTAGAATGAAGAGGTCAGGAGAGATTTCAGGAAGGAGGTGGAATGAGAGCTGCATCATGAAAGGAAGGTGGGATGTGGACAAAGTGGAGAAGGTCTTAGAGTACCATGGTGCTTCATCAAGTGCCTTGTTGCCTAAAGTGTTCTGCTTCTTTCCAACCTGTGTCACGTGTAAGTCCATTTATACACTTAAACCAAAACTGAGTACATGAGAACATATATTTCTCACCCACACATTAAAATCAAGTTGAGGCCGGGTGCAGTGGCTCATACCTGTAATCCCAGCACTTTGGGAGGACAAGGTGGGCAGATCACTTGAGGTCAGGAGTTCAAGAGCAGCCTGGCCAACATGGTGAAACCCCATCTCTATTAAAAATACAAAAATTAGCAGGGAGTGGTGGCAGGTGCCTGTAATCCCAACTACTCAGGAGGATGAGGCAGGAGGATCACTTGAACCTAGGAGGCGGAGGTTGCAGTGAGATCGTGCCACTGCACTCCAGCCTGGGCAATAGAGCGACGCTCTGTCACTAAATAAATAAATAAATAAATGAAACGAAGTTGAATATTATCTCACAGTTCTATACAATCACAGTTTGCTTTTTATGCTGCTATTTATTTTTTCCATCTAAGTTGTCTTAGTGCACCATCTCCTTAAATTAACTACCAGAAAACAGGTGAAACCCATGAAACCTAGTGTTTTAGTGGAGCCATCCACTACTCAAGACCAATGTGGGAACCGCAGTCTGAATTATTTGACCTCATCAATAAGCACATTCCCACTTTGCCTATGAAGGGTGCTTATAGTAAAGAATCATCTCTTAGCCACTGTTCCACTGTGTCAATCTATGGAAAAATCAAAACGCACTTACTGAATTCATTTAAGTAAGCATTCACTGGGAAATTCCTACCCCAAAGACACTGTGTCAATTCGGAGGACTCAGGATGGCTCCCTGCAGGCATCTCACAGGCTGGAGGTGGAACTCACACCCACCTGTAATGCAGTGTATGATAATAGAGCTGTACACACAGATCCTTGGAAGCACAATACACAAGTACATCTAATGCCCACATTAAACTTTTAAAATGAAGCTGGTTTTCATTTGCATATGTAAATTCATATTCCTATTATTTGGGCTTCTAGTTGTAAGATAAGCTGAAAATGTTCTTCAGACTTTTTTGGTATTAGCTTTAGAACCTATTTATATATGAAGCACATGCAAAATATTAGTATTATTTTTTAAGCCATTTGCCAATATTGAAAAAATAACTGGTTTCATTTACTAAACTTGAATGTGAATGATATTTCACTTTGTCCAACATTCAAATATACTTTCACATCCAAAGATTTGCCACAATTGAGAATACTGAAAAATGTGCCACATATTTTGAAAGTAATTTTAAAACATATACATTGGAAAAGCATTTAGAAATGTTTGTGACAGTGGAATCATTTCAATGTACTTTCCTACCTCCTTTGTTATCTTTGTCCATTTTGTGTTGGTATAACAGAATACCACAGACTGGGTAATTTATAAAGAAAAGAAATTAGGCCCGGCGCGGAGCCTCACTCCTGTAATCCCAGCACTTTGGAAGGCCAAGGCGGGTGGATCGCCTGAGGTCAGGGGTTTGAGATCAGCCTGGCGAACATGGTGAAACCCTGTCTTTACTAAAAATACAAAAATTAGCTGGGCATGGTTGCGGGCGCCTGTAATCCCAGCTATTTGGGAGGCTGAGGCAGGAGAATTGTTTGAACCCAGGAGGTGGAGGTTGCAGTGAGCTGAGATCGGGCCACTGCACTCCAGCTTGGGCGACAGAGGAAGGATCCATCTCAAAAAAAAAAAGAAAAGAAAAGAAAAGAAATGTATTTCTCATAGAGTGCATGTGACAGAGAGGGAGAAAGAGCAAGACAGTGATGCAGCAGAACTTGCTTTTACGACAAACCCACTCTCGCAATAACTAATCCACTCCTGCAATAACAATATTAAGCCATTCATGAGGATAGAGCCCTCCTGACCTAATTACCTCCTGTGAGGCCCCACCTTCCAAGACTGTTGCATTGAGATTACATTTCCAACACATGAACTTTTGGGGGACACGTTCAAACCGTAGCATTTGTCTAGCAACTTCCTAATGTTCACAACTCAGATCCTGCCTCCTAGATTTCCCTCTGCACTCCCATGCTATTTTTTGAAACCTATAATTCCATCGCTAAAACCAAGTCAAAGACAACCATACCTTTGTTTCCTCATCTGCAGGAGGTGATAACCGATAGTATTCATAGAGGCAAAATAAATTAATGCCATGTAAGAACAGCATGTAAACCATAGTATCATAAAAGTATTCACTATCATTATTCAAGTAATTTTCACATAGTAGGTCACCAATATCGGATCATTGAATAAAACATATACCTTGTTCAATAGATATATCAGAATTTATACATCCAAAGGTTTGTTAGCCTCTTTCATAAAATGAGCTACAATCTCACTTCATAAGTTAAAAATAAACATTCATTGAATCTAAGCTACAGCTTTATGCATTGAAAACATTACCAACTTATTTACATAGCACATTAAAATTTTACAAAGCACATTTACAGGGAGAGAATTAATTTAATTTTCTTCCACACTATGTGATACAGCTCTAGTGCCAATCATAAATGACAAACCCTTAATACATTTGCCCATCTGGGCTCCTCTTTCCAAAGTACCTAAGTATCTAGTGAGGTGCAGTGGCTCATGCCTATAAATCCCAACATTTTGGGAGACCGAGGCAGAAGGATCATTTGAGCCCAGTAGTTCAAGACCAGCCTGGGCAACATAGGGAGACTCCCATCTCTACAAAAAATTAAAAAATTAGCCAGGCATGGTAGCACATGCTTGTGCTTCCAGCTACTCGGGAAGCTGAGGTAGGAGGATTGCTTGAGCCCAAGAGGCCAGGAGGTTGAGGCTGCAATGAGCCATGATCATGCCACTGCACTCAGTTTAGGAAACAGAGAGAGACCTTGTCTAAAAAAAAAAAAAAAACAAAAACAAAAACAAAAAAAACAGTTCTAAGTTGTAGTTGAAATCTGCAGTAACTGTTTAATCAATGAGCTTCTAATGGTCTTTTTATTATGATTATCAAATGTCTATGCAAACATTTCTTCCTCTGAACTTCACCCTCCTGAAAAGGGGCAACTGTGAATGACTATTCCCTTTCTATACCAGTTCCAATAGCACAGTGGAGAGGGGAGGGAAAAATAAACACACACATTTCTAACTTTCCAGCCTACTGACTGGTCTGCCCTTTCCCCTGGCCAACATCCTCAAAAATATGATAATGAAGTGGTTTGTGTGATTGTGAAAGAGTGTGTGCGTTTCCCTGGGCTGGAGCCAAGGGAGAGAAAGAAGGTATCCAAACACAGCTGCAGTTACCTCTCCCCGCTCAGTCATTTCAGGGAAATGGACTCAGCATATCTGGAAGGAGGTCAACTGGGGGACAAAATAAAAGGCTCTCTTGGTTGGTTGGTTCTGCACAGATCCTGAAAGCAGGCTTCAGGCCTATACTATAACAATCCCTCTGACTTTGGCAATAAAATGAAGGAGAAACATCACAGAAAATACCAAAGGAAGAACCAGTCAAATCCCATTATCACAAACTCCCAGAAATTTGTTTAATTATTTTAATATTTTCAATATAGCTGACTGGAGTGAACATTAGTTAACATGAGTAAGTGATAAATTGGATCTAAATTGTCATTTGTATCTATAGAGATGTTGCTATAAAGAAGTATGTCCAAGTTAGATTTTCACCTAGGCAGGTTGGGAAAAAAAAGATGAAAAAATATGTGCATTCTAACTATTTTCTACAAACTATATACATAGTAGATTATTCCATTGTTGACACTTCTGAATCATATGGCCATGGAAATTAAGGGGATCCCTTAATTGAACCCCTCAATTGAAAGAGGAGCAAACTAAAGCACAGAGTACATTGTCCATATAAACAACCACTTAGGGCTGCCATCTTCAATGGGAAGGTCTCTCTCAAGTTATAGACTGAAATCTAAGTCTGGCCCAGCATTCACTGGGCACCTTATTTTCTACCTACATTTTCATAAGATGTATCACAAACTTCAGCAATTATTTGTTGTGTACTATCTGCTATATATTTATGCAAGTTAACATTGAAATAATAAAATGAGAAGCCATTAGACAGGAACCCTGGGTTCCTACCTAAGGAAACTAAAACCTAGCTCAGCCTCATTTCATGCAAGAGGCTAATTTAAAAGAAATGAAACTTAAGCTCAACCAATCACATAGCCAACTGGGCATTGATTATTGTCTTGAACTTCCCACCAAGATAGTCCAAATAGGGCAATTTTCCAAACTTCAACCAATCAAATAATTTCTTTGCTCTGCTTTCTCATTCACCCTGTAAAAGCTTTTCCATCAACCACCTCTGCTGAAGCCCTGAACCACTTCCAGTCTAGAGCTGTCCAATTCATGAATTGCTGTCTGCCCAAATAAACTCTTTAAAGGTTTAATCTGCTAAAGTTTCTCTTTTAACATTAATCTTCTATTTAACATTACTATAAACTCCTTGAAGGCTACCACTATGGCAAAATGATTCTGAATCCTCCTGCTCCTGACACCTCCTGGGAACAGTGCTGAAAATCCAACATTGACTAAACCCCTTTCATTGGCAAATAGGCCCAGAGGGGCCAAGATGAGGGAGACAGACTCAAAAAAGCTCTTGTCCTCCTAAAGTTTAAAATGGAACAGGCAGAGCAACCTAAACAGCTCTAATACAATTTGCCATGGTAAAAGTATAGACAGTTCTGTGTGAATGCAGGTAACAGGGAGACTAATTCACCTGAGAGTATCTGACAAAAGATACTCAAAATATGATCCAAGAGCCAGCTCTCATTATTACTCCATATGAAATAAGTTCAGAAATTGAGAGTATTTATTTAGAAACTCTTACAGCAATTGACAAAGTAGAAATTCTACCTGCTGAATCTCATAATAAAAAATTACAACTTGTGCTTTGTGCTTTGTATGTCTGTGAGCAGATTGGAAATTTTCAAAAAAAAAAAAAAAAAAGGGAAAAGGAAGGAAGAGAGAAAAGGAAATTGGCCCTTCTGCACAAAGAAGTTGAGAAGAGTGGTCTTCAATGAATCAGGCTTGACCTAGTCCTTGCAGATGAGTAAGACTTCCACAGCTAACTATGTGAAAGAAGGGTGGAACGAGGACAGTCAGCAGCATCTATTCAGAAGGGGGGATTCCGGGAACAAATGAAGACAAACACAACTTGTGCAGTTGGAAGATATGAAGTGTGAGTATCCATGGACGTGTGGGAAGAGAACTCAGCATTAGTGAATGACGCAAAGGTTGGGAGATTTTATTCCAACCTGAAGAGTTTGCATCTCATAATGTTGGCAAGCAGAGAGCTATGAAAAGCTTTCAACTGGGAAGTGCTATAATAGAATCTGCACATGGATAAAGGATGTTCAGTAGCTACTTGCTAATTGAACTATTGCACATTTGCTATAGGGACTGTAAACTCAAATGCTTACCTAGGCCAGGCAGGTTCCATGCATAGGAAGGCAAGGTTATCAATCTAGCAAGCACTTGCCTCATCTAATGGGGCATCTACTACTCAGATCTTTCCAGCTGTTTTCATCTGGAGATGCACACCCAGTGTGCCACATCTCCAATTTTTCAAGAGAAGCTGAAAAGCTGGGTTTATATGGTAACTTCTAAATTACACATTAGCACTAACTTTAAAATTTTTTGGCCAAACAAAACAGGTCTGCGTGTTGGGTTTGTGGTCTAGTCCCCAATTTGCATTAGCACTAATTTTAAAAATTGTTAGAAGATACTATGAATTACACATTATCACTATGTTAAAGATTGTTAGAAGACACTATGAAGGCCAAACATGCTGGATTTTTTGTCCAGACCCCCAATTTGCATCTCTGTTTTAGCACAGAATAAAGAGAGGGAGGCACGGTGGCTCATGCCTGTAATCCCAGCACTTTGGGAGGCCAAGGTGGATGGATCACCTGAGGACAGGAGTTTGAGATCAGCCTGGCCAACATGGCAAAATCCCGTCTCTACTAAAAATACTAAAATTAGCCTAATGTGGTGGCACGCACCTGTAATCCCAGCTACTCAGGAGGCCGAGGCAACGAGAATCGCTTGAACTCAGGAGGCAGAGGTTGCAGTGAGCCAACATTGCACCACTGTACTCCAGCTTGAGTGACAGAGTGAGATTCTGTCTCAAAAAAAAAAAAAAAAAAGAGAGAGAGGAGAGAGAGAGGACTGTTACATCTGTCAAAGTGATCAACTGCTCCTCGTGTATTTTTTGGTCCCCAAAGCATACAGAGATTATTTTTAATACTCATGATGTGATGTCTGCACTGCCCTGTGTTGCTCTGTTTTCAAGGATGATTGCTGGCCTTACTGATTACCGCTGGTGTGTACTGATGTGCCCTAGTCTCGTATATACCTAAAATTCCTTCTTACACGGTTCAGCAGCAAAAATTATGTGCAATTAAATCATCCTTTATAGCTTTACAGCCTGTACTTCCATCACGAAGGGGTAGAGCAGTGTGTGATTCTTATTGCCTTCATCCCTTAAAGCCAGAGCACTTGTCATTCCTGGACCAAAACTGGGTGTCTCCATCCAGCCTTCAGTGGAATAGTGCTTCTTTCTGCCAGAGCATTTCACTATTCCCTTTTCTCTGAGGATTCTTGTGCACCTAATGTTGCCTGGGCTTGATTTCAGTCAAGATAAAGGCAGTATCGAGATGCAGCTTGTAGCCCCTTTAGGAAGCTTCCAAATTACGGGGCACTTAGAAAGGAAAAAGTTTTTCTTCCAATAGTTTCAGAAAAGAAAAAAGTCTGCCAGTAAATTTTAAATGTGTTTGTTAGAAAGCGTGGTGGGGGGTGAAGAGGAGAGGGAAATAAAAAGAATCAATAAAAACCCTCTTCCCAGCTGTTCATTCCACAGCCTGCATAAAGAATACACATCTTTTTGATTAAAGTGCAGCTTTCATGCCCTTCTCTGGCAGGCTGCCAAGCTGGCTTAAGGTGAGGTCTGCTATTTTAAGGTGGAATTGTTTGCATTTGACTTGAAAAGACTCATTATTCCATAGCTCACTTTTTCACACTGCCTCAGAGGGGAAGCAGCAATTTAAACCTGAAGAAACAATATGGAGGAAATGACCCTCGGCCCCTCAGGGAGAGTTTAAAAAACAAAAATCCAAATAACCTAATTCCACAGCTTTCACCATTCCCAGTGGCACTTCCTATGGTTCCAAGAAACTTAAATTCGACTTGATAGGGTTAAATGTCCGTAGACACTGACATCATAAATTCCCACAACAGACATTGTAAAAATCACTAAATCTTCAGATTTACTTAGTTTAGGTGGACTTTTTTGTTCATTTATCTTGTAAATGTATCCACTCAGAAATCCATATAACTGCTCAGACTTTGAATTGATTCCAGCAAAGGATAAACATTGTGGATTGCTAGCTGAGGTTTTTTTTTTTAAGCCTGGTTGGTTTTATATTTTTTTCACAAAATATCTTGGTCTTTTAGCCTGGGAAGTCATTGAGTCTGTGTCTGAAAAACAAATCACTGCACACATGCACAAATATGGCCAAGCTGTGCCATTAACCCTAAAATATGGCTGCCTGTCTCCGCTCCTCTGCTGTTCTAGAACACTTAGCTGGGCTCACTTCCTCTTAGCCAAGATGTGCTCCCTGCATTAGAATTGCCTGAGTTAATTATTGGATTTCTTAACCAACCCATTGTATAATTTGTTAGCCTCAAATCTTTTTGGAAGTATTAATTATTGGCTGTCTTTGTGTGCCCGGAGTTTGTGAGGCACTTAGTATGTTTTTGACCACCTGTAAGCCAAAAATAAAACTGTAAGCCCCTCCAAGTGAATGCAGGGATTCCCTCTCCACCAAGGAAATTCCAAAGAAATCTGAAGAACTAGTTCAGGTTGTGACAGGAAGGAATCATTATGCTCTCTCCCTTTCAGAGTTTAGACACAGCTGACCAGCATTAACATTAAAATAGAACAGGCATTTGTTTCTTTGTTGTTTGTTTGTTTGTTTTGGAGACAGGATCTCACTCTGTCACCCAGGCTGGTGTACAATGGCATCATCAGGGCTCGCTGCAACCTCAACTTCCCAGTCTCAGATGATCCTCCCACCTCAGCCTCCCAAGTATCCGGGACTACAGGTGCACACCATCATGCCCAGCTAATTTTTTTGTATTTTTTGTAGGGACAAGGTTTTGCCATGGTGCCCAAGCTGCTCTCAAACTCCTGGACTCAAGCAATCCACCCACCTCAGCCTCCCAAAGTGTTGGGATTACAGGTGTGAGCACTGAATCTTGGCCTGAAACGCAGCCAAGAACAGATTCTTTGTAGCAATAATACAGCAAATTCCAACCTGACTCTAGTATAATATCACATAACAGATAAAGAAGGATATCAAAATATTTTACACCAAATTATGTTTCTTTGCCATATTTTGAAATGGTCCCGCAAAGCCATTTTTTGTGGGGAAACTTTTGCATCTGTAAAGAATCTCTGTTAACTTAACATAACTAGATCTTTCCCCTTCCAGCCCCCTCAACCCTGAAGAGATTAACTGAGAGTCAAATACCTTTTAAAGGTCTAAATAGGAAACATTTGCCATCTATTGTCTCTAAGGGCAGCAACCTCTGTGATATCTTCTACTAATAAGAACTTTGGTCTCCACAACCCCTTATCTTAACCCAGACACTTCTTTTTATTGATTCCAGGTCTTTAAATAATAACTAACTCTTTCAACCAATTGCCAATCAGAAAATCTTTGAATCCACCTATGACCTGTAAACTCCACTCCACCACACCCCAAGCCATCCCTCACCACCCTCTATGCCACCCCCACCTCACTTCCACTTTGAGTTGTCCCGCCTTTCCAGACCGAACCCATGCATCCCTCACATTATATTCATTGATGTCTTATATCCCCCTAAAATGTGTAAAATCAAGCTGAAGCCCAACCATTTTGGGCACATATGTTCTCAGCACCTCGTAAGACTGTGCCTTAGGTGACGGTCACTCACATTTGGCTTAGAATAACCCTCTTCAAAGATTTTACAGAGTTTGACTCTTTTCATCAACTCTTTTCATCAACATACCTTTTAGCAAGATGGTGTCTCATAAATATAAAGCAGGAATTTTAAGTTTATTTTTTCCCTTCTTATCCAAATCTCACTGTTCTTTTGTTATTATTAGCACTTGGAACTGATATTTGAATATTTCCCCATTGCACTGTAATAATGCACAACAATCTGCGTGTATCTGGTACAGAATGATCGTTTTCCAGAAACAGAGAGAGGGTTCTTTGTCTTGTGATATAAAGAAAATATAGTCATAAATTAAAATGTCTATGCTATTGTTAATTTTTTAAAACTATAGAACAAAACAATTCCACACAGAGTAGATGGGAAATGAAATGGAATACTTTTCCTCACCTAGATTAGATGATTTCACTTTTCCCATTCTGTCTATTTCCTTTCTATGTCTTCTCTCAAGTTGTAAAGTTTCTTTTAAAAAATAATTTTTTAAATAAATAAACAGTTTGAATTTAACACATGCAAGAAGGGCTTTGATATAACTGCTCACAACACACTGGTGGAAATCACTGAGTTGTAGGGACAGCTCTATAAAACATTTCTGCAAGGCAATGGAATAATTTACTTTCTTCAAAAGACTCAGTCAAGTCCTTTTAGCTCCCAGAAGAGTACAATCTACCTCAGTTAAAAGATGAGAAGAGAGTCACTAATGGCTTTGGGCAGAAACCTTCCTATGTCAGTACCTGGAAAGGGTTACCCTGGGCCCAGGTGTGGCCTCAGCTTCACTACACACATTATGTCAGTAAATCATCGATTTTTAGTGTTAGTTCCCATTTGAGAATTAAAGCAAAGGTCATGAGTTTCTTCCTATGTAAATATACATATGTCCATGTATCACCAAAGCCCTTTCCTGGACCCCACTACCCAATTTTTAAGTTTGCCCAGAGGTGATATGTCTCTGGAGCTAGATTCATGCAAAGCAAACCCAAAGTCTGATTTACTAAGCCAGAATGCCAATTTACTCATTTAGAACTGGCGACATGGCTTGGCCCAGGAGTTAGGCCAACTGTCTGCACATTCCCTTTTGGTAGGTAGAGCTACACAGAAAATCAAATTACAGATCCGAAGACTTCCTGGTGATTTTAGAAATAGAACAGAGGAGGTGGATGTTATCATGCAATAGCAGCCTGATCAATTTCTCTTCTCCATTCCAAGGATATTTGTGTCTACCTTCCAACCTCAGAGTCCCCTCTCCCCTAGATGCTGTTTGTCAAATTCCAGTATACAGAGGGGAGGGGCTCGGAAGATAAGTCTGTCTGTCACTTGCATAAAATTATTAAGCCAAACAAGTTAAATGCAACTCAGAGTGTGGCAGATTTGGGGACCACTCCAATCATTTCTTCTTCAGGATGTGTTCCTTTTGAGGATTTCAGAATTACTTTATTAGTAATGAGTACACATTTCTTCTGCAGCTGGCTATAAATGGAATGTTTTTAGTTTACGTTTCAAAGAGAGAATTCGGCCTGAGTTTTTCTGTAAGTCTTCTGAGCTCATCTTGGTTGGTAATTATCAGCTACCATGCATCAACTATAGAGTTGACCCTAGTGCTTATTTGCCGTAATACAGAGCAACCATGGCACAGATCATCTAAAGCAGCTGTTTAAACGCACGTATGGTATTTTTCAAGGACATCTGCTTCCTGGGTTTTTTCTTAGATTATTATTTCATTGTGTTTGCCTTTGGAGCCCAGGAACACATTAAGTGAGAAAGAATATAGTATTTTCCACTTGCTGCTCAGTCTCTCTCTCTCTCTCCCCCTGCCACCTCCTCTCCCTCTTTCAGTAAATGTCATTCAAAGCTAAGAATCTAGAAATTCTTCTTCAGCCTATCAGCTACCACAGCAGAAATCTCAATCTCTGTTGGTAAGACTTAAAATTTTCTCCTAAATTATGCTAATGAGACCATTTGCACAGTGATTTTTTTACAAAAGGAAACAGGCTTGTCCTGTGCTCTTTTCCTTGTGAGGAACCAGGTAAAGTAAGGCAAGCAAGTTTTCCTAAGTGTATAGAACAAAATGACAAACATGAGGGCTGTGGGAAAAGCAAAGGCTAACACGGAGCCAGAGAAGCTGATACCAGGCAGTTTAGCAGAGCACTAGGGCCAAACAGTAGAACTTCAATACAGAGCTGAACAGAAGTTGGAGCGGGGACCAAGATTAAAGCAGACAAAGAGATGACAGGAAGATTTCTAGAGGCAGGGCGCCAACTCACCTGGCTGATGAGGTCATCTTTTTTAAAAGGGCTAGGATGATGTGAACAAAGTCAAACTATGATTCAGGATAGCAAATAGGAAGCATTTCATGAAAGCTGTGTGAGAGTAGCAACAGGTCAAGCAAAGCATCTCGATGTGATCCGGGCATCACAGGAAACAGGAGTAGCTTTATCTCCATGGGGCTTAGTGTAAAGATGCTATCTGGCTCCTTTCTCAACCAGTTGCCTCAGCTGAGGCATCACAAAAATCAGCACAAGATACTCCAGGGGTACTCATTATCTTCAAGTCTCCTGATGAGTTAGATTTCCTCAGAACAAGTGAATGGAAATAAAACGTAAGACAATCCAGGATTCATAAAAGCTTCACCTTGGCAGAACTCCTGGGTGGTCTAATCTTCCAGGATTCTGATTTGCTGTGCTTTCCTTTGAAACTAAATAGAAACCTCCAACAGGCCCTTATTTCTGCTTCCGAAACATGTTGAAGTTTGTCAAGAGTTTAGCTTATATTTTGGACAAAATGGCATCACTTAAGTTAATGTTCTTTAGTAAATACTGATTAAAGATATGCTCAAGAGATTTGTATTTGTATTTTCTTTCTTCAGAAGAGAAAAATTTCTTCTAAAGATGAACACAAATTGTACAAGAAATATTTTCCATTAAACTATGTTGTGGTTCTTGGCCAGGCGCAGTGGCTCACACCTGTAATCCCAGCACTTTGGGAGGTTGAGGCAGGCGGATCATCTGAGGTCAGGAGTTCAAGACCAGCCTGGCCAACATGGTGAAACCCCATCTCTACTAAAAATACAAAAATTAGCTGGGCATGGTGGTGGGTGCCGGTAATTCCAGCTACTTGGGAGGCTGAGGCAGGAGAATCGCTTGAACCCGAGAGGAGGAGGTTGCAGTGAGCCAAAATGGCACCATTGCACTCCAGCCTGGGCGATAAGAGCGAGACTCCATCTCAAAAAATATATAAATAAAATAAACTATGTTGTGGTTCTTACTTTGTGAACTCCAGAGAAGTTAAATTCTTCTCCACCAAAACCCCAGTAAACAGTAGGCCAGGAACAATGCTTAACTGCTAATACAACGTTGAGGCACTATTAGCTAAACAACACTAACAGACCCAAGTCATAAAATTTTCCTACCAAACATTATATAGGAAATATTGTCATCTTTTCCTTTAATTGCATTCAACAGAGAGCTAATTCATCAATTGCATTAACAGGTATTTAATGACTTGGGAAGAACCTGAGTGATCTTAACACTGGTGGCATGAAAGCTGTGTTGAAACTATAAGTTGTTAGGTATCTCTGCAGCAGTAAATCAGTATATTTATTGGAGAAGAGCTTTGGGGAAGAGACATCCTTTCACTTTTTTTTTTTTTTTTTTCTCAAACCTGCTAATTCCAAACAGAACTTTAAATTCACAACTGGCACCTTCCATTTCCTTTAAGGAATTGGGCAATTACTATTTGTCTCAGTCCATTTGGGCTGCTCTAACAAAATACCTTAGACTGGGTACATTATAAACAACAGAAATTTATTCCTTACAGTTCTAGAGGCTGGGAAGTCCAAGATCAAGGTGCCAGCAGATTCAGGTCTGGTGGGGGCTCATTCCTCATAGATGGTGCCTGGTTGCTGTGTCCTCACATGGTAGAAGGGGCAAACGAGCTCCCTCAGTCCTCTTTTGTAAGGGCACTAATCCCATTCAAGAGGGCTCCATCCTCATGATCTAACCATTTCCCAGATGTTCCATCTCCCAACACTGGGGATTAAGTTTCAACATATGAATTTTGGAAAAACATGAACATTCAGATCATAGCACTATTGCAACCTGCAATTTTTAAACATGAGAATAGAGCTGATGCCTTTACAGAGAATGAAAGTGTTCCATGTCTTAACCTGGATAGTGGTCACATAAAGTTGGGATTCAGGCAAATAGCTAGATATATAGATAATCAATTAAATAACATGATGACATATAAGCCAAGTGCTAGGGAACTACAGATAACAAGAGCTGTGTTTAGAGAAGGAAGACAACCCTATCCGGGGACAAGTTAGGAGGAGGTTTTATAGGAGGTGAGATTTGAGCTGGCATTAAAAGGCAGGTAACACCCAGACAAGAAGAGAGAAGAGACCATTGCTCAAAGGAGACATTCACTGTGCCCAGAAGTATGGAGGGGAAATGACATAGGAGCCAGTACATATATATAGTAGACACAGGAAGCATATTTCCTTGACTTTCATTAAAATAGCACTTTATTTACATATTCTTCACTTTTATTAGGTCCCCATCCTTCAGCAAGCTAAGCTAAATTGTAGTATGTAACGATTTCAAGTCAATTATTCTGAAGAAATCTCTTTATTCATATGACCTGTCTTTTTTCTTTTTTTTTTTTTTTTTTTTTTGAGACAGAGCCTCCTTGCTCTGTCACCCAGGCTGGAGTGCAGTGGCGTGATCTTGGCTCACTGCAGCCTCCACCTCCCGGGTTCAAGCGATCCTCCTGCCTCGGCCTCCCGAGTAGCTGGGACTACAGATGCGCGCCCCCACGCCTGGCTGATTTTTGTATTTTTAGTAGAGACCAGGTTTCACCATGTTGGCCAGGATGGTCTCGATCTGCTGACCCCGTGATCCACCCGCCTCAGCCTCCCAATGTGCTGGGATTACAGGACCTGTCTTTTTTCATAAGGATTGCAAACAAAACAAACAACAAAAATCTCTGGTATTTGGAGCATCCCCTTGGAATTTCCATGACATGACCTTATCACGGGTAATCTCCCAGAATTGAGAATTTGCAGCACTCCTTTTTCAATGAACCTTAGACAATCATTTATTTTCCACTTAATCGGTTTAGTCCGTGGAGCCTGCACTTCACTAGAAAACCATTTGGGAGAAGGAGAGGTATTCATTCAAAATATCTTGGTTCATCGAGCCAATTAAGAATCAGAAAAGAGCCTGGGCATAGTGTCTCATGCCTTTAATCCCAGCACTTTGGGAGGCTGACGTGGGTGGACCACTTGAGGCCAGAAGTTCGAAACCAGCCTGGCCAACATGGTGTAACCCCATCTCTACTGAAAAAAAACAAAAAAAATCAGCCAGGCGTGGTAGAGCATGACTATAATCCCAGTCACTCAGGAGGCTGAGGCAGGAGAATCACTTGAACACAGGAGGCTGTGATTATTGTGAACTGAGTCTTGAAGCAGAGCAAGACTCCATCTCAAAAAAAAAAAAAAAATCAGAAAACATAGCCACCTTCATTCTCACTGTTGCTTTACAATCTTTTGTCTTAGGTTAAGTCAAATTTAAAGCGAGTCTCTGGTACGGGAGTGTGATATTCTTGTCTCTGTTTACTTCAAACATTGTTTAAACTACTCCTGTGGACTAAAATAACCTTAGCCAGCCCTACATTTGACTTCTAGGAGAGTTTATCATATTCTTCATGGAAAATTTCTTTTTTGTTTCAGTTATCATGGAAATGATAAGATCACGAAAGGAAGACTGAGCACCTGGAATGTAGTTGTAATGAGTGGAACTAAACTTCAAGTTTAGGTTAGTTGAACTAAGTTAAGTTTACACAGAAGAGAGAAGTTGCTGACAGCCAAGAAAAAAAACTATGTAAAATCAACCACTTCCCCACATGCATTTTGAAATGTAAATACATTTAACACCCAGAGAGGTGCAGGGGAATCTAGCTATTTTGGGCTATTCTGAGCAAGGACAGCTGTATGTTCTGAAACATATGGCTCCACATTTGTAAAAGGGAAAGGGGTGAGGCAAGAAACCACAGAATGGCATATTTGAGTTGGTCATTTTGAGATTCTTAGAAGTTCTGACATGAAAAAAATGACTCCCTAATACTCAGCATGACAAGTATCAGTCATTGGGGAACATTCTGTCAACTGGTATTTGAATTGGAACAAGTGGAGATAAGGTTCTTTCTACACAACAGGCCGGTTCAGTTCACCGTAATCAGCAGGACAATTCCTCCTTCCCATTTTGTCCCTGTTTATGTGCTTGGGTGAAGGGGTTATGGAAGGGAATGGATCACCCTTTGTATATCGCATGAGTTCTTTCAAGGTAGCTAGGAGCCAAAAGACTTGCTTTTCTGGTTTTCTCATTGTTTCCAGTGCCAACAAGGCTCCCTGGAACCTCCAAGCTATGACATGATTATGCTCATTATGAAGGGCAAATAGGACCAGCCCTCCAGACACTCCAACACCAAAACTATTTTTATTAAGGATTTTCTCCACTTACCTGGGAGTGGTTAGGTTTTGGAGCTTTTTGGAGGTATTTCCTCTCACATTCCTACCATCCTGGCATACAATTGTTGGACACCTGCCTATTTCACATCCTCCTTCCTCCTTTTCTTATCGCTCCCTGAGGTGCAGTTTACCCTCCCCTGCATCCCCCACCATCTGGACCAGAGTTTCTGCCTCTCTGAACCTAATTATTTCTCTTATTCTCTTGAACTACTGCTTCCCTTTTGCCTATGACTCATAACCTTTTATTAACAAACAAACAATTCTTTGCTCTTACAGTGTTCCCAGCTCAGTTTTTCTTTTCTGCATTCTGTTAAGTGCACACTGACAGGTGAATACCAAAGTATTTTATGTTACTACCCGCCCCAACACACACACACAAACACACACACACACACACACACACACACACTTAGTAAACCTTTTCTTAACCTCACTGGGGTCACCATGCAAGTGATATTTACAATGCCAGAGATTGAAGCCTGAAATACCCAGCTGAAAAATCTTTAAATTTCAGAAGGCAAATGAAAAGAGAAACATAAATGAGTAACACAACAATTTGACGATGAAGAAAACCAAAGAGGAAGAGAGCTCTGAATATAAAATGGCTAATATTAAAGAGTAAGAGTACATTTGAATGAGATAATAAGGGAAGGGAAAAATAGTTTCTCAAAAGGGGCAGATGTATTGTCCTGATTTCTAGATCATAACAGAGACCCAACAAAGGAGAGGGTATCAAGAATTCTTCATTTTGAGTTGTCCGTCAACCAAGGCATTCTGGTGGCAAATCACCTAATCTCTCCTTACGTCTCCACTTCAGTATCTATAAAACTATATGTAATAAATCTAAACTATGGACCATGTGTAGTCTAAGGAGTACCTGATTCAAGATTATTCAGGCTAATACTAATGCTCCAGGTTATTTCTGTTATGATTGATATTGTCAGAAAAGCCCAGAAAGGATTTAGAAATATTTGATGATGAGATGTGGAGCCAGGGAGGGATTGCAGAGGAGTCTTTGCATCTTTGACTTGGAGACTTCAAAAAAATACACTGAGGCTGGGCACAGTGGCTCACACCTGTAATCCCCACACTTCGGGAGGCAGAGGCAGGCAGATCACTTGAGGTCAGGAGTTTGAGACCAGCCTGGCCAACATGGCGAAACCCCGTCTCTACTAAAAGTACAAAAAAATTAACTGGGCATGGTGGTGCACGCCTGTAATCCCAGCTACTTGAGAAACTGAGGCATGAGAATTGCTTGAACCCGGGAGGCGGAGGTTGCCGTGAGCTGAGATCATGCCACTGCACTCCAGCCTGGGCAACAGAGCAAGACTCTGTTTAAAAATAATAATAATAATACTCTCAAAGGGACACCACCAGAGGATTGTATCAGCAGGATTTATTCTCAGAGTTGATTGATGGATTCCCTGTCTATCTGGGAGTGGTTAGGTTTTGCAGCTGTGTGGAAGTGTTTCCTCTTACATTGCTATTGTCCAGGCAGGTTCATTCTGAAAAGCAGCTTGCTGACAGGGGTGTGTGCTAGCTGCAATAGAGGAACAATGATTGTTAATTAAGAAGAGGACCCAATAACAAGAAATCACAAGCTCCTAGGTATCAAAAACTTGCCTGACTACTTATCTTAGCAATGCCTTTAGGCTCTTCAGCCAGTTCTGCCTGTCAGACCTCAGAGAGCTATTCTAATTGGTACAGAAAAGTTTGAGAAATGATGCCACAACAAAATGGCTACTATTTCCTAGAGAGAGTTGCAACATGAGGAATTATCATTTGAAAATTCATTCAAGGTTTTTGAGCAATTCATCTAAAGACATCTCTGGTGAAAAATGTGTCCACGTTTTCATAGGTGATATAATATGAAATACTTTTCATTTGTACAGTACTTTCAGTTTGTGTGTGACCCACATATATTCTCTTATTTGCTCCTCCTCTGCCCTCCTTCCACCCCAACAACACAATGAGGTTGGCACTATTATCCACAGTTTACAGATGATAAATCTGAAGCCCAGATACATTTGTTCATCTGGGCCCATGTCACAAAGTTCTTAAGAAACCTAGCTAGGACTTCTTCTCAGATTTTCTGTCTCCAACTTCGCTGTTCCTTCTTTTATCTTATTGCTGCTTAAGAAGATACAAATATATCAACTTAGAAAAAAATAAGAGTTAAGGAAAAAAATAAAAGTAAGGCAATGCATGTTTGGTGCTTGCATAAAATTCCTGATTTGTGATATTAAAAGTAAGCTGATTGATTTCTCCAAATTATGATGACTATTTCTAGACATAGGCTTGGTTTCTCAAAAAGGATTAGCTAATTCCACTAAAAAATTTCCTAAGCAAGTGTTTCATGAACATTTTTAGTCACTTGACGATCATTGATTGAACCAAACTCTGGTCACACTAGCCAATATATAAAAATATTATGAAAATGAATTGGATGGGGAGAGGAAAACACAACCATAGATTGACAAGACAAACACCAAATCTTTACAATACATAACACTGGGAGGTGGGATGATGGTTGATTTTGCTTCTTAGTTGGACTTTTCTGAATTTTTCAAATGACCTACAATAACTATGCATGACTTCTATAATTAGGAAGGAAGTTACACATTTTTATTTATTATAAGAATGCCATGTTAGATGAATGAACTACAAAATTGCAATTAAGACCAAGAAATCACAACAAAATACATTAGTAACAGAAGAAACCATCCTGAGACACCTCTCCCTGAATCTCTTGCAAATCATTAAGGGACCCCACCCTCCAGGTCATCATTAAAGGTAATTGTTCTAGAGGATTCTGAGGGAATAACAAAGTCTATACTTACTCCCTTCCCCAAACCAGGGCAAACAGCCAAATGTAAACATATTTTTAAATCTTGCTTTATTGTGTTGTTTATTCAAACTCAGTATTTTAGAAACGTATTCACTTGAGACAGAAATATAAGCAGCCTGGATGTCGGGGGGTTTGTTACAGGAGCACTGCCTGCCAGGAGGTGTGGAATCGTGAAGGGTGGTAGGTAGAGTAGGCACGGGGTGGTATGTAAGTTTGTGCAGGAAGGAAATAAAGAAGAGTATAGGCTTTGCCCAAATGTATGGTGTTTCTGAAGCCTTCCTAATGTCTAACCTATGAGGGCACACGCACGTGGAGCATCCCTGGACCCCCAACCCCACCCTTCCTTCCTCTTGCTCCATTCTTTCCCACACCCTTTCCACTTCTGCCCTTTGCTTGTATCACAGCTTCACTTGTCAAGGTTCTTATATGAAGATCTATTGTGTCATTTTAAAGATTTGTAAGGGCCCACATTGCTAAAACATAAAACGAACAAGAACTGACTTGTGTGCATAGAATAGGTCTCTTTCCTCAGAAAAGGAAGTGGCTTGGGAAAAAAAAATCCACAGGGTAGTTTCCAATATCACTACATTCTGGAAGTCGAGCTAGAGGAAGTAAGTTGGATGCTTACTTAATAGCCCTCACCAACAATGGTTTCTGGGACCAAAATGAATAGCACTTTTTGTTTTATTTTGCTTCTACCTTACTTTATACTAATTATATGAAGTGGGTTTTTCAATGTACTCTCTGCTTTTACATTCTGTCATCAGCTCACTTCCTCCCTCCCCTCTGCTTCCACCAGTTGGGGAAAAGTCTCTCATACATGATTATTGGCAAAGTGTTCCCACAAGTCATTAATTGAATCCTATTTCCCACAATAGCCATAGTACAAATTATTTTACATATCCAATTGCAAAATAGATGGCCCTGAATTTGTTTTTAAGACACTCATGTTATACAACTCAACTAGTATGGATGGAAGAAATCTAGTCTTTAGCATTATATATTGGTGTCCTAGTTCGTCAGGATCAAATTGATAAATATGAGAAAATTAAGCTAGGCGCTAAGTTTCGTGAGGGTATGGACCATTTCTCGCCACCCACCCCAATGCCTAACACAGTCCTGGCATGTGGATGGCATCAATAACATTTGAACTAAAATGTAATCGAATTGAATAGAAGTTTAATGATATCGCCAAGCTTAATTAGGCTGCAGCACTGTAAAAAAAAAAAAAAACTGGATCCTAAATAGACTAGTAGGTTCAGAAAACCCTGTCTGGTGGGTATCCGTCTGCACAGCATAAACAGACTGCTGCATTGACTGGAGAGAAAATAGGGAGGTAGGAATTTGCCTATGCAAAGCCAAGAAGCTGGCACTTTCCACCATTGGGTATGCAACCTGGTGAAATTTGGCAGTCAGTCTTAGCCAAAGGGGAAAGAAGCCACTCTGTCTTTAAGGACAGGCTTTCTGGAGAGACCTGCTTTCAAAAATCTCAAGGCCGTGACAAGTCACCACAAATCCGTCCTTTGCTAAACTGACTCTAAAGTGAAGCAACTGACTCCCTTCTGTGTTCCAAAAGCTTTTACATATTCAAGAGTCTTTTTCATACAGTAGCTCCAGAAAGACCTTTTTGAGTTTTTTTTTTCTTTTTTTCCATTTTAAACATCTTTTGTCTGGCAAATAAAGTCATCCTTCATCATTTTAATGTGTAAAACATTTCCAGCCAAAATGTGATTGAACTGTGCCAGATCAAAGGTTATAATGCAATTTGTCCAAGTCAGTAGGAAAATAGAATGTTAAGCATGAGAAACATTCTGAGACAGCAGGGGTGAAATGTAGTCCCCTCTCCACTGTGAACAGGGTAAGAGAAGATGAAAACCCAGGAAAAACAATTCAGCAAAAAAACAAGAACATTCAAAAGCCCAGAAGAGAATTCTGAAGTGCGGAGAAGACCTGGAGAATGTCATATTAACGATGAGTGGCAACTGAAAAAAAAGAAGAAAACCTTTCAGGAAGTAGAGGATACACGAAGTCAACAGGAAATGAACTGTGGGTTATTTAAGGTTATCTGAGAGCTAAATGTGCCCTAAGTGTGACCCAGTAAAGGAGGAAAGGTCTCTATAGAGATGCTAAGAGGTTGTCTGCTGGATGCATTACAGTGGGTATTAGACTTCTGGTTGTTTTTTTTTTAATCAATATGTGATCCAAGAATCACATCAAAGAAGGCCTCTCCTCCAAGCCCCATAAGCCAAACATAGGCTGCCTACGTTTGAAAGACCTGTACATACACAGATCCCATCCCTCAACTGCCTCCGTGTGTTTTTAATGGACTCTTCACAAGCCTAAACTGGCTATGTTCCAGCCATGAAGCATGAGGCTGGAGAACAGCTTTTTTGTCTTCACCAGCCAAGCATTCACTTCCTGTGAAGCCAGATAGATAATGAGAGGGAAACAAAACCGCGTTGCAGGGTCATCAGTTCAGCCTTGCCGCTTCTAAACAGAAATATATGTAGTGAATCAAAAAAGGCTTGTCTGAATGTGCCTTGGTCGAAGCACTGAGAGTCTACCTAGAGCATTCAGCAATGTCTGGAGCATTTCTGGAAGCCATCCACAGGAAACTGAAGCCACCGCATTGATTTCATAAGGATTCATTCTCCCCAGGCTGCTGGGTTTAAAATGGGCTGAGTGAGCCAGAGTACAAATTCAAATTTGCTTAGGCAATACCGAATCCTGCTAGATTGTAACCCTCTGCTGCCAAACTTCTGGAAAACTGCTTAAATTATGGCCATAATGTCTCTTGTCAGAAAACAAATGGATAAAGTCTTCTCCCACTTCCTGGGAAGAAACCAGTAAGCTGGGATAGCTTGGAGCACACTGGAACATTGCAAACCACAAATGTCTAAATTACCCAGCCAGGTGAGTCCATCCAGTTCTGGTCTGAAATGTGCCCTGAAGCAATACAGACATGCAGAACAGAGTTGCCCTGGCATAGTCAGCAGCGTGGAAAGCTGTGTGATTAAAGCCAAGGGATGTGCATGGGAGTTGTATGAGTGAGCAGAAGGAGGTATAGCTTTTGATACAATCTTCCTCCTTTGGGATGGAACACTTACACCTCTGGTTTTCATTTGCAAAGAGAAAAAAAAAGCAAAAGAATAAACAACAGAAAATATGACTTTGGATGCTTCTTTCAACATCTGAGTAAACCTTTAAGGAGATTCCAGGCAATAGAACTTGGCACTGTGCTTCACAAGTTGGTGTAAAATAACTGGTGCCAAATGCTAAAAGGGAATATCCTTATGACTCTGCATGAAAACTCTGGCAAAGCCCACTCCCTTGCAAAAGGGTCTTCCATGATGCTTTTGCCACAGAAATCCAGTATAATTCCACAGCACTGGGGTCTGGCACCTTTTCCTGGCATGACTCCTTGCTGTACGTATATGTGTATATCCAAGCATCTATGCTTAATGAGCATGCACTCAAATTCTATCTGGCTCGCCTAGTTAACAAGGTTTGGGCAGTCAGGAATATGTTGGGGCAATCACAGCATGGTTTTAAGATAAAAGGAAGGTGTTCTCTTCCTGGAAAGACTCCAGCAGTCCACAACCTAGACAAAGCCACGTCTGAGTCAGAGCCTGTGACCTGTGAATGTGACCAGTTCCCCAGAGTTTCTGGAAGACTTCACTGTAGTCTCCTTCAGCAAGTGAATTGCTCCCAGTCCCACCTCAAGCAAGTTGACACTGAACAGCAAATCTGCCCTATATTCAGCTGAAAATTCATGTTGGTTTGAAAGCCAAGAGGAGGGGATAAAACCTCTTGATGAAGCTAATAGGAGGGGTTTACATAAAGATGCAAATACAGTTGAGAATAATCTCCAAATTGGAGGTGGGGTTATGATTGGTCCTCATCTCTAGAGATATAGACAAAATCATTGCTACTTTAATTATTCATCGACATAACACAGGGATCAGTCACTACGGTTTAATAAGAGAAATTGTATTCTAGCGCCACTGACCTCAAGGAGCTTACAACAGTCATCATAAGCAATACTTGTAGAGGTGTTTGACATTTCACAAAATGCTTGTTGCATGTATCAGTGCAGAGATATGTAAGAGAAACATAAACTAAATGAGAATAAAAGAGTCATTATAAACTGGTGTATAATAATACATCAAATGACTAGTACTAAGAGTCATCACTGGGATATCAGAGGAGAAAATGGCTGCTTCAACCAACCAAAGGATGATTGGGAATGGAAAGTTTATGAGATGGGAGATTTGAAAGAGGAAAAACATTCTTACCAGAGAAGATAAACATCTTTTTTTTCTGTCAGATAACAAACTATATTTTGAACCTTTCTATGTTGTAGGCACTGTGCCAGGTGCTGGATTTATAACCACAAAAACAGAGGGGCAGAATGTCTGCATTTCCAGTGGGCAAGACAGACAATGTGTAAGTAAACAAGTAAATAAACAAGAGAATCAGATAATGCAATAAGTGCCGTGAAGGAAATAAATAGTGATGTGACAGGTCTTTTTTTTTTTTTTTTTAGTTCTCTATTGTGCACGTAGCAAGTGCTCAGTTAGTTCAATCTTATTAAACATGTGGTAGCACAAAACTGCATAATATTTCAAAATAAAAGCTCCAATGACAATTTCACCAACTCCTCTGCAGTTGGAAATCCACCAAGTGTAAATTAACTTTGGCCTGCTGGTTACCCTCAAAACAGCAATTGCATGCCTCCTTCACTCAGTGTTCTGGGCCAAACATACAATCAAAGTAGAACAAAATAATGAGGGCAGAAGAGTCAAATGATGTATGAAAATGAATAAAATATTGTTATAATATTCAGAGGCAAATTTATGATTTATATAGAAAATTTCTAATATATTCGCTAGTCATGACTTTGAAAAGGCAGAAAATGATGTGAGGAAGGCAACCAAAGATTGTCTTCCTGAAAACAGAATGCAACTTCTTCAAAGGTGAAAATCATAGTCATAGAATTGGATACACAGTGCCAAGAAAACAACTTGATTGCTCCCTTGTCACTAATTGGTTAAATAAAACAATTTTATTTCCGTTGTATGATTGCAGTCTTAGTCTGAGGCACACTGTTCCACGTTTAGTCTGATGTTTGACCCCTGTGAAAGAAGCAGAAATTTGTCAACTGAGGCAAGATGTGTTAACAGGGATAACAGTGTGAAAAATATTAAAGTGCCTTCTCTCCAGGCTTAGTGAGACTTTCTCCTGCACCAGTGGTGGGGAGAGTGTTACAAAGGGAAAGCAAAGAGAAAAAACAAAATAATATTCAGCTTCTGATATTCAAATAACATTTTTCAGCAAATAGGCGCGAAAGCAGGCTATGTCAAGAACTAGAGAGAGCATATTCTATAATTTTGCAGAATATCAAAAAGCAAGCCTAAGGAACTCACATCATATTGTATCTTCTATAGTCAGAAAATATACTCCTTTGATCTATTGATAACTAGGCCCTGAGCCTAGTATGATATAGAAGCAGAAAAATCCTAAAGCCCTTTCTTACTGTCCTTCAACATACCAGGAGGGCTGTCTGCTCACTTGCTGGCTAAATGAAAGCAATGCAGCAGAGAACTCCAAGGAAGCCCTAAGGTATCACTGTGGAATAAAACTTTCTATGATGATGTGACAAAGATTCTTTGCTGAACAAACTTAGACTCCTGAACCTTCTCCTAGGCCTATCTGTGCATTTCCTTGTAAAATCCAGCTTTCGCAAGAGCATGAACAAATCAGTTTGGCAAGACCTCCCCACCCTCAACATCTGATCACGTGTCTCATCCTCCATGATGCCACAGGTAATATCTGATAACACCGGCTGTCTTCAGCAAGAATCCTTTTAGTTAGGCTTAGCCAGAATCCCCCTTACCCCTGATGTTGCCTTTTAGTAATTTTCCATCCGCTGACCCACACCCTGTTTCTCGGCTATAAATCGCTACTTACTCATGCTGTATTCACAGTTGAACTCAATCTCTCTCTGAGTGCAAGACCCATTGCCATGGTCCTTTTACCCGTGACAATGACCCTGCATAATGTCTTCCTTATCATGCTTTTAAAATTGTCATTGAATAATTTTTTTCTTTAACAGATAGACACTTTTTATATTTGTGCTATTCAATGTAGCAAATTACTAGACACATGTGGCTGACAAGCACTTAAGGTGTGACTAGGAAGTGAAGTTTAATATTTTATTTTAATTAACTTAAATTTCAAAAGCCCCATGTTGCTAGTGACCATACGGGAGAGCACAGCCCTAGGGGATGACAAAGTCCCATGATGAAAGAGATCTAGATTAAATCACTATTTGGAAGGGAGCCACAAAAAAAAAAAAAAAAAAAAAAAAAAAAAAAAAAAAAAAAAAAACACCATGATGCCCACCAGACGTTGGTGAGAGCAAGACATAAATATTTATTGTTCTAAGGTTTAGGAGGCTGTAACAGCAGGTAGTTTTAATTAATACTGATAGGTACTCTTACTTTAACCATTTTATCCACACGGAAACTGGGACACACACAGAAGTTAAGTAACTAGACCAGGCGCAGTGGCTCATGCCTGTAATCCCAGCACTTTAGGAGGCCGAGGCAGGCAGATCATCTGAGGTCAGGAGTTCGAGACCAGCCTGACCAAAATGGAGAAATCCCGTCTCTACTGAAAATACAAAATTAGCCGAGCATCGTGGTGCATGCCTGTAATCCCAGTTACTCGGGAGGCTGAGGCAGGAGAATCGCTTGAACCCGGGAGGTGGAGGTTGCTGTAAGCCGAGATCGCACCATTGCACTCTACCCTGGGCAACAAGAGTGAAACTCCATCTCAAAAAAAAAAAAAAAAAAAGAAGTTAAGTAACTAGCCCAAAGTCACATGGCTACTAAGTAGTGGGACAAGAATAGAGCCGGGCAGTCTGGCTAGAGAGCGGTGCCTGTGAGCAAAAGAAAAGGCATAGTTTATGATCCGGGCATCATTACCTCACATTAAAATATATATTTGTAAATTTGCTAAATTATATAATCCCTTTCCCATGTGGCTCACAAGGAATCAAATCCTTAGACAGCCTTACCAATTACAAAAGCAGGCATGCGCATTTCTCACCCACATCAAACCTGCTGTCTGGTTTCTCTGGAAATGACAAGACACTCTGCCATAGGAACACAATGAAAAGTGAGTCAGTTGTGCCCAGACTGAAGGAACGAGAAGTTCTGTAAATATGAAACAGATGGGATTTCCGGAGCTGTTCTCATGCATTTTGGCAGTTTTCCGATGAGCTAGGTTTTTAAAATCCATTTGATTTTTCACGAGGATCTGAGTTGATTTGAACTGATAACAATTGCCTCGAGCCTTGCTCATCCACACTATCCTTCATATTAGGTTGGTGCAAAAATAATTGCGGTTTTTGCCATTACTTTCAATGGATCCACTCATAAGATAATGGATATTCTCATCTCCCCTTTGAGCAGCTGTAATTTAGCCTGATGGCCTCAGCTGATGCACTGACTTATAAATTAGGCTTGCAGAAGACTCTAGGATCTTCTTTCCCTGAGGTCTCTTCAGTACTTACGTACTCAGTTTACAATATGATAATATGCTCCCACGTAGACAATGTTTGTAAACATTCTTATGTATACAGCTCACAATAAAGCAGGTACTGTTTATTGAGCATCAACTTTGCATGAAGCAATTTATCTATATCCTCTTACATAATTCCTAACAAAATGGGAAATAACATCATTATCCACTATTTAATACTAACAGCAAATGGTTGTATAGTCTTTCAATGAACCAGGTATCTTTCCAAGTTAGTTAAGTCATAGCTCAGTCTTCACGAAAATAAGAAAAGTACTATAATCATTATCACTATTTCACAGATTGGAAATTGAGGGGAAAAGATGTTAAATAACTTGCCTAATGACACAAGGCTAATAAGAAACAGAGCCAGGATTTCAAACCCAGGCATTCTGGCTCCAGAGCTATACCTTTGAACTCATTACTATACCTCCTCTGTTTTCGGTTCAGAAAACACTTGCTCAAGAGTACAAAGCTAATACAGGATCATGTGGTTCCACATCCCAGGTTCTTTTCTCCCCATCAGTTTCCCCAAACATCCCTTGTCCTAAGAATCTCTCGTATAGCTTATTAATAGAGAAGCCCAAAGGTGGTTAGGTTCTTTTCAGAGGAACCAAGCAACTGCAGAAACTGCACATTGAACAAGAGGCACCAGTGATCCTGAAGGTCAGGCAGCCTTGGGAGCCACTGCCCTGCTCCAAAGAGCTCCCTCCTTTAGACTCTGAGCTCTTCAACGGGGTTGTGGACCTCTAAGGCAGTGGAATGTATAGCAGTTTAGTCAACTTCATGGATGCACCAGGGAAGTGACTGGTGTTTGGGAGTAGCATAGTTTTTGTGGGCTTTCGCCACCTCTTCCTGTGTGAGAGAATGTGGATATGTCTGAACATGTCATGTGTGTGTTTCTCGGTCTTCCTGCCCAGCCACTTCTGCCCTATTTCACTTTACCCCGCATGGGGCTTGTCTGTTCCCTATTTGGCCTCCCACTCTTTGTTCCTCTCCATTACCAGATGTCAGGAACTTGCAACTGATTAGCCAGCTCCTGCCATTACAAGTCAGTCCCTGCCAGTGTCAGTAACCCAGGATAGGAAATGTAGGTGGGGTCTTAAAACTAACAAACCCTCTGGCTCCAGGTGCCTATATATTGGAGGAGCAAAGAGAGGAGGGAGCTGGCCCACCACCCTGGGCCATCCCAAGGAAAGACTTAAAATATTAAAGTACCTAACTAGATTGACTTAGGACTGAACCGGTCATTGTGCCAGTGTGAATTCAGTTGCCCCCAGCAACCTCACTCCCATCCCTTTTATTCCCCTGCCCTTCCTTCTTTCCCTGGGGTTTTGCCACATCCTGAGCACTTTTAGATTCCTGTATGTGGATAATGTCCCAGGATGTGTGTATGTGGGGAATAATAGTGTTTATTTGGAACAAACAGATGGATGAAGCTGAGAGCATCAGAAGTGTCCAAGGGCAAACCACACCAACAGGAATTAGCACAGAAAGTCGTCTTGAAAAAACAACAGACTTAGAATCAGGAAACCAGGCCCTTCAGACCTCTCTCTTCCACTTAGCAGTTCTGTAGCCCAGGGCAAGTCAAGAAACTTTTCTCCATGTGTATTACCTCTACTCCAAAGGAGTAGGTTGGATTGTTTAATCCTGTGGCTCTCTTTCCAGGCTAATATTCTTTTTTTTTTTTTTTTTTTTTTTTTTTTGAGACAGAGTTTCACTCTCATTGCCCAGGCTGGAGTGCAATGGCACGATTTCAGCTCACCGCAACCTCCACCTCCCGGGTTCAAGTGATTCTCCTGCCTCAGCCTTCCAAGTAGCTGGGATTACAGGAGCCTGCCACCACGCCCAGCTAATTTTTGTATTTTTAGTAGAGACGAGGTTTCGCCACGTTGGCCAGGCTGGTCTAGAACTCCTGACCTCAGGTGATCCGCCCTCCTCGGACTCCCAAAGTGCTGGGATTACACGCGTGAGCCACCATGCCCGGCCTCTAATATTTTATGTTTTAAGGCAAATTCCATTTAAATATGGAGTAATAATAACAATTGAAAAGATCCAAGAGCCATGCAAATTTAAGTAAAAGACCAGAAAACTTGAACTAAGAGCTCAGGAGGTCCTTTGCCAAAATAGAGATAAGTACCAGGGAATAATGCAGGCAGCCAGGCTTGATCTCATCATCTGCCCTTAAGCATAGCAGCCTCAATCTTGGCCTCTCTACCTTCCCACCCACTCCCAGGACAACATCTGACCTCGACTACAAGGGAGACTTGGAATTTGCAACCTTATTACCTAGTAATGTGGCTAACCATTTCCAGAAATATAAATATCAAACACTTCATGACAGGTCAGAGTTGAGTCATTCAGGGAAAAAAGCACACAATAGCTGGTATGGGTAGGACCACAGGAAACTTTGATTGAGAAACCTGAAACCTTTTGTCTCTTTCATTCTCTGGGCCACTCATGGATTCAGAACAGAATTGTTCAAGCCTAGCCTTGAAGTAGAGAGGGGGGCGGGTAGCTAATTCTCCGCAGCTGCACTCAATTAAAGTGAGTCCGAGTAGCCTGGCAAAGAAGACTCAAACCCCCAAAGAAATTGCCCAATAAAAAGCCCTGGCCCTGAAAGCATTGATTTGAAGAGTTAGAGGGAAGCTCAGAATGATTTAGGACAGTCTTATTTCATAGATGAGAAAGAGCTATGGGTACCCAGAAATATACATTTTACCCCATCTCACTAAGCCTTAAAATATAAACTATCATTTATACTAAATCTGGAATCTTTTTTAATCTATAGCTTTGGTGCATAATTGGTGCTGTCTTTGTCACATATAGAGAAAGAAGAACTCCTGAATCATAGCAGCTAGTATTTCTATCACATTTTTCTCATTATAAAATATTCCCTTATAGAAACTACTTTTGAGCCTCACCAAAAACAAACAAACTCTATGAGGTAGGTAGTATAATTCTTCTTTAGGGATAAGAAAATTGTGGCCAACATTACACAAGCAGGACATTACAGAGCCAGGGTTTGAATGGAAGCCCAAATCTCAGATTATTTCTACTGCTCCACAGACCCTACCACAAAGTGAATAGCTCAGTTAACAAAGTAAAGACCACAAGAGTGTGTTAAACACGATTTACCGAGGTTAACACACAGCCAGTGCATACTGTCTGGCCAAATCACTTGTTTTCTGTCAGCATCCATTCTGATGAGGAAGAACTGGTTGCTAAATATCCTGAATATCAACCCCACTATTACCAGTCATCATGGTAGACTCATGCAAGGTAAATGAATAGGTAAGCAAGGCAAGTGAATACCCACTCACTGGGTCTTATCTCACCCCACCCAGCTGCAGATATCTAAAATTCCAGGCATCTGAACATCCGCTACCTGTTAAAGTGTTCTTTAATCACCTGCTAGGTATTGACACTTTATGATGAAGGAAGGATCTGAAAGCTGAGCTTTTGACAGGAAGGACAGAAAACACAAGGTTCCCAGGAACCGGAGGTGGGGACAAGAGGGAAAATTGACAAAGCAAGAAGAGACAGGGAAGACTTAGAGTAAAAAAGTGGAGCTCCCAGACAGGATACTAATGTTCACCGAATTCTTTTTTGGATGTCATTGTCAGTGGTTGATGCTTTCTTATTATCACCTAATTTGTATCCTCATTACAATCCTATAATATTGATATGAATCCCATATTACAGATAAGTAAACAGAGTCTCAAGATCAGTCTTTCTTAGTTGACACTTTTGTCTCAGGTCAGTCCTTCAATTTTCACTTTCTAAATTATTTTTGAAAGTATTAATTAATCCCACCTACCACCCCAGTGGAATGTGCTGGGTAGATTTAAAGTGTCCTGCTTTATGGGTGGGAAATGAAGCAGTGAGATTATAAGACATAGTCAAGTCTACATAAAGAGGATTAGGAGGCATCCTAAAAACGATACCTCATCTTGATAACATTTTATCTTTTATCCTAAAGACTATACTTCCTCTTGATAATATTTTAAATTTTTCTGGAAGCTATATTGAAGTATAATTGCACAATGAAACATTGTACTGTCATTAGAAATAATACTGGATGTGAGTTTTCATTGACATTAAAATTTTTCATGATATGGGATAAAGAGTACAATTCCACTGCAGTTTGAAACATGCAGGCATGTACTGTACAAGTGTGTGTGTGTGTGTGTGTGTGTGTGTGTGTGTGTGTGTGTGTGTAATGGGCAGAGACAGAAAGAGGGAAGAGGAAGAAAAGCAAAAGAAGCTGACGAAAAAGAAACAAGATGTTGTTAACCTACCAAAAGGTTAACAACAGACATCTCTGGGCAGGGAAATGAAGAGTGATTTTTCTTTCTTTTTGGGGAGTAGGGGGTCACCTTCATTTTTTCATGTTTGATATGGTTTGGATTTGTTTCCCCACCAAATCTCATGTTGAAATGTAATCACCAGTGTTGGAGGTGGGGCCGGATGGTAGATGTTTGCATCATGGGGCAGATCCATCACAAATGTCTTAGCATCATCCTTTGGTGATAAGTTCAGGTGAGATCTGGTTGTTTAAAAATGTGAGGCACCTCCCCGCACCCCCACCTCTCTCTCTTACTCATGCTTTTGCAATGTGAGATGCCTGCTCCTGCTTCACCTTCTGCCATGAGTAAAAGCTCTCTGAGGCCTCCCCGGAAGCCAAGCAGATGCCAGCGCCATGCTTCCCCTACAGCCTGCAGAACTGTGAGCCAATTCAACCTCTTTTCTTTATAAATTCCCCAGCCTCAGGTATTTCTTTATAGCAAGAAAACTGCCTAACACAACATTTATACTATTAAAAGCATATTACTTATATAATTTAAAAAATGAGTTAAGAAAAAGGTAGTCATCACTTCTAAACTGTGACTAATCAAAGGGAGCGATAGATGGAAAAGTAAGGTATTTTAGTGATGGCAAAGGGCCCTATGGGAGCAGGAATTACAGTTTGATAATGTGAGAAATATTAAAAATTACATTTTGGCAAGATAATACTGGGTTCCTCTCCTGGACTGATGAGTTAGAGATAGTTCGGGTTTGGTAACAAGGCAAAAACAGAGAAACAAATTCATGCTTGCTCCAAAAAACAAAACAAACAATAAAAACCTTGAAACCTTCCTAAGAGCATGTGCTTTTTTAAGATTTTATTAATTTTTAAAGAATTTCTTAACAAACTTTAAGATAGAAGCAGCTTCATATGTGAATGTTGGGTATACATTTTCTGAATACCTCTTACTATGTAATCGGTTAGTAGCTATTTATTAAGTACCTATACTCTGCTTAGCACTCTACTTGCCATGATATGATTTATTTATTTATTTATTTATTTATTTATTTATTTATTTATTTTTGAGACAGAGTCTTGCTCTGTCACCCAGGCTGGAGTGCAGTGGTGCGATCTTGGCTCACTATAGCCTTCGCCTCCCGGGTTCAAGCGATTCTCCTGCTTCAGCCTCCCAAGTAGCTGAGACTACAGGCGTGTGCTGCCACGACCAGCTAATTTTTTTTTTTTTTTTAGTAGAGATGGGGTTTCACCGTGTTAGCGCCAGGATGGTCTCAATCTCCTGACCTCATGATCCACCTGCCTCGGCCTCCCAAAGTGCTGGGATTACAAGCGTGAGCCACCGCGCCTGGCCTTATCTGATCATTTCTAAGACATTCTCACCATGACTATTTAACCCTATACGAGGGAGACACGTGCACTTGATACTCAACTCTGTTATCAAGAAACACCACCACACTTTATTTTTAAAACCCTCTAGTGACATGGAAGACTTAGTGGTTTACTCCTTAAACCACTAAGAAAATACCCAATCACCTGTCATGTGCAACACAAAAGACAAATTAAAAAATAATAATAAATGAAACAAAACAAAACAGTAGCATTATAATGAAGAGCTATACAGCTTTTGCTCAGTTTCTTTACTTCCTAGTGGTTTGGGGCAACAGGGAGAAATGGATGACTGAATTTAGAGTATCTTACTGAATTACAATTCCTTGGAACTAAAAAGCTTTCTCTTGATTATGGTGTAAGTTACCATAAAAGATAAAGTCTAAGAGCCAGTTTCTAGCCCACAGTTGATTTAGAATCCAGGAAATGCTAAGAAAATAAAAGTTATCATTGAATGATTTTCATTTCCCTATGGTCATATTTCTAATGAGTTCAATTTGGGGCTCCATCTATTTTTTTCAGCAATGTACACTTGGGAGTTTGCTACAAAATTATTTATAGTGGAATATCTCAAAATTATTTAGCTGTTCCAATTCTGAGTGGCCATTTACATGCATTCTTGATGAGACTGTCTTGGCTTGGTAGGTATTTGATAAACATGTGTTGAATTAAGTGGAATTGTTGATTTGGTCAGACCTACTCCCAATTATTTGCTCAGAGATATTTCAGGATCTCCGGCATTGAAAGAGAAATTAGAAATGTATGTCTTAAATACATAACAAACTGTGGACGGTGTTTGGTATGACAGGAGCCTAACTTGAATTAACTTGATAAATGAGGAAATTATTAGCACAAAAAATATAAGGAAATGTGGAAAAATGAAAATTATGGAAAGGTCAGGGATATCACTGGTTCTCAGGAATAAATGAAACCAGAACCAGAACCTCAAACAATGCCAAACCTCTCCCTCCAGCTGTCATTTCTGCCTCTCTCTGTGTGGGCTTCATTCTCTCTCAGCACACACTAACTTTCTCCAGATGGAAGAAAACATGGAAACCACCAGTCAGAAACTCTTCATCCCATAGCTTCTATCTCCAGCATGATGTAACTCATCACAGTTTTAGTAAGAAAAACCCCAAGAAAGTGATCTGATTGGACAAACTAGGTTCGAAGTGCCCACCCATCAGCCAATCAATTGTGTCTAAAAAAGCAGGTATTCTTCTTGCATCCCCATGATGAGAGCAGGGAAAGGAACAGTTACCAAAAGACTGGAGGTGCTTCCTCCAGGGGAAAGGAGGACAGCAGTGCAGCACAAGCAAAATAGCAGGTGCTCAAAGCAGATAAAACCCAAAACCACTATGATTCACCCACACAGGTCACTTTTTTTGGTAGTTATCGTTATTATTATTATTAAAACAACAAAATTGCCATGTGAACTTAGGCCTGCCATGGGTTATAAATGAAGTTATAACATGTTTATAGCTCTTTAAAAAACGTTTTTATAAGGTATAATTGAAATGCAATAAACTACACATATTTAAAATTTGCAATGTAAAACATTTTGACATACATATACATCCATAAAACCATCACCACCAGCTTGAAAATGAACCCATCCATCACCTCCACAAGTTTCCTCCTGCCCCTTTGCAGTCTCACCCTCTTACCTTCTCACATCCCCATGCAACCAATGATCCTTTCTGTCACCATAAAGTAGTCTGCAGCTTCTGGAATTTTGTATAAATGGTATCATAAAGTATTTCCTTTTTCCGGTCTAATTTATTACATTCAGCATCATTATTTTGAGATTCATCCATGTTGTAGCATGTATCAATAGTTCTTTCCTTTTTATTGCTGAGTAGTATTCTATTACTTAGTGTTATGGACTACATTGTGTCCTCCCAAAATTCCTACATTGAAGTTCCAGAATCTAATACTTCAGAATGTGACTGCATTTGGAGATAGGGGCTTTAAAGATATAATTGAGTTGAAATGAGGCCATGAGGGTAAGCCCTAATCCTTTCTGACTGGTGTTTTTATAAAAAGAGGAGATTAGATACCTGCAGAAGCATTAGGTACATTTGACTGAAGCACAGAATGCATAAGACCTCAAGGATGCACTGAGAGAACATAATAAGAACACAAGGAGAAGGCAACCACAGAAGAGAGGCCTTAGGAGAAATCAAACCTACTGACATCTTGATCTTGGACTTTTAGCCTCCAAAACTGAGAAAATACATTTCTGTTGTTGAAGCCACTAAGGGGTATTTTGTTATGGCAGCCCTAACAAACTAATACATAAAGATTTACTACAGCTTGTTTATCCATTACCCTATTGACAAACATTTGCTTTGTTTCCAGCTTGGGGCTATTACAAATAAAGATGCTAGGAAAATTTATGTACGTATCTTTGTATAGAGATAAGCTATCATTTTACTTGGATAAACACCTCGTATTTATGGCCAAGTCATACAGTAAATGTTCCGTTATTTAAAAACAAACAAACAAACAAACAAAAAACACCTTGGCTGGGTGCAGTGGCTTACGCCTGTAATCCCAGCACTTTGGGAAGCCGAGGCAGGTGTATCACCTGAGGTCAGGAGTTCGAGACCAGCCTGGCCAATATGGTGAAACCCCATCTCTACTAAAAATAACAATATTAGCCAGACATGGTGGTGGGTGCCTGTAATCCCAGCTACTCGGGAGGCTGAGGCAGGAGAATCGCTTGAACCTGGGAGGCGGAGGTTGCAGTGAGCCGAGATCGCGCCATTGCACTCCAGCCTGGGTGACAGAGCAAGGCGCCGTCTCAAAAAAACAAACAAACAAACAAAAACACCAGTTTTCAAAAAGTGGTTATACTATTTTACATTCCTACCAGTAGTATATGAGAGTTCTCTTGCTCCATATTCTCAGCAAAACTTAGAGACAGTCTTTAAATCTCGACATCCTAACAGGCAATGTAGTGACATCTCATTGTGGTTTTAATGTGCATTTGCTTAATGACTAATGAATTGGAACATCTATCACATGCTTATTTACCATCCCTATATCTTCTTTGACGAAGTATCTGCTTAAGTCCATCTGCTTAAGTCCTCCAACCATTTCTTATTGGGTATGGTAATTATTTTTTACTTTTTACTTTAAGTTTTGGGATACATGTGCAGAATGTGCAGGTTTGTTACATTGGTATACATGTGCCATGGTGGTTTGCCGCACCCATCAACCTGTCATCTAGGTTTTAAGCCCCACATGCATTAGGTATTTGTCCTAATGCTCTCCCTCTCCTTGCCCCCCCAGTACCCCGACAGGCCCCAGTATGTGATGTTCCCCTCCCTGTGTCCATGTGTTCTCATTGTTCAACTCCCACTTATGAGTGAGAACGTGCAGTGTTTGATTTTCTGTTCCTGTGTTAGTTTGCTGAGAATGATAGCTTCCAGCTTCATCCATGTCCCTACAAAGGACATGAACTCATTCTTTTTTATGGCTGCATAGTATTCCATAGTGTATATGTGTCACATTTTCTTTATCCAGTCTATCATTGATGGGCATTTGGGCTGGTTCCAAGTCTTTGCTATTGTAAATAGTGCTGCAATAAACAAACATGTGCATGGGTCTTTATAGCAGAATGATTTATAACCCTTTGGGTATGTACCCAGTCATGGGACAGCTGGGTCAAATGGTATTTCTGGTTCTAGATCCTTGAGGAATTGCCACACTGTCTTCCATAATGGTTGAACTATTTACACTCTCACCAACAGGGTAAAAGTGTTCCTATTTCTCCATAGCCTCTCCAGCATCTGTTGTTTCCTGACTTTTTAATGATCGCTATTCTAACTGGCACGAGATGGTATCCCATTGTGGTTTTGATTTGCATTTCTCTAATGACCAGTGATGATTAGCTTTTTTTCATATGTTTGTTGGCTGTATAACTGTCTTCTTTTGAGAAGTAATTTTTTATTGGATGCCTGACATTGTAAATTTTACCTTTGTAGGAATTGGATATTTTTATTTTCCTACAAATATTCTTGAGTTGTGTTTTGGGATGCAGGTGAATTACATGGAAAAAGTTTAATCTTCCTGGATCTTGCTTTTGAGCTCTATTAAGTAAACTAGAACAGCATCTAGTCTAGGGCTATTGCGCCCTACTGTTAAGGCAAATCCCTCTAAGTGCTCTACCAGATGTCCTATTTATTTTGAGGTTTTTCTTTTCTGTTTGGTGGCAATAGAAACTCTTCCCAGTCCTGGCTGCATGCACTCTAGGGATTGTTTCCTCTACTCTTCTTGGACAGGTTTTCCCCTGGACTAAAGTAATTTTCTCACATGAATATGTTAATCAGTGATCAACAGCATACTTGGGGATCTCTGCACCTTGCCACAGTTCTTTCTGTATGCAGCTCTCAACCTAGTTCTCTGCCTTGTGAAGATTAGCCAACTTAGCCTCCTCAGCTGCCCAGCCCTGCCTCCTCTGTGCAAAGAGGCAGCTGGGCCACTCCAGGTTCCCCCAACTCACACACAGGAGACCTGGAAGTTCTCTTGGGCAACAGGCAACAGGCTGCCTTATCACACAACTCACTTCATTTGTTTCCTATCTCTTCGGGGTCACTTCTTCATTGACTAACATTCAATGTCTTGAAAACCATGTATTTGAGTTTTTAGGTTTTTAGAAACTGTTTCAGGGCCAGGGACAGTGGCTCACGCCCGTAATCCCAACTACTCAGGAAGCTGAGGCAGGAGAGTCGCTCCAGCCTGGGATATGGAAGTTGCAGTGAGCCGAGATTGCACCATTGCACTCCAGCCTGAGCAACAGAGCGAGACTTCGTCTCCAGAAAAAAAAAAATGGTTTCAAATCAGAAGGTAAAGCCAGTCTGGTAAAACCAATCTGTTATTCCACTTTTTCTGGAAGTAGAAATCTATCGTTCTTTTTTCAATATATTTAAATATATTTGCATATGAAAAGTAACTTTAATATAACTAGAGGACTTCCTATCTGTTGTGAGTTTTTTTGGGTTTTTTGAGACAAGAGTCTAACTCTGTTGCCCAGGCTGGAGTGCAGTGGCACGATCTTGGCTCACTGTAACCTTTGCCTCCCGGGTTCAAGCAATCCTCCTGCCTCAGCCTCCCAAGTAGCGGAGACTACAGGCATGCACCACCACACCCAGCTAATTTTTGTATTTTTAGTAGAGACAAGATTTCACCATGTTGACCAGGCTGGTCTCAAACTTCTGACCTCAGGTAAGTCACGTGCCTTGGCCTCCCAAAGTGTTGGGATTACAGATGTGAGCCACCATGCCCGTCTGAGGACTTCATGTCTGTCTGGAACATTTCTGTCATATGAAATTTCCGTGTGGGTTAAAATAGAGATTGGCAAACTTTTTCTATAAAAGGCCACCTAGAGGGCCCAGTGCAGTGGCTCACACCTGTAATCTCAGCACTTTGGAAGACCAAGGCGAGCAGATCACGAGGTCAGAAGTTCGAAACCAGTCTCTACTAAAAATACAAAAATTAGCCAGTGGTGATGGTATGCGTCTATAATCCCAGCTACTAGGGAGGCTGAGGCAGGAGAATTGCTTGAACCTGGGAGGCAGAGGTTGCAGTGAGCCGAGATTGTAACACTTCACTCCAGCCTGGGTGATGGAGGAAGAATCCGTCTTGAAAAAATAAAAAATAAAAGGCCACATAGTAAATATTTTAGACTTTGTGGGCCACATGTGGTCTCTGTTGCATTTTTTTTCCCAATAACCTCATAAAAATATAAAATAATTTAAAACCATCTCATGGGCTATACAAAAGTGAGCCATGGGCTGAGTTTGACCTATAGGTCACAGTTTGTTGAACCCAGAATCAGGATAATGTAGTCCCTGTGAAAAACCCAAAATCTTAGGGGGTTAATACAATAGCTATCTATTTCCCACACATGTGCAAAATAGGTATTCTTGATTAGTAGGTCTCTTTTCTTACTTTCAAAGCCATAATTCAGGGACATAGATTTCTTCCATCTCCTGGCTCCATTTCTCCACAATGCTCCCAAGATTGTCATTGTAGTAGAAAGAATGTAGATTTCCTGTGAGAGGTTCTTAAGGGTAACTCCTCAAGGTACGATTGCTTCTAACCACCTTCCATTGTTCAGAACTCATTCACATCAGCACACCTAACTGGAAGAGAGGCTGGAAAATCTAGTTTTGCTGTGTACCCAAGAGGAAGAGAAAATGGATTGGGGAACAGCTAGCTAATCTTCAATGCAACGTCCAGGGAATTTAAATAGCTGACTCTGCCAAGCTCAAGCTACTGCCTTTAGTTAATGGCAGGATTTCCTTAAGAATCCAATGATTTTTCAATCCTATCTTTCTGCCTGTTCCCAAAATATTGAGATAACCCTTAAATGGTCTATCTTCTCTTTGAGGGGAGAATTATTGTCTTATTTTTCATTATCTTACTGTTATCTGGAACACGGCTCCAGACAGGTGCTCCAAAAATGTTTCTGTAAGTTAATTTTGTACCTAATAATAACTGGTCCATTAGATTCTTACCTATAAAAGTTATGTCAGTCTTCATTTTAGAAATCAGTCACCATTGGGCCAAAATCCTGAATAATTTTTCCACCATCACCATAGACCTTCCTGTTAATGCACCTTGTTATTTTCTCTGAAATTTTCAGGTATAAAAATATATTTATTTGTACATTATTAAAACAACAAGTATTTCAATTTGACTGGAGTATAGAATGCATAAAAAGAAACAGTAACCATTTCATTCGTTAATTGATTAATTTATTTTATTTTATTTAGAAACAGGGCCTCACTAAGTTGCCAAGGCTGGCCTTGAATTCCTGGGCTCAAGCAATCCTCCCAGCTCAGCCTTTTGATTAACTGGGACTATAGCACATGCCACCATGCCTGGCTTATTTGTTAATTTAATTAAAAGAAAAAAAAAAACTCTGTAATAGCAAGGGATCTCCTGTCTTCAGGGCCGTAGATAAGATTGACTCAACCTCACACACACACACCCCAAGCTGCTCTGGAGGGAGGTCCAAACACCTCTTCAAATCTCTGCTAATTCATCAGAACTTGCATTCTCATTCCAAGCCCTTCTCACAACATATATGTATACTGTCACCGCTTTGCCCCACCTCAACCCAGACATTGCATTCCATCCCTTCACCATTTCCCACACCCTCTGAATGCATCTGGATCCTCTCAGAGGTGGATTCGTCATAAGGCTGATGAGCTCGTGATGCATAACCTTCACAGGTTCTCACGCAGGTTCCTTCCAAAACTCTGTTTCTATTTGCTTCACTTGTGACTTGATGCCATTTTTCAGAAAGAAGTCCTCTTCAACTGCATGAACTTCAGACCCCACAGAACTTGACTCCACACATACCAAGCACTCATGACTATTTTAGCAGATCTTACTTGTAGCTTTGGAGTTAGAAGCCACTGAATTGACTGGTACACTGCCCTAACATCCTTATTGCCCCTATTCTCCTTCTCCTATTTCCTTTTATGTCTACTTTCTCATCTTTTGCTTTGTTGGGGGGCCTTTCCTAATCTAATCAATAGACTCTTTTGTTGAACATACCCCTGAGATCTTCATCTCCACCCTAAGCATCTCATAAGCATATTTATTCCAAACAGATTTTTCACCACATCATTGCACAGATACCTACAGGGAAGCTATAGGCTGTGCAATTTAATCCTGCAACATAAGGAAGAACATGAGCCTGGGAGACTTGGTTCGGTCCTGGTTCTGACCTGACTAGTTAGCTGACCATGAACAAAACACTTCAACTCTTGGAGCCTCAGTGTCTTCACCTCGAAAATGAGGCAGTTGGTCTTAGGTCTATTGAATGTAATTCAACTGTTTATTGAATGTAAGTTCTTTAAGGACAAGACTTGGTCTTATTCACTGTCTGGCATGTAGATGTCCAGTTAATATCTATTGATTGATTGGTTTTAAAATAAAAATAATATCAACATCAGAAACATGTTGTAATGATTAAATGTAAAACGAGATACACACAAAAAGTATTACGTTAACGAATCCAGCCCTCAACCTCAAGCATCTTATACTTTAAGAGGAACTGAAAAAAGTAGTAGAAACTCTCAAAGAGCTGCTGAGACCATAGAGACAAAGGCTGAATTTTGCCCTAAAATATCTTTTTTTTTTTTTTTTGAGACACAGTCGCGCTCTGTCACCCAGGCTGGCATCCAGTGGCATTATCTTGGCTCACTGCAACCTCTGCCTCCTGGGTTCAAGCGATTCTCCTGCCTCAGGCTCCCAAGTAGGTGAGATTACAGATGTGCACCACCACGCCCAGCTAATTTTTGTATTTTTAGTAGAGACAGGGTTTCACCATGTTGGCCAGGCTGGTCTCGAACTCCCGACCTCAGGTTATCCACCCACCTCAGCCTCCCAAAGTGCTAAAATATCTTTTATAACAAAATAATGTCTATCTCCAGAGAAATTCTTGGATGGTTTGGCATCATCACCTAAAATATCAATTGAGAGATCCAAACCAAACTGAAACTAGACAATATAGCATAAAGAATAAGATGACAGTTTTTTAAACAATACTCACCATAGAACTTGGTATCCAAATAATAGTATTCTTTCTTTAGTTTGTCAGAAATTATATTAATAGATTTTTAATTTAAAGTATAGCAAGACATATATGTATATGTATGTATATGTTCATATGCATATAAATATCATTTAAGATCTTCCTGAAGCTGTTTCCATCTCCCAGTGGTGGTATATGATTTATCCTTGGAGGAAATCTGCTATTTTGCTTAGGAAAATCCTTTAAAGAGATTTTTGGCTATGTTTATGAAAGGGCAGACCCAAGGCCTAGAAGGAGAAGTTGAACCAGGAAAGTGAAATTGCCCAGTAGAGTGGATTTTCTTTCTTGGGGGCAAAGATGGTTATGATGTTAATTTAGGGCTGCCCTGAGAACACCAGAGGCAAGGACTTATAGCTCTGAGAATTGAAGGGAAAAATACATGACAAAGGTGACTTTAATTTGAAGAAGATGTAGGCCCTAGCAACATAGTTTTAGCCTAAGGTTTAAAGAAGAAAATAGCCCCTATCCTGTAAATGCTGTGAGAAGCTTAGGGTGCAGAGATGTCTGAGATCCACTTTTTAGTTTTCCTGTGCTGTGTATCGTCCTTGGTCCTTGGATGCCTTTAGTTAAGAGTGGTACATACAACAGGGGCAAGGAGGGCTAAAGGCCCCTCGGTGTCCATGCTTGGGACAATGCCTCTATGAGAGGCCAAGAGGTGACCAAGAACAGAGCTTCTCAAATCTTGATGTGGATCTGAATCCCTGGGGAGCTTGCTAAAATGCAGATTCTCGTCAGAAGGTTAAGGTGGGGCCAGGAAATACCCACCTACTGCTGGAGGGGGTCAGACAGACTTTGAGTAACTGAAATCTGTGGAATGACTCTGGAGCAGCAGAGGTGGTGTGGGCAAGGGCAGTGGCAAGTGACGATCAGGACATGAAAGCAATCTCCAGCAATCCTCGGGTATTCAACAGGGAACTGAATTTCCTACAGAATGGTACTCGATGGTGGAAACTTGGACTGAGATTACATCAGTCTTTTTCACAATATTTTCTTTTTTAATTTCACTGCCCGCCACTCTTTGTGAGCAAATTGGCAGGCATCGAGAAACAAATAGGTAGCAAACACCCATTAACAGAAAAAAGTATGTACTTGGTTTTACAGCTTGGGTGATTTTCATGCTCATGGCCATGGTTTTATAATGCATGCTTATAAGATAGTCATATTTCCTGCCTGTAAAACGGTTCACAGTTTGTCTAATGGAGTCAAATACATCACACATTGTTGTATTCCATAAATAGCATCAAGGCTCCCAGTGGTCTGCTCCTTGGAGGCGTTGTAGTATTTTAGGTCACAGTGGGTGTGGGGACTGTAGAGTTTTTATGTTTTCACCGTTTCCTCTCTGAGAGTTTGGGCAGCATATGTAAACATATTTAATATAAGTTTACTTACATAACATAACTAAGATATTTAAAACCTCACCTGCTTACCTAGACCTATCCTTTCAGAAATTTATTACTACTGCACAGGAGAAAACCTGGACATACCAGCACCACAGAAAATAACTCACATTCTACCCCATCGGCGCTTCTCCTGAAACCATTCCTAAGCCCCCAATTAAGTCAACAACCAATCCTTTGCAGAGTGAAACACACATTAAGAAAGAATACTCATCTCTGAAAGAAAATATGGCCATTCACATCAATATCCTGCAGTATGTACTGCCAAAAAAATTGTAGAGTTAAAAAAATTCAGACATATAATCTGTTGTTTGCTATGCAACTGGCTATTTTCTATACAATTATACACTGGTAGACCAACTGTTCAGCATTAAATTGATATTTTGTGGATAAGATTAACCAGTTTAAATAAAAACAGAATCTTAGTTGGCAAAACCTTAAAGGTCACCTAATTCAAGAGCTCTGCTGATGTTAGAGTGCTCTTTTCACAAGTAGCATGGAGACTATGGTCAATTACTTCTGGTAATGGGGGATCTAGTTAATTTTTTTTGGCACTTCTAACCATTGGAAAGTTCTCCTTAAGTGAAACCGAAATGTATTTTCCTGTGCCTTCTATGCGTTGGTTCTAGTTTTACCCTTTATAGACATTTGAAACAATCTAATCCCTCTTTCACATGACAGCATTTCAGATATCTCAAAATACTATTATTTTTTTCCAGCCTGTTAGTTTTCTACATTATAAAAGCTTCCTCCCGAGGTCATTAATTGAGCCTCAAATGGCACTGTGTTAAGTCCATTGTAATCCCAAGTATAACCATAGCCTTTACTATGGAATAGGTAAAGCTATTGCAAAGATGGTCCCTGAAAAAAAATGAAGAAAAAAAACTTCATGGTCCGTGTTCAGATATGTTCTGTATGCAAACTCTGGGCTAAATAAAGTCAAACAGACTTTTTTTTTTTTTTTTTTTGCAGGAATTCTCAGTCTTTAACATGCTAGTATGCTTTGTGAAACTTTAAAAAGAAACAATATAAAGCGGTTCTCAAAAATACAACTGCATAATTTCCAACATTAATAAGTGTCACACTAACAAGGAACATTGACATTCAAATTGGACTGTCCTGAGTCCCATATTCAACTTTTCTACTTTCTGACTATGTAACCTTGAGGAAACTCCTTAAACCCCTCAGAGACTCATTTTTCCTCTCTTGTGAAATTGGGATAGTAATGCCTACCCCACCTGGTTACCAGGAGAACAAAAAATACAGTAGATAACATATAATACCTTATTTACTGTCCAGCACATAATTACTGCTCAATAAATGAAGTAATTATTAGATTTCCATATGTTCCAAAGAATACAAGCTCTTCCCCAATTATTTCTATCAAATACAACTATGTCCAAATGGATAGAATTAAAGATTTCTATGAGCTTTTGCATTATACTCTTGCTTCATCCTTCCTTAAAGGAAACACACACCCAAAAATCTCTTCCTCCTCAAAGCAATAAAATAAGTGTGCATTGCAAAGCATGCTGGAATTAGTAGAGAAAAAAAGGAGGAAATTTAAGAAGCCTTTGGAAGGCTATATATATTGGAACAGGATTAGAGCTACATAAGTTGTCTCCCCAGTTGCAGCATCTACCCACCCCTTGGAAACAAGAAGCAAAAAGAGAAAGAGTTGTTGAGTTTAATAAGCACAAATATGTACTTCCCAAACTCTCTCTTTGCAAATTATTATTATGGGTCCCTGTTGTTCCTGGGGAGAGTAAAAATTAGAGTTAGCAGCATGAAAAGCTGGTGGATCAACTTTGGCAGTGAATAAGAGATACCTTGTTGGTATTGTGATGATTAAATGATATGCTATGTGTAAAGTGTCTAGAATCAAAGAAATCGGACATTGTTATGATCATCACCATCATCAACAGCACCATCAAGGAAGAGGAAAAGTGCCCCACATCGTGCAAGTAAACAGGGGGGTGGAACATTGACCCCATGTTGTGGTAAGGCAGAGCCACCCGAATTAGAAGAAATCCTTGCTAAATGTTAATTCCAGCACCAGCTCCGCCCCTGCCTAGCTGTGTGACTTTGAACAAGTGATCTTTATGATGTTTTCGGCTTCCTCACTTGTAAAAATCCTCTTTGAGTCTTTCTAGCTCTAACATTCTGACCTTAGGATCATCTGCACCAGGTACTGATTGTGAAAGGCAGTGACTGGAGTGTTTGCTATCAGGGAGGGAAATACTGATGATAGGGAGGAGAAGGAGAGCCAAGCTATGGGCAGCTCCTCAGTCAGCAAGCACTGAGTGGGAGGGAGGAGTTGCTGGGAAAGACCAGCCCAGGACAAAACACCCACATGGGATGTCTTCCTGGGCTGCGCTAGTTGGTATTTACATAGCTACCAAGTGTGTGCGTGTGTGTGTGTGTGTGTGTGTGTGTGTTTCTTTGCAGCCTTAGCCATGGTGGAGCTCAGTGTTAGGCAGAAGAGCAAAGAATATAAGCACGTGCTTTACAGTGACAGAACAGTCCCAGATGGGTTGCCACATAAAATGCAGGATGCTTAGTTAAATTTGAATTTCAAATAAACAATAAAAAAAATTTAGTATAAATATGCCCCAAATATTGCATAGGGCATCCTTATACTGAAAATGATTTGTTATTTACCTGAAATTTAAATTTAACTGGGCATCTTTTAATTTTATTTGCTCATTCTGGCAGCCCTGAGTCCCAGGGTTAGCTGCTCATAAAGAAATAGAGTGTATACACAGTTATTTTATACAATGGGCAGAGAGAGATGAATCTCACCACTTAGGATTTCATGTACAATTAGCCCCTTGTATAGACACTTAACTTGCACCTCTGGAAGCATAAGCTTTATGTGGTAACTTGTCAAGGTCAGAGCATCCCTGGACCAGCATTTGAAGAAGACGTGTGCCTAAGTAGGAAAATCGTTTTTCTTCTCTGCTCATGCAGACAGCATAGTTAGTAATTGAGTAAATGTCTTTGACATTAAGCTGACCTGGATTCAAATCCCAGACCTTTGGTGGCTCAATGTGTGGCCTTAACCAAGATACATAGATTTTTGCAAGCCTCAATTCCCTCAAGTGTAAAATAAGAACAATAGCATCTAGTTCATGGGGCATTCCTAGTGAGATACTCCAAGTACTCAGTGCACGTCAGGTAGTAAGCACCCAGTGAGGTTCACTAAGGTTATTTTGTGCATTTATGTATTAATTCACTTGTTTTATCTAAATGATTAATTTGTCAGAATAGAACACATGCATTTATTCTTACCCCCCATTTATTTCCGGAAAGAATGATGCAGATAAGAAATATGTGGCTCAGCCAGGTGTGCTGGCTCACGCCTGTAATCCCAGCACTTTGGGAGGCCGAGGCAGGCAGATCACCTGAGTTGGGGAGCTCAAGACCAGCCTGACCAACATGGAGAAACCCCGTCTCTACTAAAAATACAAAATGAGCCAGGCGAGGTGACGCATCCCTGTAATCCCAACTACTAGGGAGGCTGAGGCAGGAGAATCGCTTGAACCCAGGAAGCAGAGGTTGCAGTGAGTGGAGATTGTGCCATTGCACTCCAGCCTGGGCAACAAGAGCAAAACTGCATCTCAAAAAAAAAAAAAAAAAAGAAGAAAGAAAAAGGAAAAAAAAGAAATATGTGGCTCTGTGTAGAATGGAGGCATTGTCTAGGGCAAGTGAGAATGAGGGTGAAGAAGTAAATGTATAAAGCATTGAGAATTTCCAACTGAGCAACTTGTTTCTACAATTGGAGAAGCTGAGGAAACTATCTGGGCTTCTAAACCAATATTAAGATTAGAATATTTCTCAGCTTGCAGAAATAGTAGAAAGAGAAAGGCTAGTATCCTATTCGTTTCCCCTTTCATTTCTTTAGGAGCAAACCACTTTCTACCCTGTGACCTTCACAGTAAAAACAGTCTATAAATTTACTAGGTGTCATTTTATTGTCCTCCACTACTTTTGACAACTGCAATATAAATTTCGGTCCATAAATTCAAAACGCAAAAAAGAATTGTTTTATTTTTCCTTTAATCTACCTATGTGTGCTCCCAAGCCCTCATTCTGCTAAGTGCCAGAAATTTCATCTTTGTTACCTCAGAGTTTTGTCCCTATCCCCTCCAGGGGATGCATCTGAGATGCATACAGTAGACTTAAACTACGAGGAAATTTCATCAGGTTCTGGGTCTCCCTCTGTACATTTTGGCCCCTTCATGACATTCCGCACCACACCCCTCTGCAGTCCTTGATCCAATTCAGCTTTCTGAGCATAGCAAAGAAGCAACTGGATGTTCATAGAATATTGATAAAGGAGGAGTGGAAATGTTAATTGCGTTAGTTGGTTGCTTAGTTGCTGGGGTAGCTTTTCCCCTGGTTGGAAAGAAATTGTCTCAGGATAAGAGCCAGATTTGAGAGAAAGGGGTACACCATCCACATTTCTTTTTCAGTCTTGGAAAAAGTCTGAATAACCAAAGCAAGGTGGGGTGTCAGAGATTGGCACTTGGAGTGAGAGGCAGTTCGGAGCTTCCCAGAGCAGGATGAGATCAGCCCCAAGAGAAAGCAAGGAGCTCTCTCTCCTTCAGGAGAGGGGTGGCAAATTAGCGAGATGCAAGCATGAAAACTGAGCTAGGAAAGCCATTCGGCTGACAAGCCTGGATGAATTCAAGCAGCAAGAGGAAGAGCTAAAACATTTTTAATACTCAAATTACAAGTGTCTCCCAGGAAAGCTAAGGGAAAATGCAGGGAAACTTAAGATGTAAGAGAAAGTAAATGCTTTCAAGAGAACAGAAAGGGAAGTTAAGTTGTATTAGGTTGAAAGAATGCTTGTAAGGTTACAAGAAGTGGTACTTCACCAGCCTTTTCAAAAAGTGTTTATATAAATCTTCTCTGATGCAAAACAAAACAGCAATTAGAGGTCATGAATTACTCACCTGTTATTTTAGTGAAATGTTTTATACAAAAATTAAAATTTGCTGAATCATGTGCCATTTTTGTCTCCTCAGCTTTGTCTGAAATACTCCATTCACTAGGCCTTTGTACCAATTAGCAGGCTTCCCCCAGTCATTGTCTGATGGTAGCTACCAAAATTATAGTTAACATGGTGCTATAGTTTGAATGTGTCCTCTATAAGTTCAAGAGTTGGAAACTTGGTACCCAATGCAGCAGTGTTGAGGGGTAGGACTTTGGGGAGGTAATTGGGTCATAAGTACTCCACCTCATGAGTGGATTAATTCCTTCATGGATTAATGGACTCATGGATTAATGGATTACAGGGTTATAGAGGGAGTGGGTTAGTCATCACAAGAGTGGGTCTGTTACAGAAGCCAGTTTGGCCATTTTTCCTAAGTCTCCTAACCACGTGGTGCCCTGAACTGTCTCAGAACTCTGCAGAGCCACCACCAGCAAGAAGGTCCTCACCAGATGCAGCCCCTTGACCTTAGACTTCTCACCTTCAAGAACTGTAAGCAATAAATTTCTTTCTTTTGTAAATTCCCTAGTCTAAGGTATTCAGTTATAGCAACAGAAAATGGACTAATACATATGGCTAGTAGATAATGATCTGCCTTAGGTTTTGAAACCTGTTTGAAATCTCTAAGGCCCAGGATCTTACCCAACCTCTTTTTTTAGGTTAGCACTAAATTTCAGTTACTAAATAAAGTGTTAGTTTCCTCCAACAGGGCCCTGTATATCTAATGCCTGCTTAATGTCTCCTCTTGAATGTCTTAATGTCAATTCAAATGGAACTACTCTTACCATCTTCCTTCCCCAAAACAGGTGGTCTTCAGGGCTGTCTCCATGAAGTCATCACCAGCCTTCCCAGGCCAGGACTCTCCATGCCATCCTTAGCAAGGTCCTCACTTTATGTAATCAACTCCTAATTTCTATTTTGTTTTATCCTCCAGATAATTTTTGAAATTTTCCTCCTTCAGCTCTACCATCCCAGTCTAGGCATTATCATCTCATACCTGCCAGGGTTTCCTAACTGGCCTATGCTCATCCAGTCTGCATTGCCCCCATCTGTCCTCCACTCTCCAGCTAGAGTGATTGATGTGACATGAAAATCATAAGTTGTCCTCTGCTTAAACCCTTCAATGCACCCTGCTTTTCTTAGGAGAAGAAAACAAATACCCGGCATCCATTTCCAGGTCCTGCATGATGTGATGGTGAGTCTCGCAAACATTAGCCATCCTAATCACATGCCTTTGCTCCCTCCACTCCACTCACACAAGTATTTGGTAATTACATCCTTCCTCTCCCTAGGGGCATTTGCATATGTTGATTACTCTGCCTGAACCTGCTTTTCCCTCCCATCTGCACCTAATTAATGCTTACTCAGCCAAGCATTACTTCCCCAGAATCCTGGCCAAGTCTAATGCCCATTATGTGAGTTGTTGGGGCACCCTGTCTCTCTCCTCTATAGACCTTCTCCTTTTGTAAGTTTGTATCTGTTTCCCTAATGATTTGACTAAATGTCTGTCTGGCCCATTAGGGTGAAAACTTAGACTCTGTTATGGGTTGCATTGTGTCCCCACAAACAAGATAATGTTGAAGTCCTAATCCCAAATGCCTGTACATATGTCCTTATTTGGTACTTGGGTCTTCGCAGATTTCAGCAAGTTATGATGAGGTCATTAGGGTCAGCTGAGTTCATATGACTGATGTCCTTATAAGAGGAGGGAAATCTGGACACAAACATTGACCCACAGGGAGAGGGGAGAACACTTGTGAAGACACCAAGACACACAGACAGAGGGAAGATGGCCATGTGCAGATGGAGGCAGGGACTGGACTTATGCTGCCACAAGACAAGAAACACCTGGGGCTGCCAGATGCCGGAAAAGGCAGGGAAGAGTCCTCCTCCAGAGTCTTCAGAGAGAACATGACTCTGCAAGCACCTTGATTTCAGACCTCTAGCCTCCAGACCTGTGAGAATAAATGTCTATTGGTGTTAGGCACCCAGTTTGTAATACTTTGTTACAGCGGCCCTAGGAAACTAATACACACCATAACCCATATGAGGGCAAGAACCTTATGTATTTTTACTCAGCATTGACTTCCTAACTTCTATCTCAGAAGAAGTGCCTGGTTATGTAATCATTCCCTGTAACAATAATCTTTAAATAAGGAAGGTGATTTTCACAATTACCTAGGGAACTTTTACCAGGTGGGCAAGAGCCCACCATGAAGTCTACCCCAAGAAGATTCACCCACATATCTATAAAACATTTAATAAAAGAAAGAAATCTTCCTTCTTATACCAGATTTCCGTAGCAAGTATTACCTGAGTCATTAGGGCAGCACGCCCTTCTTTCCCTGAATTATCTGGGTAATTGCACAACTGCTTCACTTCGGTTGCATAGATAGTTAACTGCGCACATTTGGTGTGGTAATTGGGTAGTGGCCAAGGAACACAAAATACATGGCTTCAAAGCAGGTGCTTACAAAAAGGACTCCACTTAAACTGAAATTCAGCCCAAAGAGTTGATTAGAAACAACTCAAAAGGGTCAGTTAGTGAGTCTGAGCACTGGGGGAAAGGGGCAAATAATACTGTCTTTTTCTTTAAACCTAGTCAGAAGAGAAGACAGGAATATATGAAACAGGAGCAATCACAAGAACGTAACAGAGGACACAGGTGTCATGTTCATGGCACAGAACAGAAGCCCCATAGAGTTCAAAAGACGGGATGACTGGAGATATCCTTGACACATTGAGCTAAAAAAAAAAACTAAAAACAAGGCCAGGCACAGTGGCTCACACCTGTAATCCCAGTACTTTGGGAGGCCAAGGTGGGTGGATCGCCTGCGGTCAGGAGTTCGAGACCAGCCTAGCCAACATGGCGAAATCCCATCTCTACTAAAATACAAAAATTAGCTGGGGGTGGTGGCAAGTGCCTGTAATCCCACCTACTCGGGAGGCTGAGGCAGGAGAATTGCTTGAACCTGGGAGGTGGAGCTTGCAGTGAGCCGAGATCACGCCACTACACTTGAGCCTTGAGCCTGGGCGACAGAGCAAGACTCTATCTCAAAAATAAATAAATAAATAAATAAATAAATAAACAAAAAAGCAAGTTATGAGACAATATGTTTATTGTTTTTACATAGAATAGAAACAAAGTTCCCATGCATGTGCCTATATGTTTATATAATCACAAAGAAATAAGGAAAGTAACAGAGGAATGTAGGTGGGAGAAGAGGCAACTGGAGAAAACTTTTATTTTTCTTACATGTATCTGTATCATCTGAATTGTTCAAATAAGAGGGGATTAGTTTTCTAATTCAAGTAACAGAAACTTTAAAATCACACCTCCAAAAAAGGAAAAAGTATTTATCCTCACATTTAGTCTTTCAAAACGAGACTAGCCTATGAATGATACTTTTAGTTCTGTCAATCTTCTATTATTTCTCTCAGGTAAGAATAATTAAGACCACAGGGGAAAACATCCACCTGTCTCTGTGTATGAGGCCCCAACTGGCCATGTCTCACAAGAAGCACCTCTCTGCAAATGGACACGTTTCACCACATGGGCTGCAGAGAAACCATTTTTTGTGTTCCTCTTCCTCCACTCCAGAAAATAAATACATACACAATACATTTGCAGCCAAAAGAAAACCCTATCACCCTGATCCAGGGGCTCGCATTCAGCAGGCTGCCATGGTGTGCAGTATTTAGGTGGTTGGTAAGGGTGACTGAAGTCTTAGTGTATCTGATCATGCCAGGCCTAAGGAATTAGTCAGAGCTGGGTTTGCAAGTGGTGGCATTTTAATGATTTATTGAATTTCTCTTAAGGTCAGTAGTTTATGATTTGCCATTTTTTTAGAAAAATAATCTATAAGAAAAAAAGGTCTATTTTGCTTTACAGGAACTTTCTAAGTGCATGCTTTAAGAGGAGAAAATCAGTACAAATAGCCACTGTAGCATACCTCATGCCTAACCTCGTCACATGAACTCCAGCCCAGATAAGCAGCTTTCTGAATGTTATTGGTGGAAATATGATTTTCAGAGGGAAAAGAAACCATCCTTGGGTCAGAAAGTTGGTGTTATCAGCTTGTAACATTATTCCTTGTTGTATAATTTTATCTCTGGGACCATTATTTCACTTCAAGTGGACTGGAAATTCAGAGTTAGCCTGATCAGTCATCTCACTCAAGGGCCTTCAAATGCATTTTTTTCATATTCTGAGGTGCCTGTGTGGCATTCACATTTTTTCTTAAAGTAGTTAGGGTCACAGGTAGAAAATATGACAGTTAATTAAAAGGAGCTGATAAGTGCTTCCTCCAGAAGGCCAGTTCTGCCAGGAGCCCCTGACTAAGGACCAGACTCTGTCCCGTTAGGGCATGATCATTCGTCTCCCGTGAAAAAGTAATGCAGAGTCATACATAAAAATCATTCAAAGAGTAAGAAAAGATGAAAAAAAATCACACTTCCTAATTGCCGTTGAAAATCCTCTCCCCAAGCCTTTGCTGCCTTGTAAGGTTTATTAATGTGTTTACTATTTAAATAAATAGGTATTAGGTGTCCACCCTACACAAGATGCTGTTCTAACCTCTGGAAACATGATGGTGGTTGTGCAGATATGGCTGGTGGCATCATGAGGCTCAGCATTGACTTCCTAACTTCCATTGGTAGGCAATGCTATTTAAAGACAGCGTTGCAGAATGTGACATGGTGGAGGACGTACGGCCGCAATCCCCAACCTTTCTGGCACCAGAGACCAGTTTCATGGAAGACAATTTTCCCATAGACAGGGCAGGGGAGGGGTTATGGTTTCGGGATGAAACTGTTCCACCTCAGATCATCAGGTGTTAGATTCTTATAAGGAGTGTGCACAGCCTAGATCCCTCACATGCGCAGTTCACAATAGGGTTCATGCTCCTATGAGAATCGAATGTGCAGCTGACCTGACAGAAGGCGGAACTCAGCTTCGCTTGTTCACCTGCTGCTCACCTCCTGCTGTGTGGCCTGGGGCTGGGGACCCCTGCCGTATAGAATTCACAGCAGGGCATGGAAACCAGGCTGGGACGTGAGCAATCTGAGTTTAAACAGGAGCACACACAACATGGCAAGAGGGGAGTGAGAGAGGGAGGGGATGTTTCCAGAGCACAGGATCTGAATGAGTGAGTGCTCGCTCCGTAAGTCAGAGAGAGCCTGGAGCCCCGTGTGAGCGTGAGGACTCTGGTATGGGTGGAACAAAGATTATGAAAAAGGAAACAGTGGGAAATAACCCTGGAGAAGTGAGGAAGATGCTGGACTGCTTCTGGATTTCGGCCTAAAAACAATGAGAAGTCACTGGTAAGCTGTATGTAGACAAGTCATACGATCACATTTACAGTTTAGTAAATATCCAGACCATAATGTGAACACCAAATCAGAAGGATTCGCCATAAAATTCAGAGGAGACATTAGGGAACTTAGTGGGAATGAGGTTGGAAGGCAGTGGACATAACCGGTTGATATTGAGGAGGTAGAAATGACAAGACTTGCTAATTGCTTGGATGTGGCAGACAAGTCTAAAAGAAGAGCCAAACCTGACTCCCAGGTTTCTGCCTTGGTCACCCAGGTAGAGAATGATGTCATTCATTAACACTGTGAACACATCAGGAGGGACAAGCCTGAGGCAGAAATCCAGGTTTACATTTGTGTTAACAGGATGCCCAGGGAGGGAGAATTTTAAAATAATTATGCCAGCCTTTTACCATCTGGAAAGAGGTCTCCTTGGGGAAGATTTTGTTATTCTTGTTGTTCTTGAAAGAGTAGTTTGGCTGTTTTGTAAAAATTAAAGTTAAAAAGCACCCCTTGCCCTGGGGAAAGGTGCATTTAAAAACCTCATCCTTCCAGAGACTTAGGAAAAGTAGTCCTTCTCTTTAGTATATAAGAAGATAAACCAATTTGCTTGATAAACCAGAAGCCCAGTAGCCCAGAGGCCTTCTGAGAGATGGCCTCTGGTTTTACCAGGGTTTTACCTTAACTCAAAGGTATAGACACCACTGAGCAAGAACTGGGGACCATGATGTAGGTCTAGTGTCAAGAAGACCTCAAGAATCCTAGAGGAGGCCGGGCGCGGTGGCTCACGCCTGTAATCCCAGTACTTTGGGAGGCCGAGGCGGGCAGATCATGAGGTCAGGAGATCAAGACCATCCTGGCTAACAGTGAAACCCCGTCTCTACTAAAAATACAAAAAATTAGCCAGGCATGGTGGCGGGCGCCTGTAGTCCCAGCTACTCGGGAGGCTAAGGCAGGAGGATGGTGTGAACCTGGGAGACGGAGCTGGCAGTGAGCCGAGATCGTACCACTGCACTCTAGCCTGGGCGACCGAGCAAGACTGCGTCTCAAAAAAAAAAAAAAAAAAAAAAAAAAAGAATCCTAGAGGAGAACTCACCAGGAATAGGGACATGTGGTCCTGCAGTCTCATCTATTGGCCCAAAGACTCTTGGAAATGGCCAGCTCCCACACAGTGTTAAGCCAAAGTTGGAAATCATCCCCTCTTGGCTTGAGTGTTGATAAATAGTGTCTGTGCGTGTGAGCTGGAGCCCTGGAGCCCAAGACAAGGCCAGCGTCTTCAGGGGTCTTCAGGGGGTCTGAAGCAGTGGGTCCATCATTGGGACAAGAACAGCTTTCAACAGGGGCACTACCTGGCAGTGAAAGCAACAGCAAGAAAGAATCTCTAAGAGCATCAGGGATTGGCACTCTTTAATCTGAGTAGATTTTGGAACATTTTGGACAAATCAGCGTTGACAGGAGGTCCAAGAGAGACATATTAGAATTTCTGTTAATAAAAGCAGGTGGGCCTTTGAGCTACTGAATGGACAGCTGGGAGATTTTACTCTACATGCACTAAAAACTGGTGAAGTAGGGCACACTGCCCACGTATTTGCTATATTTGTTAACATAATTGCTCTACTTTTAAAATCAATGCTTGAAGTCTATAGCAGAATGAGAAAAGGCTATCAATGTTATACATTTATATATTGTTACACAATTTTTCAAAGCACTTTTCTAAATGTGGGGAAACGTTCACTATTTTTGTCAGCTCATCATCCTGTCTCCTTTATTCTGGCCACAAAACTGCTCTTTTCTGTGAGGGACCCACTCCATGTGGTTTAAATGGGGCTAATCCTGCCCAGAGGGCTGGACTCATGAGAAGGGGCTGGATATGTAACCTAAGCCAGTAAGATGGGGATACGTGGCTCAGGTCAATAAGAAAATTCTCCATGACTTTCCTAACCTATATATGAGGGAAAAACTCTTTCTCTGGAATCATGACTCAAAAGAATGATAAAAACCTGAAACTGGCCGGGCGCAGTGGCTCACGTCTGTAATCCCAGCACTTTGGGAGGCCAAGGCAGGTGGATCACTTGAGGCCAGGAGTTTGAGACCAGCTGGGCCACAAGGTGAAATCTGTGTTTACTAAAAATACAGAAATTCGCCAGGCGTGATGACACATGCCTATAGTCCCAGCTACTCAGGAGGCCGAGGCAGGAGAATTGCTTGAACCCGGGAGGCAGAGGTTGCAGTGAGCCGAGATCACGACACTGCACTCCAGCCTGGGCAACAGGGCAAAAAAAAAAAAAAAAAGAAAAAGAAAAAAAGAAACCTGAAACCAGCTATATCATGTGGGAGTCTATGAACGTTTTTAGGTTGACTAGTACTATCATTCATAGCCTGAAAGATTGGAAACTACTGAATTAAAGGAAGAGGATGAGATCTGGAAGGGGAGAGCAGTAGACCGAAAGACTTGCCTGCTTTCCTCTGAGGGGTGTGGCCAGACTGAAAGGAAAGTAGGGGGGGTAGGGGGCAGCACCCCGCCTTTTCCTCTGACCTTCTCTAGGGATAACACCTTCTCTCCTGAGATTCTGGCCAACTGAGAATTCCTCCTCCTGGAAGTAGAGTTTCTCTTCTCAAATTTGAAAAAGAAAAGTAGAACCTAGAGTAAATGATGCCAGTAAAAATGGCATATTTCTTGGCAGAAGGCTCTCTGCCAATGAGGTATGTCAGAGACAGACAAGGCAGCCATGAGTTCACCCAATTTCTGATGTTATTTTACTGTGAGGACTTTATTTTTTCTTTTGTTAAGGTTTTCTGTGTATATTAATGCATTAAATCTCATTAAATAAATAAAAATCTGCTTCCCACAAGTAGGTTTTATTGTGCAAGCCACACATTCCACAGAAGGAACACAGACTGGTGGTACTCACCCTGCACCCAAGTCTCGAACAAATAATAATCTTTTATTGTGGAAATACAGACTGGAGGCTGATTACTGGATTTGCTTTTTCTCTCACTTTAGCGGTAACAGATCATAGACATTATGCATGCATACACACACACGCACACCCTTAAGCAGTGTGGGATATGTACTACACAAATATTCATATATTTGTATATATAAATATCTTTGCACATATAGTGTATGTATAGCAAATGAACACATATATATTATTTATCTGTCAATAAGCATCAGACAACAAACAAAAATCATTCAATCCATAACTCTTGTTCTAACTGGCACATTTTCTTGCTTTAAACTATCCAGTTTTCCAGGTTTGCTAACAAGCAGTAAATTAGGGTTTTTGTTTTGTTTCCATTCATTTTTTCATCTTTCTAGCTAAGGAGGTGGGAGACAGCTGCAAAGTCATCGGAGGAAAAGCAGCAACAAAGAGCCTAGATAATCCACACACCAGATAACCCCTTCCTTTGTAATTAACTTAATACTCAATATTTATGTAGCAATCAATAAACAACTGCAATTGATTTACAGAAGATTATACATTCCCTGGGCACAAACCCTACGTTTACTCACCTTTGAATAGTAACAATCCCCACATAATGTTCTGCATGTGGTAGGTATTTAGTAATAATTATTTAATTAAATTCCACAAGTGACATAACCAACCTTATTTTACTTGGTTGTAAGTAACTTGAGTATCTCAGTTGGTACTACAGCAAACTAGGTCTTCCCGCACCCCCCTCCCTCATCTTCTACATCCCCACTGTCAGCAAGAATTCTTTCTGGGGTGGTTCTACTCATTTGTAACCTGAGGCCCATTCGTTTGTAACCTAGTGTCTCAATGATGCTTAAAATATCATGAATAATAGAGCAAGTGTGCCTATGATTGGTCATTGACAGACAAATTTTTGCATGCTCAATAAGCACCTAATAGAGGGAACTCCTTAGAATTTACATTTATTGTTATAGTGGCTAAGTTTTGTTAAAATCCAGCAAAAACAGAGTTAATTTCAATTAGTAGAAATAGGCTTAAATATAGCCTCCCAAGTTAGCCTAAAAGTTCTGCAATTTTACCATCCCATAGTGATAATGAAAAAATACTGTTCGTGAGTTTTCCTCTTTCATTTGGTTAAAACCCCCTCCTCCATATAAAATTAGATTCTATACTGATAGTATAATTACTGTATAATAGAGTTTGCTCAACCACTCAACACAAAATGCTTTGCTTTCATAGCATTTTAATATGAGCAGCATAATGGGCACCAGCTTGAAAATCAGCATGCCGGGAAGGAAGCTAGGACCCCAAACGAGCTTGAGTTTGTCAAATTTGGTTCAGCTGTTCAGCAAACTAGTTAATTCTAACCGACTTGACATGTGGATATCAAGCATTTTCTGTTCCCAGTCATGTATTTGGGTTAAAGAGAAAATGGTCTGGCTTCAGACCCACCATAATATCGACACCTGCCCTGCAGCTCTTTCAGGGCACAACACATGAGTGGCCTCGCCGCTTCCCATGCAGTGGGGAAATTGTATCTGTTCCACATTTATGGCTCTGAAGTGCTGATACTGAAAAGCCAGACATTCTCCATGACGCATCAATTTTAAATTAAATTTGACTTTTCTATTTCTCCCACTAAACACTGCTTTTATGGACTTAATGACTCTGTGTTGTACACCATATACTAAAACCATTTACTCCTTTGAGGACAAGAAATTAACACAGCTAATATAGTGAAACCCCCTATTTACGTAATTGCAATTTTCTCTTAGCCATAACAGAGGCTTTTTTGACTTCTTAAATGTCCAGTATTGCCAGAGTTAGCATAGTTTACGCAGCATGTCCACTTTATTCTCTAATTCCTCTGAAATAACTGGTAAATCTCCCTACTGTTTGTGGAGAGACTGATTCTAAAAGGCAATCAGTTTCTTTTACATACCTCCAATGAGTGCTAGAGAAACAGCCCAACAGGGGGCTTTCTTCACCCATTTTCTACAGGGATAACAAATTCAGGAGCCTGGACATGTAACATAAAATTAGGAAATGAGGCCAGGCGTGGTGGCTCACGCTTGTAATCCTAGCACTTTGGGGGGCCGAGGCGGGTGGATCACCTGAGGTCAGGAGCTCCAGACCAGCCTGGCCAACATGGTGAAACCCCATCTTTTTTTTTTTTTTTTTTTTTTTTTTGAGACGGAGTCTCGCTCTGTCGCCCAGGCCGGACTGCGGACTGCAGTGGCGCAATCTCAGCTCACTGCAAGCTCCGCTTCCCGGGTTCACGCCATTCTCCTGCCTCAGCCTCCCGAGTAGCTGGGACTACAGGCGCCCGCCACCGCGCCCGGCTAATTTTTTGTATTTTTAGTAGAGACGGGGTTTCACCTTGTTAGCCAGGATGGTCTCGATCTCCTGACCTCATGATCCACCCGCCTCGGCCTCCCAAAGTGCTGGGATTACAGGCGTGAGCCACCGCGCCCGGCCAGAAACCCCATCTTTACTAAAATACAAAAATCAGTTGGACATGGTGATGGGTACCTGTAATCCCAGCTACTCAGGAGGCTGAGGCAGGAGAATCGCTGGAACCCAGGAAGTGGAGGTTGCAGTGAGCCGTGATCATGCTACTGCACTACAGTCTCAGTGACAGAGCGAGACTCCATCTCAAAAAAAAAAAAAAATTAGGAAATGAACTGGGCATAGATAATAGGGCATCATGGGGCCTGTGCCACACTGCAGAGAGCACAACCCACTTAAATACAGTCCTTTTATTTTCCCTTTTTTTCTTTTAATATATATTGATCTGGCCAAAAGAACTACTACTGCTAGGCTAATACAGCACTTCCCAGTAGCACTTCTCCAAAAGGAGATACTACAAAAAAAATCATAAGCTTTCACCCTTCAAAACATTTTCCAAAATGTCTCCTTTTCATTAAGTTCAAAGTTCATGTAACTCCTGAAAATAGGAGATCTAAATATCCATCACTTGAGAATTTTTGTATCTGGGGTGAGGAAAATTCATGTAACTATTTGTAGGGTAAACACACCTGATAGCAATAACTTAAGCATACCCTTAGAATGGACCCTGCATGGCAGATGCACCCGAATGTCTATTCCAAGCTAGGGATTTGGGAGTGGCTAATCCAGAAATTTGTTCCTGATTATGAGGAACATCTGAGCCCTCAGCTCATCCTGTGGAACATGGGCCAAACAGAGGATTGAGACCCTGAATTTTTGGGTTAAATGAAGGTTGCCAGGTGGGACCTGGAAGAGGAAGGGGTTAAGGGAAAATGCTATATAAACTGCATGCTGTTTGCAATGCGGTTTTCCTGTCCGGCCCACCACCTTTGGACCATGCATAAGGTGGCTCTCCTGCCCAGCCCACCGCCACTGGACTCTCTCCCCTGGATATCAACCCCCAGTAAAACCCTATGTCTCATTTGCTGTTTCTGAGGCTCTTCTTTGGCCTCTTAAACCTGATGCCATCGCCATTGGAGTGCACAGAGGTTGGACACTACACTATTTTATTGATGCTTTAAATATATTTTATTATTTGTGCTGACTTGAAATTACAAGAAACATCCTGGGTAATTTAAGAATTTCTCTGCTTGTATTCCATATTTGCAACATTTTCTCTTGCCCTTCCTCCCAAAAGAAAATGCAATTGTCCACCCCCTTCCAGGCGGGCATGCCTTCCAAGACCCCCCATGGATGCCTGAAACTACCTAGAGAACTGAAACTGCTCCTCCACTTACAATGGAGTTACAATCCAATAAACCCATCCTAAGCTGAAAAATGTATTTAACGCACCTAACTACGGAATATCGCAGCTTAGTCTAGCCTACCTTGAACATGCTCAGAAGACTTACGCTAGCCTGCACTTGGGCAAAATTGCCTGACAACACAGTGCACTGCGTGCACTGCCTCTGCCCACTATCACGAGAGAGGATCATATGAAAAAATGCTCACCACTAATGATCAGGGAAATGCAAATCAAAACCACAATTTGATACTACCTTACTCTTACAAGAATGGCCATAATTAATAAATCAAAAAATAATAGATGTTGGTATACACGTGGTGAAAAGAGAACACTTTTACACTGCTGGTGAAAATGTAAACTAGTACAACCATTATGAAAAACAGTGTGGAGATTCCTTAAATAACTAAAATTAGAGCTACCGTTTGATCCAGCAATCCCACTAATGGGGATCTACTCAGAGGAAAAGAAGTCATTATATGAAAAAGATACTTGTACACACATGTTTATAGCAGCACAATTTGCAATTGCAAAAATATGGAACCAGCCCAAATGCCCATCAATCAACAAGTGGATAAAGAAAATGTGGGGTGTGTGTGTGTGTGTGTATGTGTGTGTGTACACCATGGAATACTACCCAGCCATAAAAAGGAACTAAATAATGGCATTCACAGCAACCTGGATGGAGCTGGAGACGATTATTCTAAGTAAAGAAACTCAGTAATGGAAAACCAAACATCGTATGTTTTCACTCCTAAGTGGGAGCTAAGCTATGAGGACACAAAGGCATAAGAACAATACAATGGACTTTGGGGACTCGTGGGGAAGGGTGGGAGGGGGCGAGGGATGAAAGACTACACTTTGGGTACGGTGTACACTGCTCGAGTGATGGGTGCACCAAAATCTCAGAAATCACCAGTAAAGTACTTATCCATGTAACCAAAAACCCCCTGTTCCCTAAAAACCTATTGAAAAACATACAAAAAAATAGTATTGTACTGCCTTCTACTGAATGCATATTGCTTTTGCACAGTCCTAAAGTTGAAAAATCATTTAAGTCAACCCATCATAAATTGGGGACTATTTGTCCATACCTACGATAAAATTTAATTTATAGGCTGGGTGCAGTGGCTCATGCCTGTAATTCCAGCATGTTGGGAGGCCGAGGCAGGGGGATCACCTGAGATCAGGAGTTCGAGACCAGCGTGGTGAAACCCCGTCTCTACCAAAAATACAAAAATTAGCTGGACGTGATGGCAGGTGCCTGTGATGCCAGCTACTCAGGAGGCTGAGGCAGGAGAATCCCTTGAGCTCGGGAGGCAGAGGTTGCAATGAGCTGAGATTGTGCCACTGAACTCCAGCCTTGGTGACAGAGCAAGACTCCATCTAAAAAAAAACTAATGTATAAATTAGGCCCAATAAGACATTAACAATAACTAAAAACAGAACAACTATAACAAAATGCTGTAATAGAAGTTATGTAAATTTGGTCTCCCTCTCTCAAAATATTTTATGGCACTGTACTCACCTATCTGAGACCTCAGTTAACCACAGGTCACTAATTCAAGGAAAGCAAAACATTGAATAACAGGGGACTGCTACTGGAGAAGACATTTATTGCATACATATCTCTAAGTGTAAATGTGGAACCCACAGTAATCCTCACGAAATACTCCACTATATGCACACTTTTCCCAGCTCCCTATGTCACTAGGTAGGACCACGTAACTGGCTTGGCCAATGAGCTGTGAGAAGAAGTTACAAGGCCACATCTGGAATGAAGCAATGAAAAGCCTTGGTACAGTTCTTTAGTCTCTTTCCCTGCCATGGTAACCAAAGGGGGAAGATTATTCCAGAAATTGCAGGTATAAGATGGAGAAGGCTACATCAGCCAGGTTCTGTGAGTGACTGTGTAAAACAAACTCCTTTCTCTTCCACCGCCTTAATTTGTTTTGTGCTGCAGTAACAGGATGCCTAAGACTGGATGATTTATAATGAACAGAAAGGTATTGGCTTACAGTTCTGGAGGCGGGGAAGTCCAGTATCACGATGACAGCATCTGCCAAGGGCCTTCTTGCTGCACCATCACATGGCAGAAGGGCAAAGAGAGGGCACAAGAGAGACAGAGAGCATGAGGGGGTAAACCCACTCCCCCAGTAATGGCATTAATCCATTTATGAGGGCAGGGCCCTCATGGCCTAATCACTCTTAAAAGTCCCACATCTTAATACTGTTACAATGGTAATTAAATTTCAACATGAGTTTTGGAGAAGACAATCATTCAAACCATAGCATCCACCTACCAGCAAGAAGAAACAAACATTGTCATCTGGGGGTGGGAGAGCTTGTTACAATATATACCTAGCCTACCCCAGTTAAAACAAGAATCATACATCTTTGCAGTAGTAAAGATTCTCTCCTTCACTAAACTTTAGTCAGGCTCCTCTAAGTCTGACCTTGGTGTCTACCTAATTGGGCCTGCATCATGCCATTTTAGCAAAAATCCTGCTAAGTCACTGTATTAGTTAGGGTTCTTTAGAGTGACAGAACTAATAGGATAGATGTATATGAAGGGGAGTTTATTAAGGAGTATTGACCCACATGATCACAAGGTGAAGTCCCACGATAGGCCATCTACAAGCTGAGGATCAAGGAAGACAGCAGTGGCTCAGTCCGAGTCCCAAACCTCAAAAGTAGGAAAGCTGACAGTGCAACCTTCAGCCTGTGGCCAAAGGCCCAACAGCCCCTGCCAAACCTGGTATAGGTCCAACAGTGCAAAAGCTGAGGAGCTTGGAGTCTGATGTTCAAGGGCAGGAAGCATCCAGCACAGGAGAAAGATGAAGGCTGGAAGACTCAGCAAGTCTGCCCATTCCACTTTCTTCTTCATTCCACTTTATTCTAGCCACACTGGCAGCTGATTAGATGGTGCCCACCCAGATTGGGGGTGGGTCCGCCTCCCCCAGTCCACTGACTCAAATGTTAATCTCCTTTGGCAACACCCTCACAGAAACACCTAGGAACAATACTTTGCATCCTTCGATCCAATCAAGTTGACACTCAATATTAACCATCATGGTCAGTTTAGAGAGAATTCTCCACCTGTGATCTCTGATCATTCTCAGCATCTTTTCAGATTCCTTATCCCCCACCCTGATCACCCTAGCCTGCCTTCAGCAAGAATCCTTGTAGGTCTGTTTAACCAAAACCCTCCCTACCGCTGCTGTTTCCTAATAGTATTTTCCATCCACTCACCCCTACCCTGCTTCTTGGCTATAAATCCCCACTTGTCCAAGCTGTATTCAAAATTGAGCCCAGTTCTCTACTGAGATCTCTTTTCTCCTATTACAATAGTTCCTGAATAAAACCTGTTTGGGCCACTTCATTGTCAAGCTCTAATTTTCCTTTAACAGCAGTAATTCTTTAATTGTGTCTGTCCATCCACTCATTCCACTTGGTTTCCCTCATAAATTCTAAGCTAGATCAGTATACAACCATAACTACCCCAGCAATTTTGTAAAGGGCAATTTTTATGAACCTCTAAGTTATCCCAAATTTTTTTAATTTACATTAAGTCAAATACAGAATCCCAAAATTAATTTTAAAGAAAAATGTTGTTTGAAATTAACATAGAAAAGAAAGCTAGTTTTCTATTTTTTTCTCCTTAATACACTGTGTAAAGTTTTGAACTGATGATATTAATATATAATATTGCACCTGCACTGTAATGATTATTACTTTGTTAGGAGGATACATATGTTCATCATTGACACACTAACTACTAAGTGTGAAGGTTTGATTGATTTAAGAGATTAAGGGATAATTTTGTTTTTAAAATCAGTCTTCCATGGAGGTAGTATCTGTGTGCTGTGGACAGTCTATAGGTGTTGCCTGTCACTGGATTGTGATGGATGAACACTCTATTCATAATTCAAACTGTCTCCCATTTGTTCATAAAAGCTGACAATGCAGAGAGAATTCTGCTGAAAGAGCCACAAAAGAGTGAATTACAGAGAAATGTAAAACAATATGACAGAGGAGCATTTGGGCCAAAAATAAAGCAACCAAATCCAACAAATCTAAAAGGAGTGATTTTTTTCTAATTTTTTTGGCCAAATAGTACATTCAAATGTAGGTTCAAACAGCAAGCCTGCTGGTTCTCTGTCAGCAAAAATGCTAAATAGGGGCTAAGTTGTCTTCCTGGAGGGTGAGGCGCATAGACAAACTGAAAAGCCACCTGAAGTTTCAACCAAAAGCCAATTTAGATCAAGCTGAGCAAACAGACAGGTCTGCTGCCCAATTCAACACCAAGCTGTTTTTTTGTTTTTTGTTTTTAATGTATATAAGTCAAAAAGTACTTTACAAGCCAAGGAAAACCCAGAGAGCAATGTATGGACTAATGACATAGTTCCCATTCAGGTCTGGGGCCTGGAGTGCAGCCTGGGGCAGTTCCCACTGTGCTTCCCAGCCCCCATCTGTGTTTTTCACTGGTAAATTCAGAATAAAAAGAAAGTCAAGTGTAGCAGAGGACTGTGTGGGTTAGGAAGGAAGGGCAGTTCCACCCAGTTGGTCCAAGTTAAAATGGAGGCTGTTACTTGCTGAGAGCAGATTTGCACTCCTTTTTTTTTTTTTTTAGCACCAGCTGAGATTCTGTCTCAATTGCCCTCAACATTGAGTCACTAACCAGCCACTGGGTGTGGAATTCTGGCAGCAGTAGCGCTTAACTCTGAGACTTCCCACTCCCCACCCACCAGCTCCTTGCCCTCTCTGCAATGGCTTTTTTTTAGTAATAGAGGAAAAAAACTTTGAAATCCTGTTAATTCTGAGTATTGTTTACAAGTGATTATTTCTGAAGGGGCAAGGAGTGTTTGCAAAGGCCACTTTGGTTATATGAGATTTAAAAGGTTACTGCAATTATTTTTTGGTGTATAAGATGCATTTGCATACATAATTTCACAGAAGAATGGGGGCATTTTATGTACTTTCATCATATGTTTATTGAAAGTGAACAGTTATGCTGTCTGCACAGACATAACTGGTATTTCTTTAAAATTTATCTTTTCCAGATTATTACTATATATTAAAATTTCTAATTATCTACTGGAGATGCATTATACTACATTTATAGGAACAAAATAATGTATTTTCTCTTTTGTAGACATGGCTGCCCGAAAGCAATTCAGTATTTTGCATCCTTGTTCAGTCAGTAACTATGACTTATTAGATGCAGGTGAGTTTTTTATACATTTGGAAGAGGATGTGTCTTATACACTTGCAAGAGCATTGATGTCTCTGGATCTGAGTGCCCTTGTCTGCAAAAAGAAAGAGCTGAACTCCAAGTACCTTCAGCACTGAAAGTCTACAGCTGGCAATGGCTGTACCACAAAGATTAAAACAAGGCAATTCAGTAAGGGTAAACAATAAATTAAAAAAATCACTGAAATTGAATTAACTTGGTAGACAAAAGCAACCCTTAGACCACCAACAGTCATTTTGCAAATATTAATTTTTTAACTAAGGAACAATTACATACGCCTTGTCTCTTTAAATTAGATTGGAAGTTCCTTGAGGTTAAAACCAATGTTTTTAATTAAGAATAAAATTTCCCTAGGACAGATCATACTGCCAGATAAACGGCCTAGCAATAGAATGTGTTCGTAGATACATTAAAAAGAACCCAGGTCTTAGAGCTCTCAGGCCAGAGATTTTTCTTTCCATTACAATTTTCTGTCATCAAGGTTCAATGTAGGAAGCTTCTAGGAGAGACAATAACAATTGGGAGGAAGAAATCCAAGAGCATTGAAATAGACATGAGCTACACAAGGATACTAAAGTCCTGGTATTGACTCTTTTTTACCAGCAATATTTCTAGAAGAAAATAGCCCCCTCCATAGAAGTCTCTACAGAACACGTGGACAGCACTTAGTGATGAAGCCTGGGTTGGCAGCCCACATTGCCTGATGTTTGTATTGAAACCCTTCCCTGGCAGAGCCTGGTGCCCAGTGGTGCCGACTGGGCTGGCTCAGTGCTGAGAGACAGCTTCAGGGATGGACAGTTGCACTCTCAGGAGGTTGTATGCATAATCTCAGTTTGCAATTCTATTTTGTGAGAACAAAAGGGAAACAGTGGGCACTGGCTTGGCTGCTTTTCCAGATGCTTTTGACCAGGCAGGGGATGTAAAAAAGAAAATCTAGCTTGAAAAATGCAACAAAGAGAGAGAAATATTGTCTATTTTCCCATTATGTTTAGCTAGGATGTGGTCTACTGATTATTTTAAGAAAACTATTAACCGAGCTTTACTGTTTTCCTGTTGTATGCTAGCAGCTTCATGTAGTCTGAGAGTCTCAGGCTGGCTGTTAGAAGCCTTAGGTTTTCATCTCCAGTCACCACCATCTTGGCACTTGATTTCTCAGAGCTTCAGTGTGTCTATCTATAATGTCATTTTTAATTCCTGTCCTTCTCTACCTCAAACGGATGCTGTGAGGACAAATGAGATGGCTCAATATTACCTCCTTCCCTGTCCATCTGGCTCTCTGATTTGCAAGGACCACATCAAGTTCTGGACTAGAAAACAATAGAGTTGTGCCAGGAATGAAGGGAGGCAGAATGGAGCCAGGCGGAAGCCCAAAGGGACACAGAGGCAGAGATCCAAGGCCAGAATTGGAACATTGGATTAGCCACAATTTCACATATTAACATTATGCCCAGTTCCCAAAAATACACATTTATGTGGTTATATGAACATCTTTGAGTCATTCAGGATTTGGTTGTATTATCATTATTTGAACCCTCAAGTGCAAAAATATGAGGACTATATACTGAGATTTTCTTCCTTTTTCAATGGAGTATTCTTAACTTGTGTGGGCCAGGCCTTGAGCCCCTTTTTTGGTCAAAAGTCCTCAAAGGGAGTTAACTGGTCATTTTAATTCATTTGGGTCCAACTGAGGTGATTTTATAGCCCCTCCTGGCTTTGAAAGATCCAACAGACTTTCAGCCTCCAGGCAACAGAGGAGTGAGCCCTGGAAAGGGTCTAAATGATGCAGGCCCTCCTCCCTGTACGTCAGCTCCTTCTCTCCCCTTCTTTCCAATCAAACTAATCCCCTCACAATTTCCCAGAGGCTTCTCCATCATGGACACCCACAGGAAACAAATAAAAGGAACAGGACAGGGTGCAATTCTGCTCTTTGTCAGTGCTAATTGTGAGCCAGTTATCTGATCTGCTGTGACTTGCTCTTTCTGGAAAGGTGTGCATAATTTGGCAATAGAATTCCAAGATTCTCATTTATTGTAAATTGTGCCTTTGCCGATTGCTTTTGTCAGGGCTCCCCATTTCACCTCATGTCTCTGCTCTCCACTTTTGCAAATGCACTGATCTGTGAAAATGAATTAAACAGATTAAAAAGCAGCTTTTCTTATTCATTGGAATAAAAACAGCAAAGGCAGACATGGTACATCCTTGTACGTAACTCCAAGAAAAAAAAAACTACTTCACACAAGAGGGTGGCCTGGCTCTCTGGGGAGAAAACAAACCCACAAAATGCTCTGTGACTCAAGTTAAGCCTCTCCTATAATCTACAGTGAAGTTCTACTTAATGACAACCCACAATATAATCCAATTATTAGGCTTTCAGCAAACCAATACCATAATGACATCATATATTCTTAAAGTTGATCTTTATACAAAGCTGTTCCTCTTTTTAAAGAGAGAGAAACATTTATGATGTTAAATAACTCTCATCTTATAGACAGCTCAAGTTCACAAATTTGTAGAGCCAAAGCACCCGAAAGAAGAAAGCATATGCAGGTGTGTATTATCTGCAGTATGAGAAGGTTCTAGGTGCTGCTTTGACCCCACCTCGCGGACTAGGGCCAAGCTAAAAGCAACCTGCATAGTAAGGCTGGACTATAAGTGCCCCCAAAGCATCATCTTGGTACATCCTAGGGCAGAGTTGGGTCCCTATTATTTTAAGACAAGTGATACAATGGAAGGTTCCTGGAACTACCACACTGCACTGCTCCAAGGAGCACCAATAGCAAGGTAGTCCTCATGTTTGGTGACCTCTGGAGGTGGGAAGTGCACTGTGTGTGCAAACTAAATTGGTGGCCTTGAATCCCTTTATTAAAGAGGAAACACTTTGGTTTTTCTGTTTATTTGCTTAATGTTGTTTATTTGAGTAGAGGAAGGGCAAGAGGGAACAAAGAGAACACAGGAAGCACCTCTGTAGAGGTGCAGTAGACTACCCACAACGCCACCCGAGAGCTCTAGTTCTTAGTTCAAAACGAAGTTAGCAAGGTTTTTCTTTTCTTTCTTTTTTTTCTTTTTTGGAGACGGAGTCTCACTCTGTCACCCAGGCTGGAGTGCAGTGGCACGCGATCCCGGCTCGCTGCAACCTCCGTCTCCTGAGTTCAAGCAATTCTCCTGCCTCAGCCTCCTGAGTAGCTGGGATTACAGGCACTCGCCACCATGCCCAGCTAATTTTGTATTTTTAGTGGACACGAGGTTTCACCATGTTGGCCAGGCTGGTTTCAAACTCCCGCCCTCAGTTAATCTGCCCGCCTCAGCTTCCCAAAGTGCTGGGATTACAGGCATGAGCCACCGCGCCCGGCCAGGTTTTTTCATCTGTGTGTTGAATTCTCCTACAATCTGCTCCCAGGTTTGTCATGAGGAATAAGTGAGACAAAGCACAAAAACTTCATGGGTGTCTACCTAGAGAATAGTAAGTGCTCATGAAAGAGTAGTTACTGTCATGGTGATTACTAGTATTACTTTCTTAAATAGGCTTGGCTGAATAGAAAATGAACCCACCAGCCTCATCGGAAGCAAATCAGAGTTTCCCTTTTGCAAACAGGTAAGAGGGGAGATGAAGCAAGTCTTATCATAAGCAGCAACTGTCATTTATTTATTTATTTATTTATTTATTCATTTATTTTATTGTTTTAAAGTAATGTAAGTTTTATACATATATTTTATGATTTTTCTCCTTTCTTAATTGTAAGAGATTTGAATTTAATAAGGGAAAGAAGTTTACAGTGTCTCCTGCCTTTCCCATGTGATTCAGATTAAATGTTTGTTTTTTGTTGTTTTTTAACAGCTCATGTCTACAACCTGAGGAGTTTGTTTCTTGTTTTTTAATTTTCATTTCAAAAGGTTTTTGGGGAACAGGTGGTGTTTGGTTACATGAATAATTTCTTTAGTGGTGATTTCTGAGACTTTTGTGCAGCCATCACCCAAGCAGTGTACACTGTACCCACTGTATAATCTTTTATCCCTCATCCCCTTCCCACCCTTTTCCCTGAGTCCCCAAAGTCCATTATATCATTCTTATGCCTCTGCATCCTCATAGCTTAGCTCCCACTTAAGGGTGAGAACATACAATGTTTGGTTTTCCATTCCTGAATTATTTCACTTAGAATAATGGTCTCCAATTCCATCTAGGTTGCTGCAAATGCCATTATTTCATTCCTTTTTATGGCTGAGTAGTATTCTATTGTGTGTGTGTGTGTGTGTGTATGTATGTGTGTGTGTGTATATATATCACTTTTTTTTTTTTTTTTTGAGATGAAGTCTCGCTCTGTCACCCAGGCTGGAGTGCAGTGGCGCAATCTCGGCTCACTGCAAGCTCTGCCTCCTGGATTCAAGCAATTCTCCTGCTTCAGCCTCCTCAGTAGCTGGGATTACAGGTGCACACCACCACGCTTGGCTAATTTTTGTATTTTTAGCAGAGATGAGGTTTCACCATGTTGGTCAGGCTGTTCTCGAACTCCTGACCTCGTGATCTGCCCGCCTTGGCCTCCCAAAGTGCTGAGATTACAGGCGTGAGCCACCGCACCTGGCCATCACATTTTCTTTATCCACTCATTGATTGGCGGACATTTGGGCTGGTTCCACATTTTTGCAATTATGAATATAAGCAGCAACTTTTCAAGGAACCACCACAGTACTCTCAGACATAATGGCACAGAAACATTACTCCTTTGCTTTCATCACCATTTTAGACTTTTCACAGCATGCTTATATTGCTCTGCTGTGTTTCTCATTTTGGGTGGGACAAATTATCATTGGGTGGGACAAATTATCATTGGGTGAGACCATCTCATGCACTGTAGGACATTTAGCACCCCTAGCCCCCCCCCCCCCCACTCATAACAGTACTAATACCAATAGTACCAGAAATATGACTGGTATTACTGGGAGTGGCCAGGGGTGTTACATGTCATTAAGCTCAGTTACTGGAACAACCCAAATAACACCTTACACGTCTCCAATTGCTGTCTGGAAATAGAACTGCGCCACTTCAGACTTTTTGGTAAAGAAAGTATCACTATGTCCACTTCACAACTGGGGAAACTGAGGCATAAAGAGTGCCTGACCAAGTTAATTAGAGACCCAGACAGTAAAAACAAGTAGTAAATGACCTATGTATGTCACAAACGGTGATTAGCAAGTGGGGTGGGGCAGGGACGTTACTCTGAAGGCTTTTCTAAGTACACAGACACTCCCGTAGACACTCACTCCAGTGAAAAATCACTGTCATAATGAGTTATCATTAATGATGGGAGTGTGTTATACTCCTTAGGGTTTGAAGACGTGAAAATGATCACAAGTGCTAAAAAGTATGCAGAGTTTCTTTCCATTTACCTGGCTGTTACACCGGAAAATAAAAAGGAGAGGAAGAAGGCATAGGGATGGAGAAATCACAACTCTAAAACACCTGAATCCCAATCCCTGAAGGCGGTCCAGTCCCTGACCTGACCCCACACCAACTCCATCCTCACAGTTTTAATACCTTGCACCTGTTAGCAATATTTCACAAAACGGCATGTGCATTAGCATCCATAGTATCCATAATTAGTAGTTCTTGTTAAATGAATTTAACATTGTGTGTCCTCTCTTTGTCTCATTCTGTCATGTGGTATGATAACATTTAGATGCCACCTTTTTTTTTTTCTTTTTTTCCCGAGATGGAGTCTTGCTCTTGTCACCCAGGTTGGAGTGCAGTGGCATGATCTTGGCTCACTGTAACCTCCACTTCCCAGGTTCAAGTGATTCTCCTGCCTCAGCCTCCTGAGTAGCTGGGATTACAGGCGTGCACCACCACGCACGGCTAATTTTTGTATTTTTAGTAGACACGGGGTTTCACCATGTTGCCCAAGCTGGTCTCGAACTCCTGACCTCGTGATCCGCCCACCTCAGCCTCCCAAAGTGTTGGGATTACAGGTGTGAGCCAACATGCCAGGCCCTAGATGCCACCTTTTTGTTGCAAGTTATATTCCTCTGTTTTGTTGAAGTCAGTGAGAAAATATATTTCTCCATATTAAAATGTATTATCCTGCCAACTCTTCAGGAACATGTCTATTTTGAATAGGGAGAGGGACTGGTGTTCACTTGTCTCCTTCAACTTTGTGTGAAAAGGAGTAAACAGGAGGGTGCAGTGGCTGGACAGAGAGGACAGTTGGTTCCATCCAGTGGCTTTATTTTGAGCCTCTGAATAAATTTCCTAGCTTGAAAAGAGACTGTGGCTTCTGCTGTGCAATAAGCTCAGACTTTCTTTTTTGGAAGTCTTCAGAGCTGAAAGCCAAGTTTGACCTTAAATGCTCCGAGCCTTGACTCTTTCCGGTGTACTTTGTAACTCAAGTATAAAAGAACACCTGAGTTCTTGCTAAAGGAAATAGAGGCTTCTGAATTCCTTTGTGTGCCACAGAGGGTTCAACTTCCATGCGGGCTCTTCTAACACTTGGCTAACTTTTTCTATCTTTCTCCCCCCGCTAGCTGTCCTTTTCATTGCTTAGGAAAAGAATTTCAAAAGTATCCAGAATTAGAGCTGTAATGCATAGGATCATGGAAAACATTTAGAATGAGTTCAGCAAATCCACAACACACACACGCGCGCGCGCGCGCGCACACACACACACAAAGACCATGGGGGCAGAGGAGCAGAGGAGGTGGTAACGTCTGCATTTAATTCTGAAACAGCAACACAAAGTTTTAAAATCACATGCTTGGCTTTTAAGTCAAGAAATATTTTTGGAACACCAGCCAGCCATGTGCCAACCACTGGGTGAGGTACTGAGGAAGGGAGTTGGAGGGGAAAAGGGAGATAAAAGGCAATTCCCACCAGTCCCTGGAATAGGTAGGTAACTTTGTCCTCCTGGTATGAGAAGGGCCAAGGACATCTCTCACACTCCCCCAGGATTCCAAGAGCTGCTGGCTAGCCAGAAGACGAGAAGTAGAAGAAAATTAAAAAAAAAAAAAACAGACAATAAGGGGTAATAGGAGGTCAGGGGAAGGAAAGCTTTCCTGATAGCCAAGACATCGGCTTTTCAGCAGTCCTTTAGGAGTTCCTGATATCTAATGATAGAGGGACCAAATAACGTTTTTAAAAACTGGGAACATGTACCACTTCATCACAGGAAATTCTATTTTGGAGGCATTCATTCATTCATTCACCAAATAGTTATGGGACACCTACCATGCCAGACACTGGAGAAACACAGATATGTCTGGCTGAGTCTGTACACTCAAGTTACTTACTGACTCTATAGATTATTGTTCACACTCTTCACTCCCTCCATATAGAAGGAATACACATCCATGCGCTTTACCAGATAACCTGGCAATAATACTGCATCAGAGTAAGTGGTGCACATTTCTCCACACCACTGATGTTGGGTCTGGGCACATGACTTGCTTAAGTCAACGGAATGTTAGTGCATTTGATGTGAACCAAGGCTTTCAGTGTGTTTGTAAAATTTGCCTTGGCCTCTTGTGCTTACCATTTCTAGAAGAATAAATTGCCCTAGAAAAAACATGAGTGAGGAATGAAGAAGCATGCAGAGGAGACTTACATTCAATTCTCAAGCTAGAGTCCAGCTGAGTCCAGTCTCGATCAGCCAAACCAGAGTAGGCTTGCAGAGCAAAAAGAGAAATGTTTGTGGTTGAAAGCCGCTAAGATTTCGGGGGCTGTTTGTTTTGTAGCTTTATTATACCAATAGTTTATTAATACATTGACCAACGGCATGACACAACAAACAATGAAGTATGAAAAATTTTTGCTAGTGCCTTTTAGGGTGATTAGTGTTTCTGATTCGCACAGGACAGTCTGTTTTCAAACTGAAAGTCCTGCATCTCAGAAAATCCAGTATGGTCAGTCATCTTAGCGCCTTCCCACCTCCAATTTCAGAATCCTTTTTGCCTGTTGGTGCTAGCCATAGCTCTGCTGTAGACATCTGAGGCCCTCATGCTGCGTCTAATTGTTTCTGCTCCTGTCCCAGACCCTCACCCACCATTTCCACAGCTCCTCACTTACCTCTGCCCCATGAACAATTTGTCCAGCGTCAGACCCATGTATTTTCTGTCTCTCTTCAAAACTTGCCTATCTCCAGTAGTTACTAATTGCTGATAAAATTTATTTACCACAAGTTGTTAATGGTGATATAGTATTCCAAAAGATGTTTCTATTAAAACAAAACAAAACAAAAGTCTCCTGGAGTGGCAGTGCCTTAACCCAGGGCAGCAGACTCGGGTGCTGCTACTCTCCCCAACCTGAATCCATGGCAGAACGTCAGTAATCAAGTACGACACTGTTCCCATTAAGCCCAGATGCAGATTCAAAATCCTGCTCAACACAATGCTTTTGGTAACTGCTTCAAACATATTAGAGTTGGAACATAAAATGAATCCCATATGTCAAATGTGACTTAGGCCAGAAAAAAAAATGGTGGGAATCTAACCTCTTTTTTTTTTTTTTTTTTGAGACAGAGTTTCCACTTTTGTTGCCCAGGCTGGAGTGCAATGGTGTGATCTTGGCTCACCACAACCTCTGCCTCCCGGGTTCAAGTGATTCTATTGTCTCAGCCTCCCAAATAGCTGGAATTACAGGCATGCGCCACCCTGCCTGGCTGATTTTGTATTTTTAGTAGAGACAGGGTTTCTTCATGTTGGTGAGGCTGGTCTCGATCTCCCCGCCTCAGGTGATCCGCCCACCTCGGCCTATCCAGGATGCTGGGATTACAGGCATGAGCCATCACGCTGGGCCCTAACCTGACTCTATGTCTGAAGGCAGGTGGAAGCATGGGACGAACAGTACATTGAGAATCAGGCAACCAGGAATCCATTTCTGTGACTGATCAAGTTACCAAAATTTTCCTGGCCTCGGCTTCCTCATTTGTAAAAAAAGAATTTCATTAATTCCATGGCCTCTGGGCTAAGAATTTCTCTCTGTAATGTTAAGACTTTAAAGAAAAAAATAATTTATCTGGTATCTTCCAATTCTACAGGACTGTGTTTCTATGAACCCATACTAAAGGGTTTCCTTTAGACAGGAAAGAGCAAAAATAGCTATGCTGACAGGATCAAATGAGGCCACGAATTTAAAAATATTTTGCTAGTTGTAATGTGTTCTAGAAAAGAGAAGGGAAATGATTTTATGGTTATTATTTGTCATGATCATCTCATCTTCTAACCTCTTCCTTACTGTAGTCACAGGGCAACTGGATCTCTGTTCAGGGTAGGGGTGGCAAGAGCTCATGATGAGGATTTTCCTGTTGTCCCATTAAACAAACAAGGCTGGGTCCAGTGGCTTATGCCTGTAATCCCAACATTTTGGGAGGCTGAGGCGGGCAGGTCACCTGAGGTCAGGAATTCGAGACCAGTCTGGCCAATATGGTGAAAGCCCATCTCTAATAAAAATACAAAAAAATTACCCAGTCATGGTGGCAGACTCCTGTAGTCCCAGCTACTATGGAGGCTGCGGTGGGAGGATTGCTTGAACCCAGGAGGTAAAGGTTGCAGTGAGCAAAGATGGCGCCACTGCACTCCAGCCTAGGCAACGAGAAAGAACAACTCCGTCTCAGAAAAAGACCAAGCAAACAGGAGAAAATTTAGGAAGTCTAATCACCACACTAGAGTGTTGGTACCAGAAAATAAGTTTAAATTTAAGAAGGATGTAGGAGCTTGGCAAATACCTTAAGCCCTTTAAACATCCACTTATGTATCCCCAAATTGTAGAAACACTTACATCTCATTTTTAAGAAGGCCCAGCTGAATAAAGAGAATAATTAACTATGTTATTATGGGGATTCTCTACAACTTACCTAAAACATTTAATCTAATGCCTGCCACATTATGAGTAGTATACAACTGGCAATGGCCATGAATGTTATTAAAGTGGTGACTTCATCAATTGTCTTGTAAACCATCTGAAGAAAGGCCTAGCATAAGGGGGACGACATCCATGGTCTAGAAAAGGGCAGCCAAAGGGGCTGACCCAGGCCTCCAGGCACTGGGGAGTCGGGTGCCCAGGGTAGAAGGGGCGGCCATTTGGCTTTCCCTGCCTGGATCAGTACCAGTGAATCCATCTCACCCACCAAATGGATTGTTGTTGCTTTTGCTCCCTTGCAGGGATGCTTTGCCCAGGGTAACAGGGATTTGGCTTGGTTAGTACAGCTGCTCCTGGTGAGAGTTTGTAGGTGTCCAGCTCGCAACCACACTGACTCTGAGGGCACTGACAACTTTGGAGTTTAGACTTGCCACTTCCATGTAATTGGTCCTACACCAGGGTGGTGCCTGCACCAGGACGGTGCTACCACCTCCATGCAGCAAGCAGGCATCCCTCAGGAGAGGGCTGTAAGATTTCATTTACATGACAGTCTAGAAAAAGCAAAACTATAGGCACAAGAAATAGGCCAGTGTTGCCAGAGGCTGACATCGGAGAAGGGGATGGACTGCAAAGGGGCATGAGAGGACTTATGGGGGTGATAGAAATTGTTATAGGCTCAATTTTGTCCGCCCCTGCAACCCCACCTCAATTCATGTGTTGAAGCCCTAACCCCCAGTAGTTCAGAATGGGACTGTATTTGGAGATAGGATCTTTAAAGAGATAATTGAGTTAAAATGAGGTCTGTAGGTGGGCCTAACACAATCTGACTGGTATCCTTATGAGAGGAGGAAACCTGGACAGAGAGACACCATATATGTGCACACACAGAGGAAAGACTAAGTGAAGACACAGCCAAGAAGGGAGGCCACAGGAGAAACCGAGCCTGCCTGCAACTTAATCTTGGACACTCCAGCCTCCAGAACTGTGAGAAAATAAATTTCTGTAGTCTAAGCCACACCGTTTGGGGTACTTTGTTATGGCAGCCCTAGCAAACTAATACAGGAAAATCCTATACTTTGATTATGATCAATTATGAAATCAATTGTTTACCTTTGTCAAAGCTAAAAATTGTAGGCCTACAGAGGGTGACTTTCACCATATATAAACTATTCGTCATTAAACCTGACTTTTAAAAAGTGCTATCAGTCTTTTATTATTATTATTATTATTTTTTGAGACAGAGTCTTACTCTGTTGCCCAGGCTGAAGTGCAGTGGCCTGATCTTGGTTCACGCCAACCTCTGCCTCCTGGGTTCAAGTGATTCTATTGCTTCAGCCTCCTGAGTAGCTGGGACTACAGGCGTGCACCCCCACACCAGGCTAATTTTTGTATTTTTAGTAGAGTCAGGGTTTCACCATGTTGACCAGGCTGGTTTCGAACTCCTGGCCTCAGGTGATCTGCCTGTCTTCCAAAGTGCTGTGCCTAGAGGTATGAGCCACCACATTCAGCTTACCAGTCATATTTTTAAAGTTTGGCATCATAGTAAATAATAATGATAGCAATAACAATATCTCTGTGAAGAATTTTCTGAATATAATGGAAAATTCACAATTAAGTTAAATAATAAGCAAATATTATTCTTAAACTTTTATTTTGCTTAATTTTTCAAATGCAACAGTTTTACAAAGATGGTAATTATGATATAATGCAATCTCCATTGTAATGTTCTTCTGTATAAGTAATTTGTGTATGAGCATTTGCTGGCTTAAAAAAGATATAATCATCCTGAAAGCTATGTAGCTAAGGTACTCTCTATTAATATCAATATTAACTGTCAACCTGTAGTCTTATTTACTTGAAGTTTCTTAATTGTTTTGTTTATAAAATTAACTACATTCATAATCCCCATTCATAATTGCAATATTGTACTCTTGCAATAATAAACATACTTTTTTATGTATTTTAAATTTTAAATGGACAGAGAATTTCAATATATAAAGCATATTACATATAGAATGTTTTTACCTGTATTTTAATGTAATTATTCAGATGGGCATGCTTTGTTCCTCTTACTAATTTTTTATGCCAATTATGCATGATGATAAATAATACGATCAGGCTGTCATTGATCATCTCAGGTTCAGAGATACCATCAATAACGCAGAAGTGGGACATTTGTTTACTCAGCCTTTAAAGGCTATGGCCAAAACTAAAGCCAAATAGAGAGTTTGGCCAAATACTGTACAAAGATTGAAGCAAAATTTCAGTGCATTTCTATATGAAATGAATAGAAACAAAATGAATTGAACTACAGCATAAGTTAATGAGACTAAAGATAAACAGTGAATCTGTAAATGCAAGAGGACATACTTCATCATTTTTTTAGATGAGAAAAAGCACCGACATTATAAGTGTGTATTTCTCATTCTTTGAAACAGAAGTGTAAATACACATGCTCCAGGAATGATCACTGCTGTAATCCTAAACACCTAGTCTTCCAATACAAAAATTCAGCCTCCCATGTGTAACTGACCCTTGCCTTGACAGATTTCTGAAACTATAGTTCAGAAACTATTGCAACCAGAGTTGCTAGGGAGTAACTTTGCCCTTTCCTGCCTAGTGATTTCTTTGGGGGAACAACTCATAATTTACAAGATATTTTCAGCAAGGCAGCCCGGCCTGCAGGACTGGGACCCTTCCTGAGCCCACCTGTAACTTCATGACAAATGCTTTAATAATCTGCCTGTTTGCTGCTTCTCGCCCTTCAGTGCTTTGCTCTAAAGACATTTGTTTTTTAAATCTATCTGAGGAAAAAGCCCTGGATAATGCAGCTTTTTCCATGATTCTCTCCACGGCCTGCCCACAGGTCAGTATTCAAGATGCCAGTGCCTCAGAGCCTAATTATTAGATGACATATTTCCTCCCGAGGCGGCACAAGCTGTTTCTTCCTTTCATAAGGTAAAAATGTGTGGACTAATCCATAATCAAACAAGGAGGGAAAATCTCTACTTAGCATAAGCACAGTCCAGAACAAAAGTTCTAACACCAATTAGTAACAATATGAATTTAAATCAGAATAGCCAATTTGCCAGTATGAAAATCCCAACCAGGAAAATGTTTCTTCCTTTTCTACAATAACAGCCCCCTCATGTACAAATAGTAGAGTGCCAGAGAGTTAGAGATCCTCTATTGGTATTTTAAAATTCTTCTATGCATAGCCATTGTCTTCATTGCAGCAACCAACCAGGGTGTTGCTGGGCAGGAGAATGTGCAAAATTATCCCAGCAGGTCATCTAATAGTGAACATGACTATGATATGGGGGCTAGCTGGAACAGCCATAAAGCTAAGATAGTACTCAGTAGAAAGAGCAGGGGGATCGGCCAGGCATGGTGGCTCATGCCTGTAATCCCAGCACATTGGGAGCCCAAGGCAGGTGGATCACCTGAGTTCGGGGGTTTGAGACCACCAGCCTGGCCAACATAGTGAAACCCCGTCTCTACTAAAAATACCTAAATTAGCTGGGTGTGGTGGTGTGCATCTCTGGTCCCAGCTACTCAGGAGGCTGAGGCAGGAGAATCGCTTGAACCCAGAAGGTGGAGGTTGCAGTGAGCCGAGATTGCACCATTGCACTCCAAACTGGGTGAGAAGAGCGAAACTCTGTCTCCAAAAAAATGAAAGAAAGAAAGAGAAGGAAAGAAAGAAAGAAAGAAAGAAAGAAAGAAAGAAAGAAAGAAGAGAGAGAAGAGAAAGAAGAGAAGAGAAGAGAAGGATTCATGAAGTTCTAGTCCACCTCTTCCTCAACACAGCTGTGAGGCAAGGAGCAAGTCATTTGCCCTTTCTGAGCCTCAGTTTCCTCATTGTAAAATGGCAAAAGTAATATGTGAAATGTCTTGGGAATTAAAGTGCCACTCAAATGTAGGAGATGATTAGTAACAGAATCATAGGACAGTTTTCCATTGAGCCCAAAGGTACGAGCAGCACAGTCCCTACCTAATTTGGTGCTATGGTGCAGCTATGGCTAAGAGTCGATGCAAATGGAACCCTCATGGGTGTTACCAACTGTATCCTCGCAAGAGTAGTTTTCGTCTCCCTGCACCTTAGGCCTTCAGAAATGAGTTTTTCCAAATATTGTTTGAAATCACAGAAAGAATTCACAACCAGAGTATATATACCTGCTTCTTTGAATAAGTGCTTCTTCTCTTACAAGCACTGAATCTAAGATCTGAGGCTAAAGATGGGTGAAACTCTTCCTCATACTCTCTAGGGATAAAGTAGTGGCATTCTTCATGTAAAATGGACTCTCTCCATTGGCCCCATGTAGTATAATGTTCAGATTTACAAATTTGTATTTTATTCCCTCCAATGAATGCATAGCAATATATAATACAGATAGATCCAGTTAAAGACACTTTCAGACCCTGAGTGACTGAGTTTAAAAAGTCAAACACAGAAATTAGACAAATGATATATGTGAAGTAAAGAGAATTTGGAAGCATTGATCAACAAAGAGGATATATTAAATATAGAGATGAAGAAAAGTAACTTGAACTGAATGAAAGAACAATGAAAATGTTACACAACATTTTAAAAGAGGCACCAATGACAAACATTGGTTGAGTAAATAATTATCTTAGGGAAAAAGTCAGGAGAGCACCTTAATTAAATTACTTAATTTAATTAAAGAGTTTCATTAACTTATTAAAACCTTCAAAAATCCATGGGTTTCCTCTAACAAAGCCTGCTGAAGCCCACTGTGGGCGGGATGCTGTGCTCTCAGTGGAAGGGTAATGCCAGAGAAGAAGATGGAGGAGAACTGGGTTTGAGCCCCAGTGTTATCCTTTGCTGCAGGACTTTAAGCAAGGTGCTCAGCTTCTCTGGGTCTGGTTTCTACAACTGCAAGATGTGTGATTAGACTAGATTAAAAGTAGCAAACTGGAGATCAAAAGGCTGCTCTCCAAATGAACCATAACAAAAACATTTTGGAAACTACATAAAAATCAAGACTGCTGGATTTTCCTGAAAAGTTAGAGTAGCCCCTCACTTTGGTTAGCCTTACTGTACGCAATAATAGGCTGGAGCTGATTGTCTTTCTGCCAGGGGAAAGTATAGTTCCCTAGTGGTATGTGGAGTCAGCAAATGTCTGCTTACACAATTACACTTTGCCCTGCTTCACTCACTTAAATTACCTGCCCGGGCCTGGGAGCATTTACATTTGTACCACTGAATAGCTGTTCTCCATCATCCCATTTGGTCTTCAGACTCCATAATCCTTTAAAGCTCTGCACCTGGAATGAAAAATCCAGCACAGTGAATTCTCGTCTTACTCTCTAATTTCAATCATCCCACCAGTTGGAGAAAAGCACTTAGAGATTTGGATCTAGAAACTGAAACGTATGTACTGATGGTCTGAAAACTCTTTAAAAAATAAACTAACCACCTTCCACCCCTCACGTGTCACTGTGGTATTTACTTTAGCTTCCTGTTCATCCGCTTTGCTTCCTGTCCAAGTTGATTTCTGCTTTACAGTCAAATGTACAAAGACTTTCCATAGTAATCAATTTCAAAGCATAACATTAATCTTTTTCACTTGAACCAAACACTTCAGAAACCTAAAATGCTAACTTAATGAGAATAATACCTGGATGCCAAAGATGGAACCCTTGAAGCTTTTTAAACAACTAAAGGATTTCCTGCAAACACTAAATCTTGTCTCTTACCCCTTTTTAAACCACTTCCATAAAAGGAAATATATTCTATTTTGACCAGACCGAGCACAAACACAAGGTTAAAAATGTTTGCCTGACACTTTTCAATACCCCTGCTTTGAATGCAGCAGTTTGTTTTGCTGCCGTATTTCTTTCAAATGATGTGCTTTGTGAGAATTCTAGATTCATCAAAATACCTATAAGCAAAGTTTTTAGTAGAAAGCGTTAGCTAGCTGCTTGCATGCTTTTGAATGTGAGAGATTTTCCCATATGTTGCCATATCATTTAGATTATATCTAAGTGATGCCAAAAAACTGGAGGAAAAGAGGGAGATTCTATTATCTATGTTTTATCTGCAAGTCACCAAACAGATAGCTGTTTCAGATCACCCAGCTGTGTGGCAACATATAGCTAAAACATCTGGGTGATTAGCTGAATTACTCATTTTCATCAAGACATTTTGTTCTCCTATAGACAATATCTGAGCTGTACACATGGATGTGTACAGTATATGCGTGTGTTTACCTATGTACATGTGTCCCTAAGATGACAAATTTAAGCAATTGTTTTAGACACAAAATGCAGGGTGAGATCTCCCTTCATCTCCTGCTGGACGATTCTAACAACCAATGGCTCTTTTCCATCTATGCCTGCCAACCCTGAATCAGGCCAAGGAGCAAAGCTGGGAGGTCAACCCAGGCAAAGCCAGCAGAAAAGGGCTGTACTTCCCTTCTTTGCAATCCCAAGCCAAGAATTGCTGACCCTGAGTGTGCACACAAATTGCTGGTAGATGAGGCATTGGGGAATGCAGCAGGGGCGGGAAGAATCACAAAATAATAGAAAGCTACTATTTAAAATGTGCATATTCGGTACAAGGCTCTAGGCTAAATGTCTTTACCTGCATTGTCCCATTTGATTCTCACAATAACTCTTTAAGGCAAGAACTATTATTCTCACTCTCCTACTTTTTTTTCTTTGGTTTTTTGGTGGTGTTTGTTTGTGTTTTTTTGTTTTTTTTTTTTTTTTTTTTTACAAATGAGGAGACTCAGAAAAGTTAAGTAACAAGCAAGTGTCTGTATTTGAAGGCAAGTTTGTCTGACTTCCAAACACACCTCTTAGTAATGCAACTACACTGCTTAGTCTGGGTTGCAGGTGGCCACCCTCCTCAAAGTGACACTGGAGCACTTTCAAAGCATGTCATCCCAGGCTGAGATGATAGTCCTGGTTAAGCTCCCTCCCCACAAGATTATAAAGTAGAGTAATGGTGACAACTGCCCCTGTGCTGATCCAAAGCTTCACTACTGAAACCTTAGTTAATTCCCTAAAATCTTTGAGCAGGGTTCGGGAGGAAGAGGGAACCAAAGTTACGCAGTCTTCACAATAAAAATACATGCCATTTGAATCACTAAAGTGGGCAAGGTATAATTTATACTGTTATATTTCAAGCTGACTAGTTCCTGTATTTTCTAACAAGTCCAGTCTCAAACATTCTCTCTCTCATTGTCAATCTATCTATTTTGATTTGGGGTTTATAAAATTAGACTGCTGAACTCCCATGGTAGACTGTGACCTCATCTACCATCTTGGTATGTTACAGTTATTTGAGTTATGGATGGCTGCAATTATTTTATTAAATATATGCTCACTATAGCACTTTTAATATATGGCCATTAAATATTGTGCTTAAGGGGACACTTCTCCCGGAAAAAAAAAATGCATGTTTTTTATTCTTGGAATCTGGGCAGGAATGATATATCACATCATGGTACCATGAGGCAAACAATAGAAGATATTGAACACAGAAAACTTTTGAAACTAAACAAGCAAATAATTGTCATCCCAATTATTTCATTATGGCTGACAATAGAATGACACAAAAGACTGAGTGAGTGGCTCCCAGAATGGCATGACAATCATAAAAGACTCAAGACACAAAGAGACAGCAGAATTCATACAATATGCAGTGTACAGTAAAACCTTGTTATTCTGATCACAGATCTTTTTCCCCGAGTAGTATGTAATTCAAAACAATTCCCACTCCTCAACTGCCTAGACAGTCTTATTGTTAGTTTATTAAAATACGAGCTCATTTTAACCTGGCTAATTCAAGTCAAATTTTGCCAGCCCCTTACATGGTAACTAATGAGATTTTACTTCAACTCTGTTTCATCTCCTGGCCTCTGACTACTCCCAAATTAGTTTCACAAATGCAATTGTGCAGAGTAAAAGAAAACCACCATACTGAATGGTAATAACACATGTGGAAAAATATATGTTGAATAGCTGTTCTTTCATGACTTTCTGAGTTCTCTGCCCTTTTTAAAATTTCCCTTATGTTTATATATTAAACTATAATCTGAATGTACTCAAAGCATGTGATTTATAGAAAAAGAGAAGGAAAGAGAGGAAGAGAGATTTAAAGTTTTTCACTGCTAAGAAAAACCATTAGTATCTAATAATAATAATATATCATAATAATGCAATGTATTGGCACTGACTACATGCAAAAAAATTTTAAATATTTTATAGAGTCTTCACAGTAACCATAAATTCAGTACTATAAGCCTTCTTTTGTTGATGAAGAGAGGCACAGAAAGGTTAAGCAACTTGCCCCAGGCCATGAAGTTGTAAGTGGCCAGCGGCTGGACTCAGGGTGAACAGCAATTTAGGCCTCTGGTTAGGAGGACAAAGATGAGGCTGGCCAAGTCCACATGCTGAGCTCCATCTTCCTTCCTCCCACCTTCACTTGACTCTCCCAGCACCACCACCATCACAGGCCACGGAAAAGCTGAACCTCTAGATGACCTGTTTCATCCTCAATTTCCCGTACCCCAAAACATTAGAGAATTCCCAAATCCCCAAACAATAATGATCCCTTTTCCAGCCAGCACTTCAAGAACAGGAGAGAAGGGGCAAGCCCCCCTGAGTTCTGAGTCCCGCAGGTACCTCGGCCCCTCACTGCCAGCAGCCAGGGAATTTGTATTCTATTGGGCTGGTTGTTTCCAGCTGTCACAGTCTGCTCTAAAACCTGTGTTTGTTCTACTGCTAAGAATTTCAATGCCACCCCAATAACCCTTTTCCTCAGCATAATTTGGATAGGACACAAACTGTCAACACTACATGCCTGGGTTATTCCATGAGCATAGTGGATGCTCCGGTACCTGTTCATATTTCTCTCACCAGGTCAACATGCCCAGCTCCCAGCTTCTGTGGCTGTGGTCTGCAAAAGGCACACAGCTGTATCCATTGCAGAAGAATTGCATCCTGCCTAATGGGCCTGCCTCACCTTGGAAGTTAGGCCAGTGGCCAATGACTGACTACCTCAGACACAAAGCTGACCCCTTGCATTAAAGGGCCACCAACTTGATGGTGCAATTTGCTATCCAAAGCTCCCTAGAAGTCCAAGATAACGCTAGGCTCCAGCCGAAAACGCATCCTTCTTACCCTTCTTCCCCTGACCTCGTACTTCCCTCACTCCCCTTCTCCTGTGGGCACCTGCTTAATGAATCATGTATACCAGACTCCTGTCTCAGGCTCTGCTTCTAGAAACTAAGACAATCTCAATGCTCTCCCAAACCCAGGACTGTTCATTTCAGTCCTATCCTCTGACTCCAGAACATCCTTCCTCTAAGAACTTCCACTACTCTCAGGATCCTACATCATCTTCCTTCTATCTAGAAACTCCTCAGCTAACTCACTCCAAACTTTATACAGCTGTCATGGGGTATTTTCAATCACCATATAATGTTTTTCCTACCTATAGAAGTAGAAAATATTCATAACCTATAATCATTTTCCTGAGCAAGTTATGTCAAAGATTTTGTTCTGTCAAGGTAGTAGCAGATTGTACATGAGGAACAGTGAATACATTTTTGTTTTGGGAGCCTTCTGCATCACTTTATCTTTTTAACAGCATTGAAGAGTAGGCCTTCTCCAGATAAGATTGCCTGGCCCAGGACAATTACCCAGTGAGGATTAAGATCAATCTCTGGGTTAGACTGTGAACAAAATTTTGTCATCAAGTCATAATCTCTGCTTTCTTGGTCCTGAGATCAGGGCACCCTTCCAATTGTGGGAACACAGAAACGTGACATTTCTTTGAGTGGTTAACTGTAGATGCTCATACATGTCTGTATACAAGCCCATACACACACACACATATGCACATGTCCTTCTGGCCCAACATAAACAAATAGCTCCAGATTGGAAAGAGATGAGAGCTGGCAAGGGTCGGATGGCTTGGACACCGGGAAATTTTCCAGGTTCAAGCGGAAGGGCTGAAAAGAAATGCATTTCAGGCCGAGGCGGGTGGATCACGAGGTCAGGAGATCGAGACCATCCTGGCTAACACGGTGAAACCCCGTCTCTACTAAAAATACAAAAAAAATTAGCCGGGCGAGGTGGCGGGCCCCTGTAGTCCCAGCTACTCGGGAGGCTGAGGCAGGAGAATGGCGTGAACCCCGGGGGGCGGAGCCTGCAGTGAGCCGAGATCGCGCCACTGCATTCCAGCCTGGGCGACAGCGAGACTCCGTCTCAAAAAAAAAAAAAAAAAAAACCGGAAATGCATTTCCTAAGTAAGGGTTGAATATTGCACTGATTGGGAATTAAAAGTTTACATGAAGCCCAGCCTCTTGCTGCAGTGAAAACTCCATCCCATTGCCATGAAAAGTCTCATGGTCTAGTGAAAAGAAGGGAAATCAAACTTACGATACAGATCCTAAAATATAAAATTTTTGTTTTAAACGTATTTCTTGTTTTACAAATTCCCTTGTACATGCTTCCCATTTATCTCTGAGTGTAAGCACTGTCCTGTTGTCTCCTTGTTAAACAAAAGGCTGAGCTGCAATAGAAAATACAAAAGCTTGTTTGTGACCTTGGGCAAGTCATTCTCTCTCTGAGTCTCATTCGTCCTCATCATAAAAACAAGACACTGGACCAGGTTGATCTAAGGTCTTATTCTTTCTAACATCTCATGAAGTCTATTGGAAGCACAATAGTATAGGCCTAAGAGTAGGATACTGAGGTGAATTGCCTGGATTTAAATCACAGATTTACAACTTACAGTTTATGTCTTTGGATACATTGTTTACTAAACCTCAGATTCATAATTTTTTAAATGGGGATAAAATGAGTACCTCCCTCATTGGGTTGGGGTGAGGATTTAATGACATATATACAGAATATGCTTAGAATTATTCCTGGCACATAGTGAATAGTCAGTAAATGTTAACAGTATTCATCCTCACTAGTATACACCAAAAGAACTTACCAGATTGATTTATCCACTAGAATACATTGAATTTATCCACTAGAATACATCCAATATTGTTGTCCCCAAATACGACAACATTAACTCTTATTTTTTAGGAGCCATGGGCTACGCAGTGTTTAAGAAATTATCTAAATTATCTCATTCAAACCTCATCAAAACCATATGGGGTTGAAAAATTATTCCCTCGTACCATTTTAGAGATGAGGAAACTGAGGGACAAAGAGGCTCAGCAACTTGCTCATGGGCACACAGAATTCATTTTTTAATATTTCACAACTGGCTCTCCAGGAAAAAAAAAAAAAAAGGCCTAATGCATTGGTTGTGCCATTTTCCTTGGTGTAGATACTTTTGCTTGCCATAGCTTCTTTTTTTTTTTTTCTTTTCGTTTTTTTCCCCCAAGGCAGGGTCTTGCTCTGTCACCCAGGCTGGAGTACAGTGGTGTGATGGTGGCTCACTGCAGCCTCAACCTCCTAGACTCAAGGGATCCTCCTGTCTTAGCCTCCCAAGTAGTTGGAACTACAGGTACAGGCCACCATGCCCAGCTAATTCTTTGACTTTTTGTAGAGACAAGGTCTCCCTATGTTGCCCAGGCCGGTGTTGAAATACGGGGCTTTGGGCGATCCTCCAGCCTCCGCCACCCAAAGTGCTGGAATTACAGACATGAGCCACCACACCCAGCCCACCATGGCCAATTTTAAGCTCCCAATGTAGCATCACTGAATGCAGAGCTGGGGAGAGATGAGCACAGCTGACACTCAGAAGCCACGTGCTCCAGGACACAGTTAAAATGTTGTGGAATAAGGCCAGGCGTGGTGGCTCACGCCTGTAATCCCAGCACTTTGGGAGACGAAGGTGGGTGGATCTCGAGGTCAGGAGATCAAGACCATCCTGGCTAGCACAGTGAAACTCCATCTCTACTAAAAATACAAAAAATTAGCTGGGTGTGGTGGCGGGCGCCTGTAGTCCCAGCTACTCGGGAGGCTGAGGCAGGAGAATGGCGTGAACCCGGGAGGCAGAGCTTGTGGTGAGCCCAGATGGTGCCACTGCACTCCAGCCTGGGAGACGGAGCAAGACTCCTTCTCAAAAAAAAAAAAAAAAAATGTTGCGGAATAAGCAGTCAACTAAGAGAAACACTGTATTTCTTAACAACATGTACGTACATGTCTTTCTCCTCCTCCTGCTCCACACTACTTTAGAATGTAAAGCAAATTGCACACATGTATTAGTTAGGGTTCTCTAGAGGGACAGAACTAATAGGAGATATATATGTATGGGAATATATGTATGGGAATTTATTACGTATTAACTTGCATGATCACAAGGTCCCACAATAGGCTGTCTGCAGGCTGAGGAGCAAGGAGAGCCAGTCCAAGTCCCAAAACTGAAGAACTTGGAGTCTGATGTTCCAGGGCAGGAAGCATCCAGCATGGGAGAAAGATGTAGGCCGGAAGGCTAGGCCACTGTCTCTTTTTCACGTTCTTTCTGCCTGCTTTATATTCACTGGCGGCCAATTAAATTGTGCCCATCGGATTAAGGGTGGGTCTGCCTTTCCCAGCCCACTGACTCACATGTTCATCTCCTTTGGCAACACCCTCACAGACACACCCAAGATCAATACTTTGTATCCTTCAGTCCAATCAAGTTGACACTCAGTGTTAACCATCACAATACATATTCCTTACAAAGCACCTAATTTAAAAAATTCAAAACTCAGGTTTTGTTGTGTTAGCCTGAACCGAGGTCTGAGCTACATTTTTAACTATACATCCACTTTCCTTTTGTTAGTGGAAAAGAACAATTGTTTCACTTCAAACAGACTTATATGTGACTTATTTTTGTTATCTACTTCTGTGCATACTACCATTAATAGTGTAATTTATTTGTAAGATATAGTAAACATAATGTTTTTTAAAAAAATAGATTTTTCTCTTCATTTGCAAATTTAACCTGGTCTTCAACAATTTATAAATTCACTGGTTGGTTGGTATGCTTAATAATGTTTAGATTGCACAATTGCTATATATGATGAAAAATGTATATTCTATATTCTTTTTTATTGAGCATCTTACGCAAATTAATGTTTCTCAGTTGAAATTGTTGATTCATTCCTGCTAGCTTATTAATAACACATTACCAGATGTTTCTAAATCTCTCCATGTGATCCCAATTCTTGATCGAGTCTGACATACAGAATTTCACCCTAAGAGCCTTTCTTTCTATTCTTAATTTAGAATATGCATTGCATTGCATTAGCAATTTTAAAGTTTACTGTAAGAATAAATAAATAAGAAGATTCTCAGTGTCTAATCCTTTGTGATGGCCAAAATACCATTTTGTGTACCATAAAGCAGCTATTCTAATGTAGTCACAGGTAACATGCTGGTAGCAGGCAAGCAGTAAAAGCGGAGCTGTGCATTCCCCCAAACCACCAAGAGATCTATTCTGCCTCCAAGAATCTCTGATTTTCAGCTGTATGGCGTTGGCCAAGGTATGAGCTGAGGAAGCACTCCCTAAGCAATCTCTGTCAGCACTAAGGAAGGCCAAGTCCAGGGCCCAGGAGGCCTGTGGTGCACTAGCCATCTCCTTCTCAGCTCTGCAAGTCCGGGAAAACAAAAGGCAACATTGGAATAGAAGTAAAGGCTGACTTTGGCACTTCCCTTTTTTGTATTATTTCAGTACTGAATGCCTCTCTCAGAGGCTTCAACCTTCAAGAACCTTGAGCAAATTAATTCAGGCCTAGTGCTAATCTTTTAAGCTCCCGATGTTATCCCTGACCCCAACACGAAATGTCTTCCTTTTAAATGAGAACTGCAGAGAAAATGCTGTAATTGGCCCAAAGAGGAGGCTGTCCAAAGGTGGAATTCCAGAAACTGTTACACCAGGAAGGTTCTGAGGGGACATATCTCCCACAGCCCTCTACCCACTTAAAGCGCCAACTCCAACCAATCCCTCCACTCCCTGTGCCTTGGCCCCTCACCTTTACATAATCCCCAAACGGTAATTCTCCATTCACCAGCAGTAACACTGTTACCTTCCTTCAGTAGGGAATAGTGTCAGTTTCAGTCTATAAACACAATATTTTGAGAAGCTATTCCAAATATGTCATATTAAAAGAGCCCTAAAAAATACCTTTACATTGACTCTTTTTTCTCTTCTACCACTAATATTAATAGCTGATATTTATCAAGTTATCCCCAGGGGACAGCCTAAGTTCTAAATAGTTTATATACCTTAGTGGATTCATCCTCATTTCCCCCTTATGAGGCAAGTACTCTTATTCCTTTCTTACATTAAAGGAAACCGAGGCACAGATAGGGAAAGTTACTAACCAGGCATCCACAGCTGACATGTGGCAGGGCTCTGGCAGTCTGGCTTTGGCCACATGACACTGCTTTTTGCTGGCAGCAAGTGAGATCAGCTCTGCGACCCCTTCTAGATCCTCCCTATGCCTGTTCCCACTCTGACACGGAGTCCCAGACTCAGGTTCGAACACAAAGCCGTCTCTAATAGCTTGATGCCAGAAACTTTGATTGTAATAATCAGCCTTCTCTTGTGTTCGCAGGACACAGAACCAGATGTTCCCCACTCAGTGGTAAAAAATTGTTGAATATTTTTTATAAGGCCAACTTGTTTCTCAAAAAAAAAAAAAAAAAGAAGCAAATTGGAAGAAGGTGGTTTGGGCTCAGCTTCATTATAAAACTAGGTTGCATCAGGAGGCCTGTGTCTATTTCTGCTTAAGCAGTTATTTCTCTGGGGCTTTGGAAGAGCCTTGTCCTTCCTGAGACTGAGTTCTCTTCCAGTGGAAAATGCAGGCAAAACACTGCTATCAGGTTATCTTTAAAAAATTCTGTGGAGATGTTGGCTGCTTATATACATTTCACAATCACTACTCAGCATTGCTTTTACTATTAATATCCAAATGCAAGGGGAACATTTGAGAAAGAATATAGTTTGACAGCCTATTTAAAGAAGGTGAAAATGTAGAAATTGAAGATTTTCCAGATAATCCCACTTTCTAAACAATATTTTATAAATAGAGATGAATACAGAAAGATTCATTTTTCCATAAACAGACACTTATTACTGAGCTACTTAAGACACCAATTGCTAATCCAGTTATTTAACAAATATATATTGATGGCCAGTCGTATACCAAGAATGAGTTGGTGCTATGTATTTTAACCATGCCTGTTGCAAAGTCTACTAAACACTTACTTTTGTACTAGACACAGTATTAAGCACTGTATATAGATTATCTTATTTAATTCTCACAAGCAAGTTTCTGACTCCAACTGTTAGTCCCATTTTACAGATAAAGAAACTGAGGAGGGTGAGTCACTTGCCTCGGGTTATGTGGCTGATAATTTGGTAGAGCTAAGGTTCAGGTTCAGAGTTATCTGACCACATAGCCCCAAATTCTAAATCATTGTGCTTTATTATCCTCTAGGAGGGAAGAAAAGAAAGGTAAGTGAGAGGTACTTTCCACTCTCAAACAGCTTACTGGTTAATAGAGAGATAATACATATTCAGAAATGACTATAATGCAAGGCAGAGTGTAGGCTGTCAATCAAGAGAGGAAGACACTGTCATCCAATGAAGCTCAGAAGAAGAAAATGAGTCTGGCTAGAGGGATCACAGCCAGCTTCATGGAGGAAGTGGTATTTAAACTGAGCCATAAGGAATTTTAACCAAGTCCCTTGAAGAGAGTATCCCAGTAAGAAGTCATGGTTGATACCGAGGCTCAGATGTGCAGAAACCCAGAAGGAAAGTCCATAAAGTTGACTCACAAGAACCTTAGAGAAGCAGTAAGAAACAAAACTAAGCCATGCTCAACACTTTATAATAGGTACTCAAAAACATGTAAAATAAATGAATTAATTCAGGAACAACGAGTAGAGAACAGACTTTGGAAGCCCTTGAATGTTACCATAAGAGATTGGATATTCTTCTGTAAGCAGTGCAAAATGATTCAGTGTAAAACTATCAAGAGAGGGATCCATTCTGATCTTTACATTAACCAGGAAGTTAGTCAAAGGGCAGCTTAGCTTGTAGAGAGCCTGGAGTACAGAAGGCTAATAAGTAATTCAGGAAGAAGATGAAGGCTCAGATAAAGGTAGTGGCTATTGAGGTAGGGCAAGGGTATGGATTGCAAAGAGCTATGCCCAGAGGTAAAACCCCCTGTCCTTAAAACCCCACCTTCTCCACCTCATCTGGAGGCAGTAGAAAAATCTTACAGTGATTCAAATCCCACTGGGTGTAAATAGTACCTCAAAGGGAGAGGAAAAACAATTAATAACCACCCTAACATTTGGTCTTATATGATTAACCACTGAATTATCCCAAACATCTGCCTGGAAGTTCCCAAATATCCACCTGTTTGGCCAAGTTAAAGACCAGACACCTGAACTGTGGGCTGGGTTTTTGGTGCTAAGGGCTTTGTGGTCTGATAGACAAAAGCAAGACCTCCATTTTCAAATTGCTTCAAAGTAACTTTTCATAGGTCATTGCCATCAATTCCAACTTTTTGCCTGGATCAGTGTTCTACCTGATCTAGTGTGAGGTTCTACCTCACACTAGAGTCTAAACCTAAGAGTGTTGAGGATATTCTCTGAATTCTGCAGGGAAAAAAAAAAGAAGTATTATCAGGCCTGGCCCTTTATCCTACAGTTTCATAGTTGGGAATGTCTTCACTGCATCTGATCCCTCATTCTGGTAGCAGTGGCAAATCCATACAGGTCTGCAGCAACTTGATCCTTGCCTCCTTGGAGGAAAGAATTCGGCCAAGGGGCATAAGGCAGAGGGAGAGACCTAGACAAGTTTTTGAACAGGAGTGAACATTTATTAAAAAGTTATAGAGCAGAAACAAAAGGAAGTAAAGTACACTTGGAAGAGGGCCAAGAGGGCGACTGAGAGATCCAAGTGTCTCATCTAGCCCTTGACTTGGGTTCTACACATTGACTGGTTCTGAAGTTTGCATTTCTTCTCCCCTGATTCTTCTCTTTAAGTGGGCTGTCCACATGTGCAGTGGCCTGCCAGCACTTGGGAGGAGCTGCATGTGCAGTGTGTTTACTGAAGTTGTGTATATGCTCATTTGAGGCACTTTTCCCTTACCCGTCAAGCGTTCTTAAAGGAAGGTCATACGCCAGTTAAACTCTGCCGTTTTGCCTCTTAGCGTGCATGCCTGAGCCCATTTGCCCAACTCCTGAGATCTTATTGGGAAGCTGCTGATCACCAGCTTCAGCTGTTTTCTATCTATTGGGAGCCGGCCTGTCCCTGGCACCAGCTGCAACCAATTACTGTTTTAGAGAGACAGTTTAACAACAGCCTGGCCATCACCTGATGGTCGCCTGACATTCCTGGGGCCAAGCGGGGGCTTCTCCTGCCCTGCTCATGTCTGCTTAAGTACCTACTCTAAAAATTCCAAGTTGCAGCAAAAGAATCCCAGCAACATATTTCATATTGAGACATTAGCGACAGCAGCACTGTGACCAAGTAATGGGGCTGGAGGGGACCAAAAAATAAGAGCCTCCCTTCTGCCCTATTCTTCCCAGAATAGAGAGAATCGGGAAGACTGTGGACCACATGTCTCCAGTTCCATTTTCCTGAGCTTACACCTTTCAATAAGCCCACTCCACCCTGGGGTAGAGGAAGAAGGCTGGGTAAGTTCCTTCCAAACTTTCCTCTTCCGGAGCGTTAATGGTCTCTCTCTCTCAGATGTAACTTACATGAGCATTTATTGACAGAAATTATGTCCACGTGTTTTGTTAAATGAAGATTGTTTCAAAGTGTTGGGTAGTGCTTAACTCTTATAAGTAGGATTAGGAGTGTTTTTAATCTTCTCATTCCTTACCTGTACTTTCTAATATTTATAATTCAAATAATAAAAAATGGCTTTTATAACAAGAAAAAAGCAATTTTTAATTTTACAAATTGTAAAAGTAACAATGAAAAATATATTGACACAGCTGAGTAATCTCAAGGCTTTACGGAATAATAATTTTATGGCAACACCATGGTTTGCCAAAAGACGCAGCTGAGACTGTCTGGCATGTTTTCCCAGCCTGAGGCTCCCCACTCCTGATGCCATCCATTCTTCTTTCCTGCCATCAGCGCCCACAAATATGACACGTGGGATCCTCAACAGATAACCAATTTTCCCTTAGCAGGAACAGCCAGCAAAACAGAAATACTGTCTCCATCCTCTTTTCTCCTACGTTTGTCCTCTTCTGTCCAGACTATCTGGAAACCAGACAACACTCACCAACCCCATCAAAACTGTGCCCAGGCTGCTGACCACAGAGACCACTTCCTCATCGCGGAGATGCCTGAAGTCCAGTAACCTTTTCTTTGGCCAAATTACAAGGTTCCTTAGAAGTAAACTTTCCTAACAACATGCTGATCTTTCCTCTAATGATCAGTCTAAATACTACCTTCCTCATGTCATTTATAAGTGCTCCATAGGAGAACGGGGCACTGAAAAGGGCTTGATCTAACCACACCTCAACCGTCTCCTCCCTGTGTTTACTCTGCCAGTTCAACTGCAAAGAAATAAGCTAACAAACAGAATCTCTTTCAAGGCTCTTGTGTCCTTTGTAAGCAAGTCAGTCACGAATGGAATGCATCTCAAATTTAATTTACTGATGGCATGTATTAGAATGAGGTCAGAATGTGATTTTTCAAAATGTTAAATCATTTTGTCTATTTTCCACACTAAAGCATCTTTTCAACCATTATATTCACTTAAAATTATGTTATGTAACTATTCTCTTTAAATACCAAGAGTAATTATTATAACTTTTAAAAAGGTAGAATACGGACCTATAATTTTTTCTTATAATAGGCCATTTCTAAAAGAAAGCAAAGTGATTTGTGTGTCACACAGATAGAGAGTGTACCTTTTAGGATTGAAATGGAGCTGTGAAAAGAAAAAGAAAAACCAGGCTATGTACCACCACTAATCCTTCTTATTTTCATTCTTGGTTGGGGAAGGGGGTGAAAGAGGAGCAGCTAGGCATCAGTTCAAGTTTAGCTCCTGGCTCAGAAATAGGGCAACAGGATGGGGAGACCTAAAGCCACCAAAAGAAGATCCAGGGTGCTCTGAACACAACTTCCTCAGATGCCCATCCCAAACACAGTGCTAAATTTCATCTTCTCATAGCCTACTATGCTTATTTCTGTCTGTGGTTTTGGCTTCACTCTACAGAGTAAGGCAACTGCATCATCTTCACATACGGTTGTGAACTGTAGGCTCATCTTTGTCTTAATCTCTTGATAAATAAAATAAAATAAAAGCAAAAAAAGAATATACTCTTCCTGTTAATCTTGGCTAGGAGCACAACAGTTGATTATCTCACTTTCAGTGTGGGCAATCTGGGTATAGATGGTATTTAATGAATGGCAGCCACCATCATATGGAAAGCATGATGGTCCTCAAGAACAGGCTTATGGTCAGAGGTGGAATGCATGGACGGCTAACTCACATGCCTATGGAGGTCTAGTAGGTGACTTAAAGAGTGAGGCAAACTAAGGCTGAAACACAGGGAGGGATGGGGGAAGGGAGAGACCACACATCCCCACCAGAAGTCAACAGGTGATGGTGATCACACGCAATTGGTTCAGTGCTGGCAAATCTCCTGATTTCTGCAAAACTGAGAGGCCTGTCATCTTTCCTACATGGTTAAAGATAAGAATCAGATTCACAGGAACACTCTCAGGGTAGTTGAGTGTCTTCAGAACAGGGATGCCACTTACCAAAGGAAGGGGCCACAGCCAGAAACCAGAGCTGAGTGCCCAGTAGTGCTGGAAGAGGCAACTCCAAAAACCAGAACAATATCCAAAACCTTTCGATTCCTATCCTTAAAGAGGAGCATGTTATTGGGAGGAGATGAGTTTCACGATGTATTTCAGGACAAGAGTATTTTGATATTCCTCGGATCTGATACTGCAAAAGCAACTGCTTATACAGCTGTCCTATGGCCCAACTTGAGATATAGTTCAACTCCTCTCCTCTTAGGGAAGACATCAGCTACAACTGCTTCAAAAAAGAATACCCAGAACAATTGGAGAAACAGAAGGATCTCCATATAAACAAAATAATAAATTTAATGCAAGTCTCTTTGATCCTGGAAAGGCCCAATTAAAAAAGGCCTCAAACATCTATATTGTGTAAATTCAATAATATGCATTATTGACACTAAACTAATGTCAAACTTCTGCTCCATTTTCTGCCACGTACACCCAGCCATCCTGCCACGTACACCCAGCCATCCTGCCACTAAACCATTAAGGCAGTTGTTGAGAGAGAAGGATCCAATCAGACCTTTTTCTTCCCGTGCAATGATGATGCAATTCTTAATATTCTAAGAGCTGAAGTCATATAAACAGCCTGCTTTTTCAAAAGTGTCATCTGAGCTCCTTCCGTTTGCCAGGCCTTAGACACTAAAAAAAAACAAAGATGGATAGGGCAAAGTCCACTGCTTGGCAGTCAAACAGATAAAAAACTAACCATTTGACCATGTGAGAGGAAGCATATGTATGAACAAAATGCTACAGTATATGAGTGTGGGAGTCCCTAATTCTTCCTGGGAGGTAGAGAAAGGGACATTTGAGCTAGGCTTTACATGATTGTGAAATATAGGAAGGGTTGTTCCAGAACACGACACCTCGTCTGGAATTTCTTATTCATAAAACCCAATATCTGGTTACCAGGTGATTACCAAGTAAACTTTTTGTTTGATGTGGTTTCACCTTGGGTTTTCTTTTTGTTTTGCTTTGTTTTGACTTTGTTTTTATGAAGAGCACCTGAGAAATTTATAAATTCTCTTTTACTAAGTCCTATATTGCCCTTGAGTTTAGGGTCAAATTATAAATGTTTCTCATCTCTTTTCCTAGCTACTGACTTTCTTTAAATAGGATCCCATAAAGTGACACAATGACATTTCATAACAAACTCAATGCATAAAACTGCTGAAGTGTTTGAAAAATATAAAAGCTTTATGACAATACATATCAAATGATACAGAATATGAAAAGTCCTGGAACATTAGTGGGACTGACTAGAAATAAATCTATCTTAAATTAACCTCAGTTTTATAGAAGTGGAAACAGCAATTATATAGAGGAAAATTTTCAAAACCAATAGTTTTTATGTTATTACATTGATGTCCCAACACCATGGATGGCTCATTGTCATTCGATGACTGTACCAGCCTATTTCATTCTTGAGACCTTAATTATGGTATTTCCCAGGAGGTGAACTATGGGTGAAAAATCATGAGCTTTTTGTAACACAACAAACCAGACCAAAAAAAGAAAATCTGAGACTGTGAAAAATGAGAAAACACATCACGTGTCTTCCAATTTATCATGCCACATGCCTTCAAGATAATTATCATTTGTCATTTTGGCTTATACGTGAAAAAATCTGATAAAAGATAGGCAAAATTAAATCAAATGCTTTTAGCAGGAACTTAATGAATTCCCCCCACTAATGTTTACATTGCTAGGCTATCTATTTGTAGATCATCTGTCATTAGTTTCCAAAGGGTTCTATTTTCTGATATGATACTTACAGTTTGTTATGAATCAGCTAATTATACAATAACCTTTACCAGCAGCAAAACCAGAATTACATGGATTTCAGGACAGTTATTTCTAATCCCCATTTTAAATTACATCTGTCTCTTAAGTCAGGAGAAAAGAGGCAGTTGGAAAACAAGCCACCTACAGCTAAAGCCAATCGATGGATTTGTTTTGTTGGACAAGTTAATGGGAGCCGCAAACAGGAGATCTGTATTTTCATAAACTAAATGCTATGTATAAACACACTCTTATCATTCCTAGTTAATGGTACAACTTGGTAAAGACTCACTATTTTTGCCTGATGACTTGCTTATGACATACAGAAATCATCTCCAGTAGGTTCCAAAATAGTCTTAGTGGAAAGGGACAGGCAGGCAGATATGTGTGAATAAATAACCCACCTGCATGTTTGTCCTTGTTCAAATGGGTTCAAAGGCTTATTTTGTTTATTTTTCATTGAGTGTAAGGAGTCTAATAATAGCCTCTGACAAAATAATAATATATTGAATGATAAAATATCTCCCCACTCCTTTCCTTTTCCTAGGTCTTCTGTCCCTGTTCTCTACCTGACTACCATTACAATATTTAGCATATTCCTGATTCCCAGAATATGAGATGAATGCAGGTCAATCGATATTGAAAGGTGGGTGGAGTGGGGAGAACAGCTTCCTTTTCCCCATCACTTGTTAGCATATGGGGAAAAAAGATATACTTTGCAATGTTTGGTGGATGGGCCATGTGGGTTAGCCCACACATCGGTTTGTGAACTGATTGTTCCCATCAGATGAGTCAGTAGAGATGGGAATGTTAATTTCTTCAGGGGACATTTATCAATGTGGTTCTGAAAGAACAGTGCAGCATTCTTTACCGGCAAGCTCCATGACAGGGAGAGCACTCACTGTGATCTTCACCAGGTGATTTTCCATGGCCAATTGGCCTTTCACTCACTATCACTCAACTGCATCATACAGCACAATCGGTCTGTGAATGCTAATAATTGAAAGCAGGTTGGCCAAATACAAACATTTACGTGTTCTGATCTAGAGTTTCAGGACCCACCCTGGAAGGGATCCTATGGAGCTGAGATCACTTTGGAGCACTATCCTAATTTTCTTTACCTGTGGTTCCTTCACGTTTCCTTCACTCAATTACCCCTTTTAGCAAAGAGCATGTAGTGGCAACAAACCACTCAGATAGACTTCACAAACCTCAGAGTCATGGAAAGGAGAAGGACTTCTTCTAAATCCCTCCTAGATCCTTCTTTCAATCAGGCTTTTTCCTGATTCAAGGAGAAGGGAAAAAACATTTATTTTCTATATATTAATACCTAGCAACCAGATTGCTAAGCAGATTAACTTTCAGATCTCCTAAGTGCTGATCCATTCTGAAGTGATGAAGAGAAGTGTTAGAAAGTGGGAGGCAAGGCCAAATCTCTGGGCTTTTAAGATTTTGAGAATAGCCTGTGAAAACAGAGCTCTCCCCTCCATCACCAGGTAAGCTACCAGATGACACTCCTCACCAACTACCCACCAACACAGAGGGAGAAAAAGCAAACTTTTTGGAGTGAAGATGAGTGTCCATTATGTCAAGAACCTCAAGGGAAACCGGTTCTGCAACTCAGGGGTCCCATCCCCCTGCCTGTAAGGAACCGGCTGCACAGCACAAGGTGAGCGGCGGTTGAGCGAGCTCTACTGTCTGAGCTCCACCTGCTGTCAGATAGGCGGCAGCATTAGATTCTCATAGGAGCACGCACCTTATTGTGAATTGCGCATGCTAGAGATCTAGGTTGCACACTCCTTATGAGAATCTAATGCTTGATGATGTGAGATGGAACAGTTACTTCCCAAAACCATCCCTCCCCCGTCCATGGAAAAATTGTCTCCTACAAAGCCAGTCCCTGGTGTCAAAAAGGTTGGCGACCGCTGCTCTAACTACCTTTGTATCTCACTTTTTTTCCCTTTCTGAGACAAGTTTTTGCAAGGACTTTTTTTTTTTTTGAGACGGAGTCTCGCTCTGTCGCCTAGGCTGGGGTGCAGTGGCGCAATCTCAGCTCACTGCAAGCTCCGCCTCCCAGGTTCACACCATTCTCCTGCCTCAGCCTCTGGAGTAGCTGAGACTACTGGCGCCCGCCACCGCACCCGGCTAATTTTTTGTATTTTTAGGAGAGATGGGGTTTCACGGTGTTAGCCAGGATGGTCTGAATCTCCTGACCTCGTGATCCGCCCACCTCGGCCTCCCAAAGTGCTGGGATTACAGGCATGAGCCACCACGCCCCACCGCAAGGACTTTTTAATGTTTGCTGTCTTCACCTTTATACCTCCCAAGTCAGACCACTTATTGAAATTCTTGTATTCTTGTTGGCCAGGCTGCGGTGGCTCACGCCTGTAATCCCAGCACTTTGGGAGGCTGAGGCGGGTGGATCATGAGGTCAGGAGATCAAGACCATCCTGGCTAACAGGGTGAAACCCCGTCTCTACTAAAAAAAGTATAGAAAAATTAGTTGGGTGCGGTGGCGGGCATCTGTAGTCCCAGCTACTCCAGAGGCTGAGGCAGGAGAATGGCGTGAACCCGGAACGTGGAGCTTGCAGTGAGCCAAGGTTACGCCACTGCACTCCAGCCTGGGCGACAGAGCAAGACTCCGTCTCAAAAAAAAAAAAAGAAAAAGAAAGAAAGAAATTCTTGTATTCTCATCTTTCCCCCTCACTCTACTACACTCTCTCCAACTCCTACAAAGTCCTTTGAGTCTCTGTTTGGAAGCTGCCCTTTTTTGAGATGCCTTTGCCAATCCCCATTGAAACAGGAAAAGTTCCCTTGTCCCTCTTGCAGGGTGTGCAATGGGGGTGTGACTCACTTCTTCAGTGCTCCGCTGTTCAAACTTCTAGGGGGGCATACAGACCGGCAGGCTGTAGGGCTCCGACCCCACAGCAGTGTCTAGGGGTGAATGTTTACAGCTCCTGAAGCCCCAGTGGGCATGTGTTACCAGGTGCTCTTTAGTTTCGCTCTTTTAGTTTGCCGTCTATAGGTGGCTTGTGTTAACCAGCTCAATTAGACCCTCTACCTTGTCACAAGGACAGAGGGCTTTCTGTATCCCGGGTTCTTGCCTTGGTGTACTGGAAGAATCAGATCACAACTGGGCCTGGAGAATGAGTTCAAGGTTTTATTGGGTGGAAATAGCTCTCAGCAGATGGGGGAGCCAGTAGGGAGGTGGTTTTCCCCCAGAGTCAAGTTGCTGGGTGACCCAGGCTCTCCACCCACTGCCCTGGCCAAACTCCACCTCCTTCCGTCTGCTAGCCTGCTGCATCTGTCAGTGTCTCTGCCGCAGGCGTGCTCTGCCGCAGGCGTGCTCTTCCGCTCTGCCGCAGGCGTGCTTCCCTTGGCATCCTCTCAATGTCCAGCCGCTTGTGTTCTTCGGCCAATGTGTTCCTCCCGCCGTCCAGCAGCTTCTGTCTCTGCCTTGCTAGGGTCTCCGGTTTTTATAGGCCCAGCATGGGGGCATGGCAGGCCAGGGTGGTCTTGGAAACTGCAACATTTGGCCGCCACAGCAGAAATGCTTGTCCTCACCTAGGTCCATGGGGGGGATAGAGCCCTAGCCAGGGACCACACCCTCCTCTACCCAACACTTCCCTTCCCCTCTTCCATATCATTTAAAGGGACCATGCTCTTCCCTTCCCAGCATTCCCGTATCACCATCAGCTTTACAAAAGCAGATTTTGACAACACATCAAGAACAGATTCATCTTTTAATGACAATCACACTTTAACCAAGCTCACAGAGACCAATGTCTAAATCAGAAACTCAATGTATTACAATGAAACTAAACTTCCTTTGCACCAGAGCATACTTATTGGTGTGTCCTGCCTATATAAGGAGTCAAATCTCACTCAGAAGGTTGTCTAGAGGGTGTGGAACCAGAGGGAGGCAAGAGGAGCTTCTATAAGACAATCCACATAATTCATAGCTTCTTCACCAAAGTCCTAGTCCAGCAGTGATATGGTTTGACTCTGTCTCCACCACATCTCATATCGAATTGTAATCCCCATGTGTCAGGAAAGGGGCCTGGTGGGAGGTGATTGGATCATGGGGGTGATTTCCCCCTTGCTGTTCTTATGATAGTGAGTTCTCACAAGATCTGATGATTTAAACGTATGTGGCACATTCTCTCTCTCGCTTTCTCACTCCTCCTCCACCATGGTAAGACATACCTGCTTTCCCTTCAACTTCCACCATGATTATGTTTCCTGAGACCTCCTAGCTATGCTTCCTGTATAGCCTGCAGAACTGTGAGTCAATTAAACCTCTTTTCTTCATAAATTACCCAGTCTCAGGTAGTTCTTTATAGGAGTGTGAAAACAGACTAATACAAGCAGTGAGACCCAGAAACTCCAAGTTTATTGATAACATTCACATCCTTTATTCCGGTTAGTGTTTGTACAGGCACTGCCAACATTTGCCTCTAGACTCTGCCTTTCTATTTTTTTATACATTGATGAACAACCATTCTAATTAACAGCTTTTCTTTAAAATTTTTGAGAACCAGGAAAGCCAAGCCTTTCTGAGCTGACCTTGGGCCCATTCTCCTTCACATACCTCCAATCCCTTCTGTGTTGAACTGTCCAGCTGCTTTTAATTCATCCATTTCCAAATTCTAGGCTCTGCTCCCATCTACCTCCTACAGTTACCAGCCCGACTCCCTGTTCCCTCCTGCTGACTTAAGCCTTACACCAGAACCCATTCATGGTTTGGAAGAAATTAAGGAATCCCAACCTGACAGACTCTAGACTCCACAGGCTCAACTCCACTAGTGAGCCCTGTTGTTGATCCAGGTAGAACTCTGTGCCTAGTTCTAAAATTTTGCCTTACTTCTCATAACTCAGTCCTTGGCTCAGCAGCCCATTTCAGTATCTGGGGATGTTCTTCATTTCCCATGGCTGAATCCCTGCCTTGGTCACAAGTCCTTTTGGACTGGAGTCTTGCTGGTTCTCTTCTTGACAGATCCCCGCTCCCTGCTGCCGCTGCCAGACATCAGCCCCTGCTCTTTCCCACCTTCACTTAGATGTTATCTCTCTTGCTTCTGCTATAAACCCACCTCAGCCCCTAACTTGCTCTGATGGGCCATCTAATCTGCAGACCCAGGCCCTTCTCTCTCCCCATCCCAGCCCATCTTTACTCTGTTCTCATACCTGACAGAGACAAAAACCCAATTAGATAAATTAACTTTTCATTTTCTAATACAAAAATTAGCCGGGCGTGGTGGCGTGTCTGTAATCCCAGCCACTTGGGAAGCTGAGGCAGGAGAATCGCTTGAACCCAGGAGGTGGAGGTTGCAGTGAGCTGAAATGTCTCCACTGCACTTCAACCTAGGTGACAGTGAGTAAGACTCCTTCTCAAAAAAAAATTTTTTGGCTGGGCATGGTGGCTCACTCCTGTAATCCCAGCACTTCGGGAGGCCAAGTCGGGCAGATCACAAGGTCAGGAGATCAAGACCATCCTGGTCAACATGGTGAAACCCTGTCTCTACTAAAATACAAAAAATTAGCCAGGTGTGGTGGCGCGCACCTATAGTCCCAGCTACTCAGGAGGCAGGGGAATCACTTGAACCCGGGAGGCGGAGGTTGCAGGGAGTGGAGATCGTGCCACTGCAGTCCAGCCTGGAGACAGAGCAAGACTCTGTCTCGAAACAAAAAAAAAAACTTTTATTTTCTTACTGCTCATGTTGCCTTTAGGTAGTCACCTAATCAAAAAGTAAAAACGAAGCTATCACTTAGAAATTCATCTCCTCTCATTTTACATACAGTGGAATGACATGAACTCAGTCCACATTAACAGGCATTCTCAAATTCTACCATGGGAAAAAATACTGGTTGAGGAGTCAGAAAATATGGGCTATTTAATAGATTATCTCTCATCGATGGAACATGGGCCTTTACTTCTCTGTCCCTAAACTGAAATGACAGGGCTTAACCTGGTGGTGTCTAAAGTCTTCCAATTCTGAAAATGCCCTGGCCACAGAAGGTATCAATTTTCTAGTTGGGGGCGCTGTGTGTTTATTTGTTTGTGTGTTTATAACTCTCTGTATTTTCCCTGGCAAGAGAAAGGGTGTTCTACAACCATTTATTCATGATTAATGATGTGGCTTGTGAACTTGAACCAGAGACTGTTCACCAGAAGCTTTTAGTTTGAAAAATTCCTGACTGTGGCCAAAACCAATGCTATGAAACAAAAGAAATGAGACAGTGCCTGCCTGCAGCCCACTGACCTGCAGCCCCAGGCGGAGCTCAGGCCGAGACCCCGAGAAAAGGGAACAGCTGGGGCCTGCTGGGACAGCACACACGGCCTCTCACCAGCTCATGCTGCACCCGATCTGAGGCTACCCAGCAGCAGTTTGGCTGCCCCCCAACCAGATTATAAATTCCTCAAGGGCAAAGAACACATCCTTTATATTTTTCCTGTATCCATATGGTGCAGAAAAAAAAAATAAAAGATTTTTGGGCTGGCATCCCAGCCAGAAACTGAAGAATGTTATCCATCCCCCACCCCCACAAGCCTCCTCCTCCCTTAAAATCACAAGAGGAAGACATTCAGGAATAGCTTTTGAGAAATGCCTCCCTCCTTCCGGCCTAAGAAGATATGTAAGTAGTTCATGTTCTCCCACACTGGAAGGGGAGACTCAAGCCCGTTGATGCATTAAATGAGACATTCCTGAATCAGAAGGATCATAGGTCAGCTCAAGCATTCGGTTGTGTTTGCAGCTCATTTCAGTAAGGCTGATTAACAGAAGAGCCAGACCCTTGTTCTGGCACCAGCTGTGTGGCCGGAACCTCTGTGACTAGAGACACCCCAGCCGGAATCAACAGGCCCGACCTGGACACGTGCATCGCGGCAGCAAGGTTAGCCAGTGTCAGCTCAGCCAAAGAATTTCTGGTTGTGCTGACTGAGAGGGTACACTCAGAACTTTGGACATGAAAGGATTCACTGAGGGATGAAAACACGGTATAGCATACCTAAGTATCCTCAGATTTTAATTTTGTCCCCTCTATAGCACATTTCAATGAGTAACACACAGCTAGGTGAATTACTGGTCACTCACTAAGCAATTGTTAAATTATTCTAGCTTCCTTTAATGAGAACAGAAACAAAGTTGCCACATACACACTAGTTCTGCTTTGTGATTTATTGTTGCCCATTGCCATCGTCATCATCATTGTTATCATTACTAAAGTAATATACACTTAGTGTAAAAAGAAAAAAATGCCAACGGTGTACAAGGAGATAAAGTTAAAGTTTCTGTTTTCATATTCTCTTCTAATCTTTCCCCCATCTCAACTTGACCCTCTCTGAATTGTTTCCTAAAACTACTAGAAGATTTACAAAAACTTCTAAAAATGTGCCATATATCACATACATGTAAATATGCATAGAAAAATATTACAGACATAAATGCATATAAACACAAACATATTCATGCACATACCTATGTATATATACAGTTTTTTCCCACAAATTGATCAGAGTACACTGTCTGGGACATAATGTTTTCACTTAGTATATATCTGACATTCATAGGAAAGCAAATAAATCTATGTATTCTTTACAATGACTTCATAGTATTCTATTATAAAGCTAAGACATAATCTATTCTGTGGGGGGTTTTTTTGTTTTGGTTTTGGTTTTTTGGGTTTTTTTGCACCATCTTTTCTCTGGAGTCCATGTTTCTAATAGTTTATTCCTTCCGAATTTATTTAAGCTCAGTTTCCAATGCATGGAGCTGACTGTTCTAGTTGTTCCTGCCACCACTGTTGCTATTTACGGGTTATATTTTTGTATATTCCATCTGTCTTTGTCTCTTTGCCTGTACAGTTCATACATTGCTTTATACTGCTGAAAGAGCCCCTCCTTGCTATCCTCCGAGGGAAACTCACACCTCCTCTGATTGTCTCTCGCACTTTATACACTGCATCTACCTGTGCTGAGCTCCGGTTCCAGGCAAGCACATTGTCTCCCAGGCCTTGCTGACCCATAGTGCTCCCTTCCTGTGGCACTCCCAGTCTGGATTCTCCAGGCTGCATTTCACCTTTGACCATCCATCCTTAAAGGACAGATCTCAAGCCTTTGTCATTCTCTAGGGAACTATGCCCTGGCTGCATAGCTACAAGGTCACTGACCTCATGGGTTGCAATGTCCTACTTCAATTGAGCACATCTGCTGGGCCCCAAATGGTCTTACCCTGTCATATTTCTCTCAACATCCCTGCCTCCCAGTTTCTCTAAGTTGCCAAATAAGAAGGAGGAATTTCCAGACAAAGCATCACCAAGGAGATTCTCACGCCACCCACCCTCACCCTTCTTTGTGCAGAAATATAGGTCTCTTGTAAAAATGTTATTCTTGTTCCGCATCGTGGGGGCAAGGAACAATATAAATCATGCTAAGACAGGAAATGTAGCTCCTCGTCAGACTGTTGTTATCCCACCAGAAATGTCTCCTTAGGATCTTGAATTTTGCTAACACCTTCCTACCGCATCATATTTGGACTACACCAGCCTGAGACACATGAATGTTCTTTAAACAGCAGATAGCAACATGAATAGACTTTCTTGTTTCATAGGCAATTGGGAAGGGCGGTAGGACTGAATGCAGAGTGCCTCTTCTAAACATACATCGCAGCTGTGTAGCATCTCATAATGACTTCACCAAAAAAACACACAAAGTCTCCAAGAAGAAGATGTCAATCATGGAGGGGGAAAATCAATCTGTAAAGCTCCCGACTAACCAAGAAATCCTTTCCCTCTTCTTTAAAGGCCCAAGACATTTTTTCTCCTGAATGGGGGTGCCCCTTGTTTAGGCATAGCTTGATGGCTGCAAGGTTGCAGCTGTTTCAGTGGAGCCAGCCAATATCTATCAGGATGTTAGACGATTGCCAGGAAAATTCTACGACAGGCAGCTCATTTTTCATCTAAGAATTCGATTGAAATTCTATCTCCCTCACTCGTGCAGTTTAATTTAATCGATAGAACATTACACTATGTCACATTTAGTATTAAAAATAAATGATACAGACCAGATATCTGAAAACTGGGCATTTGTTTTTGCAGGCATTTTGACTTTCCAGTGGCAAACATCCCAGCTTGCAGTGCCAAAAATGTCAAACACAGAAAAGTGTCACTTCAAATTAAGCAGCTATTGCTTACATTTGTTGGGGTTTTAGTCCCATGCTTTCCTCAGATTTCCAGTCCCTTTCAACTCAACCAAAGTTCTCATTAATGACAAGACCTACAGAGAAATAAGAATGCTTGATGGCGCAGCCTTCCACATTTATGGATTGCTGTTACGAGTCAAACATGGCAGATGTCCTGGATAGAAAAGAAATATTTGCAGCTGATTATATCACCACTGTTCATTCAAATAAACTGAAGCAGTATCACAGTTCAGAATTTTGAAACACAGAGTCCTTATTTCAAATTATTAGTGGACTTCTGCAGGATGACTTGTTGTCAGAAGTAATAATCCCAAAGCATGAATCTAAATATAGGCTAAATCCATGGTTGCACAATAGAGACTGCCCCCTTCCCACAGTCCAAGAAACAAATCCCAAAGTCCGGTTTGTTTTCATTTAAAATAGAAGCAGAGAATTTCTGGGCTGGAAGAAGCCTTACTTAGAGACCCTTTTAACCAAACTGTTAAATTCCTCCCCCCCTTTTTTTTTAATGAGGGAGAAACTTGAGACCACACAACCTCTGTGCCTTACTCAAGGTCACATTGTGTGGCAAAGCCAAAACTCTAAACCAGCTTTGACTGATTCTGATGAAAAGGTCATCTCTCCTTTCATGGTCTCCCAAACAATGTCAACATTCCACCCGTTCAGGAACTTTGATCCAACGTTCACTTTCAACTCGTGTGGGTTTCTAAAACCTTCTCTCCCAGACTTACTTTCTCTTTCATACATTCTTAGTCTTTCCTTGACTTCTCAATGCTTGGCATGTCCTGCCTCTTCTCTAGTCCCTGAGTCCTGACCTGAATTGTTCTCTGTTCTGACTGGACAGTTTTTCCTTGGGCTCTGAAATGGCATCACCATAGTCACCGCCACTCAGGTTCTGAACTTCCCAGGGGTGTCCTCTGTCTTTCTCTTTGCTCCCTATACCTCACAACTCCAGCCCCATCCATCCTATTTCCTCATTGCCAGTAGCTATACCTTCAACAGATTTTAAGCTAACCCTTTCCCCCACACACACAACCATTTTCCAACAATATTAGGCCTTCATGCGAGACTTTGGTGATAGACCATTTTATCACGTTGATTTTTATGTGGTTTTTAGACTGTTAGATTGACAATTTTTGACATGTATATTATAACACCTATTCATGGCAAGCATTCAGATAAATGGAAATTGTCATATGTCATTGTAGAGAATATAAATTATTACAACTTTGTAATGTAATCCAAATACCTTAAAAATGCATATGCCCTTCTGCCTGCTATTCCACTACGAGGAATTTATTCTGAGGAAGTCATCAGGGATGCACACAAAGATGTTCATTGTGGCAGTTTTTGTAGGTGCAAAATATTGGAAACCACATAAATGTCCAACAATAGAAGAATGATCACATAAATTGTGGTACATTTTAGAATCATTAAAAGCACTGTCATAGAAGAATATGTGATATGGAAAAACATTCACAGTATAATGGCATTTTTTAAAGCAGCTTATAAGAGAGTGTGTGTCATATAATACCATTTTTCTTTCTCCTGTTTTTAAATCTATAGTCACATACTAGAAAAAAGCTTGGTAGGATATATATCAAGATGTTTGCAGCGGTCATCCTAACAGTGATGTAATAGGTGATTTTATTTTCTTCAGCTCTATTTTCTAAAATTTCTATGATAATTCTATTGCTTTGTAAATAAAATTATAAACTGTATTAAAGGATTACCCTGAAACAATAGTATTAAAGCTGTAATCTATTTATTTATTTAAACCAACAATGTCTTAAGCACACTAGACACTACCAAACATTTATAATTTATACAAAGATAAATAAGAAAAAAGTCTCTGATCTCAAGAAGCTCATAATCCAATAGGAGAGACACAGATAAAAAATAGACTGTGGCTATTCAGAGTAGTAAGTGCTTCAGGAGCATAGAGGAGGGCACAACTAACTCTGAAGGCCAAGGTGAATGATAGGAAAAATTCAACAGCCTGGCGAGCAGAGGCGTACAGGGTCACCAAGTGACAGCACCCGGGCAAAGCACGCCCCTCTAACCTCAGAGCTTTTGACATATTTCTATCAGCATGTTAAAGATGACCATTTTATAAATATAAAGGGGAAAAATATTGGTTTTTGTGGTGATTAGAAATTTTCCTGGCATCATATTCATAGATGACAATCCTCAGCCCCTTGGGTGTCTGAAAGAAGTACAGAGAAACTCCAGCTCCAGTTCCCAAGACTGAATGGACATGTTCAGCCTCCCAACTAACCCTATCTGCTTGGCACTATTTGGAGAAGACCTCAGAGCATTTCACACATCACCACCTGATTCCTTGTCCCTTTCACCTCTGCCTTGGAAGGATTGTAATGCACTGTGGTAATCACCTGAAATTTTCCAGCAGCTGCAATTATCTAGCTGTTCTCCTTTCCTTATTTTTGAGGGGGAGGCAATGAAGAGGATTGGCAAAAAAAAAAAAAAAAAAAAATCTTTATTATAAATCTTTAAGTTTTTTTGGCAACTATTATTTGGCTGAACTAGAAAGTAACCAATACCATAACTCTATTTTAAGTTCAGAGTATTTCTCCTCTGGAAATTACCTTCCTCAAACCACTTTATGTAACAGTTCTAGCCTCTAAGGACCATTTAAGCTTTTTGCTCTAAAATTAAAAAAAAATCTTTCAATTATTATCATTCATTGTCATCATTTGTAAATATCCATTTGAACAAACATCTATGCATCATGTCACATGAGAAGAAAAGGCAGAGAACTGAAAATGCTGTTTTCTTCTCAACTTCATAGAAAGAAACAAACTCAAGCTGGGACTTTCTTCCTACACTAACACTCCTCAGAAGCACCACCCTCCCTCCAGATGGTTCCAGATGCCATCATGTTATTTTGGAACAACCCTGAGAATAATCTCTGAGCATGCCACTAGAATCTCCGTAGCTTTGTCATGTTGAAGTGTCAAGACACCTCAGGCGCATTTTGGGCATGGCCAAGTTACTATACCCAACCCCAGGAGGCCCTCATTGAGCATACCATGACAAAAACATCACTGCAGTCTGCACACCCTGGAATCAAAGAGCAGCAGATGTTCAGTAGATACTAAGGAACTTGGAAGATTCCCACAGAATACAAAAACAAATCTTGATGTCTATGTCATTTTCATACTGACCAGGTCCAATTGGCTGAACTAGAAAGTAACCAATACTCTAACTCTATTTTAAGTTCAGAGTGTTTCTCCTCTGGAAATTACCTTCCTCAAACCACTTTATGTAAAAGTTCCAGTCTCTTAGGACCATTTAAGCTGTTTGCTCTAAAATTTAAAAATAATCTTTCAATCATTATCATTCATTGCCATAATTTGTAAATATCAACACATGTCTAAGAGTAACTTCCTAAGTTCCTTATAGTAAAACAGTATTTTCTCAGAGTTGTTTATAACAGAAAGAAAACTTAGAATTAGGTAATTTTGGTGATTTTTCAGTGCCCTGTGTTGCAAATACTAACAGACATCGAAACTCACAATGTAGTCTTTGAGGATACATGAAAAATACATGATAGAATTGGAAGTCCTAGAATCCTATGTCCCCACAGGACACCATCAGCATTCAGAGGCATCAAATCATTATGCCTTTTGATCACAGGAAAATATGAGGAGTGGCTTTGTTAAATCTTAAAATATATATAATAAAAAGAGAGCTTGCTAATAATTAACTATAGCCTCTAGACTTCTCTAGAGGAACTTTTAACTCTTTCAGGACTGCCTTACAAAACGGATATGTGGTGATTTTATAGTGCACAAGGGACATATTTAGCATGATATATTTCAAAAGAGGAATAATGGCACCGCCCAGTTAAGTATTCTTTCCAACATGTCAAAAATTTTGCTACAAAATGTATCTATTAACATGTTTTGCAAGATTAGAAAATTTTCATTTACTTTTACTTTTTGTGCTTTCTCTACTTTAATTATCAGTGGGTTTATATGACCTGCTGGCATGGTCAAGCATTGACAGAATCCTAGAAGCTCAGTTTATGAGCTGGCATCCTAAGTGTCAGTGCAAAATGAATATTTTCTATGCCACTGATTGCTGAATTTACATAGTTACCACATTTTGCAACTGCATGTTAAAGGGACCTTGAAGAAACCCTGTAATATTCCATTAAATACTGAGAAGACTTTAACGTTTGATGTCGTTTTGTTCCTTTCCACCCTTTGGCTTCTGGAATATTAAAAACATATAATTATCTTAGAGTTCATGAAAACTTTGCCTCCAAGCAAACCCTTCAGTTTGAACTTACAAATTTTTCAAAATAAATTTTACTGGTAATGAAAATAATTGCCTTCATGTTGTAGAGAATTAACCCCATAACTCTATCAAATTGGTATTCTAAAATAACAAATAAAACACAAATATAAACCAGCATCTATCTTCAGGTTATTGGAGCCTATAAAAGAGGTAGCTAAAAATTCCTCTAAAAAATAATGTATTGAATTTTTAGATCCTCCAGCCCACTATTAAATTAACACACGTTAGTTTAGCTGGGTTTGATACTAGTGCAACTAGCAATTGATTCATACCTACTCATTCACTCAGTCTCTCAAGGTAAAAAATGTGACTGCTACTGTAACAGGTACATATTAATAAAGGAGCACTTAAAAAATAAACACAATGCTTTGTGATACAAAAAGTTTATCACCTCAATAATTTAAAAGGCTTTTATAAGGTTCCCCTTTGCCTACAATGACATGACATGATACTATGCTTTAGGGTCTCAGAATACTAAAAGAAGCCATGACAAGAGCAACAAAGGCACTTTTATTCAGCAATATGTTAAGCAGATCAGATATTAAGCTGTATCACTTTGAGGAAACCCTTCGACTTTTATATATCTGATTGCTGCCTGTCTTAGTCCATTTTCTATGGCTGTAACAGAATACCACTGGGTAATTTATAAGGGAAAGAAGTTTACTCAGTTCATGGTTCTGGAGACTGGGAAGTCTGAGAGCATGGTGCTGACGTCTGATGGGGGTCAACACAAGGCAGAGGGCAAGAGAAGCTCATTCAGGTAAGCTCACTTCTATAATGAAGCCACTCCCATAACTAACCCACTCCTGAGATCATCATCCACAAGGGGAAAGCTCCCATTACCTAATCACTTCCTAAAGGTCCCACTTCTTAATACTGTTACTATGGTAACTAAATTTCAACGTGAGTTTTGGAGGGGTAATTAAAAGCATTATTCTACCCTTCGTCCCCCAGAATTCATTTCCATCTCAAATATTCCATCTCAATAGCCCCAAAAGTCTTAACTCGTTCCAGCACCAACTCAAAAGTCCTAAGTCCAAGGTCTCATCTAAATTAGGTACGGGTGAGACTAAAGGCATGCATATTCCTTTCCAGCTGTGACATGTGAAATCAAAACAAGTTATCTACTTCTAGAACACAGTGGTGGAATAGGCATAGGATACACATACCCATTCCAAAAGGGAGAAATCAGCAGTCAAAGAGTGGTAACTGGTCTCAGGTATGTCCAAAACCCAACAAGTCTTAAACCTGAAATCTGCAGAATAATCTCCTTCAACCCCACGTCCCACTTCTTTGATACACCGTGTGGGGATTGGCCCCCTAAGGCCTTTGGCAGCCCCATCCCTGTGGCTTTGCTGGGCTCAGCCCACACGGCTCTCCTAGGCTGGTGTTGCACACTGGTAGTTTTATAATGTTAGGATATCAATGGTGGCCCCACTCCCATGGCTCCACTAGGCATTACCCTAGTGGGGGCTCTGTGTGGCAGCTCTGCTCTTGTGGCAGGTTTCTGCCTGGTCCTCCAGGCTGTGATAGCCTTTGAAACCTAGAGGAAGGTAGTCATTCCCCCACAGCTCTTGCATTCTGCATGCCTACAAAATTAGCATCATATGAAGACTCCCAAGGTTTACATTCTTGTACCTTCTGGGGCAGTGGGTCAAGCCACACATAAACCCACTTGAGCCATAGCTTGTATACCTGAGAGATGCTGTGTCAAAAATTTAGGGAGCAGAAACCTGAGGTGGCTCTGAGCAGTAAGCTCATGGAAGGCACCCTGGGCTGTTTCCCTGAAATTCTTCTGCCCTTCTAGATCTCCGGGCCTGCGATGGGAGGGACAGCCTCACATATCTCTAAAATGCCTTCAGGGTCATTTTCCCATTTTCTTGATGAATAGCACTTGGCTCCCTTCTATCGATGTTACTCTCTTTAGCAAATGATCATTTGGCCATACTCTTAGTATTCTCTCCCAAACATGCTTTTTAACCCTTTACATAGCCAGACTTCAAATTTTCCACATCTTTCTTCTGTGATTCCCTTTTAATTATAAATTCTATCTGGTCATTTCTTTGCTCTTATATCTTATTTTATGTGGTTAATAGTAACCATGCAGCAGCCTGAATATTTTTCTGCTTAGATATTTCTTCTGCCAGGTATCCTAAGTCATTGCTCTTATGTATTTCATAAAGTCCTAGGACATGAACACAATTTATCCAAGGTCTTTGCTACTTCATAACAAGGATGGCCTTTACTCCAGTTTCCAATACTTTATTTCTCATTTATATCCAAGGCTTCAGCAGAATGGCCTTTATTACTCATATTTCTACCAGTTTTCTGGTCACGATCACTTAAGTGGTCTCTGAGAAAATTCAGACTTTCCCTAGTTCTGGGGTCTTCTTCTGAGCCCTCACCAGAATCACCATTAATGTTCTGTTTATGATAGTCTAGGCTTTAGCTTGCTTGCTCCTCCAAATCCTTTCAGCCTCTAAACATTACCTAGTTCCAAAGCTGTTTCCATATTTTCAGTTATTTGTTATAGCAACAATTCTACTTATGCACCAATTTTCTGTCTTAGTCCATTTTCTGTTGCTATAACAGAATATCAGAGACCAGTCAATGAACAAAGAAAAGAAGTTCATTCAGCACAAAATTCTGGAGGCTGGGAAGTCCAAGAGCATGGTTCTGGCATCTGACAAGGGCCATCCAATGATGAATAAATGGAAGGCAAGAGAAATGCATGTGAGAGAGTACTGGTTCTTGCAACAAAGCCACTCCCATAATAACTAAGTCACTCCCAACATAACTGCATTAATCTACTCATGAAGGTGAAGCTCCTATGACCCAATCACTTCCTAAAGACCTCACCTCCTGATGCTATCATACTGGCAATTAAGTTTCAACACAAGTTTTGGAGGGGACATTCAAGCCATAGCACTGTCCCTCCTTTATGTCAGACCCCAGGAAAATTAATCTTTTATGACTTCTCTCTTCCCCTAACAAACCTCTTTTTACTTACCACGGCTGTGCCAACTCCACATTTAACAAGGCCACTGAATATAGAGTAAGAAGGCCTCAAATTCTATATTGCAGCTATCCTTATCTAGCTCTGTGACCTTAAGTAAAGTGGTTATCTTCTCTAAGTCTTATTTTTTTCCTTGGTAAAAGGGGTTTTCACCTGCCTTGCTTAACTAAAAGGCTGTTGTAAAGATAAAATAGGGAATGTTTTGTCTGACTGTTTTATAAGTGAACATTATACTGTGTAAGCTGCTCAAGCAAGTTAAAATTAAGTTCTGCTGATGTGACTGACAACCCAAAGTGATAGTGGCTTAAACAAGTTAGAATTTTATTTCTTTCTCATGTGAAAGAAATTGAGAGAGAAGCTCTTCAGGGCCAGTGTAATGGCTACAGGATGCAGGGACCCAAACTCTTTCTCTTTTGATGCTTTTTTTTTTTTCTCTCTTGATGCTCGACCATTCTTAGCACCTAATTTCCTCGTCAGGATTGAGGTTGGCCACATAAGCTCTGCCATCATGTCTGCGTTCCAGACAGCAAGAAAGAGAAAGAGAGGGGACATTCTCCCTCTCTTTAAAGACACTTACAGGAATTATGCATGACACTCCAGATGACATTTATTTGTCGGAGCTTAAATAGCTACATCAAACTGCAAGGGAGATCGAGCAAACATATGCCCAGCTGAAAACCAGGACTTCAAAAAAATAAGAATCATTCAGGTAATGGCTACTAGGGATGACTATGGTTTGAATGTTTGTGTCTCCTCCAAAATTCATGCTGAAACTTAATCATCAATGCCATGGTATTGAGGTGAAGCCTTTAGGAGGTGATTGAGTCATGAGGGCAAAGCCATCATGGATAGAATTGGAGCCCTTGTAAGATGGTATGAGGGAGTGAGTTTGCTCCTGTCCATCTCTGCTGCCATGTGAAAACACAGCATTCATCCTCAACAACAAGGTGCCCCCTTGGAAGCAGACAGCAGCCCTCACCAGACACTGAACCTGCCAACACCTCGGCCTGAACTTCCCTGTCTCCAGAATTATGAGAAATAAATTTCTGTTACTTGTAAATTATCGAGTCTTCGGTATTTTGTTATAGCAGCACAGACCAAGACAGGGATCAACTAGCAATCCATGACACAGATCATTTTTCTGACATCTGTGAGAATATTCCATATTCCATATTCTATTTCCAGCTCATTTGAACCTTGTTGAAACACTCCTGTTCTGGGTCACATTTCTTTTCAATTGTATTCTCTAGTTTCTCTAGGTTTTAGGCAACACTAATCACACAATAAATTAACTATATTAAAGTATTTAAAAGCAGATAATGATTTATTGTGGCCAAAATCTCTAAAATAATCTCCCTTTAAAAATTATTCTATCATAATCAATACAACTCATTGCCATAAGAGTTCCAACTTTATCCCTATAAAGTTATGTTTAATTATATAACTTCATTACTTAAAACCTGCAATAATACCCTAAGCTTAGGGAAACCATATATTCCAGTTTGCCCAAGGCCATCTTGGCTTATGCTTCTTGTCCTGGGGTCCCCTCTCATTTAGCACTTGTCCTGGTTTTTATTTCTTAATAAAGTAATAACACCTATATATGTATTAAAATAAGCCAAGGTATATTTCATGAACCTCTACTTTATATTTATTTCCAGCTTCTGCCATAGTCTCTTCTGGTACTGTGTGAGAAGCATGTAAAATAAATAGATTTCTTATTTTGACATTTGATTATAGCTAAAAGATAACAGTGATAAACCAACTCTCTTTCCTCTACCCTTTCAAGATCCAACTTAGTTTACATTTCCCTTCCAAGGACAACATATAGGGTTATTCACTCATAATTCGTTCATAAGTTGAAGTGTACTTGGATATAATTGGGTAGGATCAGTAAGCTCCTTCTAGTCCAATGGCAATGCCTTCCAGGTGCACCTAGTCACCAGGGTGACAGGTGGTTAATCAGGTAGAAACATAAGTAAAATATGTACAAGGAATAGAGATTGACCAATCCTGTCAGAGTCTATACAGAATAGTCTGAATGGTCCTACTCTACAAGTTTATCATCTTTTCAAGCCAGTAACAGTGTGTTTAAAACAAAGTTTCAACTATTGTATAGTGAAAATCTATAAATATGCATATATAATAAATGTTTTTACATATGAAATATCATACATAAATACAGATTTTATTATAAATACTTATAGATTTACACCATACATAATTATTAAGATAAAATAAATATATTTTATTGTCAATGCATTTTTATTTTACAATAAACCATTCAGCAGCAATAAGCTTAAAAGAAAAAAAAATTCAAGTTTTATAAAAAATTAGGACAGATTTTTCCTTCTTATTTTTTTCCCTTAAGAGAAGGTGTCACTCTGTCACCCAGGCTGGGGTGCAGTGGTATGATCACAGCTCACTACAGACTTGAACTCCTGGGCTCAAGTGATCCTCCCACCTCAGCCTCCCAGGTAGCTTGGACGACAGGAACATGCCACCACGGCCGGCTAATGTTTATTTGTTTGTTTTTAGAGATTAGGGTCTCCCTATGTTGCCCAGGCTGGTCTCAAACTCTTGGGCTCAAGCAATCCTCTTGCCTCAGCCTCCCAAAGTGCTGGAATTATAGGTGTGAGCCACCACACCTGGCTGACTTGCCACTTCTCAAAAGTATTGACAATGAAAGAGTAACTCATACCAAATATTTGTTGAGAATTACCATCTACCACTTGAGCTACTGATATTATTGGCCCAATGAAAACCAGAAGACACAAATATGAAGAAATATCAGAAACTCCTCTAACAGTCAAGAGAAGGCTGTGCCCAAAGATGGTGATTTCACATGTGCAGCTATAGAAAATACACACATCACATTGTGAAGCATGACTTTTTATTTAGATCAAATGCATCTTCTAAATTAACTTTACTCATTTTTTATTCCAAGTTTCCTTGTGCGAGTCTGAAAATAAAGTGATCATTATCAAGGTGTTATCTCCATTAGCAGAAGAAAAACTTCTAAAATAGTTAAATGGTGGATGTGAGGGTGATCTATTCACAACATCTGTCACCATATTGATCACCAAGGTTGATGTGGCTGCCAACCCGGCTGGCTATGTGGCTGTGCCCTTCCTCCCTCACTGCCCCATGTACATCCTTGCCAAAGCTCTGTGCTTGGTTGAAGAGAACTATCTTCCCTGATAAAATGGTTAAGTAGTACAAGTTTTACAGCAGTCTTCAGCTTCAAATTGAAAATCACTTAATTATAAAAATACTTCTATTCTTTTCAATGATTTATGAAATAAAAATATAGCCCATTCTGGCATAGTTGAAACATCTGACATTTTGTGAATGCTATTTTAAGTTCAGTTAAAACTTTTGTTGTTGTGATAAAACAATTAGAAATTTTGGTGGAGCCCAGCATCGTAGTAAAAACAATGATCTCACAAAACTTAAAAACATAGAAACTATGGAGCAGAGCTCTACTTGGAATTGGTTGTGGTGTACATGTAATTCATAAGTCGGTTAATACGAGCTGTGATATTCTACCATTCAAAATAAAAACTATAATTATCAAACTTTACATATATAGGTATACTTAAATCACTTCTATATATAAGTGGTTTAACTACATAAAATTTAGGATGACACATGCTGAAGACAAAAAAAAATTCAATACTGCAATACAAACTTTCTTTTTCTTGATGCCTACAATCAACTGAATATTAGAAATGTTTGAGCCTGGGGGCCAGGCGCAGTGGCGCACACCTCTAATCCCAGCACATTAGGAGGCTGAGGCAGACAGATCATCTGAGGTCAGGAGTTCAAGACCAGCCTGGCCAACATGGCGAAACCCCATCTCTACTAAAAATACAAAAATTAGCCAAGTGTGGTGGCAAGTGCCTGTAATCCCAGCTACTCGGGAGGCTGAGGCAGGAGAACTGCTTGAACTTGGGAGGCGGAGGTTGCAGTGAGCTGAGATTGCCCAGTTGCAGTCCAGCCTGGGCAACAAGAGCAAAACTCCATCTCAAAAAAAAAAAAAAAAAAAAAAAAATGTTTGAGCCATTGAAGAATTTTTTATATTAACCCCAGTGTCCTACAATGGAATTGAATTTTTAAATTAAAAAGTCCTCTAAATTATGGTTGCATTTTGTTCAAAATTAGTTGGAACTCTTTAATAAAAGTACTCCATAAATAAAACAACAAAAAAGTGTTGAAGTTTTTAGTAAATTTTGGTTACTAAAAATAAGGTTTATAACAATAAAGACATTGAAATTTATTCTTCCTAATACAAGGGAGGAACTGAACATATCAAATGAAAAGGGCTTAAAGGGTAAACAAGTTTCTGTTTTCAAATTTGATAATTGTTCTTCAGAATATATTACTTTTAGGGAGATCATTTGACAGAGCAACTATTTTTAATTCAACAAATTTATATTCTGTTCTGGAGTAGAATAAAAAAACTTATAATTTTATAACATTTATATTTGGCAAAACTTCAAAAACATCATAAACACAGATGACTTATTTGATGAGTTTTTGTCTTATAAAAACATTTGTTGAATAAAAATACACTGAATAGAGGGGGGAAACAACCTGAGATGTTTACACATTTTAATATAAAAAAATTTTTTCATTGCGAATATCCTACATCGAGCAGAATTTATTTTGAATATGCTTCAGTTTCTGAAGGGAAAGTATTTTCTTAATTTAAAAAAAAAAGAGAATAATTCATTGGAGTCATCAAACATTCTAATTTATTTACCATAAAATAGAGCTTTGAGGCCGGGAGTGGTGACTTATGCCTGTAACCCCAGTACTTTGGGAGGCTTAGGCAGGCAGATCACGAAGTCAGGAGATCAAGACCATCCTGGCTAATGGTGAAACCTCATCTCTACTAAAAAAAAAATACAAAAAATTAACCAGGTATGGTGGCATGCGCCTGTAGTCCCAGCTACATGGAAGGCTGAACCCAGGAGGCACAGGTTGCAGTGAGCCGAGATTGCACCACTGCACTCCAGCCTGGGCAACACAGTGAGACTACCTCTCTCAAAAAAAAAAAAAAAAAAAAAAAAAAAAACATATATATATATATATATATATATATATATATATATATATATAGCTTTGACTATTACTCAATTTTATTAGAACATTTTAATAAGATTATATTGAAAATACATATATTCTTCAGAAAGATACTAATGGCATGATATTAAGGATAGATTTAGATAAGAAATAGATTAAAATATGTGCCTATACAATTGCCTCAAAAAGAATAAAATATCTAGGAATACAGCTAACTAGGAAGGTGAAGGATCTCTACAAGGAGAACCGCAAAAAACTTCTCAAAGAAATCAGAGATGACACAAACAAATGCAGAAACATTCCATGCTCATGGATAGGAAGAAGCAGTATCATTAAAATGACCATACTGTCCAAAGCAACTTATAGATTTCCAGGTTCAAGCGGTTCTCCTGCCTCAGCCTCCGGAGTAGCTGGGACTACAGGCGCATGCCACCATGCCCGACTAGTTTTTTGTATTTTTAGTAGAGATGGGGTTTCACCGTGTTGGTCAGGCTGGTCTCAAACTCCCGGCCTCAGGTGATCCACCCTCCTCGGCCTCCCAAAGTGCTGGGATTACAGGCATGAGCCACTGTGCCCAGGCAATATTTTTATATTTTAAGAATTTTTTTCAGGCTGGGCGTGGTGGCTCATGCCCGTAATCCCAGCACTTTGGAAACTGGGGTGGACAGATCACTTGAGGTCAGGAGTTCGAGACTAGCCCGGCCAACATGGTGAAACCCCATCTCTACTAAAAATACAAAAATTAACTGGGCATGGTGGTGCGCACCTGTAATCCCAGCTACTTGGGAGGCTGAGGCATGAGAATCACTTGAACCCGGGAGGCAGAGTTTGCAGGAAGCCAAGACCGTGCCATTGCTCTCCAGCCTGGGAGAAAGAAGGAGTCTCTATCTCCAAAAAAAAAAAGATTTTTTTTTCAAAAAGTTTTTAATAGAGTCAACTTGATGGTCAATAAATATTCAAAAGATTAAGTTCCACTTATTTTTAGCACCTCCTTTTACTCTCAAAAGTGTCCCAGTTTGGTTGATGTTGGCTAACTATAGCCAACAGGATAAAGCCACATTCCTTGTGATGTGGCCCTCTGCACCTTTCCAGTCTCCATCCCGTGACTCTTCAAAGCCTCCCAGGCTCGGCTCTCAAAGCTCTACTCCCACACTTCCCTCTGGCTGCAATGCCCTGTGCCCTCATAACCCTGCTGCATTCTAACTCGGCCATTACATCCAACCTAAATATCTTCTTACAGCTTCTGCTGACTTTCTTCTCTTACCTTCCCATCTTACAGCATTAATTATACGCACATATATGTCCTCATAGAGCTTCACATGCAACCCTGATTGTTGTTACAGCGCCACTATTTTCTTTCCTGTCCTCCTTTCAAACTGGATGGGGAAAGCTGAGAGGCCATGGACTTTGACTTCTTTATCTTTGTACATCCAGAGCCTGACGCATTACTGGACACAAACTGGTTATGGCAAATGTTGGTCTAATTAAATGTGTTGTATCACAAAGAAGGCCTTTCAGAACCTCAGAACCTCCTAAAACACACTATGAAGGCATCCTTGTGCTCTATGATTGCGTATAAGGCCCTTCCAGGACCTGATCCTCTAGCTGCTGAGCCCCAGCAGGGCCTGTTTTTTTCTGGAGGACTCATAGGTTCATGATCATCTGCTGGCATGCTCTTGAGAAGGCTCTAGGGTGAATAGATAACCTCAGCTGTCCGGTGATTCATTTCGCTATGTAAAATCTGAAATAATGATAATGTATTTTGCATGTGTGTGTGTAAAATTAACACTCACTTATTCCCAAATAAACCAATAACAATTTCCAGTGCCTATACCAAAAGCTTGACCAACAAAACTATAACTACCAGAAAGGGTAGTGAATATAACCTAACCCTATTTTCTTTTTTTTCTTTTTTTTTCTTTTTTTTTATTATACTTTAAGTTCTAGGGTATGTGTGCACAACGTGCAGGTTTGTTACATAGGTATACATGTGCCATGTTCATTTACTGCACCCATCAACTCGTCATTTACATTACATATTTCTCCTAATGCTGTCCCTCCCCCAGCCCCCCACCCCCTGACAGGCCACGGTGTGTGATGTTCCCCACCATGTGTCCATGTGTTCTCACTGTTCAACTCCGACCTATGAGTGAGAACATGCTGTGTTTGGTTTCCTGTCCTTGTGATAGTTTGCTTAGAGTGATGGTTTCCAGCTTCATGCATGTCCCTGCAAAGGACATGAACTCATCCTTTTTTATGGCTGCATAGTATTCCATGGTGCATATGTGCCACATTTTCTTAATCCAGTCTATCATTGATGGACATTTGATAACCTAACCCTATTTTCTAAAGCTGGTCATAGACTCCCCTTCACTAGGCAAGGGGCCCTTAAGTAAGAAGATGTCCAGCAAAGTGAATCTAAGACATACAAAATGGTGAGTTTCCATATTGGGTTATGTCTCACTCTAACAAAGCCGTCTTTCATTATGGATATAATTTAAAAGTGCCTATATAGGTGTGTATATGTGTATATCATATACACTTTGAATAGATAGCATTATCGATTCACACATCCACAGTCGTCAATAATACTGCGAATTACCTAGGAGACAGCACAGTGGTAATAGAGAGGCCTTGGAGCTAGATAAGTCTGTGATAGAATTTTGACTTCATCTTTTCTTGAGCCTCAGTTTCCTCATCTGTGAAATGTGAATAAACATGCCTGCCATTTAGACCTGTTGAAAGGATTAAAGAAGACAGTACCTAGACAGATAAATAGTAAAGTTGTTACATTTATTACTACAGGATCTGTTATTATTTGACTAGCATGTAATCTACTAATATTGCACAACCTTGATTCTTATTCTCTAAGGTGAAGTAGAGCTGATCGCTAAGTCCCCATTGCTGCCAAATTCTGTTTTCAGTGACATTTTAAGAACAGCCTCCCTCCGCATGTCCACAGGGAACTGTCAGGCCCAGGGGCACCTCTGCTGCTTCCCAGTAGGAAGCTCCCTCGAGAAAGCAAGCAGGGAGCGGGTTTCTATGATCCCACCAAGATTTGGCTGAGCTCCACTTTCAGCCTAGTGACTCATGCACCTTGAGTTGCTAAGGGAATTGAAAGTGTTGCCAAGGAATTTTGCAGTTTGCAGCAGGTGGATGTAGAAATTACAGAACCACTTTCTTCAAATCAGTAGCAGTGGATGTTTGTGCCCACAAGGATGAGGGCACTTTGGCAAGCACCCTAACCAACTTCTCCTCATACTTCAAAACAGACCCCAAACCATGTTTTCACCTTCTAGTGGTATATGAATGCACAGATGCAGAAGTAAAACCTGGTCCTGAGCAGAGGGTCTAAATCTGCAGGCGTCAACAAATATGTTACAACATTTTTTTAATGTGAATGGTCAATTGACTTTTATGAAACTGAATATTAACTGATAAATGATTACACTGTTCATCAATTATTTCACTTTAGATATAATCTGAAATCTTTCAAAAGATGTTTGTCTCTCCTTATCAATACAATTGATTGTTTTATCTCAGTGCTGCATTTTCGGCAATTTTCTCATATCTAACTTTCGGTTTATAAATTTTTTTGCTTTAGCTGTCTTTAACCAGCTGATTAAACCATGCACTGCATTTCCATTTCAATGACGATATTTTGCAATTCTAGAAAATTTATTTAACTATTTTTGAATTTTTTTTTAGTATTCCGCTTAAGTTTATGTGTTGGTGTTTTGGCTATATCTATTTGTATAGTTTTTTTATGATTGCGCTAAGGATAATGAAATACATACCTAACCTCTTACAGTCTATTTAGATGGAATATTTTACCACTACAAGCAAAACATGGAAGTCCTGCAACCCTTTGCCTTCTCCCGTTTGTGTCACAGCTGTCAGATGCTTTGCATATACATACCGAGAAACCCTACCAAAGTTACAATTTTTTTTTTTATATACGAAGTCTAGCTCTTGTCCTCCAGGCTGGAGTGCCATGGCATGATCTCAGCCCTCTGCAACCTCCCCTTCCAGGGTTCAAACGATTCTCCTGCCTTGGCCTCCCCAGTAGCTGGGATTACAGGTATGTGCCACAACACCTGGCTAATTTTTGTATTTTTAGTAGAGATGGGGTTTCACCATGTTGGCCACAGTGGTCTTGAACTCCTGACCTTAGGTGATCCACGCGCCTCGGCTTCCCAAAGTGTGGGATTACAGGCGTGAGCCACCGCTTCCAGCCACACTATGCCTAGCCAAAAGTTACAACTTTTGCTTTCAATAGTCATACATATTTTAAGAACTTAAAATATTAAGTTCTTAATATTAATATATTAATATTACCAGACAGTTTTTATATTACCCAGTTACCATTCTCTTCCATTTCTGAAGTTTCAAGTTTCTCTAGTATCACTTCCCTTAAGCCTAACTACTTCCTTTAGCATTTCTTTTAGATGGGTCTGCTGGTAATAAATTTTCTTCATTTTATCATCTTGCTGAGCCAATAAGCAGTTTGTTTAATTTCTCCTTCACAAAGGGTGCAAGTAATTAATCGAGTAGAACAGAAAAAGGGTAAAGATTGGATATGGAAGAAAACAGGTGAGTGACCAACGCCATATCTAATGCAAAGCAGCTTCCAATGAAGCCCCTTTTTCTTTTAAGCAGGTCTCAGGAACTCAGCTTTTTTTAGTATCCTTCTGCATTTGTCACTACCAGCCTATCACATGGGGTTCTTTTCCCTAAAGCCAGCCATGGGTAAATGTCCTTTCCCATCAGCTGGAAAGAATAAGTACCCATTCTGTTTATTTCACAGAGTCAATGTGAATGATGCTGCTCAGAGTCTCAATGGTAGCCACCAGGTCCCCAAACCAATATAGAAAGAAGACAGACTTGAACTACAGGGAAATTGAATTGTTAGAAAGTTGTCTTTGCTACCCCATTGATGGAGACAATCCTGAAGTGCAGATAAGAAGAAAAAACATGTAAATTCAAGTTATAGTACACATTTCCCTCTAATTTTCCTGATGCATATGGCTGTCATTGACCCTTCATCACTAGCCTAACAATAATAGTTGGTTTGCAATTTATTTGGATCCTCTGAAGATTGGGAGTTATTGTTAGCAGACAATTTTCCATGGATCTCTCAATATTTCTGCACATCTTATAAGCAGAAGTACTGACGGCCTTTTGTTCTGAACTATCTTTTCAAGGATATTTGTATAGCAAACAGCATGGAAATAATAGACAGTGTGTTTCCCTCCAAAGCAAAGAGCAGGTTGCTTACAGCTTCGCCATGATTTTAAAGGCGATATTTCCCACTGAAGCAAAAGGCAGGTATGCTTACTGTCCAGTGTAATAAAGAAAATGTTTCTCTCTGAAAGCAAAGGTCAAGCATGCTAAATGTATATTACACAAGATTCAGATTCCCTAAGTTCGGGGACTCTTCTGTAACAAACCCATTGAGTGTGCAGTTATTATGTAGCTCCTGTGGGAACTGGAGCTTAGGGATTAGGACAAAAATGCTAATTCTCTGGCTACTGTCCTTTACCTCTGACCTGGGAGTCTCAAGTCTCCAACCAGCATCCTTGAAACTGTGGCTGGCTAACCTGTCAGCTTGCAAGTAGATAAAATCCTAGACCCTCAGAGGTCTTGGCAGTTACAAAATGACCTTCTGTACCTTCCCAACCCTCTCATAGTATTTATTTCTCCTCCAAGAGTGGGATGGCTGCTATGTATTTACATAGCATCTGGCCATGTGCCAATTCACCAGGTCCCCATAGGACTCTACCCCCAGAATTCTATTTCTTAACATTCTCACATAGATGCCAAAAGTAGGCACTAGTTTCTTTGTTTCTTCCCCCTAGTTGTACATCTTTATCTTTAGTATGCATATACTGTATCACATATTTCAACAGCTGCAAGAAGCAGCAAATACATACTAGATCAGTATAGTCTCTGGCCACTATATGCCAAGCCCACACAAATGCATTAGTAAACTTCACTTGAGATTAAGGATGTAAAAACCTTGTGCAAAACCATCTATAAATATAAAGTTTTATTATTATGAGCTCCTATAATACAAGAATTCTGGTTGACCACCTCTGAGCTGGCTACTAGAATTTCCTCATTCCTGAACAGGAGAACTTTAGCTAAGAGTAAATTAGTAAGCGCTCAGGTAAAACAATTGTAAGAGAGCAGAAAAGGCTGGGCGCGGTGGCTCACGCCTGTAATCCCAGCATTTTGGGAGGCTAAGGCAGGTGGATCATGAGGTCAGGAGTTTGAGACCAGCCTGACCAACATGGTGAAACCCCATCTCTACTAAAAATACAAAAATTATCCGGGTGTGGTGGTGCGCGCCTGTAATCCCAGCTACTCAGGAAGCTGAGACAGGAGAATCACTTGAACCCAGGAGGCAGAGGTTGCAGTGAGCCAAGATTGCGCCGTTGCTCTTCAGCCGGGGCAAGAGAGCAAGACTCCATCTCAACCAAAAAAAAAAAAAGAGAGAGACCAGGAAAACAAAAGTATCCTTTGTCAGAAGCTGAAAGTGAACCAGTACCATGTTGAATCTGTCAATACAAGACAGAAGGACAAAATATCATTGTCCTTCTAAATTTTGCTTGCATTTTACTGACAATCTGGTTACTAAATTGTTAGATACAGAATTAACTCTTACGTACTTGGTCTAGCAATGGACCAAATTAAATTAATAGATAAGAAGCAAGTTGCAAAAATTCCCGAGCTATCTTCTTCTTCTTTTGTACCATTTTACATGGCATCAAAATCTGTTCCAGTTACTAAGGACACATATGAATTTACCCCACAACTCAGTGGCATGAAACAGCAATGTGTCATGCTCACAGATTCTGTAGAGGAAATTGGACAGGACACTGTGGGGACAGCTTGTCTCTGATCCACAACGGTCTGGGGTCTCAGATGGAAGATTCAAAGACTGGGAGCTGAAATCATCTGAAAGCGTCTTCACTCGTGTCTACTGTACAATGGTGGCACTCAGCTGAAGACCTTAGTTCCTCTCTATATTGGCCTCTCCATGCAAGTTAATTTTGCTTCCTCAGAGCATAACAGCTGAGTTCCAAGGACAGGTGTCCTGAGAGAGGAATCAGATGGAGGCTGTATCCTCTCTATGGCCTTAGCCTTGGAAGTCACATAGCATCACTTCTGCTGCATCTGTTGATCAAAAATGGAAGTTTCTGTCTTGATCCAAACCCAGAAAATATAAATCTCAGCATTAAATAAGAAGGTGTCAGTTACAATTTAAGAAATGCATGTGGCACTCAGATATGTATATTTGTATGGCCATCTTTGGAAAATACAATCTACCACACTCTGTATTTGTGTGACTTCTCTCAATGAACCTACAAAACAGATGCTTTCATTCTCTTCATTTCACAGATAGAAAATTAAACCCAAACAAGTTTAACAACTTGGCCAAATTAACACTTGATTATAAGAACATCTATTAGTAAACTTACCCATGTTTGAACTTTGTTGATACGAAGAGGTTCCTCCTCCCATGGCCAGAGATGATTTTTAGTTTCCATGTTGAGCCACTGTTTCCTTTTTTTCTTTTTTGAGATAGGGTCTCACTTTGTCACCCAGGCTGGAGTGCAGTGGTGCCATCTTGGCTCACTGCAGACTTGACCTCCCAGGTTCAAGCAATCCTGCTTCAGCCTCCCAAGTAGCTGGGACTATAGGCACGCACAGCCACACCCGGCTAATTTTTGTACTTTCTGTGGCGACAGGGTTTCACCATGTTGCCCAGGCTGGTCTTGGACTCCAGAGCTCAAGAAATCCACCCGCCTCGGCCTCCCAAAGTGCTAGGATTACAGGCGTGAGCCATGGCCACCCGGCCTGAGCCACTGTTTTCTATCATGTCTCAAGTTTCACTGTCTAAGATCCGACACATGACTTGAAGACTTACCCCTTTAAATTTTCCTCTTATTTTAACAGCTTTTGGGATTCTACTGGAAGTTTGTACAGCGTAGTGGTACCAGGAATAAGCATTGGAGGCAGATAAACATGGCTTTAAATCCTGGCTCTACCACTTCTTGTTTAGATGCAGCAAACACATTACTTACCCTTGGTAAGCCTCCCTCCCAACAGGGATAATAATAAGCTTCTCGAACCTGGTACAGAAGGTGCATATTAATAGAATAAGTAAAATATCACTGACACCTGTCCCCACATTCTTATGCCACTCCCTAGGAACTTTCATCTAATTATAACTAGAAGTTCTCAGATGGTGTTTCATGAGTGCTTACAAATGAATCACCATTGATGCTAACAGTAGGCTTCCTCTTCTGATCCAGACGCCTTCATGGTGGATGGTCTCAGGAAGTCACTGAGGGCAGTACCTCATCACTACCTTGATTACAGATGCTCCCCTAAAACAAGGCTGTCTCCTAATGAGACTACATAGCAGCAATCTCTCAGGATGCTGCAGAGGCACGGTATTCGGTTTATCATTGGGAGTAATGCCCCCTCCACCCTTCCACTTGGGTCACAGAGACACATAGTTTTTTCTGCTTTTGCTAGCAATTTCTCTCTCTAGAGGACTTGCATATTGATCCTTAGAGCCAGGAGATAACACACCTTTCTGTGCTCTCAAAGTCTACACAACCAACCCTCTTCCTCCTCCAAACTTGCCTTCCTTTCTTCAGCTAAAAGCAAAAGCACAACACAACTTACACCAGTCCCTTCTTCTGAGATCTGTTCATCGCTTTACAGATTCTCCTACACCCGTTAATACGCACACTGTGCTTTATGTGCTCACTCTCAACTGCACTTCCTTCTTTCTCTCTGATTTTATGTCCCAATCAGCCTCTCTCATCTCTCTTTTTTTTTTCTTGCTTTTATAAATCATGGGGCCAGGCGTGGTGGCTCACACCTGTAATCCCAGCACTTTGGGAGGCTGAGGCAGGTGGATCACTTGAGGTCAGGAATTCAAGACCAGCCTGGCCAACATGGTGAAACCCCATCTCTACTAAAAATACAAAAATTAGCCAGGCACGGTGGCGAATGCCTGTAATCCCCTCTACTCAGGAGCCTGAGGCAGGAGAATCTCTTGAACCCAGGAGGCAGAGGCTGCAGTGAGCCAAGATCGCGCCACTGCACTCCAGCCTGTTTACAGAGCAAGGCTCCATCTTCAATAAATAAATAAATAAATAAATAAATAAATAAATAAATAAATAAAGGTACCTCCACGTAGGAATGAGCTTCACTCAACTACTTTCTATTAGAGTTGCTATAGTCCTGGTTTGCCCAGTCTTGGCACCCAAATTTTATTACTTAGATCCTCCCAATGATGACAAATATATGTAACATTATCAGGGAGGGTTCTTTAACTGCAGACTTCATTTAAAAAGAGGAAAAAAAGAATGTTTTGAGACTGACTCAAACCCCATTGTGGAACGAGAACTACATACAATTTATATGTCAAGAAGTTAAGCTGAATTGAATATATAGTTAATTGCAAAAGGTATTCAATATAGAACTGATAATAGCATACAATCCTACACAGCTAAGAGAATTTTTTTTAATTGGCCAGATGTGGCTGAGGGGAGTGTCTGCCCTGGTCCCCTGCAGCTGTCCTTCCTCTGTCTTTCATATCTGGCTCTTCCGTTGCCCTCTGCTGAGTCCCTCTGTGTCTGTGTCTCACACCATCTGGATTGAAGGGGTCACTCTCCTGTGTCAAGACTTTTCATGCCAATTATTTAATGCCATTTCTCCATCTGAAATTATTCAAAGTTCACTTTTAATTCAAATTCCCCATGGAATCCATTTGTCAGGAGGTTGCTTTCTCCAAATATGTTCTGCAAACTGTCATCTCTGGCTGCTTGCTGTCATAAATAGACGTTAGTCTCTATTTCCTGTGCTGTTCCCAAGAGAAGTGTCATATAGCTCCAGGCTTTTTGGTGGGAAGAGAGCTACTTCCAGTGTGGATACTACAAGAAAAGCTTCCCTTGTTGCCCAGCTCTCTGATACTTCCTGTGTTTCCATGGCAAACTTCCCTCTTGGATGCAGCTGCTTAGGAGGGGCGGGGAGAAGGGAACTGTTTAACCATTTTGTTCCCATCACATGCCTCTTATACGTTCAATTTTCCCCTGCACACTACATGTGACTCCCGTCCTTGTCCCCTTTTTAAGCACGTACCCACCCCCCATCCCCCGCCTCCAGACACACACAACAAACATTTCTTTCAGCTCACTCAAATATGTGGAGTTACTCGCTTAACCCGTGGAAAATGCTATCCTTTTGGCAGGAAAATGCTGGATTCATGATAGTGCCACTAGAAAAGCATTTTTTTAACTTCTCCATTTCCAGCACATCTTGGTTCTAGCAGAATGAGTAGGTCCTTGAACCCCAAAGCCAGGGCTGGTGGTCACCCTAGGAAGTCACCTGTAGCGGTAAAAACCAATGCGTGTAATGGGGATAGTATTTTTGGCATTTTGAATATTTTCATTTCCCCCTTAAATCATGCACCTTCACAACCTCAGCATCCAAGCTTAGCCAAAAAGCGCATTGCCTCAGGGAATAAGAGGCCATTGATTATCTTTGAGTCATAAATCTGACTTTTGTAAGTCCACATCAAAACAATTGTCACGAAAGCCAAGCTTTGGGTAGACAGAAAAGGCCATTCTAAGTTCCCTTAGCCTCTATTTAGCATAGTAAGAGCCAAGCCTGGCAGACCAGAGGGCATCACATGCCTTGGGTAGGGAGAACGAACTCTGGAGAGAACACAGAAAAAAATAAAAACTGCCTTTTCAGCCCTGCTGCATTGCAGGAAGCAAAGGAGGCAGCAAATGGGACCAAGCATCATGGCTCCTCCCTGTCCCTGTCCCCACAAGGGGCTGCAATTCTAGAATGGGGCTTACATTGGTTTAGAGGAAAGCCAAACAGAGAGTGTTTTGCCTCATTTCCCATTTGAGACTCATAGCAAACTACCATAGAATAGCTGCATCAGAGAAACACTTCGTTTATGCAGAAGGAGGGCCTGAATTTAGCCCCCAGAGGCTCTCTTGGTCCCCAAGTATCCTATCTGACCATTTCCACCTGCCCTGAGATAGGAAGTAGGCTGTATCTGAAGGTACCAGGTAGAGCGCTTACTCTGGGCTTGCTGTTGGGAATCAGAAGGGAGCCTGCTAGACCAGAGGATGAGGTGGGAGTAACAGCCTGTCCTCAAGAATGAAAGTGGCATCAAATCAGCAGCGAGAACAACCAAGTCCAACCAAACCAAGAGATTATAGAGCAGGAGTCTGACAGCTCCCAATTTCAGCTGCCCAGCAGCAGGGAAAGTAGAGCGGGAATGAAAGAGACAGCAGAGCAGAGGACTGAGGAGCCAGGGAAGGACAGACATGGGCCTGGGAACCCTCTTTCCCACTGCCACCAGGTCAGCCAGTCTTCCTCCTGCTATCTACTGAAAAATCATCTCAGAAAAAGAAGATGAGAAGAAAATCTGGAATTCTTTTATTTCAAAATCACTTTGTTGTGGTATAATTGACATACAAAAAGCTGTACATATTAATTGCAAAAAGCTCAGTGAGTTTGAGGTTAAATATATACTGTGAAACCATCACTACCATCAAGGCCATAAACATATCTGTTGCAATGGTTTGAATGTCCCCTTCAAAACTCATGTTGAATCTCAATCCCCAATATGGCAGTATTGAGAGGTGGGGCCTTTAAGAGGTGATTGGGTCATGGAATAATCCACTTTTAGATTAATGGATTAATTCATTAATGGGTTATCATGGGAGTGGCTTTATAAGAAGAGGAAGAGTGACTGAAGCTAATACGTGAGCATGCTCAGCCCCTGGCCATATGATGCCCTGCGCCACCTTAGGACCGCAGAGTCCCCATCAGCAAGAAGGCCCTCACTAGATGCAGCCTCTCTACCTTGAACTTTTCAGCCTCCATAACTGTAAGAAATAAATTCCTTTTCTTTATAAATTACCCAGTTCCAAGTATTCTGTTATATGCAACAGAAAACAGACTAATACACCTATCACCTCCCCCACAAAGTTTCTTCCTGCCACTTTTATTATTTTGTGTGTGTATGATAAGACTTAATGTAAGATCTATCTTCTTAGCAAATATTAAGTATATGATACAATACTGTCAACCATAGGCATTATGCTGTATACTAGATCTCCAGAAGTTATTTATTTTGCGCAGCTGAAGCTTTGCCCTTTAACTATCATTTCCGCACGTCTCTATCCCCCATTCCACTCTCTGCTCCAACTTTGATGATTTTAGATCCCACAGATAAGTAAATCATATTGATTACCCAAAAGATACTGTCACCCACATTTGCAAGTTGTTTTTTCACCCTGTGGTGAGCAGCTTCTACGGCTCCCAATGATCTCCACTTCCTGCTACTCCTGCCCTTGTGTGATCTACTCCCCTTGCGTGTGGTTTGGACTTAGTGATTTGCTTCTAACAAATGGAATTTGAAAGATTCTGGCTTCCAATTTGCTCACCTCTCTTTCTCTCTTACTTGCTCACTCTGATGAAACAAGTACCATATTGGCAAGCAACTGAGGGAGGATTCTGGCCAACAGCCAGAGAAGAACAGTCCAGCAACCCACGTAGAACAGAGTCCTGCCACATGACAAGGTATGAGCTTAGAAGAGGACTGTCCCTCTGTCTAGGGTTCAGATAAAACCCAGATAAGATAACCAGTTCAGCACAGTTTGCCCAGGATGTCTCCAGTTTTAGCACCAGAAGCCCCACATCCCAAGAAACCACTCAGTCTTGAGCAACCCCAGACAGTTGGTCACCACAGACTGACCTGTAGATGGCCCCTTGAATGTGCCCTTGGGAGAGACCCTGAGCCAGAGAACCTAGTAAGGCCACACTCAGATTTCCGACCTACAGAAATTGTGGGATAATAAATGTTTATTCTTTTAAGCTGCTAAACTCTGGGGTAATGTATCATGCAGCATTGCAGATATTGAAAACTAACATCCTTGTTCTTACCCAAAAGATTGAAAGATCAAGAGAAATGTTAAATCAGCTATAGAACAATAAAGAAGCTGCATTTTCTTTGTACATCTGCATGCAGCGTGAGTTAAATTAGCAGCCTCATCACGAGTGTACTCCACATCCTGAGTGTGACTCAGGAACACAGTTTTTAGCAAGAATGAAGAATTAGGTACGTCCCTTATCTTCAAGGAGTTTAAAATCAAATCACAAAATCCAGACATAGTCACCTGACAGAGATTAAAGACTCAACAGGGGCTCAGAAGTTGCTACCACAAACTTCATCTTTCTTCTGGAGAATCCATACACAGATCAAATGAATCTTCCTAGTCATGCAGTGAAACCTGGAGGTAGACCCAGAACTAAGATTTCTCGCTATCTCAGGAAGCAAGTATATCATCAAGCCAATACAGAATACGGGAGTGAGAACTCATCAACTTTTCTCCTGTCACAGGAAAGTTGGCTTCACCTAACCAATCTACTACATAGCAGTCAGCTCTAAACTATGCAGATGGATACTTAACAAATGCATATGAGAACAACAAGAGAATAAGTTAAGATCCTGAGTGTTTCAGTGATAAGTCTCCAGCTATCATAGGCAGTGGCTGAATGATTAGTTACAGGCATGAAAAAAATATGCCATAAAGGTCAATACAAATGCTCCAGTGCCAATTGAGATAAAAGTAACCATAGCCACAAATATTTATACAGTATTGTACAGCTCAGAAAGACTTGCCTACTTTTTACGTCAAAAGTTTTTACACTTCAACTCTGAAAAGTAGTTAGGCCTGAAAGAATTCTTTTCATTGCCATTTGATAAAGAAGAAAAATTGAATCTTTAAAGATTGAAATGATTTTTCCAAGACCTCAGAACTGCAATTCACACCCAGACATCTCCTAGTGCAAAGTGCTGCTCACTTTCCTCCTTCTCAGTGGAGAGAAAATGGAAACATTCATGAATTATCAGTTTCCTGCTTTCACTAGGAAATGATGTAGGAAGCACCGTGGAAGGCAGACAGAGTCTATAATGCATGTTTATGGAAACAGCAGAACTATTATACATTATTGTGGGAATTGTTTTTCTCAAGTCCTAGAGTCCCTGAAACACTGCTTTAGTAATAATGACTGTTTAGCTCCAGACTTATAATAACTTTTTTAGTAAAGTATCAAAAGAATAGAAAATCTAGAATTACTGAGAATAATTTGTGTTAGACATTTGAAAAACATATGTCAAAAGCACATCTTTTAATGAGCGCCCTGAAGAACTGTAACATTCAAACTCAACATATAATGATTGAGTCTGCCTCAGAGAAGTTGTACAATAGTTTTCTAAACCGTGCTGTTAAAATTGGTAGCCAATAGCCATACATGGCTACTTAAATTCATTAAAATGAAATACATTAAAAATTCGGTTTTCAGGCCTGGCACAGTGGCTCACGCCTGTAATCCCAGCACTTTGGGAGGCCAAGGCTGGTGGATCATCTGAGGTCAGGAGTTGGAGACCAGCCTGACCAACATGGTGAAACCCCGTCTCTACTAAATACATAAAAGTAGCCAGGCGTAGTAGCGTATGCCTGTAATCCCACCTACTTGGGGGGCTGAGGCAGGAGAATCACTTGAACCTGGGAGGCAGAGGTTGCAGTGAGCCGAGATTACACCATTTGCACTCCAGCCTGGGCAACAAGGGCAAAACTCCGTCTCAAAAAAAAATCAGTTTTTATTTGCACTAGCCACATTTTCAGTACAAGCACACTTTGTTTTATTGTGTTTCACTTTATTGTGCTTCACAGATGCTGCATTTTTTTACATATTGAAGATTTGTGGCAACCCTGCCTCAAGCAAGTCTATCACCAACATTTTTCCAACAGCATGTGCTCACTTTGTGTCTCGGTGTCACATTTTGGTAATTCTAGCAATATTTCAAATATTTTCAGTATTATTATAACTCTGTGATCAGTGATCTTTGATATTGCTTTTGTTAATTATTTTCAGACACCATGAACTGTGCCCATATAAGATGGTGAATTTAATCAACGCATATTGTGTGTGTTCTGGCTGCTCCACCAGCCAGCCATTCCCTGTCTCTTTCTTTTTCCTGGGCCTCCCTATTCCCTCAGACACAAAAATATTGAAATTAGGTCAATTAATAACCCTACATTGGCCTCTAAGTGTTTAGGTGAAAAGAAGAGTCTCAAGTCTCTCACTTTAAATAAAACACTAGAAATGATTAAGCTCAGTGAGGAAGGCATGTCTAAAGCCAAGCTAGGCAGAAAGCTAGGCCTCTTGTGCCATGTAGCCAAGTTGTAAATGCAAAGGAAAAGTTCTTCAAGGAAATTAAAAATACTGCTCCAGTGAACATGAGTGATAATAAAGTGAAACAGCTTTATTGTGATACAGAGAAAGTTTTAGAGATCTGGATAGAAGATCAAACCAACCAGAATAGTTCCTTAAACCAAAGCCTAATCCAAAGAAAGGCCCTAACTTTCTTCAATTCTATGAAGACTGAGAGAGGTAAGAAAGCTACAGAAAAAAAGTTTGAAGCTAGGAGAGACTGATTCATGAAGTTTAAGGAAAGAAACCATCTTCATAATGCAAAAGTGCAAGGTGAAGCAGCAAGTGCTAATAGAGAAGCTGCAGCAAGTTATCCAGAAGACCTAGCTAAGATCATTGATGAAGCTGGCTACACTCAACAACAGATTTTTGGTGTAGATGAAATAGCCTTATATTGGAAGAAGATGCTATCTAGGACTTGCATAGCTAGAGAGGAGAAGCCAATGCCTAGCTTCAAAGGACAGGCTGACTCTCTTGTTAGGGGCTAATGTAGCCAGTGATTTCAAGTGAAAGCCAATGCTCATTTACAATTCCAAAAACTCTTAGGACCCTTAAGAATGATGCTAAATCTACTCTGCCTGTGGTCTATAAATGGAACAACAAAACCTGGATGACAGGGCATCTGTTAACAGCATGGTTTAATGAATATTTTAAGCCCACTGTTGAGAACTACTGCTCGGGAGAAAAAAAAAAAAAAGATTCCTTTCAAAATATTATTGCTTTCACAATGCACCTGGTCACCAGAGAGCTCTGATGGAGATGTACAAGATTTAGGTTGTTTTCATGCTTGCTTACACAACATACATTCTGCAGCCTATGGATCAAGGAATAATTTTGACTTTCGAGTCTTATTATTAAAGAAATACATTTCATAAAGCTATAGCTGCCATTGAGAGTGATTCCTCTAATAGATCTGGACAAAGCAAATTAAAAACCTTCAAGAAAGGATTCTTCATTCTAAATGCCATTAAGAACATTCATGGGAGGAGGTCAAAATATCAACATGAACAGGAGTTTGGAAGAAGTTGATTTCAACACGCATGAATCACTTTGAGGGGTTCAGGACTTCAGTGGAGTAAGTAACTGCAGATGTAGTAAACACAGCAAGACAACTAGAATTAGAAGTGGAGCCTGAAGATGTGAGTGAATTGCTGCAATCTCGTGATCAAACTTGAACAGATGAGAAGTTGCTTCTTATGGATGACAGAATAAACTGGTTTCTTGAGATGGAATCTAGTGAAGATGCTGTGAACATTGTTGAAATGACACCAAAGGATTTAGAATATTGCACAAACTTGATAAAGCAACAGCAGGGTTTGAGATGATTAAAAGAAATTCTATAGTGGATAAAATGTTATCAAACAGCATTGCATGCTACAGAGAAAACTTTCAGGAAAAAAAAGAGTCAATCCATGTGATGAACTTTATTTTTGTCTTATTTTAAGAAACTACCAAAGCCATCCCAACCTTCAGCAACCACCAGACTGGTCAGTGGCCATCAACATAGAGGTAAGACCTTCCATCAGCAAAAAATAAATAAAAAATAAAAAAATAAGACTCGCTGAAGGCCCAGATGATTGTTAGCAATTTTTAGCAATAAAGTATTTTTATGCAGGTATGTACTTTTGTTAAGACAATATGCTATTTCACACAATAGTCTACAGTATAATATAAACATAAATTTTGTATGCACTGGGAAACCAAAACAATTCACGTTGACTCATTTTATTGTGGTGGTTTGGAACCGAACCTTCAGTATCTCTGAAGTATGCTTGCACTCATTAGCCACATAAGGCTAGTGGCAAGATATAAAACAATTACATTGTCACAGAAAGTTCACTGAATGATACTATACTACTAGATTACTGAGAAGAAATAACCAACTGCTTCCAAAATGGCTCTGCTGGAGAAAACACCCTACATTGCAAATACTCCACAAATACAGGCACATAACTCTAGCCGAGCTCTCTAACAATGCCTTATGAAAGGAAACACATAACATAATTTGCAGAATCATTCCCAATAGGTGGAAGCTACTTGGAGGCTTTTCTCATCTCTTTGAGATATTGTAACACATATTCAAATGTCATGCTTTCCACTTTTCTCATTTCACCCATCCTCCACAAGGACCATCACACACTAGAGTTAACACCAAAAAGTGGATAGCCTGTACTGAGAGGTGTATATCATGTTCATGCACATTCTAGAGAATTCCCCAATCACCACAGAAGCCAAAGAATGGGCTGTCCTTTAGTCCCCGAGAAAGGTCTGCTGGATATGCAGAGCTCAACTGCTAACCAAGTCATTGGCTGGGTTTGCCTGAGAACAGAAAGAATAGCAGGAGGTGGAGGAGCAAGTGGTAACATGACCTAAGGAACTGGTGATCTGAATTGCTATGTGTCATAGCAATGGGCTCTTCAGACCCACCCTTCAAATGGGCTCTCCAGATCCACCCTAATTCACAGTCCTGGTCTTCAGCAGATTTGTTTGGCCCTAGTTAAATGTTGACAGAGCAACTTGACATACAGCTCAAAGAGTTTTCCAGCCACTCCTACTGCCCCACAGAGCCTCATTCTGATTGTCATTGTCCCAGGATTCAATAAGAATCAAAAAGGAAAAAGGAAGGAAACTTAGAAATCATCTATCCCATACCCTGAATCTTATGGATAAGGAAAGTTGAGGCACAGAAAGGGGAAATGAGAGACACAGATTACCCAGGCAAGAGTGTCAGTTTCCATGTCTGTGAACTGGAGATAAGATTCGTCTCTAAATACAGATGTCATGGTGGCTCTCTCACCAGCACACCCGCGGTCACCAGCCTTGTGCTCCTGTGCTCTCCTGGCAACCAGTTTCCCACTCTACCCTGCAGTGAGTAGGATCAGCCACCAGAGAGCCTGTGAGTGAGAACAGCATTTAACCATTTTCCTATGGGCAGGCTTATTCTTTCTATAGTGCCTATGTCTTAATCAATAAACAACCCCAGCTAGTTGACTCCTGGTCATTCTTTATAGGAAACAGAAGCCTATACCAAGTATAAATCTCTACAAGATCAATTCGATTTGAAGAATAAGGATCAAGACCTGCTGTTCCCAAATTATAACTCTGATAAAATCACTGTTATCATAAGCCTTGATTTGTCCCATTCATTCTGCCATTATTCTTTCATTCTTCAGGGTCTTAAAACATTTTCCAAGTTTCAGTCATACATACTTCAGATGTAAATAGTTTCATGAGCTACAATGTCTTAATAAGGATTATGATACAGCTATTCAGATTAAGAAAAGGACACCAGATAAACCCCACAGATTTAGCTGGGAAGATTCTGTAGGGGTGGAAAGAGCCCTACCAGGGCAATTTTAGGTCCGAGGACAAAACTTAACCTACACTGAAGTTGTGTATAAGAAGGCCTTAGATCCAATGGTGAAAAGATATAGTTTTTTCAATAAGTCTCTGGCTCTTTAAATCACAGTCTTCAAAAATCAGCCACTGAATTAGGTTATGGATCTGTGGGTACAGCACAGTGAAACATTAAATCAGAGAACAGAAAACTTTCTGGAACAAATAAGCCAAATGAATGCCTAGAAGTGGAAATGTTAACTAGCGACATAAGTTCAGAGTACAGCTGTGTCCAAATGAGTCGGCTCTGGCCCAGCAAGCAAAGTCTGTGAAAGATACAGAAGAATTATACTGTTTTTCCTAAAGTCAAACAGTGGACTTTTGCCATGTTAATTCCGATTTTCTGGGGTGGGAGATGAGAAATTAAGAAAGCAAAATGGAATGGTTTTAAAATAAATACGTCCTAGATTATTGTGTTGAGATAGGGCTGTATTTTTTTTTCTTTTGGCAGAGAAATGAGTTGACTATAACGTCTTTCAAGAGAAATGTCTCAGATTTATTTCAATGACCTTATAGTCTGGGTATGATGGCACCAAAAACGCACTGAGTTTATTAGTTAGTATCTAATGAATCACATTTTATTTGTGTGTTTCAGGTCAATTCACAAGCTCTTGTGCTTCATTTGAGCCAGAAGACACCACTGAACAGATCATGGTTTCAGTACCTACACTGGCTGTTTTTCATTCAAGGTGCAAGAGTGGTTCCAAAAGCTATGCAAGGGATTACTTTTTGCCAAACTAATTATCACAATTATTGAGAAATATGACAAAGACCTAAAAGTATCAAACATTGCCTACATTTGATAGGCTTTGAATAAAAGATAAGTTAATTTCAACAGGCTGTGATTAAAACTGTCCATAATAATAATAATGATAAAACAATTGTCATATGTTGAGATTAATAAATGTTACACAAAATGTTTCAAATGTATTTTATCTTCTACAGTCTATAAGATGGACACTATAATTTTCCCCATTTTATATTTGAGGTTTAGGCCATTGTTAAAGCTTTCCCAGAGTTATATATCTGATATGGCAGAGCCAGGGCCTTCAGGAGAGACGCTGGAATACCTTTGTTGAAAATTAAGCTAGACTCTAGTAGTTCTCAGTTGAATTAATTGGGAACAATTTACCAAGTAATGAATAATTGGTACAAAACTGTAAGTAATAAAATGCTGAATAGTGAAAAAGAGATTCTGAAGTCCTAGAGAGATCAGCAAAAAAGCAAATCCAAAGCAGAAGGCTCGCAGTAGAAGGTGCAATGTGAGCTGTGCTTTGAAACGGCTCTGATGGTACAAAAAGAGGAACAAAGACAGAGACAGCAGGATGGAAGGGATTGGAAGGTTAAGGGGTCACAGAAGAGGCCAGCAGGAGAAGACAATACAGGAGGGAAATAGTTGTCTACTTTCTGGGTTATTCCTCCAATTTTTTTTTTTTTTTTTTTTTTTGAGTCTCACTCTGTCGCCCAGGCTGGAGTGCAGTGGCACAATCTCAGCTCACTGCAACCTCCGCCTCCCGGGTTCAAAAGAGTCCCCTGCCTCAGTCTCCCGAGTAGCTGGGACTACAGGCACGCACCACCACGCCTGGCTAATTTTTTCTATTTTTAGTAGAGATGGGATTTCACCATGTTGGCCAGGATGGTCTTGATCCCCTGACCTCGTGATCTGCCCACCTTGGCCTCCCAAAGTGCTGGGATTACATATTCCTCCAATTTTTAAGCTCACAAGGAACTCAAGGGGCATTCAGATCAACTCATATATCACGCAATGGCACACCTGATAGGCACTGAGCAGGAAGCTTCCCATGAACTACCACACAGAAAGCCAGTGCTCTGTAATCCTAATTCAATATAACACTGACTGAGCACCTACAATGTACAGATAGAGGGCCAAATATTGAGCACAGAAGGATGAAGAAGATGCAATTCTGGTCTGTAGGAAGCTCATATAAAAGTATGTAAGTCCACACTATTTTATTGATTTTAGTAGAAACGGGTTTTCACCATGTTGGCCAGGATGGTCTCGATCTTTTGCCCTCGTGATCTGCCCGCCTCAGCCTCCCAAAGTGCTGGAATTACAGGAGTGAGCCACTGCACCCGGCCGAAGTATTCCATTTCTTGAGGCAGAAAAGACTTCTCTGTGGTGACATTAGATATGAGCCTTCTAAGAGGTGTGTATTATGATGGCAGGAGAAAGAGGAGAATGGAGTCCTAAGCGGGAGCAACTGTGTATTAACACAAACATGGAAGGATTCTACATACGCTGTTAGTAAGGAAAAATCACCAGGCAGAGCTGGAGCTGAGATTATAATCAAGGGTCTTCAGTGGAGCAGCAGAGCCAGGTGGAGTAGTGTTAGAAGACTACTACTAACATGAGTAGTGTTAGTACTACTAACATGAGTAGTGAGGAATAACATGATAAGGAATTTGAAGACAAGTGGGGAACCATGGAAAAACTTGAACATAGCAATGAGATTATTTGATCTCTGATTTAAGATGAAAATCTGGCAGTAAAGGGAAGAATGGGTGGCGAGTTAAAGGAGCCAAAATGCCCCTTAGCTATTCAAAGAGGATGATAATGTAATAATGCCAGCCTGAATTCAGGTAATGGTAACGCACAAGAAGAAAAGAAGAATTCACCAGCCACAATGGCCAAAGATCAGCCAGGGTTAGTAAATTAAAGATAATTACAATTTCTGACTTTAGTGGCTGGCAGATAGTAGTATCACAAAATAGGACAGGGACAAGACCAAAAGCAATCAGGAATAAGTGCTACTTAAATCAGAAAAATACTCAAAATGCTGAACACATGCTGGTGTAGTCTCAAACAAAACTGGGTGATGGCATTTTCTATAATGACTGTGTAGTCTGCCATGGCGGGTGGCCCAAGGAAGTGATAACAGGGGCAGAGGATCTCTAGGTCACGTGTTCAAAGTCATAATTCTCAGGTGTCTAAAACTTGTTCATATATCTGACAGCTGTTCAATGACTGATGTGAAAAGAATCAGAGGTTTTAGTTTAGGGTCTAGCAAAACAGATGTTCCCCTTTATAACTGACACCTTTGTTATGATAGAGGAGAGTTTTTTGAAAGAAATTAAATCAGTTCTAGTCCTTAGATTGCCTGCTGAGATGTTTTTGGACTAGTCAGAGTCTGTTTTTTCTTTTTGTTGTTGTCGTTGTTGTTGTTGTTTTTGTGTTTCCCAAGAGCATCCCACTATGGCATAACGATTTGTTTGAAATGTTTAAATTTTTTAAAAATCAAAGGTAGGAGTTGTCTAAGAGTGATAAGGCAGTCATTTAATATAGCTCTTTCCGCTGCTTCTATCTTTCTTTATTCTTTTGCAGTCGCTTGCAAAAGGTTATCTGCCACATTACAGGTCTGTGTTCATTTCTTTATCAGCATATGATCTATAAGAAAACATTCAGCCTGGAGCGGTGGCTCTTTTTCCCTTTGAAAATAGTGCAGTGGCACCACGGGGTTGTTTTTTGTTTTTTGTTTTTTCGTTTGTCTTGTTTTGTTTTGTTTTGAGATGGAGTCTCTGTCACCCATGCTGGAGTGCAGTGGTGCCATCTCGGCTCACTGCAACCAACCTCCATCTCCTGGGCTCAACCAATTCTCCTGTCTCAGCCTCCCAGCACCTGCCACCAGGCCCAGCTAATTTTTGTGTTTTTAGTAGAGTCAGGGCTTCACCATGTTGGCCAAGCTGGTATCGAACTCCTGACCTCAGGTGATCCACCCACCTCGGCCTCCCAAAGTGCTGGGATTACAGGCGTGAGTCACTGTGCCTGGCCGGTTTTTGAATTATCTAATACTTTAAAATATGTTTCCTCCCTTTTAAACCCAAAGTTCTAAGTGGGAGGATATGTGTCCTGGGCATTAAGTGGGAGATGCAGATAGTTCCTGAAGACCTCCACAGCAGTAGACTTCTTGGGCTACAGGGGAGCCCACTTTCTCCAGGGACCATATTTGTTTAACTTGTCCCTGCATGTGGACTGCCCTGTGGCAAACCACTGTAAAAGAATGAAGTCTCCTAAGAATTGTGCTTGAGTTTGTACATTCCTTGGTGTCGGCTAAAGCCACAGGAACTTTGGCAGTATTTTGAAGTTACACCCGTTCCCTATTGCAATGCAGGTCTGTGAAATAATGCCTTAGCTCTGCCAAAAACCACAGTGATTATCAACAGTGTAAATAATCAAGTAAAAGCACTTTTCCACAGCCCAGTGACTAGATTGTCAAGAATGCAAAAAGTAGTAGCAAAAATTGATTGCCATTTGCAAAGATAATTTCTATCTGAATTATATTACTGTATTGCAACAGCGATGCATAATGTGTGTCCAGCATCTTTGTAATAAACATTTTAGGTTTAATTTAGAAATCTCTGAGTCATTAGAAAAGTTCTTTCTCATTATGATGAAGGGGCCATGGTGAACTCAGCACTATTACAGTCTAAAGAGGGAAAAGAAACAGACAAGCAAGCTACACGTGTGAGAAGCAGAATTGCTCCTAGCTGAAACAATAGGAAAAAGTTCAAAATATAGATAGCTGCCTATTATTGAATAATTAATATAAGTATGGCTGTTTTACATTATCAAGCAGCCTGAGTATTTTCAATATTCCAATACAATGTGATATGGTCATTGATTTGTTGTTGTTTTAAACTCTTCATTTCTGCGAGGAAAAGAAGACTTCACATCTAGCAAACAAGGTCAAATAGATCAACTAAACTAGACCTTTCCGCCCCTCACAGATACCCCTTGTGCTGCTGCTTCAATTATTCCTGACATTGGTATTCAATAACTCAGGCTGGCAAGATGGTTTTAGAGCTCCACCCCAACCCTACACTGCTGGAAAATCTTATTTAAATTGAATTTTTCACTCTTCATCTCTTCGTTTCAGAACCAGGAAGATGTCTGCTGAAAAGCATCAGGCTGGCTGGCATGGTGGCTCAAGCTTGTAATCTCAGCACTTTAGGAGGCCGAGGTGGGCAGATCGCTGGAGGTCAGGAGTTCGAGACCAGCCTGGCCAACATAATGAAACCCCATCTCTACTAAAAATACATAAATTAGCCAGGCATGGTGGCCCATGCCTGTAATCCCAGCTACTCAGGAGGCTGAGGCAGGAGAATCGCTTGAACCCGGGAGGTGGAGGTTGCAGTGAGCCAAAATTGCGCCACTGCACTCCAGCCTGGGTGGCAGAGCGAGACTCTGTCACAAAAACAAAAACAAAAACAAACAAAAAAAAAGAAAAGCATCAGGCCTTACTGGAAATTAATGCAACGGAAACATAATTCTCTTGAGCCTTGGGCCTTCTCTCGAGATTAGTAGGTGTGACTCAGTGGTTCAAAACCAGGCTGTTTATATGAGTGGCCTAAGGGGCTTTTTAAAAATACTGATCGCTAAGCACAGCCTTCTCCAGGGACCATTTAATTAAAAATCTGACGAGGGTGGGGGCCAGGCATCAGTCTGTCTATAAGCCCACCTCCCCGCCCCACTACCCAGTGAGTCTAATGTCCAACCCAATCAGTTTCATGTTCTAGCATGCCTGTGAGGAGAGAGAATTTTGTGAATGTTTGCTTAGGAATGTTTGCACCTGTTTACCCTAAGAGCCAGTGTGCTCAAACTTAGATGTCCATTGGAGACACCTGGAAGATTTTAAGATCAATGATATTTGGGTCTTACCCTGGAGAGATTCTGAATTTCTGTGAGTGGACAATCACCCCCAGGTGATTCCAATGTGTAGCCAAGTTTAAGAAACACTGTTCTCGAGCTATGAAATCCATGAGGGCTGCGCTTATTCACTTACTTCAAAGCCTGAGGAAGTGCATTACGAGTATTTACAAGATAGGACTCAGTGTAGCCAGTAAACGGCCCACTAAAAAAAAAAACAAAAAACAAAAAAAAAAAAAACAGGATTCCCTCCTGTGTCAGAACTATCAGATGCTGATGACTAGACTGTGCAGAAATAAGCACATAAATGAGTGTCTATTTTGAGTAATAAGATGAGTAGTATCCATAGAAACAACTGACGAATAATCATCGTAGCTAATTAGATAAGTGATTTCCAAAACCTATTTGAATGATAACTAACGTAATAAACTTCAAACTTCATATTCAGCGACATATTTTTCCCTGCTCCTCTTAATGGTCTGTCAAGAGTTGGCAATCGCGTCAATAGAAGTCATGTTTTTAATCCTCAACGATGTTGATTTACCCTCTCAGAAAGAATTACTGAGTGAAGACTGAAGTAGCATTCAGCCATGAGCATAGGTTTTGGAGTCAAACAGAGCAGGATCTGAGCCCCTTGCTCTGCTGTTTGTTAAGCAGTCAGCCTCGGGAACATGGCTGAACCACCCTGCTCTGTGTTCTCCTCAGTACAAAGGAGGTGATACTATCTATTCCATGGCACTGCTATAAGGATTAAAGACAATTTCCCTCTTAAAATGCTTTGCACAGAGCTATTACTAGAAAAATCACAGTATTGTTAAAATCATTTCCTAAATTTGGGGGCTGTTGGGAGTTAACATGATAACAGAACTAAATTACTCTGGGCCAGGCACGGTGGCTCACGCCTGTAATCCCAGCACTTTGGGAGGCCGAGGCAGGTGGATTACCTGAGGTCAGGAGTTCGAGACCAGCCTGGTCAACATGGAGAAACCCCATCTCTACTAAAAATACAAAATTAGCCTGGTGTGGTGGCGCATGCCTGTAATCCCAGCTACTCGGGAGGCTGAGACAGGAGAATCACTTGAACTTGGGAGGCAGAGGCTACAGTAAGCTGAGATTGCACCACTGCACTCCAGCCTGGGTAATGGAGCAAGACTCCATCTCAAAAAAAAAAAAAAAAAACAACTAAATCACTCTGTAAAAGATGACCATGTATAGAGGTCACACAACTCTTTATTGCCATCTCGCCAGAAAACACAGTAATGCAATAATTGGGTTTAGCCACTCTATTTTTCAACACATCTTGGGTTGTGTTTTGTTGTCATTGTTGTTGTCGTCGTCGTCGTTTTTTTGGCCAATGAACAAGATATTTGGTGGTTATCCCTGGTGCTATTACCCTTCCTGGGCCACACTGATTCCCTTCAACTATGCCTCAGAGTAAGGATGTCTGGATTATTGTTAATATTTCTTCATTTCTCTCTCTTCTGTTTCTGCCTCAGTGCAGCTCCCAAATCCATATCTCCCAAATAAGTTTTGAAGCTTAATAGAAACAGAGGACACTGTCATCCATCTTGTTTGCACAGCTAACCAAATATGCCTGTGTGATGTGCTCAGACCCCTCTGTTCCTCTGCCTGCTCCCCGGAGTCAGCGTTCTAGAGCTTGGAAAAGTCCAAAGTTCACTGCTGTGGCTCCCTCGTTTTATATGAGGATGCATCATAGCAACGACCTCAGCAGAAATGTTCTAATTGACAACGTGCTGTTGCACGCTCGAGGTACCTCTCGGGAGTTCTGTGAGGCAGATATCATTATAGATGAGGAAACAGAAGCCCAGAAAACATGGGACCTTCCTGCAGTCACACAGCTGGCAGAGCTGGGATGAGAACCAAGGCCTGCTAATCCCTAGCTGAGTGTTCTGTTCATGAGGCAAGCTTGCTGCTTTCCAGTTTTTCTCAGACTCTCTGTCTTTAGCGCCACAATCCTGAAAGTGTCATCCATTTATGGCACGGGGTGAAGCAATGTTAACTTTTCCCTGTGACACTTTATATCGGATAAATGTTTTACGGCCAAATGCACGACTGACAGCATTCAGCCATCCAGCTAGGTCTCACACTGCTAAGCAAAATAAAGTGGTCCTAGGAGGTCCCCAAAGCTGCTCCACAACACTGACGCTGCAAATTATATTACACAGGCATTCTGTGAGATGCCCATGGAAGAGCCAGCCCCATTGCTCTGATCTCTCAAAGCCTGATGTGCTTGACCTTTGAGCTGGGGAGCCCCGTGCAGCAGTGCCTGTGCCTGGGAGCAGCACATGTGGGACACTGGGCTTAGAATGGAAAACAGGAGGAAAAGATGACGCTCTTAGGAGCAACCATTTGCCTTGGGATAGATACATCAAAAAGAAGCAATTACAGCCAGTTAGAGTCTACCAAGGGCAGAAAGATATGACCATTAGTGAAGAGAAACTGTTTAATTTCCTGTTACCTCTACCACCATAAGAGGGATGCTACAGAAAAATAGAAACATATGAACTCTCTACAGATATCATTGGCATACTAGTAAGAGCATCCAGCAATAATAAGCCCCCAAAATATCAGTTGTTCATGGAAACTATAAAATCATGAGAGAATCTCTGGATTGGCAAGAGTAGAGTATCATTAGATTATTGATGTTATTGTTATCCTTAAAGACTGTGTAAGTCAGTTCCTTCTCTAATGCAGGAATTGCCATAACAATATTCCCACCAAGAGATAACATAGTCAAAGAGACCCCATAATGTAGTTTCCCAAAGTGCAGTACATATCGCCTGGTATTGCAAGTATTTTAGAAAATACAGGGATCAAACCTTTTACATTTTTTCTAGCTTTTTTTACTGTACATATTAGAAAAAACACAACGAGTACATTAAACTCATGATTTCACATCAATTATTGTTTAGGATTAGGGTAATTTTTTTAACTGGAAAAAAATAAATTGACTTAAAAATATGTAATATTATTATATTAAATAATATATATAATAATATTGTAATATATTAATAATATTATAATATTAAATATTATGTAGCATTTAGATGGTGCATGGCTTTGGTGAAGGTAGTGAACACTAAAATGACTAAACTGGGGGAAACATTCGTGTTCTGGTTACAGACATTATGGGCTTTGGAAGTAGAGTGACTTGACTTTGAATCCTGGATCTGCTCTCCCATAATTTGGTGAGATTTAAGTCAGTTTCCCATCTATAAAATGAGGACAATGACACCAACCTCAAAGGATATTAGCAAAGATTCAATTAAATGAGATACCGTAGGTGAACGGCCCAGCATATGTGCTGAGTGACTATCATTATTATTATAACTGCCTAGATAGACTCCATGGATGAAATAAACCGAGTCCTATCAAGAAAAGAGAGTTTATGTAATTTAGAGAAGCACCACAATTAGACACTAAACTAGGGCAGTCAATCCTGCCTATCGTTGGCTTGTTATCCTGCCTCATCTCCAGGACTATCACAAACTTCCCTAGGGTTTACAGCCTGCTCACAGCTACCCTAGAGTTGGTCAGCTGGTGGACGCCATGGCTGTCACACAGAGATGATAAAGCCCTCCAGATGTAGGTGCTGATGCTCTGTAAAGTTGTCTTCCTGAACAGCACGTTTGTATTCCAAGCACACAGCTGACAGCTCTGCCCCATTGCTAAGCCAGAATGGGGGCAGCCTGCAACCTGACCACAATGGGAAACTTGAGATGTCTCAGTCATAGCTTCCTTGCCTTGCCTTGCCCTTCAAATACTGCAATCCTGTGGGGATTTCTTCAACGATCTTGTGCTGGCCGAGGACTGCGATGAATTGAAGCAGCCATTGCCTCCCCAAGAGAAAGCTTCTAAACGTCAAGCTCAGGATTGTCATCCAGCCACAAGGCTCAGCTGCAAGGCTGATGTCTCAGAGACGCAACAAAGGGCATTCAATGTCACCGGGCAGATTCAGGGGTCATACTTATTATCATTCTTTTTTCTCATGAACATCACATGTACTCAATAAAGAAAATGTAAAAGGTACAAAAAACGATTTAAAAAAATAAACTTTTCCAAATGCCAAAGCCCAACAAAAACTTACATTTTGATGTTTCCTTCCAGACTTTTCCTATTAAATGTTTTTTTACAGTTGCAATTGCACTATTTATACATTTAACATCATGTTAGGATTGCCTCATATCATTAGGTTTTCAAAATGTTTTTCGTAATGATGAGATCATTGTGTCTTATAATATATTAATACTATAATGTGCTTGACCAATCCCCTATTAATAAATGTTTAAATTTTCATGTTTATATTATGATAAATAATTCCGAAATAAATATCTTCGTGTATATATCTTTTTAACATGTCAAATTATTTCTAAGTGTGGAATTACTGGATTAAATCGTATCAATGTTTTGAGTTTCTTGATATATACCATTAAATTGCTTCCCAGTAAGATTATATTACTTTACAGTCCTACAACAATCTTATGAAATTGCCATCTCACCAAATTCTTGCCATAGATTTATCCTTTTAAAATTCTTTGCTAATTTAACAGAGAGAAAATGATGTCTGCATCATTTTTCTCTGCATTTCTCTATTGCTTTCCATTTTTTTACATGCCTTTTGCCATTTGTTTTTCCCTCTTCTGTGAACATTCTGATCATGCCCTTTGCCCCTTTATCTTTTGAGGGCTTTCTTTTTTTTTTTTTTTTGGGGGGGGCTAAGATCTATAATTAAAATCATTCTCACTTCACTTTCTCTCAAATCTATTGTAACTAATTTTTCTCCCACTGAAAGAACAATACATGGTATTGTCTTTTGTGTCGGGGTTAAAAATGGTTCCTTTGTCATTTTATTCCTTTGTGTAATTGGAATATAAAAACTTTTCTTTATGCAATGCAACCTGACACTTAAACTTGTTTAGGAAAATATATAATGGGTTATGCTTATTTTAAATTGCCTTGTGTTTATTACTGTTCGGGAATGTTTTACTTCATGAATTTTAATTTCATAGACTAGACAAATTTTGGTTTAAAGTACAAGATTACGGTTTTTATGGAGATATTAAAATAAGAACAGAAACATGGTCAGTTGATTTACTTTCAAAGATTATATCTCTGCATTAGCTTCCTCCATAAACAATGCCTGAGATGACCCAGAACAAAATACGTTAAACTTACCTTAGGTTTAATGAAACAGAAACTAACCACCACAATGTTTATGAAAGAAACATCTACATACAGGTGACCCAGATAAAACTCTCCTTCTCCAGGGAGGCTTCTTGAATCCCCCAGGCAGAATTCCTCTCTTTCCCCCCAGAATACCCACAACTTACTGTCTGTGCCCCAGTGATGTTAACCATTAAAATCTACCTCATGACCAGGTGCAGTGGCTCATCCCTGTAATCGCAGCACTTTGGGAGGCCGAGATGGGTGGATCGCCTAAGGTCAGGAGTTCGAGACCAGCCTGGCCAACATGGTGAAACTCCATCTCTGCTAAAAATGCAAAAATCAGCCAGGCATGGTGCCGCCCACCTGTAATCCCAGCTACTCTGGAGGCTGAGGCACGAGAATCGCCTGAACCCAGGAGGCGAAGGTCGTAGCGAACCATGATCGCGCCACTGCACTCCAGCCTGGGTGACAGAGCGAGACAATGTCTTAAAAAAAAAAAAAAAAACTACCTTAAACTGGCAATGTGCATAGCTGTCTCCCTCCATCAAGGTGATTCACTTCCTGAGGGCAGGAACAATGTTTTCCTCATCTGTGTATCCATATGTGACACCAATAGGGAGCTTTAGATGTAGTAGATGCTCAGTAAACAGAGGTTGAGGTGAACTTTGAGAATTTGAGAAGGGGCCTATGTGAAACAGTGAAACCACCATAGGCTGTGGAGCCAGGAGTCAGCTTGGAATCTGCCTCTGACACTTGGCAGCCATGAGACTCCAAGCCAGTTAATTTAGCCTCCTGAGCAGCTTTGTCTTCTAATATGGGAATAACAATGCCTATCAAGCAGGCCCTGAGGGTTGGCTACCCTAATACCCATTTCCAATCCATTTCATCCTTGCCTCCCTCAACTATAAAGAGTAGGAAGCTAAATCCCCAATTTCCCAGCTTCTCTTCCGCTGGGAAATTTATGGGCCATAGCTCTTGCCAATGAGACAAAAACAGAAACAGTTGAGGGGTTCTGGGAAGGCTTTGTTCACACACTCTAGGTAAAGTGAAATGTCAGCACAATGCCTAGAGGTACAGCACCCACTTTGCAACCATGAGGTCAAAACACGAAGACAATCATCAAACAGTGAAGGAAGATGGAGTGAAAGCTACAGTCTGGGGCCTGTAGGGGCATCACCGAGAATGAATTCGACAGCTGCCTCCCTCTGGCTTCTTCATATCTGGGAGAAATTACCCATATTTGTTTAAGCCACTGTGAGTGGGATATTTCTATAATTTATCCCAAATACATTGCTAAGTGGCACCTCTACGTTATAGGATTACTGTAAACACTATACGTAAGTAATTTATGTCAAGTGTTTAGCACAGAACCTAATGCATCATAAGCATTTGAAAGGAGGTAGCTTCTAACAGCACAAGACAGAGGGCGGCATTGTTGGTGGACAGCAAGGGGTTCTGGAGCATGGGGCGGGTGAGAATTTCAAACAAGACACTGGAGCTAGCAGCAGGGAATGGAAAAAGAAGGACTTTATAAGCCACATTAAGGACAGGAATATGTCCTGAGGGCAACAGAAGGGAGTGAGTTGAGGAGAGAGAATGAGACTGGATGTGCTTGATGATCTCATTCTCTGAGCTTCTGGAAATGAAATCCCCTTTAGCATCCATCCACACCCTACCCCCACCCCACAGGGCTAGAGACTTTGCAAGAACGCATGAGGTCTCATGTAAACTGTTCCCAACCCAGTCTTCTTTAAAAAATTGTTTTTCATTTCAGGCTTCTCTTAAGAGTCTACTCTGACCTTAATGTATCAGTATGCCACTGTCTAGCGCTCTAGGGCTGGGTGCACACCCCCAAAAACCACCCCCTCTGTGGCTGGGTCCTCAATATTGCTCCCAAGTGCTAAAGACCTGTCTCTACTTCTTCCGGGTATCTGCCTTCGGTGTCCTCATTAATCAACAGCCCAGAGCTTTCATAGACAGTGGCCTCTTGGGACCTTAGCTAACAAAATATGGGGCCAACTTGTCTTCTCCCCCTTCCAGATCTACTTTCTGAGTTTACATATCCCTAGAATAACGTTCCCATACGTGAAACGAAGGATGCTAATTCTCTGGGATATTAGCAAGTACCTCATAACACAAAATCAAATCATGGTCAAATGAGTTGGTAAAATATGAGGTCAAACAGAGTTAAACAGATTTTTTTCCTACATGACTTGTCAGAGCTTCTATAATATTGTTGCATATATGTGAATATATAGAGAGATATATATAGTGCAGCGTTTCCCATACTTGTTTGTCTGCAAGTCTCTCAGTCCAAGAATATCTCAGGGGCTAGTGCTCCATGGGACATATTTGGGGAAATCCTGTCTTAGAAAAGCAGACTTCTGAATTCCCGCCTATAGTGGGACACCCCTCCCCCACCCCTAAATATTCTCTCCACTCTACAGATTTTCCCACATTCCTAGTCACAGACGGGCCCTTATTTTTCTTCTCACACACACCCCCACCACCACCAGCCTCAAACCTAGATTCCAGCCCTACTGGTTTTTTGCCACTTCGTGAATAAGTCATGGTCCTCCCACCCCCAGGCCTTTGCACAAGTGATGCTCCCTACTTGGAAAGTCCTTCCACCTCTACTCCACCAGGGAAGCTCTTGTTCCCATTTCAAGACCTGACTTGAATAGCATACCCACTGTGAAATTCTCCCCAGTTATTCAGGGCCAAGTTAATTACTCCCACCTCTATAGTTCAAGAGAACTTCGCAATTACTCCTGCTGCAGCATTTATTACATTGGTTATACCACAGGCTCATCTTCCTTTCTGAGCAAGCTATTAATCCCCCAAGTAGTGTTTTTCCATTAGTCTGCTCCATGTAATCAGCAGATCATGAGTAAGCATAAGTTTTATGAATGAATGAACAAACAACTACATGGAAGTCCACAGGGACTTGCTTCTCTACATCTTTATCAAGGGTGTTATGGATTAAGGTCAGACTCATTACCACTGCAGATAACAAGGTCCTACTACAAGCCCAAGAAACAGGATCAGATGCCAAACTCCTGCAGCCCTCAATTACTTTGTTGTTTAAAGTGGAAAAAATAAATAAATTTATATTAATGGCTAACAAAGTAGAAGAAAGCAATTCTAGTTTTCATATTAAACTGTAACATCAATAGTCGATCAGTATTTCACTGATAAGGATTACCTTGTCTCTGGTCACTCTCTATAGTCTGTCTTCCAAAAAGGAATGGGTCTCCTGCAAATATCCATGGAAACCAGCCACTGCTAAGTATGCAAGGCATTCAATTCCAGTTAGTTGCAAGACTTGGCCCCCAGCCTCACCCACACCAATTACACCAGGGAAGGGACAAATGCTTCCCCAGCCATGAACACTGTGGTGGTGAATCATGCCATAAGCTCACTGTATCACACCAACCACAACCTCAAGGTTGGACCCCAGCCCCCTAATGCTGCCAAGAAAGGCACTAATGCTTCTGCAATCACAAACACTTGGCTGACAGGATAGGCATGGAGGCAAGATCCTGCCAGATCATTTTGCTATCAAATCCCAGCCCTTAGAGATGGATACAGTGGTTCATGCCTGTAATGCCAGTGTTTTGGGAGGCTGAGGCAGGAAGATTGCTTGAGGCCAGGAGTTCAAGAAGACCAGCCTGGGCAACACAGTAAGACCCAATCTCTACAAAAAAAGAAAAAATTAAATATTAGCTAGGCATGGTGGTATGCACCTATAGTCCCAGCTACTTGGGAAGATGAGGTGGGAGAATTTCTTAAACCCAGGAGGTCAAGGCTGCAGTGAGTTATGATTGTACCGCTGCACTCTAGCCTGGGCAACAGAGTGAGGCCCTCCCTGTCTCAAAAAAGTAAGAAGAAATAAAATAAAATCCCAGCCCCTGATCTTGCTAGAAGATGGGCTGCTGCTCCCAGAATCTAGTTCTCCCCGCAGAGATGGATTCCCAACCCTGCTAGATGGAAGCGTGCTGCCCTGGAATACTATGGGTAATAAGGGGCCAGACACCTGCTACGGCACCTGGCAATGATCTCTCTGGCCATTTGCCCTGACATAGCCAACAAAATGTGCCAACAATTTATTGTGTATTTGGTGAGGAGTAAAATTGGGTTTGTTTGGTTGGTTGTTCCCCTCTCTTCTTTGGTGAGAGAAGTGCCAGGTACACTAAGGAACTGGTAGCCAACAAAAGTGTGAAAGCTGGTGTAGGGGCAATACCACCCAAACAGCTACTGCCACCTTAAGAGCTGGGAACCGCATTCACCATCTCCACTTCACACTCAATTTATTCATGCTAGCATTCACTGTCATTCACAACCACCAGCACAGCACATCACAACAGAGCAGAGCTGGACTAGACTCTCCCCAAGAAACTCAGGAGCTCTCTGAGTGTATAACAGGGAAGGAGTTGCAGAAGGCCAATTGGACTTCTAGACTTTGTACTCCTACTGACAAATAGAGGAGCTGATCTTTTACGCTCTCAATCACTCTGGCAGTTAATTTGCACCTCAGACTATGAAGTTGGACTCTGAATGTCACATATTGAATCCCCAGGCAATATGATATTGTGGAGGGAATGAAGGTAGCAAAATAATAATAATAACAGTTATTTATTCAGCACCTACTATGTTCCAGGTCCTGTACTTAGCATTACTAAATGTTTTTTATTTTATCCCAAAATAGCACTTGGATATTTCTCTTCCATTCTGTGAATGGAGAAATTGAAGCTCAAAGAAGTTAAGTTACTAGCTCAAAGTAAAAACAGCAGTGAGTGACCGGGTGCAGTGGCTCACGTCTGTAATCCCACCACTTTGGGAGGCCAAGGTGGGCAGATCACGAGGTCAGGAGATCAAGACCATCCTGGCCAACTTGGTGAAACCCCGTATCTACTAAAAATACAAAAAAAATTAGCTGGGCATGGTGGCGCACACCTGTAGTCCCAGCTACTTGTGAGGCTGAGGCAGGAGAATTACTTGAACCCTGGTTGTGGAGGTTGCAGTGAGCTGAGATGGCGCCACTGCACTCCAGCCTGGGCGACACAGACAGACTCTGTCGCAAAAATAAATAAATAAATAAATAAATAAATAAATAAATAAATAAATAAATAAAACACAGCAGTGAGTTAAAACGCACACCTCTCTGAATCCAAAATTCTTGAGTCTCCCTAAAATTGTGACTGCTAGTATTAAAATAGTCACACTCAACTTACTAGAATATGAGTTTGGGGGAGTTTTGCCACAAAATTCAAATAACTAAATACCAGGGGCAAAGCCTGAACTTTATCACTTTCCAATTGACTTTTCACATGAGAGATTGTTGTACATCATTTCCATGCATTGGATTTACATGAATCTGTGAACCAAACTGCCTCCTTAAGCGTCTTTTTCAGGATGATAATTTAATCGATGTAATCTTTATCTTTTTCCTTGTTGAAATCCAAATGATAGTGCACATCTAAATATGAACAGCAGACGTTAAGGAAGGGAACCAGGAAGAGCAACAGCAAAGTCAACCAGAGATCTAAAAATGGGAAAAACTGGTCTTCACAAACATGTAAAATATGTAATTAGAAATGCACTAAAACTTCTACTCTGAGATAGAGAAAATATCTCCGCCGATGTTAATTTGGTTGATGACTCATATTGAAATAACATCTGTTTACAACTCAGTGTTCTTGTCCATGCTGTATTCTTTGCATCTTTCTTTAATTCAAGTCATTCTTAACACATCCTTCAACACATAAGGTATCACTTCCCAGGTTTCTAGGGTGGACTACTTCCATGTTTCTGTCACCACCATGACTGATGAGGTTTCTCGCCCTTCCTCTAACTGTGAGTTCCTTGAGGGCAGGGTCTTTGCTGTATCTTTCTTTCCCAGCATGCAACTAATACATAATGAAAAGCTGGATTACCCACATTGAATTTTTTTCATCTTTATAAATTAGTACTCAGACAAATGAAATTTAAAATTGGAACTCAAGATCATGAATGGTTCATATTAATGTTTTAATCTACAGAAGGCTGTGCAGTTGCAGGTAGCGATACCCAGCTACAAAACACCAGAAGGGCCTAACTCAAAACTGTGGAAATTACAGCCACTTACATGGAACCAACTACATCTTAAATTCCTGCCCAACAGAAAGTTGATTCTGTTACCTTTCTGTATGTCATGAAACAAAAATTTTTAAGTCCCAGAAATTTCTCAAATTATGTCAGTGGCTTAGTGTCATTCAGCACATGTGGAGCACACTCCCTCCTTAGTTATAAATGGTCCTAAATAATTCCAACCTCACCATTTTCTAAATGGTCTTCCTCTTTCCAGATTCTCCTGAAATGTGTTTTTAAGATCTGGGGCTTTCTCCTAGAGCTGTGTGACCTTAAGTAACCATTTAGCATCACTGACTCTCAGCTCTCTCTGTTTGAACATCTATAAACTCTGCTTTCATGTGAGAACACACAGAACTCAAGCGCATGCCAAGACAGAGGTTGGCAGGACTTGTGCTGGGCTGATCCAGGCAGTAGCAATCCGGGTTTGGAGATTCCAAATATGAGTCCTGTAGACCAGAGAATATTTCATTCTTGAATAACAAGTTAAGTCCTTACGGGGTGGTTGAAAATCTTATACATCAAATGTGAGCCAATCGTACAAGATCCAATTTCCTATGAAGAAAAATTGGTAGAGTGGTAAATATAAGGAAGATCAGATCCTATTCTAAATCTTACTTGAGTTGTGGAGAGCACTAACAACTGTGGGTAAACGTAGAAAGCAGAAGGGAGACCACGCACAAGGAAATTACTCCCAGAACCTTGGGGAGCAAGGAAATGTGCCAGGATCCTTTCCGAAGTCTTGTTTTGCTGAGTCAATATTAGCTACATCTGAGAATGTCCTAGAAGAGTTTTTTTCCCATTAGTTCCATTTATTTCCCCAACGTTACAGAAGAATGTCAAAACACAGGCAATTATTCCAAGGTCTGAAAGTCTCAAGTAACAGATCTTACTGCCACATCCATTCTCCTGAAACATGAATTTCATAATGCCATTCCCTTTTCCAGGACTTACGGTGTCTCCCTCCTACTCTCACATCAATCAATCAATCAGTTCATACTACTCAGCATCCTGTTCAGTGCATAGCCCTCTGCTACACACAGGAAAAACCAAGTCATTCATGTTTTTTACTCATTTAAAAAATGTTTATTGAGCACCTACTAAGTGACAGAAGCCATGCTGGGCACTGGAGGGAGAATAGATGGACAAGGCATGGCCCCTGCCCTAGAGAAACTCAAACTTTCCTGGGGTTGGCAAATGGGTAAACAACAATTACAACACACTGTGATAAGCTGACACTAAAAATATGTTCACAGAATCCTGCAAAGCCCTAGAGAAGGCATAGCAGAGAAGAAAACACATCAGCTGGGCTCTGAGGGATGAGCAGGCATTCACCAGAGGACAAAGCAGGAAAAGGGTACCTGAGAGGGAGGGAATAGTGATGTGCTGTGTTGACCTAAGTCAAACACGGGAAATAATGAGAGAATCGGGCTATTATTACACATCATTCGGTGATTAATTATGTGATAGGTGTTACATATAAGTTTTAGGATAGTAGAAATCAAGAAGTCAGAACCTGGGATAATAAGAGAAAACCTCAGTCTTTTTCCAAGTTATTTCACTGCTCTCCCCAGGTAGAATGGTGAGGGGCAAAACACACAGATCTGAGAGCGAGATCTGAGTCAGAATCATAGCGCCACTCAAAAGTAGGTCAAGTAGGTTGTAACGAAATTAATAATGCAGGAATTTGCACAGCCTCCCCCAACTCACTCATTGAAACAGCTTCTTCCTAGTCTTCTTTCCCCTTAAATCCAAGGAAAGTCTATCTCTTTGAGACCAGTGACTTCGGGCTTTGGAATGCAGAGTCATGATGGGGCCGGGAGATGAAAATAGAGGCCCACGAGCTAGGGCTGGGGCTGATGAGATGCTTGGAGCTCAAGCCAGTACAGGGCAAGAAAAGTGGGGGAGATCACAAAAAGTTGAGGATTCCTCTTTGAGGCATTCTGGAAACCCAAAGAAAAATTCAATTATTCTCAAACTCTTTTTTGGCTATAGATGAATGTGGTTTTGTTGTAGTTTACTTTGTTCTGTTTTGATTTTTAACCAAAACACTATCTGTGACTGTTATGATTGTACCACTGCACTCTAGCCTGGGCAACAGAGTGAGGCCCTCCCTGTCTCAAAAAAGTAAGAAGAAATAAAATAAAATCCCAGCCCCTGATCTTGCTAGAAGATGGGCTGCTGCTCCCAGAATCTAGTTCTCCCCACAGAGATGGATTCCCAACCCTGCTAGATGGAAGCGTGCTGCCCTGGAATACCATGGGTAATAAGGGGCCAGACACCTGCTACGGCACCTGGCAATGATCTCTCTGGCCATTTGCCCTGACATAGCCAACAAAATGTGCCAACAATTTATTGTGTATTTGGTGAGGAGGAAAATTGGGTTTGTTTTCACTGCAGCCTTGACCTCCTGGGTTTAAGAAATTCTCCCACCTCATCCTCCCAAGTAGCTGGGACTGTAGGTGCATACCACCATGCCTAGCTAATAGTGACTTTATAAGCACGCATCCCATTAGCAGAGTAATGACGGACGTTAATTCATCCTCTCCACTTTGCTTATCTGAAAAATGGGAACCTACGTATCAGAGAGGTTTCATGGAGATGAAAAGAAATAATTAATGTAGACTCCTAGTAATCAAGGAGGATACTTTCTTTTCCACTGCTACTCATGCCCTTTCATTCATTTATGTATTCAATGCATAATTTTAATCACCTGCTACTGGTACACCCTCTGCTAAATTCCTTTTTTGCCTATAGAAATCTTGCCCATCTTAAGCATTCATGTTTTTTTTCTGTCCAGCACCCTTTTCCCTCTTCTTAAGGAAATACCCCCGTCCTGGGATTGCCACAAGCTGGCCTATCATGGTTTTCCTCCTTGGCCCAATACCTGTTCCATGTGGTGGGTCCATCACCCCAGACAGGCCAACCAGAGTGATGTCTTAGGCTTTTTCAAACTGGAGCTGAGAGAATGACTTTTTTCCCTCTGGACTTAAGGCTTTAAAGATGTAAGCATAAGCAGCTAAGAGCCTTAATTCCAGCCACCAGCTTAGAAAATTCCGAGAGAATGAAGAAAACAGAAGACAAAAAAAAAAAGGAAGAAAGCTCCTGCTTCAGTCATGCCCTGCTCCAACCCCGGCCTCTCTAGGGCCTGATTATATGAGTCAATAAATGTAACCCTATTTGCTAAGTTAATTTGAGGTGGTTTTCTCTAGGTGCTAATCAAAGAGTTCCAGCTAACACAGTATCTTCCCAGACCTCATTGAATTCCCCATCTCCTTATTCTATAGGTCAGCCAGACATCCTTGGAGCATGATTGCCGACGCTATACAGCTTGCCTCTGACAATGTACGCTTACCATTGCTGCATAACTCTTCTTCCCAAACATCATGCTTCTTCATGCCACAGGCCTCATTACTAATCATGTAGTAGAAACTCAATAAGTGTGTTGAGATAAAACAAACACCAACTTAAATTATAAAAGCTAGAAAGAGTCTTAGAGAATCGGTTTAAAATTCTCTGCAAACTCAGAAACATGTAGCGATTTTGTTTTCTTTCTCTAACAACATTCCCTGGGAGGAAAGCAGAAAGATAGCCACATAAATGTGTACTGCAATTCTTCTGAGTTATCACAAAACAGCACAATATCAAAACAGTTCACGGATAAAAGTGTATGTGTATAAATGCACCCAGCCATATCTTATTATAAGGGAGTATCACACTCAGGATTCCTGACTCTGAATGTGATTAATTATCTCCAGAGACAAAAAAGCGTAACACATAATTTAAATTTTATGTGAATTTAGCAATAGACATTAAATCTTTAAGAAGCACGCATACCTTGTAACCCAGCAATTCTGTTTCTGGCAATTTGCCCTAAGACAAGAATTTGGAAATGTTTAGAGATTTAGCCATATTAGTTTTTATTCAAACATTGTGAAAAATTGCAAGAGACTGAAAAATACCAAGTAATCCATTCATAGGGAATTAGAGAAATTAATGACCTATTCATACAATGGGATTCTATTTGAAAAAAAAATCACATTAGAGAATAATACTTGCACTATTTTTAAGTGAAAAAAATTAGGTTGCAAAATGACGTATATATAGAGTGGTCCAATGGTCCAATTTTAAGTGAAAAGAATTAGGTTGCAAAATGACGTATATATAGAATGGTATGTGTATACTTAAATGTACATAGGTATACACACGAGTGAACTGGAAGAACAGACATCATAATGTTAATAGTGTGTATCTCTGGGTTGTAGCATTATACATGAGTTTCACTTTCTCTTTTTTGCTTATTTTTATTTTGGGAGTTCTCCACCATAAACATATATTTATGTAATTCGAAAGAAACAAGAACGAATATTTTGTAAACATACAGGAAAGTGTTCTAAGAAAACATCTAATCCAAATTCCTCATGTTGCAGAGGAGGAAACTGAGGCCCAGGCAGTGCTATAGCTTGCCCGAGGTCCCACAGTTAGCAAATGACAAAATTAGCACCCTACGCCCAGGGCAGGGTTCTTTCCACCAGACCATTCAATCCCCACCATGGGTATTGTGTTTTAAAAGTCCAGCTAGCTGGGCACGGTGTCTCACGCCTGTAATCCCAGCACTTTGGGAGGCTGAGGAAGGTGGATCACCTGAGGTCAAGAGTTTGAGACCAGCCTGGCCAACATGGTGAAACCCCATCTCTACTAAAAATACAAAAAATTAGCTGGACATGGTGGAGGGCACCTGTAATCCCAAATAGCTGGGCTGAGGCAGGAGAATTGCTTGAACCTGGGAGTCGGAGGTTGCAGTGAGCTGAGATTGCATCATTGCACTCCAGCCTGGGCAACAAGAGCAAACCTCCGTCTCGAAAAAAAAAGTCCAGCTAACTTCATTTAACTCTGCATTTGGAAAGGATCATTTTAAAACAGCACATTCATATACGAGAATGATAGCAAACAGAAAAACACCCTTGAATTTCATCTCATGCTTGGGTTTCGGTGCTTTACAAAAATAGTGTTGGCATTACCTCCTGGCATTGTATTATAGGATGGGATTTATTATGAAACTGGGACCAAATTTTTCAGTTTGGAACAATTAATAAGCATAACATAGGTTTAGAATTAGTGAAGTCATATTTTTGCAGCTGCTGTAGAATTCTTCCACAGCTTAATTTGCTACCTTTGTGATTTTAACAAATGAAAAGATGTATGTTCATTTATAATAATTGGCTATATGCTTCCACTAGATTACAAAAATTTGATGATTTTCAGGAATCATAACAAACCATGACCTATAAATTCAATTTCCAATGGTAAAAATCCCCTGACCAGAGTGGATGCTGATGACGAACTAATAATGTGTTCTGTAACAATCTGTTTTGAGCACTCAATTGACCTGTAAGTGTTCCAGATACTGCCTGATGAAAATGGGTTTTATTATTTTCCATTAGCAGCTGCTACAGCAAAGTGAACGGCCAGTCCACAAGGGAAATAAAAGTGTTTCCCTCTTCTCAGTCGCCTCTGCTGCAAACGTAAACAAAACTACCTTCTTCCTTCCCCTCCTCCCACCTCTGAAATCTCTACATTCAAGGACCACGACTGGCGAATCCTGCCTGAGTATGTGGCATCTAATTAAAACACAATGGGGCATCTACTATGTGTTCAGCATTTTGCTGAAGTGGTGCAAGGGTGAACGGAGACCTCGCACAGGGAAGCAAATCACTGGAAAAAGTGGTTCCTGCATTCAAAAATGTCATTAGACTTGCCAATTGGTTCTTTTCATTAAAATAACAATAATAGTTTCTTTTACCGTTGTAGTGGTCTGCTTTATTCTTCTTGTTTCTTGCATTTATAAAAAGTTATTCAGTGCTGTTTTTTCTTCTACACAAGTCTTCTTTCCACTTTTGGCATTTGCATCCTGTAAAATTATGCTCTTTTTGGCAAATATATACATGCATAAGGGAGGGGGGCGTCCACAACCATTTAAAGAAATTATTTCTCCAAGGATTTTTTCCATTTCCTCCCAGAGAGACAGAGAAAAATCTCACCAAGGTGTCATACAAAAACAAACAAAAAAACCCTCCATATACTCCTCCTCTTCTGGTATTTTTCTTCCTGCCTGCTAAATGAAGGCTTGACCCAATGTTCCTTTCCCTGCCCTCTCCTCTCTCACTGCTGTCTACTGTCTCCCTGGATGATCTCATCTAATTCCACAGCTTCAACACTCACATAGTACATGTGATTCCTAAATCCCTCTCTCATCACAATCTCTTTTCCCAGCTCCTAGTCTGCATTCTCAGCTGTCTGCCAATCCTCTCCACCCAGACGAATCCAGGATACCCCAAGCCGAGAAGTCCAAAGCCAAAATCTGTGTGTTCACCTGTGTTTCCCTGTTTCTGTTCAAGGTACCATTATCTTCCCAGTCTAGATCAGACAGGCAGACATCTTTACCTCTCTCTTCTCTCATGCCCTTTACTCAAACCCATCAATTCTCTCTGCTCTTCATTGATATCTTTCCCTTTCTTTCCATCTTCTCTCCCACTGTCCTAGTTAAAGCCTATTATACTCATTTGGACTTTTACCACAACCTCCTAACTTTCCTACTTTAAGTCTTTGTCTACTCTAATTCATTTTATACATTACTGACAGATTAGCACAAATGCTAAAGTGTAGTTCTGACCATGCCTTCCCACCACTCGCAAGCTGTCCACATCCACTGCTTACTTACAAAAGAAAGTACAAACTTAGAGAAGGCCTTCCATGGTTTGGTTGCTACTGACTTTGTTAGCCTTACTGCCCACTATGCATTGGAACATTCCCATATTCCAACTAAGCAGGAGTGTTCACAATAAACAACATAGGCTCTTTATTCTCCTTCTTTCACTAATTTTCTTTCACGTTATTCCCTCACCCTGAACGCCCTTCTTCCTTCGTAGTGACATTTTAAAATCCACTTTACACATTCGGACCAGCTCAGATATCATTTGATGCCTGTGACAGCTTCTCTGTTACTTGTACACTTTTTGAACTTTCATACTGTACCAGTGAATTAATTCTGACTTCAAGTGATACTACTCACTTCACATAAAGTAGAAGGACCTGACACTGGTACATCTACCTCCATTTCTTCCTTCCCAACCTTTGTCCTATTTTGTCATGCATTTGACCAAATACACATTATAAATCCCACAATACATGATTATTAATTTCGCTGTAACCATTTCGATCATCTGTTAAAGACACCAAAATAAGAAAAAAACAAGTCTTTACATTTACTCACAGTCTTAGTTTTGCGTGGCTATAACAGAATACCTGAGATTGAGTAGTTTATAAATAAAAGAGGTTTATTTAGCTCATAGTTCTATAGGCTGAGGAGTTGAAGGGCATGGCCCTGGCTTCTGGCAAGGTCTTTTATGCTGCATAATAACATGGCAGAGAAGGTCAAAAGAGATGCCAACATGTGGAAAGAGACAAAACCAGAGGGGTGTCCTGGCTTTATAACAACACACTCTCATGGGAAACTAATCCATTTCCATGAGAACTAATCCAGTCAGTCTTGTCAGAACCAGAGCTCACTTACAACCATGAGAATGGAACCAAGCCACTCCCAAGGAATCCACCCCCATAACCCAAACACTTCCCACTGGGCGCCACTTCCCAGCACCACCACATGGGGATCAAATTTCAACATGAGTTTCATTGGGGACAAACAAACTATATCCAAACCATAGCACCCACATATTTCAATTTCTAATGCATTTAATCTGCACTAATTTTACACCACCACTGAGGCAAATCCCTCCAAATACTCTATCAAAAGCCCCATGAATTATGATGTTTTCTAGTCTGGCCAGCAGGAACAGGAATAATATCAGCCCTGTGAGAACTTTGAAGATGATTTCTTCTGCTTCTTTCAGCTAGTTCTTTCTCCTGCCTGAAGATATTTTTCTCACAAGCATGCACTGATTGGTATTCAGCTGAAGACTCAAGGAGGACCCTTGGCAGGTCTCCAGAGTCCTCTCTCTGTACAACTCTCTCCTTTACAGCAACCTACCTGCAAATTCTAGCTGCTCTTGGAAGTAAATGCTCTGTGCTGCCAAATGAAAATAGCACTCGGGCAAAAGTTTTCTCAGCAAGGCAATTTGCTTCTATAGAAAGGTACGTCTCATGGATGGAGCAATGGCAAGAGCACACCAGACAAGGGAGGGGAAGGAAGGCCTTATTCCTAATGCAGCTAGTCCCTACTGCTGTGTCTTTCCCCTATTGGCTAGTATTGGACCACGCAGTCTAAGCTAATTCTGACTGGCTATTTTAAAGAGAGTGAGGGTACAAGCCAGAGTGGCAGGGTGAGTAGTTTTGGTGGGAGGGATGGTTACAGAGCAGGTGACTAAGGATGACTGAGGACAGAGCAGGTGACTAAGGATGACTGAGGACAGAGCAGGTGATAGAGGCTAAAAGGGAGTTGTTTACTGAAACTAGGGGCAAGGAGATGTAAAGAATGAGGAAGTCAAACTTTAAAATGGAAAATGAAGTACAGGGAAGCTGAACATACTGCCACATTGGTTCTTTGGAGAGGGACTCAGAACTCATTGTACTTAACAATTTTCTCCCTCTCGAATTTTAAGGGAAGTTAACAGGCTAAACTTTGAAGAGGAATTTACTGTATCCTACATTGCCTTGGCCTCCTCAACTCAAGATAATTGCCAGGCTCTCCCTAGGTTCCCTCTCCCTCTCATGGCCCGGAAACTCTCTCCAGGGAGTAAGTTGGGATAATCACAAAACTCAGTCATCTCATTTGTTGCCCGTCTCTCAGGGAACACTGAAGTCTAAAGTCTTGAAAACTGTTTTGTCTTGTTTTATTTTGTTTTCATATATTGGATCCATCTTTTCAGTTGTTTCAAGCAAGAGGGTAAATTCAATTCATGTTGTTCCCTCTTGGCTAGCAGGTGAAGTTTTGTAAAATCACAAATTTAAGGATCCCTTTCAACCCCCCTTACTTGGAAGAAGTTTCTGAACCAGTTGGACCCAATTGACAATTTCAAAGAAGATCCAGGTGCCAGAAACAAGTAGCATACCTCATAGGTAGTGCCAAAACAAGGCCTAATCCTATCTGGGGATTCCACGGTTAAGTTCTCAGTGGCAATTTTTCTCCAAAAAAAATAGTACATAGCTAAAAGTAAAGAACTTTTGGAGACATATCCAGAACAGAGCTTTGAGCACCCAAATCTATGAGATTCCTTTGTATGATCTGAGAACTTGAAGACTCATTTCCTTCACTACAATGAACATTTACATACTAATTAGTTTTTTCAAATCACTCTTTCAAACATGTATATAAGAGGCTATCATACCTGTGATACATCTATTTTCCAATAAACTGGAATCCAGGAAAAAAAATGATATTCTATATATAGGGCCTATACAATGAAAGAAAATCTTCCTTCATTCCTTTACTAATTCTTTTACTTTCTTCTTTTTATCTTTACACTTTAGTTTCCTTTCTTGTCCAAAATTTCTAATTCCCTAACTTTTTCCCCAAGCATGCCTGGGGTTGTTATAGCCAGACAGTAGCATTCACAAATACACCCTCTCAGATTCTATCCCTGTCTCTCCGCACTTATCCTGTACTAAGCCAGCTTTGTAGACATCAAAAGATATATTCTTCAGTGAATGAATCAAGGAAAGAAAGAACTGAATTTTTTATTTCTGCTTAAATGAAAGAGGTAAATTCACCTGAACTGGGAGGAGGCTTATCTGTAGGAATCTTCTAATCTTTTCTAAACATAGAAACAGAACAAAGAGAAAATGTAGGCCAGTTTTACATTAGAATGGAGGATTGGTGGAAAAATTGGGGCTGAGAAACAGACATCAGAAATATTTCCATTTTGAGTTTTACAAAAATAGACTGAAATTATATCTGATAAATGATGGTGGATCCACAATTGATCACTTACTTAAGTTGGTGTCTGCCACATTATGGCCCCCGTACTCTGGTTCACAGATATGAATTAGAGAAATTCTCATTTAGTATTAAATAACACTGGATTACATAGTGAGATAGTTATTCCCTTTTAATTCTCTTCCTATTCTCTGATTACATCAAGATGAGAGAATTGGTTGTTGGTAGTATATCTTAACTTCTCCAACACTTGCTGATCTTTTTTATGCAGAGAAAAAGAAGTCTAGAACATTAGGCAGAAAAAAATTCAGCTAGAATGTTAAGTTTTTTTAA